>NC_000014.9:22111713-23361713 GCF_000001405.40 Homo sapiens | reverse complement strand
GGAAAAAGCTTATAAGCCCCCACCAGACAGGACTGGAAACAGAATGATACATGTTTCCTTTTGGTTGGCCTGCCAACCCCCTTCACACACACACACAAAGACACACTCTGTCCTGCAATGGAAGGGCCCATTGCTAAATGATGATGCCTGCTGGAAGGATCCCAGGCAGTGGTGACACACACACAAGAATACACACTTTTCTCCATGGTAACCTCAGCCTCTTCTGGTAGAAACTTATTTGCTCAGACTGAGAGCAAAACAATTGCTTTGTTTCTGTTTTCTTTCTTATTATGCCTAGGCACACTGTCTGGACTAGGCCTCTCCCAGTCTCTCAGAATGAGAGGTCTCTGTGGCTGCTTAATCTAACCTTTTGCTAGTGAGGGATAATGACTTGGGAACAGAGAGAAGGTCTATGAGAGACTGTAGCAGGGCTTCACATGTTTTGGAAGACATTCATTCAACATGTGTAATGACCAATTCCAGGTCAGGCCTTATTGCAAGGACTAGAAATATAGCCGTTCCTATGTTCATAGGGTTTACAGTATAAGGGAAGAAATCGATACAAAAGAAGCAAATAGACAAATAGTATAAAGTACGAGGATGGAAACAATAGGTGGAGACAAACAGAGAATGGGGCGGGGAGAAGAGTAAAGAATCGGCCTCTCTGAGGAGAGCTGGTCTAGTTGAAGGAACTGAAAGGAAGAGGGAGAATGCAAGCGGTGAAGCTGGAGAGAAGCTAGGGCCCAGGCAGAAAGCTGCATCCAGAGTTCAGGTTTTTTAGCTTGAGGGAAATGCGGAGCTCCGAAGGGTTCTAAGCAGGGGTGACGTGACCTGAAAGGGGTCTGAAGACCCTTCTCCCCACTCCCACCTCCCCAACCAGACCCAGCTGGCCCGGGCACTGTATGACAACACCGCTGAGTCCCCCCAGGAGCTGTCCTTCCGCCGAGGGGATGTCCTACGGGTCCTGCAGAGAGAGGGCGCTGGTGGACTGGACGGCTGGTGCCTCTGCTCCCTACACGGCCAGCAGGGCATTGTGCCCGCCAACAGGGTGAAGCTCTTGCCTGCTGGCCCAGCACCCAAGCCCAGCCTCTCTCCTGCGTCCCCAGCCCAGCCTGGCTCACCATATCCAGCCCCAGATCACAGCAATGAGGACCAGGAGGTGAGAGTGGGAGCCTCCCCAACCCCAAGCCAGAAGAGCCCCATTCCTCCCCAACTAGCCCCACCCAGGGCCTGCAGCAGGTGGGCAGGAAGAGCCCTGAGGCCACAGCTCTTCACTGCTCTGCGCTGGACGAAACCTGTCTACCAACCTTTCTGAGCTGTGGCCCTCTCGATACAGGGAGAGTTAGAAGGTCTCTAAGCTCCTCGCACTCAGACATTATCTGATCACCGGCCCCTCCGTTCCTCCTGACCCCCCATCTATTTGATCCCTCAGGTGTATGTGGTGCCGCCCCCAGCTCGGCCCTGTCCAACCTCAGGACCTCCAGCTGGACCTTGCCCACCCTCTCCTGACCTCATCTACAAAATCCCCAGAGCTAGTGGGACCCAGCTGGCTGCTCCCAGAGATGCCTTGGAGGTGAGGGCTAGAGGTCCCTGTGTATGTTGGGTGGGAGACAAATGGCCCCAAGGGAGGGTTCATCGCTGAGCTGACAGATGACTGACCACTCCTTTCCGCAGGTCTACGATGTGCCCCCCACCGCCCTCCGGGTGCCCTCCAGTGGCCCCTATGACTGCCCTGCCTCCTTTTCCCACCCTCTGACCCGGGTTGCCCCGCAGCCCCCTGGAGAGGATGATGCTCCCTATGATGTGCCTCTGACCCCAAAGCCACCTGCAGAGCTGGAACCAGATCTGGAGTGGGAAGGAGGCCGGGAGCCGGGGCCCCCCATCTATGCTGCCCCCTCCAACCTGAAACGAGCGTCAGCCTTACTCAATTTGTATGAAGCACCCGAGGAACTGCTGGCAGACGGGGAGGGCGGGGGCACTGATGAGGGGATCTACGATGTGCCTCTGCTGGGGCCAGAGGCTCCCCCTTCTCCAGAGCCCCCTGGAGCCTTGGCCTCCCATGACCAGGACACCCTGGCCCAGCTTCTGGCCAGAAGCCCCCCACCCCCACACAGGCCCCGGCTCCCCTCAGCTGAGAGCCTGTCCCGCCGCCCTCTGCCTGCCCTGCCTGTCCCTGAGGCCCCCAGCCCCTCCCCAGTGCCCTCTCCTGCCCCAGGCCGGAAGGGCAGCATCCAGGACCGGCCTCTGCCCCCACCCCCACCCCGCCTGCCTGGTTATGGAGGCCCCAAGGTCGAGGGGGATCCAGAGGGCAGGGAGATGGAGGATGACCCAGCAGGACACCACAATGAGTACGAGGGCATTCCGATGGCCGAGGAGTATGACTATGTCCACCTGAAGGTGAGCGCCCCTTGGCAGCCCCACCAGGAGGGACCCCAGAGGGACCAAGGGGAGGGGTGTGGAGACCTAGGGCACAGAGGCAGAGCCTCCCTGCCTCCCTTCTGTCCCCCTTCCCTCTACCCTGCAGCCTGGGACCCCAGTACTTGGCCACAACACTTGTACCAGTGCCACACTGTTCCTCCTAGACCCAGCCTGGGGCCACCAGAGCTCTCTGGAGTCAAGGGACTACAACCTCTGATAACAGGAGTGTCCTTCGGAAGGAAGGGGGTCCGGGGAAGGGGCAGAAAGGCCACAGAGGCCACCCCGTCCTGCTCCCCCACCCCGACACTGAGACCTGATCCCCTCCTGCAGGGCATGGACAAAGCTCAGGGATCTAGGCCCCCGGATCAGGCCTGCACAGGGGATCCTGAACTGCCCGAGAGGGGGATGCCGGCGCCGCAGGTGACCCTGGCGGGAATGGTGCTAGAGAAGGGGACAGGGGAGGGAGGAATGGGGACTTGGGAGAAGAACTGAGCCATCAACCGTGGAAGGAAATAGGTTAGGATGGAGTGAGAGTTCACAGGAACCAGGGACAGAGCGGAGGCAAGTTAGAAATCTACAGGAAGGAACTGGACCTTGGAAGAGGATGTTAGGAATTCAGAAAGAGGGGAAAGAATGTGTTGGAGAGGAGTCAGAAAATCAAGCAGCCAGGAGAGCAGAAAGTTTCTGAGTTGTGGGGTCAGAGCTGGGCCTGGGGACTTCTGAGCCTCCTTCCAACTGTGAATTCCTGGGCTCCTAAGAGACCTGGCTTCTAATCCCAGCTTCACTACTGAGAAGCCAGGGGCTTTGAAGCCGTCAGTTAATCTCTCCAGGCCTCAGAAAGTGAGGTGGTTTCCTCAACCCTGCGTAGAATGGTCGCAACACAATAGCTACCATTTATCAGGTATTTACCAAGTGCCAGACCCTGTGCTAGGCACACTGCACGTGTTAGTATTAATCACAGCCACAGTTAACACTCATCTGGTGCTCACAGTGTGAAATGCACTTTGCTAAGCCCTTTCTGTATATTATCTCAATTGACCTTCACTGCAGCCTCATGAGGTACATACTAGAACTGCACTATCTAGTACAGTAGCCACTAGCTACATATGGCTATTGAGCACTCAAGATAGGCCTAGTTCAAATTGAAATATGCTGCAAATATAAAATGCAGCCTGGATTTTACAGACTCAGTATGGGAAAAATCTCAATAATTTTCATGTTGATTATATGTTGAAATTATAACATTTTTATATTTGGAGTTAGATAAAATATATTAGGGTTTTGTTTTTTTTTTAACCACTTTTAATGTGGCTACTAACACATCTAAAATTTCACATGTGGTTCACATTATGTTTATATTGGACAGTGCAGTCCTAGACTCCCTGTTTTAGAGTTAAGGAAACCAAGTTCAAAGCCTTGTCCGAAATCAAGTTTGAGGTTGTTTGAATCCAGATCTATCTGATATCAAGTGTGGGCACTTCACTGCTGCTCTCTCTAGAATCTAAACTTTCCGATGGGCAGAGGTAAGAGCTAAAAGGATCGCCCTTGGGAAGAAAGAGAGGAAGGAGAAAAGAAGTGAGGGAGGAAATGGCACTCATGAGAATGTTCTCTCTGACCACTCCTCTTGCCCTTCAGGAGGCCCTGTCCCCAGGGGAGCCACTGGTTGTGTCCACCGGAGATCTGCAGCTCCTGTACTTCTATGCTGGGCAATGCCAGAGCCACTACTCAGCCCTGCAGGCAGCCGTGGCAGCCCTGATGTCCAGTACCCAGGCTAATCAGCCCCCGCGCCTTTTCGTGCCCCACAGCAAGAGGGTGGTGGTGGCTGCTCATCGCCTGGTGTTTGTTGGGGACACCCTGGGCCGGCTGGCAGCCTCTGCCCCTCTGAGAGCACAGGTCAGGGCTGCAGGTACAGCACTGGGCCAGGCATTGCGGGCCACTGTGCTGGCTGTCAAGGGAGCTGCCCTGGGCTACCCATCCAGCCCTGCCATCCAAGAGATGGTGCAGTGTGTAACAGAACTGGCAGGGCAGGCCCTGCAATTCACTACCCTGCTCACTAGCCTGGCTCCATGAAGGTCCTTTGGCACAGCTCTGCTCCTCCCCTGCCTGCCAAAGCCCCCCTTTAGGCCTTGGGTGGCTGGAAGGCTTTGTTAAGGGACTAGGAGAAATGGGGGTATCTTTCCCCTTTCCTGCCCTTTCTGCTCATCTCAACCTCTCACAGAGGTGTCTTCTCCCCCTAACCTACAGCTTTTTGTACAAGCCATTTTGTGTAAATTATTTATATTTAATATTATTCCCTGCTTTGTCAGGAGCAGGTACTAGGCTCTGGGGCAGTGAGGAACTAGATCCTTCTCTCCTCAGCCTAGGGTGGAGGTCACTGCACTACCACCCACCTCTGGAAGACTGGCTGTGAAAAGTCAGGTGGCAGAAACCTGGGGCCACATAGAGCCTCTCTCTTTTCCTGTTTCTTGGCTCTAGAAGATCAGCACTGCACTGTTAGCTGAGAGTGCGGGCAAGACATAAACTGTCCAGAGTTTGAAGGTTCTCGGAAAGACCGGAGGGCTTCTCCCCACAGAAGGCGGAGAGAGCTGGGGCTCAGACATGGGTGTGCACCTTAATAAACCCTGCTGTCTGCCTCCCTGACTCTGCTTCTTGGGAGCATGGTGAGCAGCCCTGGTGCTCAGCAGCCATACCTATGGGACACACACTACGAAAAGGATGCCTTTAGGGTTTGGGGGAGATTTTACTCCTTTCTTCAACAACTATTCACTGGACAAGTTCTCTGCTCCCATGACGCGCCAGGCACAGTTCTGCAAGTATATTGTGAATGTATTGTTCTAGTGGGATACACAAATAAGTCAGTTAAAATACATAAATAAAAACATAAACCTGCCATAGATTCGACATTTGCTGGTGATGGACGTCGGCAGGATGATTTGAAGAAACTAACTAGATGAGGGGAGAGGGCAGTGAAGGAGACTTTAGACAGGATGGTTGGGAGGTGAGATCTGAACTGAAACCCAGAGGAGGAGAGTCTGAGGACTAGTGTTCCCAGAAGGCAGATGCCGATGACTGACCTGAGGGCCTTCCTCCAAGACTTCATTGTCATATGATGTCATTAGAGAGGTGTCAATGTGGAGAGAAGCTGACCACATAAGGGCCTTGAAATGTGCCATCCTGGAGAGGCCACCCCAACTAAAGGCCCAGCCTCAGCTTTGCACCACAGGATAGCCCTGGCCAACTGGAGACTGCTGCTGGCCAGTCTAGGCACCCTCTTCCTTAGGTGACACCAAGAGGGTATAGGCCTTTTCACTTGGCTTCCCAGGTAGATCATCTCAGGATGACCTGCTCATCATCCTTCTGGACAAACCATTTTCTGGAGGATCCGCGGTTGCAGATGAATGCAATGTGTTGAAAGGTCAGTCTTCAGGACTTTGGTGAAATTGATAAGACCGTGGCTTAGATAGATCACGCTAGCCATTTACCACAAGGGAAAACATCCAAGCTACAAATCAATTGCTTCAGTTCTGCTTTCCCAAGATATTACCATGGCATGATGACTGGATTGGGGGCATAATCATAGTCTGTTGGCACCCCTGCACATTTGCCTCCTCCCCTTTAGGTTCCTTTCTCATCTCACTCTCAAAGAAAAATGCACTGTCAGATTCTGGGGCCAACAAAATTCACCCCCATGTGTTGAAGTCTATCGTCCATCATCTTCCAAACAGAATTTCAAGAGATTAGCCTGGAATTAGAGGTTTCAATTCAAGTCTCTGATCTGCCATGTAGTTGTGCATCCATGGGTAAATCATGCCAGTCCCTCTGAAGTCCTGGTTTCATCTTCAATATTAGCATGATCATAATGGTCTTACAGGGTTATTGTGAGGACCTAACAAGAAAATGCATGTGAACAGCCCCACAATGTATAAATTAAGTGATTATTATTCCAGGACAGACACAAGGATGCAGACGATAAATCCCCAAGGAATATTGGCTATACAGCACCATAGTAAAACCTGAAGAGATGCTGAAATGAGTTGGGAGAGGGGAAGTGGTAGGAGGCTGCTTGATGCATTAGCAAAGAAATGTTTCGGAGGGATGCAGTGACTCGCACCTGTAATCCCAGCACTTCGGGAGGCTGAGGCCGGAGTACGGCTTGAACTCAGGAGTATGAGGCCAGCCTGGGCCACACAGTGAGACCCTGTCTCAACAAAACATCAAAAAATTAGCCAAGTGTGGTGGCACATGCATGTAGTCCCAGCTATTCAGGAGGCTGAGGTAGGAGGATTGCTTGAGCTGGGGAGGTGGAGACTGCAGTGAGCTGTGATCAAGCCACTGCACTCCATCCTGGGTAAGACAGTGAGACCCTGTCTGAAGAAAAGAGTTTCCCATACGTGGAAAATTTCTGAACAGAGACAAGTTAAAAGTGTGGTTCAGTGGAGAGAAGGGGGAAAGATTTCCCGGCTGACAATGATAGAACACTGCTTTCTAGCCCTTACCTAGGATTAGAGAATAAAGTACCTATCAGGTAACAAATCTCTTAGAGATGTGTGTCTCTACCTTTAATGTATAATACCTATGCCTGGAGATCTGGATAAAATACAGATTATGATTCAAGGGTCTGGGTGAGGCTTGGATTCTGCATTTCTAACAAGCTCCCAGGAATGCTGCTGGTCCATGAACCACACTTTGAGTAGCAATTCTAGAGGTTAGGGAAGACTCCTGTGTAGCAAAGATGTTTAGGCTGAGAGCTGAAGGATGAGAAAAATGTGACTAAGAAGCTTTTTAGGTGCAGGAACCAGCTTGTTCAAAGGCCTCGTGGCGCTGGGAAAACTAGAAGAAGGTCTGTGGCTGGAGTGCAGAGAGTTTGGGGAAAGAAGTGAGATGGAACTACAGACAGCATGTGACCAGGCATGTAGAACCATGTATGAGGTATCTAGATTTTTAATATTCACTTTGACAGTGAGGAGACACCACTGAAGGCTGGTTAGCAGGAAAGATACATGATCAGATCTGTATTTTGAAAAGATCATTCTATCTGACTATAAATGACATATGGGTGATAAGGAGGTATAAACAAAGCGGACGCTGAACACCAGTTAGGAATTAGGGAGCTAAAGTGGTCTTTGCAACAGGTAGCTTGACTAATAATGGTAGAGATGGAGAGATGTGGGATGTCTGAGAATATATAGGAAGTAAAATGGGCAGAATTTTGTAAAGAATTCAACATGGATAAGGAAGAGAAAGCTCTAAAGGCTGTTGCCTGAGCATTTGGCCACAATGCGATGTTGAGGGTGCCATTCGCTGCAGAAAAAAGCAGTGGAAGCCAACCAAGTTATGGGGGAAAAGCAAAAATTTCGTCTTGAACATATTGAGTTTGAGGTCCCTGTGAGTCATCCAAGGTGAAGGTCAAATAAGAGGTGGCTTCATAGGTCTGGAGCTCAGAACAGAGGTGGAAGCTGGAGATGTCAGTCTGGGCGTCAGGTTTGTATTGTTTGTATGGGTGGTGATTGAAGCTGTGGGCATAGGTAAGATCCCAAAGTGGAGACAGTGTGAGATGAGAGGAGGGCCTAGGACTAAGTCTGTGAGGATTCCAGACACTGAACCATGGTGTCTAAATGATACAGACGGGAATGGCCCTAGAAGCCAGCACCACAGCCTCATCACTACCAATACAGACCCCTCCTGCAGTTGCGTCACCCCGCTGGACTTCAATCATTGCCTCAAGAACCGGGAGGATAATGGCCTGCCCATGCTCAGCACCAATGCCATGAGCTGGAAGACGATTTCTGCAATGGAGAAAAGGGGAGCAAGAGAGACTCAGCAGCAAAGGAAGAGAGTGTTTAGAGGAAGAGGGGTCAACAGTGCCAAATGCTGTTGAGAAATGGAGATTCAAACAGGATGGGAGTGATGAAACCCAAGAAAGTGGTCTCCTTGTAGAGGACTGAAGCTAGGGCTGATACAGGGCCAAGACAGTCTTCCATATGCATAAGTTGTACTGTAATAGCCAGTTTACATGTCTGTCTCCCTGGAGTAAAGGTCTCCAAAGTGGAACTTGTCCACCCTGTTATCCTTAAAGTCTAGTGCAAGTCCTGGAACGTAGTGGACACTTAAATTTTACTGATTAGTGAATGGGTGAATGAATGAATGAATGAATGATGGCAAATGATTGGAAGCAGAGGAAGAATCTCTGGCATCTGCCTGGACTAGCTACTATCCTTCAGCTTTTTTTCTTTTTTACCGCAATGGCCCGCAGACCCAGGAAAGAGACGACAGAGCCCCCCTTCCCTCCCTCCCCTGGGCCCTGGCCCCCCTTCCTCTCTCTGACGAAGAGTCTGGACCGAAGGTTCTGCTGACGTGGGAAGGGGAGGAGAGTCTAGAGGAAGGGGAGGGGAAAGCAGCGCAGAGATCGCAGAGACCAAGGAGGCGCCCGCGGCTGCAGAGCTGCAGAGCGGGATCTCTTCGAGCTGTCTGTGTCCGGGCAGCCGGCGCGCAACTGAGCCAGAGGACAGCGCATCCTTTCGGCGCGGGCCGGCAGGGCCCCTGCGGTCGGCAAGCTGGCTCCCCGGGTGGCCACCGGGACCCCCGAGCCCAATGGCGGGGGCGGCGGCAAAATCGACAACACTGTAGAGATCACCCCCACCTCCAACGGAGTAAGTGCCCGAGCCCCAGGTGGCGACGCCATCCTCTCCCAGCACCCCCGCCCCCGCGGAGCGTCTGGCATTTTCCTCCTGCGCATCCCTCGCCCCTGACTGCCTTCCTAGCCCTCCCTCCCACCTGCCCCCTGCCCTTGCTCTGCGGTTTCCTCCGCTTCACCCTTCTCCTGCCACCCCCTGCCCCCCAACAGCAGGTCGGGACCCTCGGAGATGCGGTGCCCACGGAGCAGCTGCAGGGTGAGCGGGAGCGCGAGCGGGAGGGGGAGGGAGACGCGGGCGGCGACGGACTGGGCAGCAGCCTGTCGCTGGCCGTGCCCCCAGGCCCCCTCAGCTTTGAGGCGCTGCTCGCCCAGGTGGGGGCGCTGGGCGGCGGCCAGCAGCTGCAGCTCGGCCTCTGCTGCCTGCCGGTGCTCTTCGTGGCTCTGGGCATGGCCTCGGACCCCATCTTCACGCTGGCGCCCCCGCTGCATTGCCACTACGGGGCCTTCCCCCCTAATGCCTCTGGCTGGGAGCAGCCTCCCAATGCCAGCGGCGTCAGCGTCGCCAGCGCTGCCCTAGCAGCCAGCGCCGCCAGCCGTGTCGCCACCAGTACCGACCCCTCGTGCAGCGGCTTCGCCCCGCCGGACTTCAACCATTGCCTCAAGGATTGGGACTATAATGGCCTTCCTGTGCTCACCACCAACGCCATCGGCCAGGTGAGGCGGCCAGGCGGGCCGCGGGTCTGGGGGCGGGCAGAGAGCGGCGAGGGCGGGGCCTCACGCCCGCTGCACCCTTCTCACATCCCCAGTGGGATCTGGTGTGTGACCTGGGCTGGCAGGTGATCCTGGAGCAGATCCTCTTCATCTTGGGCTTTGCCTCCGGCTACCTGTTCCTGGGTTACCCCGCAGACAGGTGAGGGCTGTCGTGGGGGCAGGGCTGGTAGAAAGGAGGGGGTGCTAGGGAAGCTAACCCAAGCAGCGGGCGTTTACAGGAGGTCGAAGACGATTCGCTGGACTCTGCAGTCTTCTCTGGACTTCTATTCAATGGTCTATCCATGTCTCAACTTCACTCTCCATCAAGAAATACCCCTTCCCTACCTCTTCCGCGCAAGGGAATGACTCGACCTCTATGGACTATTAGTCCCATTCCCACTAATTAGTGGCCCCCTATCCGTGAATCAATGGCCTCATCTCCAAAGAGAATAGTCTCATCCCCACTAACAGCCCACATGGACTGTTCGCTCCATCTCAGTGACCTCATTCCTGAAGATCAATATGTTAATTCCTAAACACCAACAGCTCCATTCCCACTGATCAATAGTTCAACTTCACAAACAAATTACCCCATTTCTGACCAGCGACCCCTCCCCTACAAGTCAACTAACTATCTCCAAAGACAATATCCTCAGACCCAGTAACCCACAGTCCCATGCCTGCCACCAAATGACCCAACGCTCTGTAGGGGAATAGCCCATAGATTAGCAGTCATACCCTCATGGATCCTCAGGGCTTTGAGATCCTCTCACCGAAATCCCCGTTTCCATGAGTCGGTAGCTTCACCTCTAGAGATCAACAACCCAATCCCAGCAACCAATAACTCTTCCCACAGATCAAAAATCTCATCTCTGATTCTGGTCACCTTCACCACTGACCAGATGCTCTCACTGCACTAAACTTCCGATTAGACTCAGCCCCATTGATCCACAGTTCCATCCAAGTGGATTAATAACTCAACTTCTGTGGATCAAAGCCATCCCAACATTCAATAGTCCAGTTCCTTAAAATCAATACCCATCCTCACTGCCCAATAGTCACACACCTCTGTGGGCCAATGATCCGAAACCCACAGGTCAATAGCCCATCCCTATGCATCAGTGGCCTCATTGCCACAGACCAGTAGCCTCATTCCTATGGAACCATGGTTTCATCCCCAAAGATCAATAATTTGGTCTTCTAAAATCTGTAGCCTTCAGCACATTAACCAATAAGCCCATCCTCATGGAAAAATGCCCCACCCCATTAGATCAATAGCCTAACTCCCAGGGATTGGTGCCCCTTTTGCAATGACCAGAGGCTCCCTATCTTCATCTCCATAGATCAATGGTCTTATCCCCAAAGATCAATAGCCCAGCCTCCAAGAATCAGTAACCATGTCTTCACTAACTCATAGTTAGTGACCATAATCACTTACCAATAGTCTCATCTCCCCTGGTCTGTGACCTTATCCTTACTGATTATTCCCATGGATTAATAGATTCATCCCACTGATCAATAGTCCTACCTTATGGATTAATACACCCATGTCTATGTCCCCACTGATCTTTCTTTTTTCTTTCTTTTTTTTCTTTTTTCTTTCTTTTTGAGATGGAGTCTCGCTCTGTTGCCCAGGCTGGAGTGCAGTGGCATAATCTCAGCTCACTGCAACCTCTGCCTCCCAGGTTCAAGCGATTCTCCTGCCTCAGCCTCCCGAGTAGCTGAGACTACAGGCACCTGCCACCACACCTGGCTAATTTTTGTATTTTTAGTAAGGATGGGGTTTCACCATATTTGTCAGGCTGGTCTTGAACTCCTGACCTCGTGATCTGCCAGCCTCGGCCTCCCAAAGTGCTGGGATTACAGGTGTGAGCCACTGCGCCCAGCCTGACCATTCTTAATGTATTAATAGACCAATGTCCCACCTCCATGGAACAATGGCCTCATCTCCAAAAATCAATTACTCAGTCCCCTAATATCATTGGCTTTACCTTCACTGACCAGTAGTATCCTCATGCACAAGTGGCCAATGGCCTCCCCTCCACAGGTTAATAGTTCCAACTCCGTATATCAATGAACCCCCCTCCCACATCTCCTCTGAACAGTCTGAGCAAGATAAGCTCCAGGCCCACTGACCATTAGCTCTGTTCCTAAGGATGAATGGTCCCAAATCCCCTAAGCAATATCCCATCCCCTCTGTTGAGTGATGTCACATCCATTGACAAGTGCCCTAATCTCTGACCAATAGCCCAAGAGTCAATGTTCCCACCTCTTAAAGAACCACAACCACACCCCAGTGCCCAGTAGCCAGGCATCACCCACCCATGGTCCCCATCCCTCCCCATCTTCTCAAGCCTCTGTCCAACTCTTGCTCCCAGAACTTCATTCTCATACCTCTAGCTCTGAAGTGTGCAGCTGGGTCTTACCCAGCAACTTTCCCACCACCAGAGAGTCTGGGTGACCAGAAGCCCTTCCCACTTTCTAGATTTGGCCGTCGCGGGATTGTGCTGCTGACCTTGGGGCTGGTGGGCCCCTGTGGAGTAGGAGGGGCTGCTGCAGGCTCCTCCACAGGCGTCATGGCCCTCCGATTCCTCTTGGGCTTTCTGCTTGCCGGTGTTGACCTGGGTGTCTACCTGATGCGTAAGTGGCACCCTCCCAGAATTCCCTCCCTTGGGTCTCATGCCTACCTGCCTGCATCGCCAGGCCATCCTCACTGCCCCCTAGGCCACATTTCAGCTGCCTAGAATCTCAGCTATCTTTCTGCCCAGGCCCCCTTGAAGAATCCAGGGCTCTTGCTTCTCTCTACACCTATCTCCCCCTCCCGACAATCTTTAAAGTCTTTGTCCTGGACTTACTGCTGCCAAGGAATAAGGTGCTATTCCCCTGATAGCAGTAAGTCCAGGGACAAGGATTGTCCCTAGCTGTGTGACCTTGGACAAGGGTTGATGTGAAGGTCAAATAAGAGGCCTGATGGGAAAGGGCCTATAAATTGGAAATGTTGAACACTCACCCAGGACTCTGGCCCTAGAGCCCTCCTAGGTTTGAGCAGGAGAGGAGAGAGGGCTGAACAGTCTCCCCAGTCCTTGCCACCCAGAGGTTAGCAAGGGAGGCAATGGCTGCAGCCTCCACTCTGGGTCTGACCTCTCTCTCTGTCCTCCTCCCTCCCTCTTTCTTCTTCTCTCTTATGCCTTCTTCCTCCCTGGCCTCCCTCTCCTCTCTCCACCCCTGCTGTATCTCCAGGCCTGGAGCTGTGCGACCCAACCCAGAGGCTTCGGGTGGCCCTGGCAGGGGAGTTGGTGGGGGTGGGAGGGCACTTCCTGTTCCTGGGCCTGGCCCTTGTCTCTAAGGATTGGCGATTCCTACAGCGAATGATCACCGCTCCCTGCATCCTCTTCCTGTTTTATGGGTCAGTATTACCCTTCACCTGTCGTCTGGCAATTCCCATCTCTGCCTCCAAACTAGCCCTAGCCCGGAGACCCCTCCTCTTCTCCAACTACCCCTGGTCCAGGCCTACCCCAGCCCCAGTCCCTCAGAGGTGCACATTTCCCACCCCTAGATCAGGAGAAGGGAGGCCTCACAGTATACCCCTTCCCCCCTGCCCCCAGCTGGCCTGGTTTGTTCCTGGAGTCCGCACGGTGGCTGATAGTGAAGCGGCAGATTGAGGAGGCTCAGTCTGTGCTGAGGATCCTGGCTGAGCGAAACCGGCCCCATGGGCAGATGCTGGGGGAGGAGGCCCAGGAGGCCCTGCAGGGTAAGAGACAGGGATCCCTGTGAGTGTTGCCTCACTTGCACACATGATGGTGCCCTCTGCATGGCTGTAGCTGTGCCACCTTCTCCCAGGGTCCCCACCACCCATGTGGGAGGATCCTGGGATCTCAGGGTTTTCTTCTGACAGCTCCTCTCTCTCTCCCAAAGACCTGGAGAATACCTGCCCTCTCCCTGCAACATCCTCCTTTTCCTTTGCTTCCCTCCTCAACTACCGCAACATCTGGAAAAATCTGCTTATCCTGGGCTTCACCAAGTGAGCCTGGGTGTCTGGGCTGAGGGCCAGGCCAGTAGCTGGAATGGGGGCTGGCTGGGTGGGAAGGCCCGGGGACCCCTGCGGAGGACCATCAGCACTGTAGAAGGCTGCGGGAGGGGATTCAGGCTCTGTTCGTTGCTTCCCCACCCCTTCTCACAGCTTCATTGCCCATGCCATTCGCCACTGCTACCAGCCTGTGGGAGGAGGAGGGAGCCCATCGGACTTCTACCTGTGCTCTCTGCTGGCCAGCGGCACCGCAGCCCTGGCCTGTGTCTTCCTGGGGGTCACCGTGGACCGATTTGGCCGCCGGGGCATCCTTCTTCTCTCCATGACCCTTACCGGCATTGCTTCCCTGGTCCTGCTGGGCCTGTGGGATTGTGAGCATCCTATCTTCCCCACAGTGTGGGCTCAACAAGGGAACCCCAACAGAGGTGCTTCAGACAGGCACAGCCATTTCTTCTGGCACAGGCCTCCCAAGACAAGCCCCAGACCCTGCCCAGCTCTTCCACGAGCCTCCACCTGGCCCCACAGCCCCATCTGCTCTCCCAGTCAATTACTGAATGCCCAGAGCCTGCCCAGCTAGAGCCATGGGAACAGAGAGCCAAGGGGATGACACCCGGGACTAGGCCAGCCTTGACCTCCCCACCTGCATTCATATCATCCCTCTTGCTTCTGCAGATCTGAACGAGGCTGCCATCACCACTTTCTCTGTCCTTGGGCTCTTCTCCTCCCAAGCTGCCGCCATCCTCAGCACCCTCCTTGCTGCTGAGGTCATCCCCACCACTGTCCGGTGAGAGCAGGGGTGCCCCCAGGGGCAGAGCCGGGCCCCCTCGCCTCCCGCTCCCCCACCCCACCCCTGAGGACAGGGCCTGCGGGCTGGAGGAGGGGGGCTGCGGGAGAAGGGCCCAGCAAGGCTACAGCTGTGGGCTGAGCTCCTCCTCTGTCTCCCCCCAGGGGCCGTGGCCTGGGCCTGATCATGGCTCTAGGGGCGCTTGGAGGACTGAGCGGCCCGGCCCAGCGCCTCCACATGGGCCATGGAGCCTTCCTGCAGCACGTGGTGCTGGCGGCCTGCGCCCTCCTCTGCATTCTCAGCATTATGCTGCTGCCGGAGACCAAGCGCAAGCTCCTGCCCGAGGTGCTCCGGGACGGGGAGCTGTGTCGCCGGCCTTCCCTGCTGCGGCAGCCACCCCCTACCCGCTGTGACCACGTCCCGCTGCTTGCCACCCCCAACCCTGCCCTCTGAGCGGCCTCTGAGTACCCTGGCGGGAGGCTGGCCCACACAGAAAGGTGGCAAGAAGATCGGGAAGACTGAGTAGGGAAGGCAGGGCTGCCCAGAAGTCTCAGAGGCACCTCACGCCAGCCATCGCGGAGAGCTCAGAGGGCCGTCCCCACCCTGCCTCCTCCCTGCTGCTTTGCATTCACTTCCTTGGCCAGAGTCAGGGGACAGGGAGAGAGCTCCACACTGTAACCACTGGGTCTGGGCTCCATCCTGCGCCCAAAGACATCCACCCAGACCTCATTATTTCTTGCTCTATCATTCTGTTTCAATAAAGACATTTGGAATAAACGAGCATATCATAGCCTGGACTTCCCTCCCTTCTGTTTGTCCTTCTATCTCTTGGGGGAAGGTTTTTCTCAGTGGAATGCACACCGATAACAAGCTCCCCTCTCCCTCCTTGTGCCCTGCCCCCAGTGGTGACTTACAGACAACTGTCACCACTTACTGACTGCTTGCACTGCTGCCAGAACTGGCCTAAGCACTTGACACACTTCGTATCATTTAATTTTTACAGCATTGCAAGGTAGGTGTTTGGATCAATTAGGGGTTGTTGTTGTTGTTGTTGTTGTTGTTTGTTGTTGTAAGCAATAAAAACTGGCTCTAATGAACTTAAGCAAAAAGGGAATTATTCGATTTGGTGGGGCAGGTTGTGGTGGGAGCTCACAGAATGAAGGAGAAGCAGAACTCGTCGTAAAATAACTAGTCAGGAGCGGAGAAGGCTCCTTGTCTGAGGAGCAAAAACCAGCAACATTTTTGTCAGGGCTTCTTCTAGATGAATGAGCTCCAGTGCAATTTAATCTTTGGGTTATCCCACTGAAGATTAATTTCCAGAGAGCATGTCACTGGCTAGCTAGAGTAACATGCCTCCCACACCCCTATTTCTCCCAACTGGGAATAGGTAAAGCAAAATTTGGGCACTGTTAGCAGAAGCGGGACTGGGTGTCACTCAGAAAAAAACAATGGAAGCTCAGTACAGCATTCTTATTCTCTTAAACAAGATGAGAAAACTTATGGTCAGAGAGACTCAGTAACTGGCCCAAGGTTACAAAGCTAATGAGTGGCAAAGCTGAGACATGATTAGATCCCAGAGAGCTCTTCATGGATGCATACTGTAGTCACCTTCCCAACTCTTCTAACTTTTGGGCACATTCCTTGGAAGGCAAGAGTGGGTTCTCTTGGCTCTCTGGAAGGTGGCAGCAGAAAACTGAGACTTCTACCTCAGTGCCAGGGCCTCCCTCTTAAACCACATCTGGTTTGGCTTTACCACTTTGGGCAAATCTCTTAGCTTCCAACTTCCTTTAAGACTTGCTATGAGGATTAAACAAGGTAATGTATCCTAAGTGTCTCTTAAACTACCCCCACTAGGTGTAAGCTGTGTAAACCAAAAATTATCTGAGACAAGTCTCAATCAATTTAGAAAGTTTATTTTGCCAAGGTTAAGGATGCACCCATGATACAGCCTCAGGAGGTCCTGAGGACACGTGCCCAAAGTGGTCGAAGTACAGCTTGCTTTGTACATTTTAGGGAGATGTAATACATCAATCAGTACGTGCAGGATTTACAATGGTTGGATCTGGAAGAGCCGGGACAACTCAAAGGCAGGGCCAGGGGCTTCCAGGCCGTAGTTAGATTTAAACATATTCTGATTGGCAATTGGTTGAAAGAGTAATTATCAGTAGAAAGGAATGTTTGGGTTAAGATAAGGGGTTTTGGAGACCTAGGTTTTATCATGAAGATGAAGGCTTCAGAGAAAATAGATTGTAAATGTTCCTTATCAGACTTAGGTTTGTGTTGATGTTAACACTGGAGGGATATAATGAGGCATGTCGGACCCCCACTTCCCATCATGACCTGCAGCAGCCTTTCAGGTTAAATTTTAGGGTGCTCTGGCCAAGGGGGGAGTCCATTCAGATGGTTGCAGGGTGGGTGGCGAGGTGTTTGAGTTTTATTTTTAGTTTACATTCTCCCCCTTCTGGCCAAGATTTGCCAGAGACAACATTAATGGCCACCAATTGTAATTTTGTTCCATAGCACTGCCTGGGTGACATGGCTGCCTGCCCCAGGTCCATCTTGTCCCTCAGTGGGACTCCCTATGGCCGAGGGACTTACAGTCAACAAGACTTACAGCCAATTAATTGCTCTAGGCTAGATAGTAACGGACATGGACAGGCATTCATCCCTTAAAATTGTTTTTTCTTTTAAGTAGAAAGTGAACAAACAAAAGCCAAAGGAGAGGTTACAAAATTGACTTATTTTTAAACTTCTATGCATTAAGCTACTATAATCTTGGTTTTAGTTACAGACTTATAGCAATTAACTATATAAAACATAAGCATTGTTCAAAAAAAGATTTAATATATATCTATCAGCACAACTTATAACGGAAGTATTATACCCAGGAGGCTGGGTGAGTCACAAGGTATCTTTATCCTATCAGTAATTATTTTATTTTAATTCTACAGGAAGTAGGAATTTTTTTTTTTTTTTTTTTTGAGATGGAGTCTCACTCTGTTCCCCAGGCGGGAGTGTAGTGGCGCAATCTCGGCTCACTACAACCTCTGCCTCCCGGGTTCAAGCAATTCTCCTGTCTCAGCCTCCTGAGGAGCTGGGATTACAGGTGTACGCCACCATGCCCGGCTAATTTTTTGTATTTTTAGTAGAGACAGGGTTTCACCATGTTGGCCAGACTGGTCTTGAACTCCTGGCCTCTCAGAGTGCTGGGATTACAGGCGTGAGCCACCAGGCCCAGCCAGAAAATTCTTCATGGTTGGGATGGATGCAAAGATGACACATGATAGCTTAGAAGACAAAGTCCTTTATTTTACCATCTGTTTACGTGTCTTTGTACCCATCCTTGATTTGGAGGGCCTGACCTTGAACTGATTCTATCCCTTAAAACCAACCCTTCACCATTTCACGCGTCCACCTCATCCACCACAGTTACTGGGCTTAGAGAGAAGGTGCTCATATAGTCTTAGCAGCAGGGCATTTTCAGTGAATAACAGATCCGGCCCAGTGGGATGCCAAATGAGGTAGAGTCACATCCCTGGTCTTCAGACTACCATGATTTTGGTTTCCTAGGAAATAAAACAAGGACAGATAAATAACATAAATATTTTGACAATCAAAAGAATATTTGTATGTCAGAACAGAAAAAGGGAGCTATTCTATTAGAGTACCGACTAAACATATGAAGAAAAATTATAATGTGATACTCTTCAGAGGATTATTGTAGCCAAGAAATAATTCGTTCTTCGATCTGCACTCAAAAACAAAAGCCAGGGCTGAAATTTGTGTACAAAATAAATTTTAGGCTTATTATACTTTGCCTGATTATTCATATAAAGTGCAGCAAGAATTGTTTGGCCATATAGGCTTCTATTAAGTTGGCTTTGCTGGAACTTTACCTACAAATATGTTATTCTAGTCAAAGCCTTGGCAAAATAACCAGCGTCTCCAATTGCTCTGTTCTAAAAGACTCTTACTAAGCTTATGCAAATGACTGTATTGTCATGAACTCACAATCCAAATTTTGGAGAACTCAGATAGATAGAAAGGCAAATTTGCTTACAAACACATACTTCACCCAGTTGCTTTAAACTGTGAATAACTCAAAAGAAAAGGATTTGTTTGACACTTCTATAGCCAGAACAGGGGCTTTCAAACAGGATGTTTGTTCACCTTGGAACTGCCATTCACAAGCCAAACAGCTAATGAGAGTTGTCTATCAGGCACTGTAGAATCTAGTAGCTCCTCACATAGTTAGAATCAGTCCTAGGGAAAAAAATTTTAAAAAAAGAGGCTTCCTGCTCATAAGGATCTCCTCCTTGTATCCTCAGGTAGCAAGATCTTATGTAAACCATTTTTATTTTGTCATGGTGCTCCTTTGGGCACCATTATTTCCATTGGCATAAGATAGCTTCTGTCAACATTCCACAGCAAGGCAGTAAATGCCCCTCAAGTGGAAATTCTCTAGCCCAGTCACTGTCATTGGGAAGTGCCCACAGTCTTTTGCCATCAGCACGAATAAATGCTCCACAAAGGGCTATAAAGTGGCGCATTTGTTTGACTGGCACTCCAGCTTCTACCCTACACTTTGTGGGCTCAGGCAATCTTACTAGTTCCCATTTGGCGTGTCCAATTAACATTTCTGAAAGAGCAGATTTACATGCCTTCGGTTTTATGGCACTAGATAGGGAAAACACCCCCCAATTAGATACAATCAATACCCATTTTCTTTCTGTTTTTGTTTTTTTTTTAGATGGAGTTCAGTTCGTTGCCCAGGCTGGAGTGCAATGGCACCATCTTGGCTCACTGCAACCTCAACCTCCCAGACAATAACAATTTTCATAAAACATTTAGGTAAAGGAGTTACAATTACCTTACATAAAGCCTATTTATGTAAACATCTCAAATTTCATAATCCCATCAACCTGTACTTTTTTTTTGAGATGGAGTCTTGCTCTGTTGCCAGGCTGGAGTGCAGTGGCACAATCTCGGCTCATGACAACCTCCAACTCCCACGTTCAAGCGATTCTCCTGCCTCAGCCTCTCTACTATCTGGGCCACCAAGCCCAGCTAATTTTTGTATTTTTAGGAGAGACAGAGTTTCACCATGTTGGCCAGGATGGTCTCCATCTCTTGACCTCATAATCCACCTGCCTTGGCCTCCCAAAGTGCTGGGATTACAGGCGTGAGCCACCACATCCGGCCCAATCGGTACATTTTTATGTTCTGGTCACAGGAACTTTTCTTTTCTATCCCCAGACCATTTTACCTTTTCTGGTGAAAAAAGGCTTGGGTCCCCAGGGAGTTGAGCCAAGGGACTCAGGCTCTTTGGCCAATTTTTTTTATCTTAATTTGCCCCAGCATTGCCCTAGGCAATGTCAGCTTTCTCGTGATAACCTTTGCCTTTTGATTTTTTTTTAAATTTTCCAATCTGAGGCAAATAGTGAATAACCATCCAAAATGGGTGATATTTCCGTCACTCCTTCTGGGGAGAGTCCTTCGACTCTGGTTTTCCTTTCTCTTTTTTTTTTTTTAAATTAATTACTTCAATGTGTTATGCCCCACGAGGGACAGCAAATTTGATAAGGCCTCTCAAACAGTTGCATGATTCTGTGGGAGGGGTACCCATGTAAAAATGGGTCCCCTTAACCTCCAGGTTTACCATGACGTGGGTAATAGGCATATTCAGTGGGAGAATATCTTGGTCATCATAAAGCGAGTCCCACATGGCTCACATATGAAGCATATTAAGTGCTTCATCTGGGGTGCTCCACTTGGTATTTTATAGGGCAGTCAGGCAGTCCCCTTTTCAGGGAAAACAGATCTTACCATGGCCAATAGGCTGGTTGTTTTCTCAGGAATAACCTCCTGTACATTTGGATCACATGTAGTTATCAGTGATTGTTTAATAGTGAGATGTGGGTCTTACATCAATCCAAACAAGCTCTTTCCTTCTGTAGCATTTAAAATTAAGGAATTGTCCTAAGAGTAATTATATAATATTTTTACTATCCATTATAGTAAAGGTTTCTCAAGAAGCTGATGACACCAATCTACAAAATGGGACAATTCCTTTACATTATACCCTATGGTTTAATAGTTACTTGGTTTTGCCCTTCCCTCACATTGACTATCTTCTCTGTAACCACAGGTCTCAGAGGTAACTTTTGTTCCCTGGCTTAATTTTTTTGTTTTTATCCATTTAGTTTTATCTCTGTAATTTTTCCTTTATCTTAAAGTGACTCTTAAATGGTTTCTCAACTAGAAAAAAATCACATATTTTTTAGCAAGAACCACATCCTTGTGTTTTATAAACTTCACCAAAAACACCTTTTGTGCTCCTATTTTAACTCTTAGTAACACAAACTCCAAGTGGGAAAAAAAACCTAAGGTTACTTGATTTAACATAACATGACTTTAAGATTTTAAACTATTGCAGAGAATTTTGAGATTAAATTTACCAAATTAATCTTACCAAAGACTGCCAAAGTCATGAATTAAAGGGGATCTGAGCTAGGTTCTATCAGTCTGATAAGTTGTTAGTTTTCTTTAAGTCAAATGATTAGAACTCTTTCATACAGTTTAGTTTAATAGTGAAATATCACTTCCTCATGACACATGTAAACATATAGATACAACAGACATGCAGGCAAAAGCAGACACAAAAGATTTTTCATTCGCCCATTTTCAAAAATTTTCTCCCTTACATTAGACTATTAATTTTTAAAGTTACAACAAAAGTTGAAGGAGAGAGTTACCATCCTAGGCCTTCTCAAAAGACAGAAGATGCTGAAATAGCAGGGTACAGCTTCTGAGATATCAATCTGAATAATTTCAAAAAGAAATAGATTCTAGAATTTAAAAATTAAAAAATTCTTGCATTGTGTATTAGTCCATTTTCACACTGCTATAAAGAATTGCCCAAGTCTGGGTAATTTTAAAGAAAAGAGGTTTAATCAACTCAGAGTTCTGCATGGCTGGAGAGGCCTCAGGAAACTTACAATCATGGTGGAAGGGAAAGCAGGCACGTCTTAAATGGCAGCTAGCAAGAGAGAGAGCATGAAAAGCCCAGGGGAAACTGCCAGTTATAAAAATCATCAGATCTCATGAGAACTCCCTCACTATCACAAGAACAGCATGGGGGAAACCACCCCCATGATCCAATCACCTACCACCAGGTCTCTCTCTCAACACCTAGGAGGGATGTTAAATTAAAATTCAAGATGAAAATGGGACACAAAGCCTAACCATATTACATTAAGTAACTCTATTTTAAATGAAATCTTGTTTTAACCAATTCTTTAGGTTTTTGTGGGTGTATTTTTAATATCAAAGTTCAATTTTTAGAAAAACTATTTACTATAATTTCCTTTAATTAGAGCCAATTAATTGCATTTTTATAAATTCCTTTTTTACTAACCTTATTACAACTTAGACCATTTACAACATGCTTGGACTTTTGGCTTGTCCTAAATATTCCTCTTTCTTGAACAACCCATTCATTTTATTTTAGAACAAAAATTCACCATACAAGACTCTTTCTCATATAAAATTATTTTAAGCTTTCTTACCAAAAATACCTCTTTATTTCTATAACTTTCTTTGCATCTCTCTTATTTCCTGGTTCCTTTTACCTTGTTTTACACATAACATTTAAATAAGCTTTGAATAGATAAAAATTATTCACCTTTTAATAAGAACATATTTTTTAGAAAGAATGTTCTCCTACACTATAATTTTTTTAATTGGAAAATACCTAGACATTTAATGAAATATTTAATTTAACTTTAGATTCTAATTTATGACAAGTTTGTTTACAAGTTTCTATTACATTTACCTAATTATTTTAATAGTTTACCTAGTGATATGGTTAGGCTTGTGTCCCCACCCAAATCTCGTCTTGAATTATAATCCCTATAATCCCCATGTGTCAAGAGAGAGACCAGGTGGAGGTAATTGACTTATGGGAGTGGTTTACCCCATGCTGTTCTCATGATAGTGAGTGAGTTCTCATGAGATCTGATAGTTTTATGTATTTGGTAGTTCCTCCTGCATTCATTCTCCTTCCTGCTGCCTTATGAAGAAGGTGCCTTGCTTCCTCTTTGCCTTCTGCCATGATTGTAAGTTTCCTGAGGCCTCCCCAGCCATGCTAAACTGTAAATCAATGGACCTCTCTCCTTTATAGATTACCTAATCTTGGATAGTTCTTTATAGCAATGTGAAAATAGACCTCCAGAGAGAGAAACTAGATTATTTATGAAAATTGTGATAGTCATTATTTAAAGTTATTTCCCTGTCAACCATTTTTACAGCTTGTGAATTTTAGGTGATTACCTAAGTAAGTACCTTAAGATTAAATATATGATTATTTTACCAATAATTCAAGATTTAGCTGTTTTCATTAAATCAACAATATTAATGTCTTTTTTATTAAAAATGACACAAACAAAAATCATTACATTTTTTGCTGGGTTTATAGTTTTATAACCCTTATGCCAAATTTTGACACCTTATAGTATTCAGCAGAGATAAGTATGAAATCACTTGATCAATAAATGCAAACAAAAATGTATGCTGACAAGTCTTAAGACATTTCAAATATTACTTTACCAACAATCTTAAAGCTAGCTTATTAAAGATTTTACTTAAGTCATGTAAACTTGAAATGCATTTGGGCTTATTATTTAATTTATGGATAATCTATAATTGGTAGCCAATTTGTTACCTTGTGACCCAAAACACAACAGAATCCATGTATGTACACATAAACACACATACACACTCATACAACCAAAGATCCTATAGCTTTTACTTCAGAATGTTAGCCATGAGATATTAATACAAACTCATTGGTTTGCAAAAACAATAACAAAAGAAATGGTTGGATACAAACAGTGGATTTTATCTCAGTAGAAAAGTAACAGCAGACTTAAAGCAGACAGAAAAGAAAGCAAAGAAATAGAGAACTTCGGAAGTTTATAGTTGCAGATTGACCTTCAGGCTCTGAATTCTCTTTGAGGTGATTTGCCCATCAGTTTAAAATGTGCACAAGAGCAGACCCGATGTGTAACCAGCCGGAGTATTAGAAAACCTGGTGTGCCATTCCATTTACACAACCACTTGCAAGTAGAGGGTCATAAAACCAAACAGGGTGCCTGAGAAGGGTCATTCTCCTTGTCTGTCCTCATTCCTAGATAATTCATTTCCCACATTTTTTCTTAAAAGGAGGAACTAAGCTGTGGCCTAGAGTTTGGTGGAGTGGGGAAAAGTGTGCTGGTTGTGGGTGGGACTCCACAGTGTGTCACACACAGTGTGTCTCAGTTTCTTACTCTGGAGGTCTAGCATCTCCGGGAGGGCTGATAGCATGGGGTGACCAGCTCCTATATGTGCTTCCTGGATGAGCCTTTTTAAACTAATTTTGTTTGGAGTTCCCTGTAGGGCCACTGCACATCATGGGGGCTCAACCCCCCAACATTCCCACTTAGCCCCCTGGCACTCAGGGGCACCTTTTGACTGGGAAGAGCAAAATGCTCTTTCTCTTTGGAGCTGTGGAAACTCAGTCTCTCATTTATCTATGAAAAAGACAGTTCACTTCCTCCCACAAATGCACAGAGCAGCCAATCAAGACTAATTTCAAGAGGAAAGGCAATGAAAAAGACACTTTTTTTTTTTTTTGAGACAGAGTGTCACTGTCACCAGGCTGGAGTGCAATGGCACAATCTCGGCTCACTGCAACCTCCGCCTCCTGGGTTCAAGCAATTCTCCTGCCTCAGGCTCCCAAGTAGCTGGGACTACAGGTGCACTCTACCATGCCCAGCTAATTTTTGTATTTTTAGTAGAGACGGGGTTTCACCGTGTTGGCCAGGATGGTCTCGATCTCTTGACCTCGTGATCCACCCACCTCGGCCTCCCAAAGTGTTGGGATTACAGGCATGAGTCACCGCACCCAGCCGGACAAGACACTATTTAAAATGTACCTCCAAACTAGAATTAGGGTCCTAAATATCTTCCCAGGAGGAAAAAAAAAAATCTAAGACCACTCTCTGTAAACTGTTCTTAGCCACCCCTAACTTTGTAGCACTTGTCCGCCATTACACACACCAAGGTAAAATCCTCACACAGCGCAAAGTAATCTTTGGTATCCCCCAAAGCCAAAGAGATCAGGTAATGCAATACAGGAGAGCAGAACTTTAGACCGAAGAAGAATCTGCCTATAACTCTTGAAACTTCAAAAAGAAAACAGAACACTCCAAAAGGGATGAGTGGCACCTTTGTTTTGAGTTATTTGAGGAATTCAAGTCATTAGAAGCCTTCTCTAGATTTTTTCTTGGTACTGAAGATGGCAAAGGGGAAGGAGGAATAGGATGGATGAAAATTAAGACAGCGAACACAGAAACTAAGCCCATGGTTTCTTTTTTTCTTTTTACAGCTGTGAGAAATTTTAACTTATTCAGAGGCCTTGTTCCCCATAATTTGGAATTCTCATTAGGATTTGACCAAGACAGGTAGAGTTAGTCAAATCCAATGGGAGAAAGGGACAACAACAAAAAAAACCAACAATATGATCACTTAGCGCTCTAATGGTAAGGAGAAATTAAGACCAGCTGGTTGTCAACTTTAACCTTTAGTCATTATGGAGAATTTTCAAGACAAAAAAAAAGCAAGCAAGCAAGCAAGAAAACCAAATCAGCTTCTTACCTAAAAATGGGTCTCAGGTTGAAGACTACTCTCTACCCTCCTAGAAGCAGGAAGAAACTCAAACTTGCCTTCCCTGTTAGATATTAGCTAAAACTCCAAAAAGGAGTTACCTGTTACCTGCCTTCCAACATCATGGGAGCAGGAAAACTTGCCTTCCTTGTTGGAAGCAAGTATAACTCCAGAAAAGGAATCGTAGAGCAAAATAAACTTTAGATCTCAACCAAATTTTGAGAGATCAGGGGTTCTCTGGAGAAAGGGGAGTTCCCAAGCCTCAGCAAATTGTCCTGTTGATTTGAGCCATAAACATAGCTCAAGCTGGTGCCGAGCACCGATAGGAGATTTGTCAAAGGTCAGGGCTACATCCACTCAGAGTCCCTTCATGGGCACCAATTTGTAAACCAAAAATTATCTGAGACAAGTCTCAATCAATTCAGAAAGCTTATTTTGCCAGGGTTAAGGATGCACCCATGATACAGCCTCAGGAGGTCCTGAGGACACGTGCCCAAAGTGGTCGAAGTACAGCTTGCTTTATACATTTTAAGGAGACATAATACATCAATCAGTACGCATAAGACTTAGAATGGTTAGATCTGGAAGGGTGTGATAACTCAAAGGCGGGGCCGGGGGCTTCCAGGCCATAGTTAGATTTAAACATATTCATTCTGATTGGCAATTGGTTGAAAGAGTAATTATCAGTAGAAAGGAATGTTTGGAGTAAGATAAGGGGTTTTGGAGACCTAGGTTTTATCATGAAGATGAAGGCTTCAGAGAGAATAGATTGTAAATGTTTCTTTCTTTTTTTTTTTTTTTTTTTTTTTTTTTTTTTTTGAGACGGAGTCTCGCTCTATTGGCAGGCTGGAGTGCAGTGGTGCAATCTCGGCTCACCGCAACCTCCGCCTCCCGGATTCAAGCAATTCTCCTGCCTCAGGCTCCCGAGTAGCTGGGACTACAGGTGCGCGCCACCATGCCCAGCTGATTTTTGTATTTTTAGTAGAGACGGGGTTTCACCATGTTGGCCGGGATGGTCTCGATCTCTTGACCTCGTGATCCTCCCGCCTTGGCATCCCAAAGTGCTGGGATTACAGGCGTGAGCCACCACGCCCGGCCTGTAAATGTTTCTTATCAGACTTAAGGTTTGTATTGATGTTAGTGCCAGAGGGGTATAATGAGGCATGTCAGACCCCCACTTCCCATAATAGCCTGAAACAGTCTTTCAGGTTAAATTTTAGAGTGCCCTAGCCAAGGAAGAAGTCCATTCAGATGTACATGGGAGGCCTTCAAATTTTATTTTTGGTTTGCAGCTCCCTGAGGACAGGAACTTTGTCTTATTCAACTTAGAAACACCAATGTGTGACATATGGTAGATATTCCAAAAGTTGAGTAATATTTGTTTATTCTTTCAGCAAATGTTTGTAAAGCCTAGAGGTATGACATGATATGGTGTGCTTGGAAAACAGGAAACAGGATGTTTATTTCAAACATCCATGGATAAAGGACATCTATGAAAAACCCACAGCTAACATCACATTCAGCAAAAGGCTGAAAGCTTTTCCCTTAAGATCAATAAGATAGGGATGCCTGCTCTTGCCACTTTTATTCAACATTGTACTGGAGGTTCTAGCCCAGGTAATAAAGAAAGAAAATGAAATAAAACCACACAGAATGGAAAGGAAGAAATAAGACCCTTTATATTTGCAGATGACATGATCTTATTTAGAGAGAATGCCAAGGAATCCATAAAAAACTATTAAAAATAAATATGTTCAGCAAGGTTACCGAACTTGCAAGATACAAATCAGTATAGCTGGGCAAATTGGCTGATGCCTGTAATCGCAGCACTTTGGGAAACCAAGGTGGGAGGATCACTTGAGACCAGGAGTTTGAGCCCAACCTGGGCAAGATGGCAAGACCGCATCTCTACAAAAAAAAATTTTTTAATTAGCCAGGTGTGGGTATGTACACTTGTAGTCCCAGCTACTCAGGAGACTGAGGTAGCAGGATCACCTGAGCCCAGGAGTTAAAAGCTGCGGTGAGCTATGAATGTGCCACCACACTCCAGCCTCAGTGACAGAAAGACTCTGTCTCTAAAAACAAATTAAGAAAAAATAATCATATAAAACTTCAATTGTACTTCCACACAATAGCAATTTTAGAAATCTGAGAATGAAATTAAGAAAACAATTCCATTTACAATAGAAAAAAATCCCAAAATACTTAGGAATAAATTTAATGAAAGAAGTGCAAGACTTGTACACTGAAAACTATGGGACACCAATGAAAGAAATTAAGGACCTGAATACATGAAGAGACATTCACAGATTCGAAGACTTAATATTGTTCAGATGAGCCAGGTGTGATGGATCACGCCTGTAATCCCAGCACTTTGGGATGCCAAGGCAGGCCACTTGAGGTCAGGAGTTCAAGACCGGCCTGACCAACATGGTGAAACCCCTTCTCTACTGAAAATACAAAAATTAGCCAGGCGTGGTGGCGGATGCCTGTAATCCCAGCTACTCTGGAGGCTGAGGCAGGAGAATCGCTTGAACCCAGGAGGTAGAGGTTGCAGTGAGTCAAGATTGCACCACTGCACTCCAGCCTGGGTGACAAGAGCGAGACTCCATCTCAAAAAAATTAAATAAATAAATATAATATATACATATATATTATTAAGATGGCAATACTCCCTAAATTGATCTACAGATTCAGTGTATTCACTATTAAAGTCCCAGCTGTCTTTTTTCAGAAACTGATAAGCTGATTCTAAAATTGACATGGAAATGCAAAAGACCCAGACTAGCTGAATAATCTTGAAAAAGAGCAAAATTGGCGGACTCACACTCCTAAAATTTCAAAATTTATTACAAAGCTACAGTAATATAGACAGTGTGGTACTGCCATAAGGACAAACACGAAAATCAATGGAACAGAATTGAGAGTCCAGAGACTGGTCAATTGATTTACAAAACAGGGACCAAGACAATTTAATGGGAAAAGAAGTCTTTTTAACAAATGATACTGGGACAACTGGATATCCACATGCAAAAGAAGAGAACTGGACCCCTGTCTTATACCATAAACAAAAATAAATTCAAGGGCGGGATGTCTGTAATCCAGCACTTCAGGAGGCTGAAGCGGGCAGATCACTTGCGGTCAGGAGTTCGAGACCAGCCTGGCCAACATGGTAAAACCCTGTCCCTACTAAAAATACAAAAATTAGCTGGGCGTGGTGGCAGGCACCTGTAATCCCAGCTACTCAGGAGGCTGAGGCATGAGAATTGCTTGAATCCAGTGGGCAGAGGTTGCAGTGAGCCGAGATAGCACCACTGCACTCCAGCCTGGGTGACAGAGTGAGACTCTGTCTCAATAAATAAATAAATATTTTTAAAAAAAACTCAAAATGGATCAAAGACCTAAACATAAGAGCTAAAACTATAACACTCTCAGTAGAAAATATAGACACATCTTCATGACTTTTGTGCTTCAAAAGATGCTGTCAAGAAAGCAAAGAACTGGGCCGGGCGCGGTGGCTCACGCCTGTAATCCCAGCACTTTGGGAGGCCGAGGCGGGCAGATCACGAGGTCAGGAGATCGAAACCATCCTGGCTAACACGGTGAAACCCCGTCTCTACTAAAAATACAAAAAATTAGCCAGGCAAGGTGGCGGGCGCCTGTAGTCCCAGCTACTCGGGAGGCTGAGGCAGGAGAATGGCGTGAACCCTGGGGGGCAGAGCTTGCAGGGAGCCGAGATCGCGCCACTGCACTTCAGCCTGGGCAACAGCGAGACTCCATCTCAAAAAAAAAAAAAGCAAGCAAAGAACCCACAAAATGGAAGAAAATATTTGCAAATCATATATCTGATAAGTCTAGTCTTCAGTATTCAGTATTCAGCAAAGGAAGGCTGGGCATGCTGATGCATACCTGTAGTCCCAGCTGTTGGGGAGGCTGAGGCAGAGGGTTTGCCTAATGCCAGGAGTTCAAGTCTGAAGTGCACTATGGCATGCACTGGAGTACCATGCCTGTGTACGCTAGCCTGAGCAACATAGCAACACCTCATCTCTAAAAATAAAAAAAAAAAAATTTTTTAAATTAAAAAGAAGTCTTGCAAGAAAACAATCTACTTTAAAAATGAGGACCAGGCTTGGTGGCTCATCCCCGTAACCCCAGCACTTTGGGAGGCTGAGGCGGGCAGATTGCTTGAGACAGGAGTTCAAGAGCAGCCTGGGCAACATGGCGAAACCCCATTTCTAGAAAAATTAAAAACTAGGCGGGCGTGGTGGCACGCACCTGTAGTCCCAGCTACTCAAGAGGCTGAGGTAGGAAGATCACCTAAGCCTGGGGAGGTTGAGGCTGTGAATAGCCGTGATTGGGCCACCGCACTCCACCCTGAGGGACAGAGTGAGACCCAGTCTCAAAAAAGAAAAAAGGCAAAGAATCTGAATATATATATATACACACACACACATACATACAAATGGCAAATAAGCACATGAAAAGATGCTAAACATCTTTGAGTCATCAGACAAATGCAAATTAAAACTACGATGAGATACCTCTTCATACCCTCTAGGATGGCTATAGCCAAAGAGATTGACAATAACAAGTTTGGTGCGGATGTAAAGAGACCAGAAGCCTCATACATTGCTGGTGAAAATGTAAAATGATGCAGCTGCTTTGGAAAACAGTCTGGCAGTTCCTCAAAAGGTTAAAGATAGTTACCATGGGTCTTAGTCCATTCATCTGGGCTGCTGTAACAAAATAAGGTAGACTGGGTGGCTTACAAGCAACAGAAGTTTATTTGTTGCAGTTCTGGGGACTGGGAAGCCCAATATCAAGGTTCTGGCAGATTTAATATCTGGTGAGATCCCATTTCCTGGTTCATAGATGGTACCTTCTCACTGTATCCTCACGTGATGTAAAAGGGCAAGGTAGCTCTTGGGGCTTCTCCTATGAACTAATGACCTCCCATAAGTCCCGAACTGCTAATATCATCACTTTGGGGGTTAGGATTTCAGCATATGGATTGTGGTGGAGGTGCAAACACTCAAACCATAGCACAGTATGACCCAGCAACTCCATTCTTAAGTATATACCCAAGAGAAATGAAAACATATGTTCATACAAAAACTTATACAGTTGTTTGGAGCCAGACTATTTGTAATAGCCAAAAAAATAGAAACAACCCAAATGTCCATCAGTTGATGATGGAAACAAAATGTGTTATATCCAATGAAATACTAGTCAGCCATAAAAAGGAATACTGGGCCAGGCATGGTGGCTTATGCCTGTAATCCAAGCACTTTGTGAGGCTGAGGTGGGAGGATCACTTGAGCCCAGGAGTTTGAGGCCAGCTTGGGCAACATAGCAAGATCTCATCTTTACAAAAAATAAAATATAATAAAATTCTGGCCCTGCGCGATGGCTCATGCCTGTAATCCCAGCACTTTGGGAGGCTGAGGCGGGCGGATCATGAGGTCAGGAGTTCAAGACCAGCCTGGCCAATATGGTGAAACGCCATCTCTACTAAAAAATAAAAAAATTAGACGAGCTTGGTGGTGCACGGCTGTAGTCCCAGCTACTTGGGGGGCTGAGGCAGGAGAATTGCTGGAACCCGGGAGACTGAGGTTGCAGTGAGCCAAGATCGCTCCATTGCTCTCCAGCCTGGGTGACAGAGCAAGACTCCATCTCAAAAAAATAAATAAATAATAAAAAAACAAAAAATTAGCCAGGCATGGTGGTATGTGCCTGTGGTCTCAGATACTTGGGAGGCTAAGGTGGAAGGATGGCTCAAGCCCAGGAGTTTGAGGTTTCAGTGAGATATGAATTTGTTGCTCATTCTGAGCAACAGAGCAAGACCTTGTCTCCATTAAAAAATAATAATAAGGCCGGGTGCAGTGGCTCATGCCTGTAATCCCAGCACTTTGGGAGGCCGAGGCAGGCAGATCATGAGGTCGGGAGTTCAAGACCAGCCATGGTGAAACCCCGTCTGTACTAAAAATACAAAAATTAGCCTGGCGTGGTGGCACACACCTGTAATTCCAGCTACTCGGGAGGCTGAGGCAGGAAAATCGCTTGAACCCAGGAGGCAGAGGTTGCAGTGAGCCGAGATCGTGCCACTGCACTCCAGCCTAGGCGACAGAGCAAGATTCCATCTCAAAAAATAATAATAATAATAAAATGTGATCATAATTTGAGAAAGGCTGCTCATTCTAACCATACATAAAAACAAGGAAAGCAGCAATATTATTGTAAAAACCCACCAACTGTTTCTTTTCTCCATTGCCAACGTCGGATTGGGCAAATCCTACCTTAAAAAGCACTGGCTTGCCTCGGTTTATTTTGCATCATCCAAAGGCCCTCTAAGGATCTCTGACTCACAGACCCTCACCCCAGACAGGTTTTATACACAGGCTCTCCCAGTCTCTTTCTTCCCATGGAACTCCAGTGAGATTGGGCTCATTTCTATCCCTCAGTTAACAGAGAGCCGATCAGGAGTGACTGACAGAAATCATCCACCAAAAATAACCAAGCTTGCCCGAGGAAAGTAACTTTCTTTCCATGCTTCTTCCTCTAAACCTAGTCTCTTTTAAGTAAAATAGTCTGACTCTTATAAGAATAAAACTAAAGGCCGGGCATGGTGGCTCACGCTTGTAATCCCAGCACTTTGGGAGGCCGAGGTGGGTTAACCACGAGATCAGGAGATCGAGACCAGCCTGACCAACATGTTGAAACCCCGTCTCTACTAAAAATACAAAAAATTAGCCAGGCATGTGGCGCATGCCTGTAATCCTAGCTACTCAGGAGGCTGAGGCAGGAGAATTGCTTGAACCTGGGAGGTGGAGGTTGCAGTGAGCTGAGATGGCACCACTGCACTCCAGCTTGGGCGACAGAGTGAAACTCCGTCTCAGGAAAAAAAAAAAAAAAGAGGAAGAAAACTACCAGCTCCAGGTAAAAGGCAACACTATTGTTGTTACCGCCTTCTCCAGGACAGGAAAGGCAAGCCCAGGGTGAATAAGCAACTTTTGGGCACCTACTAAATGGCAGGCCCTGTGAGGCAGACACAAAGTCACAATTGATGCCCTCAAGAAGCTTGCATTCGGCCGGGCGCGGTGGCTCACGCCTGTAATCCCAGCACTTTGGGAGGCCGAGGCGGGTGGATCATGAGGTCAGGAGATCGAGACCATCCTGGCTAACAAGGTGAAACCCCGTCTCTACTAAAAATACAAAAAATTAGCCGGGCGCGGTGGCGGGCGCCTGTAGTCCCAGCTACTCGGGAGGCTGAGGCAGGAGAATGGCGTGAACCCGGGAAGCGGAGCTTGCAGTGAGCCGAGATCCCGCCACTGCAGTCCGCAGGCCAGCCTGGGCGACAGAGCGAGACTCCGTCTCAAAAAAAAAAAAAAAAAAAAAAAAAAAAAAAAGAAGAAGCTTGCATTCTAGTGGGAAAACAGAAATGTAGTTAGTTTCATTATAAAACCACAAAGTAAATATTAAACAGGGATAGGAACAGTTTGTCCTGACTGCAGGAGTGATTACTTCTGACTTGGAAATCAGGAAAGGCTTCATGTCTGTTGTACCTGGCTTACACTTGGAAGGATATGCGTGATTTTCATAGAAGAGTTGGAATGAGCATAGCAGGCTAGAGGGAACAGCATGAGGGATACATGAAAATAAATAACAACTACAATGCATAGTACATCAGGTGTAGGGCAGGATCTGGAAGAGAAATGTAATCAGGATCAGATTGAAAAAGGTTGTAGTTCCATGCTTGTGTTTGGACTTTGTACTTATTGGTGGCATCATAGAGGGCTTTTTTTGGCAATAAGAAGTTTGGAGGCTGAGCATGGTAGCTTACGCCTATAAACCTAGCACTTTGGGAGGCCGAGGCAGGAGGATTGCTTGAGGCCAAGAGTTCAAGATCAACTTGGCCAACATAGCGAGACCCTATCTTTTAAAGTACTTTTTTTAGGAATTTTTATTTTTCAAAAAAAAATTTGAAGCCAATACATCTGCCAGGACCCCTGCAATGATGATGGGGAGTTACTCAAGCAGTGAAAGTAGGAATAGAGAGAACAGACAAGATATGGTAGAATTGACTGAATATGGAAAACTAAACCAGAGAAGGGTCAAAACATGATTCACCCTCCAATACCCAACAATTTATGGGGATCTTTTAGAGCCAGCCATTTAGTGCCCCCTGGTGGACAGATGAGACCATCACAGCATTAACAGCAACAAGTCACTTAGGCTGTTTCATTCTTCCAGTAAAAAGTTTATATTGAACACTATCCAGACCCTCACTAATCAGCCTCTGCAGAAGCCACAGAGATCACGGCACTATTTTAGGTGAATCTAGTTAGGAGAAAAGATAGACCTCAAATGCCTAACCCATAACAGAAAGTAGAATAAATGACCAAATCCTAAAATATGTGGTGGATAACACTGACATGAGATTTTAGAAAATACTGCAATTTGAGAGGTGGGTTAAGGCTTCAGATATAACAGAGTTTTTTGTTTTGTTTGTTTTGAGACAGAGTCTCGCTCTGTCACCCAGGCTGGAAGTGCAGTGGCTGAGTCTCAGCTCACCTCAATCTCCACCTCCTATGTTCAAACGATTCTCCTGCCTTAGCCTCCAGAGTAGCTGGGACTACAGGTGCATGCCACCACACCTGGCTAATTTTTGTATTTTTAGTAGAGACGGGATTTCACCATGTTGGCCAGGCTGGTCTCAAACTCCTGACCTCAAGTGATCCGCCCACCTCTGCCTCCCAAAGTGCTGAGACTGCAGGTGTGAGCCACTGCGCCCGGCCACAGAGCCATTTCTTTAACATATGATTTTTGAAGAGCATCCAGGTCAGAGGCAATTGTGAACAAAACATCCTGAGAAGTAAATGAAAAAATAGTAAGGTTGAAATACTAAGAAATTCTATAGGTAATGAAGTCTGAAGGTTCAACCTGGCTAGTGATGTAGTGTTCAAGTTTTAAGACCAATCTGACACTGGAATAAAAAATGGAGAAATTAGGATGCCCAAGACAAAATTTAGATATGAAAACAGTGAAAGCCAGTTGTGAAGTCCTAATAAACTAATCCTGGCCAGGAGCTGTGGCTCACGCCTATAGGAAGGCCAAGCCAGGAGGACTGCTTGAGCTCAGGAGTTTGGGACAGCCTGGGCAACACAGCAAAACTGTCTCTACAAAAAATTAGCCAAGTGTGAAGGCAGGCACCTATAGTCACAGCTATGTAGGACACTGAGGTGGGAGGATCACTTGAGCCCGGGAGGTTGAGGCTGCAGTGAGCCACTGCACTCCAGCCTGGGTGACAAAGCAAGACCATCTCAAAAAAATAAATGATCCAATTAATATAAGTTAGCTGGACACATTAAATGGTTACTGCATGGTTGGAAAAACAAGCTTTCCGATTGTCTCTTAGCTAAGTGTATTTTGTCTTCTGCATTTCTTGGGCCCACCTTGAGGTAGAAAAGGTAGCTGGGTGCAGTGGTTCACACTTGTAATCCCAATACTTTGGGAGGCTAAGATGGGAAGATTGCTTGGTCAACATAGCGAGACCCCAAAGACAAGGTTACCCAGACCCCAATCCAAAGCTCTAGGGCTGCAGGCATGGATAGTTCATTTGCACGTAAGCTGTATCAGGAGCACACAAAAGCGCCATTAGGTCAGTAATTCGGCTATTCCTTTTTTTATTTTGAGACAGTTTCACTCTGTCACCCAGGCTGGAGTGCAGTGGTGTGAACTTGGCTCACTGCAAGCTCCACCTCCTGGGTTCACGCCATTCTCCTGGCTCAGCCTCCCGAGTAGCTGGGACCACAGGCACCCGCCACCTCGTCAGGCTAATTTTCTGTATTTTTAGTAGAGGTGGGGTTTCGCCATGTTAGCCAAGATGGTCTTGATCTCCTGACCTCGTGATCTGCCCACCTCAGCCTCCCAAAGTCCTGGGATTGTAGCAGTGAGCCACCATGCCCGGCCCAATTCAGCTATTCTTTTACTTTCCCAGGCTTATTTCTCTCTCAAATGCCAATCAGGGTTACATGTTATCCAGAAAACCTATCATTCTCAACTAAACACATAATGTTCCTGCTAGTTGTAATGTAATTCCTACTCCTTAATTCACAAGTGGCAACCTCCCTTCCACAACACCAGTACTTCTACCACAAGGCAGAATTAATAGCCATCTGCGATCTAAGAGAGAATAGGAAGATAAATAATCCTTACACCCAAAAGGCCAAACAATTTTTATTTTCAAAAACAACTTTATTCATGACACATATTAAAAAAAAATTCCCACCCCTGGAAATGAGCTAAAAAAATAAACAAAATCCACCTCCCACCTCCCTGTTCCCACTTCCTCCCATTCCCTCCAAATAAAAGGGAAAAAAGGCAAAGGAAAAAAAAAAAAAACAAAAAAACAAAACAACTGAAAAACAAAAACACCCCTAAACCCCCCAAAACAAGGTAGTGCATTTCCCCAGGGGGAAGGGGAATTTACACTGGAGCCGCTGGGAGCGGAACGGAGATCTTCCGGCTACAGAAACCTGCAAAGAAAGACACTCAAAACAGAAAAAGAAACACAAAAGGAAACAAAATAGATCACCAGGCAATCTGGAGGGGCAGGGAGCCGGAGAAGAGGGGTGGGGTGGGTGGTAGACCTGGCTGGACAGGAGCAGGCAGGAGGGGACTGTGAAAGGCGAGGAGAAGACGGAGGGAAGGTAACAAGCAGAACAGTTTGGTGTCCTTCCAGAGCCCTGGGTAAAAAAAAAAACCTCCTACCACCCACGCCCACCTACCCTTGAGCAGCCCCCAAGGGGGTGAAGTGGGGCAGGGAAACATGGGCAGCAGCTTGCGCAGTTGAGACGTGTCCATGGCGAATCCCCAGAGTGAATAAGCAGCCCCCTGCCCCACTCCCTGGGCCTTCCCCTACTCCCCAAAGCAGGTCCCTCCTCAGCAGTTAGTTATGGGATTCTCCCCCCTTCCACAGTATATCTTTTTTTTAAAAAATATTTTTTTTCCATCAAGGTCATCTTCTGTTTTTCTTTTTTTTTTTTTTAATTCTTTTTTTTTTCCTTCTTTCCTCTTTTTTTCCTCTCTCTCCTCCTAATACACACTTTTTTTAGTAAGGGGAATACCATGATGTCGCTCTAGCCCGGCCCCTGGAAGAAAGAAGGAGAGTTAGGTGTTAACGTGATCACTAGATAGTTCAGTACAAGCCCCTCCCCGTAGGCCCCTGCCCCAGTTACTGTGAAGGGAAGGGGGGAAAAGAAGTGTTCAAGTGTCCTAAAACTGACCCCATGATCCCAGAAATAGTAACGCACCTGGAGAACTGGGGCAGGGGGAGGGGGGCTTAACAGAAAACTGCCAAACAGTGGCGAAAAAGAAGCGCATCTGAGTGAGAGACAGGGGCAAGGAAAAGGACCCCCTTTTTATCCAGTTTTCAGTCCTCCACAGCTCTTAAACCCTAGGCCATCACAAATAGATCCTCCCTAACTCCTGGGGATAGGCAGGTAGAGCTTATGAAAAGCCAAGGTTTATATGCCTAACCCGTCTATTTAAATGTAGAGACAGAAGTGAAGCAAGGCAAAAACCTGGGCACCACACTAGGCCCAGTGAGAAGTTAACCTTGCAAGACTGGCTCAAATAAAGAATAAGTATCTCAAAATCCTCCCACAAGGCTGTTGGGGAGGATCAACTAGCTAGCCTCTGGTATTCTTCCAAGGGAGGTTCAGTCTTCAATCCCTCCCTAACTCCGAAAAAAGTAACAAATGTCCAAGCAGTGCTTTCACTGCCTGGAGGCCCTGTTCCTCCCAGTTTTGTCCGCAAACACCTTCAAATGCCACCAACTCCCAAGAAAAAAAAGGCTGGGGGTGGAAGCCTCTTTGAACCAAGGGAGGGATGCAGCCCTTATCACCAATTTCTACTGCAGAAAAGATGATGAGGCTGGCCTTCTGGCCTGGCCTGCAACTACCTTCCTCAACCTGCACAGGCAGGAGACAAAGTTCCTGAAGACCACGGGGAGGGGTGGGGGGAGGGAGGTTCCTCAGACCAGAGAGGAGGAAGCATACGGGGCTCACGGGAGGCGGGGGAAAGAGGAGCAGCCCATCTATCCTGACCTGTAGACGCGACCCCGGGGCCTGCTGTTAAAACCACTGTAGAATCGAGAGCGGGAGCTGTTGTAGTTGGTGGTCCGGGCGCGGTAGCGGGCTCGTGGAAAACCCCGGTCTGTTGTGCTGATGCCTGGTCTGTTGGTTCGTTTTGGGATCACCTGAGTCAGAGATGAACAAATGATAGCCTTAAAGGCAACCTGGAGAGTTTATACACAACTAGAACAGCAATGGACATAGGCTTACCTTGATTTGCCTTCCTCTAAATAGGGACTCATCTAAGGCCAAGGAAGTCCTCACTGACTCTTTGTCTGAGAACTCTATATACGCAAACCTGAAAAGAATTGTCATTGTATCTCTCTGAGGTTACAAATACCTCACAGGTCAAATTCAACCTGCAGGCATGCTTCGTTTTGGGCTACAATGCAGTTATATTTTTTATTTGTCAAAATTCTTCTAAATGGAAAATTTCAATCATTCGAAATCATTTAAATTTTAAAATTTCCAGCTACTCTTTGAAATTTGTAAAAATAAGACACACAGGGCCTGAATTTCCATATGGCCATAATAGGCCAAGTAGAAGCTGCCCCTCCCCTTCTAGTTCGTAATCCCACCCACATCTAGCCTTCATTTTTGTTATCTGGCCTCTGAAGACATTTAGGTGCAACTCCTGATATATCAACATTAATGCCATGATCTTAAATGACACAGATCACCTGTGTTAACACCAAATAACTTACTGCTCAATATAAAACATAATTTATCTATTTGTACACTGTAATTTAAATTATCTCAACTTACTCCCCTTTACTTACCCTTTGGGATGGCCACTAAATTTGTCACACAGTATGGTAACACGGTTGACTGAACCACAGCCATGAAAGTGAGCTTCCAGCTCTTCTGCTGTTGCACCATAGTCCACCTGATGAGAGGAGAAAAATTTCACAGGCACCAGGCAAATTCCTGTCTCAAAAGGAACCCTCCCGAGCCTTTGGTCTGGGCCATCATACACCAAAGCACATGAAATCTGGTAATTTGAGGAATTAATCTCTTTTCCTTCCAAACCCAGAGCCTTTGCTGATTACTGATCATTCCATTACCTTTAACCTCCTTCCCACACTCCCTCCACACCCAAAACCACATCTATCCCGGAGATGTTCCTTTCAGGACTATTAAATAATTCCCCAAAAGAAGAACTTGCCCCCAACCCCAGTCAGAGCCCCAGTACGTACATTGCCAACATAGATGGAACGGGCATCAGCCTCCATCTTCTCCTCAATGGACATGATCACCGGGCCAGCTATCAGGAAAAAATAATTTTTTACAAAAACCACACACTTGTTTTCTACTTGACCAATATGTTGCACTTCCACCACCAGCACTATCCCATAAGCTCAGTGAAGGCAAAGATTTTGGTCTGTGCTGTTCCCTGCTGTACCCACAACCGAGAATAGTGCCTAGTGCATAGCAGGTACTCACTAAATATTCAATAAATTGAAAGAATTAATACACACTTAAAACAGTATAGGAATCCCTCCTGCCTCCAAATCAAATCCCTAATGAATGGCTTTGGTTGAAATGCTTTTAAGAGTGAGCAAAATTAAGTGGGCTGAGACTCCACATTTCTAGATTAAAGGGGAAACCCCTTGCAGCTTGCTTTCTCTTAGAATCCTAAAGCGTCTCCAATTGGAGGAAAAACTATTAGATTTGAAGGTCAAATGCGAGCACGCAACCTCTACAAAGAAAGATAGACGTAGACTAAGAACAAAGAGCAACACAATTATAACAGGCACAAAGGGAGGCACAAGGCTACCACCACCAAAATATACGTTCTGCCTCACAAAGGTCAGAGGAACACACAACGGACTATGACCGCGGCACAGTCATAATAGCTCAGACAAGCAGCTCCAGGGTGCCGAGTATCTAACCCCACATTCCCCATCCTCCCCACAACCCTTCCAACCCGAGAACCCGGGCTCCGCGTGCAACCGCCAGTTACTCACCATTGCCTGGAGGTGGACTCATATTCATCTGCTTCTCTACCTCGTTCTGTAGCTCCTTTAGCTTCTCAGCTTCTTCCTCCATCTCCCTGACTCGAGCTTTGATAGCTTCCAGCTCCTAATATAAGTGGGGAGGGTATGGAGGACAGCTTAAGAGGAACCAACGCAGGGGCTGTGCCCTGCTCTCGGCCAGAGCGCGGCCTCAGCCATGCTCGGCCATTTCCCTCGCCCCATGCGAGGGTCGTGATAAAAGAAAAGCTACCCTCTCTAGAACAACACTAGGCAACCGTGACGCCCGAATCAAGCCAGTCGGGCCCCTTGTAGTGATCGCTGACCCATCCCCGGCCCGACCCGGCCCCAGCCACGTTATTCCCCGCCCAACCCCACCCCCCGCCTGCCACCCGCTCGCCCGAGCTCTGGGCCTCCAGTGACCCGGCCGGCCAGCCGCCGGCCTGCTCGCTCGCCCTCCTTCCCTCACCGGGTCCTCAATGGCGCCGTCCCCCGGGTCACCCTCGACCAGTCCCGGCTCCTCCTCCTCCTCTTGGCTGCCGGGGGCTCCCGAACCAGGCCCAGGGCCCGGAGCTCCCGGGGGGGCGCGGGGCCGGGGCGGCTCCTCTTCGGGCTCGGGCTCCGGCTCGGGCTCCAGCAGCAGCTCCTCAGGCTCCAGTTCCTCAGACTCCAGGCCGTTCCCGTAGTCCCCTGCGCCCCCCGGGGCCCCCTCCCCGGCCTCCCCACCGGCCCCGGGCACAAGATGGCGCCGCCGCCCCGGCCCGGAGCCCCGACCGCCCGCAGCCCCCGCTGCTGCTGCCGCCGCCGCCGCCGCCGCCATCGCCGCTCAGACTGGGGCCCGCCGCCCGGCGATTGGAGAGCTGCGCCGGCCACGCCGAGGACTCATTAGTCAAGCTGCCTGCCCGTCACCATGAGCTAGTACTCCATTGGGGAATATTACTTGGCAATCAAATAAGGCCCCACCTCTAAGGCGGGGCACTGCGCCAAATTCTCAAATCCCGGTAGGGGAAATCTGCCTGTCAATCAACACGCGTCCCACCTCCTATCGAGTCCTTAGGTAATAATACCGCCACGCTGTGACGATATTCCTGCTTCTCCCCGGCCTACGGGCGGGCCCGCGAAGTATGGGACGCTCCGTGATTGGCCCTAGCTAGGCGACTGGAAAGGACCAATCTTCCGATCGCCTCACCGCAGTGGCCCAGTCTCAGATGCCGATTGGCTTGCGAGAGTCGAAGGGGTGACACTCGTTTCGTGACAGGTGAACCTTGCCCCCGAAAGGACTGCCGGGCTTCAAACTTGGGAAACCCGAGGTCACATGACTAGCCAGTCCTAGGGGGCCGCCATCTTGATACTACTGCTTGCCAGCTAGTGAGCTGTTGGCCGGGTGAGGCCCAAAACAGAGCAGCAGTTTCAGGAAACTTGTATCTCGACCAGGAAGCACCAGTAGATGGGATGTTGCTGAAAATGGAGGTTGTGAATGAAGCATTCCAGGAGGGAGCTTACTTTCCCCATCCAGGTTATTGGCACCATCATCCACTAGCTCTCCCGCACCAGAAAGCAGGGAGGATTCCTCAGTCCAGAGCTACTAGTCACAAGTCCTGTCTGTCCCGCCCTCTTGCGTAGGCCTTCTGCTCCCCAGTTCCATTTTCTTTTTCCTGGACAGCTTCCAATGTCACCCCTCCAATCTGCACCGCTAACAGACTGGCCCCCCTTTGCTGGCGAGGTAAAGTCTCAAAACCGTAAATCACGGCCTTCGATACGCCAGCATGTGGTTACTTTGTGGATGTTGTTTCCTTCCACTCTTCTCGTTCCTTTGGGTGTACCTGCACCCAGTCTGTGCCTCTAACATGTAGTCCCCCTTCAATCAAACCACTGCAAACCCCAGCTTCCCCTCATTTCCCAGGACAAGTGGGCCTATCTCCACGGCGCGCTTAATTGTTTTACTGTTTCCTAACTAGGTTGTGAGCGCCTGCAGATGAGGGGCCGGTTCCTATTTATATTCGCATCTCCACGGCCTGGCAATATGCCTACCACATAATGTCCTGTTAGATGTTTGTTGATTGAACAGGCATTGATTGGGGATTTGGGTGCCACCCTTCATTTAAGCCCTCAAGCCCCCAAGATCCCAGAGGAATTTCTCCTGGCAGGTTCCCACTACACCCCTGCACCCCAAGTACCAATGAGACCTAGCCCTGGAAGGCAGGACTGCCATATTTTGGTAGCAGTCCTACACATTTATTAAAAAGAAAGGAATGGCAGTGTACGTTTGCAAGAGAAATTTTTGTGGGCACACTAACCTACAGTTCGAAAGATACATATAGCCCAACCAAAAAGTTAAACAAACATGGTTGGCCGAGGGATTTGGACAAGAGAAGATCCTCATTAGCAAACCAAAAAATCAAGTGACTCATTATACCCCACTATTCCCCTCACCCCCACTTTTTCTCACAATTCCTTACCTCAAGATCTGGGGAACTTGCAGCAGAGTCACAGTCGCTTAAAATTTCACTGCAAATTACTTCATCAGCCATCTCAGCTTCAGTGATCTGGGATAACTAAAGTTGAGCACCGAAGACAAGCTCTAAATGATTGAATACCCTGGAAGAAAGGTCTTTTATACTAATCTTAACCTAATCAAGATTTGTTAATCTTATTGGTACCCAATTTAATCAAGCCAACAAAAGGAAATGTGATTTTTAAAAATGGCTTTGAATCCTATTTTTGTTGAGCGTTTGATTTTGTAATAAGCACCACTCCTTATTATTTCACTGGACTCTCACAACAACCCCACGGGGAAAGTATTTCCAAAACCATAACCTTTTTTAGGGAAAAAGAAAAAGGCTTAATGAAATGAAGAAACTTGCCTAAGTCATTGGACTAATTAGAAGTGTGCAGGGCTGGCTGGGCGTGGTGGCTCACACCTGTTATCCCAGCTCTTTGGGAGGCTGTGGCGGGAGGATCACCTGAGCCCAGGAGTTTCAGACCAGCCTGGCCAACATGGCGAAACCCCATCTCTACTAAAAATACAAAAATTAGCTGGGCATGGTGGTACATGCCTGTAAACCCAGCTGCTCGGGAGGCTGAGGCAGGAGAATCGCCTGGGCAACAGCAAGACTCTGTCTCAAAGGAAAAAATAAAAATTATATATATATTATACATAATATATATTATGTAATATATATAATAATGTGCAGGGAATTCAAAGCCAGCTTTCAAAGCTCAGATCACTACTACTATAAGGCCTGCTTTAATACATAAAAATTATGTGTGAAAAATGGCAAGACTAAATTCCAACAATAAACAAAAGTTTAAGCAAACTATAATTATATCCAAAAAAAATTATTATGCATCTCTTAAAAGGGTTACATAGTATGACAAACATGCGAAAATAATTTTGTTAAGCCAAAGAAGAATGTAAAATTGTACATAATATATAATTACAACTATATCTGATTTTTTTTAAAAACTTAGGCATGGGAGGAAAAAAGGAGCAAGAACCAGTACAATCTTTCTATTCTTTGGCAGTATATATCAAAAGCTTTTAAAATGGTGAGATTCTTAAGGCCAGGCGGAGTGGCTCACAACACTTTGGGAGCCAGATTGCTTGAGTCCAGGAGTTCAAAACCAGCCTGGGCAATATGGCAAAACCCATTCTCCACTAAAAATACAAAAATTAGCTGGGCAAAGTGGCGTGTGCCTGTAGTCCCTGCCCAGCTACTTGGGAGGCTGAGGCTACAGTGAACCATAATTGGTGCTACGTGCACTTCAGACTGGCAACAGAGTGAGACCCTGTCTCAAAAAAAAAAAAAAAAAAAGAGCCAGGTGAGGTGGCTCACGGCCTGTAATCCCAGCACTTTGGGAGGCCAAGGCAGGTGGATCACCTAAGGTCAGGAGTTCGAGACCAGCCTGGCCAAAATGGTGAAACCCTGTCTCTACTAAAAGTACAAAAATTAACTGGGTGTGGTGGTGGGCGCCTGTAATCCCAGCTAGTCAGGAGGCTGAGGCAGGAGAAAGGCTTGAACCTGGGAGGTGGAGGTTGCAGTGAGCCAAGATCGCGACACTATATTCCAGCCTGGGTGACAGAGGGAGACTCTCTCCAAAAAAAAAAAAAAAAAGTTGAGATTCTTAACCCAGTAATCCTATTTCTTATCTCTTCTAAAAATGTAATCCAATTTGTGAATAAATATTTTTTGTTTGTTTGTTTTTGTTTTGTTTTTTTTGAGACAGAGTCTCACTCCATAGCCCAACCAAGCTGGAGTGCAGTGGCGTAATCTCAGCTCACTGCAACCTCCACCTCCAGGGCTCAAGCGATTCTTGTGCCTCAGCCTCCTAAGTATCTGGTACTACAGGCGCACCACCACCAAGCCCAGCTAATTTTTTGTATTTTAGTAGAGATGGGGTTTTACCATATTGCCCACGGTGGTCTCGAACTCCTGAACTCAGGTGATCAGCCCGCCTCAGCCTCCCAAAGTGCTGGAATTACAGGCGTGAGCCACAATGCCCAGCCAGAATAAGTATTTTTATCAAAGTGAAAAAATACAGATAAAGGACCAAGTGGGCATTAAAATTACTGTACACAAGTAGAAGTAATTGTATATAGTCATTATGACTTTGAAACATTTTAACATCAAGAAAAAATGCTTGCAATATAATGGTAAGCAGAATTGCGTATACAAAATTGCATGATCATAAAAGCAGACAAACAAATACTAGAAAGAAGTATACCAAAATAGTAATTGTCTCTGGGTGACAGCATTATGATTCATTTTCTTTATAATTTTCTATGTTCTACAAATTTTCCACAATCATTATTTATTTATTTACTTGTTTATTTTGCTGCCTTTGTTGTTTGAGACAGGGTCGTTGTCGCCCAGGCTGGAATACAGTGGCATGATCACAGCCGACCACACCCTCAAACTCCTGGCTCAAGCAATCCTCCCTCCTCAGCTTCCGAAGTGGCTGGGACTACAGGTGTGCACCACTATGCCCAGCTAATTTTTTCTATTTTTGTGGAGACAAGGTCTCACTATGTTGCTTAGGCTTGTCTCAAACTCCTGGGGCTCAAGCCATCTGCCCAACTCAGCCTCCCAAAGTGTTGGGATTACAGGCATGAGACACCATGTCCAGCCCATTACATATTTATTTTTAAAAAATCACTCCAACTTTCAAACTTCTTCTACTAGGCATAATTACCTTATGAAAGAAACAAACACATTAGCTGAGTGTGGTGGCATAGTCCCAGCTAATCCAGACGCTGAGACAGAAGGATCACTTGAACCCAGGGGTTCCAGGCTGCAGTGAGCTATGATCATGCCACAATACTCCAGCCTCAGCAACAGAGTAGGACCCTGTCTCAAAAAAAGAAAAAAGCAAACATATTTAAAAGGCTATTTGAGGGACAGGTGCGATGACTCATGCCTGTAATCCCAGCACTTTGGGAGGCCGAGGAGGGTAAATCACCTGAGGTCAGGAGTTCGAGACCAGCCTGGCCAACATGGCGAAACCCCGTCTCTACTAAAAATACAAAAATTAGCTGGGCATGGTGGCGTGCGCCTGTAATCCCAGCTACTCAGCAGGCTGAGGCACGAGAATGACTTGAACCCGTGAGGCGGAGGTTGCAGTGAGCCGAGATCGTGCCACTGCACTCCAGTCTGGGCAGCAGAGTGAGACTGTCTCAAAAAAAAAAAAAAGCTTTTTGAATGGTGACTTGTAAGATCCTTCCCTATTAGTCTATAAACTGTAAAAGACAGGGAACCATCTTATATTTGTGTTCCCTTTGCCTATCACTCTGTGCTCAGTAAATGATAACTGAATGAGTCATCTTCAGTAATGAATAATCTTATTTTTTTAAAAAAGTAAAAAAATAAATGAATGAATACTCGTATTTATTATCCTGCCTGTTGTTGATGCATAGAGAATATCAAAGAGATAAGTTTTCCTCTGAGAATGAATTTTTTGAAATTTGGTATGTAATGGTGTGAGATTCACCCATTATAATTCTCTCTAAGTAATAACCTATAAACAAAGGACCATGGAGTTTTGGAAAAAGTGAAACTCCAATGATACTGTGCCCCAGAAGACGGGAAAATGTATTAATAAAAGGGAATCGGCCGGGCGCAGTGGCTCACGCCTGTAATTCCAGCACTTTGGGAGACCGAGGTGGGTGGATCACGAGGTCAGGAGATCAAGACCATCCTGGCCAACATGGTGAAACCCCGTCTCAACTAAAAATACAAAAATTAGCTGGGCGTGGTGACCTGCGCCTGTAGTCCCAGCTACTCGGGAGGCTGAGGCAGGAGAATCAATTGAACCCGGGATGCAGAGGTTGCAGTGAGCCGAGATCGCGCCACTGCACTCCAGCCTGGGCGATCTCAAAAAAAAAAAAAAAAAAGAAGAAGAAGAAGGGAATGGCTCAGTGGAGTTAAGAAAAGGAGAATTAAGTAGTAAAAATGGGTGAGGGCATTCATAGTTCTTCCCAGAAAAGTTTTCTCCCCAAACGACATAAATATTTGACGTCTTGGTAGTTTCATCCCTATTTTTATCTCCTTTCTTGAAATTTTTACAGACTACAATAATGCTCTATGATCTGGAACTACTTTGAAATTTTTACAGACTATAATAATGACCTATGATCTAGAGCTACACTTTAATATGATAGCCACTAGTCACACATGGCTACTGACCACTTGAAACATGAGTAGTCCAACTTGAGATGTGCTAAGTGTTGAATACACACTGAATTTTGAAGACTTAGTATGAAAAACAGAATGTGACATAATTCATTAATAACTGTTTAATATTAATTCCATGTTGAAATGATAATATTTTTATATACTGGGCTAAATAAAATATTAAAATTGGTTTAATAATTTCTTTTTGCATTTTAAATGAGGTTACTAGAAAATGTAAAACTACATGTGGCTTGCATTATATTTCTATTGGACAGTGCTGATGTAGAACCATGGAGTCTTTCTCCTTTACTGACCTCTGTCTTGGAGCAGACCTCAATAATCTTCTAATGTGGTCTGGTCCTGCTTACCTTGGCTCCCTAAGTTTGCCTTTGCATGGAAGTGGGGTAGCCATTTAAATGTGAAGGACCCTCTGTTGGGCTGCTTAATTTCCATCCTGCTTCGTTAACTTTTTAAAAATTTTGTACCTAAAGAACTTGTTTTCATATACTGTACTGGAAATATCTGGAAATATATGTTCATTGTCAAAGAATCAGAAAATACTGACAGCAAAAAGAACAAAATAAAAGCACTCATAAAGCCCACTATCCAGAGACAATCACTAATGATATTTTGGCATATATACTTCCTGAAAGTTTCAATATGCAAATATATATCAAGGCACACAGATATAAATATTTTAGCAAAATGGGATCATACTGTATATATTATTTTCTAATCTATTTTCTTTTTTTACCCAATTAAAAAAAAAAGACAAACATCTTCCCATGTCAATAAATATATTTTTCCAATTTTGTTTGTCATAGTTTTACCCAAAAGTCACCCTAGAAATGAGGCCTTCTCTGACCACTCAATTTAAAATTGAACTCTTACGTGTGTATATATACACACACATTCCCCTCAATGAATTATTTTTCTTTATGGTATTCATCGCCTTCTCACATATTACATAATTGTTAAGTTTTCTGTTTCTTTTACTATAATATAAGCAACATGAGAACAGAGATTTGCATCTGTCTGTTCACTCTACCTCAGAGCCTGTAACTGTGCTTAGCACACAGATGATGCTTGAATATTTGCTGCATAAATGACTGACTGAATAAACTACACAGCATTTCATTATGGTGTATTTTCTGCTGAGTTTCAAAATAGTCGATTTATTTCTGTATTTCTCCTGTATCTACATTTAAGGCAAATTTTATTTTATTTTATTTTATTTTTTATTTTTATTTTTTTTGAGACGGAGTCTCACTCTGTCGCCAGTCTGGAGTGCAGTGGCGCCATCTCGGCTCCCTGCAACCTCCGTCTCCCGGGTTCAATCGATTCTCCTGCCTCAGCCTCCCAAGTAGCTGGGACTACAGGGACTGCGCCACCACACCCAACTAATTTTTGTATTTTTAGTAGAGACGGGGTTTCACTGTGTTAGCCAGGACCGTCACGATCTCCTGACCTTGTGATCCTGACCTCGTGATCCGCCCGCCTCGGCCTCACAAAGTGCTGGGATTACAGGCGTGAGCCACCGCGCCCAGCCTTAAAGCAGCTTTTAAAGTCTTCAAAGGATTTGCTATTAAGTTACAACACAGAGGGCCGGGCGCGGTGGCTTACGCCTGTAATCCCAGCACATTGGGAGGCCGAGGCGGGCGGATCACGAGGTCAGGAGATGGTAACCATCCTGGCTAACACGGTGAAACCCCGTCTCTACTAAAAATACAAAAAATTAGCCGGGCGTGGTGGCGGGCGCCTGTAGTCCCAGCTACTCGGGAGGCTGAGGCAAGAGAATGGAGTGAACCCGGGAGGTGGAGGTTGCAGTGAACCGAGATCGCGCCACTGCACTCCAGCCTGGGCAACACAGCGAGATTCCATCTCAAAATAAATAAATAAATAAAAATTTAAAAAAGTAACAACACAGAATATCTACAATCTATCCATTTACTAATAATTGTAACTAAGTGTTGCCCAACTTTATTGAAGGTGTCATTTGTCCTAACACACTTAGGACCTTCTAATAGATTCAGAAGGTCCTAAGTGTGTTCTACTAGGTTCATCACAATTTAGCCCAAATATGCTGCTCTATGATGATTTGGTTTAATACAGGATTAAATTTTGGGCTATCTAAAGCGATAGATGGATTATATTTCCTTCATACAGTTCTCCACCAGTGTTATTTCTCGCTTAGGACCTTCTGAATCTCCATTTGGTGTTTTTAGAAGAAACAGTGGTCAAAACTCAACATCATATTTGCTTTTAGATGTCACAGAAGGTGGTGTCCACTATATCATTGTCTTCTTAGAAAAGCCACAAAATTTTTTTTGCCCCTCTTGAGTAACTGATAGGCTTTTATAAATCCTAAGAGGAATGTGAATTTCATTCTGTATTTTAATTTGCTTTAGCCACCAAGAAGCTCACAGCTGAATTCACAGCCTAGCTTTAGTATTTGGAAATGCTACTTATAGAATGTTTTTCTGTGCATTAATTTTCCTTTTGCCGCCATCTTATTTCAATTTTCCCTTTACCCCTACTTATTTTTTTTACTTAACCTTGACTTGAAATTCAACCCAACTTAAAAAATTTATGTTTTCCTATTATTTTGTGTATTATAGTAAGATATTGCAAATATTTTTTGGAACTAGGCAAATGCAAATCAATCATTAAATCAATCACACAACAGTGGAGATAAATACACCAGCTATCATACTTGATGATATTAACTATTAAGAACATCTAATTTCCTTTCCCATAGTGCCATATTCACTAAGCCACTCTCTGATTTTAATATGGTTTCCCCTGTAGACTTTTGTATAAAGAATAGAAAGAGAATGCTGGATTCCTCTAAACAATTATATTTCTTGCAATTTAACACATAAACCCAAGTACCAGTCTATTGCACTGGATTACAGAAAGGCTAGAAATTCCCACCTGAAATTTAAAATTAGGATCACTGTTTCAGTTAACATGATTTTGATGTGGTCCAAGATTAGAGGTAGAGAAGGATGAGCTGAATATTCTTAGAAATTCCATCCAGTTTATCAATTTGCATTAAAATGGCTGAAACCAAATGTCTCACAGGACCAGCAAAGGAAGCAGGGACTCCCATTTTTGCCAGACTCCGCCTTGCCTTATTTTTTGTTTGTTTGTTGTTTGAGATAGAGTCTCCCTCTGTCACCCAGGCTGGAGTACAGTGGCTCGATCTTGGCTCACTGCAAACTCCACCTTCTAGGTTCAAGTGATCCTCATGCCTCAGCCTCCTGAGTAGCTGGGATTACAGGCACGCACCACCATGCCCGGCTAATTTTTGTATTTTTAGTAGAGACAGGGTTTCCCCATATTGGCCAGGCTGGTCTCGAACTCCTGACCTCAAGTGATCTGCCCGCCTCGGCCTCCCAAAGTGCTGGGATTAGAGGTGTGAGCCACCGCACCTGGCCCAGACCTATTTTTAAGTCTGAGGTAGGCAGGAAGGCACCATGGAGAAATGTTCATTATTATCACACACTTCTGATTAGAGCCTGAACCACAACTGGGGGCTTGATTACTATCACACAAAGATTTTTGGTAGGTTTTCTTTGTTTCTCATTTGGTTATTGTTAGTGGCAGTCCCAGAGTACCATATACACACACCCTCCCAAGGCTCAGGTTGAAATAGAAGGAATTCTTGGCTTTGACCATTTGGCTGGTATAGGAGTGGGGTGAGGATGGGGGAAAGACTCTTTTTTTCTTAATGATCCCAACACTTTCTCAAATCCCTGTTATTCTAATTCTTGCCTTTAACAAGGTCATGAAGAGATGATTGGATCAAGGAAATGTCCTGACCCCAGGCTATACAGTGTAGAAGTCACAAACCCTGTTCAGTCCTTCTCATTAAACTTCTGGGCTTTATTTATTGTTTTTAATACGATCATTACATATTACACAAAAATAAAAGTCAAATGAACTTGGTATTTATAAATTATTAAATAAAAATACAGGAATATAGATTTATATTTATAGAGCTTTCTTTTCTTCTAAACTAACCAAATCTGTTCTGCCGTTTTATGATTTTAAAAAAGTAAAATAGTGTTTGTGTGCCCTAGAATAAGTGGGGAGTGGGATTAATAATCGCAGGACCGAGTTGCCCTACTTCCGCTCCTTCCTTGGCCTAAACAAAGTCCCTATTTGTCCCTTTGGGCTCTGGAGAGCAAGAAACCCCTCTCCTCCTACTTAATCTTTGAAAAATGGCAATTACATTTATTTCCCTTATTTTTTAAAAAATGAAATGGATTTAAAAATTGGGAACCATACTCAGCCTTCTTGGCCAAGAGCTAATCCCAAGGAACTATATGGCTCTAGAAGAGAGTCCCTAGTTTTCCCTGACAGAAGAGTCTCTGGGGTTTCCCTTCAAGCTAAGAAGGGCAGGACAGGTCAAAATTGCCCACTGTGGTCCCATCTAAGCTATGCTTCTGGGAATCCAGACCAAGCCCTTTACCCTTTCAGAAAACAGCCTCTCTTTCCACCCAGGTGTCAAGGCTTCAGAGCAGGGCATTTTGGTAACCTGGCCATGGTCCCTGCAGCTCCTCTTGGCTAAAGGTCCCGGGGAATGCTAACAGGGATATGTGTCCTGTGGTAGAGGGTAGGGTGAAGAGTGTGCTCCATACCTGGGGAAGGAAGCACAGACTCCAATTTGGAGCCGATGGTCTAGTCAGTGGTTTTCCAACTTTTTTTCAGCAGCAAACCCCTTAATGCAAATAAAATCTTACCCTGAACCCCAATATGTAAGACAGCTACAAGGGGAGCTGTTCTGTTTGAGGGCAAATTGCCCAGCCTGCTCAGCTCCCCACCCCCTTCATCTCCCCAAGGACTCCTGAGGCAACCCCTAGGAAACTTCAGGGCTCTGCCAAGCAGTTTGAAAACCACTGGCCTAGTTTGTCCTGAGCAAGTCAGAGACCCCCCACCCCAACTGCTTGCCACAAGCTGGCTCTGAGTTTCTGGTGTCAGCATACTCACAACAAGACCAAGTGGCACATGCAGCCTACCACCTCCCCTAGAAATACCATGAAAAAGTGCAGCCCTCTCTCAAAAGCAGAAGTCTGGACTCAACACCTGAGGCCAATTTGGTCCCACGTTCTGGCGAGCACAACTACGTTGCCACATTCTAGGACCAAGTGAAAATCTCCAAGAAGAGTCAACCATGGTCTAGCTAAGGTGATCAGTGCTCAGGACCACAGGCAGGGTTCTAGAGCACTGTGTCAGAAAGTTAGCATTGGAGAGCAGCAATCTTAGCACCTTGGAAAGTGCAGCAGTGAGGTCTGGCTCAGGGCATGCATCTGGAGTGAATAATTTCTTCCTCAAAAGAAAAAGCCATAATCTGAAGCTGTTCTAGAGGACTGCGAGTTCCAAAGTTAACATCCTCAGACTCTGAGGTACAGACAAGTAACACCCATGCAAACAGTGTGGCTTCAAATAAATCATAAATGCTTCTAGGTCATGGTAGGTACTCTAGAACCCATATGCCTGGCCCCTGATAAAGCCGAACCAAAGCCCACAACACAGCATAGGCCAGTCCTGGAGTACCCATCACCCTCACACCCATGGGATTCAGATCTGAAATGGTCATCTCAAGGCATCAACAGTCTCACTGAGACACAGTGTGGGACCCAGACTGTATTCTAGATCAGCACTTATGCCCACAACCTCAAAAGGAAAATTAGTTAGGGCCCCAATTTAGAGTTTCAGTTTGGGTACAGAGGTCCCAGAGATTGGAAACACTTTAGGCACCATTGTGCCTGAGTGGGAGAGGAGGGTGGCAGGCAGGTCCGGCTACCTAAGCCTCCACCCATCCAGGCTCAACAGCCCTGCCCTTCTATCAGAGCCCAGGAGGCAGCAGCAAGTGCATAATGCACAAGGAAGGGGGATGATGAAGGAACAAGGCCAGCTGCAGAACTGCTCTTCTCTCCAAAGCCTTGCCAATCACTTTCTGGAAAGAAGCAGCAGAGCCCTCGGTCTGGATACAATGTTTCTCTCTAAGCCTTGAGGCATCAGGACAAGGGCAGGGGAAAGGAGGGGTTGGGAGGAGGGACAGAGAACTGCCCCTAGTTCTTGCCATTGCAAGAGGGAATGTTTTCTCCTTGAGGAATCCCATCACCACCAGATTTGCCAGGCAGCCCAGCATGCACACCAGCATGCGTGCACATGCACACGCGTGTCCAAGCAGCCCACTGTTAACAGCCACCTCTCCCTATCACCTGAGAACCCCTAAGCTTCCATTCCAAAGGGATGTGCCTTCTGCGTTCCCTAAATCCCACTCATCTAATGGAATACAGCTGCTTATGTAAGTCCACCTTCCTCAGGGCTGTGAAGCAAGTTCCAGGTCGTTTCATGTGCCCACACCTATAGGCGTGATCCCTCCCACCTCCCCCAGCCCTGGAACGACTACATCTCCTGTGCCCCTAAACTTGCCAAAACATTCCCCTCCCCTCTGTGTCCTGCTCACTCTTCCAATCGCCTACCTGGCCTACTCAGCTCCCTCACACACTACCCTTTCTCTGCCCATCCTGTTCCATGCCCACCCATCCACCAACTCCACTTCTTCCAAGGGCATTTCTCTGTTCTGTTCCTGCTCTCCTGGCCCCCAGCCACACCTAGCCCCACCTGGCCCTGGACTTTCACTTGCTAGCAAAAAAGGCCCCTACAGTTACCAGGGCCCCCAGTGCCACGGCCCCCGTCAGCACTGTCCTCACTGATGCCCAGTTCCCCTCCCGCAGACGCCGCGCCTCCTCCAGGGCCCCGTCCCCGTATAGAGCTGTGAACTCCGCCTGTGGGAGAGAAGGGAAGCAGGAGAGAAAGAAGGAGAAAGGGATATCAGGAGAGGAAAGAGTGGAGAGAAGAGGAGAGGAAGAGTTCCAGTTCCATCCACTGCGAGCACTACCCCATACCCAGCTCCTCTCTGGCCAAAGCTCTTCTCCCTGCAAGCCCCTCTGATCCCCCCAGGTGCACCCCCACCCTGAGAGACTGGTTCATCTGCCCACTCTGCCTCCAGTGAATTCCATCCTTTCCTTGGCGAAAAATTCTGCTCAGAACTAGCATCCTTTGCCAAGGCTTGCCTGACCACCACCCATCCCTGGTCCTCCCCACCTCCCACGCCATGACTCAGATGTAAAAAGTCCCTGACAACATTCCCCTGCAGGCACTCCTTGGGTGTGTATTCTGTCCTCTGCTTGGGACCATGAGCCCATCCAGTGTTGACTGCATGGCAGCCCTGGAGTGCAGAGTCCAGGCATCTCTCAATCTAATTCCATCCAGACGGGGAGACTCAGCCCCGTACCTCATTCCCAACATAGCTGCCTCAGCCTCCAATCAGAGCCCCCATCTTCCCCCTGGAGACCAGCTTTGCAGAAGGATGTGCAGAGCGGCAATTGAGAAGCTTCTTACCCAGCCCCCACTGCTGTGGATCCAGTCAGCCAGCTGCGTCTCCAGGTAGGCCACCATCCACTCCTGCACTTGTCCCACCAGTGGTTCCATCTCCTTGTTGACACTCTCAGCACACAGTGCAGCCCCAAAGACAAAGAAGGCTACAAGGCGGCCCCAGTTGGGGCCCCCTTGAAAAAGTTCATCGGAGACCTGGGTGAAGCGTTGTTGGGCTGAGCCTGGGGTCACATGCAGCTGAGCCGCCAGATCAGAGAAGGTGCGCCGGAAGCGGGTCTCGAACTCATCTCCAGCTGCCCGCATGGCTTGGTGCAGCGGGTCAGCTGCTGGGCCCTCCCCGGGGCCAGCTCCACAGACATAACCCTTCTGCCTCAGCTTATAACCTACAAAGTCTGCCACCAGAGCCCGTGTGTCTGGGGCCGAGGCTGGGGTCGCCATCCGGGCGGCTATAAGAGGCAAGGATGAAAGACTGGCATGAATATATGAAGAGAGAATCAGAAGGAGCACTTCTGGTTTGACCAACCCAGTGAGATGAGGAGGAGAGAGGAAATGCTCAGGACTCACTGGACAGGGAGAGGCAAGAACAAGGGAATTAAGTCATGATATGAGACTAGGCTGTGAGTGGCTGGCCATTACATTCCTAATATGCCAAATTAAATGTAAAACAAGTAAATTTTCTGTTTAGGATACTTTAGATTCTTTTCACAATAAGACAACGTCAGCTCAATGACACCCCTACAACACCCCCACCCCCGGGTCTCCTTAGTCCACACCTTCTTGGCTAGAGGAAGGGTCTTAGGACCTCCCCAAATGCAAGATGTAAAGATGTTGGCAGAGACACAAGATGAGGGGGAGCAGATGGGCTGAAGAGAAAGGTGGGAGACGCAATGGGTTACTCCAGACAGAGAAAGGAAGGAGACACTCACCCAGCCGGGATGGCAGCTCTTAAGACACAGCACTGGTGGCAAGGAGCCCCCAGCTGGGGCCTTTCATCCTCCTGGCCAGCGTGGAGCCCTGGAAAGGGGAGGGGGAGATCAGAACCAGGAGGGGAAGGCCAGGGATCAGGTTCTGGCCTGGGAAGGGCTAGGGTTGCAGCTCTGGGCCTAGGCCCCTGCCCCCAACGCTCTACCAGCTGTGTGGCCGAATCCATGTTTAATGACTGTCCTCCCGGGAAACCCAAGGCCAAGGGCTTCCTGCCGACACCATCTCTATTCCCGGTTCCCCCTAGTGCAGCCCAAAGGCCCAGCTCCTCCCTTACCCCCACCTCAGCCAGTCTCCAACCCCGCCCGCCTGCCAGGTTAGGGATCTCACGGGTCAGGCCGCTGCCGGGATCCGGGCCGTTTCCTGGTGCAGGAGCTGGGAGGGAGGGAGAGAGGGAGGAAGGGAGGGAAGGAAGGAGGGAGGAGAAAGGGGGGGGCAGAGGGAGGGCCCGGCGCCGGGTGATGATGGGGCCCAGAGATGCGTCCAGAGAGAGGGGCGGGGCTGGGACGCAGGCCTGCAAAGGGCCACTACTCAGGAAGAGGGAGGGCTGCTGAAGGCAAAGAAGGGCTGGCTGAGAGGGCACGGTGGGCTGGGCTGGGCTGGGCTCCTGAGCCTCTAGGCTGCCCAGAGAAATATGCCGGACTTCGGGACATCTCGGGGCAAATTTAGCATTTTCAGGAGGTTTCCGATGTTCCATGCACTTGTTGAACTTTTCCAGCCCTGAACTGTGTGCCTGGAAAACAGGAGCAGTTCCCATTAAGCTGGGAACCGTCTACCAGGTGCCTTACCCTTATGGGGCTAGCAGACACCACATAGACACCAAACCTTTCCCATCTTTTCTCCAGGACCTTTAACCCAGTGTTCTCTTTGTGGGCTGGGCTTCAGCCAGGCATTAGGGAGCCAGGACTTGGATCACAAGCAGTTTCTCTCGGTACTTTTCTTTAATTCATCTTCTTTTGTAATTAGATTGATTTTAGTGGGGTTTTTTTCTTTTTCTTTTTTTTACCCAACACACAAACTCATTCTCATTATGAAAAAAATCAAACAATAAAGACGTGCGGAGTAATAAAATACAGGTTCTCAAACACACACACACATACACACCCAATTCCACTTCCCTCCCTGCAGGTTGCCAGTGTTAAGCTTGATGTTTATCCTTCCAGATTACATATATATGGGGCCATTATTTATACATGGCAGTATATTTATACAGGGCAGGTCACAGGCGTGAAGCAGTCTGACCATAGCTGATCCACATGAGGGCACTCACAGCCAGCCCCCTGGGCTCTTGGATCTGGCACTTTTTTAAAGAGTGCCCCAACCAAAGGCCAGAAAGAGGCAACCTAATTCTCCTATTCTGCTAGCTCCCTTTGCTTCTACCTCCAATCCAAGCCTCTGTATTACCATCTTCCCTTATGGTCACTGGAGAAGCAAGGTCTTTTCTGCAGCAATAACAGTAACAACTAGCTGGGTTCGGTGGCTCATACCTGTAATCCCAACACTTTGGGAGGCCAAGGCGGGTGGATCACTTGAGGCCAGGAGTTCGAGACCAGCCTGACCAACATGGCAAAACCCCATCTCTACTAAAAATACAAAAATTAGCCAGACGTAAAATACAAAAATTAGCCAGCCTGTAATCCCAGCTGCTCAGGAGGCTGAGGCATGAGAATCACTTGAACCCAGGAGGCTGAGATCATGCCACTGCACTCCAGACTGGGTGATAGAACGAGACTCTATCTCAAAAAAAAAAAAAGGTAAAAACTAACATATTTTGAGGAGTTATTAGATGCTGTGCTTTTTTTACATGTGTATTTTTTCCTCTCACCAGTCCTTATGCTGTTTTATCCTCATTCTATGAATGAGGAAATTGAGGTTTGGAGAGGTTAAGTGATTTTCCCAAAGCCATAGGCTGATATGTAAGAAGCTAGCACAGCCATCTCATGCTGTAACTTTGACACTATCGCTTCAAGATCACCTCTTGCCTTCACATAGTCAATATGGTTCTCATAGTCTGAATCCACACCATTTACAAGTCCATACTCAATTCTCTCCTCTATTCTAAACACACAGCCTATTACACTCCTTTATGGCTGTATCCTTTCAACCATCCTCATTTCATTTTTGCTCTTAGCCTGATCATTCTGGCTGCCACCAGCAAGGTTGCCCTCTTCTTTAGAGAATAACCTAGTCCAAGTCTTCATTTGCACTCCTGGTTTATTTGTTTGTTTGTGATACAAGGTTCTCACTCCATGGCCTAAACTGGAGTGCAGTGGTACAAGCACAGTTCACTTCAGCTTCCACCGTCTAGGCTCAAGCAATCTTCCCACTTCAGCCTCCCTGGTAGCTGGGACTAGAGGTGTACTGCACCATGCTTGGTTAAATTCATTTTTTATAGAGATAGGGATCTCATTATGTTGCCCAGACTGATCTCAAACTCCTGGGCCAGCTTGATTGTAACATAAATTAATGTATGATTTATTAGACATTAATTTATATGCATTATATATATTATATTGTATATGCATATACAATATATACATTGTATATATTGTATCACATATAATGATACGAAGAGAATACATCCATGCATTCTATATACGTGTAAAATTTAAAAAGTCAATATTGCTTTAAAAATGAGTCCTAGCTAACTAGTATTGCTACAGTCAATACTAGTGCGAATGCATGTAAACAGGAATGAATTGTATAATAATAAGATAACATGTGTCTCATGGTTTATTTTCAACTTAGTCACTTGTGGTTTTACAGTTAAACTATCCTGCTGCTTTAAATTTAGAGACTTCATTTCTACTCTAATATTCCCTCTTTTAACACTCTGAGGATGTTAACTATTATTGTTAAATGTTTTAATCTTATATAACCAAGCGGGTAAGAGCGTGGACTCTAGAGCTAAACTGTTTAGGTCCTAATCCCACCTCCCCAATTATTAACTATGTGACCCTGGGTAAGAGTCCTCTCCCCTCTCTCCCTCAATTCTCTCATCTTTAAACTAGACATAATAGTCTCTATTCCTCTGATGGTTGTATTACATGGGTTAGTATTTGTAAAACCCTTACAACAGTACCTAGCACATTGTAAGTGCTATATTAGATCAGTAGGAAAGTTAGAAAAAAACTAAAAACAACTTCACTTTTTTTTTTCACTAATGTTAAAAAAAAAAAATGAAAGGGGAAAAAGCCAGCTCTGCCCTTCTTGGAAGCTCCCACTGGACCTATAATTCCACAGTCCCAACTCCAAGAGAGTTGTTGGGTGCTTGTTCATTCAATAATTTGAGTGCCTACCATATACTAAAACTCACCATGAATCAGACAAAGCCCCTGCCCTCAAAGGGCTTACACTTGGATTAGAAATCAGAACTCCACCACTTTTTTACAGATAAGAACACTGAGTTCAGAGTATGGCTCTGAGTTCAGGGGTGGCTCACACCTGTAATCCCAGCACTTTGGGAGGCCGAGGCGGGCAGATCACCTGAGATCAGGAGTTCAAGACCAGCCTGGCCAAGATGGTGAAACCCCGTGTCTACTAAAAATACAAAAATTAGCCGGGCGTGGTGGTGGACGCCTGTAATCCCAGCTACTCAGGAGGCTGAGGCAGGAAAACCGCTTGAACCGGGGAGGCAGAAGTTGCAGTGAGCCGAGATCACGCCACTGCACTCCAGCCTGGGCGACAGAGCGAGACTCCATCTCACACTCACACACACACACACACACACACACACACGAGAACACTGACTCCAGAGAAGTTATGCCTTGCTTGCTCAAGGTCACTAGAAGCTAGGTCTTCCTGCAGTTCTCAGTTCGGGTGCCATATTCTCACCTTCTATTTGAAAGACTCTACCTAGCTTTCATGACCTTTCCTTCTTTGCACGCACCACCACCCCCTGCCCAAACCAGGAGCCTAGGTTTCAGAAAAGAAAACAGTGAACCCCAAAGATAAAGTCACATGCTGGGCGTTTTGAACCTTCCCCTGCAAGAAAATGAAAGGTTATTTTTTCTTCCCGGCGTTAACCTTTCCTGTGCTGTGCCGGAAAAGTTGAGGACTTTTTACATTTTATTATTATTATTATTGTAGAGATCAGGGGTCTCACTATGACGCCCAGGCTGGTCTTGAACTCCAGGCTTCAAGCGATCCTCCCACCTCGGCCTCCCAAAGTGCTGGGATTTGAGGCGTGAGCCATCGCGTCCCGTCCGTGGATGTTTTTTTTAAAAGGTTGAGTAGCTTCACTCGGGACCGCAAAGGTGGAGTCCCCGCCCCCTGGTGCAGCAGCGAAGACAAGCGGAGCCACCTGTCAGAGGGCTGTGGGCGGGGGCGCCCGGGCCGTGAGGGCCTTGGAACCGGAGGGTGAGTGCAGTTGAGCGCACGCTCAGAGCAGACCGCTAGCAGGAGGCAGGATGTGATAGTCTAAGACCCTGGAAGCTGACGGCCAGAGGGAGGGAAGGGTGGTCACAGAGGAGAGGCAAAGCAACGGGAGGTGGAGGATCCTGGAGGTGTCTGCAAGGAGAATACACAGCAGCGAGGGGCTGCAGAAGCGGACCCAGCGACTTCTGCGCTGACGCGGGGCGGGCGGGAGAGAGGAAGAGAGGGGAGCGCGGTGGCGCTGCGAGCTGGCCCCGCCGGGGAAGGGGCTGCCATGTCCCGTGAGCGGCCCCCGGGCACCGACATTCCCCGCAACCTGAGCTTCATCGCCGCGCTAACGGAGCGCGCCTACTACCGTAGCCAGCGGCCCAGCCTCGAGGAGGAGCCGGAGGAGGAGCCAGGCGAGGGCGGGACGCGGTTCGGGGCCCGATCCCGCGCTCACGCACCGAGTCGGGGCCGCCGGGCCCGATCTGCACCAGCCGGAGGCGGCGGGGCCCGGGCGCCCCGCAGCCGTAGCCCAGACACCCGCAAGAGAGTGCGTTTCGCCGACGCACTGGGGTTGGAGCTGGCTGTCGTGCGCCGCTTCCGTCCCGGTGAGCTGCCCCGGGTGCCCCGCCACGTGCAGATCCAATTGCAGAGGGACGCCCTCCGCCACTTCGCGCCCTGCCAGCCCCGCGCCCGCGGCCTCCAGGTAGGCGGCGGGGGCACCTCCCCTCCTGGGGACCTCCTCCAGTCGGCCGCAGCGGGCTTGTGGGAGTGGATTTGCCAAAGAGCACCCATCTCCATCCCATCCCTGGGCTTGCGCCTGCCCATCCCTTTTGGGGACCCCATCTGCGAGTGGCTCTAGGCCACCCTGGCAGCTGGGCCGCACTCTGCCGGCCTGGACGCCGGGGTCGGCCTCTGATTGGTCCAGTGCCTTGCTCTGACACCGCCCCCTGTCTCTCCCCTCTCTCCGCCCTGGGCTCCCTCCTCCCGCTTCTTCTTTCCCCCAGGAGGCGCGCGCCGCCCTGGAGCCGGCCAGCGAGCCCGGCTTCGCCGCCCGCTTGCTGACGCAGCGCATCTGCCTGGAACGCGCCGAGGCGGGCCCGCTGGGCGTGGCCGGGAGCGCGCGCGTGGTGGACCTGGCCTACGAGAAGCGCGTGAGCGTGCGCTGGAGCGCCGACGGCTGGCGGAGCCAACGCGAGGCGCCAGCCGCCTACGCCGGTCCGGCCCCGCCCCCGCCGCGCGCCGACCGCTTCGCCTTCCGCCTGCCCGCGCCGCCGATTGGGGGCGCCCTGCTCTTCGCCTTGCGCTACCGTGTGACAGGTCACGAGTTCTGGGACAACAACGGCGGCCGTGACTATGCTCTACGTGGGCCCGAGCACCCGGGCAGTGGCGGAGCTCCGGAGCCGCAGGGCTGGATCCACTTTATCTGAGACGAGGCGCCTGCGGCCGACGGCGGAAAACACCAAAGGCACCCGGGGGCGGGGCGACCCGATGTGGCGGGGAGGAGTAGGAGAGACCAGGATTGGCGGGAGCGGTCCAAGGGAGTCAAGCCGGGGAGGGCGAAAAGGGTGGGGAAATCAGGGGCGTGGGGGCGTGGGGGCGTGGGGGCGGGGGGAGTGAGCGGAACCAAAGAAGCTCCGGGAGATCCGGGTGTTAAAAGCTGGTTGGATGTGAGTGGAAGGAACTCAGAATATAGGAGGAAGGAGACCCGAAACGGCACCGGAGGGATTATAAAAAAAGGAAAAGAATGGGGATGATGGTGGCCTTCCCTTCAGTGAGTGGGCTCTGGGAGAAAGGGAGGAGGTCCATCAGGCCTAGGCGGTTGAAGAAGGTTAAGAACCTTTTGGAGATGGAGGAGGTATGATGTGAAGTAGCCCACCCAGTCGAAGGCATTTACATTGCTGGCGCATTCCCTCTTCTTACCGGCCTTTTCCACCTCAGATCCCCCTGTCCTACCCATCCTAGCTTTAACTCAGCCATAATTGCCTTGCTTAATCCCAGGAACCTGGCCACTGCTCCTTGGTCCTTGGCATTATGACGGGATTCCCTTGTCACCTCTGACAGTTCCTGGCTGCGGTGTCCGCGGACTGGCTGGGGAGTGATGACAGGTAGCTATCAGAGCTCCAGCCTCCAGGCAGCTTTAGGGATTAAAACGGAGGCCAAAGCAACTCCAGACCTGTTTTTATAGCCAAATACTGAGCCTCAGGGGTTGTACACTCAGGGGCTTCCAGGAAAATGCCAGCCTTACTTTTCTGGGGTGCCTTTTAATAACCTCCAAGCACTTTGTGGACTGTTTGTCGAGGGACGGTGAATCAGAAGAATCACTATTCTGATTTCCTTTGTCTCCGAAGAGGAAGTCCCTGACTAGCTATATAACTTTGGGCGAGTTACCTCTCACTTCTTTGTGCCCCAGTGTTCTCCTTGGGAAACTGGATTTAGGTTAGATGACCTTTTAAGGCTCCTTGTATGATATTTTGTGATCTGTACATGGCAGAGTATAGATTAGGAGCCAAATTTTCCAACCTAGTGCTATGGTTCAGAATACATAGCACCCCAAGCGTCTGGCTGGAGCCGAGGATGGGTCCTCCAGTTTTTGGCACAGATGTTCCGGAGCCCAGGAAGCATCCCATAACCAACCTTCAGCCCCACCGCCACCCCCAGCGTATTCCAGAGCCGCTTCCAAACCACAGCCTATCCTCTGCTCCATTTCACTCTTGTCCTCACAGACTTTCAGCCTCCATGCTCTGAGACAACTGTGGGTAGGTACATCTCTGTTGGTGGAAATGATGCTTAAGAACCCCAAAGATTAAAGGAAACAATGTTAAGGGCTTTTGTGAGGATAAAAGATAATGGGTATATGGAATAGAAACATTTCAAATGAAGAATCAAAGCATTTCAATCAATCCACTTGGTTGTAAAAAAAAAAAAAAAAAAAAAACAAAAACAAAAAAACACCAAAGCAACTTGAATAGTAAATGGCACCAGAAGATGGCAGTCTGCTCCATAACCAGAGCAAGTGCAGTGGGAAAGCTGGACTCTCATACCCACTCACATTCATGCCTTATATAAGCCTCTCCTCCTGGTTAACCTTAACAGGGGAGTGATTCCTCTGCTGGTTGCTGTTTTTCCTTTTCTCTTACCCTATTCCTAACCTCTTTGCTTCTCTCTTTCTTTCCTTGTGTCTCTTCCTTCTCTTTTCTTTTTTCTTTTAACATATAGGGTATTTTTTTCTTTTAACATATAGGGTATTTACCTTCATTTTGTTTATTTCCATTTGTTTCCTTCTTCATTCATGTTCATCTCTGCTATTCCTTCTCCCTCCAGAAGGGATGGAAACCCTATTTTCTTTTCTCCAAGACCATGGTTGGTCTGCTTCCCTCACTCGGGCTCCTTGACAGTCTTCTAGAAGAGAGAAGGAGGAAAAGAAGCAGTTCCTGATGTTACAAATGAACAAGGATCTCCCAGGTAACCAGCTCCCCACACCCATTTCTGTTACTAATTTCTCAAACAGAAATTTCTGGTTCCCCTTCTTCCTTATCACTGAGTGAAAGGGGACAGGCATGCACATGTGCCCATACATGCATTCAGAATAGAGTGTGGGGGCAGGGGCGGTAGTTCATTCCTGTAATCCCAGCACTTTGGGAGGCTGAGTTAGGTGGATCATTTGAGGTCAGGAGTTCAAGACTAGCCTGGCCAACATACTGAAACCCTGTCTCTACTAAAAATACAAAAATTAGCCGGGCATGGTGATTCATGCCTGTAGTCCCAGCTACTCATGAGGCTGAGGCAGGAGAATCACTTTAACGGGGAGACAGAGGTTGCAGTGAGCTGAGATTGCACCACTGCACTCCAGCCTGGGTGACAGAGTGAGACTCCGTCTCAAAAAATAAAAAAAAAGAATAGAGTATGAGGCTTGTTGGCTTGTTACCATGCCCATCCTGTCCACAGCCTTAGTCTTTGAGAAAAGATGGCTGAAAGAGAGGAACTCTCCAAGTCATTCCGCAAACAAATGCCCATTTAAACATCATCCTTGTCTTGTGAAGAAAACAGGAAGAATGTCATGTACCATGTGGATCACCTTCAGTTCAAAGTTGCAGCAAAGTGAAGAAAGAAACTACTGGAAGCCACCCAGCAATGCACTGTTTAGTCATCAATTAGGAGCCCATGGGAGGATAATAGGGAGACTGGGTGGAGGCTCAGTGTGTAATAATCTCTTGTCTAATGTATGTGTGTCACTGCCATGTTGTATGAACAATAGTGAGGGCTCACATTTACTTAACACTTGTGTGCGCAAATCTGGGTTTTTCTTCCTTTCCAGAACTATGACTCGATCATAAAATCTGTTTTGTTTGCATGCATGCCCAAAACAACCCTGTAAGTAGAACATTGTCATTATCTCTGTTTTAGAGATGAGGAAACAGGCTCAGAGAAGCTCAGAAATTTGTTCAAGATCGCACAGCTAGTAAATGGCAGAAGTAGGATTGTGAACCCAGGGAATCTCCAGAGCCTCTGTGTAACCATGATGTTATATTTTTTTTCCTCTTTAAAAACAAAATTTAAAACCTTGCTATAATCTCTTATTAGGAAATGATCATAGTTTCTGACTGTGCTCTGCCTTCCCATCCTGCCAATCTCCTGGACTGGCTTGGAGAAGACAGGGGGCCCCCGAGCTTCATCTGTGACTCGAAGGAGTTTGCTGCTGTCTCCTGTGTCAGTGTCCCATCTATGCAGGATCAGCACAGGACCCCCCTCACCTTCCCACTTACACTCTAGCCTTTCCATACATTGGAATTCTCTCCTGGCCCTAGCCAGCGCTCCACACCTGTTGGTGTGCCACCTCCCTCCCTCTTCCCCCACTGGCCTTGAACAGGCAAACCCCCTAATGTCGCCACTAGGTTGGGTCCGTGACTAGGACACCTGCTAGAGGGTCTGTGCTTGGGCCTTTTCTAGGAATCCCGATGTTACTGGGTAAGTGCCAACTCTGTGGGCAGAATGCTAATGATAATCCTGTTCCCTGACCTCTTTCTCAGAAGTACCCTGGCTCACTCTCCCCAATCTCAGCTTTATAGAACAACATTTTGGTCTTGATTATTCCCATATCAAGCTGCCCCAGGGCTTCGGTAAGCTGTTAGTTGCCCCACTGCCTCAAGGCTGGGTCTGGCTGAGCTACTTCTTAGGCACACAAATAGTGGGTGTCTCCTTGGAACCTGACACAAAACTATCAGTGCTACCAAGCCTTGTAAAATAGGGAGGAAACTAATATTTCTTGAGTGGCTTCTGAGTGCCTGGTGCTTTCGCGGCTCTCTGGAGAGATTCCTTGCCCTGATGGCTTTGGTGTGTACTCCTCTCCCAGGACTTCAGCACTGAGATTTTCCCAACCCCCTGGCTTTTCCTCACCTTGGGTTGAGTTGATCCGGCACTACCACAAACCCCACCATCTGCAAACCAACCAAGATTAGGCAGTATGCCCTTTCCGTCTTGCACTGCTCTTCCAAAACTTCCATCTGTATTTCTCACACCCTCAGTAAGCAAAGCTGAGTGTGCATGGACAGAGCTGCATCCACTGCTTTCTCCCAGCGGGTGCAGTCTAATCTGACACGGGGAACACTAGGAGTTTAGCGGAATCTTCAGCCACCCTATTAATGTGTTACGCATTAGGCATTGTAGTGGAAACTCCTCTGATGGCTCATGACTATATGAACAGGAGCAATTTGGAATATAACATGTCAGCTGTGGACTGGGAAGTGCCGTGAGAGAAAACACTACCTGGGTCATAGGCTTGGGTCCCTGAGGCAACCCAGCAGGGACACTGTTGCCCATTCCTCTCATCCAGACTGCAGGTGTCTTCCTACACCTCCCTGTCCCATAGCCTCCGTCCTGTTTTTTGTTTGTTTGTTTTTCTTTGTGAATGTAGAAAAACATTTCATCATGAGCCCTAGCTCCTCAGTTTTCCACCTAACACCCACATTCCCTTGTTTCTAACTGCCGTGTTTTTCTGGAGCCTGCTGGGATCTTTGCAGTTTGCAGGTCATAGAATCAGACATGAAAAGGCTTCTCTTCCGACGTCATTGGTTCCTGGCTCCTTTACAGATGAGAACACAGGTCCAGAGGTGAGAAATGACTCTAGCAGGGTCATAGAATTTGTTAGTGCAGCTCAAGATGGGACTTAAACTCAGGCCTCCTGATCACCCATTCCCAGGCTAGGAAACAGGTCTCTGCTCGGTGTGGTGGTTCATACCTGTAATCGCAACACTTTGGGAGGCTGAGGCAGGAGCATTGCTTGAGCCCAGGAGTTCGAGACCAGTCTGAGCAACATAGTGGGACCCTGTCTCTACAAAAACTTTTAAAATTAGCTGGGCATGGTGGCACACATCTGTATTCCCAGCTACTCAGGAAGCTGAGACAGGAGGATCGCTTGAGCCCAGGAGTTGGAGGTTACTGAGCTATGATCGCACCACTGCACTCCAGCTTGGTGACAGTGAGACCCTCAAAAAAAAAAAGAAAAGAAAGAGGTCTCTACACAAGCCCGTGATTCTTCATGGCAAGGGATAACATCAGAAATGTTTCATTTTCTGCTATTAGTTTCCATTCCTTTCCCCATCCAGGCATAAAGAGAAACAAAAGACAATGATGGTATTCTCTGTGTCCTCAGCTTTGGCACTTTTGTTGATGTTGCTAAGGAGCAGTGACCTTGCTAAAAAGACTGAATAATCCACCCACTGAATAGCTAACCTGGGGAGGAAATGAAAATTTCCTTTGTGGATCTCCCCAAATCCATTGTTGTCACCAGGCCCTCCCAGAACCTCCTCAGTTCCTTCACAGTGCAACCCTGTGTACTTGGCCCGCAACCCAATAGTATTGTGCCTCACTTCACCTTCCATGGGCAACTGCCCTCCCTTCTGGACATAAAACCTCATATTTTAAATAAAGTTGAAATATGAAAAGAAAGTATGTCATAAGATATTCAGAAGTATTGTGTGTTTTGGGCTAAGGGCAGCAAGAGACTCAGAGGCAAGATTCCCTCCTTGACTCAATTTCTTGGTCACCTTGTTTTTTGTGTGTGTGTGTCCAGAAAAATTTAATAAGTTTGCTTAAATTATTATAAAGTTGAACCACTGAAATGTTCACTGAAACATTTTGACTTGCATTAATGCTTTACTTCCCCACCTACATTTACATTAAAAATTCACACACAAATGAAAATTGAAAACTGACAACACCTGACTTCTGTCTCCTATTTTTCTGCTCACAATCGTATACTTAGGTACCTTTTGACCCCATGGGGAAAAAATATCTAACATTCAGAACTACCAATGACAGGAAGCAGAGACTTTTTTTTTTTAAGAATGAAGTTTCCCCCATCATAATGGATTCTTAAGCACATTCTTCACGCATGCGGCGTGCTAGCTGGATGTCTTTTGACATAGGTGTTACACGTTTGGCATGGACAGCACACAGGTTGGTGTCTTCAAAAAGCCAACCAGATAGGCTTTGCTTGCCTCCTGCAAAGCACCACTAAGCTGCACTCTGCAACGGCAGATCTGTTTTAAAGTCCTGAGCAATTTCTCACACCAGATGCTGGAAGGGAAGTTTGCGAATCAGTTCAGTAGATGTCTGATAATGGCTAATTTCACGGAGTGCCACAGTACCAGGCCTGTAATGACGAGGTTTCTTCGCCCTCCAGTAGAGGGCGCACTCTTGTGAGCAGTTTTTTTTTTTTTTGGTGGGGGGAGGGGTGTGTGTGTGTAGTTTTTTGTTTTTTGTTTTTCCTGAGAGTCATGCTGTCACCCAGGCTGGAGTGCAATGGCGAGATCTCGTCTGGCTGCAACCTCTGCCTCCCGGGTTCAAGTGATTCTCCTGCCTCAGCCTCCGGAGTAGCTGGGATTACAGGGGCGTGCCACCACGCCCGGCTAATTTTTATATTTTTAGTGGAGACAGGGTTTCACCATGTTGGCCAGGCTGGTTTCGAACTCCTGACCTCAGATGATCCACCCGCCTCAGCCTCCCAAAGTGCTGAGATTACAGGCGTGAGCCATGCCCCTGGCCCCCAGTTTTTGTATTTTTTTAATAGTCGAGGTTTTGCCATGTTGGGCAGGCTGGTGTCGAACTCCAGGCCCCAAGTGATCCGCCCGCCTTGGCCTCCTGAAGTGCTGGAATTACACGCGTGAGCCACCTCGCCCAGCCGGAGCAGCTTTTGTAGGCAGTTGCTTCCTGGGTGCTTTACCTTCAGTCAATTTGTGAGCAATCTGCTTTGTGTGAGACTGTGAGAGAGACCTCCTTACTTACTCCCCTTCTTCGGCTAGAGCTCAGGGAGCTAGAGATGGTCCTGGTTAGAGAACTACCTTATTTCCTAAAAGTCCTATTCTCATTCTGCTGGAGTCCCCTCTGGCTATGCAAATGCTGAGGGGAAGGAGTTTTGGAGGACTTAGGCAGTCCTGATGTAAGACACTCCCAACAGGATCCTATCATCATTTTGGGTAGTGGGAAATTTACCAGGGCCCAGCTCTTCTCTGGAACCCAGCACCAACTGCTTTAACCAACAGTTAAAGGGAAGAGCTTGGGAAAAGCCCTGCGTTTCTCCTTGGGTGGGGAAATCCTTCCTTAAGAAGACCATCTGAGTTACATTCTGCTTCTTCTTCTTCTTTTTTTTTTTTTGAGACAGAGTCTCACTCTGTCGCTAGGCCAGAGTGCAGTGACGCAGTCTCGGCTCACTGCAACCTCTGTCTCCCAGCTTCAAGCGATTCCCCTGCCTCAGCCTCCCGAGTAGCTGGGACTACAGGCGTGCGCCACCACGCCCAGCTAATTTTTGTATTTTTAGTAGAGACGGGGTTTCACCATGTTGGCCAGGATGGTCTCTATCTCTTGACCACGCGATCCGCCCACCTCGGCCTCCCAAAGGGTTGGGATTACAGGTGTGAGCCACTGTGCCGGCCTACATTCTGCTCCTTAAGTGCTGGATGAAAGAGCAAAGCCCTTATCAAAGGCAACCCCCTAAGGCAACGGAGGAGAAATATGGAAAGGAAAAGCAAAGACGTCTGCCTAATTCAGAATGGAGTGATACATTATAAAAGGAGGGAGTCCTTGAAAAAGATTAAGTTCTAACAGGATTGACTTCTACATCACCTGAATAATGAAACAATCCAATTACCCTCAAAGTAATTAGAATGTTCCTAATAGGGAAGCCCTACCCTGAGAATAACAGATGCCTCCTCATTACATCATAATGGCCAAGTTGTGATGTCGGCACAGAGAATTTACTCTTCACTAAGTGTTGTAAGTGAAACAAGATATGCTGAAGAGCAGAATCAGCATGAGGAGCAGACACCCCAGGAGAGGTAAGTGGGTTCTCTCCATGGCTTATTGTCCAGGGTCTCTGTGGCCCCAACCTCACTGCAGATTTCTCACATTTTAACTTGAGGTTAGGTGTGTCTAAACTCTTTTCTCCACTAACCTTCAGTGCAGCTTTTGCTATCCCAAGTCTATCCGAAATCCTCAATCATTGCAGTTCTTACTAATCAGCTCTCCAGCTCTGATATTTCTTAGGAGACACAGCACAGGGTATTGGAGTATGATTTCCCCAGACGGCACAGAAACTCTCCATATCCATTTGGTTAGTCCCAGGGGTAGATCCAGGTTTTTGGGTGCCTGAAGTGTGCAACTTTTGGAGCCCCCTTTAAGACAAATAAATACAAGATTGGGGGGGAAAGTGAATATTTGTTTTAGAATGAGAAAAGCTGTCAACGAATAATTTTTTTAAAAGCTGTCAAAAATTGTCTACCCGACAAACCTATATATTGCTCTACGTTTTTTAAGCTGCCTGCTCTTTGATAGCCTTTTCATATGATGATTATGTTTTCCTAAAGAGAAAAGTAATTCAGTCTTCCAGAAAGATTTATCATATTTCAAAAATTCCGGCCCCCCCCCTTTTTTAATTTTTTTATTTTTTTATTTATTTTATTTATTTTATTTTATTTTGAGCCAGATTCTCACTGTGTCACCCAGGCTGGAGTGCAGTGACGAAATCACAGCTCACTATAGCCTCAACCTCCTGGGCCCAAGTGAGTCTCCCACCTCAGCCTCCCAAGTAGCTGGGACCGCAAGCATGCACTACCACAGCTAATTTTTTTTTTTTTCTGAGGAGATGGGATTTTGCCATGTTGCCCGGGCTGGTCTCAAACTCCTGAACTCAATCAGTCTGCCTGCCTCGGCCTCCCAAAGTGCTGGGATTACAGGAATGAGCCACTGCCCTTGGCCTTTTTTGTTTGTTTGTTTGTTTGTTTTTGAGACAGAGTCTCGCACTGTGGCCCAGGCTGGAGTGCAGTAGTGCAATCTCATTTCACTGCAAGCTCCACCTCTCAGGTTCACGACATTCTCCTGCCTCAGCCTCCTGAGTAGCTGGGACTACAGGCGCCCACCACCATGCCCGGCTAATTTTTTGGTATTTTTAGTGGAGACAGAGTTTCACCGTGTTAGCCAGGATGGTCTTGATCTCCTGACCTCGTGATCTGCCCGCCTTGGCCTCCCAATTTTTTTTTTTTTTTTTTGAGAGAGAGAGACAGGATCTTGCTGTGTTGCCCAGGCGATCCTCCTGCCTCAGTCTCCCAAGTGCTGGGTTTACAGACATGAGCCATGCACCAGGCCACATTTTTAAAATTCTTGATAGTTTACAAAAATGTTATCTTCACACCTTGTAGTGATAATGTCACAGATTTTTAGGATTTTTGTCAAACTTGTAGTGTTTCAAATTTGTAATAACTAATGTCATATACTATTTGAATTGGTGACATTATTTCTGGAAGCTATGCATATTAGTTTACTAGGGTTGCCATAGCAAAATAGCACAGGTTGGGTGACTTGAACAACAAATTTATTTTCTCAGTTCTGAAAGCTAGATGCTCAAGATCAAGGTGTTAGGAGAGTTGCTTTTTTCTGAGGTCTCTCCTTGGCTTCTAAACGGCTATCTTCTCCCTGTGCCTTCACATGCTCTTTCCTCTGTGTGCACATACACACCTGTGTCCAAATTTCCTCTCATAAGGACACCAGTGACACTGTATTAGAATCCACCCTATAGACCTCATTATTTTATTTCGAGATGGGGTCTCGCTCTGTCACTCAGACTGGAGAACAGTGGTGCGATCACGTTTCACTGAAGCCTCAGTCTCCTGGGCTCAAGCAATCCTCCCACCTCAGTCTCCCAAGTAGCTGGGACTACAGGCACACATCATCACACTGGGCTAATTTTTTATTTTCTGTAGAGATGGGGGACGGGGTCTCACTGTGTTGCTCAGGCTGGTCTCAAGCTCCTGGGCTCAAGTGATCCTCCCGCCTTGGCCTCCCATAGTGCTGGGATTACAGGTGTGAGCCACTGCGCCCAGATCCTAAAGACCTCATTTTAACACAGTTACCTCTTTAAAGATCTTATCTCCAAACACGGTTACATTCTGAAGTACTAGGGGTTAAGACTTTAACATGAATTTTTGGAGGGATATAGTTCAGTTCATAACATTATAACTACATGGGGATACTTTATTCACAGAAGTAACTGTAAAGCACTTAAGTATACCTACTAAACCCACACTAAATGTATTCCTGCTCGGCACAGTGGCTCATGCCTGTAATCCCAACACTTTGGGAGGCCAAGGTGGGCAGATTGCTTGAGCTCAGGAGTTTGAGACCAACCTGGGCCACAAAAAAGTACAACAAATTAGCCAGGTGTGGTGGTGTGCCTGTAGTCCCAGCTACTTGGGAGGCTGAAGTGGGAGGATCACCTGAGCCTGGGGAGGTCATCTTTTTCTTGTTTTTTTTTTTTTTGTTTGCCTTTTAAAATTTTTGTATTTCAATAGGTTTTGGGGAACAGGTGGTGTTTGGTTACATGGATAAGTTCTTTAGTGGTGATTTCTGAGATTCTGGTGCACCCATCACCTAAGCAGTGTACACTGCAAGCAATGTGTAGTCTTTTTTTTTTTTTTTTTTTTTTTAGATGGAGTTTCACTCTTGTCGCCCAGGCTGTAGTGCAATGGCTCCATCTCAACTCATTGCAACCTCCGCCTCCTGGGTTCAAGCGATTCTCCTGCCTCAGCCTCCCGAGTAGTTGGGATTACAGGCGTGCGCCACCACGCCCAGCTAATTTTGTATTTTTAGTGGAGACGCGGTTTCACCATGTTGGCCAGGCTGGTCTTGAACTCCTGACCTCAGGTGATCCGCCCACCTCGGCCTCCCAAAGTGCTGGGATTACAGGCATGAGCCACTGTGCCCAGCCCAATGTGTAGTCTTTTATCCCTCACTCCCCTCCTACTCTTTCCCCCAACCCCAGTCCCCAAATTCCATTGTATCATTCTTGCACCTTTATGTACTCAAATAACTTCTAGGCTTAATTGTTTGTTAAACAATCCAATAGTAAAGATATCCATCTTACCGGAAATGTCTCAGAAGAATAATTTTGTTACTATCTTTAAAAGTGTGAAAGCAACCAGAGGAGGAAAAAATACAGTAAACTTTAGCTCAATTAAGTTTGAGGTTGCAGTCAAGAAATGTGAAATTATTAATATACTGGGTTTTTCTACTGACTTCTACATCCATAATTGCAGAATAAAAATTAAGATTCAAAAATTTCTCTTTTTTTTTAAATTTTACTTTAAGTTCTGGGCTACATGTGGAGAACGTCCAGGTTTGTTACATAGGTATACATGGGCCATGGTGGTTTGCTGCCCCCGTCAACTCATCATCTAGGAGAACTCAGTCTTAACCAATTACCATTTAAGTATATTTTTTCAAACTTTACAAAAACCTACAATCATGTTAACACATTGCTGGGGCTCCTCCCATGCTTTGGGTGAGGTCTGTGCAGGGAAGGACTCTGAAACTTTAGAATCCTTAGCTATAGAATAGGGTTGTCCAATTTTTTTGCTTCCCTGGGGCTACGTTGGAAGAAGAATTGTCTTGGACCTCGCATAAAATACACTAACACTAATGATAGCTGATGAACAAAAATAACAACAACAAAATCACAAAAACTCAAAATGTTTTAAGAAAGTTTATGAATTTGTGTTGGGCTGCATTCAAAGCTGAGCTGTCCTGGGCCACATGTTGAACAAGCTTGCTATAGAGTAAAATGTGCCTCCAGACAGCCCTGCTAATGTCTCACTCATGCAAAGGGAAAGAAAGCTTTCACTAGAGATGGAGTATTAACATCTCTACAGTGAGGATGACATGAGTCCCCATTCTTTAGCAGTGGTCCCTGGAAGAGCTGGGGGAGATTATTGTCTTGCTAAAGTTGGGACCCTTGTCAGCCTGGACATCTCCCTTCCCTTCACTTCCCCACCCCAGTTCATTCCATCCAAAGCTATAGGGAGAAACCCACATAGAAGGAGGAGGCTTCAGCCTGCACTCTAGAACTGAGGCAGGAGAGTTTCTTTTCCCTTCCTGGGATTCCCCTTATTCCTAAATCTGTCTTCGATTCTGCCCCCCACTCCTGATTCTTGGCAGTGTCTTTCTGAGACAAGAAAGGTGACTGGACCATCCACCTTTTGTAATTCCAAGCCCATGATTAGTGACATCCAGAGTGACTCATTGAACCCTCCAGGGTCAGGTGTTTTGTTCCCACTGACGGTTCTTACCTGGCTTTCTAGTCAAACACGCATGAATTCCTCTCAGTCAATGCAGTCTCATTAATTGTTTGGATTATGAGGGAATAACCTCTCCACAGGTAACAGAGTTGTTGCTGCTGCCTAAAATGTTTCACTTTTCCCTTCATTACATACAAACCAATGAGGCATTGTGGATAATCATGATTTATCAAAAGGTTTGTATATATCACCAGCCTTGGTTCAAACCCTAAAGGATCAAAAGTGTCTAATTAAAGCTGATTTATATATGTCTTTCCATTGTTTACCCCATGATGTTTTTTGCCAGATATTAGTTTGAAGGATGTGGAACTGGCTATTAGGAGTTGAGATTGTTACTAAGTGAAATGAGGGAGGAGAGGAGGCAGGGGCAAAGACAGGGATAGCAACAGAAAATAGAGCTCAGTTCTGCAGGAGAGATATGATGCCTGGCCACCTTAAAATAGCTCTGTACCTTAGAATGCAGCAACAAAGAATACATTATGATGGCTTCTTGGAGGTATGTAAGGAGGGGGAGTGGTGAGGTCTGGGAATACAGGACAAAGTCTGAAAATGTTTTATATTATATATACGGTATTACATTACCTAAGTAGGCAAGTATATATACGGTATTACATTAACCTAAGTAGGCAAGAAGAGACTTTTTCAAAGACCAAAGAACAGAAGAGTCACTTCAGAAAAGATTGTTTCCAAGTTTTAGGCACGTTTACTAAAGAAAAGTTGTGGGCCCGGCGCAGTGGCTCACGCCTGTAATCCCAGCACTTTGGGAGGCCGAGGCGGGCGGATCACGAGGTCAGGAGATCGAGACCATCCTGGCTAACACGGTGAAACCCCGTCTCTACTAAAAATACAAAAAATTAGCCGGGCGTGGTGGTGGGCGCCTATAGTCCCAGCTACTCGGGAGGCTGAGGCAGGAGAATGGCATGAACCCGGGAGGTGGAGCTTGCAGTGAGCCGAGATTGCACCACTGCACTACAGCCTGGGCGGCAGAGCGAGACTCTGTCTCAAAAAAAAAAAAAAAAAAGAAAAGAAAAGAAAAAGAAAAAGAAAAAAGAAAAAAAAGTCGTAATCAGAAAACTTACTGAGGATCATAGACTCAGGTCTATAGACCAAAAGCAGCCCTTTAGAAAGGTTCAGTCGGGCGTGGTGGCTCATGCCTGTAATCTCAGCACTTTGGAGGCAGAGGTAGGTGGATAGCTTGAGCCCAGGAGTTTGAGGCCAGCCTGGCCAAGATGGCAAAAACCCATCTCTACAAAAAAATACAAAAATTAGTCATGGCAGCGCATGCCTGTAGTCTCAGCTACTCGGGAGGCTGAGGCAGGAGGATTGCTTCAGCCTGGGAGGTCAAGGCTGCCATGAGCCAAGATGGCACCACTACATTCCAGCCTGGACAACAGAGTGAGACCCAGTCTCAAAAAATAAAATAAAAATAAAAATAAATTTTTTTAAATAGAAAGGTTCAGACTGCTCTGACGGTATTTTAATTTACAGCTTACATACAGGTAGTGGGGGTTCAGTATGTGCTCAGAAGTTACCTCAAATTTGCTCATAAGTTACATTAAAGCAGAATCACATAAAAGTTTGGGTGTAAGAGAACATTTGGTTATAGATTACAGAGGCAACATCCCTAACCCCATTAGACATCATCTTATGTGCAGGAAAAGGCAAGGACTAGGGTCATTTATCTTTTATTATTATTATTATTATTATTATTATTATTATTATTAAATTTTTAGAGGCAGGGTGTCACTCTGTTGCCTAGGCTGCAGTGCAGTGGTGCAATCATAGCTCACTACAGCCTACAACTCCTGGGCTCAAATGATCCCCCTGCCTCAGCCTCCTGAGTAGTTACAAGTGCATGCCACCAAGTCCAGCTAATTTTTAAATTTTTCTGTAGAGACAGGGACTCGCTATGTTGCCCTTGCTGGTCTTGGATCCTAGCCTCAAGCAGTCCTCCCTCTTTGGCCTCCCAAAGCGTTGGGATTAGGTTTATGAGCCACTGCGCCCAGCCCATTTATCTTTTAAGGAATATAGCGACTCAGGCAAGAGACATAGAGGACTGTGTGCCCTATCCTGTTTTGTCTTCAAAGGATCTTTCCAGAGACGTCAGAGTCAGAGGCTTTGTGAAATTATGTTGCCAAACAGAATTGAGCAAGCCTGTCTTCTTACATTTGTTACTCTGTCTCACAGAAGATGGGGAATCCTAAAATACAAATTTTGGCCCATAACTTCATACTGTGTGGGATACTGCTTTGTTGAAGTCCATTTTATTGGCATCCCTTTCTTTTTGTAAGTTAAAAAAAATTTTTTTGAGACAAGGTCTCGCTATGTTGCCCAGACTGGCCTCGAACTCTTGAAATCAAGTCATTCTCCCACCTCAGTCTTCATCCCTTTCTAGCTAGCGAAAAACAAATACTATGGAGAGCTCCGCGTCCTCTTTTCTAGGGCAGGGAGGGGAGCCTGAGGGTCTGGTAGGTCCCAATGAGGTGACTGCTCCAGCACTTCGTCTTTGGGAACATCTGTCTGGTGCCAGTTTGACCCGGGGAACGGCCTAAGTCGCCCGCAGGCTCCTAAGGTCCTCGTCTTTCCGGGTGGCAAGACATCTGATCCCTCTCGAGAACAAGTTCCCAGTTGCTTTAGGCGCTTTGTTACAGCTGACGCTGCTGGTGGCGGTTGGGCTCTCGGCTGGGAAAGGCGCAGCTCGTTTGTATGGCTCCGGAGGGGGCACTGAAAAGGTCTTCCTGGAGGGCTTCCTTCAGAAGGAAACAAATTGGGAGTTGTTGGCGGTCCAGACAGTTCAGCAAAGTGCAGTATCCCTCCTTGGGGAATTTCGGAAGGATCCTGGTCCGGTGTATTCCAAAGGTCCGGCGCCGATAGGTCGACGGTAGGGGGAGGTACCATGCACTGCAGCTTGGCCCCAGGGGACATCTTCCCTGCCCCACGCATCCAATAGATGACCCCAGCTGAGGCCCACGCAGCCAATACCTGACTTCAGCCGAGACCCACGCAGCCAATGGCCAGCCCAGTGCGCTTCGCCCGTGCCCGCCCGCCTGCGCCTACCAATCAGGACTCGGGCCACCTTGGCACCGCCTCTGGACGCCCACCCCACCCATCCGCCCCGCCTCCAACTTGCTCGAGCAGGGCTGGGTAGACCGGCGCGCTCCCGGGGACGGTGGGGGGGGCAGTCCCGGTTTCGGCCATCGCTGGGGTGGGCTCGGAGCGGCCGCACCGGGCAGCAACCCCACTCCCACTCGGAGGCCCCCTGCCCTCTCCCCCACTTCCCCCCGGCCCATGGTGCGAGGCTGGGAGCCGCCGCCCGGGCTGGACTGCGGTGAGTGATCCCCAGCCCCTTGGACTTCCCCTCCCAGCTCGTGTACGGTCTCCCACCTCTGGAGCCCCATCCCCGCGCTGGTGGGGGGATAATTCTAGGTTCGAAGTGGCCCGGTTCTCTCTTTTTTCTCCTCTGGACTTTTCGGTTCCCTCCCCTGTTGTAACTAGGGGAGGGTGAGTGTCTGTGTAGGGGAGGGCAAGAAGGTTGGGTTGGGGCGCCCTTGGCGAGAGTAGGATTGAGATTCGCCTGCCTCATGGGGCTTATCGTCCCAAGTGCAATAACTTTTTGTTCCCTGACCCAGTTCGGAGCCTTCTGGACTGCCTGTGAAATGGAGGATAGGAGAAACATTTCCTTCCCAGGCCCCCCCGCCACACAAACCCCCAACCCCCACGGCTACCTCCTGGCGACCTCAACACACGTGCAGAACCTGGCCTTGCTTCTGGGGATCAGTGGCCTTTGGGAATGAAAGGTTTAGAAGAAACTGCCCCTCTGACTCCCGTACCCAGCCATACTAAGAGAACCAACCAGGAAACTGAGAACCTGAGTCCTCTGGGGTTCCTAGTGTTGCGTCCTATTCTGAGACTCCTAAACTGAAAGAAGACTCAAGCTGAGACCTGTTTGGTAATGTGGGCCCCTATCAGGAGATTTTTTTTTTTTTTGTCATGTGAACCTCCTTCCCATCATACACTTGAAGCCCTTTTATATTACATGATTCGGTTAGTTGGTAGTAATTGAAAAAGCCAGATTGGGAATTTTAAAGATAATGCATACATATCTTAAACATTATAATTAAAAGTATATCCATTTCACCAATCTTTTGATGTAGTGGTGAGACTGTTTTTGTGTCTAAGACTGCTGTTCAGAGTTCCCAATTCTCTTTCCAGTATTAACTACACAGGGAGTCTCAAACCTGGCTGTACCCTGAGAACTTTTAAAAACTTTGGATGCCTGGACCCCAGTACAGACTATTGAACCTGAATGGGAAGGAGGGTGGCCTGGTTTTTAAGCTTCCCAGGTAATTCTAGTGTGCAGTCTGAGAGCCACTCAGGCACTTTCATCATCTTTGGTTTCCCGTTTTGCTTTATTTAAAGTGAAGTATGAATTTAGACACTTCTGAGTGCAGAGTACTTTTGAGATTAAGTCCCACCGCTCAATCTTTTACAGTTGTCTTGCTCACTCCCAACTCAACAATTTTTAAAATGCATACTCTTCCTTGCGTTATGTCTCTCCAAAACATTTGACTTAGTTTTCATAGGAGCAATTTTTTAAAAATCAGTATTCCTGAAGAAACAATTTTTAATGCAGTGATTTTTCATAGGTTTAACATGAGGTTTAATTACATTATTATATAGACACTGAAAAATATGGACATAAGCAGGTTTGTAATCACACAAAACTGGCCCCAGGACACAGGACAACTGAATGAAGCAGATGATTTTGGCGCACTAGTAGCAGCCTACTTAGCCTTTAGTTTCCAGTGTACTGTGGGTATTGGTCATGTAATCCAGTGGCTCAGTTAAGCCAGGCTCCTGGCCCAGTTGAGCATCCCTCCCTTCCACTCTTTCCAACTAATATCACAAATACTTTGTCCCTTCTAGACGCACTTGAATTCTTGAGTATTCCATCAACTCTTTACGTTCATTCACATCAAACTGTTCATCTTTAAGTGATTATCACTATTGCCTTTGTTAAGTTGGAAGGATATGAGGCAGTAAGCCTTAACCTGGCTTCTTGGCAGCAACTAAAGCCCCTGAGTTTATTGTGTAAGTGTGAATGTTTATTTTGGGAAGGTTAGTCATAACTTTCTGAGGGTCTGTAACTTTTGTCTGATTCTCAAAGAGGTTCATGAACTAAAAAGTTAAGAAGCATATAAGCTGAATATCACTATAAGTCTTTAAGGCCCTTAAAACTGTATCCCCAAACACATTTCAGGAGTGCTTCAGATTGTCTCTAAATAAAGATTTAGGGAATTCTAAAGGATCATATCTCATCTCCCACTTTTATTTATTTATTTATTTGAGACAGAGTCTCACTCTGTCCCCCAGGCTGGAGTACAGTGACGTGATCTTGGCTCACTGCAACGTCCGCCCCCCAGGTTCAAGCGATTCTCTTGCCTCAGCCTTCCCAGTAGCTGGGACTACAGGCGCATGCCACCATGCCCGGCTAATTTTTGTATTTTTGGTAGAGACGGGGTTTCACCATGTTAGCCAGGCTGGTCTCGAACTCCTGACCTCAAGTGATCCTCCCGCCTCGGCCTCCCAAAGTGCTGGGACTACAGGCGTGAGCCATTAGACCCAGCCTCGCCTCCCACTTTAACTGTCTCCTACTTTAACGATAAGCCTAGGTTCAAACCTAAAGTTCTAGAGTCCTCTTTTTCCTAGGACTGTGTAAACACAGAAACTGGAAGTTTAAGACAGTCCGTTCTTGTCTTCCATCTGTCCAGGGATATGGAAAGCCCAAGGGGAAAGAAGGGTGTTATACTGTCTCAGAGAGAGAGAGAGAATTTTTTTTTCAATTTTTAAAATTTATATATTTATTTGTAGAGGCGAGGTCTCGCTATGTTGCCCAGGCTAGTCTTGAATTCCTGAGCTCAAGTGATCCTCCTGCCTCCCAAAGTGCTGGGAATACGGGCATGAGCCACTGCACCCAGCCATGACTCCATATATTTTTATTAGTGATTTTTAAGTAGCAATGGGACATATCTGGCATATTTAATAAGGATACAAATTTAGAAGTTGTTCAGAATAGATATTCACCACCACCACCACCACTACCTCCTCTGCGCTAGGACTCCTCACTTCAGCTTTTGATTCTCTTCTTTTTCTACTCAATCCAAAATGGACACACAAGAACACAAGATACTCTAGTGTCTTTATTATGATTTTGATTACTATAGGGTCTACCCTACCTGTTATAATTCTCATGAGCCATTCTGGTTGTGGTTTTCTCTTAGTTCAAAGCCAGATTCTTCCAGGGAAGTACCAGCTATACAGCTGTGCCTTGATTTAAGCCACCATTCTGTTTCAGGAAGTGTTCCATAACTGGTGTTTTGTGTAAGTGAAAACTGAATGCATATAGTACACCAAATATGTTGTTTGCAGTACTGTATGTTACACTGAAATATCAAGCTGATGCCGAGAATGTGAAGGACATCAAGCCACCTAAACGAAAGTAAAATGCTTCCTTACAGCTTTTAATACTTATAAATGTGCCTGCCTTATATTCCCATCTGGCAGTATTCATCCTCACACTGGACTGCTTTGTTCCTTATGCTTTATTTTCCTTATCTCTAAAGTGTTATTGTGTCTTTATATAATAGGACACAAATGAGGTTAAGTAGACGTCAAGCATTGCCATCATAAAGTGTTCTCCAGCTTGGATTTGGTGGTGTTCTCGGTGGGCCACAATTTGTAAATGGTAGTTTAGCACCTGGCCATGCAAGCAGTGCCTCCCAGGCCATTTCAGCTGTGTCCTGGATGAACCTGGAAGGCGAAAGGTGGAACTATCACATAGGCAACTGACACACCGATCACAAAGGATCCAAATTATGGATGCAGTTCTAAAGCACTGGTTTTCATACATTTTTTTAAGTGGCAAATACATTCTGAAATTGTATTTAAACCCCAAAATGTAAAAGTATAGAATCACAGATACACTGGTTTCCTCATCGCTAACTAGAATTAGGGCTCTGCAAAAATAGATTGAAAACAGTGAATGTTAAATGATTCAGTCTTTGTCCCAGTTACCCCATTGTCTAGGAGGAGCATTACTTCACATCAAAATCACCTCCATGAAGTTGAAGTCATGATAAAAGCTGCTATTTATTGAGCCCTTACTTTGTTCTAGTTATAATGTCAAGTGCACTTTTTCATTTAGTCATAAACTTGCTGGGTAGGTGCTTTTTTGCTTTTTTCTTCTCTTTTTGAGACAGGGTCTCTGTCACCCAGGCTGTGGTGCAGTGCACAATCTCGACTCACTGCAACCTCCACCTCCCAGGCTCAAGCAATCCTCCCACCTCAGCCTCCCGAGTAGCTAGGACTACAGTTGCGCCACCATGCCCAGCTAATATTTTGTATTATTATTATTATTATTATTATTATTATTATTATTATTTGTAGAGACAGTTTCACCATGTTGCCCAGGCTGGCCTCAAACTCCTGGGCTCAAACCATCTGCCCACCTTGGCCTCCCAAGGTGTTGGCATTACAGGCATGAGCCACTGCGCTCGGCCCAAGGTGCTTTTTTTCTCATGAGAAACTAAGACTTAGAGAAGTTAAATAACTGCCTGAGGACAAGCAGCATTCTAGGAAGTGGAGTTGCATTAATTTGTCTCACCCCGGACATCCATCCCCTAACATTTGCTCTATGCCCTGCCTATGCATAACACCTAGCACGTAGTACTCTTACGTACTCTCTGCACTGTCTTCACTTTGTTACATAGGAGGAAACCAGGCTCATGTAAGTTAAGTAACTTGCCTGAGATCACATAGCTGATAAGTGGCAGAACCGGGATTCAAACTCAGAGGTTGGCCTTATTGAAGAATTCATATTTCTACCCGTCATGCCATGCTGCCTCCATTGACCCTCTTAAGGGGCTCTTCAAGCAGTATTGCTTTCAGGGTCTGCGTGGCCTCAGTTAGTTAGATTTGCTTGTTAAAAGGAAATGGTGACACGTATTAAAATGCTTCTGAATTTTAAAAATCATGGTGTAAAATCCCTGCGATCACATTGCTCTAAATGTATGGACTTGAGGTTTATTTTTGCAATTCATCGTGTAGCATTTACATAGGAATCCTGTCCTGTCCTTAGCAGATCAGGAGTAATACTTAAAAACACAGATAGAAGGCTGGGCCCGGTGTTTCACGCCTGAAATCCCAGCACTTTGGGAGGCTGAGGCAGGCAGATGACGAGGTCAGGAGATCAAGACCATCCTGGCCAACATGGTGAAATCCTGTCTCTACTAAAATACAAAAAAGCCAGGTGTGGTGGCGTGCGCCTGTAGTCCTAGCTACTCAGGAGGCTGAGGCAAGGGAATCACTTGAACCCAGGAGGCGGAGGTTGCAGTGAGCCAAGATCGTGCCACTGCACTCCAGCCTGGCGACAGAGCAAGACTCCGTCTCCAAATAAAATAAAATAAAATAAAATAAAATAAAATAAAATAAAATAAAATAATAAAATAAAATAAAATAAAATAAAATAAAAATAAAAATATAAAAATAAAAATAAAATATAACAGATGTGATTCCCCTAAGAGTAAAGGGTGATGGATGTGTTAAAGGGTCTCTAGTGCCCACACAGGGAGCTGAGTTAAAAATTGTCAACAGAATATTCTGGGAAATAACTTGAGCAGTTATTTCAGGAAAGCAGCACAGTCAAAGGCTATTCCTGCAGTCCCCATACCCATAATCCTGGGAGCAGTGGTGCTGCTGGGTAGCTTGCAGGAGCTGGTTACAATTTATAATGAGCCTGTCCACCTGGTCTTGAGGAGAAAGCTGGGCTGAAAAGTTAAGCTCAGGAGACCTTCTGCCCTGTGTGGAGGGGGCTGTTAGTGACTGAGGGAGCTTTCTGGGCTCCCTGGGGAGAAGCTGAGCTGTTGGAAGAGACAAAGGCTGGGGGAGGGGATAACCTTTGTTCCAAGGCTGACTTGGAGGAGGAAACATTCCCCTCTCTATTTTCACATGACCTAAAGGGTTAGGGGAGTGAGCCTCATTTATCCCCAATCTCTGACCCATGTCTCTCATCCAACCAAGAGATGGAAAAAATAAAGCTATCAGGTTTGGGCTTAGGGCTTAAAGGTACTGTCAGTCGCCTTCCCCCAACACTCCACCACCAAGAAGGGAAAGAAAAAAGGGGGGCTGGGCAGAGGACAGTGCTGTCCTACCTTCCAGATATTCATCAGTTGTATTCCCAATCTGTTGATCCACATTCTAAATATAAATTGTTAGCAGCCAAAGAGTTAGTAACAAGCCAGGAACAATGTTGTGCACCTGTAGTTCTAACTACTCAGGAGGTTGAGGCAGGAGGGTCACTTGATCCCAGGAATTCGAGGCTGTAGTGCATTATGATTGCACCTATGCATAGCACGCCAGCCTGGGCAACATAACGAGAACTTGTCTCTAAAAAAAAATAGTGGCCAGGCGCGGTGGCTCATGCCTGTAATCCCAGCACTTTGGGAGGCCAAGGCAGGTGGATCACCTGAGGTCAGGAGTTCGAGACCAGCCTGGCCAACATAGCATTAGATATGAGTTCTAAATTTCTCTTCAAAGAATCAATATGTCAGTATGTTCAATTCTTTGCCTTCTACTTTTAAACTTAACTTCCTTGTAAAGCAACCTTTTTCGATCACCTGCTCCACCCTGACTCATTCCGATTACCTGCTCTGCCCTGACTCATTCTCCACCCTGACTCCTTCCGATTTCCTGCTCTGCCATAACCATTTTCCCCACCAAACCACTCACCCGGTCACTCTCTTTAAATTAGCCAATCGGAATTAGTTTAGCCTGTGCGGTCTAACCCTAGCCAATATGGGAATGACAGCGGCAGGGGCCACCTGTGTCAGGAATAAGAACTTCTTCCCCTCTTTTGTCCAGGTGTGTGCTCACCACTGCTCCATCTATGAGGGCGCACCCTTCTATAGAAGTAAATTGCCCTACTGAGAAGAAAAAAAAAAGAAAATTTTATATTCGATTGCTATTTCTTTTGTGGCACCGAAACTTTATTTATAACAATAGTGAAACTTCGTCTCTACTAAAAGTACAAAAATTAGCTGGGCATCATGGTGCACGCTTGTAATTCCAGCTACTCAGGAGGCTGAGGCAGGAGAATCACTTGAACCCGGGAGGTGGAGGTTGCAGTGAGCCAAGATCACGCCACTGCACTCCAGCCTGGGTGACAGAAAGACTCTGTCTCAAAAAAAAAAATAGTTATTAACAATTCTGGCCAGGCGCCGTGGCTCACGCCTGTAATCCCAGCACTTTGGGAGGCCGAGGCCGGTGGATCACTTGAGGTCAGGAGTTCGGGACCAGCCTGGTTAACATGGTAAAACCTCGTCTCTACTAAAAATACAAAATGTAGCAGGGCATGGTGGCACACGCCTGTAGTCCCAGCTATTCAGGAGGCTGAGGCACAAGAATCACTTGAACCCAGGAGGCGGAGGCTGCAGTAAGCTGAGATCATGCCACTCTACTCCAGTCTAGGCAACAGAGCAAGATCCTGCTCAAAAACAAACAAACAAACAAACAATTCTGAGGGCCGGGTACAGTGGCTCACTCCAGTAATCTCAGCAGTTTGGGAGGCTGAGGTGGGAGGATCACTTGAGGCTAGGAGTTTGAGACCAGCCTAGGCCACATAGTGAGACCCTGTCTACAAAAAATTTTAAAATTAGCCGGATATGGCTGCATGTACCTGTAGTCCTAGCTACTTGGGAGGCTGAGGTGGGAGGATTGCTTGAGCCTAAGAGTTCAAAGCTGCAATGAGCCATGATCATGCCACTGCACTCCAGCCTAGGCAACAGAGTGAGACCCTGTCTCTTGAAAAAACAAAAACAAAAATGCACACACACACAAACCAGTTGAAATTATTGCTCCTCTTGTTTTTGTGGTTGAGTCTTCACTATGTGATTCTTGTTCCATGAATTTAGAAGGTGAGAGTTGGTGGATAGCTTCTAGAAGTGGGTTTGAATAGGAAAGATAAAGGCTGTATCAGAGCTATGATGGTGCCACTGCACTCCAGCCTGGGTGGCCTGGGTGACAGAGCAATATTATCTCTTTAAAAAAAAACAACCCACCAGCTGGGTGTGGTGACTCATGCCTGTAATTCCAGCTTTGGGAGGCCAGAGGCAGGTGGATCACGAGGTCAGGAGTTCAAGACCAGCCTGGCCAAGACGGTGAAACCCCATCTCTACTAAAAATACAAAAAGTAGCCGGGCGTGGTGGCGGGCACCTGTAATCCCAGCTACTCGGGAGGCTGAGGTAGAGAATTGCTTGAACCTGGGAGGTGGAGGTTGCAGTGAGCCAAGATCATGCCACTGCACTCCAGCCTGGGCGAGAGAGTGAGACTCCATCTCAAAACACACGCACACACACACAGACACACACATACACACTAAAAAAAGCTATATCAGGATCAGTTTTCCTTCTTAACTTCTAAAGACAGATTTTTTTTTTTTTTGATAGGGTCTCACTCTATCACCCAGGCTGGAGTGCAGTGGTGCAATCATAGCTCACTGCAGCCTCAACCTCTCAGGCTCAAGCAGTCCTCCTGCCTCAGCCTCCCAAGTAGTTGGGACGACAGGCACGAACCACCATGCCCAGCTGATTTTTAAATTTTTTGTAGTCTCACTGTGTTGCCCAGGCTGGTATCAAAGCTCTGGGCTCAAGCAATCCTCCCACCTCGGCCTCCCGAAGTGCTGGGATTACAGGCATGAGCCACCATGGCTGGCTTTAAAGACAGATTTTTTTCTTGGAACAACACTCACCAGTCATGTGGCTTGGGGTAATTTAACGTCTATGGACTTTGGTCCACAGAAAATGGGAATTAAAGCAGGGTCTGATGACTTAAGTTTATGAAAATTAAATAAGAAATTGTTGAGGCACTTAAAAAGCAATACAACATGATACAAATACAGATTAAATTGTTCTGGTGTCCAGCAGTTAGTTTGGTAGAAATTGAGCAGTGTGTCAGAAGAGGAGACCCAGTGATTGAGCTGTTTGTCTTCTTATTGCAGCTATCTCTGAAGGGCACAAATCAGAAGGCACCATGCCTCCTAATAAAGAGGCCAGCGGTCTCAGTAGTTCACCAGCGGGGCTCATCTGCCTCCCTCCAATCTCTGAGGAGCTACAGCTTGTGTGGACGCAAGCAGCCCAGACCAGTGAGCTAGACAGCAATGAACACCTGCTCAAAACCTTCAGCTACTTTCCCTATCCCAGCCTAGCAGACATTGCCCTTCTCTGCCTACGTTATGGGTTGCAGATGGAGAAAGTCAAGACTTGGTTTATGGCCCAGCGCCTCCGCTGTGGTATTAGCTGGTCATCTGAAGAAATAGAAGAGACTCGAGCCCGAGTAGTCTACCGTCGGGACCAACTCCATTTCAAATCCCTTCTCTCTTTTACTCATCATGCGGGACGGCCCCCAGAGGAGGTGCCTCCTCCTCCAGTGCCAGCTCCAGAGCAAGTTGGTATTGGAATAGGTCCTCCAACTCTTAGCAAGCCTACCCAGACGAAAGGATTGAAGGTAGAGCCTGAGGAGCCCTCTCAGATGCCACCACTGCCACAGAGTCACCAGAAATTAAAGGAGTCCCTGATGACACCTGGCAGTGGAGCATTCCCCTACCAATCAGATTTTTGGCAACATCTTCAAAGCAGTGGCCTCTCAAAGGAGCAGGCAGGCAGGGGTCCCAACCAGTCACATGGCATAGGTACTGCTTCCTGGAACCACTCCACAACCGTCCCCCAGCCACAAGCTCGGGATAAACCCCCACCAATTGCATTAATTGCCAGTAGTTGTAAGGAGGAGTCAGCATCTAGTGTTACTCCCTCTTCTTCCTCTACCTCTTCTTCTTTCCAGGTACTGGCTAATGGAGCTACTGCCGCCTCTAAACCCCTCCAGCCACTAGGCTGTGTCCCACAGTCAGTGTCACCCAGTGAACAGGCATTACCCCCACATCTGGAACCAGCCTGGCCCCAAGGGCTACGGCATAACTCAGTACCAGGTAGAGTTGGCCCCACAGAGTACCTTTCCCCAGATATGCAACGCCAGCGAAAGACCAAGCGCAAAACCAAAGAGCAGCTGGCTATCCTTAAATCCTTTTTTTTACAGTGCCAGTGGGCACGGCGTGAGGATTACCAAAAGTTAGAACAGATCACTGGTTTACCTCGGCCTGAGATCATTCAGTGGTTTGGTGACACACGCTATGCCTTGAAGCATGGGCAACTAAAGTGGTTTCGGGACAACGCAGTACCTGGTGCCCCTAGTTTCCAAGACCCAGCAATTCCTACACCACCACCATCAACCCGCTCCTTGAACGAAAGGGCTGAGACACCACCTCTGCCGATCCCTCCACCCCCACCGGATATACAACCCTTGGAGAGGTACTGGGCAGCCCACCAACAGCTACGGGAAACTGATATCCCTCAATTGAGTCAGGCATCAAGGCTTAGCACCCAGCAGGTGCTGGATTGGTTTGACTCTCGATTACCTCAGCCAGCTGAGGTGGTAGTTTGTCTAGATGAAGAAGAGGAAGAGGAGGAGGAAGAACTGCCAGAAGATGATGAGGAAGAGGAGGAGGAGGAGGAGGAAGATGATGATGATGATGATGATGATGTGATCATACAAGACTGAGTGGGGAGCTGGGGGAGGGGAGGTCTGTTACTGAAAGATGAACCAACTTAGTAACTGTTTAAACAAAGAAACCACATTTTTAAAATTACCTTGTGGCAGAGAACTAAAAAGCTTTGTGTTCTTCAGGGTGGGTGGCAGGGGGATATAGTGAGGGTGGACCAGGGAGAATGACCATAGGGCACTAAGTAAGGCTGGGATTGGATCAGCAGAAATCCAACCCTCTAACCTTAGGGTAGGGAGTGCTAAGGATCTGGGGAAACCATGGGCTGGGAAGCTGCTCTTGCTCTCCTCGTGTCTGCTGTTTTTTTCCCTTGGTGTACTATACAGAGGCCAGATGTTGGCACCACCTCTCCAGGAGGATTGGAAAGGAGGAGTAAAGGATTCTGATTTGATTGATGATTCCAGTGCATCCCCAATCCCACCATCTTACCTGGAATATAAGGCTGCCTTGTACCCCTTTTCTGAGCACAAGTCTGTGCGTAATGCAACTGACTCTCTTACTTTTTTCTTAGTAACTGATCATTTCCTAGACAACCAAGATTCTCAATAAGTCCCAGTCTCATCACAAATATTAATATTTCCTTTTCCTCATACCAACTTGACTATGTTTCACCCGCTTCATGACTAAATCACAGGTGGCAGAATTTTTCAGTTCTTTTTTTTTTTTTTGAGGTGGAGTCTTGCTCTGTCGCCCAGGCTGTAGTGCAATGGCGCAATCTCAGCTCACTGCAAGCTCCGCCTCCCAGGTTCATGCCATTCTCCTGCCTCAGCCTCCCGAGTAGCTGGGACTACAGGCACCTGCCACCACACCCGGCTACTTTTTTATATTTTTAGTAGAGACGGGTTTCATCATGTTAGCCAGGATGGTCTTGATCTCCTGACCTCATGATCCGCCCACCTTGGCCTCCCAAAGTGCTGGGATTATAGGCATGAGCCACCGTGCCCGGCTATTTTCAGTTCTTATGCTGTGACCACTTTGCCTTGTAGCTTTTTCTATCTTTCCAAAATCCTCACTCTGTTCATTGTTTGTCTCAGGGAAAATCTTCCCCCACCGAGCTTGTAAAAAACTTTAATAATTGGGTGGAGAATAATTTAGAATGGATATTTATTGGAGGTGGTAATTAGGGAAGATGTCCTTTTAAACAGTAGAATTGTGTTACAAAGGGGTGAAAGAGAGGGAATAGTTTCTCCTTGTTGAAGGGCAGTGAAGGTAGGTTTCAGGTTTGGTTTTACAAACCTGTTAACTACCTCCTGTCCAGCTTGACAGAGACTAATTTTTCATCTTTTTGCTGTCAATTTGTTTCCAGAAAAGAGACTTTTCCCTCTCTTGATAGGATCTGTCTTAGGGACAGAGGGACCATCGTCTTTAAGTGAATTAATTATTGATGTTTTAGAATGGTTTTCATCAGTTGGGATCAGCTATATGGCAAATAGGTATCATCAATGAGTTAACCATCTAAAAATAAAAGAGTGGAAGCCCTAAAATGCTAGAATAATAATAAAAAGGCCAAAAATAAAATTGTTTCTCTCTCAACCACTTTGCCACTCCTATGGTTTAGGGATTAATGGAACCAAATCCATTAACATTCTAACTCAGCATACTTTTAACTTATTGTTTGGAGGGGCAGGACTTATTGAGGTAAATTAAAAGAACAAAAACTGTAAAAAGGAAGTAGTTCAGCATCTATCGCCAGCCAGGTTGTTTCTCAGCCATCAAATGATAATGACTAAAATTTCTGAGGCTTCAGGAGTAACAGAGATACAACAGTCTTGGAGGTAACTCCATTTGCTACAGGACAGGCCCTTGCCTAAAAGAGAAGGTATCTAGAAATGCCTTTAAAATAAATTCAGAGTACCAGAAAGGGTATGGGGATCCTAGTTCAGATACAAGATCATTCCCAAGACCTAATTTATTTCTGGCAGATGCCTGCTATTTTCTGTTTTTCCAGTATTTTTGCTTAAGGCCAGCTTGTGAGTGGCTAACCTATTTAATTCGTCATTTCTGCCTTTTAAAACCCAAAGTAGAATACATGTTTGATCTCAGTGATAGTGTTGTTCGCCCATTCCACCATTCTAGAGCTTGTAAAAGTGATAGAATTGTAGCAATAAAAGGGCATCGTCTTTATTTTACTATCTATATACTAAGCTGAAAATCAGTGTCTCCAACAGTTGTTTTCAATAGAAAGGAAAATTAACATTTAATAGTAACTAAGCATAGAGGAAATAATAGACAAATAAAAAAGTATAATAAGGAAAAGAACAGAGATATTGCTCGTTAACATTGGCAATGGGACAGTATATCCAAAGCTAAAAATGAAATCCAGAAATGAAACAGTGATGAGTATATGATCCATCACAATCCCCATTCCCAACTCCCAACCAAGCATGATGCCAAGAATTATTTTTTTGACCTTTGTTCCAAATTGTAGGAAATGAGGGGAGCTACCAGTGTCTTCTGGAAGAGATATAAACATCTTCCTGAAGCACTAGCCTTTTGTAAGACCTGACCACTGTCCTGGGAGGTGATAAGGGTGAATAGGGTAAAGATGGGGGGAGCATAAGGTACAGAGTGAAACTAGGAAACAATGCAGGGATACATTTTCCAGGGCCATCACCCCTAATGCGTACTGGAAGCTACAGTCCATCCTTCAGCAGCATGTATAGATCAGATCTTGAAGATGATCTATCTAGAAGTGGTCCATGCTTCTCTCCCACTGGGTAATCCCATATGCCTCCGTTGTTGGTAGAGAGTCTGCAGCAGAGGACAAGAAGGTAGATGTGGGTGTTTATAACAGCAAAAAGGGCAAGCAAGTCTCTCTGACCTGTTGTATGAAGCTTATCGAGACAGACACCACTGCTTTTGCTTCCCCATAGTTTTCTTCATTGCATGATAACTAACTTTTCCAAACTAGGATTTGCTACATCTAGTGTGACAATCTCTGGAACATTTCAGTAGCTTATGGTGATAATAATAAGGATGAATATTTGAAAATTAAACTATTTTGGAAAATCTGGGACATATGACTACCACACCCAGAGATGACTACCAGGGAGGCAGAGTTCTTAGGCCTCTGAGGAGGTGGCATTTCCTTCAATAACTTTAAAATTTTTTCACATTTTCGGTTGTTTGTTTGTTTGTTTGTTTGTTGTTTTTTTGAGATGGAGTCTCGCTCTGTCACCCAGGCTGGAGTGCAGTGGTGCATCTCCGCTTACTGCAAGCTCCGCCTCCCGGGTTCACGCCATTCTCCTGCCTCAGCCTCCCACGTAGCTGGGACTACAGGCGCCCGCCACCATGCCCGGCTAATTTTTTGTACTTTTTTTAGTATAGACGGGGTTTCACCATGTTAGCCAGGATGGTCTCGATCTCCTGACCTCATAATCCGCCCGCCTCGGCCTCCCAAAGTGCTGGGATTACAGGCATGAGCCACCACGCCTGGCCCACATTTTCAAAAAATACATAGAATAGTATAATGAACTCATGTGCCCATTGTCCATCTTTAACAAATAATTAATGGCCAATCTTTTATTTCTACTCTCCCAGTGTCCCTCCCTACTAAATTACACTGATGCAAACGCCAGACATCATTTGACTTTCCATCCATAAATACTTTAGTATGTACCTATAAAAGAGAAAGGCTATTTTTAAAAACATAACTACGATATCATCATACCAAAAAACTCTCCAATGTTAACAATTATTTAATATCAAATGTCCAATAGATAATTTTGTTCAACTGTCTCATGAATTGTTTTATTTATTTTTTTTACAGCTTGTTTCAGTCAAGATCCAATTAGGGGCCATATATTTGTAGACGGTTTATAGAGCTTTTAAGTCTTTTTTCATCTTAGGTTAATCCCTCCATTTGAGGATTTTAGGGAGGAATGTTACTTCCCCAGTGTTGCCTCTTAAGGCTTAGACCCTAATTTCTTACTGATGAAAATAAAGGGCATCTTGGAATATGGGAGCAAAATATATACTTATCTTAGTATGAAGGAACTGTGCCTAGGGACACCAGGAGCTTGGAGTGAAAAAGGAGCCTAAATATGCTCAAAACCCAAGCCATTAAAAAAAACAAACAAAAAAAGGCAAGACTGGACTTTTATTTTTTTCTTTCTTTTTCTTTTTTTTTTTGAGATGGAGTCTCACTCTGCTGCCCAGGCTGGAGTGCAGTGGCGCAATCTCGGCTCACTGCAAGCTCCGCCTCCTGGGTTCAAGCAATTCTCCTGTCTCAGCCTCTCATGTAGCTGAGATTACAGGCACCCGCCACCACACCTGGCTAATTTTTGTATTTTCAGTAGAGAGAGACGGGGTTTTACCATATTGGTCAGGCTGGTCTCTAACTCCTGACCTCAGGTTATCCACCTGCCTCGGCCTCCCAAAGTGCTGGGATTACTGGCATGTACCACCGCCCCCGGTGACTTTTCATTTAATAGAACTCTTTACAAACCTCTCCTTGTTACCATGCCCTTTACCTTTTGTTGCTGGAATCAGAATCATAGTCCCATAAATTTATAAAATATTATTCTAGCGGTCTCTGGAGAAGTAAATGTGGTTTTTCCTAGTTCAAGTAGTACCCCTACCCAAAAGATGTATTTCATAGAAAATACTTTCTTGTGGAACTACTGAAGATGTCCATGTGTCCACACTTACTTCACGCTGGCCAAGACCTCTCAGTTTAAAGCCTCCCACTACCATGTGACCTCATTTTAAAACCCCAAACCAGGAAGCTAATCTAACAGTAGGATAAAATCTGAAATTGAGACCATTCTGGAAGATTGTGAACATATAGTTACCAGAGTTGAAACCCATGTCGTTCTTCACTGGTTATATTCCACTACCCTGAGGCATTTAGTGTGCAGGCCTAACCATGTGAGATTTTATGCACAGACAAGTTAGACTAGCCAGGTCTCACCTGCAGGACTGGTAGCTGGAAACTAGGAAGACTCTCTAGTGTAGTTGTGCTCTCCCTCTGAGCTGAAGGATAGAATGGAACAGTGAAAGATAACTTACTTGGGCAGTTTCTCGGCAGTGTTACTTGTGGGTCAGGGTAATGAGGTAGTTCTTAAAGGAACACTACTCAGAAGGGAAACACAATCAGCAATTTAAGAGATGGGATATAAAGTCTGTTCTTTTCCTGTGAGGACCAGGTACTGGCAGAGAGGTCTGAGATTTAACTATGAGTGGGAAAATAGCCAATATAAATATTTAGGTGAGCTATGGAAGATGGCAGCCTCTTAGCAAGAGGACTGGTGGTACCACCTTTACTGAAAAAGATGGGGAGAAGAATGGATATTGGCCTTATAATCCTCAGAACTGAGCGCCCAGCATTTTCAATATAGGGACTTTTGAGAAGCCAGTTTAATCCTATAGGCCAACCTTCTGGCTAAATAGTAGGACTCGACTGGTGACAGGATGAGTGCTAACCAGGCAAAATCCAGAGTTTCCCTTCACTCTGAAGAAAATGGGATGGCTCTTAAAGAATATTAAGGAGCCAACTAGAGACAATGCTCTTTGGGGGGCAAACCTCAACATCTTGTCATCTTGAAAATCTTCATTTTAGTATATGTGTCTATAGTTGAAGCTCCATTCCTTTGGAAATGTTATTTAACTTACCAAAATTGTTGGGGGTGAGGACTCTTGTGTGGCCTGAATGCCCATTTGGGGATGGTCTGAAAGAAAAAATCCCCTGTCCAGAGGAGGCAGATGAAGTTCTAAGGAAAGCAAATAAAAGCATCAGCAGAGAAAAGGACAGGTAAAGGTAAAAATAAAAAGCATATGTAATGGAAGAGCCTATACAGCTAGGCCAGAGAGGAAAAAATTCCCTGCTTGCAACTGATGATAATTTTTTCTTTTTTTTTTTTTGAGACAGGGTCTCACTCTGTTGCCCAGGTTGGAGTGCAGTAGTATGATCATGGCTCACTGCAGCCTTGACTTCCTAAACTCAAGTGATCCTCCTGTCTTAGTCTCCCAAGTAGCTGGGACCACAAGCATACACCCACCAAGCCCGGGTAATTAGGTCTCACTTTGTTGCTCAGCCTGGTCTCCAACACCTGGGCTTAAGCAATCCTCCCACCTTAGCCTCCCGAAGTGCTAGGATTACAGGTGGGAGCCACTACCGGGCCAAAATACAGTAATTTGGATGTATATTAAACACAGTGCTATCCAGCTTTCTTTTTTGCTTATAAGGCACATTGTAAACTTCGGTGGTACAAGCCAGTGGAGAAGTAATCCCAGGACTGCTGGCAGAGTTTTGTTTTTTTGTTTGTTTTTTGAGACGGAGTCTCACTCTGTCACCCAGGCTGGAGGGCAGTGACACCATGTCAGCTCACTGCAACCTCCGCCTCCTGGATTCAGCAATTCTCCTGCCTCAACCTCCCGAGTAGCTGGGATTACAGGCACGTGACACCGCTCCCGGCTAATTTTTTATTTTTAGTAGAGACAGGGTTTCGCCATGTTGGCCATACTGGTCTCAAACTCCTGACCTCAAGTGATCCACCCTCCTCGGCCTCCCAAAGTGCTGGGATTACAGGCGTGAGCCACCGCACCCAGCCTGCTGGCAGAGTTTAAGTATGAACACATCCCAAGAAAAAGGAAGCATAGTGTTACTGACCTATAAGATAGGCTATGAGTTGAAGCCGGTGAAGGGGTTTCTGGAAAGCATAAAAATAAGCCTGTGAGATAATCCATGAACTGGAGAAGAGATTCAGGTATACTTGGGGCCAGGGCAAAGGAAATGGAGATAAAAGATTTTTAGTATATGGGTTAGGGTTGGGGGCTAATGCCAAGTGAAAAAGCTCACAAATCACATAGCAGTATCTCTTATAGGTGCTTTCCTCTCCCTTTCATGAGTCTGTGGGCTGAGATCCCTCACTGCCTTCATGTGCTCTCATGTATCTGTGCCTTGGTTTCCCCTCTAAGATGGAAATCACCAGAAAGAATGGGTAAAGACAAAAATTAGCTAGGAGTGACATCAACAAAAATTAGCTAGGAGTGACATCAACAAAAATGGCAGAGCAAAGACCTCCAAAAATTTCCTCCTCCATAAAAGCAATGAGAAAATTGGCATAATGGTCAGAATCAACTTTTTCAGAAATCTGAAAATTAACAAAGGGCTTGTAGTAATCTGGAGAATGTTTATTCAAGAAAAATAGCAAAATGTTAGTAAAAACAGCAAGGTTTGTGGCATTTTAACTTGCTCTATTGCCATTTCTCCTTCTCCACCTCCATGATAGCCTTGAAAACCAACAGGGCATGCTCATGATGAAACCCAACAGTCTGGCAGTCACTAGAGGGGATGGAACAGGGTTGGAGCTTTTTGAAGGATTCATTCCCAGAGAACTGTCATTATTTGACCTGTCTAGTGGTTCCCTGGAAGACCCCACTTTCAAGGTTGTCTTAATTTGACAGCACCAGGACTTGGAGCTCAAGTTCACCAGGACTTGGAGCTCAGAGCTTACCAAGTGCAGAAAAACCTTTCTCCAGTCTGATGAAAACAATTAGAAGCACTTGTTTGGCTGCCTAAGGAGATAAATATCAGCTGGGACAAACAAAAGGCTAACCAAAAAGCATGACATATAGAAAACAAATAACAAAATGCAGAAGTCAGTCCTTCCTTATCTGTAATTACATTAAATGTAAATGAATTAAAAGGCAGAAACTGGCAGAACAGATGAAAGAAAAAACAAGTCCAACTATGCACAGTCTACAAGATACTCACTTTGGATTCAAAGATGCATATAGGTTGAAAGGAGAAGGATGAAAAAATATATTCCATGCAAAAAACAAGGAACAAAAGAGTGGCTATACTAATATCAGACAAAATAGACTTTAAGACAAAATTGTTGGGCCAGGCACAGTGGCTCATGCCTGTAATCCTCAGCACTTTGGGAGGCCGAGGCAGGCAGATCACTTGAGGCCAGGAGTTCGAGACCAGCCTAGCCAACATGGTGAAACCTTGTCTCTACTAAAAATACAAAAATTAGCTAGGCGTGGTGGCACATGCCTATAATCCCAGCTACTAAAGAGGCTGAGGCACAAAAATCACTTGAAGCCAGGAGGAGGAGGTTGCAGTGAGCCAAGATTTTGCCACTGCACTCTAGCCAAGACGAGAGTGAGACTCTGTCCCAAAAAAAAAAAAATTGTTACAAGAGACAAAGGCATTAAATAATGATAAAGGGGTCCATTTATCAAGAAGAGAAACATTTATATGTGCATCTAACAATAGAGTCCTAAAATACATGAAGCAAAAACTGATAGAATTGAAGAGAAAATAAGACAATTTGACAATAATAGGGACTGGGCATGGTTGCTCATGCCTATAATCCCAGCACTTTGGGAGCTGAGGCAGGAGGATTGCTTGAGCCCAGGAGTTCGAGACCAGCCAGGGCAGAACAGGGAGACCTCGTCTCTACAAAGACATGAAAATTGAAATAAAAAAACTAGCCAGGCGTGGTGGTGCATGCCTTTTGTTCTAGCTACTCAGGAGGCTGAAGTGGGACTATCGCTTAAGCCTGGAAGGTGGAGGCTGCAGTGAGCCACAATTGTGCCACTACACTCCAGCATCAACAACAGCACGAGACTCTGTCTCAAAAAAACAAGAAAACAAAAAACCAAAAACCACAATAATAGTTGGTGACTTTAATACCCCACTTTCAATAACAGACAGAACAACTGGACAGAAGATCAGCAAGGAAAGGAAACAGAAGCATACTAATTGAACAACACGATATACTAGCTAAACCTAGCAGACTCTATAGAATACACCACCCAAAAAGAGTAGAATATACATTCTTTCCACATACACATGGAGCATTCTCCAGGATAGACCACATGTTAGGTCATAAATTTAAAAGGATTTAAATCAGGCCGGGTGTGGTGGCTCACGCCTGTAATCTCAGCACTTTGGGAGGATGAGGCAGGCAGATCACCTGAGGTCAGGAGTTTGAGACCAGCCTCAACATGGAGAAACCCCGTGTCTACTAAAAATACAAAATTAGCCGGGTGTGGTGGTGGTGCATGCCTGTAATCCCAGCTACTCGGGAGGCTGAGGCAGGAGAATTGCTTGAACCTGGGAGGCGGAGGTTGCGGTGAGCCGAGATTGCACCACTGCACTCCAGCCTGGGCAACAAGAAAGAAACACCATCTCAAAAAAAAAAAAAAAAAAAAAAAACATTTAAAAGGATTTAAATCACTGAAAGTCAAAATCAATAACAGTAGGAAATTTGGGAACTTCACACATATGTAGATATTGAACAACACATTGATAAACAACCAATGGGTCCAAAAAACAAAAATCACAAAGGACATTAGAAAATACTTTGGAATGGGATCAGCATGGGTATAATCCCAGCACTTTGGGAGGCTGAGGCGGGCAGATCACCTGAGGTAAGGAGTTGGAGACCAGCCTGGCCAACATGGTGAAACCCCGTCGCTACTAAAAATACAAAAATTTGCCAAGCATGGTGGCACGTGCCTGTAGTCCCAGCTACTTGGGAGGCTGAACCTGGGAGGCGAAGGTGGCAGTGAGCTGAGATGGCACCACTGCACTCCAGTCTGGGCAACAGAGTGAGACCCCATCTCAAAAAAAAACACAAATGAACAAACAACCTTTGGAATGAATGTAAACAAAACACAGCATGCCAAATGTTATAGGATGCAGTAAAAGCAGTGCTACAGTGAAATTTATGACTGGAAACATCAATAGTAAAAAAGATCTCAAATCAATAATCGAAACTTCCACCTTAGGAAACTAGAAAAAGAACTAAATCCAAAATAATGAGAAGGAAGGAAATAGACTAAACCAGAAGTAAATGAAACAGATAATAGAAGAAGTAATACAGACTCTCAACAAAACGAATTCTTTGAAATGATTGACAAAGAAAGAGGAAAAGACTCAAATTACTAAAATTAAGAATGAAAAAGAGAACACTGTTGTTACCAACCTGACAGAAATAAATTGGCTAGAACATCTATGTTTTTCAAAGGAGTGGGAGATTTCAAATGTGGGAGATTTAGAGGGAGACTATTTGGAGAATTAAAAAAAGAGATTTGGGAATTTCAAATTCTTTCTTGTGAAAGTCTTCTCTGATAGGTATTCTCTAGGTACTGGCTAATGCCCTTGAAAATGGTAACAACAGTAATAATTTTAAGGGGCTTTAGGTAAGAAATTAAGTAAGCAGACCCAAAATATTCCTTCACTGGAATATTTTTATGTTTAAAACACAGCAAAGAAGCCAGATACCCTTCAGGCCAACAATCAGCATCCTGTGAACCTTCTTTTTACACTTAGCTTGTAATGCCATCTTGTGGCAATTCAAAAAAATCCAAGTCAATTTTACTGAAAAGTTATCCTCCATCTCCTGACCAGAGGTTTTCAATGACTTTCTATCACTCAAATCTTTATTTTCCCCTTATTAGTTGGAAGACAAAAATATCATTATTTGAAAAACTTGTAGGCCGGGCACAGTGGCTCACGCCTGTAATCCCAACACTTTGGGAGGCCGAGGAAGGCGGATCACCTGAGGTCAGGAGTTCGAGATCAGCCTGGGCAACACGATGAAACCCCGTCTCTACTAAAAATACAGAATTAGCCAGGCGTGGTGGCACATGCCTGTAATCCTAGCTACTCGGGAGGCTGAGGCAGGAGAATCGCTTGAACATGGGAGGCGGAGGATGTGGTGAGCCGAGATCATGCCATTGCACTCCAGCCTGGGCAACAAGAGTAAATCTCCATCTCACCAAAAAAAAAAAAAAAAACCTTGTAATATATGTATGGATACATGGAATCACTGTCAGGAAAAAAAAACAAGTGAAATGGCATTATATTATGCATAGAAAACCAGAAATCCGCAGATCTTCGCATAGAGTAAGTTGATTTCTGACACCCTTTTCCCCCCACCTCACCATTATAAGAGTCTCTGGGAGTTCTCCTTCCCTGCAGACCTCTGCCTCCCTGATAGACAAATAATAAGCATCAATTAATAAATATATCTCAGTTATCTGGCTTCCCTATTCCCTATTTATCTATAGCTACACATTCAAGCATATATTGTTCTACTGCAGTGGGCATACTAGTCAAAGAAAGATCCATACTTTACTCCTTCCAAAATGAACACCATGGACACTGTTGATTGAGTCCTTAAACACTTTCACTATTTCCACCCCTATTTATTCTCTGTCAGTTTCTAATATCAGGTCTCCATTGCCAAAAGAAAATAGGGTCCAGTATGACATCAGATAATTTATGCCAAAACCAATATAAATTTAAGTTCTTGATAAACCTTTGCTTTCATTTAGCATTAGAAACTTCAATCTGGAAAGATAAGGTGAACATTACTTACTTGTCCCAAGCTACCAAAGCCAGCCTCTCTATAAGGAATAGATTCCGCTGAGGAGGACCGACTGTATAAGGTGAAACAAAAAGAAAAAAAAGGCAAAAAACCTAGTTTTACTTTTTATTGTTGTTGTTTTTTTGTTTTGGTTTTTTTCAGACAGAGTCTCACTCTGTTGCCCAGGCTAGAGCACAATGGCACAAGCTTAGCTCACTGCAGCCTCCGCATCCTGGGTTCAAGTGATTCTCATGCCTCAGCCTCCCAAGTAGCTAGGACTACAGGCGTGCACCACCATGCCCAGCTAAGTTTTGTATTTTTAGTAGAGACAGGGTTTCACCATGTTGGCCACACTGGTCTCGAACTCCTGACCTCAAATGATCCACTCGCCTCAGCCTCCCAAAGTGCTGGGATTACAGGCATAAGCTACTGTACCCAGCCTCAGAAAACCTAGCTTTATATGTTGTTAGCACACAGAACACTCGTTTTTTTTGGGGGAAGGGGCACATGTCACTAATAGAAAGTCTCCGAAGCTGGATTGATGGGAGGAAAACACCTTTCCCTTCTAGTTTTGAGAGACTTCCTCTTGGCTCCCAAGAGGAGGGATTCCCTGACTTTGACACACATGGCCACCTTGGCACAAAAGCCTTGTGGTATGAAAAAACAAATTCGTTTTTATGTCCTCTTCTCCTTTTCCATCTTTCAGCATAAACTTAACTCCCTTAAGCCGAGACATCTGTTAGGACCTGACCCCCAGTCATTGATTACCAGTTTGTCTGGCAATCTGGACTTTCCAGTGATGCCACTGAGATGGCACCTGTCAAAAGAGCAGTGGTTCCATTTCTAGATTGTGGATCTTCAGATAAATTCTGCCATTTTCATTTCATTCCCTGAAAGTCAGGGTTGGCTTGTGAAAAGTTGTTAAACAATATGCTAAATGTGAAATGTCAACCCTCACTCTCAACTTTCCCTGTTCGGAGCATGAGATGAAGACTTCATTGGGTTTTATAGTGGCTTTCTGATTTTTGGTAATCCATTGAAGAAGGGAGTTTGAGAGTTGTTGTATACTGTTAATGATTGTCTGCCCATGTCCTGCCTGAATGGACAGTATCTTTAATAAAGCTGGATACAGTTTGGCTTAGGGAAAAAAAAAAACCCTAGCTTTAAACTTCTACATAGACCTAAAATTTCATCAGTCCCAATCTGAGCTACAACTAGATATTTCTTCTATCTTCCAACTTTTGCCAACAGTTTTAATGTTGCTGTGTAGGTTTACCTGACCACTTGACTGCTATGCTGGAAACTGGGTCGTGGGGTAACTGAAAGAGAATAAAGTACAGAATAAAAAGTTGCCATCAATGGTATGCCTGCCTTGCCTGGCCAATTTGTTGTACATGGTTATCTGGTTATATAATGTTTTCATATTACACATAAAGTTAGGAAGATCACATTATTGTCTCTGAGAGGAAACCATCTTCTACATAAGGAAAGGATATTCATCTCACACAGATATTTAGGGGAAAAATGTTCTCCACCTGACTGTGATGGGGAAGTAATGCCCACTGGTCGAGGTGTGATTGACCTGCAAGGGAAAAAAAAAGAGGCGGCTCTAATCTCTCTAGGCAGAGGTCAAGTGCCACTTTAGAGGATCAATCAGATCATTGTTTATAGAATAATAGCTTCCTCTCTGAGGACAAATTGCTTACTCTCATGTATTATAGGTAGCATCCTAAAATATGGAAGCAAAGTTTCCATATAAAACCCATTGCTCTCCAACTCCCTAAGTGGAGCTTTCTCCACCTCTGTGTTGCCCATAATAGAAGTTTTAAAGTACACCTTTCTTCTCTCCTCAGTGCCTTACCAAGTACTCTCAACCATACATCTGTCCATCCATTCATACATCCCTCCATCCTCTCATCCACCTTAAGAAACTAGAAAAATAACTAAACCCAAAGTAACCAGAAAGAAGGATGCCATCCAACAAGCATATATTTGGGTCTATATTTCCTAGATCCTGAGATTACAAAGATAACTAGAATAACTGAGAGGCTTACAGGCTAGTGGGAGAGATGAAAAAAAAAATCAGAACAGTGTTTAAGTGTTGTAATGGGCTTATCAGAAGTATAGAAGGACAAAAGAACATTAGACTGTAACTTCTATGAATGTAGGGGCAGTGTCTCTTTAATCCATAATGCAGGACTGATATTAAAAAATATATATGTGTGTGTGTGTATATATAGAGAGAGTTTTGTTTTGTTTTCTGTTTTTTTGTTTGTTTTGAGACAGAGTCCCACTCTGTCACCCAGGCTGGAGTGCAGTGGGGTGATCTCGGCTCACTACTGCCAGCTCTGCCTCCTGGGTTCCCGCCATTCTCCTGCCTCAGCCTCCCGAGCAGCTGGGACTACAGGTGTCCTCCACCACGCCCGGCTAATTTTGTTTTTGTATTTTTAGTAGAGATGGGGTTTCACCATGTTAGCCAGAACGGTCTCAATCTCCTGACCCCATGATCCGCCCACCTTGGCCTCCCAAAGTGCTGTGATTACGGGTGTGAGCCACCACACCCAGCCGATACTAAAAATATATTTAAGAGTTGGTAGAGCATAGATATCACTAATTAGAAAGGACCGGTGGTATATATCCAGCCTGTAACATGGTACCTGATAAACAGTAGGCACTTAATATTGAATGAATGAACAGACCATCTAACTCCACCTAATGCAGTCTTCACAGAGGAAATGACTGAGTTCAATTTTGAAGGATGAGTAGTGTAAAAAGTAAGGTGGAGGTTCCTCTTTAAAGACTTTCCTCTTCATCTAATTAGGAATAAATAGTAACTTCTCTTAAAAGCAAAATTTATTTAAAGACCTGTACTAACATTCTTAAATATCTGCTAGCCGTAATAAAGAAATCAATGTACTTTATGTTCTTAGCTCCCACAATTTAGCCTAAATATTTGCCCTGGCATGCTTAGATTGGTCCAAACAAGCATTAGGTTATAGTCTGTTCCTCTTCCTTATTTGAAGGTGTTTTTACCTTTCTCAGCATTCCACAAGTTACTTCCTCCTTCCTTTGTTCTCCTCTACCTTTGCCCCTTTTCATAAGTTCTAAGTTGCTAGCCAATCGGAACAAATACAGAATGTGAGGTCTGGTTCCAGCCAATGGAAACCGGACACAGCAGTAAGGTAGACGCGTCAGGTTATGAACGACCCTGTCTCCTTTGTTCAGTGTACTCTCGTGGCAAAACTGCCGGCGAGTGTACCCTTTCTGCAGGAAGTAAAAATGACCTTGCTGAGTAAATTAAATTTATGTTCAAATGCTATTTCTTTATGGCACCAGGGAACAAGCATTTCAAACACTAGGATTTCATAAGATGACAATCCAGGGTGAGCATTACAATTAAGATTTTACTTCGGCACTTTCAGTAACTAACTCTTCCTCGGAGAAGTGAAAGCTAAATTCATTAACCATTTTCTCTCTCTCAGAGTTCACACAGCCAGGAGTCAAGAAAGAACAGGAATTTTCAGGGGGCTGGGCTAGTATGGGAGCTGATAAAACTGACCTGCTTCCTTGGTACCGACTTGGAGATTCCTATAGGTGAAAAAACCAGGAGTGAAGAAAGCTGCAACTGAGGATCCTAATCAACAGATCTTCAGTCTTACTTGCGAGATAACTAAGCTCAGTGCCCCTTAGTCATGGTTGCTAAGACTCCCAGTAGGAGGAAAAGTAGCAGCAGTATTTCCTTAGGATATTATTAGCTTTGAGGGGATAAAAGTTTAGTTCTTCATAAGAGTGCATACGGAATCCCATAGACTAACATATGTGGGGAAATACGGAGTCTCTGGTGAGAGAAAGGAAAATGACACACTACAATGTGCTAGAATAATTACAGGAGTAGGATCAATAGGAAAATTATATAAATACACAGAACATTCTTAGGAAGAAAAACTATTTAGGAAGTAGAGTGTGATGCAGAGGAAGGGTCCTGAGGTATCTTTGAGTTTCTTGAAGAGAAATGTTTAAGTTGCAACAGCTGTCTCTTCTATAAGAGAGCTTTCCAACTGGTAGGTCATGACTCACTGATGTTCAGGAATGGGTTACAAGTGTGCTATATATTGATCCTTTCAGTCCCCCAAGGTCTGCTGAGACCTCATCCATTTACTATAGTGTGCTTGTTATACAAATATCAATTTCTGTGTGTGCCATGATGAGAAAAAGATTAGGAAACACTATTCTATACAGTCAGCTAGATAGATGAGAAAAGTAAGAGAGAAAATAATAATAAGGAAAATCTATTTCATTCACCTTTAGAATGGCTAGAAATTTCTTCAGTTCTCCATTCTCCTTCCTTAAGACTGACAATTCTCTAGGCAAAAGATGGAAACAATCAGCTCCAGCAAATCAGGGATTAAAAACCTGATTTTTTATTATTATAACTATTAACATCTAGTTAATACTTACTGAGAAATGCTTGCAGCTATACAAGCTATTTCTATCAGGGATTTGATGATTCAAGGAGACTAATGGCAGGGTTTTGATAATGAGAACAATTAGGTGGACAAAATAAGCAATTACTTGGTATGATTTCAGGGGAATTTGCAAAGAATTCCATTTCCTCTCTCCACCCACACACACACCCCTGGCCTGCTGATGTCTAAAAATTTTTATCAAGGACTCCATCTTGTGATTGCTTTGGCAGCACATACACTAAAATTGGAACAATACAGAGGAGATTAACATAGCCCCCAAAGAAAGTTAACATGTAAATGCTTGAAGCATTCCATAAAAAAAAAAAACAAAAAAAACTTTAAAAGAAGAAAAAAAAAGGATTCCAGACCAGCCTGGGCAATATGCAGAGACTCCTCTCTACAAAAAAAAAAAAAAAATACAAAAATTAGCCAGGCATAGTGGTGTGCACTTGTAGTCCCAGCTACTTGGGAGGCTGAGGTGGGAGGATTGCTTGAGCCCAGGAGATTGAGGCTACAATGAGTGTTATCAGTGTGAATCAGCTATATCTGATTTCCCAAGGAAGCAGATGTTTTTTTTTGTTTTTGTTTTTGAGACAGTGTCTCACTTTTTCACCCACGCTGGAGTGTCGTGGTGTGATCATAGCTCACTGTAACTCAGACTCCTGGGCTCAAACGATCTTCTGGCCTCAGCCTCCCAAGTAGCTGGGACTACAGGTGTGAACCACCATGTCTGGCTAATTTTTGTTTAAAATTTTTTTTTTTTTAGAAACAGAGTCTCGCTGTGTTGCCCAGGCTGATCTTCTCCTGGCCTCAAGTGATCTTCTGCTTCGGTCACCCAAAGTGCTGGGATTACAGGTGTGAGCCACTGCACCTGGTCTGGGAAGCAGTTTTTGATACCGAGAAATAGAAGAGGAAAACTATAAAGTGAGGAGGGCCTCTGGAGGGAAGAAAGAGAAAAAATGGAGATTCAGGGGATCAAAAATTCTGTACCTGATTTTCCCAAACAAACAAATACATATGGAGCAATTTCCAGGCTTTGCAAACACAATAAGGACTGTCACTTCTTAGAAAAAAAAAAAAAAAAAAAGCTCTCTTGGGACTTGATTTGTTACTTACTTGTCCTGGCTCACCAGTGCTTGCTGTGCCTCCTGCATGGCTGTTTCTAACTTTGTAATTCTATGCTTATAAAAGGCGATGAGGAGATCTGTTTGTTTCTTCTGGAAACTCCACACCTACTAGGGAAAAACAAGCCTTTGACATACTCTCCCATAACTCCTTTCCCTTCACTTCTGGCAAGAAAGGGAAGCCATCAAATCACACTTTATTATACTGCTCATTTTCTTCTAGAACATCTGGCCTAATTCACAACTTCCCAGAACTAGAGAGCTCAGCACTCATTTCCAGGACACTAGCCTTCTACTGTCTTTTTTTTTTTTTTTTTTGAGACAGAGTTTCGCTATTGTTGCCCAGGCTAGAGTGCAATAGTGCGATCTCGGCTCACCGTAACCTCTGCCTCCTGGGTTCAAGCTATTCTCCTGCCTCAGCCTCCCGAATAGCTGGGTTTACAGGCATGTGCTACCACGCCCAGCTAATTTTGTATTTTTAGTAGAGACGGGGTTTCTACATGTTGGTCAGGCTAGTCTTGAACTTCCGACCTCAGGTGATCTACCCACCTCAGCCTCCCAAAGTGTTGGGATTACAGGCGTGAGCCACCGCACCCGGCCCCTTTTACTATCTTAATGAGAATATTCTACCATAGTAGAATGACCCTTTAAATATATAATTTTTCATCCCGTGCAAGAAGAGAGATTTTTTTTAAAACTGTTTTTCAAGCTTAGAATTGGTTCTAACTTGTCAACTATTAGTTTGGATCAGCCTCCACATTCATAGCTATTACACAGCCTTGGTGACCAATTTATTTTCCCTAAAGACACCTACAGAGTCACCTGCAGGCTGCTTATGCTGCTATAGGAAAGGGTGGAGAGGCACAGAAGGAGATTACCTATGCTTGAATTTTTTTTCTGGGCATGCACACGTAATTTTTTATTTTGCCTCACTTTACCATTTGCTATACTAATGTGTCTATCATGGGATTGCTGAATCGGATCAAAAGTTAATATTTAGAAAGTGTTTTAGCTTTGTCAGGCTCTACTTTTGAGTACACAGCAGTATTTACGTCTCATCTGCTTCCTCCCTGTTCAGACTATAAACCCTCTTTTGTCTAGGGTCCTTTCCTAGATCTTGGTACTCTTCTCATAAACTTTTTGTTCTCACTTAATTTTCAAATTGCTCTTGCCACCTTACTAAAGAATTGTACTTAAGAGTTTCCTTTCTACTTGAAAGTAAACTAAACTAGTTTTAGATAGATAAGAATTTACTCTAGTCTATTTTTTTAAACCCTCATTTTTAATAAAACTAAAATGTTTATTTTAAGCTGTGAAAAGAAAATGTTTACTTTAAGCCAGGCATGGTGATCATGCCTATAATCTCAGAGACTCAGGAAGCCAAGGCTGAGGCAGGAGGATTGCTTGAGGCCAGGAATTTGAGACCAGCCTAAGCAACATAGCAAGACCCTGTCTCTATGAAAAATAATTTTGATTTATTTTATTTTATTTTTTTTGTGTGTGTGTGACTGAGTCTCGCTCTGTCGCCCAGGCTGGAGTGCAATGGCACGATCTCAGCTCACTGCAACCTCCGCCACCCACGTTCAAGCGATTCTCCTGCCTCAGCCTCCTGAGTAGCTGGGATTACAGGCGTCCGCCACCACGCCTGGCTAATATTTGTATTTTTAATAGAGACAGGGTTTCACCATGTTGGTCAGACTGGTCTCGAACTCCTGACCTCGTGATCCACCTGCCTCAGCCTCCCAAAGTGCTGGGATTACAGGTGTGAGCCACCATGCCCGGCCAAAAAATAATTTAAAAAATTTAGCCAGGCGTGATAATACATTCCTGTAATCTCAACTACCTGAAAGGCTGAAGTGGGTGGATTGCTTGAACCCAGGAGTTTGAGGCTGCAGGGACCCATGATCGTGCCTCTGCACTGCAGTCTGGGCAACAGAGCAACAGCCCAACTTAAAAAAATTATTTTAGAAAATTTGAATAGAGGAGGCCAGGCGTGGTGGCTCATGCTTGTAATCCTAGCACTTTGGGAGACCAAGGTGGGCAGATCACTTGAGGTCAGGAGTTCGAGACCAGCCTGGCCAATATGGCAAAACCCCGTCTCTATTAAAAATGCAAAAATTAGCCAGGCATGGTGGCGTGCACCTGTAATTCCAGCTAATGGAGAGGCTGAGGCAGGAGAATCACTTGAACCCAGAAGGTGGAGGTTGCGGTGAGCCAAGATTGCACCACTGCACTCCAGCCTGAGCAACAGAGTGAGACTCCATCTCAAAAAAAAAAAAATTAAACAGTGGAGAAGCAGAATAAAAGTCACTCTGAATCCTGGGAATTACCTAAAATGGCAGGGGGGTAGGAGTGAGGAGCAACAGAGATAAAGCTATATAATAGACAGCCAAATCACAATGTTAGTATCCCAAATATCCTAATCCTACCCTTGGGATTAGTGGGATTAGTCAGGAGTAAAATTATGTCAAAATCAGGCTAGCATCAAGATAAGCCAAATCCTACCCTAGATTAGTTAGCCCTCCCTTTGACATTACCAAGGGTCGTAAGTGCATAAACAGACCCCACTGTGGAACTCCAGGGAGCCAGACTGGACTATGGGAGGGTCTTTTGCCAGGCCTAAGCAAACCTACTTTGTCTACTTGTCCCAAAAAACTGATCATTCCAAGAAGAAGAAAGACCAGTCCAGAAAACAACCAGCAAGGAGTATTAAAGAAGCAGTGATTTTGCCTGATGCCAGGGTACAAATGTTTAGCCTATATCAAACACATTCACTGAAGAAGATTCTAAAATCTAACTCAGTAATGTACCTCAGTACAGTACTTTAAAAAATTACCAATAGTTAGCAATCTTTCAAATCCCTCAGCCTCATGAAGAGGTTGGTCTCTTTCGTTTTTCCAAAGAAGATTAACTTTTGTTTGCTTGCTTGCTTTTTTAAAAATTAAAAAAATTTTTTTAGAAATGATATCTTGCTATATTGCCCAGACTGGTCTTGAACTCCTGGTCCCAAACAATCCTCCTGCCTTGGCCTCCCAATAACTTACTTTTTCTTAAAGGTGTGATTATTTTGTTAATACAGTAACACAGAGCTGATAATAATAAAAGTAGTTCTATTGATGATAACACTTAACATTGTCTGGATAATGCAAGTGTTAAATATTGTTTGTTTTATTGGAACATTGATACCAACATTTTATTGGTATGAAACTATCTACTTCTATACCCTGATTCCTTTCCTTTATCTCCATACTAGGACCAGGTAAGGATATCATGGTCTTCATGCTCTGGATTCCTACCATTTTACTATTGATAACATGTCAAAATACAAAATTACAACAAATTTAGTTTAAAGATATTAACTGGCTTTGATTTGCAGTCCTAGACTTGAGGAACACATTATTCTAAAACACAGAATGAGTGTTCTGATTAACTGAGAAGACAAGTTGGCTTTTTAGGCAGAAAAGGGCTGAAGAAAGCAGAAACAGAGAACAAAAAGTGCATAGGTTGGTTCAAAGTTACTTTCCTTGTAAAGGGTAAAGCAGAGGGGACTTCTTTATTATGCCAGCTAAAATTGGCCTGTTTGGAGATTTAGCTATTACCTCTCTCTCTCCTGATTTCTTGGAAGATCAGATGAACTGTCAGCATGAGTAATTCCATTTTGGTTTGGTCTGTTGGACCTAGTACAGAAACTCAATCCAAACCAACAGCCTTGTATAAACTTTATTTTATATATGAAACATAATTTTTATTTTATATGCTTGAGAGAGCATATTAAAACTTCAGTTCTGAATTAGGTCCAACAAAAGGTTGGAAAGAGTAAAGGAGAAATAACTGAAAAATACTGAGAGAGGCACAGTAATGGAAGCAAAGGGGGAGCTTAGTAGGTTTACTATGATAAGACAAGACGTTTTGGTCCAATGTGGGTTATTGTAAACAAAACATTCTTGTTTGTTTATAAAACTAGGCCAGGTGCAGTGGCTCATGCCTGTAATCTTGGCACTTTGGGAAGCCAAGGTGGGCAGATATCTTGAACTCAGGAGTTTGAGAACAGCCTGGGCAACGTGGCAAAATGCTATCTCTACCAAAAGCACACACATACAAAAAAGTAATATATGCTTTGGAAATGAATATTAGTTTGATTATCATTTTTGTACTAAAGAATGACCTTCCCAGTTCTTATTTTTATTTATTTTTATTTTGATAGAGATGGGGTCCTGCTATGTTGCCCAAGCTGGTCTCAAATTTCTGGCCTCATGTCATCCTCCAAGTGCTGGGATTATAGGAGTGAGCCACCATGCCCAGTTTTAGTTTTAGTTTTTGTTTTTGTTTTTGTTTTTTTGTTTTGTTTTGTTTTGTTTTGTTTTGTTTTTGAGATAAAGAGTATTGCTCTGTCACCCAGGCTGGAGTGCAGGGGTTTGTTCACAGTTCACTGCAGGCTCAACCTCCTGGACTCAAGTGATCCTCCCACTTCAGCCTCCCGAGTAGCTGGGACAACAGGTGCATGCCACCATACCCCTCTAATTTTTTAATTTTTTTCTTCTTAAGAGAAAGGGTCTTACTATGTTGCCCAGGCTGATCTCAAACTCCTGGGATCTAGCCGTTCTCCCACTTCGGCCTCCCAAAGTGTTGGGATTACAGGAATGAGCCACTGTGCCTAGCCTTAGTTCTTATTTTTAAATGTCAGCATTTGTATTTAGTTGAAGATTTATTTTTGCACGCAATTTAATTTTTGAACATCTGTAAATAAGTCACTAAGTTTTAGAAATTCACTTTAAAGATATTGGTAAATTCACGATCTCTTTGACATTCAAAACCTATTAGTTTGCCTTATCTATCTTTTGTGAAACTCCCTCATTCCATAATATCTACAAGCAAGTCTTAGTATTTTTGAACTATATATCTGGATAATCATTTGCTTGATAAAAGGACATTTCTCTTTAGAAGTACTCCAACTAAAAAAATAAGAAAGGATGACAGAATTGGAATTTTACAACTTCTAATGAATTAAGGATCTCTGCAAAGTTCATCAATGGCTACCCTCATACAAAATAAGAGACATAGACCATTAAGTACCTCTTGGTGGAATACAACACTAGAATAAAGTGGTCTTGCCTCACCTTTCCCCGCCCCCAAACCAATGATGGTGATAAACCCTAAACTTACCTAACAATTTACAAGAAATAGAGGACAGAGGAACATATGAAATGACTCCATAGGTACAATAAACAAAATCCACACTGTGAACAACTCTATAGACAAAAGACCATTTTCTTCAATAATAACTTAAAAAGAAACAAGAGAAAACTTATAGTGTAAAAGAAACTTAAGAGACATAATAACCAACTGAAATATATACCTTTATTGAAACTCAATTCAAAATGTGGGAACATTTTAAAACTGAGACAACTGGAGAAATGTGAATGGGGACTGATAATTTGATAATATTATGGAATTGTTATTTTAGCATGATGTGGTTATATTTAAGAAAAAAGTTCCTATCTTTTAGAGATACACACTGAAATGTTTACAGATAGAAATGACGTAATATTTGGTTTTGGCTTTAAAATAATCTGGGTGGGGGTGGCAAGAGGTATGGATGGAGGAAAACTGGCCATTCACTGATAATTGTTGAAGTGGAGTGATGGATGCATGAAAATAAACCGTCCTCATAGGGTTTAACAAGAATTACATGCTTGGCTCTGGACAGAAATATAGTTATAATTAAGCATTAATCAGGCTGCACTTGGCCCACTTCCTTTTAGCTGCGAAAGTCACATCACACTAGATGCTGACCATTTGCATCCTCATTGTTCTCATAAATAGAATATGACATTAGAATCATAAGGCTTTTGCTTAAAAGTTGCTTAAGATAGTTTTCAGATCCTGAATTCCAGTGGAACAGTGAGTCTAAAGACCCCCACAGAGGAACTGAATCAGCATGAGAATGCAATTTCTTCATCCCCGCTTCTCATGACTTCAACCTGCATTCCTTAACCAATCAATGATCCCCACACCTTGGCTTACTACCTGTCCAACCCTTTAAAAACCTCTAGCCTCAAACTCCTCCTGGAGGCAAATTTGAGGTTTCCTATCTCCTTGTTCAGCTGTCTTATGATTAAACCCCTTTCTCTGCTGCAACCCAGTGTCTTGGTGTACTAATTTGCCATGCACTGGGCAATGAACCTGATATGGTTCAGAAATTAATTATATTATACATATCATTATATTCTTTTAAACATTTGAAATTACATGTGATGAAATCATAATAAACTTTTTTTTAATGGGCTGATTTTGAGGGGGATCTTTTGAACAGGGTGTGGTGTAAGAAATACATATATGGTCTTCGCCCCTGGTTCCTCACAGAGTTACTAAAACCTTTGGCATTTCCTGAGTGATAGGAGCATCTTTTGTTATTCATAACAAGCTCCTTTCAACCATACCTGAATGTGTGCTAATGAGGTGACTCTTGGTGGGTCCTAGGTAGCATCAAAATGGGGACTTGTTGCCAGGGGAACCAAACACTGTTTAGAGGGTTGGGGTCCCAACCTTTCTTCCCACGCCCCCCAACCCCTGACAATCAGAGAGGGAAAAGGGGCTAGAGATTGAGTTCAATCGCCAATGACAAATTCTTTAATCAATCATGCCTATGTAATGGAACGTTCATAACAACTCCTGAACAAGGCGGTTCAGAGAGTTACCAAGTTGGTGAACACTTGGAGGTGCTGGGAGGGTAGTGCATCTGGAGAGGGTATGGAAGCTCTGCACCCCTCCTCACATACTTTGCATCTTTTCCATTTGGCTATTTCCATGATATATGGTTTTCTTTCTTTCTTTTTTTTTTTGAGACAGAGTCTCACTCTGTTGCCAGACTGGAGTGTGGTGGCACAATCTTGGCTCACTGCAACCTCCACCTCCCAGGTTCAAGTGATTCTCCTGCTTCAGCCTCCAGAGTAGCTGGGATTACAGGCGCCCGCCACCACACCCATCTACTTTTGGTATTTTTAGTAGAGGCAGGGTTTCACCATGTTGGCCAGGCTGGTCTCGAACTCCTGACCTCAGGTGATCTGCCCGCCTCAGCCTCCCAAAGTGCTGGGATTACAGGCGTGAGCCACTGCACCTGGCCCCTATGTTGTATCTTTTATAATAAACTGGTAATAATAAACAAAGTACTTTTCTGAGTTCTGTGAGTCATTCTAGCAAATTATTGAAGCTTGTGGGAGCAGGAGGAAGTTCATGGGAATCCTCAAGTTTGTTGTTGGCCAGTCTGAAGTATTTTAGCCTGGGTACCCCATTTGTGGCTGGTGTCCAGAGTCGGGGCAGTCTTGTGAGGCTGAGCCCTAAACATGTGAAGTATGATACTAAAACTCTAGGAATTAGTGTTAGAATTGAATTGAATTGAATTGAATTGTTGCATACCTAGTTGGTGTCAGAGAACTGGTTGGTATCAGAAAACATCTCACACAGGGGCAGAAAATATATAGTGCAAATATTATTCATCTTTCCATTTAGCAAACCTTTACTGAACACTTTACGTCAGGCATAAGAACTGGAAATGCTAAGATGAATAGTATGGGTTCTTGTCTTTTAGTAGTGTCAAAGGAAAATATGTTGGACCCCCCAAATCACTAAGCTAAAGGGAAAAGCCAAGCTGGGAAATGCTCAGGGCAAACCTGCCTTTCATTCTATTCAAAGTCACCCTTCTGCTCACTGAGATACATGCATATCTGATTGCCTCCTTTGGAGAGGCTAATCAGAAACTCAAAAGAAGGCAACCATTGGTCTCTTATCTACCTATGACCTAGAAGCCCCTTCCCACTTTGAGCTGTCCCACCTTTCCCGATCGAACCAATGTTCATCATACATATGTTGATTGATGTCTCATGTCTCCCTAAAATGTATAAAACCAAACTGTACTCTGACCACCTTGGGCACATGTCGTCTGAACCTTCTGAGGCGCATGTCCTCAATCTTGGCAAAATAAACTTTCTAAATTAACTGAGACTTGTCTCAGATTTTCCGGGTTTACAGTAGCTTATCACAGTCTAGTAGAAGAGACATTCTGACACATGAACTAATAAGTAAAACACTAGGTTATACGCAGAACACAAGTACTTACAAGATATAGAGATAATGATTAAGAGGTAATTATTAATTCAGTCTTTTTTTTTTTTTTTGAGACAGAGTCTCGCTCTGTCACCCAGGCTGGAGTGCAGTGGCACATTCTAGGCTCACTGCAACCTCTGCCTCCCAGGTTCAAGCAATTCTCATGCCTCAGCCTCCCAAGCAGCTGGCATTACAGGCACGCGCCACCATGACACCTGGCTAATTTTTTGTATTTTTAGTAGAGACAGGGTTTTACCATATTGGCCAGGCTGATCTTGAACCCCTGACCTCAAGTGATCCACCCCCTCAGCCTCCAAAAGTGCTGGGATTAGAGGCGTGAGCCACCACGGCTGGCCTAACTTAGTTTTTAAAGTGTAGAAATCAGGCATTTCAGGTATAAAGGTATGAAAGTATATGGTCTGTAAAAGAACTGCAAAGAACTGAATCTGCCTAATAGATTAGGTAATAAATAACCTTACGTAATAACTTGTGTTTGTACATGAGAGGTGAGATGGTAGTTGTGATTGAAATTGGAGAGGTTAGGAGGAACCAGAACGTTAAGGTAACTATGTATCACTCTGAGCAGTCTGAAACTTAAGTGATAGGAAGCCACCAAAGGATTTTGAAAAGGCAGTTACTTGTTCAGATTTGTAATTGAAATAGATTATCGTGACGGTTCAGAGGGAACAGATTTGAGGAAAAAAGAACCCTAAAAATGCTTTCTTAGCAAAAGCAATTGGAGAATTGTTAGTAAGATGTCTGAAGTACCCACTCTGGATGAGAGCCACAGCAGCCCACCAGGCAGAGGGTTATGTTTTGGGTTGCACAGTTTGTATGATCAAAGGAATACTACCTCACACTGGCCTAAGGTTCCTCAATCCCCTGCTCAGTAGTGATGAAGAATTCAACTACACTGTTTCAGAAGTCCTAAATACTGAAAGCTTTTCCTTTTTAGGTAAAATAATATCAAACTAAATACAACTTTTCTTCAAAAGCACCATTGAGTATCTCTTTTTAATTTTTTATTTTTACACAAGCTGGAGTATGGTGGTGCAATCATGGCTCACTGCAGCCTCAACCTCTTGGGATCAAGCAATTCTCCCACCTCAGCCTCCTGAGTAGCTGGACTACAGGTGTGTGCCACCATGCCCAGCTAATTTTTAAATTTTTTGTAGTGAAGGGGTTTCACTATGTTGCCCAAGCTAGTCTCAAACCCCTGGCCTCAAGCAATCCTCCCACCTTGGCCTCCAAAGTGGTATGAACCACTGCGCCTGGCCCACTGAGTACCTCAGTTGTTCAAATTCTTAATTCAGCTGAGGGATGGAGAAGCTCTGGTCTATTGATGAGATCAAATCTTGACCTGATTTTATTCCAACAGTATATGTAGCAATTATGTATGTATATATTAGTAAAAACATATGACTTCAAAAATCTTTTAAAAACCATAAAATAGACCAAGGGTCAGCAAACAACTGACCATAACCAGCTGTCTGTTTTTGTAAATAAGTTTTATTGGAACATAATTACACACATTTGCTTACATGCTGTCTGTGGCTGCTTACATGCTGTCTATGGCTGCTTCCATGCTACAACAGCAGAGTTGGGTAGCAGCATCGGAAATTGTATGGCCTGCAAAGCTTAAAATATTTACTGGCCTGCTGTGGTCTGAATATTTGTGTCCCACAAAAATTCATTTGTTGACACTCAACTCCCAATGCAATAGTATTAAGAGATGGAGGCTTTAGGAGGTGATTATGTCATGAAGGCTTTGCTCTTGTGAATGGGATTAGTGTCCTTATAAAAAGAGGCTTGGGGGCCGGGCGTGATGGCTCATGCCCATAATCTCAGCACTTTGGGAGGCTGAGGTGGGCGGATCACGAGGTCAGGAATTCGAGACTAGCCTGACCAACACGGTGAAACCCCATCTCTATTAAAAATACAAAAATTAGCCAGGTGTGGTGGCGCATGCCCGTAATCCCAGCTACTCAGGAGGTGGAGGCAGGATAATTGCTTGAACCCGGGAGGCGGAGATTGCAGTGAGCCGAGATCGTGCCACTGCACTCCAGTCTGGGCGACAGAGCAAGACTCTGTCTCAAAAAAAAAAAAAAAAAAAGAGGCTTGGGGTTGGGCGTGGTGGCTCATGCCTGTAATTGCAGCACTTTGGGAGGCTGAGGCGGGCAGATTGCGTGAGCCCAGGGGTTCGAGACCTGGGCAACATGGTAAAACCCTGTATCTATTAAAAAAAAAAAAACACAAAAACTAGCCAGGTGTGGTGACATGTGCTTGTAGTCCCAGCTACCTGGGAGGGTGAGGTGAGAGGATCGCCTGAGCTCAAGAGGGCAAGGCTGCAGGGAGCCATGATTGCACCACTGGCCACAACCACACCACTGCACTCCAGCCTTTGTGACAGAGTGAGACCCTGTCTCAAAAAACTAAATAAAAAGAGGCTTGAAGGAGCCTGTTTGCCACTTTTGCCATGTGAGGATGCAGCAAGAAGGCATTATCTTGGAAGCAAAGAGTAAGCCCTCCCCCGACACTGAATCTGTTAGTGCCTTGATGTTGAACTTCCCAGCCTCCAGAACTGTTAAAATTAAATTTCTGTTATTTAGAAATTGCCCAGTCTAAGGTATTTTATTATAGCAGCCCAGACAGACTAAAAGAGCTGCTAAGGATGTAAAATGGTACAGCCACTTGGGAAAACAGTCTGGCAGTTCCTAAAAAAGTTAAATATAGAGTTACCATTTGACCCAGAAATTCCACTCGTAGGTATATACCCAAGAGGAATAAAAATATATGTCCATGTAAAAACTTGTACATAAATGTTCCATAGCAATATTACTTATAATAGCCCCAAAGTAGGAACAACCCAAATGTCTATTGACTAATGAATGGATAAGTAAAATGTATATCCATTTATATAATAGATTATTATTTGGCCATAAAATGGAATGAAATACTAATAAAGTCCTAACAGAGATGCTACAACATGGATGAAACTTGAGAGCATTATACTTAGTGAATGCAGCAAGTCACAAAAGACCATACATTATATGATTCCATATTTATGAAATGCCCTGAACAGGAAAAACCATAGCAACAGAAAGTAAATTAGTGATCGCCTGGGGATGGGGAGGGTGGGAAGGGTTTGGGAAGTGCCTGCCGATAAGTACAGAGCTTCTTTCTGGGGTGATGAAAATGTTTGAAAATTAGGCAGTAGTGTTTGCACAATTCTGTGGATGTATTAAAAACCACTGAATTGCATACTTTAAAAGGGTAAATTTTATGGTATGTAAATTACATCTCAATAAAGCTGTTATTAAAAAAGAAGGTGATTGCATGAAAACTAGTGGACCTAAAAAAAAAAGTAGATGGGGTGTTTATACTTCCCCTTGAAAACAATTTTTTTTTTTTTTGAGATGGAGTTTTGCTCGTGTTGCCCAGGCTGGAGTGCAATGGTGCGATCTTGGCTCACCGCAGTCTCCACCTCCCAGGTTCAAGTGATTCTCCTGCCTCAGCCTCCCGAGTAGCTGGGATTAAAGGCACGTGCCACCACACCTGGCTAATTTTTTATTTTTAGTAGAGACGGGGTTTCTCCATGTTGGTCAGGCTGGTCTCGAACCCCGGACCTCAGGTGATCCACCCACCGTGGCCTTCAAAAGTGCTGGGATTACAGGCGTGAGCCACCACACCCGGCCAACAATTTTTTAAAATACAAACTTCTTTTCACTTATATGATCTTCAACTATTTTTAAGTGGGTTTGTGATCACTCATAACCTTTCATGACTTTTCCACATTATTCTTTAAACTAATAAAGTACAGTTTTCAGATTGGGCATGGTGGCTCACACCTGTAATCCTGGCACTTTGGTAGGGCAAGGTGGGAGGACTGCTTGAGGCCAGGAGTTTGAGAACAGCCTGGGCAATATAGCAAGACTGTCTCTGTTTTTTGTTTGTTTTTTTTTAAAGTACTTTACAGTTTTTAAAATATTTCCATAAACATTGTCTCATTGGATCTTTACAAGAAGTAGGATAAGTATTATTATTTCATATTACATGTGAGGAAGTATGACTGGTTCAAAGAAATAAAGCTATAAGTTAGCAGGCCGAGTTGGTCATTAGATTTCTACATCAACAGTTTTCCCAGTATTATCACTTTACTGTATTTCATATACATTAAAGGAAAACTTCAATAGGGAAGATTAGTTCATTAATTCTTTCATAAATTATTTATTGAATCCTTCTATGCTCCTGGTACTATGTTAGGAGCTGACATATAAGATGAGTAAGATTGAAATTGCCCTGCCCCCAGGAGAATCGCTTGAACCCTGGAGGCAGAGGTTGCAGTGAGCTGAGATCTTGCCACTGCACTCCAGCCTGGGTGACAGACAAAAGCAAGACTCCATCTCAAAAAAAAAAAAAGAAAAGAAAACTTACAGACTTACAGATCTATATGAGGTTCTCCAGTCCCTCAGAAAGATTATCTTGAGGTGAGTAAAGAATTCAAAACAGTCAGCTTGATCAACTATTAGCACAAAGTACAGCAGAAAAATGGCCTTAAGTCTTTGTAGAGATTGGAGAACATAAAAACATAAATAGATATTTACAACAACATTCCATTCATTCATTCATTCAATGACAACGTCTTGAGCGTCCACTACTTATTAAGGACTATTAAAAGAGAACAATAAGCAAAACCAACCAAATCTGTTTTCATGGAGCTTATATTCCAGTGCAGGATTCAGACAACAAATATATAACATAATGTTAGAGAAAAGAACTACAATGCAAAAAAAAGCATGGTAAGGAGTAGAAAATGTTGGGGCTACTATTTGAAATATGAGAGTCACTAAAGGACTGACTGAAGAAGAATGTTTTGAGCAGAAGCCTGAATGAAACAATCTAGGTATTGGATCAGTTACTCAGCTTCACAAATTAGGAAAACACATTTTCAGACTTTGCTGACTTCACCAAATTGGCCCTTCACTAAAGTGATGATTAACTGACCCTTTCCATTTCTTTTATCTTGATACTTGACCATGTGTAATTGGTCCCATGATCAGGCAGGTTAGGATTCAGACTACATATGATTTCTCTACTGATCATTAACTATGCCTAGGTTTATTTATTAACTAAAGGTCTGCTCTTTCTCTTGTTCCTATGACCTTGTTTACATTTCTCCTTGAGTCTCAGCTGGATTTTAATATACTTATAATGTTAAATATAGTGTATGTCAAATATGATGGCTCAACCAAGCAGCTAAAGACAGCAAGCAGCAAGCCTTAATTCCCCTTACTCCATCTCTAGAGTGAGGATTGAGAGGCAGGACACTGAAGAAAAATTAAATCTTCAACCAGAAAATGACTAAGGATCATCTTGAGGTTTAGAAAAGGGGTATTTTCAAAAGAATAAGAAGTAAGAGTATAGAAAGGGAACAGTGATAAAAACCTCAAGAAATATGCCAAGATAGGAATTCCATGAGGCTATAGAATAATCTAAGAGAAATGGGGAGTAGAAGGAAAAAAACCAAAGTTTTTACAACTTGGGAACTCTCTCAAATGGTTGTCCTGCCTTCTCTCTACCTTCTTCTACATTCCTGTTGCTCCTGATCAAGTCAATTGTATGCCAACATATGACACATCAAGAAAAGATATTTCCTAAAATTCAAGCAACCAGTTATGAACACTAAATGAAGAGGTAAGTATTACTAAAAAGGTTATTGAAAAGTGAGAATGGGAAACAAGAAATACTCTCGTAAACTTAGTGCTATAAACTACTGGTTGCAAGTTAAACCATCAAACCTATTGTTTGCAGGGCCAGGCCTATATACTCAAAGCAATTTTTAGAAGGTGCATCTATCTGCTGAGAAAAATGATAAAGCTCCCTAAAACAACCTTTAGTCGTAGAAATTAATTAATACAACTAGGAAATACAAGGCAAGATGTTAGCTACTTAGTGACTTTTACAGCCTATCACAGATTCTGGGTCAATAAAAAGTTAACTGATTGAAATTTGTATCATCAAGGAAGAAAGCAAAGAAAGCAGTCAATTTCCCTCCATTGTGTACAAATGCAGTTTAAAGAAAACCTTTGATAAAGGAATAAGATGCAATTAGAATTTGCCTGGAGAGTCAGATTTTCTTCACTTTTGTTTCTCATACCTGAGAGATGTGACTAAAATACTGCAAAGCTGTCTCCACAGGACTTTTGAAAAACATCTTCTCCTGAGGCTTCAGCTACGAAGAGAGCAATACACACTGTGAGAATATCCACAATTGAATAAAATAAAATACTGACTAACATGACAAAAGATGTACCACCTTTTCTAATGTACCTGACATTATCTCCACTGTGTGTAAAAGGGAGATCTCCACTCTTCTAGATGTACATTATATGTCCAATTCTCCTTACCTTGTGCTTCTGTAACAGTGGTCACAAATAATGCTTCCATCTGTTGTTTATACTTTTTTTTTTTCTTTGAGACAGAGTTTTGCTGTTGTCACCCAGGCTGGAGTGCAGTGGTGTGATCTAGGCTCATTGCAACCCTCGCCTTTTGGGTTCAAGTGATTCTTCTGCCTCAGCCTCCTGAGTAGCTGGGATTACAGGTGCCTACCAACACACCCAGCTAATTTTTGTATTTTTAGTAGAGACGAGGGTTTCCTCATGTTGGCCAGGCTGGTCTCGAACTCCTGACCTCAGGTGATCCACCCGCATCAGCCTCCCAAAGTGCTGGGATTACAGGTGTGAGCCTCCTCAGCTGGCCTGTTATTTATACTCTTTTTACAAACTTCTATCTGCAAGTTTGTTTCTTTGCTTGCTTGCTTGCTTGCTTGCTTGCTTTTTTTTTTTTTTTTTTTTTTTTTGAGACAGAGTCTTACTCTGAGCCCAAGCTGGAGTGCAGTGGCGCGAGCTCAGCTCACTGCAACTTCCACCTCCTGGGCTCAAGTAATTCTCGTGCCTCAGCCTCCCAAGCTGCTGGGACTACAGGCCCGCACCACCACGCCTGGCTAATTTTTTATATTTTAGTAGAGACAGGGTTTCACTATGTTGCCCAGGGTGGTCTCAAATTCCTGAGCTCAGGCGATCCACCCGCCTTGACCTCCCAAAGTGCTGGGATTACAGGCCTGAGCCACCACGCCCGGTCTTCTTTTCTTTCTTTTTGAAACAATTCATCATCTGTACTTTGTATATACTTCCTACAGGCCAGGAATGGGATGAGACAGTTTGTGGCAGGGGGAGAAAAACTTACATTATCAGAAAGAGCCAGATGCTTGCAGGCAGTTCCACAAACAGCACATTTTTCTGGGAGGAAAAGGGAAAAAAATATTTGGCTCTCATGAGCATGAGGTAAGATTTAAAGACTTAAAGTACATGGCAACAATCTAGTATGCTAGCAAAGGAAGAAAAAAAGGGTTCTTAACTGAATTTAGAATATCATTGTGTTATAAAAGGACATCAACTTAAGCTCTGTTCTCTAAACAAGTGTTTCCAAACTAATATGTTGAGATATAAGTAGGGCTTTCACACCGTACGTCTACCCATCTCCCTATCTTTTTAAATTTTATTTTACTTTTTCTTTGAGACAAGGTCTCACTCTATCACCCAGGCTGGAATGCAGTGGCACAATTATGGCTCACTGCAGCCTCAACCTCCCGGGCTCAAGTGATCCTCCTGCTTCAGCCTTCTGACTAGCTGGGACCACAGGCGCACACCACCACCTCAACTCATTTTAATTTTGTTATTATCTTTAGAGATGGAGTCTCCCTATGTTGCTCAAGCTGGTCTTGAACTCCTGGGCTCAAGTGATCCTCCCACCTTGGCCCCCGCAAAGTGGTGAGTTTATAAGCATGAGCCACCACCCCAGCACCTCCTGCCCCATCTTTTTATAAATTCCCAATTTTCTTCTGTGGGACAGAAGGGACAATTCTAAACTCCCAGCAGAAGTACTGGAGTACATTTACAAGAGTGAGGAAGAGTACAAGATACCAAAGATCTTAACTTTAAGTTACTCTTTTTTATTCTATTGACCTGACAGCAGGCACACATTGGGCACTGTAAGAAAGTCCCCAGTTATGCCTACCTTGTCATCACTTTGCTAATATTTGTTAATCTTGCTTTGAAGCTCTGCTACTCTCATTCCCCAATTAACCCAATCTGAAAGAAGCAAAAATTAAGATTCCTAATCTTTCCCTGTAAAGTGAAATTTTAGTAGTGGGACTGGTCATTGATTAAGACAAATGCCATGTCAGGAGAAAACATCACATGGCATATGCTTCACGGAGACAAACCACTCCAAAGTGAGCTGCTGTTACCATAGTAAACAGCTTTTTACATTAGCGAACTTTAAAAGGTCATGAGATTGGTACAGAGAAAAAACCTTCCCCTGAGGCTACTTAACTTGACTGTTCTTTCTCTGGGGACTAAAGGTTTTTCTTTTTCTTTTTCTTTTCTTTTTTTTTTTTTTTTTTTTTTTTTTGAGACGGAGTCTTGCTCTGTCGCCCAGGCTGGAGTGCAGTGGCACGATCTTGGCTCACTGCAAGCTCTGCCTCCGGGGTTCACACCATTCTCCTGCCTCAGCCTCCTGAGTAGCTGGGACCATAGGCGCCCGCCACCATGCCCGGCTAATTTTTTGTAGTTTTAGTAGAGATGGGGTTTCACCGTGTTAGCAGGATGGTCTCAATCTCCCGACCTTGTGATCCACCCGCCTCGGCCTCCCAAAGTGCTGGGATTACAGGCATGAGCCACTGCGCCCGGCCAGGTTTTTCTTTTTCCCAGTCCGTAACGTTGCCAGAGTGAGCTAGAAAGTACATAACATTCTTCTCTTAAAACAAAACAAAACAAAAAAATGGCTTACACCTGTAATCCCAGCACTTTGGGAGGCTGAGGCAGGCGGATCACTTGAGGCCGGGAGTTCGAGATCAGCCTGGCCAACATGGTGAAACCCCATCTCTACTAAAAATACAAAAGTTAGCCAGGCATGGTGGTGCATGCCTATAATTCCAGCTACTCAAGTGGCTGAGACATGAGAATCGCTTGAACCTGGGAAGCAGAGGTTGCAGTGAGCCAAGATTGTGCCACTGCATTCCAGCCTGGGTGACGAAGTGAGACTATGTCAAAAACAAAACAAAACAAAAACTCCCACAGGTCTCCATCACCTGCAGGATGAAGTTCAGGCTCTTTAGCCCAGTGTATAGAGCCTTCCATCATCCGACACTGCCTACTTCACTAGCCTCATCTCTCACCACTTCTTACCTTACTGTTTATACTCTAACAATCTCAACTATGTGTAGTCCCCTGCACTATGGTTTTGTGATGTAATATGTCTTTGTACATGCTGTTCTCTTAAACTAGAATAAATCTTCCCTGCCTTATCCACTTGGCAAATTCCATTTTATCATTCAAAACCCTACTGAAGAATCACTCCTTCTGTGAAGTCTTCCGTGATCAAAACACCCTACCCCAAGTCCCTCTTCTAGGGATTTACACACCTTGTAAGTATTGCAGCATTAAAAAAAAAGACACTGAAATTTAAGTATCCTTTCTAAGACTTAATAGCAATAAGAACTTGGTCAAATCACTTATCCTCTCTGAGCCAGTCTCTTCATTTGTAAAATGATTCTACTAATAATTACCACCTGGGCTTGTGGTGAGGCTTACATAAAATTGGTTGATATGAAACTGCTTTTTAAGCTGCAAAGGTATCATCATCATCATTTCTAATCAAATTGATGTCACAGACTAGACCACTTCCCCTTTAGAAATGGCTCTTCTATCAGCCAAACTTTCCTCTATTCCCATCCATTATACTTATTCTATCTCTTTTCCCTGAAGAATCTGATGCCTTGTGGCTTTCCCTGCCAGACTTCAAAACACTAACGAGTACATTCTAGTCCTCAAGTAATAGATTTGCTAAATCATTTGCTAAATAATTTAGGACCATTCTTTATTAATGGATTCCTTCAATTTCTAAAATTGACAGTTTCCTACAGTATCTTTATCACCATTGACCTAATAAGTGATTTTTATCCTAAGTCACACATAGAAATGGCTACTCCTTACATCCTTACATGAAAACATTTTTCCCTGAATCTGAAAACAGTTGAGTCACTCACCCAGAGTCACACACTTTTTACAGAAAATATGGCCACAGCTGGTGACAAAGAAATGGGCCCCATCTTTTCGGAAGCACTGGTTGCAATGAAACCAATCCATTCTGGAGCAGATAAAGAGAAAGAGTAAGAATAACCTAGAGAATAACATAATTATAGCTGTTCCAAAATCTATGTAACCGTGCTTGCTTAGCTTCTGATAGCTTTTTGGGATGTGGCATATCATTGTGGGTATTCCAATTGGTTGTAAAGAAGTATATGTACATATACAGTGAAAAAAAAGCAGACTGCTTTTTATAACAGCAGGTTGTTATAACATTTTATATATAAATGTGTGTGTGTGTATATATATATACATATAAACACACATTTAGAAAAGTAATGGACAGACAGTGGTGAGATTTTTTTTTTTTTGAGTGGTGAGGTTATGAGTGTGTGTGTGTGTGTGTGTGTGTTTTCCTTTACTTTTTTTTCCCCCAGGTTTTCTGGATTAATACATGTGCCAGTTTGTAATTAGAAAATACAATCCTGGCCAAGCACAGTGGCTCACGCCTGTAATCCCAGCACTTTGGGAGGCCGAGGCAGGTGGATCACCTGAAGTCAAAAGTTTAAGACCAGCCTGGCCAACATGGTGAAACCCCATCTCTACTAAAAATATAAAAATTAGCTGGGCATGGTGGCAGGCACCTGTAATCCCAGCTAATCAGGAGGCTGAGGCAGGAGAATCACTTGAACCCAGGAGGCAGAGGTTGCAGTGAGCTGAGACCGTGCCATTGCACTCCAGCCTAGGCGACAGAGCCAGACTCCGTCTCAAAAAAAAAGAAAAAGAAAAAGAAAAAAGAAAATACAATCCTAAAAATATAAAAACAAAAAATGAATCGTCCATTTCTTTTTTAACTACTTCCTGTGATATGGTGAGAGTGGAGCCAAGAGAAGGTAGTGAACCAGAAAGAGAAGATCACATATTAGCCACTTGGGACACATTTTATCTAAGGGAAATAGGGCTGATGAATGATGGTATGGTCTCAGCTTGTATACTTTCCTTCCACAGAAGGAAATATACTTTTCTTCTGCAGAAACTCAGAATCAGGCCAAGCATGGTGTCTCACACCTGTAATCCCAGCACTTTGGGAGGCCGAGGTGGGTGGATCACCTGAGGCCAGGAGTTCAAGACCAGCCTGGCCAACGTGGCAAAACTCCGTCTCTACTAAAAATAAAAGAAAATTAGCTGGGTGTGGTGGTGCACGCCTGTAACCCCAGCTACTTGGGAAGCTGAGGCATGATAATTGCTTGAACCCAGGAGGTTGCAGTGAGCCAAGATCGTGCCACTGCACTCCAGCCTGGGCGACAGAGTGAGACTCCATCTGAAAAAAAAGAAACTCAGAATCATAGATCTGATATGGACTTTGAAAAATTACTTAATGTTTGTTCAGTCCCAACATTTTTCAAAAGAGGTACCTGATATTCAGTAAAATTAAATGACTTGTCGAAAGTTCCATCTTTAGTTATTGGTCTCCTGATTCCCCATGTAAAGTTCTTGCTCCCACATTAAATAACTTTTGTGTTAGACATGGTAATCATATAGCCTGTATTTTCTGCCAATACCAATTTCATATACTTTGTTAAATACCTGAGTAAATGTGACTTTGTAAGGTTTCTTTGTGGGATTATTATTATTATTATTATTATTATTATTATTATTATTATTATTTTGAGACAGGGTCTGGCTCTGTCTCCAGGTTGGAGTGCAGTGGCAGATCAGGGCTCGCTGCAGCCTGGAACTCCTGGGCTCAAGCGATCTTCCCACCTCAGCCTCTGGAGTAGCTGGGACTACAGGCGAGCACCACCACGCCTGGCTATTTTTTATTTTTATTTTTATTTTTTGTAGAGACAAGGCCTCTCTGTGTTACCCAGGCTGGTCTGGAACTCCTGGACTCAAACGATCCTCCTTCCTTGGCCTCCCAAAGTGCTGGGATTACAGGCGGGAGTCACTGCACCGGGACTTTTCGTAGGATGTGTGTGTGTGTGTAACCGCTGAGGGATACAAACTTCGTAAGATTTACGATAAAAAATGTACTGAATAAACAGCTCAACGCAAACGCATCCCACAGTGCCACGAGCTTCGTTGTCCTATTTGTTCGATCGTGATACACTAACTTTCACCAGCAAGTGAGTCTAAAAAACCACTGAAAAGGCCCCGTTCTATATGCCCAGGTTTGTTTAAGGGCAGCAACAATGTCATCCCCTGAATTGACCAGATGAGCCCAACATAAAAAAGGCAGTGAACAGGGTGATTAAGGCGACCCTGAGGGCAAAATTCCCCTGCTTTCCAGAGGCGATGGGGCCTCAGCCGTCTCAAGCTTCTCAGTTCTTTTTCTGGCTACACTCCCTACCCGCTTGGCCGCTGTGATTCCAGAAAGCCTCAGATCTCAGGAAATCATCCAGTTCTCCTCACGAAGAGCTGGACATGGCGGGAAAGTAAACAGCTGGCTTGGCACCGGGTGAGGAAAGAGGCTGGGCGCAGCCGAGGCGGTGTGAGAGGTGTGGGCGGGGCCTGGCGGTATGCTAAATCAGTGGGCGTGGCTCCGTGGCGTGCGCGGGGCGTGGGCGGGGCCCGCAGAGGCTGTCACTGGGCTAGGAGCGGCTCGCGGTGGCGGGAGAGGGGTGTAGGAGACTTTTCCCAGCAGCCCAGGAAAATTCACCTCACTTAAAAGATTGGGGACAAATAAACACTGTAACCTAATCCCATACATGTTACTGTGGAAACAAAAAGGTGAAAATAAAACCTAATTAATGTTCCAATAAACGATGAGAACGCAATATAAATTGTGGTCATAAAGTGGGCGAAAACTTTTGCTTAATATTCTAAAATGAAATGAAAATAATGGGTGCTTTGAAAGAATAGCGTAAAATCGGAAACAGGAAAATTTAAAAATGATGCGGACAAAGAACAGTGTGATATTAATTGAGAACTAACAAATTTCAATTAAAAAAAGTCAACCTTTATTCAGAAATTTTTGGCCAGGGGCGGTGGCTCACGCCTGTAATCCCAGCACCTTGGGAGGCCGAGGCGGGCGGATCACTTGAGGTCAGGAGTTATAGACCAGACTGGCCAACATGGCGAAACCCCGCTTCTACTAAAAATACAAAAATTAGCCGAGTGTGGCGACACGCACCTGTAATCTCAGCTACTGAGGAGGCTGAGGCAGGAGAATCGTTTGAACCCGGAAGGCGGAGGTTGCAGTGAGCCGAGATCGCGCCACTGCACTTCAGCCTGGGAGACAGAGAGAGACTCCGTCTTTAAAAAAAAAAAAAAATTAGCCGGGTGTGGTGGCGGGTGCCCGTAGTCCCAGCTACTTAGGGAGGCTGAGGCAGGTGTATCACTTAATCCCACGGGGTCGAGGCTGCAGTTAGCTGTGTTCACGCCACTGCACTCCAACCTGGTTGAGGGAGCAAGACACTGCCTCAAACAAAAAAAAAAAAAAAAGAGAGAGACAGAATAAGATTGGCATCAGATTTCTCCACAGAAGCATTCTAGATAACAATGAAACAACATTTTCCAGATTTTCACGGAAACTATGATCCCAGAAATTTATATCCCCTTATATTGTGTTCAGGTATAAAGGCCACTGGCAAAAAGCATGCAAATGAGCTTTTCCTGAGGAATCCACTTAGAGTAGTAGTTCTCAAACTTTTTGGTCTCAGGCTTCCTTTACAAAATTATTGAAGACCCTCCAAAGAGCTTTTGTTTATGTAAATTGCATCTACCAATATTTACCAAATTAGCAATTAAAAGTGAGAAATTTTAAAATATTTATTATTTGAAATTTTTAAATATTATTTGAAAACAATAATAAACCCCATTAAATGTGTGTTTGTTTGTTGTTGTTGTTTGGGGTTTTTTTGCTTTTTGTTGTTGTTGTTGTTGTTTTTTGAAGCAGAGTCTCACTCTGTCGCCAGGGCTGGAGTGCAGTGGCGCCATCTCGGCTCACTGCAACCTCCGCCTCCTGGGTTCAAGCGATTCTCCTGCCTCAGCCTCCTGAGTAGCTGGGATTACAGGCGCCTGCCATTACGCCCAGCTAATTTTTTCTATTTTTAGTAGAGACGGGGTTTCACCGTGTTGGCCAGGCTGCTCTCGAACTCCTGACATCATGATCCACCTGCCTTGGTCTCCCAAAGTGCTGGGATTACAGGTGTGAGCCACCGCGCCTGGCCAAAATGTTAATATAAATAATCTATGGAAAATATGTTTTCCAAAACAAGAAAAATTTAGTGAGAAGAGTGGCATCGTTTTTACATTTTTGTAATCTCTTGCTATGTAGCTTAATAGAAAGCTGGTGGAGTCCTATATTTGCTTCTGCATTAACTTTTGCAGTACGCTGTTTTGGTTGGAGTGTGTGAAGAACATTTGGATTCACTCAAATATGTGGGGAAAGAGAATGGTATTTAAATGGCCTTTTCAGATAATTGTGAACATTTCTCTTTGATATCACATAAAAATTCAGGAAGTCTGAGTTAAAAGTTGATTGCAAAGTGGGATCTGAACCATATCAATGAACTTTTTATAGCCGGTTACATTAAAATTATTTGGTCTGTTTTGCACTTTAAATGGATCTTTTGCCCATGCACGATTTTGTAACATCATACATTTAGACCAAACTGGTCATTTCAAAAATTTTGGTTCACTGAGTTATACACATCAGTGCATTTTGTTATACAATATTAAATATTGACACAGTTCATTACACAATATAAAAAATCACTTTTGTTAATATCACTATCTATCTCATCAGGTAAGTATTTGAGTCTTGGGAAGCTGTCAAGCTGTCAGTTGCAGGTACAAGTTTTCCAAAGGTCTAATTTTCATCTGAAAGCTTGAATTTTATCATTGGCAACAAATACTGTCACTGGTTTTCCTTGAAGTGGCAAGGCAGTTTTGTTTATTTTTGAGAAAATGCCTACCAAATACCTAAGTCTGAATAGTTTGTATGTTAGATGTTCTTTCAAGTAAAAACAGTATTCCATGAAAAAAGTGATTAGCTCAGGTTACAAATCAAACTATTCCATAAATAGTTTTCTTAAATATAATTGTTTTTAAGAGATGGGCGTCTCCCTCTGCTGCCCAGGCTAGAGTTTAGTGGCACAATCATAGCTTGCTACAGCCTAGAATACCTGGGCTCAAGGGATCCTTCTGCCTCAGCCTCCTCCACCTTGCCTGGCTATTTTTTTTTTTTCCTGAGACAGAGTATTGCTCTGTCACCCAGGCTGGAGCGCAGTGGCACCATCTCAGCTCACTGCAACCTCCGCCCACTGGGTTCAAGCAATTCTCCTGCCTCAGCTTCCCAAGTAGCTGGGATTACAGGCATTTGCCACCACGCCTGGTTAATTTTTGTATTCTTAGTTGAGATGGGGTTTCACCATGTTGGCCAGGCTGGTCTCAAACTCTTGACCTCGTGATCCACCTGCCTCGGCCTCCCAAAGTGCTGGGATTACAGGTATGAGCCACCGTACCCAGCCCTAATTTTTAATATTTTTTTAAGAGACAAGGTCTCACTGTGTTGCCCAGGCTGGTCTCAAATTCCTGACCTCAAACCATCTTGCTGCCTCAGCCTCCCCAGCAGCTGGGATTACAGGCATGTAGCATCATGCCTGAGTAATCTTAATTCTACTTAAATAAAAGTTTTCACTGGAAAATATTTTAGTGCCATGTGGAGTGGGGCGTTAGCCCCATCCAATATTAAAATATATTATAAAACGTCTGTAATTTAAAGTGTGGTGTTGGTGCATAAACGTGTAGACCAATGAAACAGAATCAAGTCTAGAAATAGAACCAAGTACGTTAATAAATTTTAATTGGTAAGTGTGCATGGGGAATTGAATTTTTATATACATAGAATTGGGACAACTGAATAGCCATCTGAAAAAATATAAAATTGAGTCTGTTTCTCATACTGTTTACCAGGATAAATTTCAAATGGATCAGAAATCTAAACAGACAGGTACCAGACGAAAATAATAGTAAATACTCTTATAACCTAGGTGTGCAGGAAATCTTCCTAGGATCCAAAAATCTAGAAGAGAGAAAATATTGACAAATTTGACTAAGTAATTTTAAAAAAAACTTTTTGCATGTACACACACACACACACACGAAAAGTAAAGCACAAAGTGACAAATTACAAAAAAAATCAACTTAAATCCTAAAGGGCTAATAGCTTTAATATACAAAGAGCTTTTTAAAAAAGAAAACCAACAACTTAATAGAAATTTGAACAGTTGAAAAAAAAAAGAGACCAACAGTTTTCCTAGAAAATATCTTGGTTTTGAGTGTTCTGGGCTTTTTGAGTGTTCCTTCGTACACATGGTATACATGGCTGGAGTGCAAGTGCAGTGGTACTATCTCAGCTCACTGCAACCTCTGCCTCCCAGGTTCAAGCAATTCTCCTGCCTTAGCCTCCTGAGTAGCTGGAACTACAGGCACACACCACCAGGCCTGGCTAATTTTTGTATTTTTAGTAGAGACAGGGTTTCACCGTGTTGGCCAGGCTGGTCTCGAACTCCTGACCTCAGGTGATCCGCCCACCTTGGCTTCCCAAAGTGCTGGGATTACAGGCATGAGCCACCATGCCCAACCTACCCATTTTTAATTGGGTTGTTTATTTTCTTATTGTTGAGTTTTGAGAACTCTTTTTTTTTTTTTTTTTTTTGAGACAGGGTCTCACTCTGTTGCCCAGGCTGAAGTGCAGTGTCATGATTATGGCTCACTGCAGCCTCAACCTCCCAGGCCCGAATGATTCCCCTAACTCAGCCTCCCGAGTGGCTGGGACTACAAGCATGCACCACCATACCCGGCTAATTTTTCTATTTTTTTTTTTTTTTTTTTTTTGTAGAGATGGGGTTTCACCATGTTGCCCAGGCTGGTCTCAGACTCCTGGGCTCAACTGATCCTCCCACCTCAGCCTCCTAAAGTACTGGGATTATAGGCATGAGCCACCAAACCCAGATAAAATTTTCTTTTCTTTAAATATTCTTTTTTTTTTTTTTAATTGATCATTCTTGGGTGTTTCTCGCAGAGGGGCATTTGGCAGGGTCATAGGACAATAGTGGAGGGAAGGTCAGCCAATAAACATGTGAACAAAGGTCTCTGGTTTTCCTAGGCAGAGGACCCTGCGGCCTTCCGCAGTGTTTGTGTCGCTGGGTACTTGAGATTAGGGAGTGGTGATGACTCTTAACCAGCATGCTGCCTTCAAGCATCTGTTTAACAAAGCACATCTTGCACCGCCCTTAATCCATTTAACCCCGAGTGGACACAGCACATGTTTCAGAGAGCACAGAGTTGGGGGTAAGGTCATAGATCAACAGCATCCCAAGGCAGAAGAATTTTTCTTAGTACAGAACAAAATGGAGTCTCCTATGTCTACTTCTTTCTACACAGACACAGCAACAATCTGATTTCTCTGTCTTTTCCCCACCTTTCCCCCTTTTCTATTCCACAAAACCACCATCGTCATCATGGCCCGTTCTCAATGAGCTGTTGGGTACACCTCCCAGATGGGGTGGTGGCCGGGCAGAGGGGCTCCTCACTTCCCAGACGGGGCAGCTGGGCAGAGGCACCCCCACCTCCCAGACAGGGTGGCGGCCGGGCAGAGGCTGACCCCCCCCCCACCTCCCTCCCAGACGGGGCGGCTGGCCGGGTGGGGGCTGACCCCCCCACCTCCCTCCCGGACGGGGCGGCTGGCCGGGCGGGGGCTGACCCCCCACCTCCCTCCCAGACGGGGCGGCTGGCCTGGTGGGGGCTGACCCCCCAACTCCCTCCCGGACGGGGAGGCTGGCCGGGCGGGGGCTGACCCCCCAACTCCCTCCCGGACGGGGTGGCTGCTGGGCGGGGGCTGACCCCCACCTCCCTCCCAGAGGGGTGGCTGCTGGGCAGAGACGCTCCTCACTTCCCAGACGGGGCGGCTGCCGGGCGGAGGGGCTCCTCACTTCTCAGACGGGGCGGCTGCCGGGCGGAGGCGCTCCTCACTTCTCAGACAGGGCGGCTGCCGGGCGGAGGGGATCCTCACTTCTCAGATGGGGTGGCTGCCAGGTGGAGGGGCTCCTCACTTCTCAGACAGGGCAGCCGGGCAGAGACGCTCCTCACCTCCCAGATGGGGTTGCGGCCGGGCAGAGGCGCTCCTCACATCCCAGATGGGGCGGCGGGGCAGAGGCGCTCCCCACATCTCAGACGATGGGCAGCCGGGCAGAGACGCTCCTCACTTCTTAGACGGGATGGCGGCGGGGAAGAGGCCCTCCTCACTTCCCAGAGTGGGCAGCCGGGCAGAGGGGCTCCTCACATCCCAGACGATGGGCAGCCAGGCAGAGACGCTCCTCACATCCCAGACGGGGTGGCAGCCGGGCAGAGGCTGCAATCTCGGCACTTTGGGAGGCCAAGGCAGGCGGCTGGGAGGTGGAGGCTGTAGCTAGCCAAGATCACGCCACTGCACTCCAGCCTGGGCAACAACATTGAGCACTGAGTGAACGAGACTCCGTCTGCAATCCCGGCACCTCGGGAGGCCGAGGCTGGCAGATCACTCACGGTTAGGAGCTGGAGACCAGCCCGGCCAACACAGCGAAACCCCCTCTCCACCAAAAAAATACAAAAACCAGTCAGGCGTGGCGGCGCGTGCCTGCAATCGCAGGCACTGGGCAGGCTGAGGCAGGAGAATCAGGCAGGGAGGTTGCAGTGAGCCGAGATGGCAGCAGTACAGTCCAGCTTCGGCTCAGCATCAGAGGGAGACCATGGAAAGAGAGGGAGAGGGAGACCGTGGGGAGAGGGGAGAGGGGAGAGGGGAGAGGGGGAGCTCTTTAAATATTCTTATCTTTTCTTCTACTCTGAAAGGAAAATGGGGTACCTCTGGAAATTTTCTTCAAAAATTCTAGAAATCTAGATTTGTAATTTTGATTTTACATTTAGGTATATGATTCATTTGAGTTAATTTTCTACATGGTGTGAGGTATGGATTAAAGTTTGCATGTGCATATGTGGGTGTGTTTTGCATGTGGATATCCAATTGTTTCAGCACCATTTTTTTAAAAGATTAACTTTTCTCAACTAAATTGCCTTTGTCAAAAATTGATTGCCCAGAGAAAATAATTCCATTTGTGACAGCATCAAGAAGGATAAAATATTTAGGAATAAATTTAATCAAGGAGAGGCACAAGACTTGTTTGTACATAGAACACTACTTAATATTGTTTACAATAGCATCCAAAGCTATATACGGATTCAATGTCATCCCTATCAAAATTCCAACTATTTTTTCAGAAATTGAAAAATCCACCCTAAAATTAATATAAAATTTCAAAAAACTTAGAATAGTCAAAACAATCTTAAAAAGGAAAAAATTTGGAAGACTCATATTGCCCAATTTCAAAACCTACTACAAAGCTACTGTAATCAAAACAGTGTGTTTCTAGCATAAGGATAGACATATATAGACCAACAGAATAGAACTGAGAATCCAGAAATAAACCCTCACATCTATGGTCAGTTGATTTTTGACAAGGGTGTCAAGACCATTGAATAGGGGAAAGAACAGTCTCTGCAACAAACAGTGCTGGGAAAACTATGTCCATATGCAAAAGAATAAAGTTGAATCCTTACCTTACACCATATACAAAAATTAACTCAAAATGGATCAAAGACCTAAATGTATGGGTGAAAACTCTAAAACTCTTAGAAGAAAATATAGGGGAAAATCTTCATGACCTTGTATTTGGCAATGGTTTTTTTTTTTTTTTTTTTTTTTTTTTTTTGAGATGGAGTCTCGCTCTGTCGTCCAGGCTGGAGTGCAGTGGCGCGATCTCGGCTCACTGCAAGCTCCGCCTCCCGGGTTCACGCCATTCTCCTGCCTCAGCTTCCCGAGTAGCTGGGACTACAGGCCCCCGCCACCACACCCGGCTAATTTTTTGTATTTTTAGTAGAGACGGGGTTTCACCGTGTTAGCCAGGATGGTCTCGATCTCTTGACCTCGTGATCCACCCGCCTCGGCCTCCCAAAGTGCTGGGATTACAGGCGTGAGCCACCGCGCCCGGCCGGCAATGGCTTTTTAAATACAAAAATAGCACAGGCAACAGAAGAAAAATAAATAAAAGGGACTTAGTTAAAATTAAAAACTTTTGTGCAACAAAGGATACTATCAAGAAAGTGAAAGGCAACCCACAGAATGGGATAAAATATTAGTAAATCATATATCTGATAAGGTTTTAATATTCAAAATATAAAAAGAACTACAACTCTCTCTCTCTTCCTTTTTCCACCATTGTGGTGTGTATTCGACTCCGCTTCTCATCATGTCTTCTCACAAGACTTTCAGTATTAAGCAATTCCTAACCAAGAAACAAAAGCAAAATCATCCCATTCCTCAGTGGATTTGGATGAAAACTGATAATAAAATCAGGTACAACTTTAAAAGGAGACATTGGAGAAGATTCAAGCTGGATCTATAAGGAATTGTGCACGAGATGGCACACATATTTATGCAGTATCAAGCTCATAACCATCTTACCATATCAAGCTAAAAATGTCACCACTATCTGGACAGTTGGGCATGTTTTATTGGGAATATAGTTTTTCTGTTTCTTTATTTGCTGTGCGCTAGTAGTCTGGGTTCAGTAATAAATATGTGAGAACTCTTGTTTCAAAAAAAAGAACAACTCAACAACAAAAAAGTCAAACAACCCAATTAAAAATAGGCAAAAGATTTGAATAGACATTTCTACAAAGAAGATATAGAAGTGTCCAGCAGACACATGAAAAGATTCTCAATATAATTAGTCATAGGGGAAATGCAAATTAAAACCACAGTGAAATATCATTTCACATGTGGTGGGGTGGCTAGAATTTTCTAAATGAAAATATGTTTTAGGAGGATATGGAGAAATCAGAACCCTTGTACATTGCTGATGGGAATGTACAATGATGCACCTGCTTTGGAAAGCAATTTGGTGGCTCCTCAAAAAGTGAAAAATAGAACTATCCTGCCATGTGACCCAGCAATTCCATTCCTAGGTGTATACAAAATAATTTAAAACAGGGGCTCAAACAGATATGTGTACACCAATATTCCTACCAGCATTATTCACAATAACCAAAAGATAGAAACAACACAAATGTCCATTAGTAGATGAATGGATAAACAATGTGGTATATATATATATATATATATATATATATATATATATATATAAAATATTATTCAGCCATAAAGGAAATAAAGTTTTGATACATGCTACAACATGGATGAATCTTGAAAAAATTATGCTAAGTGAAATAAGCCAGACACAAAAAGAGAAATATTGTATAATCTCACTGAAATATCCAGAACAGTCAGATTTATAGAGACAGAAAGTAGATTAGAGGTTAGCAGGAACTAGGGGTATGAGAGATAGGAAGTAATTGCTTAATGGGTGAAGAGTTTCTGTTAGTGGTTATGAAAAATTATGGAAATAGAGATGATGATTGTACAACATTGTGAATGTACCTAATGCCACTGAATTGCACACTAACAATGGTTAAAATAGCAAATTTTATGTTATATATTTTACCGAAATAAAAAGGAAAATCAGTGTTCTATACATATTCAAGCCCATTTCTGCATGCTCTATTCTGTTCCACTGATTGATTTGTCTGTCTTGATGCCAATACCATACTGTCACTTACTGTAGCCTTATGATAAGTCTTGAAATGATGTAGTCTTGATCCTCTTTGTTCTTTCTTCTTCTTGTGTTTTTGTTTTGTTTTGTTTTGTTTTTTTGTTTTTTTAGAGAGTCTTGCTCTGTCACCCAGGCTGGATTGCGTTAATGTGATCACAAGTCACTGCAACCTGGAAGTCCTGGGCTCAAGTGATCCTCCCTGCTCATCCTCCCTGCTCATCCTCCCAAATAGTTAGGACTACAGGCACATGCCACCACACCTGTTAATTTTTTTTTTTTTTTTTTTTTTTTTGGTAGAGATAGGGTTTTACTATGTGGGCCAGGCTGGCCTCAAACTCCTGGCCTCAAGTGATTTTCCTGCCTTGGCCTCCCAAAGCTCTGGGATTACAGCTGTGATCCACTGCGCCTGGCCAGCCTGTTCTTTTGCAGAGTTGCTTTGACCATTCTAACTCATTTGCATTTCCAAATGAATTTTATTATCAGATAAACAATTTCTAAAAAGAGCCTGATGAGTTTTTTTTTTAGACAGAGTTTCGCTCTCGTCACCCAGGCTGGAGTGTGATGGCACGATCTCAGCTCACCGCAATCTCCACCTCCACCACCTTCAAGCAATTCTCCTGCCTCAGCCTCCTGAGTAGCTGGGATTACAGGCATGTGCCACCACGCCTGGCTAATTTTGTATTTTTAGTAGAGACGAGGTTTCTCCATGTTGGTCAGGCTGGTCTTGAACTCCCGACCTCAGGTGATCCACCTGCCTCGGCCTCCCAAAGTGCTGGGATTACAGGCTTGAGCCACCATGCCTGGCATTGCCTGATGAGATTTTTAAAAAACTTTTATATTTTTAGAACTTTTTATTGACCAGGTGTGGTGACTCAAGCCTGTAATCCCAGCACTTCGGGGGGCTGAGGTGGGTGAATCACCTGAGTCCAGGAGTTTGAGATCAGCCTGGCCAATGTAGTAAAATCCTGTCTCTACAAAAAGTACAAAATTAGCCAGGCGTGCTGATGCATGCCTGTAGTCCCAGCTACTAAGGAGGTTGAGGTGGGAGAATCTCTTGAGCCTGCAGGTTGAGGCTGCAGTGAGCAGTGATTGCACCACTGCCTCCAGCCTGGGTGACAGGGCGAGAACTAGTCTCAAAACAAACAAAAAAACACTTTTTGTTCGATTTAATGTATATTCAATGTATATTGACATTTAATGTATATTCAATGTATATTGATGTATAATATACATACAGAAGTATGCCTATTTCTTGCACACATAGCTTACTGAATTTCCACAAACTCAACACACCCATGTAATCAGCCACCCTGATCAGAAATCATAACATTCCCAGCACCCAGAAAACCCCTGTGCCCGCTTCCATACACCATCTCCCCTAAAGGCAACCATTGTCCTGCTTTCTAATACCATAAATTGTAACTTTTTGTTTTAAAATAATTACAGAGAGAAGGTTCTTTGAGCACAAACTCCTCTTCTCCATTCCCTGATCAACGAATAAAGTTTCTACTCCGTTTTACCAAAAAAAAAATTATAATAATAAAATAAAATAGCTATAGATTCATAGGAAATTGCCAAAAGTAGTGTAGAAAGGTTCCATATACCCTTGACTCATTTATTTCCCCAACGATAACTTCTTATATAAATATAATACAATATCAAAACCAATAAATTGACATTGGTACCATCCATAGACCTCATGACATTACTGATTTCATTAGTCTTACTTATACTCATTTTTGTGTGTGTTCACAATTTTATCACATGTAAAGATTTGTGAGGCCACCACCACAATCAAGAAACAGACTGAAGGGCCGGGTGTGATGGCTCATGTCTGTAATCTTAGCAGTCTGAGAGGCCAAACCCGGAGGATTACTTGAGCTCAGGAGTTCAAGACCAGCCTGAGCAACATAGACCTCCTCTCTATTAAAAAAAAAAAAAAGAAGAAGAAGAAAGAAGGAAAGGAAAAAAAAAGAAGAGAGGAGAGGAGACGGGAGGGGAGGGGAGGGGAGGGGACTAGCCGAGATAAGACGAGACTGGTCCAGCACCACGAAGATGCCTTGTGCCATCTCTTACCATCACCCACCGGTTTTCCGTGTCCCCTTTTCTTTTTGTTTTGTTTTTGATACAGAGTCTCGCTCTGTCACCCAGGCTGGAGTGTGGTGGCGCGATCTCGGCTCACTGCAAGCTCCGCCTCCCGGGTTCACCCCATTCTCCTGCCTCAGCCTCCCCAGCAGCTGGGACTACAGGCGCACGCCGCCATGTCCGGCTAATTTTTTTGTATTTTTAGTAGAGATGGGGTTCCACCGTGTTAGCCAGGATGGTCTCGATCTCCTGACCTGGTGATCCGCCCGCCACAGCTTCCTAAAGTGCTGGGATTACAGGCGTGAGCCACCGCGCCCGGCCCCGTGTTCCTATTTATTTATTTATTTATTTAATTTTTTTTTTTTTTTTTTTTGAGACGGTTTCTTGCTCTGTCGCCCAGGCTAGAGTGCAGCGAGCGATCTTGGCTCACTGCAACCTCCGCCTCCTGGGTTCAAGCGATTCTCCTGCCTCAGCCTCCCGAGTAACTGGGATTACAGGCACCCGCCACCACACCCTGCTAATTTTTGTATTTTTAGTACAGACGGGGTTTCACCATCTTGGCCAGGCTGGTCTCCAACTCCTGACCTCGTGATCCACCCGCCTCAGCCTCCCAAAGTGCTGAGATTACAGGCGTGAGCCACCGCGCCCAGCCGAGTTTTTTAATTTTTTAAAAAATTTTTCATTTTTGTGGGTACATACTTGGTGTGTATACTTACAGGGTACATGAGATATTTTGCAATGTGTAATAGTGCAATGAGTAATATTCACATCATGAAAGATAGGGTATCGATCCCCTCGTGCTTTTATCCTTTGTGTTACAAACAATCCAATTATACTTTTAGTTATTTTTTAATGTACAATACTCTTTTAGTTATTTTTAAATGTATGATTAAATTATTATTCACTATAGTCACCCTGTTATGCTATCAAATACTAGGTCTTATTTATTCTTTCTATTTTTTTTGGTATGCATTAACTATCCCCATCTCCTCCCCACCCCATCCCCACTACCCTTCCCCGCCTCTAATAACCATCCTTCTATTCTCTATCTTCATGAATTGTTTTGATTTTTGATCCCACAAATAAATGAGAACATGAAATGTTTGTCTTTCTGTGCCTGGCTTTTTTCACTTAACATAATGACCTCCAGTTCCACCCATGTTGCTACAAATGACAGAATCTCATTCTTGTTTATGGCTGAATAGTACTCTACTGTATATAAGTACCACATTTTCTTTATCCATTCATCTGTTGATGGACACTTAAGTTGCTTCCAAATCTTGGCTATTGTGAACAGTGCTGCAACACACAAGGGAGTGCAGATATCTCTTTGATATACTGATTTCCTTTCTTTTGGGTATATACCCAGTAGTGGGATTGCTGGATCATGTGGTAGCTCTATTTTTAGTTTTTTGAGGAATCCCCAAACTGTTCTCCACAGTGGCTGTACTAATTTACATTCCCACCAACAGTGTACAAGGGCTCTCTCTTCTCCACATCCTCGCCAGCACTTGTTATTGCCTGACTTTTGAATAAAAGCCATTTTAACTGGGGTAAGATGATATCTTATTGTAGGTGTTTTTTTTTTGTGTGGGGTGGCATCAAGGTGTCTTAATCTGATCACTGTAGTTTCAATTTGCATTTATGTGATCAATGATGTTGAGCACCTTTTCATATGCCTGTTTGCCATTTGTATGTCTTCTTTTGAGAAATGTCTACTCAAATCTTTTGCCCACTTAAAAATCAGATTATCAGATTTTTTCCCATAGAGTTGTTTGAGCTCCTTATATAGTCTAGTTATTAATCCCTTGTCAGATGGAAAGTTTGCAAATATATTCTCTCATTCTGTGGATTGTCTGTTCACTTTGTTGATTGTTTCCTTTGCTGTGCAGAAGCTTTTTAACTTGATGTGATCCCATTTGTCCATTTTTGTTTTGGTTGCCTGAGCTTGTGGGGTATTACACAAGAAATTTTTGCCCGGACCAGTGTCCTGGAAAGTTTCCCCAATGTTTTCTTGAAGTAGTTTCATAGTTTGAGGTCTTAGATTCAATTATTTAATTCATTTTGATTTGACTTTTGTGTATGGGCAAGAGCTAGGGGTTTCGTTTCATTCTTTTGCATATGGACATCAAGTTTTCCCAGCACTATTTGCTGAAGAGACTGTCTTTTCCCCAGTGTACGTTGTTGGCATCCTTGCCCAAAATGAGTTCACTGTTGTTGTGTGGATTTGTTTCTGGGTTCTCTAGTTTGTTCCATTGGTCTATGTGTCTGGTTTTATGCTAGTAGCATGCTGTTTTGGTTACTTTAGCTCTGCAGTATAATTTGAAGTCAGATAATATGATTCCTCCCTTTTTGTTCTTTTTGCTCAGGATAGCTTTGGCTATTCTGGGTCTTCTGTTGTTTCATACAAATTTTAGGATAGCTTTTTTTTTTTGACATTCTATATTTGTGGAGAATGTCATCGGTATTTTGATAAGAATTGCATTGAATCTGTAGATTACTTTGGGTAGCATGGACATTTTAACAATGTTGATTCTTCCAATCCGTGAACATGAAATATCTTTCCTTTGTGTGTATGTGTGTTCTCCTCAATTTCTTTCATCAATGTTTTATAGTTTTCTTCATAGAGATCTTTTACTTCTTTGGTTAATTCCTCGGTAATTAATTTTATATGTGGCTGTTGTAAATAAGATTACTTTTTTATTTCTCTTTCAGATTATTCACTGTTGGCATATAAAAAGTTACTGGTTTTTGTATGCTGATTTTGTATCCTGCAACTTTACTGGATTTTTAAAAATCAATTCTAATAGTTTTTGGTGGAGTCTTTAAGTTTTTCTAAATATAAAATTATGACAACTGCAAACAAGGATAATTTGACCTTTTCCTTTCCAATTTGGATGCCCTTTATTTCTTTCTCTTGTCTGATTACTCTAGCTAAGACTTCCAGTCCTATGTTGAATAACAGTGGTGAAAATGGGCATTCTTATCACATTCCAGATCTGAAAAGAAAGGCTTGGCCGGGCGCGGTGGCTCACGCCTGTAATCCCAGCACTTTGGGAGGCTGAGGCGGGCAGATCACGGGGTCAGGAGATCGAGACCATCCTGGCTAACATCGTGTAACCCCGTCTCTACTAAAAATACAAAAAAATTAGCCGGGCTTGATGGCGGGCGCCTGTAGTCCAGCTACTCGGGAGGCTGAGGCAGAAGAATGGCGTGAACCCGTGAGGCGGAGGTTGCAGTGAGCCGAGATCATATCACTGCACTCCAGCCTGAGCGACAGAGCAAGACTCCATCTCAAAAAAAAAAAGGAAAGGCTTTCAGTTTTTCTCCATTCAGTGTAATATTAGCTGTGGGTCTGTCATATGTGGCTTTTATTATATTGAGGTATCATTCTTCTATACCCAGTTTTTTAAGGGTTTTTTTGTCATGAAGTGACATTGAACTTTATCAAGTGCTATTTCAGCATCAATTGAAATGATCATATGGTTTGTCCTTCGTTCTATTGATATGATGTACGACGTATATTGATTTGCATATCTGAACCATCCTTGCATCCCTGAGATCTCAGTTGATCATGATGAACAATCTTTTCTTTTCCTTTTTTTTTTTTTTTTTGAGACGGAGTTTCACTCTTGTTGCCCAAGCTGGAGTTCAATGGCGCAATTTTGGCTCACTGCAACCTTTGCCTCCCAGGTTCAAGCGATTCTCCTGCCTCAACTTCCTGAGTAGCTAGGATTACAGGTGCGTGCCACCATGCCCGGCTAATTTTTTGTATTTTTAGTAGAAACGGGGGTTCACCATGTTAGCCAGGCAGGTCTCGAACTCCTGACCTCAGATGATCCCCCCGCCTCAGCCTCCCAAAGTGCTAGGATTACAGGTATGAGCCACCTCACCCAGCTGATGAACAATCTTTTTAATGTATTGTTGAATTTGGTTTACTAGCATTTTCGCATCAATATTCATCAGAGATATTGGCCATAGTTTTCTTTTTCTGATGTTTCTTTGTCTGGTTTTGGTATAGGGGAAATACTGGCCTCATAGAATGAGTTTGGAAGTATTCCCTCCTCCTCTACTTTTCAGAACAGTTTGAATAGGATTGGTAGTAGTTCTTTAAATGTTTGGTAGAATTCAGCAATGAAGCCATTGGGTCTCAGGCTTTTCTTTATTGGGAGACTTTTTATTGTGACTTCTATCTTGTTACTTGTTATTTTTCTGTTTAGGTTTTGGTTTTCTTCATAGTTCAATCTTGGTAGGTTGTATATGTCTAAAAATTTATCCATTTCTTCTAGATTTTCCAATTTATTGACATATAGTTGTTCATAGTAGCCATTAATAACCCTTTGAATTCCTGTGGTATTAGTTATGTCTCCTTTTTCTTCTCTGATTTTATTTCTTTGGGTCTTCTTTTTTTTTCTTATTCAGTCTGGCTAAAAGTTTATCAATTTTGTTCATCTTTTCAAAAGAACTTTTTTTCTGTTTCATTGACCTGTTGTATTGTTTTCTTCATGTCAAATTCATTTATTTCTGCTCTGATCCATATTTTTGCTTTTTTTCTCCTAATTTTGGGTTTGGTTTGCTCTTGCTTTTCTAATTCTTTAAGATAATCATTAGGTTATTTGTTTGAAGTTCTTCTTCCTTTTTGATGTAGACACTTATAGCTATACATTTCCCTCTTAATACTGTTTTCACTATATCCCATAGGTTTTGGTATGTTGTGTTTCCATTATCACTTGTTTCAAGGCACTTTTCAGTTTCCTTCTTAATATCTTCATTGGCCCACTGTTCATTCAGAAGCATACTGTTTAATTTCCATGTGTTCATATACTTTCCAAAATTCCTCCTGTTATTGATTTTTAGTTTTATTCCACTGTGGTCAGAGAAGATGCCTGATATTATTTCAGTTTTTTTAAAGTTTTCAGATTTGTTTGGTGACCTAACATATCGTCTATCCTTAAGAATTACCCATGCGCTAAAAAGAAGAATGTGTATTCTACAGCTGTTGGATGAAATGTTCTGCAAATGTTTATTAGGTTCATTTGTTCAGTATTACAGATTAAGTCTGATGTTTGTTGATTTTCTACCTGGGAGATCTGTCCAATGCTGAAAATGGAGTGTTGATATCTCCAGCTATTACCGTATTGGAGTCTGTCTTTCTCTTTAGCTCTAATAATATTTGCTTTATATATCTGGGTACTCTAGCATTGGGTGCATATATACTTACAATTGTTACACTCTCATGCTGAATTGACCCCTTTATCATTATAGAATGACTTTGTCTCTTCTTACAGTTTTTGTCTTGAAATCTATTTTGTCTTTTATAACTATAGCTATTCTTGCTCTTTTTTGGTTTCCATTGTCATGGCACATCTTTTTACATCCCTTTATCTATGTGTATCTGTATAAGTGAAGCGTGTTTCTTTCTTTTTTTTTTTTTTTCCTATTTTCAGTAGAGACAGGGTTTCACCATGCTGGCCAGGCTCGTCTCAAACTCCTGACCTCAAGTGATCTGTCCACCTCAGCCTCCCAAAGTGCTGGGATTATAGGCGTGAGCCACTGCGCCTGGCCTGAAGTGTATTTCTTCTAGGTGACAGATCATTGTGTCTTTTTTTCATCCATTCAGCCACTTTTGATTGGAGAGTTTAGTCCATTTACATTCAATGTTATTATTGATAAATAGCAGCTTACTCCTGCCATTTTATTTGTTTTCTGGTTGTTTTACAGTCTTCTCTTCCTTTTTTCCTTCCTTCCTCTCTTCCTTTTAGTGAAGGTGATTTTCTCTGGTGGTATGCTTTAATTTCCTGCTTTTATTTTTTGTGTATTTGTTTTTTGTTTTGTTTTGTTTTTTTTGATGGAGTCTTGCTCTGTCTCCCAGGCTGGAGTGCAGTGGTGCAATCTCGGCTCACTTCAAGTTCCATCTCCCAGGTTCACGCCATTCTCCTGCCTCAGCCTCCTGAGTAGCTGGGACTACAGGTGCCCGCCACCACGCCCAGCTAATTTTCTGTATTTTTAGTAAAGATGGGATTTCACCGTGTTAGCCAGGGTGATCTCGATCTCCTGACCTCGTGATCCACCTGCCTCAGCCTCCCAAAGTGCTGGGATTACAGGCGTGAGCCACCGAGCCCGGCTGTTTTGTTTTTTGAGACAGAGTCTCGCTATGTTGCCCAGGCTGGAGTGCAGTGGTGTGATCTCGGCTCACAGCAACCTCCATCTCCTGGGTTCCAATAATTCTTGTGTCTCAGCCTCCCAAGTAGCTGGAACTACAGGTGTGCACCACCAGACCCAGCTAACTTTTGTATTTTTAGTAAAGATGGGGTTTTGCCATGTTAGCCAGGCTGGTCTTGAACTCTGGGCCTCAAGCAATCCACCCACCTCGACCTCCCAAAGTGCTGAAATTACAGGCATAAGCCACCTTGCCTGGCCTTGTTGTATGGTTTTTGTTTTTGTTTTTGTTTTTGTTTTTGTTTTTGTTTTTGTTTTTGTTTTTCCCGAGACAGTTTTGCTCTTGTTGCCCAGGCTGGAGTACAATGGTGCCATCCAGGCTCACTGCAACCTCTGCCTCCCAGGTTCAAGGGATACTCGTGCCTCAGCCTCTGGAGTAGCTGGGATTACAGGCATGTGCCACCATGTCTGGCTAATTTTTGTATTTTTGGTAGAGATGGAGTTTCACCATGTTGGCTAGGCTGGTCTCGAACTCCTGACGTCAAACGATCCACCTGCCTCGGCTTCCCAAAATGCTGGGATTACAGGTGTGAGCCACCGTGCCCAGGCCCTTGTTGTGTGTTTTTTTGATTTGAGGTTATCGTGAGGCTTGCAAATATTATCTTAGAACCCAATATTGTAAACTGATGACAACACTGATTGCATATACAAACAAACACACTAAAAGAAAACTAATAAAGGCTGGGAGTGGTGGCTCATGTCTGTAATCCCAGCACTTTGGGAGGCTGAGGCAGGCAGATCACCTGAGGTCGGCAGTTTGAGACCAGCCTGACCAACATGGTGAAACCCCATCTCTACTAAAAATACAAAAATTAGCTGGGCATGGTGGTGCACGCCTATCATTCCAGCTACTTGGGAGGCTAAGGCACAAGAATCACTTGAACCCAGGTGGCAGAGGTTGCAGTGAGCCGAGATCTTGCCACTGCACTCCAGTCTGCGCGACAGAGTGAGACTGTCTCAAAAAAAAAAAAAACTAGAAGGAGAAGAAGGAGAGCGCTACACTTCAACTTCTTTCCTCTGCTTTTAAACTTTTTGTTCTTTCTCTTTATGTTTTATTGCACTGTCTTTGTCTTAAAAAGCTGTTGTTGTTATTTTTTATTAGTTCATCATTTAGTCTTTCTATTTAAGACAAGAGTAGAAACCACCATTACAGTGTTATACTATTCTGTGGTTTTCTGGGTACTTACCAGTGAGTTTCGTACCTTCCGATGATTTCTTCTTGCTCATTAGCATCTTTTTCTTTCAGATTGAAGAACTCCATTTAGCATTTCTTGTAAGACAGTTCTGGTGTTAATGAAATCCCTCAGCTTTTGTTTGTCTGGGAAGGCCTTTATTTCTCCTTCATGTTTGAAGGATATTTCACTGAATATATTCTAAGGTAAAAGTTTTTTTCTTCAGCATTTTAAATATGTCATGCCACTCTCTCCGGGCTTGTAAGTCTTCACTGAAAAGTCTGCTGCCAGACATATTGGTGCTCTATTTTGTTATTTGTTTCTTTTCTCCTCGTACTTTTAGAATCCTTTTTTTTAATCCTTGACCTTTGGGAGTTTGATTATTAAATGCCCGGAGGTACTCTTCTTTGGGTTAAATCTGTTTGGTGTTCTATAACTTTCCTGTACTTGAATGTTGATATCTTTCTCTAGGTTTAGGAAGTTCTCTGATATAATCCTTTGAATAAACTTTCTACCCCTAGCTCTCTTTCTCTACCTCCTCTTTAAGGTTACCTCCTCTTTAAGGCCAATAACTCACATTTGCCCTTTTGAGGCTATTTTCTAGATCTTGTAGGTGTGCTTTATTGTTTTTTATTTTCTTTCGTCTCCTCTGACTCTGTATTTTCTTTTGAGACAGCATCTCACTTCTGTCACCCAGGCTAGGGTGCAGTGGTGTGATCATGGCTCACTGCAGCCTCAACTTCCCAGACTCACATGATTCCTTCTTCTCTGACTCTGTATTTTCAAATAGCTTGTCTTCAAACTCACTAATTCTTTCTTCTGCTTGATCAATTCTACTTTTAAGAGATTACTTTTAAGAGGCTTTCTTCAGCATGTTAATTGCATTCTTCTTTTTATTTATTTTTTTTTTTGAGATAGACTCTCACTCTGTCACCCAGGCTATAGTGCAGAGGTGCAATCTTGGCTCACTGCAACCTCCACCTCCCAGGTTCAAGCAATTCTCCTGTCTCAGCCTCCTGAGTAGCTGGGACTACAGGTGTGTGCCACCACGCCCGGCTAATTTTTTGTATTTTTAGTAGAGACGGGGTTTCACCGTGTTAGCCAAGAGGGTCTCGATCTCCTGACCTCGTGATCCGCCCACCTCAGCCTCCCAAAGTGCTAGGATTACAGGCATGAGCCACAGCGCCTGGCCTGCAATTTTCAACTCTAGAATTTCTGCTTGATTCTTTTTAATTATTTCAATCTCTTTGTTAAATGTATCTAATAGAATTCTGAATTTCCTCTCTGCATTATCTTGAATTTTTTTGAGTTCCTTAAAACAGCTATTTTGAATTCTCTGCCTCAAAAGTCATATATCCCTGTTTCTCCAGTATTGATCCCTGGTGCCTTATTTAGTTCATTTGATGAGGTCATGTCTCCCTGGATGGTGTTGATGCTTGTAGATGTTCATCAGTGTCTGAGAACTGGTGAGTTCGTTATTATAGTCTTCGTGGTCTGGGCTTGTTTGTGCCTGTCCTTCTTAGGAAGGCTTTCTAGGTATTCAAACAGACCTGGGTCCCAAGCCCTGTAATACTGTGATTTTTGCAGACTCATAGAAGTACCACCTTGGTGGTCTTGGATGTGATCTGGAAGAATTCTATGGATTACCAAGCAGAGACTCTTATTCTTTTCCCTTACTTTCTCCCCCACCCCAAAATGGAAGCTCTCTCTCTGTGTGCTCAGCAGCATGGAGCTGTGGGTGTGGCGATGCAAGCACCCATGTGGCAACCACCACTGGGACTGTGCTGGGTCAGACATGAAGCCAGCACAGCACTATTTCTTGGCCAAGGCCCTTCTCTTCAGGGCAGCGAGTTCCCCAGGACTCAGAGGTGTCCAGAGATGCTCTCTGGGAACCAGGAATTGAAGTTAAAAATCTTAGCAGTTTAGCTGATGTCCTAGTGCAGCTAAGCTGGCACTCACACCACAATATAAAGTTCTTCCCGCTCTTCCCTCCCCTTTCCACAGGCAGAGGAGCCCCCCCCCCACCACTGCCACCACTGCCACCACTGGTCTATGGTGGTTCTGCCAGGCCACTGCTGATGTTAACTTAAAACCCAGGAGCTTCTCTGTCAGCTTGTGGTGAATTCTGCCAGGCCTAAGACTCACCCTTCAGGGCAGGGGGCTCCACTCTGGTCCATAGCAGGTTCAGAAATGCTGTCCAAGAGCCTAGGCCTGGACTCAGGGACCCCGGGAACCTTCTTGTTGCTTTACCCTTCTGTGCCTGTCCCCATTCTTAACATCTGTCAGTCACTAATCTGCTCTCCAGTTCTATAATTTTATCATTTAAAATGTTGTATAAGTGGAATCATACAATCTGTAACCTTTGAGATTGGTCTTTTTTTTTTTTTTTTTTTTTTTTTGAGACAGGGTCACATTCAGTCACCCACACTAGGATGCAGTAGGGCAATCTCAGCTCACTGCAACCTCTGTTCCCCAGGCTTGAGCAATCTTTCCACCTCAGCTTCCCAAGTAGCTGAGACCACAGATGCATGCCACCACATCCAGCTAAGTTTTGGATTTTTGGTAGAGATGGGGTTTCACCATGTTGCCCAAGCTTGTCTTGAACTCCTAAGCTCAAGCAATCTGCCTACCTTGGCCTCCCAAAGTGCTGGGATTACAGGCGTGAGCCACCACACCCAGCCAGATTGGCCTTATTATTTTTTTTTTTTTTTACTTAGCATAATTTATTTGTTTGGAAATTGTGCTCGGTCATGTTTGTTTTTTAATCTGTTCTGTCGACGTCTATCTTTTGATTGATACAGTTAAACCATTTAAATTTAATGTACTTATTGATATGTTAGGGATTAAGTATGCTATTTGATTCTTTGTTTTCTGTATGTTCCTCTGTTTTTTTATTCCTCTGTTTCACTTCTTTTTGCTTTTTTGTAGGTTACTTGAACATTGTTTAGAATTGCATTTTTATTTATTTATAATGTTTTGGAATGTATCATCTTGTATAGATTTTGTTTTGTTTTGTTTTGTTTTTGTTTTTTTGAAATGGAGTCTCGCTCTGTCACCCAGGCTGGAGTGCAGTGGCACGATCTTGACTCACTGCAAGCTCCGCCTCCCAGGTTCACGCCATTCTCCTGCCTCAGCCTCCAGAGTAGCTGGGACTACAGGCACCCGCCACCACACTCAGCTAATTTTTTTTATTTTTAGTAGAGATGGGGGTTTCACCGTGTTAGCCAGGATGGTCTCGATCTCCTGATCTCGTGATCCGCCCGCCTTGGCCTCCCAAAGTGCTGGGATTACAGGCATGAGCCACCACACCCGGCAAATGTTTTAATGGTTGCTCTAGAGATTACATTATACATGCATAAAATAACTCAGTCTAGTGGTGTCAATGTAATTCAATATGAAACATAATTAGATAACTCACTAAGAATGGATAAGGACTAGGAGAAGGATAGTCAACATTTACCCATGTTTTTACTCTTTCTGTTGTTCTTTTTTCACTAATTGTGTTCCATGTGTCTTTCGTTTATCATTTCCTTTCTGTTTGAAAAATTTTCATTAGCCATTCTTTTAGGGTACATCTGCTCATGACCCCTTTTCTTAGTTTTCCTTCATTTGGGAATGTCTTGAGTTCACCTTATTCCTAAAGAATATTTTTGCTGGGTATAGAATTCTGGATGGACAGTTCCTTTCTTTCAGCACTTGAAGAATGTTGTGCAGTTTTCTTTGGGCATTGATGATTTCTGTTTGTTTGTGTGTGTGTTTGTTTGTTTGTTTAAAGATACAGAGTCTTGCTCTGTCACCCAGGCTAGAATGCTGTGACACAATCATGTCTCATTGTAAGCTCAAATTCCTGGGTTTAAGAATTGATGGTTTCTAAGGAGAAATACACTGTCATTTGAATCTTTGTTTCTCCATAGGAAACTGTATTAGTCTGTCTTGATGCTGCTATAAAGAACTGGGAAATTTATAAAGAAAAGAGATTTAATTGACTCACAGTTCTGCACGGCTAGGGAGGACTCAGGAAACTTACAATCATGGCAAAAAATGAAGGAGAAGCAAGGCACACCTTACATGACAACAGGAGAGGCAGAGGGGTGGGGGGAACTGCCAAACACTTTTAAACCATCATGTCTCATGAGAACTCACTCACCATCATGAGAACAGTATGGGGGAAACTGCCCGCATGATCCAATCACCTCCCACCAGGTCCCTCCCTCAACACATTGGAATTACAATTCAATTCAAGATGAGATTTGTGTGGGGACACAGAGCCAAATCATATCAGTAATGTATCATTCCTCTCTAGCTATCAAGACTTTGTCTTTATTTTTTTCTGAAAATTATTAGTGTTAATTATGATATGTCTTGGCATGGATTTATTTGGGTTTATTCTTCTTGAAGTTCACTCAGCTTTTTGAATTTGTGGCCTTATTTCTTTCAACAGATTTGGAAAGGTTTCAGCCATTATTTCTTCTAATATGTTTTCATTTTTTCTCCTCTTTTTCTCCTCTTTTTCTGGGACTACAATGACACAAATGTTAAATCTGATTTCTGAAGTCCTGACATTAGTTATGCCCGTTTTCTCTCTATTTTGATTATTATTATTATTATTTTATCTTCAAGTTCACTGACTTTCCTATGCTTTATTCATTCTGTTATTGATCCTATCCAATGAAGTTTAAACATTTTTTTGGTTATATTATTCAGGTCTGAGGTTTCTATTTGGTTGTCCTTTTTTTAAATTAAATTAATTTAATTTTAAAATTTTAATTTAATTTAATTATTGGGGGGACTGAGTCTCACTCTGTTGCCCAGGCCGGAGTACATTGGCGCAATTTGGGCTCACCGCAACCTCCACCTCCTGGGTTCAAGCGATTCTCCTGACTCAGCCTCCCAAGTAGCTGAGATTACAGGCATGTACCACCATGCCCAGCTAACTTTTGTATTTTTAGTAGAGACGGGGTTTCACTATGTTGGCCAGGCTGGTCTCAGACTCCTGACCTCAAATGATCCACCTGCCTTGGCCTCCCAAAATGCTGGGATTACAGGCTTGAGCCGCCATGCCCAGCCTTAGTTTTTCTTTGTATCTTCTATTTCTTTGCTGAGACTTTCTACTTTAAAAAAATTTTATAAGTGTTTTTGTAATTGTTTATTGAAGCTTTTTTAAAAAAGATACAGAGTCTCACTATGTTGCCTATGGATTACATTACAGCACACTACAACCTCGAACTCCTGGGCTCAAGTGATCCTCCTGTGCTAGCCTCTCAAGCAGCTAGGACTACAGGTACACCCAATTCATTGAAGCACTTTTTATGGTGGCTCCTTTAAAATCCTTGTTAGATAAGGCTAACATCTATGTAACACTGAAATGTTAGTGCCTGTTGACTGTTGGGGTTTTTTCCATTTAAACTGAGATTTTCCTGGTTCTTGTATGATGAGTGCTTTTTGATTATATACTAAGCATTTTGAGTATTATTTTGTGAGGCTGAATCATTTTCTCTCTCTGCCTCTCTTTCTCTCTCTCTACCTCTCTTCCTCACTTCTTCTCTCTCTTTCTTTCTTCATTTGGCATGCAGTCACCCTGTTTAGGTAGAGCACACAGTTCCTAAAAGTGGTAAATGTTCAGCTCCCCACTGGGTCCCACTGACACCTTTCCAGGAAAAGCTGAGCACTGACTCCCACCACCTTCTTGCTGCCGAGTCGGGGTGGAAGTTTAGCTCTCTGCAGTGATTTGCTGATACCCAGAGGGACAGGAGAATGTGGATGAATTGTCTCAATACTTCTTCTTTCCGCCTCATGACTCCTGGTGGAATTTTTATTGGAAATGCATTGAATCTATAGATCAAATTGGGAAAAATTGACTTCTTAACAATATTGAGTCTTCCATCTCATGAACAAAGTATATCTCTTCATTTATTTAGGTCTTCTTTAATTTCTCTCAGTAACGTTTTATAATTTTTTTTTTTTTTAAGACGGAGTCTTACTCTGTCGCCCAGGCTGGAGTGCAGTGGTGCGATCTCGGCTCACTGCAAGCTCCGCCTCACGGGTTCACGCCATTCTCCTGCCTCAGCCTCCCGAGTAGCTGGGACTACAGGCGCCTGCCACCACGCCCGGCTAATTTTTTGTATTTTTTAGTAGAGACGGGGTTTCACTGTGTTAGCCAGGATGGTCTCGATCTCCTGACCTTGTGATATGCCCACCTCGGCCTCCCAAAGTGCTGGGATTACAGGCATAACCCACCATGCCCGGCCTGTGTTATAATTTTTAGTGTACAGGTCTTTTACATGTTTTATCAGATTTATCCCTAATAATTTTATATTTGCTGATATTATCATAAATGATAATGTCTGAAATCTACTATTAGGCTGGCAAAAAAGAAATTACTTCAAAAAATTGTAAAAAGAAATAAAGTAAATAATTTTAGAAAAATAAACAAAAACTAAAAAGTGGTATTGTCTTTTAGAATTTAAATTTCTGGCTGGGCATGGTGAATCACACCTGTAATCCCAGCACTTTGGGAAGCTGAGGTGGGAGGGGACCACCCTGGGCAACATAGCAAGACTCCATCTCTATTAAATTAAAAAATAAAGGAGAATAGTGTGAACCCAGGAGGCGGAGCTTGCAGTGAGCCGAGACTGCGCCACTGCACTCCAGCCTGGGCCTGGGCGACAGAGCGAGACTCTGTCTCAAAAATAAATAAATAAATAAAATAAAATAAAATTTAAAAATAAAAAATAAAGTTTAAATTTCTGATTGCTTATTGTGTAGAAGTACAACTGATTTTTCTGTTATTGATCTTGTATTCTACAAACTTTTCAAACCCCATTATTATAGAGCTTTTTCACAGATTCCATTTGATTTTCTAGATAGATAATCATGCCGTCTGTGAGTAAAAACACTTTTAAGTTTTACTTCTTAAGCAGTAGAGCTCAAAAAAAGAAAAACAGTTTTCCTTCTTCCTTTCCAGTTTGTATACCTTTATTTTTTCTTGCCTAACTGCAGTGGCCATAGCCATCGGCATAATGTTGAAGAGAAGTGGTGAAGGCAGACATCCTTGTGTTAGTCTTGATCATAGGGAAAAAGCATTCAGTATTTCACCATTATGTATAAGGCTGGCTACAATTTTCTCCTAAGTGCCCTTTCAAGGATGTTCCCTTCTATTTCTAATTTGTTGAGATTTTTTTAAAGTCAGGATTGGATATTGGATTGTGTTAAATGCTTTTGCTGTATCTGTTAATATAATTTTTCTTTTTTGGTCAGGCACGGTGGCTCATGCCTGTAATCCCAGCACTTTGGGAGGCTGAGGAGGGCAGATAACTTGAGGTCAGGACTTCAAGACCAGCCTGGCCAACATGGCAAAACCCTGTCTCTACTAAAAATAGTACAAAAAAATTAGCCAGGTATGGTGGCATGTGCCTGTAGTCCTCGCTACTTGGGAGACTGAGGCGAGAGAAATGCTTGAATCCTGGAGGCAGAGGTTTCAGTGAGCCAAGTTTGCACCACTGCACTCCAGCTTGGGTGACAGTGGGAGACTCTGTCTCAAAAATAATAATACTAATTTTTATTTTTTAAGTGTGTCTCTATGGTGAATTACATTGTTTTTGAATGTTAAATCAATTATGTGTTCCTGGGATAAATTTGTTCATGACGTATTATCCTTTTTATGCATTGTTTGATTTTATTTGCTGCATTTATGTTCGTGAGAGGAACTGGTCTTTAGTTTTCTGGTACGATCTTTGTATGATTTTGGTATCTGAATAATGCTGACCTCTAAGAATCATTGGGGAACTATTCCTTTCTCTTTAACTTTTGGGGAGTATTTGTGTAGAATTGGCATTATTTTTTTCTTAAATGTTTGGTAGAACTTACCAGTGAAGCCATCTAAGCCTGGAGTTTTCTTTGTGGGAAGATTTTTAGCTACAAATTCAATTATATTAATAGGTATAGAGATATTTAGGTTATCTATTCATCTTGCCTGTGTTTTAGTAGTTTATGTCTTTCAAGGAGTTCGTCCATTTTTATCTAAGTTGTTCAATTTGTTGCTTTTTCTTTCTTTTTTTTTTTGAGACAGAGTCTCACTCTGTTGCCCAGGCTGGAGGGCAGTGGTGCAATCTCAGCTCACCACAACTTTCACCTCCCAGATTCAAGCAATTCTCCTGCCTCAGCCTCCCAGGTAGCTGGGATTACAGGCGTACGCCATCACGACCAGCTAATTTTTTTATTTTCAGTAGAGACGGGGTTTCACTATGTTGGCCAGTCTGGTCTCGAAGTCCTGACCTCGTGATCTGTCCACCTTGGCCTCCCAAAGTGAATTTGTTGCTTTAACACTGTTTATAACATTATCTTATTCATTATCTTTTTGTAAAATAGCTTTTTATTTTGGAATAATTTTAGATTTACAGGAAAGTTTGCAAAGGTAGTACAGAGAGTTCCTGGATATCCTTCACCCAGTTTCAGTTTTCCCTAATGTTATCATCCTACATTTCTTTTTTTTTTTTTTTTTTTGAGACAGAGTCTCACACTGTCACCTGGACTGGAGGGCAATGGCGTGATCCTGGCTCACTGCAACCTCCACCTCCTGGGCTCATGCAATTCTCCTGCCTCAGCCTCCTGAGTAGCTGGGATTACAGGCTCACACCACCACACCCAGCTAATTTTTTGCATTTTTAGTAGAGACGGGGTTTCACTATGTTGGCAAGACTGGTCTCAAACTCCTGACCTCGTGATCCACCCGCCTCAGCCTCCCAAAGTTCTGGGATTATAGGCGTGAGCCACCACGCCCACCCCATCCTACATTTCTATGTGATATTTGTCAAAACTGAGAAACCAACATTGGCACATTATAATTAACTAAACTCCAGACTTTGTTCAAATCTCATTTTCCTACTAATATCCTTTCTCTGTTCTACAGTCCAAGCCTATATACCGCACTGCGTTTCATTGTCATGTCTCATTAGCATTCTCTGGTCAGAGACGGTTTCTCAATCTTTCATTGTGTTTCATGAGCTTGACGGTTTTAAGGAAAATGGGTCATGTGTTTTGTAGAATGTCCCTCAGTTTGGGCTTGTCTGATGCTTGTATCATGATTCAACTTAGTCATAGGGGTATTTGTTTATTTTGTTTGTTCGTGTTTTGAGACAGTCTCACTCTATTGCCCAGGCGGAGTGCAGTGGTGCAATCTTGGCTCCCTGCAACCTCCACCTTCCAGGTTCAAGCAATTTTCCTGCCTCAGCCTCCCCAGTAGCTGGGATTACAGGCACACACATCATGCCAGCTAATTTTTGTATTTTTAACAGAGACAGGGTTTCATCATGTTGGCCAGGCTGGTCTCAAACTCCTGGCTTCAAGTGATCAGCCCACCTCGGCCTCCCAAAGTGCTGTGATTACAGGTTTGAGTCACCTCACTGGGCCAGTCATAGATGTTTTAAAAGAATCACAGAGGCAAAGTGCCCTGTCATCATGTTGTATCAGGGGTACATGATATCCATATATCTAACTGATGATATTAATTTTGAGTTGTTGTTTAAGAGAGTGGTTGCCAGGTTTCTCCACTGTAAAGTTACTATTTTTCCCTTTCCATCTATTCTTTGAAAGAGAGTCCCTCAATCCAGCCTACCCTCAAAGTGGTTAAGCATTACCTCCTGCAAGAAAAAGTATCTACATATATTATTTAAAATTTGGAAGTCAAAGTATTCTGTAAAGATTTGTTTCCACTCCACCATTTAGTCTTTTAGTCAATCATTTGTTTATATCAGTATGGAGGCATGTATATTTTATACATTGGATATCTAATATTAGATACTTTTACACATTTTATACATTGGATTATAATCTAATACTGTCAGAGGTGTGTGAACCAGAGCAACTCCATCTTAAATAGGAGCTGGGTAAAATGAGGCTGAAACCTACTGAGCTGCATTCCCAGATGGTTAAGGCATTCTAAGTCACAGGATGAGATAGGTCAGCACAAAATACAGGTCATAAAGACCTTGCTGGTAAAACAGGTTGCGGTAAAGGAACCGGCCAAAACCCACCAAAACCAAAATGGCTACGAGAGTGACCTCTGGTCGTCCTTACTGCTACACTCCCACCAGCACCATGACAGTTTACAAATGCCATGGCAACGTCAGGAAGTTATCTTATATGGTCTAAAAAGGGGAGGCATGAATAATCCACCCCTTGTTTAGCATATCATCAATACATAACCATAAACATGGGCAACCAGGCCGGGCACGGTGGCTCACGCCTGTAATCCCAGCACTCTGGGAGGCCAAGGCGGGCGGATCACGAGGTCAGGAGATCGAGACCATCCCGGCTAACACGATGAAACCCCGTCTCTACTAAAAATACAAAAAATTAGCCAGGCGTAGTGGCGGGCACCTGTAGTCCCAACTACTCAGGGGGCTGAGTCAGGAGAATGGCGTGAACCTGGGAGGCAGAGCTTGCAGTGACCTGAGATCGCGCCATTGCACTCCAGCCTGGGCGACAGAGTGAGACTCCGTCTCAAAAAAAAAAAAAAAAAAACGGCAACCAGCAGCCCTTGGGACTGCTCTGTCTGTGAAGTAGCCATTCTTTTATTCCTTTACTTTCTTAATAAACTTGCTTTCACTTTGCACTGCAGACTCACCCTGAGTTCTTTCTTGAGTGAGATCCAAGAACTCTCTCTTGGGGTCTGGGTCTGGGCCCCTTTCCTGTAACAATACTGTGCTACTTATTTTGTTGCTCAAATTATTCCAGCTTTGGCCATGGAAGAGCACTTTCAGATTGACTCCTATGTCATTTTTTTTAGAGATAGGATCTCACTCTGTCACCCATTCTAGAGTGCAGTGTGATCATAGCTCATTGCAGTCTTGAACTCCTGGGCTCAAGTTATTCTCCAGCTCCAATCTTCCAGGTAGCTAGAACTACAGGCACACACCATCACTCTGGACTAATTTATGTATTTATTTATTTTTGGAGGGACAGGGTCTCAAACTCCTGGCCTCCAGTGATCTTCTCGTCCAATGTGCTGGAATTACAAGTGTGAGCCACCACATCCGGCTGACTCCTAAGTCTTTTGAAATGTGCCACACTCATCTCGTGCTTTCCTTGACCCAGCTCTAAAAGCCATTTCTCCAAGGAGCCCAGGTTGCCCTTATTGTGAAAGGAAATAAATCTTGGGGCCCCCAAATCACTAAGCTAAAGGGAATAGTCAAGCTGGGAACTGCTTAGGGCAAACCTGCCTCCCATTCTCTTCAAAGTCACCCCTGTACTCACTGATATAGATGCATATCTGATTGCCTCCTTTGGAAAGGCTAACAGAAACTCAAAAGAATGCAATGTCTCATTTATCTGTGACCTGGAAGCCCCCTCTCCGCTTAGAGTCTGCCTACCTTTGCTTCAAGTTGTCCCACCTTTCCAGACTGAACCAATGTTATTCTTACATATATTGATTGATGTCTCATGTCTTCCTAAAATGTATAAAACTAAGCTGTACCCCGACCACCTTGGGCACATGTTGTCAGGACTTCCTGAGGCTGTGTCATGGAGGGGCGTGTTCTCAACCTTGGCAAAATAAACTTTCTAAATTAACTGAGACCTGTCTCAAATTTTCAGGATTCGCATTTTGGTAACCATGGGAGGATTCTGAGTGGAGTTGCCCCCGACCTTTGACAAATCTCCTATCTGTGCTTGGTACCAGCATGAGCTAACTCTATGGCTCAAACTAATAGGACAATTTGCTGAGGTCTGAAAATACCCTCTACAGAGAATGCCTGATCTCCCCAAATTTGGTGGAGATCTAAAGTTTATTTTGCTGTACAACTCTTCTTTTTGTTTTTTGTAGTTTTACTTGCTTCCAACAGGAAGGCAAGTTTTCCTCCTTCCATGACGATGAAAGGCAGGTAACTCCTTTATGGAATTTGAGCTGGCTTCCAACAGGGAAGATGAGGTTTTTTTTCCTGCCTCTAGAATAGTAGAGAGCAGTCTACAGCCTGAGACCCATCACTAGGTAAGAAACTGGTTTGGGATTCTGTCTTGCCAATTCCTTTTAAATGACTAAAGTTAGCATTTACCAGCCAGCTGGTGTTAATTCCTACTTACACTTAGAACACTCAGAAATCGTATGTTGTGTGATCATTGTTAGTTTCGCTTAACTCTTGTTGTTGGCTGTACTTCTGAAATAGCAGCATTTTGTCCTAGCTGAAATATGGTAATAAGATTTAAAGAAAAAAAATTTTAAGCAGCTCAATGGTTAAAAATCAGCTTAATTAAAAGGATAACACACCCAAGATGTGTGTGTGTATGTGTGCATGTTTGTATTTGAAAGGCCTTCATGTTTTTGTTTGTTGTTGTTGTTTTTCTCTTCTAAGACCTTGTCTTTTTTTTTTTAACGAAAGTTTGTTTTTCTTTTTCTTCTCAGTTATCTGAATTCTGTTTTCACCTGATTTTTTGTTTGTTTGTTTGTTTTGCTAAAATAGTTACTGCAACAGAGGCTACTCTTGGGTTTTTAAGACAGAGTATAGTTTAATTTTATGTTTAATTTGACTCAAAGAAAAATAAAAGTGTCTCCCTCTAGCACCACCACATTTTTTCTCTCTCTACCTTATGATGTAAATTTTGCTATTTGATTTTCACCTGAGTTGTTTCCTTTAATGTGCAAATTTAAGGCTATTTAGCTGACAACTGCCTAGGTTTGTGAAACAGGTTATCAAGAATCTTGACAGTCTAAGAAAGGAAAAAAGAAAAGGGGGTGAGGGTCTTTATAAATGTATAAAATGTACTGCTGTCGGCATGCCTAATACGTCTTTATATATATTTATGTGTTGTGTACAAAATGTTTCACTACTAAAAATATATGAAAGAGCTCTAACTAATTGGCTTAAAGAAAAATACAAGCATGTAAATCAGATACTGAAAAAGAAAAGACTAGGCCGGGCACGGTGGCTCACGCCTGTAATCCCAGCACTTTGGGAGGCCAAAGCAGGTGGATCAAGAGGTCAGGAGTTCAAGACCAGCCTGGCCAACGTGGTGAAACCCTGTATCTACTAAAAATACAAAAATTAGCTGGCCATGGTGGTGTGCACCTATAATCCCAGCTACTGGGGAGGCTGAGGCAGGAGAATGGCTTGAACCCAGGAGGCAGAGGTTGCAGTGAGATGAGATCCTGCCACTGCACTCCAGCCTGGCTGACAGAGCAAGACTCCGTCTCAAAAAAAAAGACTAGTCAAATGCTTTTTCAGGTTTATGTAATAAGTAAAATCTTTAATAAATAAACTAGCTTTAAAATTACTGGTAAAGTACTATTAGAAATATCTAAAGAATTGCCAGCATACACTTTGTTTGCATTATTAATCAAGCAAATTTCATACTTACCCTGCCAAATAATGTAAGGTGTCAAAATTTGGCATAGAAGTTACAAAACTATAAACCCAGGCCAAAACAGAATGATCTATGCTTGTGTAATTTTTAGTAAATAAGACATTGATATGGGTTTAATAAAAATAGCTGCATTTTGAATTTAATAAGATTGCCATAACTTCTAATCCTGTGGCTTTAGACAGTCTGGTCCACAGACAGTAAGGAGGTTTGTTTTGGGAAAGGACTGTTATTGTCTTTGTTTCAAAGCTAAACTATAAACTCAGTTCCTTCCCAAAGTTAGTTCAGCCCATGCCCAGGAATGAACAAGGACAGCTTGGAGGTTAAGAGCAATATGGAGTCAGTTAGGTCAAAACTTTTTCCACTGTCTCAGTTATAATCTTGCAATGGCAGCTTCATAGTTTTAAATCATGACTATCACAGTTTTCGTAAATAATCTAGGTAAAGAATTAAAATAAAATAATTAGGTAAATGTAATGGGACAAATACTTGCAGACAAACTGGTCACAATTTAGAAATAAAGTTAAATTCAATAATAGGTATTTTATTATTTGGGTATTTTCCAATAAATATATATTGTAGGAAAACATTCTTGCTTAAAAAAAAAAAAGGGTGTCCTTTTTTTAAAAAAAAGAGAAAAATTTTTGTCTAATTCCAAGCTCATTTAAAGGCTCTGTATAAAACAAGGTAAAAGGAACCAGGAAATAAAAAACAGAAGTAAAGAAAGTTATAAAAATAAAGAGATTTTTTGTGTGTGTAGTAAGAAAGCTTAAAGAGAAATAATTGTATATGAGAAAGAATCTTTTATAGTAAATGTTTAGTCCTAAAATAAAAATGACTGGTTGATTAAGAAGGAGGGATGTTCAGGACAAACCAGAAAGTCCAAATATTATTATTAAGTTTTGGTTTGCTTAGGAAAAAAACTGAGTTAAAACTTTTTTTAAACTAAGATATTTCATCCATGTATCTTTCTATACGTGCTTTTAAAGTCCTTGTTGACCTCTACAAGGAAAAGTACAAAACACTGCTGAGAGAAATCATAGACGACAGAAACAAATGAAAATATACCCCATGCTCATGGATGGGTAGAATCAATATTGTGAAAATGACCATACACAATCCCCATCAAAATACAACACAATCCCCATCAAAATACCACCATCATTCTTCATAGAATTAGAAAAAACAATTCTAAACTTCATATGGAATGAAAAAAGTGCCTGCATAGCCAAAGCAAGACTAAGCAAAAAGGACAAATCTGGAGGTATCACACTAACTGATTTCAAACTATACTATAAGGTCATAGTCACCAAAACAGCATGGTACTGGTATAAAAATAGGTACATACACCAATGGAACAGAATAGAGAATCCAGAAATAAACCAAATACTTACAGCCAACTGAGCTTTGACAAAGCAAACAAAAACATAAAGTGGGGAAAGGACACTTTTTAATAAATGGCGCTGGGATAATTGGCTAGCCACAGGTAGGAGAATGAAACTAGATCCTCATCTCTCACCTTATACAAAAATCAACTCAAGATGGATTAAGGACTTAAATCTAAGACCTGAAACTATAAAAACTCTAGAAGATAATTTTGGAAAAATGCTTCTAGACATTGGCTTAGGCAAGGATTTCATGACCAAGAACCCAAAAGCAAATATAATAAAAACAAAGATAAATAGTTGGGACTTAATTAAACTAAAGAGTTATTTTGCACGGCAAAAGGAACAGTCAGCAGAGTAAACAGACAACCCACAGAGTGGGAGAAAATCTTCACAATCTATCCATCTGACAAAGGACTAATATCCGGAATCTACAACGAACTCAAACAAATCAGTAAGAAAAAAACAAACAATCCCATCAAAAAGTGGGCTAAGGACATGAATAGACAATTCTCAAGAGAAGATATACAAATGGCAAACAAACGTATGCTCAGCATCACTAGTGATCAGGGAAATGCAAATCAAAACCACAATGCAACACCACCTTACTCCTGCAAGAATGGCTATAATCAAAAAATCAAAAAACTGTAGATGTTGGCATGGATACGGTGATCAGAGAACACTTCTACACTACTGGTGGTAATGTAAACTAGTACAGCCACTAGGGAAAACAGTGTGGAGATTCCTTAAATAACTAAAGTAAGGCCTACCATGGTGGCTCATGCCTGTAATCCCAGCACTTTGGGAGGCCAAGGCAGGTGGATCACATGAGGTCAGGAGTTCAACACCAGCCTGACCAACATGGTGAAACCCCATCTCTACTAAAAATACAAAATTAGCCAGGTGTGGTGGCACACACTTATAATCTCAGCTACTTGAGAGGCTGAGGCATGAGAATTGCTTGAACCCGGAAGGTGGAGATTGCAGTGAGCCAAGATCGTGCCATTGCACTCCAGCGTGGGTGACAGAGCAAGGCTCCATCTCAAAAAAAAAAAAAAGGGGGACTAAAAGTAGAACTACCATTCGATCCAGCAATACCACTACTGGGTATAGACCCAGAGGAAAAGAAGTCATTATACAAAAAAGATATTTGCACGCACATGTTTATAGCAGCACAATTCACAATTGCAAAATCGTGGAACCAACCCAAATGCCCATCAATCAACAAGTGGATAAAGAAATTGTGGTAGATGAGATTGGAGACTATTATTGTAAGTGAAGTAGCCCAGGAATGGAAAACCAAACATCATATGTTCTCACTGATCTGTGGAAGCTAAGCTATAAAGATACACAGGCATAAGAATGATATAATGGACTTTGGGGACTTTGGGATCTTGGGGGTGAGGGTTGGGGGGATGAGAGATAAAAGACTACAAATAGGGTGCAGTGTATACTGCTTGGGTGATGGGTACACCAAAATCTCACAAATCACCACTAAAGAACTCAGTTATGTAACCAAATACTCCCTGTTCCCCAAAAAACCTATGGAAAAATTAAAAAACAAAATAAAATGAAATAAAATAAAGTCCTTGTAACATTGAGTTAGAGGGCTTTAACTCCTGGGTCTAAAATGGACACCAAGTCCTGTTAAATTTTAAACACTCACAGCAATTTTTTTTTTTTTTTTTTTTGAGACAGGGTCTCGCTCTGTCGCCCAGGCTAGAGTGCAGTGACCAATCTTGGCTCACTGCAACCTCCACCTCCCAGGTTCACGCCATTCTCCTGCCTCAGCCTCTCGAGTAGCTGGGACTACAGGTGCCCACCACCATGCCCGGCTAATTTTTTGTATTTTTAGTAGAGACAGGGTTTCACCGTGTAAGCCAGGGTGGTCTCGATCTCCTGACCTCGTGATCCACCCGCCTCGGCCTCCCGAAGTGCTGGGATTACAGGCGTGAGCCATCACGCCCAGCCTAAACACTGACAGCAATTAAAGCCTCATCTTTAGGCCCTGTAGAAGATGCCAATCAAAATAAAATGCATTCCTGAGACACAGGGCAAGAAATTAAAGCTATTCAACTCCTCAAGGCCCAGGGACTATCACGGAAGAGGTGGGCACATAAGATCAAAGATTGTAAGGGCCGATTTGGAAAGATAAATAAGTTTAGTTTCTCTATAAATTAATCATTAGTGTCAAAAACACACTGATGCAAAAACCAGTATATGGACCCCTGTATTAGATTAACAAGTTTTTTGTGAAGCATTAACCAACTGCTTTTTTTTTTTTTTTTTTAAGACAGGGTCTTGTTCTGTTGCCCAGGCTAGAGTGCAGTTGCGCAATCTCGGCTCACTGCAAGCTCCTCCTCTTGGGTTCAAGCAGTTCTCCTGCCTCAGACTCCCGAATAGCTGGGATTACAAGTGCACACCACCACGCTTGGCTAATTTTTGTATTTTTAGTAGAGATAGGGTTTCACCATGTTGGTCAAGCTGGTCTCGAACTCCGGACCTCAAGCAGTCCACCCACCTCGGCCTCACAAAGTGCTGGGATTACAGGCATGAGCTACTGTGCCCGGCCTCCAACTCCTTAATAAAGTTTATAAAGGTTATAAAAGGTTTATGGAAGTTATATTTTATACTCAAGAATAAACTTTATAGATTGCTTACAAAATTTGGAAAAGCAAGTGGAATTGGCTCCATGCTGTTTTTATTAGGGCTTCAGGTTTAGAAAATTAAGTCCCCTCTCTCAATAAATGAAGGTTTTCACTATTTTTGAAATCCTTGAATTACCACTTTGGTTAAACAGATGACTTTACAATGACCTGAAATCCTATTTTGTAATATCAAGTGTTTTAAACCTTTTATATTTGACAAACTTTCCAAAATTAAATTATAAATTGTGTCTTGTTCTAACCTAATTACTCCTTTAAGATATTACATTCCCTAAAGTCCAAAAATAATATAATTTGGCTTATTTGGTATAAAAATTATACAGGAAGCATTGTCAAATATGAAATGGTTATTTGGTTTCTTTGAGCTGTATTTGTATAAATGTTATTGGTATGTGTTCCAAAATTATGAGAAACTTATAATTCTAATATAACTTAGTGTACATTATCAATAACAATAATTGTTATGTTAAGTTAAAATTACTGTGTGCCACAGAGGTAACAAATTCCCTTGTCAATTATGTTTTTGACTATGGCTGCCCTAAAACTTTTTGTCATCCACAGACAATTGTTGCCTTGTTTTGGTTCTCTTTAGAAGATGGTTTTATAACCAGCTATTAAACTATAACAGGTGCTCTTGAGTGCAGATTTCTGATAGCTTTGGAGATTGTGACATCAGAATAGAGAAAAAACTTTCAAGACTCATGGAGAGCTAAAATGTTCATGAATATCAAGCAGAACAGGAATTAACTGCATGGACTGAACTAATCTTTTTGACTTTTTGCTTAAAATGTTGCTGATCCTTTATTCTGTTTTTCAGAGTCTTAAAACTTTTCTTTTGAGCTATTGACAGCTTTCAACAATTTAGTATACTCCCATGAACAAAATTTGGAGCATATTTGTTTCTCTGTAATTGATTTTCTCCAGAATTTGAAAACTATTTGTGAGCTTCTTAACTTTTGGCAATACAGTTAGTTGCATAAGTGCAATAAGAATCTGTTTTCATTTTTAACAGGACACAATTGAAGAAACTGGTAGTTTTACCAAGGCTTTGACTGGAATGGTGCACTTTCCTATAAGGAATCAAACTTGACTTAAGAAGCCAATAAAGCCCTTGGAAAAACTGGCCTCATATTTTGTGTACACAGTCCGTGTACAGGGTTTCTGGCCTGTGGTAAGTAAAGAATATCACTTTCTGACAGGCACGGAAGCCCCAGATTTATCTTGGATCCTCAAGAGGAGAGGAAATTCAGACCAAGTACAGTGGCTCACACCTGTAATCCCAGCACTTTGGGAGGCCGAGGTGGGTGGATCACTTGAGGCCAGGAGTTCGAGACCAGCCTGGCCAACATGGTGAAACCCCATCTCTGCTGAAATTACAAAAATTAGCCAGACACAGTGGCACGCACCTGTAATCCCATCTACTTGGGAAGCTGAGGCATGAGAATTGCTTGATCCCAGGAGGCAGAGGTTGCAGTGGGCCAAGATCATGCCATTGCACTCTAGCCTGGGTGACAGAGCAAGAATCTGTCTCAAAAAAAAAAAGTTGGGGGAGAGGAAATTCACCCAACTTGTAGGTATTTGATGGCACAAATTCATGGCTGGATTCAGCTTTAAAATCTTATCTGAGATTCCTCCTATGGAACAAAGTTTCATCAAAGCCCATTTAAAAGCCTATGTAAAAAATAATTATTTTTGCTGAACTGTATACAAATAATTTGGCCAAGCATAATAAGCAAACCAATCCTACCATGATTTATCTTTAGTAAAATGGGAAACTAGAGAGAGAGAGAAAAAAATGTTTCAAGACGATAGTACACTCGTTGTTAGAGTCTAGTCTTGCCTAATTTTTTTTTTTTTAATTTTTTATTATGTTCTACAGTTTGGGCTGAATTCTAATTGTTTCTTGGCTACAAGTCTTCAAAATAATGTTTTCAACTTTTTCTTTTTTTTCCCTTCTTTTTTTCCCATGTTTCCTAATTAGGAGTCACTGAAAACTAAGCTGTGCTTTCTTAAAGCCCAGCTAACTGAGACTAAACAACTTAAACTTCAGAAGAAAATAACAGCAACCAATTTACATACCTGCCTACTGACTATAGACTTCAGAGAAATGTGGCCTATATAGATTTTCCAAGAATGTTCTTTTGTTTGTTGTTGTTTTTTCTCCCTTCCTCCCCACTATTTTTCCTTCATAGGACATGAGACTTCACAACCTGCTAAAAATCTTCGTTCGGGACCTACCTGTCTAGGAATAAACCATCCTTGCCATGAGAGATCAAATGAAACCTGAGACCAGAGATTCATTTTCTTGTAAAATGCCTTCTCCAAAAGATTTTTGAAAAGAAAGGGGGGAAATATGAAAGGAAATTAAAGCTTGGGGCCCCCAAATCACTAAGCTAAAGGGAATAGTCAAGCTGGGAACTGCTTAGGGCAAAGCTGCCTCCCATTCTATTCAAAGTCACCCCTGTGCTCACTGAGATAGATGCATATCTGATTGCCTCCTTTGGAAAGGCTAACAGAATCTCAAAAGAATGTAACCATTTGTGTATCACCTATCTGTGACCTGGAAGCCTCCTCCCCACTTCAAGTCTTCCTGCCTTTCCAGACTGAACCAATGTACTTCTTACATATATTGATTGATGTCTCATGCCTCCCTAAAATGTATAAAACTAAGCTGTACCCCAACCACCTTGGGCACAGGTCTTCAGGACTTCCTGAGGCTGTCACGGACACATGTCCCCAACCTTGGCAAAATAAACAATTAACTGAGACCTGTCTCAAATTTTCAGAGTTCACAGTATTTTGAAACCAAAATCTGGACACAAGATGTGCCCATTGCTATGGGGGTGTCATTGCCTCTAGGCCCTCTCAGTGGACAGCGTGAGGTATAGCACTAGGTAATATTTGTGTGTATACCGACTCATGTATATACACATATTTCTGTCTATATATATACCAAGCTAGCTAACCAACTCTAATCCACTACCCAAGGGCTCATTCTATTTTTCCCTCCTTGCTTATATGTTACTTCTCTTTCTGATAGTGAAAACCCTTCCTCCCAAAATCCACTATACATTTACTTATTTGTTCAGCCCCAGTACATATGTAAAGCCGTTTGAGAACTATTAACCCATATACCATGAGAAACAGACTTACCAGCTAGAGTATAGTGTTTACATACAGTACGTGGACCTTTTTTTTTTTTTGGACAGAGTTTTCTTGTTCTCAGGCTGGAGTGCCATGGCGCGATCTCGGCTCACTGCAACCTCTGCTTCCCAGGTTCAAGTGATTCTCCCGCTTCAGCTTCCCTAGTGGCTGGGATTACAGGTACCCGCCACCACGCCCAGCTGATTTTTTTTATTTTTAGTAGAGACGGGGGTTTCACTATGTTGGCTAGGCAGGTCTCCTGACCTCAGGTGATCCACCCTCCTCCGCCTCCCAAAGTGCTCAGATTTCAGGCGTGAGCCACCACGCTTGGCTCCAGTATGTGGACCTTTTTTGATATTTGAAGAAATTTGATTATAAACTGGATATTAGTTGATACCAAGGAATTATTGTTAATTTCATTAGGTGTGATAATGGCCTTGAGTTATGTAAGACAATTCCATAATTTTTTTCAGAGGTGCTTATTGAGATATGTGGGGATGAAATAGCATGATGTCTGTAGTTATTTTTTAAACATTTCAGTAAAGAAGACAAGACATATAAGAAGGCAGGAATGTCAGGCCTCTGAGCCCAGGCCAGGCCATCGCATCCCCTGTGACTTGCACGTACACATCCAGATGGCCTGAAGTAACTGAAGATCCACAAAAGAAGTAAAAACAGCCTTAACTGATGACATTCCACCATTGTGATTTGTTCCTGCCCCACCCTAACTGATCAATGTACTTTGTAATCTCCCCCGCCCTTAAGAATGTACTTTGTGAGATCCCCGCCTGCCCACCAGAGAACAACCCCCTTTGACTGTAATTTTCCATTACCTTCCCAAATCCTATGAAATGGCCCCACCCCTATCTCCCTTCGCTGACTCTCTTTTTGGACTCAGCCCGCCTGCACCCAGGTGAAATAAACAGCCATGTTGCTCAAAAAAAAAAAAAAGAAGACAAGACATAGAAGGGGGAAATAGGTAGATAAAACAACATAGCAAAATCTTGATAATTGTAGAATCTGGGTGAGGATTCTGATACATGAGAGTTCATTGTATTATTCTCTCTCCTTTGGGGAATGTTTGAAATTCTTTATTATACAATATTTTTTATTATTTTTTAATTATATTTGTTTTTTTAAATAATTTTTAATTTGCTTATTTAATATTTACTTTTAATATAGGCAAATTAGTGAAAATTATTTTTGAGATGGAGTCTCGCTCTGTTGCCAGGCTGGAGTGCAGTGGCATGATCTCAGCTCACTGCAACCTCCGCCTCCCGGGTTCAAGCAATTCTCATGCCTCGACCTCCCAAGTAGCTGGGACTACAGGCATGTACCACCACACATGGCTAATTTTTGTATTTTTAGTAGAGACAGGGTTTCACCATGTTGGCCAGGCTGGTCTCAAACTCATGGCCTCATGAAATCCACCTGCCTCAGCCTCCCAAAGTGCCGGGCTTACAGGCGTGAGCCACAGTGCCTGGCCTCTCGTTATATTTTTCTCACCCTTTCTGGATGATAACATCAGTGACCACTTATGTACTAATAACACTTAAATATGATTTTTTAGCCCAAATCTTTCTCCTGGGCTAGGGATACCATATATCCAACTGTCCACCAAGTGTTACCACATACATGTCCTATATACATTCATTCAGCAATTTTAAATTGGGTACCTACTTAGTCCTAGGCACTGTACTGGGCCCTGAAGACATTAGTGAGCAAAAAAAGCACCATTGTCCCTGCACTCATGGAGTTTGCAGTCTAGATGGGGAGGTAGACATTAATCATAAAATCACTCTAGTTATCACAAGTGAGGACTCTGAAACAAAGAACACACTCTAGGGCCAGGAATGGGGTGGGTGGGGGCTTCTTTGAGGAAGTAACAATTGTGCTAAATCAGAAGGATGAATAGCAGTGAACTAGGCTAAGGGCGAAGAGAAGCCTCTAGGCAGAAGGAAGAGCATGGACACAAAAAAAGCCCTTTGGGCCCTAGAACAGTGGCTCATGCCTGTAATCCCAGCACTTTAGGAGGCCTAGGCAGGAGGATTGCTTGAGACCAGGAGTTCAAGATCAGCCTGGGCAACATAGCAAGACCCCATCTCTATAAAAATATTTTAAAAATTAGCTGGGCATGGTGGTGCAGCCCTGTAGTCCTAGCTACTCAGGAGGCTGAGGCGGGAGGATTGCTTGAGCCCAGGAATTCAAGGCTGTAGTGAGCTATGATCACTCCACTGCCCTCCAGCCCGTGTGACAGAGCAGGCCCCTGTTTCTATGTTTTTGTTTTTGTTTTTTTGAGCCCTTTGGTAGGTCATCTGAGGACTGAAAGGAGGTTGGTGTGGCTGTGGCACAGAGAGCAGTGGTGACGCAGAGTGGGCTTGGAAGCCAGCTGGAGGTTGGGCCATGCATTTTGGCATGATAATGGCGGAGCGGGGCAGGCTGGAGAAAGAGCAGAAAGAATAATGACAGAGAGACAGTGGGCACTCAGAGGATTGGTAGTTACAATCAGAAAGAAATTTTTCGGCACCTGGTAAAAGGCACTTTTCCATGGTGGCTAAGTGTCTAGGCTCTGATTTGCAGAGTAAATGCTAAGCCAGGTGCTCCCGTTCATAAGGAAGTTTTCAGAGGTCAGTAGACAGCAGCAATTGAGGATGTGACCAAGTGGTAGTAAGCATCCAGAGAAGAATTGAGAAATAACAATGTCATGATTGAAAGCAACTGAGACAGAAAAGAATGTTGTACCTTTTTTCTCCCGTGGCACAGTGAAAAGAGCAAATGCAGTGAGGTCAATCAAGATTTAGAGTCCAATTACAGCTCTGCCATTGTGTGTGTCCTTGGCAAGTCACATAATTTTGAACCCGTTTCCTCCTTTGTAAAATGCAAAACAACGTTTACCTTGAAAGGTTGTTTGGAAGGTTAAACGAAATTAAACATGATGAAATTCCTTGTTACATGAAGTGTCTGGCACATAGTGATTGCTCAATACATGCTAGTCCCTTCCACCGTCCAGGTGCCATCAGAACATGGCAAGGACCCATCTCTACTGAGGAGTATTAGGAGGGTGGATGTGCTGTCGGGAGAGCACAGGTTTCATTTGAGGTGTGGAGGTCCAGGGAGTGTTGGAAGAAGATACTGAGCACACGAAATGAGTGCATGAAGTAGGGGAGAATTAGCACTAAATTGAATTACTGAATAGAAATGAGACTATAATGAAGGAAGAGCATTACAAAACAATTGGTTCCAGAGCAGTGAGGGTGAATCATGGGAACAAAGGACATCGAAGCCTTAGAGGTAGACAAGAGATATGGTGAAGATGGGCTACGAGTCAAGCGCTTATAATTCCATTTGGTTCCTCTGATAGCTTAATTCATTTATTATAAATCTTCCATGTTTTCTAAATCTGTGAGACTTTACATTTACCTCAGAATACTACTTTAGCTGCATCTCATGGGTTTTTTTTTTTTCTTTAGAGACAGAGTGTCACTATGTTGCCCAAGCTGGACTTGAACTCCTGAGATCAAGCAATCCTTCCACCTCAGCCTCCCAAATAGCTGGGACTGTAGACGTGCACCACAACACCTGGCTCCTATATGCAGTACTTTCATTGTCAGTTAACTTCTAGTTATTTCATTTCCATTATTATTATTTAACCGAGTTATTTCGTTCATTTTCAAATTTCCCAAAAGTCTTTACCTTATTTTCTATTTTAATTGTTGATTGCTAATTTAATTTCATTGTGACCCAAGAATCTGTGTGATGCTGTATGATTTCACATCTTTGAAATTTCTAGAGCTCCTCTGTGACCCAGTAAATCGAAATGTTTTTAAATATACCATGCATACTTGGAAATAATGTATAGTCTCTATTTTTTAATGCACAGTTCTTTAGAAATCTGTTAGATCAAGCTTGCTAATTTGTTCAAATATTTTATCTGTTTACTAATTTTTCTGGCCTGTTTGATACAGCAGCGTTGTTTTTTTTTTTTTTTTTTTTTTTGAGACAGAGTCTCACTCTGTAGCCCAAGCTGGAGTGCAGTGGCACGATCTCGGCTCACTGCAACCTCCATCTCCCGGGCTCATGCGATTCTCATGCCTCAGCCTCCCACATAGCTGGGACTACAGGTGGGTGCTACCACGCCCAGATAATTTTTATTTTAGTAGAGATGCAGTTTCACCATGTTGCCCAGGGTGGTCTCAAACTCCTGAGCTCAGATGATCTGCCCACCTCAGCCTCCCAAAGTGCTGGGATTATAGGTGTGTGTCACTGCGCCTGGCTGATTTATCAGCTTCTAATAGAGGTACATTAAAATTTCTCCCAATGATTGCAAATTTTCCAAATTTGTTTTTCAATTCTATCAATTTTTTCTTCATCTATTTCAAGCCTTATTTTTAGGTACTTAGAAGTTCAAGATTGTCATATCTTCTTGAGTGTTCTTTTAATTATTTTATATTGGCCTCCTTTATATATATTGATGCTTTTTGCCTTAAATTCTAATGTGACTGATAATACCATTGCTGCCATGTTTATGTAGTGCTTGTCTGCTACCTATTTTCCTCTTTTGTTTTTAATTTTTAAGTGATAGTATATGAGGCCAGGAATGGTGGCTCATGCCTGTAAACCCAGCACTTTGGGAGGCCGAGGCGGGTGGATCACCTGAGGTCAGGAGTTCCAGACCAGCCTGGCCAACATGGTGAAACCCTGTCTCTACTAAAAATACAAAAATTAGCCAGGCGTAGCGGCAGGCTCCTGTAATCCCATCTACTTGGGAGGCTGAGGCAGGAGAATCGCTTGAACCCAGGAGGCGGAGGTTGCAGTGAGCCAAGATCGCGCCACTGCACTCCAGCTTGGGCAACAAGAGTGACACTCCATCTCAGAAAAAAAGAAAGATAGTATATGGTTTTAAAAGTCATATTGTACTACAAAACTTCTAATAACTACCCCCACTCTTCTTCTCTTTCCATTCTTCCTTTTTTTTTTTTGTTAAATCTTCTACTGGTATGCGTTATTATGACTATCTACATATTCTTTATTGCTGAGCCAAATCAAACAATTCCTTGAAGTTAATACTTGCCTCATGTTTTCATTTGCTTGCTTTTCTGTGTCACTATCGCTAGTTCTTCTTAGACTCATTAGATAAAAACATAAATCCGCCCCCTGGGTACTATGTTCCAGGCTGCCAAACATCAAGTAATCCTCAGCTGCATTTTTATTTTCTGGGAGACATCCTCTTGAGTCCTCCATTCTGCCCTCCCTCTGGAGGGGTGGCTGTCTGGTCCTAATTCACCCTCTTATCCTAGGAATTCTCTTTGACTGTCTCTAGTTGTGGTACCTTATTCCTGAACTCAGGGTCTTCTTCCTCCTTTACTTATTCCCTTATTTTGGTGGTGCACATTCTCCAACAGCTTTCTGAAAAAGAACACAAGAGAGGTAAATGTGAGATCTTATATTTTGATAGAGATTTTATTTTATACCCACTTTTGATTGATACTTTGGCTATGTATAATTTTCTGAGTTGAAAATCATATTCCTTCTCAATTTTGAAGACATTGCTCCATTTAAACTTCTATAATAGCATTGCTGCTGAGAAAGGCAGTGCCATTCTGGTAACATTCTTTTTTTTTTTTTTTTTTTTTTTTTTTAGACAGAGTTTTTCTCTTGTTGCCCAGGCTGGAGTGCAATGGCGTGATCTCGTCTCACAGCAACCTCCACCTCCCAGGTTCAAGCGATTCTCCTGCCTCAGCCTCCCTAGTAGCTGGGATTACAGGCATGTGCCACCATGCCCGGCTAATTTTTGTATTTTTACTAGAGACAGGGTTTCTCCATGCTGGTCAGGCTGGTCTCAAACTCCCGACCTCAGGTGATCCGCCCACCTTGGCCTCCCAAAGTGCTGGGATTACAGGCATGAGCCACCGCACCTGGCCATAAAGCTATATTTTTAAAAAATTGGTCTTATGAAGATAATTAAAGGCATAAAGGCATAGTTATCACCAAATTAGTGACTATAGTTTCTGGCCTTCCCATAATTAGAATATTCTTTTTTTTATTATTATACTTTAAGTTCTAGGGTACATGTGCACAAAGTGCAGGTTTGTTACATATGTATACATGTGCCATGTTGGTGTGCTGCACCCATTAACTCGTCATTCACATTAGGTATATCTCCTAATGCTATCCCTTCCCCCTCCCCCCACCCCACAACAGTCCCCGGTGTGTGATGTTCCCCTTCCTGTGTCCAAGTGTTCTCATTGTTCAATTCCCACCTATGAGTGAGAACATGCGGTGTTTGGTTTTTTGTCCTTGTGATAGTTTGCTGAGAATGATGATTTCCAGCTTCATCTATGTCCCTACAAAGGACATGAACTCATCCTTTTTTATGGCTGCATGGTATTCCTTGGTGTATATGTGCTACATTTTCTTAATCCAGTCTATCATTGATGAACATTTGGGTTGGTTCCAAGTCTTTGCTATTGTGAATAGTGCCGCAATAAACATACATGTGCATGTGTCTTTATAGCAGCATGATTTATAATCCTTTGGGTATATACCCAGTAATAGGATGGCTGGGTCAAATGGTATTTCTAGCTCTAGATCCTTGAGGAATCGCCACACTGTCTTCCACAATGGTTGAACTAGTTTACAGTCCTACCAACAGTGTAAAAATGTTCCTATTTCTCCACATCCTCTCCAGCACCTGTTGTTTCCTAACTTTTTAATTAGAATATTCTTGAATGCATGGCCTGAAAGGGCAGACTCTGTAAAATCCTCCTTTGGAAACAAGAATTTAGATTTCCAATAATTTACAGTAACTGAATAAAATTTATCTTGAAAATATACCTTTACTCTCCCAAAGATTCAATATACAATGAATATCGAATAAGTATGTATTTGTCGAGTGCCTTCTATATGCCAAGAACTGCTCTAGGCCTTAGGTAAATAATGGTGAAGAAACAAGCAAAGGTTTTGTTTGTTTTTTATTACAGAAAAATTTAAACATATACAAAAGAAGACAGTCTAATGGACTATTACCCATCATCCCACTTAAACAATATAAACTCAGCCTTTTCACTGGTAACCTATCCTTCCCTCTATTCTTCCTCCTATGTTATTTGAAACAAATCCAAGATATCAGATTATTTCATCCATAAATATATTGGCATATATATCTAAAAGATAAAACTTTTTAACAATAACTGTAATATCATTACCCCCTAGAAAAACCAACTAACAACATCAATAGTTCAGAGCTTACATTTTAATAGGAAAGACAAACAAGGAACAAACAAACAAACAAATTATGTTAAGTAATGGCAGATATTATAAAAGGCAAGGTACAGGTGATGGGATGGAGGTGGACTTTCTTGCTTTTTTTTTTTTTTTTTTTTGAGACAGGGTCTCACTTTGTCGCCCAGGGTGCAGTGCGATCTCGGCTCACTACAACCTCCGCCTCCAGGGTTCAAGTGAGTCTCCTGCCTCAGCCTCCCAAGTAGCTGGGACTACAGGTGTGCACCGCCACCAGCCCTGGTTAATTTTTGTATTTTTAGTAGGGATGGAGTTTTGCCTTGTTGGCCAGGCTGGTCTTGAACTCCTGACCTCAGGCGATCCACCCACCTCGGCCTCCCAAAGCGCTGGGATTACAGGAGTGAGCCACTGCGCGCAGCCTGCGATGGACTTTCTATTGGGTGGTCAGAGAAGTCCCCCTTGAGCAGGTGATATTTGCAGAGGGATGTGCATGATGTGAGAAAGGGAGGACACCCCCAAGACGGTCTGCAGGAAGACTGACCCTGATGGAGGCTTCAGCTACTACCAGGCCCTGAGGCAGAGCTTAGTGTTCAAGGACTAGGAAGGAGGCCTATGAGACTGGAGGACCACGTGAAAGGAAGAGAAGGGTATGAAGTCCAAGTGGCCACCAGGACCTCCAGGTTTGATTCTAGTTAGCTGTGACAGGCAGCGTTGGAGGGTTTTGAACAGGGGAGGGACATGACCTGATCTGTGATTACGAAGGATCATTCTGGCTGCCGTGTAGAGAATAAAGTGTAGGGGAACATTTGTAGGAGAAACATGTGGAAATTGGGAGACCAATTAGAAGGCTATTGAAACAGTGTAGGTGAGAGCTGATGGTGAAGCGGTGATGAACCAGGGTGGTAGCAGTGGAAATGGTAAGAAGTGATCAGTCTCTCGATATTTGCGAGATTTGATTTGAAGCTACAGCTAACAGGGATTGGCTGACAAACCAAATGTAGGATATATGAGAAAAAGATAAGTCAAGGTTGACTCCAAGATATTTTGGCCTGACCAACTAGCGCCATTTACTAAAGTGGGGAATACTGGGCAAAAATCAGGTTTGGAGCGGAAAGCACGCACTCTCTTTTGGGCATATTAGGCTAGAGGTGCCTATTAAACACCCAAAACAGAGACATCAATTAGGTGGTTAGATAGCTCATTCTAGAGTTTATGCAAGAGATTAGGACTGGATCTATAAATTTGGAAAATATCAGTATAGAGTTGCTACTGAAAGCCATGGGACTGGATGACATCACACAGCTAGAGAGGGAGGATAGAGAAGAGAAGAGATTGGAGAAGGAAAGGATCCAGCCAGGAGCCTAAAAAGAGACAAATGAGGTTGGGGGAAGCCAGGAGAGTGGGTGCTCCAGAGCCATTAGCTGGCCACATGCTGCCGTAAGATCAATAAGATAAAGACTGAGAAATGATTGCTAGATTGGACCACCGGTGGTCCAACTGATAGAGTAGATGTTGGTGACCTTGACAACAATGGATTCCACAAGGTGATGGGGACAAAAGCTTTGATGTGGTAATTCCAAGTACCAATGGAGATGAGGAAGTAGAGATGGGAGCAGAGAAGTTGGGTGGTAGCTGAAAGGAATAGAGCATCAAGGGAAGTTCTGTTCATTTTTTCACATATTTTCAGATAAGAACTCACTCTGTTGTACAGGCTGGAGTGCAGTGGCATGAACATGGCTCACTGCAGCCCCAACCCTGTGGCTCAAGCAATCCTCCTACGTCAGCCTCCTGAGTTGCTGGTGCTACAGGCATGCACCACCACACCCAGCTAATTTTTTTTTTTTAATTTTTAGTAGAAACAAGGTTTTGCTATATTGCCCAGGCTGGTCTCAAATTCCTGGACTCAAGCGATCCTCCCGCCTTGGCCTCCCAAAGTGATGGGATTATAGACGTGAGCCACCCAGTCCGGCCTGTTTGTTTTTCAATGGGAGTTATTACAGCACATCTGTATGCTGACAGGAATAATCCAGGAGACAGTGAAAAACTGATGATGTAGGAGAGAAGAGAATAATTTCAAGAGCAAAGTCTTGAGACTTTGGGAGATAGGATAGGGAAGCTAGTGCACAAATAGGGGAGATACATAGGAACACAGACAGCACATTCATTTCAATGGGAGGGAAGGCAGAGGATGTGGGGAGAGCTGCAGGTAGATTGACAGATTTAGTAAATGGAGCATGGGGAAGTTCTCTTCTGCCTATTCCCATTTTCTCCATGAAACAATAGTCAAAGATGTCAACTAGAAGCGAAGATTTGGGGTGTGGTATTGGTTTGAAGAGAGGAGCAGGTAATTGGAAAGGTCAGTTAACTACAAGATTGTGGTAGGATTGCTGGCAGTGTTAAGGGCCTGCTTGAGATCTGTGCTCTGTATAAAATAATCTTCAAAGTCAAAACCTTGATTGTCTTTTTCTTCTCTGTGTTCCAGCCCCTGTACAGGCACCAACAGCTACATCTTGCTACAATTAGTTGGTATATCAAGGAGTCATTTGGTAATTATTTTATTTATTATGCATTAATGTACATCAACATTTATTTATACATTAATTCATTCAATCAATCATATTTATTGAGTGCCAGGCACCATTTTAGGTACTGGGGTTACAGCAGTGAGCAAAGCAGGTCTTTGCCCTCAGGGAACTTGTCATCTACATCTTTAAAAACCTGAGGCCCAGCACAGTGGTTCACACAGTGGCTCCCAGCACTTTGGGAAGCTGAGGCTGGAGGAACTCTTCAGGCTAGGACTTTGAGATCAGCCTGGGTAATGCAGTAAGACCTCATCTTTACTAAAAATTTTTTAAAAATTTGCCAGGCATAGTGGTGTGCACCTGTAGTCCCAACTACTTGAGAGGCTGAGGCAGGAGGATCACTTGAACCCAGAAGTTCAAGGTTGCAGTGAGCTGTGATCACACCACTGCACTCCAACCTGGGTGACAGAGTGAGAGTGAGACCCTATCTCTAAAAAAAAAAAAAAAAACCCTAATCTTTGTCAAACATAATGAAAACCAATTAAGAAGGGGAAGTTTCCATATTTAAGTATTCAAAGCTGGAGTCACTTAAATCCTGAGAAAGAAGACTGTTAAGGCCCCATGACAGATTGGACCCAGCAAAAGAATCAAGAAAATGCGGAGATCTGGCCTGCCACAGGCAGTGCCTCTTTATTTCTTTCCCACTAGTGCTGGGCTGGCTCCATGGAATCCCACCAAGTGCAGCAGACAGAGGAGTAATCTGTTGGAATTTTTGTCTCTGGTGTCAGAGCAAGGATTCATCATTATCTCCAGAAGAGCTGAATTAATTAACCATCATAACAAAGCAGGGTCAGCTGCATCCAAATTCTCAGGACTGCATAAACCCTAGAAGACACAACTTCCTTTGAACTTATGAATATGCCCAAAAGGCAAACAGAGCATACACTAAAAAGGGCTTAATCACTGACCGAGTCTCCTCATTTCATCTTCCTTTCTTTCTGACCTATTTTGGCCTTTTCTTTTTTTAATTTTTTCTTCTTTTCTCATTAATTTTCATCTGCTTTTCATTTTCTAATGAAGTAAAGGCATCTAAAACTACTGGCTCAGGAAGGCCCCATCTAATCGACCATAGGCAGTGATCCCTGGGACTCTGGGAAGAAAGTTGGCTTTAATTTAAAGCAGGGTTTCCTTCTGCTTTAAACTAAAGCACATAGATATGGGGCACATAGTTACGAGAAGAAGGATGGAGTGAGCGCATGGACTGTGAGTTGACTCCAGGGAGAGATTTGGGTCCTTTGTTGGTAACCTCAGACTTCCCAGCTCTGTTACAAAAAGCAAGAATAAAGTGCTGTCTATTGGATCTAGAAAAAAAAATCAGGAATGGAGTGCATGAGCTTTGTGCTCTATTCCTTTGCATTAGCAGACACGTCTAACTTGTCTCTGAAAGGGAATATTAACCCGGGTGTGGTGGCGCACATCTGTAGTCCCAGCTACTCGGGAGGCTGAGGCGGGAGGATCACTTGAGCCCAGGAGTTTGAGGCTGCTGTGAGCTGTGATTGTGCCACTACACTCCAGCCTGGGTGACAGAGTGAGACCTTGTCTCTAAAAAAGGGGGGAGTAGGGGAATATTAGAACATGACTGCGTGGGGGTTGTGTGTGTTTGTGTTTTAACTATCACAAGCAGCATGTCCCAAGCCATAACCTTTTCTGTCCAGTAGGTGTCAGCTACGCACAGCCTTTCTCTTTCTAAATCCATATTTGTAAGAAAACGGCCTTTCATCCATAATTTTCCCTAGTTAAAGGGATCAATTTCTTCTGATCTGAAGCACGCAAAACAGCTGAAACAGTGGCTCCGATATTGGAAACAGAATTGTACTACGTACTTGGGATATGGCCACACTGAGGACTGTGCGAAGGGGGTGACAAATGTTGGGGGGGCCCAGGTGAAGTCCTGTGGGTCTCACTGAGCAGATAAGTGTTAGGATCAAGGTGAGTCTCTAAAAGGCACAGTTAAGACACCAAAGCAAAAACACAGAGTTTCCCTCAGGTGAAAGAAATTGAGGCTTTGACCAGTAGCTATAGCATCCTGAAAAAGTGCTCAGTGTAAACTATCAATCTCCCATTTGCCCTCAAATAGACTGTCTTGTTTTTTACCTCAGGTAAAATATTTCTTTAAGCCTCAGGTTTCTAATTTTTAAAATCTTTAAGATAACTGCCTCGTCTGCCCAAGATACTACATGAGGAGGAAAAAAATTGAGATATTGTTCAGAAAACCATTTGTGGGCTATAAAGCACTATTTAAACGTAGAGAATAGAATAAAAATATAAAGGCAAATGCAGAATAGAGTAATCCCAGCACTTTGGGAGGCCGAGGCGGGTGGATCACAAGGTTAGGAGTTCAAGACGAGCCTAACCAACAGGGTGAAACCCCGTCTCTACTAAAAACACAAAAATTAGCCAGGCATGGTGGCAGGTGCCTGTAATCCCAGCTACTTAGGAGGCTGAGGCAGGAGAATCACTTGAACCTAGGAGCCAGAGGTTGCAGTGAGCCGAGAGCCGAGATCGCACCACTGCAGTCCGGCCAGAGCAGCAGAGCGAGACTCCTTCTCAAAAAAAAAAAAAATGCTCAAAATTTAATAAACATTAGTTTGTAATTTTTTACAGATTTTTGTCAACATATTACACCAAGGCTTTTCTTTCTCTCTTGTGTTCAATGTTAGTCACCTGGAATTTTGACACACTTAAGAGTTTATGTCACAAAAAGATTCCAACCTACAGAGAGGCACTTAATATAAATAATGCTCCCTTTGAAAGTGGGGAGATTCCTTTCCTAGCTTTGTTTGTTTGTTTGTTTTGGTTTGGTTTTTTTAAAGACAGGGTCTCACTTTGCCACCCAGGCTGGAGTGCAGTGGTGCGATCTTGGCTCATTGCAGCCTCAACCTCCATGGCTCACACGATCCTCCCACCTCAGCCTCCTGAGTAGCTGGGATTACAGGCGTGAGCCACCACACCCAGCTAATTTTTGTATTTTTTGTAGAGATGGGGTTTCACCACATTGCCCAGTCTGGTCTTGAACTCCTGAGTTCAAGCACTCCACCTGCTTCGGCCTCCCAAAGTGCTGGAATTACAGGCATGAGCCACCGTGCCCAGCCCCTTTCCTAGATATTACATCGCACCAGTAATCAATGGTAATAAGCCACTTATAAATTCCAAGTGCTAAAGAAATAGAAATACTAATCTTCAGCAACTCTTCCTTTCCAACGTGTGCACCTAGTACCGCTGTATTCCAAGAACGTATTTGATCCCATAACCCCCTTAGCTTCTTAGTTCATAATTTGAGAGGGCTAAAGCTTACCATATCGTTATCAGTTTGCACTGGTTTTAGCAAGAGACCTCAAATTCATCACATTCATGTTTTATCCCACATTAAGTCTGCATCATATAAATTAGAACTACCAAATATTACTGAAAGAACTCACGTTTAAGAAGCAGAAACATTATTTGTTTTATATGGTGATGTTGAAATCGGAGCAGAAGTCTTCAAATCTGAATGTATACAAATGAATCTATCAAATTTTTCCTCAGTGCTTTCTAAGGTTGTCAGGAAAGGCTAGAGGCAAATTCGACATTTTTTCATTTCCCATGACTCATTCCCTCCCATGGAGTTTCGTGCTATATATTCCCTGCCTTGTCTGGTTTTTTTTGTTGTTGTTTGTTGTTTTTTTTTTGCTGAGTCTTTCAATTTGCTGTGTCTTGAACTAGCAAAAGGAGGAGAGGAAGTTCCTCCCAACCTTTGAAACCTCTTAATACTTGCTGAGTGATCAAGGGGGCAGATGACTGCTGATTGGACTTTACCCCATTTGAAAAAGCTTTTGCTATGATAGCTCAACAAACCTCATTTTAAGGAATTAAGTATTTATTTTCCTTAAAACCCAAAATCTTTTGGAACATTTTCCAGAAAGTGAGGCCAAATTTTTGTAGTTAGGGGTCAGTTTGGGGGAACTTAATTTTTTAGGCCCACTTTAAAATTAAATAATTTTGCATAATATATTTAATAAGGCTAAAAATAACTTTATTTTAGACTTATAGTGTTGTCCACTATATTGCTTCATGCTGTTTTTTCGAAATAATTTACAATTATAAATAGACATTGTTGCTCTCACCTTAAGGCAGCAGTTTCTGAGTGAAATTCTTCAAGAAAGTGGAGGCATCATTTCGATATGGTAATAAGCTAGTTATTCTAACATCAACAAGTATGTTTCATGATCAGCGATATACTGATAATTCCCCATGTGTGCTTTTCAAATAGTTTATAAATGCAAAAATATTAGAAGTTGCAGGATCAGGGTTTGAGTCATTTTTTTTCATGTTTCAGCCAGTCCTAAATAAGAGCTGTGAACAACAAGGCTACCTGGTGATTTTGTTTTTTATCTTTTTGTATGTGCATGTGGTTTTTCTGGCTTTTTGTTTTGTTTTGTTTTTGAGACAGGGTCTTGCTCTACCTCCCAGGCTGGAGTGCAGTGGCGTCATCATAGCTCACTGCAGCCTTGACCTCCTGAGCTCAAGCAATCCTCCAGCCTCAGCCTCCTGAGTAGCTAAGACTACAGGCCTGCACCACTGCACCCGGCTAATTTTAAAATTTTTAGTAGACGGGGTCTCGCTCTGTTGCACAGGCTGGTCTCAGACTCCTGGGCTCACGTGATCCTCCCCTGTCAGCCTCCCAAAGCGCTGGGATTACAGGCGTGAGCCACCGCGCCTGGCGATTTTGTTTCCTCTGTACTCTTCGTAGCTCACAATTACGCTAAAAGAACCTTTTTCCCATTGTTAATTCCTTCCATTTCCCTCCCCCACCCGTCGATTCCCCCTATTTTTAGGAAACTCGAAGATGATGTCCTTTCAACGTTCTCTCCTGTATTCTCAAATACAGGATCCAGTCCTAAATATTTTTTAATACATTGGCTAGTTTATTTCTGATGGCATTAAAAGTATCGGCACAACTGTTCCCTGATTTATAAAGCTCACAGATGCTGTATGACCTGTAACATTATACTAGCTAATGAGCTCTCCCGGAACAGTTGACGTGGAAGGAGTTTACTTCCACTTGGTTGCAAGGAGAAAGATGGAGAAAGCGAGAGACGATTGCAAAAAGAAATAACTTAGTCCATTTTCTCAGTGCTGTTTGGGGGCTTTGTGCTAATACTTAAATTGCAGAGGAGGGAGGAGACGGGACTGAGGATGGAGGGGAGCAGAGGAGGCAGGGGCGGAGCCTCGGCGGGCGAATAAAACCCCTCGCTAAAGAGAAGCACGTTAGTGTGTGGAGAAGCCACTCTCCCGAAACCAGAGGGATGGGGCCGGCTGTGCAGTAGAACGGGGATCGAAAAGAGGAAAACAAGGGCACGAAGACCAGCGAGAAAGAAGAGGACACCTGGGAAAGGCGGAAGCAGAAGACGGGGAAGGGAAAAGAAACCCAAAGCAGGTGGAAACCAGATCTAGAGCAACACCGTCAGGTTCACAGTTTGTTTTTCTAGAAGAGAAGAAAGTACCTGAGGATTGCTCTTTTTTCCTACCGTTAATGAAAACTACTTTTGTCTTCATCATAAAAGAAAAAACTAAGGGGAGGTAAAGGCAGTCTCCTGTTTTATTAGGGGGAGAGGTGAAGGGAAATCCAGGCTCACTTTCTGAATAAGCCACTGCCTGGTGCACAGAGCAGAACCATCCTGGTTTCTGAAGACACATCCCTTTCAGCAGAATTCCAGCCGGAGTCGCTGGCACAGTTCTATTTTTATATTTAAATGTATGTCTCCCCTGGCCTTTTTTTTTTTTTTTTTTTTTAGCAACACTTTTCTTGTTTGTAAACGCGAGTGACCAGAAAGTGTGAATGCGGAGTAGGAATATTTTTCGTGTTCTCTTTTATCTGCTTGCCTTTTTTAGAGAGTAGCAGTGGTTCCTATTTCGGAAAAGGACGTTCTAATTCAAAGCTCTCTCCCAATATATTTACACGAATACGCATTTAGAAAGGGAGGCAGCTTTTGAGGTTGCAATCCTACTGAGAAGGATGGAAGAAGGAGCCAGGCACCGAAACAACACCGAAAAGAAACACCCAGGTGGGGGCGAGTCGGACGCCAGCCCCGAGGCTGGTTCCGGAGGGGGCGGAGTAGCCCTGAAGAAAGAGATCGGATTGGTCAGTGCCTGTGGTATCATCGTAGGTGAGTTCCATTCCTTCCCGCGGACCCCTCCTCTCCCCTCTGGTGGTCCTCCTGTGAGATCTTAACCCTTCGAAAGCATTATTGTTCTTCCTATTCCTTAGAAAAGGATTGTCAGTCACCTGAGCTGTAACTCACCTCCACTGGTCAAGTTTGAGAGGCATAGGAAATACATCATACATCTCTTCCTCCAAACCAGGCAAAGATTCTGCCCAGTGTTCATAGAATGGAGCAAATCGTGGTCAGAAACCCGGCTGATGATTAGCATTGCCTGGGAACTCCTTAAAAATACAGGTCCTGGTCTCGACACTTGGAGGTTCTAGTTCAATAGGTTTAAGGAGGGACTGAGGGACCTGAACAAGTTTGTATGCAGCTATTATTCCCAGGCTGGGGATGGGCTTTTAAGGTATATTTGGTAGCTATTTTGCAGTTTTATGTTAAATGAAACTATGGGATAGGTATTAAAAATAGCAAGAGCAATGCCCTGCCTTTTTATTTTAGCGTTTTCCACCTTATGCAGCACTTTTACTGTGTGAAGTAGCTGTGACAGGGCTGTTATTCCCATTTCACAGATGGGGAAGTTATGGAAGAAAAGAGGGGACAGATTGTGCCTCTCGGTAAGTGGAGAGTTTGCAGTTTCTCCAGTTGCCTGGTGGGGTCCACCTGTTTCTTAACAGCCACGGAGGACCCGGTGAAGCTCTCAGAGGGAATCAGGAGTAACTAGAATGTGTAGAATATGGAGTTGAGGAGGAACTGATGGGTAAAATATGTGTCCTAGCTGGGAGGTGCTGAAGGTGGGGAACCTGGGTGGCCCCAAGAGTGCCAGTGCAGGCCACTCAAACCCCCTGAATGTACTTTGCAGGGCAGGAGTCCCAAATACAGCTTCGTCTCTAGACAGCACATCCTCTTTCCAGAGAAGCCTTGGAGATGGATGGCAGGCAATAGCTCACTATTCCTGCCCTCACTTCAGAGTGAGAGATTGTTCTGCTATCTTTGGTAGGGGGCTTTACTTTCTTCCCAGAAAAAGGAGTGCAGGACGGTCAGGCATAGATATGCTTCTTTGTCATCTCTCCAGAGTTCCTTTATGAGAGCTCGTTGTGTCCTGGTGCCCCTGAACCAGTTTCTCTGGCTGACGCCATGTTCTATGCAATAGCTCAGAGATATTTTGGCATCTGAGCAATAGTGACACTGGAGAGCACTCTTGAAATCAAATAAAATCAGTGCAGTATTCAGATAATCCTCTTCACCTCTACACCCAGAACTTCAGTGACCAAGCTCTCTTCAGTCTCTAAAATGAAATCCCATCCCCCCCCCACCCCCACCAACTCCTCCTACACCCTGGAATCCTATTTTATGTGATTCCCTGACTCTGGGAAGTTTTCCAGGCCATCTACAGTTATAAGAAAGATAATGTTATAAGAAAAATTGTAGTCATGATCTGAATCTCTCTTTACTTTTTCTCATGACATTTTTTTTGCCTCTCCTTTACTTTATCTCAATTGTTCAAAAGAAATGAGAACAGCCAAGTATTCAGTATGTATAGCACATGCCAGTTTAAGGTCTATAAATAGCCCGTTCACCAATTTGACTGACAGAATTAAGCATTTTCCCCCTCTAGGAAGGTTCTGACTTATACACAGATGCGCACGCCCACAGGCACACAAGCACAATTAAACATCCTTCCTGCCTCAGCCTGGCTCGCCCTTCCCAATATAGGTTCAGGTATTCTTTTTTTTTGTTCAGACGGAGTCTCGCTCTGTGGCCCAGGCTGGAGTGCAGTGGCGCGATCTCGGCTCACTGCAAGCTCCGCCTCCCGGGTTCACGCCATTCTCCTGCCTCAGCCTCCCGAGTAGCTGGGACTACAGGCGCCCACCACCACGCCCTGCTAATTTTTTTTGTATTTTTAGTAGAGACGGGGTTTCACCGTGTTAACCAGGATGGTCTCGATCTCCAGGTTCAGGTATTCAAGGGTAGAGGGTATTTTCCTATATACTGATGTTTTTGTCTCTTCCTTTAACATCTTTTTCTAAGATTATGAAGAAATGGGAGTGTTCAGGTATAATAAGTACAATTTCTGTGGGTATATGTTACTACTGATTTGTCCACAACCTTATGGATGGTACTTCAATGGGAGAATAATCTCAAAGCTCCCCATGGTGGCATTACAGTAACTAGAATGGCAATTCTGGTGTTCTGTGATGAAAAGAGATTCCAAATATGTGATTTCAGAGAAATTGGGATATTTTTGCAAAACATGAGAATCCTTGTAGAGTTAATAGGCACTATTCTACCCCAACTTAAGCTAGAAACAAATTTCCCCTTTAAGATGATAACAGGGGACAAAATCCATTCTGCTTCCCCTCCCGAGTTGCTGTTGAGTCACAGATGTGCTGAGGAACTGCCCTTTCCTCTTCTGGAGAAGTTTCTCAGTGGATGATCGTGATTCAAGTGTTTTCAAGACCAAATGCAAAAATAGAAATGGCATTTTCTGTGTAGATTTCAGGGATCTGGTGTCCAATGTCAACACTGCAGAAAAAAAGAGAACTAAAAGGCAAAAAAAGGGCCGGGTGCGGTGGCTCACACCTGTAATCCCAGCACTTTGGGAGGCCAAGGCGGGCGGATCACGAGGTCAGGAGATCAAGACCATCCTGGCTAACACGGTGAAACCTCGTCTCTACTAAAAAATACAAAAAATTAGCCGGGCGTCGTGGCGCATGCCTGTAGTCCCAGCTACTCGTGAGGCTGAGGCAGGAGAATTGCTTGAACCCAGAAGGCAGAGGTTGCAGTGAGCCAAGGTTGCGCCACTGCACTCCAGTCTGGGTGACAGAGTGAGACTCCATCTCAAAAAAAAAAAAAAAAAGTCAAAAAGAGAAAGGAAGTTTTCTAAGTGAATCAGGAGACATGTTATGGAAAAGTAGAATTTGTCCCATCTTTCTTTCTTTCTTTCTTTTTTTTCTGAGACAGTGTCTCGCTGTGTTGCCTAGGCTGGAGTGCTGTGGCGTGCTCACTGCATCGCTGCAGCCTCAAACTCCTGGGCTCAAGCGATCCTTCCACCTCAGCTTCCTCAGTAGCTGTGACCACAGGCATACACCACGACACCTAGCTATTTTAAATTTTTTCTTGTAGAAACAGGGTCTCACTGTATCGCCCAGGCTGGTCTCCAACTCCTGGGCTCAAGAAATCCTCCCACCTCGGCCTATCAGTGCTGGGATTACAGGCATGAGCCACCGTGCCCGGCCCCCAGATCTTTTTTTTTTTTTCAGGGACTGTGGCAAAGTTACATTTGCCCTAAATCTATCTCTCTCATACCTTACTGACTAAGAGGGATAATTTAAACTACATGTTTTGTAAAATTTCATTCACAATCAACATGGATGATTGAAAGCAAGGATAACAGAATGGTAGGTGTTATGGAAATATACAATGAATTAATAGAAGACTTATGCCAGAGAGTTCCTTATATCCTGATTGGGAGGATGAGATGCATATGTACTAAACAGAGAACATTCAAAATTAATGACATGGTTTAGTTGTGAAAGAGCTAAAGTAGGGCAAAGTTATGTGAATGGTGGGAAGCCAGGAGAGAGAGGTTCTTACTAAGAACTAGATTAAGAAGCATCTTGAAGGCTTTGAGGAGAAGATGAAGTAGGGGAGCTGATTCTGGGAGTTTTCTTAGGTAAAAGCATAATGACTAAACTGTTATTTCCTAGATCAAAGATTGTGTCCGTAAAAAAAAATTGAACTATGAGAAAAATTGAGCCAGGTGTGGTGGTGGATACCTGTAGTCCCATCTCCTTGATCATTTTAGCCCAGGAGTTTCAAGCCAGCCTAGGCAACAGAGCAAGACCTCATCTTCATTTTTTTTTTTTTTTTTTTTTTTTGGAGACAAGATCTCACTCTGTTAACCAGGCTGGAGTACAGTGGTGCAATCATAGCTCACTGCAGCCTCGAAAGCAATTCTCCCACCTCAGCCTCCCAAGTAGCTTAATAATTTTTAAAATTATTTTTAATTTTTTTTAGAGACAGGGTCTCCCTATGTTGCCCAGGCTATCTTGAACTCCTGGGCTCAAGCAATCCTCCTGCCTCAGCCTCCCGAAGTGTTGGGGTTACACGTGTGGGCCACCGTGCCCAACAAAACCTTGCCTCTTAAAAAAAAAAAGCAAGTGTCTTATATGTTTCTGAATCTTTAGTGTTTAACAGAATGCCTGCTAAGGAATACTTACTCAAATGATTGTTGAATTTAACCGACTCTAGGACAAAAATATGAATAGGAAACATTTATCTGCAGGGCTGCTGGGAACCTGGCTTGAAAATCTTTAAGCTAGGAGTAGTTTTATCAACCTGGACAATTAGGTTGGCCCATTTTAATCTTTTAACATCATCCTTGTCCTAACCTAATCAGGCTTTTGTTCTCCATGTACTTGGCTAAGGAAACCTGTTGGCAGCATATTAATTTAGATTTCACCATGAACGTGGAGTTCCCCCCAAAGTCGAAAGAGGGTGCGGAGGACAGCAAAGTTCATTTATTAATGATACCAGAGCTACTGTTAATAGCTGTGTTTATTAAACACTTAGTATATGCCAGGTACTCATCCAATTACCTAACATACCTGAACTTATTTGTCATTCACAGTAACTCATTTGGTAGACACTTTATTACCTCTTCCTCCAGATAGGAAATAAAGGCTCAAAGGGGTAAGCAACTTTGCTGAAGGTCACACAACTAAAAAATATTGGAGCTAGGATTCAAACCCAGAGCTTGTCTGCATCCTGAATCAAGCTTGTAAGCATTATTCTTCACTATTTCTATTTTTATCTCCTAAAGGAGTATTTTCTTTTAGAATCTGGACAGAGGTCCTTATTCATTTTTATAGATGAATGAATACTTATTGTATAGCAATTAATTTTGTGTTCCCAGTGAGGAAGACTCCCAGTATAGCAGGGGAGCTGGGCTGTCAGCTGGGAGTGGAAGAAAGTAATATTCCCGGTGCAATTGCAGGAAGACTTGGGTGAGCCTGAGGGGCATCTGGCCAGCACAGACCATGCTCGCATTCATTCCTGCACATGCACACCTTTCCTTTATGGACCAGTGTTCTTCCCAGCCGTGTTAGAGGTACCCACAGAGTTCCTGGCCATTTAGGTACTTTATACCAGTCACGTATCTAGGTATGTAACCAGAATCTGTGTCTTGAAGGCATTAAAAGGAAAACCTTAAACAAATTAAATTTAACAGTGTTTAATTGAGCAAAGAACAATTTGTGAATCAGGCAGCCTCTTGAACCAGAACTGATTCAGAGTTTCTGGGGCAGCCTCATGGTCGAAGAAGATTTATGGGCAGAAAAAGGCAAGTGACATACAGGAAATAGAAGCAAGGTACAGAAACAGCTTGATTAGTTACAGCTCTACATTTTCCTTATTTGAACAAGGGTTGGACAGTTGGCTGCCTTTGATTGGCTGAAACTCAGTGAATGGTACAAAAGTAGGTTACAGTCTATTTACACATCCAGTTAGGTTACGTTTCACTACATATGGAGAAATCTTTAAGTGGAATTTAAAATATGTAAGGAGGCAGCTTTCAGCTAAACTTAACAAAGGTGAAAAAGCTGGCCAGAGAGCTGTAATAATAAAATTAAAAAGTATATAATGTCAGACCATTTTGTTTTCAGCACAATTTATGTTTTTGGGGGATCTTGGTATATTTGCTACAGAACAATACTGGATGCTGATCTAGCTACTAGACCACTATCTCCCAACTAACATGATTTTTTAAAATAGTATTTATTGAGCTCTTACTAAATCCCAATTTTTTTTTTTTTTTTTTTTTTGAGACAGAGTCTTGCTCTGTCGCCCAGGCTGGAGTGGAGTGGGGCAATCTCGGCTCACTGCAACCTCTCCCTCCCAGATTCAAGTGATTCTTCTGCCTCAGCCTCCTGAGTAGCAGGGATTACAGGCGCGAGCTACCACGCTCAGCTAATTTTTGTATTTTTAGTGAAGACAGGGTTTCACCATGTTGGCCAGGCTAGTCTCGAACTCCTGACCTCAAGTGATCTGCCCGCCTTGGCCTCCCAAAGTGCTGGGATTATAGGTGTGAGCCACCGCGCCCAGCCTAAATGCCAATTCCTGAGCTATAAGCTCTTTACATATATTATTTTATTCAATCTTCCCAACAATCTTAAGACAGTACTTATTATAATTACCTGTACGTTAAAAATGGGGAAATTGAGTCACAGAGCTGGTAGCTAATTTTCCTAGGGTCACACCACTGATAACTGAGATGACTCCATAGCCAGAACACTTAGCCATTTCTCATTTCTAATTGGTAACCAAGACAGGAGGAGGCTGATATATATTGCATGGTGGGGCAGTTGGCCATGGAGGAAGACAACCCTGAGACTGGAGTCCAGAAAGACCACGGATGTCTGATACTGAAAAAATTGGGGGAAAAAATTTTAAGGGTTTCTGTCAACAGAGAGGTGTGGCTATGGGTATAACTGTACTGAAATGGCTCTGGACTGACTTGGAAAAATTTCAAGTATAAAAGATCTCACACCCATGTGGTCTATACCACTTTAGAAGATTTTGCATTTTAGTCTCTAATATGATGTATTAGCTTCTAATCCCAAAAATGTCTACTGGATGTTGACCAGAGGGAGGGAGTGTGAAAACTGCTTCTTGAGTTTGTACTTCAATTAAAAAATACAAATACACTCACACAAAACATAGAGGGATTACGATTTGGTTCATTCAGGATGAAAATGTGATTAAAACCCTCATTGTTCTCAAATAAAATTCTGGGACAGAAGCCAGCTAGGAGGTATTTCAAAACAAACACATCTTGGTGAGTAGGGAAAGGCTATATGCCCAGCAATGTAATAATAATAAGTAGCTGCCATTTACTGAGCATACATTGCTAGGTGATGGTAGAGCCTAGATTCCCACCAAGGTCACTAAAATCTGAAGCAACTGGGCTTAACTAAAATGCTCCTCAGTCTGGAGTGCAAGGTGGCCGGGACCAGGGATCCTGTTGGACACTTCCTGACTCCAGGAACCAGAGAGCTAAAGGAGTAATTTGGTTGAATCTGCTACTGTCAGGGCGATAATACATTCCCTCAAAGAGCAGAGTTACGCAGAATGACTGACTAGCAGGAGATGCTTAGAGTGGAGGAAAGAAAGTAGGAACCCGGCAGGTAAGAAACTATGTCCAAGAGACACACCAGACAGCCATTTTAAACAGTCACAGTTAAAAACACCCTGTACCGGCCGGGTGCGGTGGCTCACGCCTGTAATCCCAGCACTTTGGGAGGCCAAGGTGGGTGGATCACTTGAGGTCAGGAGCTCGGGACCAGCCTGGCCAACATGGTGAAACCCCATCTCTACTAAAAATACAAAAATTAGCCAGATGTGGTGGCAGATTCCTGTAGTCCCAGCTCCTTCGAAGGCTGAGGCACGAGAATTGCTTGAACCCAGGAGATGGAGGTTGCAGTGAGCCAAGTTGCACTACTGCTTACTCCAGGACTCTGTCTCAAAACAACAACAAACAAACAAACAAACACAAAACACCACTGTACCCAAACCAAATAACCTTCTCAAGAGCGGCCAGCACCATATATACACTTTTCTGAGTTAAATCAGCTTATTGAAGTGGGGTAGAGGTGTGGGGCATCTTGGCTGGGGCTTCTCAAGTTGCCAGGCTACTGAGGTTTTCTGTCTTTTTGATGGGTAATCCAGCAGCACAGCTGCCTTCAAAGAAATGCCTCAGGAATGTCTGTTGTTGTTTTGTTGTTATTGTAGGAGAGGGAGATGGATCTAGAAAAGCAGGCACATGCAAATGATCCCAGGAGTATATCCCAAACTACAGAAAATAAGAGCCATTCAGGAACCCAGGGGGCTAGAAACTGTTTCTTTCCAATGTTTAACTCCCCGCTGAGCATACAGAGCATGGAGGACCATGCCTTCTTTCCCCTTCCAGAACGCGTCTACAGAGCAGGCCCCCAGATCCCTTCTCCCTGGAGATCTGGAAATGGCAAACTGCAGGCTCCTCTCTGCTGCAGGAGTGGGAGCAGCTGGACATAGGATTCAGAATTATTCCACATTTTAACAAACACTCACCGAGCACATTATATTCTAGGCCTTGTCCTGAGCACTGGTGAATTTTATTTCTAGGAGGCAAAATAATCCCTCAAGTCTATTTTAAGCTGTTTTATTTATAGAATGAGTGAAGTTTGAGCTGAAAAGCTCTATTGATCACATCTCATCCCTCATCTTTGTCACAGTCACATGTCTTCCCATTGGTTTGCTCCCTGCTTTAAATATCCTCAGCATTAGCAGTGACATCACTTCTGGGGAGAAGGTTTCACAATGTCTGAAGGTGGACCAGGCAACCTCACACTGAACTGCACATTGCAAAAGCAGATTACTCAGAAAGAGTACCACTGCTGCAGAATTATTACTTTTCTCATCTGTCTCCACGTTTTAAAGGTGCTTGTTTGTACATTTAGGAAATGCACAAATACTTCAGTGCTTTTTAAGAGTACAGTTCTGCAGAGAGTGTTTAGTAAGCAGCTGATAAAGACAGGTCAGGTTGACTTAAGGTGGTATTTGGACCCTGATATTGAAAGCAGAAAGTTTAGAGTGAATTTTTCCATGATTTGCATCGGCATGCCATAGACTGGGAGGAACCACTGATTAGAAAAAGATGGGCTTTAGAGATAGTCTTAAGTTTGCAAACCGCTTCCCTATTTACAATCTTTGTAATCTTGAGCAAGCTAATTATCAGTTTACTTAGCTGTGCAATGGAAGTTTCTTGTGGAGTATTTAAACAAAGCTGGCCAGGTGGGGTGGCACATACTTGTAATTCCAGCACTTTGGGAGGCTGAGGTGGGAGGATCACTTGGATCCAGGAGTTCAAGACCAGCCTGGGCAACACAGTGGGACCCTGCCTCTACAAAATATTTAAAAATTAGTCGGGTGGGGTGGCACACGCCTGTGGTCCCAGCACTAGGGAGGCTGAGGTGGGAGGATTGCTTGAGCTTGGGAGGCAGAGGTTGCAGTGAGCTGTGATTGTGCACTCCAGCCTGGGTGACAGAGTGAGACCTTGTCTCAAAAAAAAAAGTAAAAATTTAAAAAATAAAACAAAGCCCTTGCACTCCTTTAACTCGAGGAGAGAAAGAAATGAATATTTATTGGAAGATACCAGAGTGCATCAGTATGTTGTAGAATGGGGGGAACCATTGATGATTAGTGGTTCCCACCCCCAACTCACAAACTCAATAATTTTGGTTCTGAAATTTCAGTTGGACTGATCCAGTAAGAAGACTGACCATTTCAGGCCAAGTCTGATCTGCTTAGCAACCAGCTGGTTGCTTTTCCTTTTCTCTTTGCTGAGCTGAGTCTACTCACTCATCAGCATCAGTCTGACACTCCCCTCTCCCAGGAAGACTTTTCTGAACAGCCCATGCCAGTGATTTTTTTTCCACCCATTAAAATCTTGCCATATATTGCAATAGCCCTCATGCAGCTTCTGCTCTGCGTGGTGGTATCAGTTCTGTGTCTGTGCACATGTGTCTTCCCTTTCCACACAGTTCCTTGAAACCAGGCACTGTGTCTCACTTTCACATCCTATAACCTAGTACATGGTGAGTATTGAATAATAGCAGTCAGTCAAAAACAAATCATTATTCAAGATTGCCTCACAACGATGTGAATATACTTAACACTGCTAAACTATAGACTTAAAAATGGTTAAGATGGTAAATTTTGTTACGTGTCTTTACCACAATGAAAATTTTGTTCTGTTTAAAAATGAGTTATTCCCATGAATACTACATTTTTGGGCTTAGCTTTAAAAAAAAAAATCATCCAGGCTCAAATTTGAAAGGGATTAGAGCTTAACCAAAAGTAACAGTGCTGAGGTTGAGAAGCCCTGTTCTACCTTCAAACTTCAATGAAGCCCAGATACTTTGTTGTGGGAAGCTATCCTGTCTATTGTAGGATGTTTAGCAGTGTTACTGGCCTCTGCACACGAGGTGCTGGTAGCTCTCCCACCCTCATTGTGACAACCAAAAGTGTCTCCAGATACGGCCAGCTGTCTTCTTGAGGTGGTAGACAAGTTGTTCTCAGTTGAAAACCACCAAGGAAGACAAAGCCTCTCACTGTGGATGCCTGGCTCCCCAGTTGGGCCGGGAATGCTGGAGGCAAGATGTGGGTCCTTCATGGGCTTATTTGAGGGCGCAACACTCAGCCCCCCACCACCCCCAGGCTACGATGCCTGTCTTTCAGTAGCTGGTAGTTGGCTCCATCCGTTTCATTAAAAGTCCATGTGTGAACAAGTGTTTCCCAATTACCTCCCAAAACAAGCATGTACAGAGTGGGCGCTCAATAAATACCTTTTGAGATGCAATTACCTGCTGCCCGCCCACCTGCGGCATCTACAAATTACACCTAGACCAGCAGACAAATGACTCAGAGAATGTTTCACAGTCCTGGCTGTACAGTGCTGTTTTGGAGCCAAGCCTCCAAAGCAAGTCCATTGAATTCTTCTAGGGCTGGTCTCTGTCCCTACTGCTACAAATCCTAGCCATTCCTTACATTTGTTAGCGTTTCACAAATCATAAAGTGCCTCACATGTAACCTCTCCCTTGATTCCCCACAACAACCCTGTTGAGGTAGGCAGGGCAGGAACAATTACTCCCATTCTGCAGATGAAGAGACTGATTTTCAGAAAAATTCAGGTCACATAGCAAAGCAGGGACAAAGTTTCTCCTCCAGCTCTAAGTCTAGTGCCCTTTTCATGCTTTCAATAAGAAATCCAGAAGAGCAGTGTTCTGCAGTGACTTCCACATCTCAATCTGCAGAAGATGTTGACTCCTCAGGGCATGTGTCAGAGTCTTGACCTGCTACCACCCCTGAGGAGCTGTTTGTACAGTCCCGATGGGAAAGTGTAAACAGGGTGAGAGGCATGGTGAGCTTCCAGGCCTGGCGTGAAGATCAAAGCCTGGGCCCCACATGCCAGACCTGCTTTCACGCTGTTCCCTTAGTCCTGAAAAGCTCTGAGATCCTCTCAGCCACTTTGTGGAAGAAACACAAAGCAGGTTCACCTAGCTTTCTCTGGACATCATGGAAATGGCCAAAACCTCGAAGCCCCAGGAGGAGGCTGTGGCTAGATTTCAAGGCTAGCATGAGTAAGGAAGGCCAAAGCCTTTTGGATCTGAGGGTCTGTTGGGCATCAGAACTCTGTAATTCTATGCCTTAGGAAATTCTTTGATGGCTGTAACATTCTCGTGTGGACAAGCCTAGATGTGAGTAATGCTTTAATGGGAGTCACATGGGTATTGGTCTACAGATGGGGGAGTTAGTGATTATTCACGGCAAATGTGGGTTTTCTCAATTCCGGCAATTTTTCTAGTGAAGACTTGCCCATTGAGACAACATGGCTCCTTTTTAATGAAATGATTTGCTTGGTTTTTCTTTGACAGAACAAGCCAAACTGGGTTTCATTGTCCAGGCATCCTAGAATTCATTCTTCACTAAAGAAGATCTGCGTGATAAGATGATTACTTTATTAGTTGGGGAGGATAGAAGCAGGACTAAAACTCTAACCTTGAGTACCTCAGCAATACCAGACGGATGTGCGTCTCATTCTAAGTGGCTTTACAGACAATGAGTCTAAGCTAAAACATTGGAGGAAAAAACCCACAGTAATCAACTTTCTTCCTATATCTCATCAAGAAACGTGTGTTGGCCGGGCAGGATGGCTCGTGCCTGTAATCTCAGCACTTTAGGAAGCCAAGGCAGGAGGATCACTTGAGGCCAGGCATTCGAGACCAGCCTGGGCAACATAGTGAGACCCCCTCCCCCCATCGAAAAACATAAAAATTAGCTTTGTATAGTGGCACACACCCATAGTCCTAGCTACTTGGGAGGCTGAAACAGGAGGATCACTTGAGCCCAGGGGTTTGAGGCTGCAGTGAGCTATGATCACACCACTGCACTCCAGCTTGGGTGAAAGAGTGGTGAGACCCACAGCCAAGCGTGTAATCCCAGCACTTTGGGAGGCCGAGGCAGGCGGATTGCCTGAGGTCAGGAGTTCGAGACCAGCCTGGCCAACATGGTGAAACCCCATCTTTACTAATAATACAAAAATTAGCCTGGCATGGTGGCACACGCCTGTAATCCCAGCTACTCGGGAGGGTGAGGCAGGAGAATCGCTTGAACCCATGAGGCGGAGGTTGCAGTGAGCTGAGATCGCACCACTGCACTTCAGCCTGGGTGACAGAGTGAGACTGTCTCAAAACAAAAAAAAAGAAAGAACGAAAGAAACAGAGACAGGAAGGAAGGAAGGAAGATAGGTAGGTTCATAGTCAAAGTAGAAAAGCCTTTTCCCAGTTCGTCTTTTTCAAAGCCACTCCAGGAAAGTCTCACTTAGACAGTGTCCAAGTTGAAAAGCCCAACTGGAAAAGTGTCTGTTGTGCAGTTTCCAGAGGGGAGGCAGCATGGAATCATGGAGGAAAGTCTGGACCAGGAGTCCAAGGACTTAGCTTCTCATCCAGGCCTTGCTACTTATGCAGTGCATGACTTTGATAAAGTCCCTTCACCTCTCTGAGCCTCAGTTTTTGCAATGGTAAAATAGGAATGATATGACCTGCCCTCTGCACCTAAGAAAGTACTTAGGAGATCAAGTAAGGTAATGGATATCAATGTTTTATAAATCCCCACTGAAGGTGGTACTGCAATAGAAGGAAGGAATCAGATCTGTGTTCCAACTCTTCAATAAGTGCCTCCTGTGAACCATTCCCATTGCCTATGAAGTACAGCATAGAAGACTGACCCCAGTGTATTAGGAAGACCTTTTATTATCAGGGAAAAGCTGGAGGCTGTGACAGAAGATTTAGCTTCCGGTCCAGCTACAACAAACTCACCCTATGATTTAGGCAAATAACTGCCTTTCTAGGTCTCAGTTTCTTCATCCATAAAATAGGGATAATAATACCGTCATTTTTCCCACTTGAAAAATAGGAATAATAATTGTCCTACTTTCTTCCCCTATAAATTGGAGATGGTAGGCCAGGCGCAGTGGCTCACACCTGTAATCCTAGCACTTTGGGAGGTCGAGGCGGGTGGATCACTTGAGGTCAGGAGATCGAGACCAGCCTGGCCAACATGGTGAAACCCCATCTCTACTAAAAATACAAAAATCAGCCAGGTGTGGTGGCATACACCTGTAATCCCAGCTACTGGGGAGGTTGAGGCACGAGAATCACTTGAACCTGGGAGGCAGAGGTTGCAGTGAGCCAAGATCGTGCCACTGCACTCCAGCCTGGGCGACAGGCTGTTCCCTAGCACTTAGTTTATACTAGTGTAGCTCAATATTTTTTTAGCTTTTATCTTTGTAATTTTATTTATTTATTTATTTATTTGAGACAGGGTCTTGCTCTGTCACTAGAGTGCAGTGGTGCACTCACAGCTCACTGCAGTCTCGCCCTCCCAGGCTCAAGCAGTCCTCCCACCTCAGCCTCTCTAGTATCTGGGACTATAGGCGCATGCCACCATGTCTGGCTAATTAAAAAACAAAAAATTTTTTTGTTAGAGATAGGATCTCCCTATATCGCCCAGGCTGGTGTCGAACTCCTGGACTGAAGTGATCCTTCTGCCTCAGCCTCCCAAAGTGCTGGGATTACAGGCATGAGCCACCAATGCCTGGCCTATCTTTGTAATTTTAATTTGGTCAAAAATAAGGTTTTGGGGGCAGAAACCCAATTTTTATGAAGTGAGGACTCTTATTCCAATGCCGATCTACTGTGACCCTCGCAATCACTCTGGCAGCTCTCTGCCAGAGTTCTTAAAGGTTGGGGCCTCCAAGAAGCAAAGGCAAGAAGTGGGCAGTTAGTGTTGCATGTCCCATCTTCCAGTGGCTCCTGTGGCCTAGAACAAGGGAACATACTCGAAATGTCAGAGTGAAAACAGAAGAGAAGCACTTACTGATCCCTGCTGCAGTGTTTGTTTTCTACGAACCCTTAGTGGAACACTGACACTCTTCATTCCTGAGAAGATGGGATCTATTAAATAACACCCATCCTCATTTTCCCTCTTGCAACAGCCATTCTTGGCTCTAAGAAGCACCTAGCTATACACTCCTCCCTTTTCAGTACCTTAAAGACCAAAGTCAAACCTTGTTTTTCTGCTGCTATTGATTGTTTTTCTAACTCCTTGAGCTGGTTTTATAACCCTAGCTTTATTGCTGTAGTCTTGGCTGGCTTTGAAATTCCCTATGGATCGCTCTTTTGATAACTTCCTGCTAGGCAAGGAATTTACTATCATCTTTCAGCACTATTAGCAAACCTGTCTCTAGATCTCTCATTTCCCAGCACTTGATATTGTCCAGAGAACAGCAGTTTGGCAGGGGAAGAATCACTGGAAGGGGGAACGTGTCCAAAGTCCTGGAATACTACAAGCAGGTTTTGTAGTCCCTGCTAACCCAGTACTTCTGAATAGAGCATATGGGGACTGTCTGAGAGAGGAGGGCTGAAAGATGTCCTGTTGTCCTATCATAGAACTTTACATAAACTTACAAGAAGAGGAAAAGTCTGTAAAGGATTGGTGGCACTCAGAATCTCCTTTTTCTATCTTCTCTTTGCCTGATAATTATTATCACTAATTTGATGATGAGGAATTATTTCTCTTAGTTTCATTTCTGTAAGCAGCCCTGTTCTGTTGGGAAAGACTCCCAGCACCAAAATTAGGAAGACATATTTGAGACAAATATGTGCTTCCTTTTCCTCTGCATCTAACTTCAGCCTGTGCCCTCTGATCCTATATTTCAGTCTCAGGGCTAGATTGAGGTTGAGTTATGGTTGAGATCTGACCATCAGTTTTTAAAAGCTGAGCGTAGCACCTTACAATCTCCATCTCACTGGTTCCAGACCACTACAGAGAGATCACGGAGGCTTGAGATGTCCTTAGAACACAGTCAAATCCAGCTGACCTCAGGATACTCTAGCTCTGCCTTTCCACCTGGATCCATTTGGTCTCTGCTCCTTTCCTCAGGCATTTAGCAGTGCAGCTGGGCAGAGCATGAAGCAGCACTTTCAAAGCACCCACTCAATGGACCCCGATGACCTCTTTTACCACAAGAAGTGGACAGAGGAACATTTGGGAGGAAGCATGTCAGGAACGGCCTCCACACTCTTACTCCTCGTCTGCGTAACACACAACCCAGCAGCTAGCCATTCAGTACCGGCTGCGGGCCTCACCTCTCAGGAGAAAACCAGCCCCTGCACACAAGCAGAAGTGGATTAGTGGAAAGATTGCCGGATTAAGTATCAGGAGACTGACTTCTAGATCCAATTTTACCCATCAGTAGCTGTGGAATTTGGAGAAAGCCACTTAACCCCTCTATGTCTTAATCTCTTAGTTTGTAAAATAGAGAGGGAAGTACCTGCCCCTCTCCTCTCCCTGAATTCCATAAGGTTGTTTTGAGGGTCACATGAAACATTGGTGGGTAATGACCTTTGAAAGAATGCAGTACTGAGGCTTTGTATGTATTGCATTCCTACACACCACTTCTAAACCACTAGGACTGTTTTTATAGAGTTATTTTATGTTCTTCACCAAGGGTGGGGCCGTCATGTCTAGGGTAGAAGCCAGCCTCCAGGAGTGTTTTCCACACTTGTAAGTCTTGAAAACCCCCAGTCTTGGGGTATGACCGCAATCTGTCCAAAAAATATTGCCCTTTGGCTCATTTTTGAAGCCTTCCAGTGGCAGGTGGTCTCTGAAAACAGCCCACTTTTCCAGCCCTGCCATTTTCAGAGAGTCTTGAAGGCCTTGTCACTTTGGGTGGACCACGTGTCGCTCAGCTGGAGGGTCCTGAGATTCAATACTTCACCATCACTTACTGCGATGTGGACCTAGGCAACTCACTTGGTATCTCTGAGACTCAGTTTCCTCCTCTGTAAAATGTGAGAAATATCTGATTCCATAGTGTCATCCTGAGGATTAAATGAGATGTGGAAAGTACCTGACCAAGTTCCTGGTCAATAAGTGTCAGTTCTCTGCTCCTCTTTCCCCTACTTCAGGGAGAATTATTGCTAGGCACACCTGCCTGCAGATCATTTACATATATCCAAGGCATTTCAGAATCAGATCAGAAATGAGACCACCCTCCAAATGCCAATCCTGCCAACCGTCCTGTCTCTACTGTCTCCCCTCCTTACCCTTGGTGCCTCATGCAGGGAACATCATCGGCTCTGGAATCTTTGTCTCGCCAAAGGGAGTGCTGGAGAATGCTGGTTCTGTGGGCCTTGCTCTCATCGTCTGGATTGTGACGGGCTTCATCACAGTTGTGGGAGCCCTCTGCTATGCTGAACTCGGGGTCACCATCCCCAAATCTGGAGGTGACTACTCCTATGTCAAGGACATCTTCGGAGGACTGGCTGGGTAAGAGGATCTGTGGAGACCTGAATGGTCTAGGGGAAAAGGAGGAAGACATTCAGAAGGAGGTCAGATTGGAAAAAGCCAAGGCCAGGGGTTTCCAGTCTCCAGTGTGCCACGGGGTGCTAGTGAATGGAATGTCTCTTCTGCTTTCCTGCCATGGTTGCTAGTGTAGCCTTGTATCCCCTTGAGGCTCCCGATAATGATGGAGGACCAGGTTTGTAGTTTTGACCTCTATGTTGATCTTAGTGGGAAGGAGTCTATGAGTGAGAGCAAACAGAACTGTGTAACAACACTGACCATAGATTCCCAGAGAAAGCACATCACAAAAACAACGCCCTTCTATCTTGACAAATGAGAGTGGCCAGCTAAGGTAGAGTGCACCCTCTTCTCACACTACCAAGGATAATGGCCTCCCTCTAGAGCTGGGCCCTAATCTTAAATTTCCTCAATTTCTGCATCCCTGCCATTGGTAAACCCTCACCAATGGGCCAAAAGGTGTGGAAGGCGCTTCCCCTGCAAACCCCCACTTGATACCTCTCCTGATTATTGCTTACGTAACCACACCCTTAGTATGTCCTGTCTATCAACATTCTGGGGTTGCAAATTTTGTTTTTCCACCATTGGATGCTGGTGGCCACAGTGATGGAGAAGAGATCATGAAAGGAGAGGAGAGAAAGGAAGAACGCCAAGACTTGTGTTAGTGCTTGTGGAAATTTAACTCTTCATTAAACCATTTTATTGTCACTGCAGAGGGCTGGGTGTCTCATTTGTGGGTGGGGGCAGAGGCTGGGCTCTTCAGCATCCTTGAAAATAAAAAAGAGATGCATGACTTGCCCGGGCTCTCCCCTGATGGCTCTGCGTCCCTGCCATGCCTTTCGGCGGATGTCCCTTTCCTCCTTCAGGTTCCTGAGGCTGTGGATTGCTGTGCTGGTGATCTACCCCACCAACCAGGCTGTCATCGCCCTCACCTTCTCCAACTACGTGCTGCAGCCGCTCTTCCCCACCTGCTTCCCCCCAGAGTCTGGCCTTCGGCTCCTGGCTGCCATCTGCTTATGTAAGTGTCATCTGGGTCTTGGTAGCAAGACAGCCTCTTTTATTATATTTATTATTATTATTTTTAGAAACAGAGTCTTCACTCTGTCACTCAGGCTGGAGCGCAGCCGCATGATCATAGCTCACTGCAGCCTTGAACTCCTGGGCTCAAGTGATCCTCCTGCCTCGGCCTCCCAAAGTGTTGTGGTTACAGGTGTGAGCCACTGCACCCAGTCTGAGGGACAGCCTCTTTTATCCTCCCTGGAGGTCTACATGTCTCTGACTCTCCTAACTTCTCTCCATTTTTTTTTTTTTGAGGCAGGGTCTCACTCTGTCACCCAGGCTGGAGTGCAGTGGCGTGATCTCCACTCACTGCAACCTCCATCTCCCAGATTCAAGTGATTCTCCCACCTCAGACTCCCGAGTTGCTGGGATTGCAGGCGTGAGCCACCATGCCCGGCTAATTTTTGTATTTTTTGTAGAGATGGGGTTTCACCCTGTTGGCCAGGCTGGTTTTGAACTCCTGACCTCAAGTGATCCGCCCGCCTTGGCCTCCCAAAGTGCTGGGATTACAGGCCTGACCCACCTCACCCTGCCTCCTTTTCTTTTCCCCATTACTTTTCTTTCAATTTCCTACAAGTGTGTTTTTTATGAATGGATTCTGCATACAATTGTCTGGTGTTAAAAAAAAAAAAAGAAAGAAACTTAAGTAGCTCCTTGGAGGCACTATGATTTTCACTGGCAGGGTTCTTGACATTACGCAAAGCACTTTCACCTATATTATCTGATTTGGGCCTAATGACAAGTCCATGAGGTAAGCTGGGCCAGTGTTAACATTTTCCCAGAACAGATAAGGAAACAGAGAGCCAGGCAAATGACTTGCCCAGGGAGGCAGGCCACGTGGAGTGCAAGGGCTCCTGATTTCTTGTCTGTCCAGTGCACTGCACTGTGCTGGCTACTCCCAGCTGCTCCTAGGAAGATTACTCTGGCTTCTTGGCAGTAGGTCCACATCTACTTCTACCTCAACTTGTCAAGTCACACTCTTTTAACTCTCTTGGAGAAGGGTTTGTCCATGATCCCTGCCCTTGATGAGTTTTCTAACTAGGAGAAAAGCCATATAGACAGATACTGTGGTTAGGATTCAATTGCAGTAAAAATTCAGAGAAGGGAGCTAGGCATGGTGGTGTACACCTGTAGTTCCAGCTACCTGGGAGGCTGAGGTAGGAGGGTCGATTGACCCTGGGAGTTCTGGGCCACAGTGAGCTATGATTACACCTATGAATAGCCACTGCACTCCAGCCTGGGCAACATAGTGAGATCCTGTCTCTAAAAAAAAAAAAGAAATTAAAAACAACAATAACAATAAAATTCAGAGAAGGGGAAAAGATCTCTGTGGGCTGGAATAGGTTAGAGAGGCTTCCTAGAGAAGTTCTGCAGAGCCGTATTTCTAGGAAGTCTCAAAGCTTTATCTCTGATATTAGTCATCTCAATGGATTGGGGTATTTTACATCTTTAATCAAAAACTAATTTCTAAAGTAAATACTTAGATATGTTTCAGGGGCTCCACCTCTAGGGTTCACTGGGTCCCTGCCTTCCCATAGCTTCTAACACACATACACTTAGCTGAGGGCAGTGATCATCCTGGCCATATGCTTTCCCAGGTCCTGACACTTTTCCTTCTGTCCTGTTACGGGATGGGGGAGGAAGAGATCACTCACCCACCTCAGTAGCCTCTTACAGGGCAGGCAGCTGGGACCCAAGAGGCGGTCTCCTTGGCAAGTGAGCCCTCTTTGGCAGTGCTGGTCAACCCTGGGACAGACCTCCACCACCCAGGCCATTTGCAATATGGGGCCAAGACATTTGTTTGGGGGTGTATTCCTTGTGTTTGATCAGGCCTGCTCACAGATCTGGAGGCAGAGGAATGCAGGCTCCAAAACCAGGCTGCCTGCGCCTGCATCTCCAGTCCACCATTTCTAACTGCAGTGGTGAGTGCTGGGCAAAATCACTCGTCCACCCTACTGTGAGATGGGGAGTGTAATCCTAGCTGCCTCAAGAGGTCGTGGTCACAAGGACTGCAAGAGAGAAGGAAGGGGACACCCTCAGCACAGTGTTAGACACCCAGCACCCCAGTCATATCAGTCACTGGGGGTGGGCAAGATGCTGGGGCCACTTTATCCTTGCATCCTAGCTGGATCCAGAGTTGAGATGGGGAGCGGGGAAGAGCGAGGGCGTGGGAATGCAGGAAGAGTGCTGTTTCTGCCATCAGATCAGCTAATGGGAGGGTGGGAGGCAAGGCCACAGAAGTGCTAGCTACTGCTGTTTTGGTGTTTCTTTGCACACAGACAGCTTCCTTTTTCCTGCTGATGCTGCTAAAGTGTCTCAGACAAGAGGCCACCCTTACCCTTCTACTAGAAATCAAGAACCCCCGAGGCTGTTCAGTTTGCACCCTAGGAGAGGAGCCAGGCCACAGGTTGAAGAAGTTCCCAGGCAGCCAGACCCCATGGCTTTCTTTGCATTCCCCAAATCTGCCAAGGGTTTGACCTCTTGCACAAAGACCCTCCAAAGTAGTGTAGCCTTTTTGGCGTCCCCTCGGACCAGAAAGGTCCAAACTCTCCTAGGAGATAAGAACGCCACCTGCCTGTAGCCCTGCTCCAGAATGACATGTTGCACAGTCCTCTCCACAGCCTTCCCCTCACCTAGACACTGCAAGGACCAAGCCAAGGAGAAATTTAGAAACTGGCTGATGACAAAAATGACAAGACCCCCCTCCTCTATTCCTGTAGTCAAAGATTCAATAAAGCTTATCTAAGTTTGGCCTCTGCCTTCTCAGCAGAACTGCAAGGAAATTATCTCCAACTTAACAGTAGCCAATCTTGTCCTCTAAAGACAGGAATTTTCAATGTCCTTGAAATATGGGTTCAAATATTTGTCTACCTTCATAAGCAGAAAAATCTTAAATCCTTCTTATTCCCAAGCGTAGTCTTCCTTATTTCCTTTAGGGGAAATGGAAACCAGCTCCACACCTGTCCCGCTGCAGTGTCCCTTTCCTCCTAGCTGTGAAGGCCATGTGGAGCTGCCATCCCTCTGCCCGGCAGGGTGCACACGTACATGCATTAGCTATAACAAACTTCCTCTCTCCCTTTCCTTATACCTGACACTCCCAGCTGCTTTGAGTCTGTGTACAGAGGTTCTGTTTTCCGGTTTGTTGAATACTTTTTTTTTTTAATCCACTTCTATAGGCCCCTCAAATCCTCTCTTCTTTTTTTGAATTTTATGGCAGGCCATACCAGATAAGCATCCAATCCTCTCATACGGTATTCAGTAAAACAAGAACCAAGCTGTCAGGAAGGCTTGGTAGATGCTTTTTTTTTTTTTTTTTTTAGATGGAGTCTCACTCTGTCACCCAGGCTGGAGTGTAGTGGCGCCATCTTGGCTCACTGCAACCTCCGCCTCCCGGGTTCAAGCGATTCTCCTGCCTCAGCCTTCCAGGTTGCTGGGATTACAGGCATAAGCCACCATGCCCAGCTAATTTTGTATTTTTAGTAGAGATGGGGTTTCCCCAAGTTGGTCAGACTGGTCTCAAACTCCTGACCTCAAGTGATCCACCCGCCTCAGCCTCCCAAAGTGAGGCCACTGCGCCCGACTGGTAGACGCTATCTTTCATTAAATGCTGGTACTTTTTATTCCAGCACCCCTCCCACCCACCCACCTACCCCCACCATCATCCAGCCCTCCTCATCCTCTTAGCAGGGGCCAGGCAAGCCAGCTACATAAAATAAGCCCAGCCTGTGTCTCTTTTGAGAGACGCAGTAGAGAGTTCCGGTGTGGCGTAAACATATGCACATGGGGAACTCTGCTTCCTGCTGTCCTGTGGCGACATGCTGATGACTGTGAAGCGAGAGGTTTTGAGGAAAGGCCACCCTCTGTGGAGAGGTCATTGGTGTATAATGGAGGGCACTGGAGGACAGGGCACAGGGCCCAGCAGGGAGAGCCTGTGTGGTAAAGCCCGTGGCGAGGGTTTGCTGGGGGAGGGAGGAGATGAGGCCAAGTCTGGTTCCATGGTGGGGCTGTTTTGGAGGAGAACTGATGAGAAATGAAGTTGGGAGGAGCCAGGTGGTGGGGGTGGAGAGGTGGAAAGAACCTGCTGAAACTGGCTTGCCTGCCGGATCCTGAGCGGGTCGGGGAGAGGAGAGGGAGAGGGAAGGAACTGCAGACTTGGATCACACTTATGCAACTGCAGCTGCCACTTCGAGTTATTCTATTATTTAGGTCAAAGCTGATTACTCACTGCTGAGTCAGCAGAATATCCCTAGCCACCCAGCAGTAAAAAAAGAAAAGAAAAAAAAGAGAGAGAGAGAGAGAAAGTATTTTACATTTTAATTAAATAAAAAGCCTTTCTCTCTTCTCCAGAACAAGTATATTAGTGGGAGTGGAGGGAGTTAGGAGGGGACTGGGAAGTGTTAGAACTTGGTTTTGATACCTTTTGTGATCTGCTTGTGTGTTTTTCTCCTTTTGTATTATTTCATGAGTAAATGACTATATTCCCCATATAAAAGATCCAAGTAAGATATAGAGCCAGCAGCGATAGCCGCCCTTATCATCAGCCGCTGGCCAGTAGCTGCAGTCCTAGTGGATAGTTCTAAATAAAGTGCATCTATTACTGTACAACTCTGGCTGCATGGACCTATGTACTGACAGGTTATTCCTACAGCGTGCCCTTTTTTTTTTTTTTTTTTAAGACGGAGTCTCCCTCCGTCACCCAGGCTGGAGTGCAGTGGCGCGATCTCGGCTCACTGCAAGCTCTGCCTCCCGGGTTCACGCCATTCTCCTGCCTCAGCCTCCCGAGTAGCTGGGACTATAGGCGCCCGCCACCACGTCCGGCTAATTTTTTGTGTTTTTAGTACAGACAGCGTTTCACCTTGTTAGCCAGAATGGTCTCGATCTCCTGACCTCGTGATCCACCCGCCTTGGCCTCCCAAAGTGCTGGGATTACAGCTGTGAGCCACCCCCACCCGGCCTACAGCTTGCCGTTTTATCCTGTAGCCACATCTTTTGGCTGTTACCTGGGTCTCTAGTTGTAAACAAAGCATCCACAATGATCCAGAGGAAGCACTGGGTCCAGGGGACACCCTTTCCCAGGCTTCCATCTGTGCATCTGTGCAACTCTGCATTTTCCTTTGGGATCCGTTTGCTCCCCATTCTCTTGGAGACTGGATCACCTTTCATTCAGTCCCCTCCTGGCCTCCTTCCTCTCATTTGGGGTTGGAGTCATGTCCAGCACCTGAAGTGGAATCAATTCTTTTTATTCAAGTTCCCCACTTCTCCCTGAATGTCTTGACCTAAAGAAGTTCCTTCTCCTTCCTCACCCTCAGGAGAAAGAAATATCCTGTATGCATCTCTCAAGGAAAAAATGCTTCTAATCTTGTTTTCTATCTTTCTACTGAGATTCCTAAGAGGCTAGCTTTTTCCAGGGCTTCAGATAGCTCTTCTTCCTTGAGCTATTTGGAAAGGAAAGGACTTCATGTGTTGCTTCAAACTCCTGAGTTGCTTTGCAATTCCTCTGCAGAAAGCCTCCAACTGCCTGGTGCAGAATGCTGTCACAGAGAAACTCGTGAGTTGTTTTGCAAGTCTCTTGCAAATTTAATCAATCCCTTGACCTCAGAGCATTCAATAGTCTTTCCTATCATCTAAATCCCTTAACCTCAGTTTATTTTCCCTTGAGCCTTCACATTCTCTACCCCCAAACTGCTCCTCCCCAGACACTAAACATTTTCCTTCAGATACCTGGGCAGCACTGCCTTCTTGCCCTTCCCTAGTCCCCAGAGAGTTCTTCGGGTATCCGATCAGCCTCGTTTATATGAATTCAGACAAATACAGACTGGCCTACATTTGATTCCCATATATCCAAGACTCCATTTTTCTCTGTACGCCTTCTAACTAGCCAGCATTTAAAATCTAAATGTATTGAAAATCTCTTGATTTTTACTCAATGGACAGTTTGACTAACATCTCATTTTTCATTTTTATGATGCATTAAGATGAAAATTATTCTGTAAGCAGATTTTTTTTGGAAAAGAGAAAGAAACTAAAAAAATCCATCAGCTAATTACCATACTGAACTCCTACACTAAGGGGAGATAAGGTATGATTTATAGAGTCTTAGAAAAGATTAGTCTAGTGAAGAGAATCGTATGCAAAAACACATCATTACAATACAATGTGATGGGGAAAAAATGTGGGCAACACAGAGAACGGGGCTTCAAAGTTGGGAAGACAGTGCTTGGAAAGGCTCCCAGCTTGAGCTAAATGTTGAAAGGTAAGTAGATTTTATCCAAGGAACAGGGAATCACTGAAAGATTTTGAGCAGAGGAGTCACATGATTAGGTTCACATTTGGGAAAGAAAAGACTGAAACTTGAAGCAGAGAGACAAGCAGGCTAGGCATTTGTCCAGGCCAGAGAGATGGTAGCCTGAACTAAGAATGAAGTAACAAGGATGGAGAGATGACAAAAACAAGAAAGATTTAGGAGTAGAATCAGCTGGACATATTGATTAATTGACTACTAAGGGAAGGAATCAAGTTTGTCCCCAAATCAAAATGAAATACGTTTCAACTTAAATGTTCCCAGCATTGATGACAAGCAGTTAGAATGTGTTCTATGTCGGCCGGGCGCGGTGGCTTACGCCTGTAATCCCAGCACTTTGGGAGGCTGAGGCGGGTGGATCACGAGGTCAGGAGTTCGAGACCAGCCTGCCCAATATGGTGAAACCCCGTCGCTACTAAAAATACAAAAATTAGCTGGGCGTGGTGGCGGGGGCCTGTAGTCCCAGCTGCTCAGGAGGCTGAGGTAGGAGAATCACTTGAACCCAGGAGGCGGAGGTTGCAGTGAGCCGAGATTGCGCCACTGCACTCCAGCCTGGGCGACAGAGCTAGACTCCATGTCTGCCTTCCATGTCCTCCCTAGAGCCCCGAGGGGTGCTGAGCAGGTCTCTGGTTAGAACCTTCCCCAGGGTGGTGCTCCCAGGATCCTGCTCAAAATTTTGCCTGCTCTAGAGCAGTATAACTTAGAAAGGGATTGGGACTCTTGGGAAATGTTATATAAATGCAACACTTTATTCACTCAACAAACACTTATCAGTGCCCATGATGGGCTAGTTACTGTTCTTGGCACGGGGGAGACAACAATAAACCGAAAGACTCTCATTCTCATGTGAAGCAGCAGCAGCAGATTTAGCCTTCTTTCTTAACACATATTATACTACACCCACCTGTGTGTCCTCTATTGATGCCGCGGGTAATACACAATCAGTCATACGTTATTAAATATTTGAGTGTCTGTTCTGCTCCAGGCACTGTGGCAGGCATGGGGATACTTAGTTTTTGTACCAAGGAACCCACAGTCCAGTGGATGTTCCTGACAAGTATACAGGGAATTTCAGTTCAAACTGGAGTTCCAGTTCCCCAGGAGGCCAGCATCCAGGCAGCTCCTGCAAGAAAAGTGAGGATGGGACTGGGGTTGAAGAAGCTCTTGGAGAAAGTGACATGTAAATTGAGACTGAAAGACCAGTTGGACATAGTCAGGCAATATTCAGCACGGAGGGAGGGTGGAGTAGAATGGGGTGGGGAGAATGTTCTAGCAGAAGGAATTAACATGTGTCAAGGTCTGAGGACAGGAAAAATCACAGTTGTTTGTGGGAACTACAGGTTGTTCAGTATAGCCACACCATAGACTAGGAGGCAAGAAATATATAATAGAAGCAAGGACCCCATCATGAAAAGCCTCATGGGCCATAAAGAGATTGGGCTTTCCCTTAGGAGGAATGAGGTTTGAAGGGTTTCAGACAGAAGACCGACATGATCATATCTGTATTTTAGGAGAGTCATGCTGCAAAGCTAAAGGATGGATTGGTGAGGGGAATAAGATCAGAGGCAAGAAAAGATGATTACAATTCAGTTGTAAGGATTCAGATTGCAGATGACTATCATGTGCATCTTGGGGCAGTGGGAGTAGAGAAAAGTAGATGCATTTGGCATTTAGGAGGTAGAATTGGTAGGCCTTGGTGATTAAGGTTGAAGGAGTCAAGGACTGCATGGTCTTGTTGGGGATACAGGTGAAGTAAATCAAGGACAACACTGGGTCGTATTGTCTGTACGTATTGTTGTATCATCTGAATTGGTGTGGTTCAGACTGGTCAAGTTGACCCCTCTGTCCTTGTCACCCTTTCTACTCACTCTTCAACACTTAAGACTTGCTGGGACTTGAGAAAGCATCCCCTGTGCTTTTGGACTCTTATGTCTACAATGGCAGAGTAAGTAAGTTACCTGAGAAGTCAGCCTTCTTCTTCGTTTCAATGTGCTTCAACTGCTGGCCCAGATCACCTCCTCTTTCCTGATTCCCATAGTGTCTCTTCTGCTCTTCAGCTTCTACTCTCAGACAGAAGTTCTGCTGTTCAGAGAGTGTGTGTGCCCACACCCTGGAAATGGAGGAATGAGGGGCTTGTTCTGGGAATATGTCTACTTCTGATTGGAAGAACAGTGAATGAGATTGAGGTTTCCTGAAACAGGAAACTGTTTTGGAGTTCAGCTTCCACCAGGTGTGGTAGAGATTTGCCTACTTTCTTGTACCAGCCTAGAAACTTAAATTCTCTGGCCTTTTGTTGCTGACTGTCAAGGATCACTTTGTTTTTCTCAGAGGAGCCAGGGCCCATGGTTTAAATAAAGTCACCCATTAATTGTGTCTGGTAAACTTTTAAGGGTTAATGTGACACACCAAATTTATATCACATACCTAAGAACATAAAATCAGAAGGCTTATGGGAGTGAGGCCCAGTGGTACTTGGAGCTTTGGGGGAAAGAAAAAAGGGCATCTCTGTTATAAGAGTTCAGCAAGTTGTGCTCACTTTAGCGGCACATATACTAAAATTGGAGCAGTACAGAGAAGATTAGCATGGCCCCATGTACAGATGACATGCAAATTCACAAAGTGTTCCTTATTAAAAAGAGAAAAATATCCGGGCGCAGTGGCTCATTCCTGTAATCCCAGCACTTTGGGAGGCCGAGGAGGGCGGATCACCTGAGGTCGGGAGTTCAAGACCAGCCTGGCCAATGTGGAGAAACCCTGTCTCTACTAAAAATACAAAATTAGCCGGGCGTGGTGACATATGCCTGTAATCCCAGCTACTCGGGAGGCTGAGGCAGGAGAATCGCTTGAACCCGGGAGGCAGAGGTTGCGGTGAGCCGAGATCGTGCCATTGCACTCCAGCCTGGGCAACAAGAGCGAAACTCCATCTCAAAAAAAAAAAAGAAAAGAAAAGAAAAAAGAGTTCAGCAAGTTTAAGTACAAGCTACCCTTGGAATTGGGTTATAACTGAACCGTTTTGGGGGAATTTTGCAGCCTGGGTCCAGGTTTATAGAATTTAGTGAACACCAACAGAGCCTACAAGCCTTCTGGTCCAAGAACCAACTAAACCTCACAGGATCCACACCCTGTCTTCCAAGACTGAAATATGATGGAGGGTCAGGCTAGCCCTCCTGGGCTCAGTGCAGACTCAACAGAACCCATTCTCATCCACCTTGCTCCATGTCTCGGGGGACATCAGCCCTGAGAATTGGTGTGTGAGATAGCAATTTTTCAGGCCCAGGCTGAAAAAGTAATGAGTAGGATTAAAATAGGGTTCCCCAGGGTGGCATGGCAGGCCACCCTGGATTTCTTGGTGTCCAGTTTTTCGCTTCTCCCCGATCCAGGCCAGCTGAGGAGCCATGTTTAGCTCATGCTGAAGAGAGAACTACTCAGCTCTTGGAAAATGCTGAGCTGGGTATTCCTGCCTCTTGGCTGAGCTAAATACTGGGTGGTGATTCAGCAGAAACCCCAGCTCCAGCAGCTGGCGCAGGAGCTAACAGGATAAGAAGGAAGGGGAAGAGAGAGCCAGGAAGGGAGGAGGGGAGGGGATGGGGCAGTATGGGCAGGAGCTTAGCTGGAAGTGTTTGGTAAAAGCTGTGTGCCTCCAGGAGCACTCACAGCCCTCACAGCTTCTCTGCACCCTCCTCCTCTGCTGGTGTGTCCTTGGAAGAGAGAGGCCCTTCCGGAAGGCTCAGAGCACCTCCTCTCCTTTGGAGGGGGTTCCGAGATTTCTAAAACGTTGTAAGTGCTTCGAGATGAAAAGGGCTGGAGAAGGGGAAATGTTACTATCGTGCGATAGGCAAGATCTGTTTCAAAACCACACTCCCCACTGTGCACTTTATAGAAGCTGGGATCAAAGCGCAGTTTATGAGGAAGGGCTGCTTTGATTTTTTTTTTTTTTTTTTTTTGTCTGTTGTGTGGCTTTTTGTGGGTTTTTTTTTTTTAACGTTTTTCTCTTTCACCAGTCAAGTTATATGTATAACTTTATCAGACAAGTTATGTTACATGTACAATAATCCAGGTGCGGAAGGACTTTATAATGTGGGCCCCTCACCCGCTCTAAAAAATGTCTTGAGGTGGGGGTGGGCGGGGAATAGAGAAGGATTCTAGGAGGGTTCTGTGAAGCTGGATCCGTGTCTGCCCACTCCCCCACACCTCCAGGCCTCTCTGGGTCTTTGACGAGGAAAGACTGTTCCGTGTGGCCTGCGTGGGCAGAACTGGAACCTTATCAGAGCCTTGGGTTGTGTGCGTTAGAGGTCAAACAGGCCTCCGTGTTTTCTTTGCCTATCAGCGCCTTTTGGCAGCCGGCACTGCTTACCTCCTAGATCTGGAAACGCCTGCGGTTGGACAGGCCAAGCCGAAGCGGCTTTTCCACAATTAGAAACACGTGCTCAGTTCCTTCCACAAGCGGGGGAGGCGGCCAAGGAACTCGGTGCAGCCAATCACAGAGCCGAGCGTAGCCACACCCACGCCCCCACAGGCCCGGCTTCCCTGCCCAGCGGCTCCAACCTCCAGCCTGGGCACCCAGACCCAGAGGGCTGCTGGGAGGGACATGCCTCACCCCTTTTGCTCCAGCTGGAGGGGAGGGAGTCTGTGGGAGCTGGCCAGAGCGTGGCAGAAGGCAGAGAAGTGAACGCCCCAGCAAAAGGTGAGGCTGAGAAGCCAACCCTTCTGGCAGGCCATGACCCAGGTGAAATTTATGGCGTTTCAGAGGGCTGGGGAGCTCCATCCAGAAAGGTGCCTGTTTTGCAGGTTTGGAGAGGAACAGGGCGTTCTGATTTCTACAAAGTGGCGTCACTGCTTCCTTTTTCAGCAACCGTCTGCTTAGTACATTCCATCTTGCTGTTTTCAGTCCTGGCCTCTCTCTGTTCTGCTCCTCTCAAGCCCTTTTTCTCTCCCACTCATCTGCATTGTCCTCCCCTTGCTCTCTCCCGCCCTGTGGTTTCTTGTGCTCTTTCCCTCTCTTCTTCACCATCTGTCTTTATGGACTTTGGCAAGTCTGGACATTTTTCCCCCTTTCTACTGCCTGTTTTCACTTATCTGAACAGACAAGGAGGAGTGGCCTGGTTCTGGAAATGTTAAAGGAAAACCAAGCCTTTCCAAGCCAGTCCAGTCCACTCCTGAGAAAGGTGCAAGCCAGCGAGACCGAGAAATCCAAATGGAGTTCCGGGAGTTTGGAGGGAACATGTGACTGTGACATTGATTAAGGGGGCTGGTGGGAGGGGACCCAAGGTGGAGATCCCTGTGGGAAATGACTTTCTAAAGCCCTGGGAGCAATGGATGCACCTTTCTTGGTTTCTGAGGCATAACTGTGAAAGTCTTCCCCTTTTGCCATATTGGCATCTTCCTTCCTGCTGCACAGAAAGCAGTCCAGGCTGGGGCTAACCAGTGTCTTGGTGACAGACCCAGAGTCCCAAGTGGCACTGGCAGTAGTGACCATGGGTACCACTGACCCAAGCAGGAGGAGAGATGATGTGGGAGCGGCCAAGGGAAAGCAGAGTGATCTGTGTATAATGAAGGAAGGCGGGGCAGAGGCAGAACAAGCAACTGGGAATTGGGCTGTCCCAGTCTGGTCTTTGCTGCGAATTAGCTGGGGTCTAAATTCACTCACATATAAAATGAGGTTCTGGGGCCGCCATGGTGGCTCACAACTGTAATCCTAGCACTTTGGGAAGCCGAGTCAGGCAGATCGCTCAAGCCCAGGACTGGGAAGCTGCAGTGAGCTATGATCATGCCACTGCACTTCAGCCTGGGCGACAGAATGAGACTCCCATCTGTAAAAGAAAAATAAAATGAGGTTCTGGGTCTCTAAGGTCATTCCTGCCTTCTGATCACCCATGAGGCTGGACACAAGCCTTGGGTGGTAGGGCGCAGGCTTCAAATATTTACCTCTAGGGCCAAGAGTTGACTACAAGGAGAGTCCCAACTGGTTCATTCTTCTTAGCACTGTCCTTATAACAACCAATCCAGCCCCGTATCCAGGTGGCCCTATCCCAACCTTTACCCTGTCAGACCAGAATAGTGTGGCTCATCGAGTGGCAGCTGGCTTAGTAGAAGAAATGAGATTGGTTCAGGGATCCATGTGGGAATGTTCATTGGCTCCCTGAGGGAGGCACAAAATGACCCCCTGCTGGCCCAGCTCAATGAGAAGCCAGAGTCCTGTATCCAAAGCAAGGGAGCACCTGAAAACATCACCGGGTGTGGCGGCTCATGCCTGTAATCGCAGCACTTTGGGAGGCCAAGGCAGGTGGCTCACTTGAGCCCAGGAGTTCTAGAGACCAGCCTGGGCAACCTGGCATAACCCGTCTCTACAAAAAATACAAAAATTAGCTGGGCCTGGTGGCACACACCTCAGCTACTCAGGAGGCTGAGGTGGGAGGATCACCTGAGTCTGGGGAGGTTGAGACTGCAGTGAGCCATCATCATGCCACTGCACTCCAGCCTGGATGACAGAGTAAGACCCTGTCTCAAAAAAAAGAAAACATTGGTGGCTCATGCCTGTAATCCCAGCACTTTGAGAGGCCAAAGTGGGCAGATTGCTAGAGCTCAGGAGTTCAAGACCAGCCTGGGCAACATGGCGAAACCCCATCTCTACCAAAAATACAAAAAATTAGCTGGGCGTGGTGGCACATGCCTGTGGTCCCAGCTACTCAGGAGGCTGAGGTGGGAGGACTGCTTGAGCCCAGGAGGCAGAGATTGTAGTTTGCCAACATCAGGCCACTGCATTCCAGCCTGGGTGACAGAATGAGACTGCTCTCAAAAAAAAGAAAACAGTTATCAAGTAGTCTCTCTCTGGGAATAACGTGTACTCTTAGTGAGCTTTTTTTTTCTTTGCTTTTGTTTTGTTTTGTTTTTGTTTTGTTTTGTTTGAGGTGGAATCTCTGTCACCCAGGCTGGAGTGCAGTGGCACGATCTTGGCTCACTGCAACCTCTGCCTCCCAGGTTCAAGTGATTCTCAGCCTCCCGAATAGCTGGCATTACAGGCATGCTAATTTTTGTGTTTTTAATAGAGACAGGGTTTTGCTATATTGGCCAGGCTGGTCTTAAACTCCTGAACTCAAGTGATCTATCCGCCTCAGCTTCCCAAAGTGCTGGGATTACAGGTATGACCCACTGTGCCCAGCAAGCTTTTTGCTTTTTTTTTTTTTTTTTTTTTTAAGAGACAGGGTTACCCAGGCCAGCATGCAATGGCACAATCACAGCTTACTGCAGCCTTGAATTCCTGGGCTCAAGTGATCCTCCCACCCCAGCCTCCCTTGTAGCTGGGACTACAGGTATGTGTCACCACATCTGGCTAATTTTCTGTTATTTTTTAAGAGACAGGATCTTGCTGTGTTGCCCAGGCTGGCCTCGAACTTCTGGCCTCAATTGATCCTCCCACCTCAGTCTCTACTGTCACTGGGATTACAGGTGTCAGTGACTGTGCCTGGCTGTACTTTGTGAGCTTTCCTAGAGGAAGGAGAGACAGCCACAATATGTACCCTCTCCCCACAACTCTGTCTGGCATCCGGGGCACTTGCTGGCCTTGCTTCATGGGCCATCCTATGACATATTAAACCTGATATTTACTCCCTAGAGCAGCACGGTGGCTTCTATGTGCACCCTCCTTGAATTTTCTGTGTAGATGTATCTATCTGTCGTTTCCATTCAGTAAGCTTTAGCGCCTACTGTGTGCCAGACAGGACCTCAAGGCCACACCAGCCACCAGGGGATTGTTTATGGCTGCGTGTGCACCGCTGGCTGTGGACAGTCTCCGTGGGGCCTGAGGAGTGGGGCAGCACGGGCAGCAACCGCACAGCTCTTCAGCTTTCTGCAGGGTGTTCCTCCCTAGCAGACAGAGGCACGTGACTTATAAGACCTGGTGGTATTTTCTTCACTAGTGGAAACTGAGGCACGGGAATATGTTTGACCATCTGGGCTTCTGGTCCAGTGCGTTAGCCTGTGCTCCCCAGCCCCACAGCCTGTACCTGTGACCCACTCCCAACTTCCAGACAGCTGGGTTGAAGGACCCCAGAGCAGGTCATTTGTGAAGGAGCATCCTCCAGAGAAAAAGATGAAACAGATTAGAAATTGAGAAGGGTCAGGGGCACGATGTACAATGTGGTCTGATGCATGATATGGTCTCTAAAATCCTTCAAACCATTCCCATTCCCCGCCACTCTGCTTTGCCTGTGAGTGTCAGCATGATCCTGAGCAAATCACATGCTCTTTTTGACTTTCTTAGTCTGCAGTTTCTTAAGATGAACAATAAAAATAATCATTTAACATTTTATGCAACAATACACAGGATACAGAGTATCGTCACATGATTCAAATGGACCATAGGTTTTACATGGAGAAAAGGGAGGCTCAGAGAGGTTAACTGAGAGTACGTGACTAAGCTGGGAAGGGCACCATGGCCGCTGAGTTCCTCAAGTTCAAAAGTTCTGTGATTCTCAGATTCAGACCTGCCAGGTCCCTCTGAGAGAGCCGACTCTGCCTCCTTCCCTTCATGCTGCTGGTGATCCTCCTCCCCATTCTTACCACTTCACACCTTACACAAGCTCCTCTGAGCTCCGTTCACTTGTTCCACGCCCGAAAAAGACTCCAGAAACCCACATCATCCTTCACTTACCAGGTGCTACTAGGTAGAGTTGAGGGGAAGAGTGATAAGATCACAGCCTCAGCTCTGGACGATTGCAGGGACTTAAAACCAGCTCCACGACTCCCCAACCCATCCTTAAAACCTTCTAAATGAAGATTTATTTGTTTATGCTAATGATTCATTGGTGTTCTATTTCAAAAGGCACTAAAGAAATTAATTTTAAATTGTCTCTTTTACCTATAATCTATAATACTGTCATGCATTGCTTAATGATGGGGATACATTCTGAGAAATGTATCCTTAGATGATTTAGTCATTATGCAAACATCATAGAGTGTACTGACATGAAACTAGGTGGCATAGTCTACTACACACCTAGGCTACATGGTGTAACCTGTTGCTGCTAGTCTACAAACCTATACAGCATGTTACTGTACTGAGCACTGTAGGCAGTTGTATTTGTGCATTAAACATATCTAAACAGAGAAAAGATACAGTAAAAATATGGTCTTATAATCTTATGGGACCACCAAGGTATAAATAGTCTGTTGTTGCCCAAAATGTCATTATGTAGCACATGACTGTATATTGATTTAGGGTTAAAAATGGGTTGACTGAGCCCGGAAGGATACAGGACAAGCTCTTCCAAGGTGTTTTTGGTGTTGTCTACCACAGGACAGTACACGGTGGGGCCACTCTGTCCCCTCTGATGTGAAGAGTGTACTCAGACTCAGGACTCTTGGGATAATAATCTCGTAGCTTTCTATCTTGACTTCTTTTATGGCCTTTGATTGTGGCTTCTGGCCAGTGAAATAAGGAGACCAACAAAATCATGGGGGCAGAAAATAAAGGATTCATGTCTGTGAACATCCTGGCACTCCACTCGCCTTGCAAGAAGTTAGTGATTCTTGGGCCAGTGTTTGCGTATCTGGGTTGTGTGGGTGGGCCTGAAGTTGTAAGGAATACAGGGGAGACTGGGGGAGAACCTGGATTAGATGAAGGAGGGATATTGTATCTTTTGCCCTGGATTTCTCTAAAAGGAAAGAGGAAAAACACTGCTAGAGTTACAAGGCAAGGCTGTTTGCTACTGTATTGAATTACCAAATGGAGGAAGAGGAAATAGGAACACTCTAGCTGTGGGATCCCAACTAGGGTTGGGAAGCTGGAAGAAGTGCGAAGCGGCTATGTGGTGTGGAACTTTGCTAACCAGGTGAACACACTAGTGACCTCACCTTCACTACCCTCTTCTAGAGAGCGCCATCCCTTCCCTCCATCTGGTGTCCCGCAAGGCCTGTGGACAGACACTCTTTTGGGCTCCTGGTGTGTGTTGCCTGGCTGCTGTTTAAAAGCTTTTCTCTTTAAGGGTATGTCCCTGCTGTCTGGTCTTTCTGTATAATGTCTGTCTGGTATCCATTTCCTATTGCTACTGTTACAAGTAACCACAAACTTAGTGGTTTAAAACTATGCAAATGTACTATCTTAGTCCTGAAAGTCAGAAGTCCTAAACTCTAGCGTCAGCAGGCCTGAATTTCTTCAGGAGGCTCTGGGGAGAATTCCTTGCCTTTTCTAGCTTCTAGGGACCTCCCACATTCTTTGGCTCATGGCCCCATCTTTCATCTTCAAAGCCAGCAGTGTAGCATCTTCAAATCTCTCTTTCTCTCTGTCTGATGTTTCCATGATCACATGTCTTTTTATAACTCTGACCTTCTTGCCTCCCTCTTGAAAGGACTCCTGTGACAACACTGGTCCCTCTGGATAATCCAGGATAATCTCCCCATCTCAAGATCCTTAACTTGGCTGGGCGCGGTGGCTCAGGCCTGTAATCCCAGCACTTTGGGAGGCCGAGGTGGGTGGATCACCTGAGTTCAGGAATTCGAGACCAGCCTGGCCAACATGGTGAAACCCGTCTCTACTAAAAATACAAAAATTAGCCAGGCGTGGTGGCGGACACCTGTAATCCCAGCTACTTGGGAGGCTGAGGCAGGAGAATCGTTTTAACATGGGAGGCAGAGGTTGCAGAGAGCTGAGACTGCGCCATTGCACTCCAGCCTGGGCAACAAGAGCGAAACTCTGTCTCCAAAAAAAAAATCCTTAACTTAATCACATTTGCAAAGTTCCTTTTGTCATTTAAAAAACATAGTCACAAATCTCAGGGATTAGAACGTTGATATCTTGGATGGCCATAATTCTGCCTTCAACTGCCCCCCATCCCAAAGAGATATGCTGTCATTGCCAAGGGGAGGAAGTGAAGGAGAGACTTCTGTAATTCCTGGAGATCAAAGTCTGGGATCAGAGCTGGGATGGGGCTGAGGGCACCTTCTCTGTAGGGAACCCAGCCCTCCACAGTGAGCAAGCCAGTTGCAGGTCTGCAGCGAGGACTCTGAATCCCTCTGCCAGTCCTGCAGAAAGCATTGAGCCCATCTCTCCTGCTTGGCAGCTGGGAGGCCCTGGACTCTGGGCAGTGTTCCAGGTTGCTAGAATCTGAGTTTTCCTCCTCCTGCCTGACTCATTATTTGTATCTCTTCTGTCACCTTGATGTTGAGTTCTTCAAACTGGGTGGATTAAGTAACCAGCCCCTGACTTCAGCATCTTCTTGAACTCTTGTCTTCTTAATAGTCTTTCATCTTATTTTTTACCCAGGAAGCAAGAAAGAAAGAGGGGAGGAAATGCCCAAAAAATACATACAAGCCTGGAATTCCATGAGGGCCTCTAAAGAAGCAGTAACCACTCCCGCAACTAGGTTACAACGGACAAGAACCAGTCTTATGACTTTTTATTTTGTCCAGTTGGACCAGGATTATAAATTTCTCCATGTTGCCAGGGTCTCCTCCTCCTATAGAAGGCATCTCTGATTCCCCTGGGCTGAGTTAGTGGTTCCTCATAGATGCCCACTAGCTTCCGTGAATAGCTTTGCCATCACCTCGTTGTTTTGTGGGCATCTCTTACTTCACCCGTCGTCCCTGTTATACTGCCAACTTCCTAAAGGCAGGGACTTGTGTCTTATCAATAACCTCCCCACCAGCTAGAATGCCTAGTACATGTAGGCCCTGCATGAATGACGGATGAGTAGATGGGTGGATGGATAGACAGATGGATGGATGGATAGATGATGGATGGTTGGATGGGTGGGTGGATGGATGGATGATAGATGGATAGATGGGTGGGTGGATGGATGCATGGATGATGGCTAGATGGGTGGATGGGTGAATGGATCTATGATGGATGGATGGATGGATGGATGGATAAAAAGCCCCTCACATTTCAAAGCTGCTATGGCCAATGATCCTCATCTACATGTGGCTTCCCTGAGGTCACTGTGTCTCAGGAATGCGGAATTCAGGGTCTAGCCGAGAAGAGAGGGTTCTAGAATATCATCGTCCGCAACAGACAAGTGCCAAGCAGTAGCTAGCCAGCAGCAGGGCTCCTGACCGGGGCAGGAGCTTGGCGAGCACCCACTGACCTTTCCTCTCTGGGTGGAGGCTCAGGTTTCAGCCTGCTGTGAGGGAAGCTGTCTTGTGGTACCAGGAGACTGATACCCTCTTTCCCCTCAGTCACATGGTATGATCACCCAACTGCAGGGTGAAGGGCCAGATCTGGGGCCTGCAGCCATTGTTCCAAGGAGATTAGGTGTCACAGGCAGCCTGCCTATCCCCACCTCATTCTCAGAATTTCTTCTTGTTTCTGAAAGATTACTGTGAAGGTGAAAGGTTAAATATTAGTCAAGGGCTGAGTTCTTGGGAAGTGATGGAGATAAGGTTAGGCAAGACAGAAGATAGCCACAGATAGGTTATTTTACAAAGCATCCCTATCTCTGTTACCCCAGGAAGACCACAGAGCTGATAGTTTGAAGGTGTCTTTCTGTGACTCAGTAAGGTCCATCTTGTAAAGAGATGATTTCATGTTTTCTTTCCCAGCACACAGGGAGGTGGTCTGCTTGGGGGAGGAGGAATTTCTTTGAGTTGTCCTGCTCTGCCCTTATTTTCCTCAAGCACTTTCTGTCATTTCCTCGCCCTCCCCTCTCCTCCCCTTGGAGAAGGATTTTCTTCCCTGAGATCAAGATCCAGTTCCTTGTTGTGTAATCCTTACCTATCCCTGAGGCTTATGGGGTTTGTTTCCTAATCTTCCTTCCTTCCTTTTATCAATCTCCTTTATCCTTGAGTTACTGCTGTGTCTGCCTGAATTCCTGGGTGAAGGGGCGCAGCCTTGTACCTTGCATGCCTTGGGGCCTAGGGAAGAAGCTGAGATCACAGACCCAGTTGTTTAGAGTGACTTAGGTTGGCTTGTCACCAGGCACATGATCCTGAAATCCTTATTGAATTGAGTAAGACAAACCAAATGTGTATTTATCAGGATGTCAGTCCGTCTGGAACATTTGAGTATTTACAAAGTGTTCTCCCTGCTCGGGCACTTAAAATCCTTCCTCTGACAACATGTTTTGCTTCTCCTTGCATGACATCATCTTGGATAATAGCTCTTCCATGAGGAGTCAGGAGCTTCTGCTCTTGAAGTCAAGTTCCCTGTTGCCCTTTGGCAACATGAAGCCAACTAGGGATTGTGTCTCCTTTTGATGGGGTTCCTGGGGAGCAGAAGAGGTTGATGTGCGCTGTGGAATGTGTAGACTGAGATGATATTGGAAGGCTAATGAATTGTGATATTTTAAAATTCATTTATTAAATACTTGCTGAGCATCTACTATTTGCAGGCGCCAATGATAAGTCCTGAGATTTAAAAACATGAAAACATTTACTTGCCCTTGGTGTCTTAAAAAAAAAAAAATTTTTTTTTCTTTTTTTTTTGAGATGTGGTCTAGCTCTGTCACCCACGCTGGAGAACACTGGCACAATCTCGGCTCACTGCAACCTCCGCCTCCCGGGTACAAGTGATTTTCCTGCCTCAGCCTCCTGAGTAGCTGGGATTACAGGCGCGCCACCACCACGCCCAGCTAATTTTTGTATTTTTGGTAGAGACGGGTTTCACTGTGTTAGCCAGACTGGTCTCGAACTCCTGACCTCATGATCTGCCCACCTTGACCTCCCAAAGTGCTGGGATTACAAGCGTGAGCCACCATGCCCGGCCAGAAGCAGGTCATTTTAATACAAAGAAATGCATCCCGGCCGGGCGGTGGCTCCTGCCTGTAATCCCAGCACTTTGGGAGGCTGAGGATCATGAGATCAGGAGATCGAGACCATTCTGGCTAACACGGTGAAACCCTGTCTTTACTAAAAATACAAAAAATTAGCTGGGTGTGGTGGCGGGCGCCTGTAGTCCCAGCTGAGGCAGGAGAATGGCGTGAACCCAGGAGGCAGAGCTTGCAGTGAGCCGAGATCGCGCCACTGCACTCCAGCCTGAGCGACAGAGTGAGACTCCGTCTCAGAAAAAAAAAAAAAAAGAAAAAGAAAAAAGAAATACATCCCAACATTAGATATAAACAAAGTGGTCTGGGATTGTTCTAGAGAGAAGGAACAAACTTTGTTCCTCGTCTACAAAACACAGCTGATATATCTTCCCTTGCAGGCATGTTGTTAGGAATAAATAACATGCTGAATTATAGAGATTCACAGAACAGGTGACATTTAAGCTGGATCTTGAAAGAGGAGAAGGGGTTTGCCAGGTGGAGATGGCGCACAAAGGAAGGTTACAGACGGTTAATGTCAGGACCATCCTACCCTAACCAAATGTTCTCAGCATCAAATAAGGTTGGGAAATACTTGGAAAGTAGAAGTACCATATAAGAATACGGTACTGATAAAACTTGATCAGCCATTCAAGTGAAGTCAGAGCGACCACACCACCCAGCTTATTTTTAAAATTTTTTGTAGAGAATTACAACTCCCCATGCCACCAAAGAAGATTTGTAAATGGATGGTAAATAAGCACATGAAGAGTTGCTCAACATCATTAGCCATTAGGGAAATGCAAATCAAAACCATAATGAAATACAACTACATGCCTATTAGCCAAAAAAAAAAAAAAAAAAAAAATTGTGTTTAAACTGACAATACCAAATGCTGGGAAAGATACAGAGCAACAGGAACTCTGACATGAGAGTAGGAATGCAAAATGAGACAGCCACTGTGGAAGACAGTTTGGCAGTTTCTTAGAAAGTTAAACACATTTACTCTATGGCCCAGGATCTCATTCCTGGGGATTTACTCAAGAGCAATGAAAACCCCACTCAAAGATCTCTACAATCCACAAAAAGAAAAAAGACATCTACACAAGTATTTATCACAACTCTATTCATAATAGTCCCACACTGTGAGCAACCCAAATGTCTATGGAAAAACAAACAGATACCTTTATATCATAGAATGCTATTTGGCAATAGAAAGGAACAAATTGTAATATATGCAACAACATGAGTAGATCTCGAAAGCATTCTGTGAAGTGAAAGAAGCCAAACACAGAAGACCACATATTATATGATTCCATTTATGTGACATTTTGAAAAAGACAAAGCTATAGGGACAGAAGTCAAAGTAATGGTTGTAGAGGTAGGGGAAGAAGATTTGCCTAACTGACTACAAAGGAGCATGATGCAAAAGGAAACTTTTTAGAGTGTTGGGAATGTTCTATATATGAAGTGCTGAAGTGATTAAGCCATTAAATGCATTTGTCAAATCTCATCAAACTGTACACTTTAAAAAGGTGAGTTTTAGTAAGATGTAGATTATATCTCAATAAACCTAAGTAACATAAGATTCCCCTAAGCCTCTGTTACCCCAAAATCAGGCTCAGGAAGGTGGCTTCCTGACTCCCACCAGCTGCTCACAGCTTCTCTTGCACAAATAATAACTTGAAGACAAAGCCCATACTTGTGCCCTGATCAGATGTGATTTTACCCCCAAAGCCAGTGCCTACACTTCCATGCCTACTTCTGGCTTCCAGCCCTCAGCAGGGCATGCTGGGCCCAAGCTCTAATTTGGGACATATAATCCCCATTTGCAACCCATTAACCTAGCCAAAGTCTCTGGTCCCTGGGGTTGAGCTTGCTGGATGTCTGGCTCACCTACTACAATGTCATCGTCAGGATGAGGGAGCAGTTCTGCTTGTGTGCCTTGGGCATCATGCAGCCAGATACAGCCCCTGAAGGTCTGTTTGGGGGTCTTTCATTTCAGTGCTCCTCACATGGGTCAACTGTTCCAGTGTGCGGTGGGCCACCCGGGTTCAAGACATCTTCACAGCTGGGAAGCTCCTGGCCTTGGCCCTGATTATCATCATGGGGATTGTACAGATATGCAAAGGTGAGTATCGCAGGAAAAACAGGTACTGCCCAGCTTTCCTCCCCTTGCATGTACACACCCTCTCAGCCCAGCTTTGGAAGTATGCCACACCCTGAGATTTCCCCAATTCTAGCCTTGAGTGACTTCTCTTCTTCTTCCCTTGCTTGACAAAAGGGAAGGAGAAACCATTTTCCCCGAGGTGGCTGGGAGTAGGGAATGCTCCCTTTAGGCTGCAAAGGTCACCTCTCCCATGCTTACCTCAAGGCTGTAGCACAGCTAGGTAAAGACCCCACATATCGGCCGAGTGTGGTGGCTCACACCTGTAATCCCAGCACTTAGGAAGGATGAGGCAGGAGGATCACTTGAGCCCAGGAGTTTGAGACTAGCCTGAACAGCACAGCGAGATCCCATCTCTACAAAAAAATTTAAAAATTAATGGGGCATGGTGGTGCATGGCTGTGGTCTCACTTACTCTGGAGGCTAAGGTGGGAGGATCACCTGAGCCCAGGAGTTTGAGGCTGTAGTGAGCTATGATTGTGCCACTGCACTCCAGCCTGGGCGACTGAGCAAGACCTTGTCTCAAAAACAAATAAACAAACAAAAACCCCAGATCTCTAGATTCCTATTGTCTTTTTGCCCCAACCCCAGGGAAGCTCCCTGCATCTTCTGTTGAATCTTGTCCACATCTTAAAGTGGAGGACAGAGAAAGGTATTTTATGTTTCAAAATTACTTATAATCTCTGAGAGAGAGAGCTCTGCATTCCCGGGGCCCCTGCCAACATTCCCCACTGGATTTGGCCCTTTCCAAGCCTGAGGCTATATTTGGTTTCCATGGGACCCATGGCACCATGAGGCTCTGCCCAGCGTCACTGCCTCACGGAGAAAGTCAGGTGACAAACAGGGAAATTTCCCACAAGCCCTGAAGGCAGTGTGGGCAGCCCGGACTTCTACTCCAGGAAACATAATTAAGTTTCTGCTATATAATATGCCTGATTATTTTAAACAGTTGGATTAAGTTCTTTAACAGGTTATATATTGCTTTCAGGCATTTAGACTTAAGGAAATCACTGCGCTATCTTGTCAAAAATAGTGAGTCCCTCCTAAGCTGGCCTCAATTCTTTCTCCTGGTCACACTAATCTCCTTATTTCCTGTCCCAATGCTAAACTGCAGATGAATAAGTAACATATGATCAGTTACTCTCTATCTCATTGAAATTTTAGCCAGTCAGCAGATGATTCCAAGGGCCCACAGTCTGCAGCACACTGTGCTAGGGGGGCTGGGAAGGCAGTTTAAACAGCTCTTTGCTTAAAAATTCCTGTCCTTGGGGAATCTTGAAAAGAGAGACGGCCAGGCATGGTGGCTTACGCCTGTAATCCCAGCACTTTGGGAGGCCAATGCAGGCAGATCACTTGAGGTCAGGAATTCGAGACCAACCTGGCCAACATGATGAAACCCTGTATCTACTAAAAATACAAAAAAAAATTAGCCAGGCATGGTGGCATATGCCTGTAACTCCAGCTACTCAGGAGGCCAAAGCAGGAGAATCACTTAAACCTGGGAGGCGGAGGTTGCAGTGAGCTGAGATCGCGCCACTGCACTCCAGCCTGGGCGACAGAGCGAGACTCCGTCTCAAAAAAACAAAAAAGAAAAGAGAGACCAAACACACACCTCAGAAAGAGATAGGAGGATATCAACAAAGCAAGCAGCAAAACAAGCTTGAACTAATATAGCATTATGGAAACTTATGTTTGAGTGTTTGTTGTTCTGGATGCTTGCTTTTTTTGTTTGTTTGTTTTTTTCTTTTTTCTTTTTTGGAGACAGGGTCTTGCTCTGTCATCCACCCTGGAGTGCAGTGGCACAATCATAGCTCACTGCAGCCTCAAACTCCTGGGCTCAAGTGATCCTCCCACCTTAGCCTCTCAAATAGGTGAGCCTATAGGCATGCACCACCACACCCAGCTAACTTTTTAAATTAGTGGTGGAGATGGGAGTCTCACTATGTTGCCCAGGCTGGTCTCAAACTTCTGGCCTCAAGCATTCCTTCTGCCTTGACCTCCCAGATTGTTTGGATTACAGGCCTGAGCCACTGTGCCCAACCCTGGATGCTTCTTCATGAAAATGTAGAAACTTAGAGAAAGTGGTCAGGAGATTACCAATGACTCCAATCCTGTATTTCCAAAGCCCAATTTACCATGTCCTTTCCTTTTAAATAACTTTGCCTTTTACAAAAGGAGCATTCAGAACGGCACTTAAACCCTCATTTGGACTCGTAGTTTCCGGGGTCTCGGAAGCCCTGGACCTGAAATTCCCTGCTCCCTTTATCCCAATTTATCCAATATGTTGGGTTCACTGGAGACAAGACAGAGTTGGTGTCATTGCCACAGGGAGGGGTGAGAGGTGGGCCAGGGCAGGCCAGGGGCTGCTGGGCCCCTGACTTGTCTCACTGAGCGGCCTCCTGTTGCTTGTGTCCACAGGAGAGTACTTCTGGCTGGAGCCAAAGAATGCATTTGAGAATTTCCAGGAACCTGACATCGGCCTCGTCGCACTGGCTTTCCTTCAGGGCTCCTTTGCCTATGGAGGCTGGAACTTTCTGAATTACGTGACTGAGGAGCTTGTTGATCCCTACAAGTGAGTTGAAAGAGCCTGGCTATTCCCTCTCCCTTGAAGGGCCACAGCACCTGCTGCTGGAAAGAGGGAGCAGGTGTCCATTGCCCACCTCGCCTTCCAAAGCCCCATTCTAACTGTGATTTGATCTATCCTGAAGTCGTAGTTCATTTCCCAGGCACTTAAACCATTTGCCGTTCACCCCACCAGGAGGAGGAAAGGATCCAGTGACTTTCCCAGAGCAGATTAGAAGCTGAAAACTGTCCTGCAGTAACACTACTGCCTTAGAGAATGAATTGTGCCCTGAGAGGCTTCTGGGAATCTTGCTTGTTTCAGGACAGGCCGGTCTTGGTGTCTTGAGGCAGGGGGAAAAGGTGCATTGTGGAGATTCAGGTCAAGATCAACAGGTGTGGAGCGTATTTCCAACCTGAGTTGTTTTATTGCCTTCATTTTTTTAACTTATTTTTTCTTTTGTTTTGTTTTGTTTTTAGACAGGGTCTCACCCTGTCACCCAGGCTGGAGTCCAGCAGTGCAGTCATAGCTCACTGCAGCCTCAGTCTTCTGGGCTCAAGCAATCCTCCCACCTCAGCCTCCTAAGTATCTGGGACTACAGGCACATGCCACCATGCCCAGTTAATTTTTTAATTTGTAAAGAAGAGGCCTTGCTATGTTGCCAGGGCTGGCCTCGAACTCCTGGGCTCAAACAATCCTCCCTCCTTGGCCTCACAAAGGGCTGGGATAATAGGTGTGAACCACCACGCTCAGCCTCATTTCCTTTAAATTATCCTGCCCATATTGAGACAAAGCCCACCTCCCAGGGAAAGGAAGCCTCACAGAAGGCTGTAAGGCTACACGCATGCAGAAAGACAGAAGACACCCCCTGGACTCCATGGCAAGGCGGGTGTCCCGGGTGCCAGCCCTTCCCCTCACCTCCTCTCCCTCTACAGGAACCTTCCCAGAGCCATCTTCATCTCCATCCCACTGGTCACATTTGTGTATGTCTTTGCCAATGTCGCTTATGTCACTGCAATGTCCCCCCAGGAGCTGCTGGCATCCAACGCCGTCGCTGTGGTAAGAAATGAAAGTCCCAGAGTCTCATACCAGGAATGCAGACATAGACTTGCCTGCTGTAGCCCCACTCACTTTTCCCTGATCCATGGCCTTGTGGAAGTGGAAATCACCCCCAAGTTCTCAGGGCAGAAACCACATATGTCATTGGCTGGGGTATCTTTAAGTGCCCAGGAGCAAACAGGTGGCTGGGTTGTACCTAGAACAGCTACAATGGCAGAACCGAGTCATTGCCACAGAGACCGCGTGGCCTGAGAAGCTATAAGACATTTACTATCTGGCCCTTTACAGAAAAAGTTTGCCAACTCCTAGTCTCGGGCACTTAAAGCTCTAAATGTGAGAGTGGTATGAAGCAGACAGGCCCCTCCTCAGAAAGACATAATCTTGCACAAGACATGCCTTTTCTCTCTGCCTTCTCCTCCAGAAGCAGAAGTCAGGTGTGCTCTTTGGGGAAAGAGACCATGCTGGTGCAAGGGGTTGGGATCCTTCACATCTAAGAAGGACCTGGGAGGCACCTTGCTCCCTCACCTGGCATCAGGCTGGGCCACCACCCAGCCTGCCAGTCTCTTCACTGGCCTTATCTCAAAAGACTGTAAAGAAAGAGGTCCTCCCATCTCCTGGGGCAGCCTGTTCTTATGACCAACAGCCTTCTATTCTGAACAATCTCTCCTTGGTAATGTGCTGTAAACCTGGCTCAGGGAATATAGAAAAGGCTGGTCTCCTGCATTGTATAGTCCTTAAATACATGAAGATTCATCTATAGCTTCACAGCCTTTTCTTTCTCAGACTAAGGAGGGGCTCATTCCTATTATTTTACCCCCAACTCATCTGTTTTGATGAATTGAGAAATTCTCACCCTGTGATTCTGGATTAATCCCTATTTTGCAGTTGGAGACAGAGGCTCAAAAATCATAAACTTTGCTCAAGGTCTCACAGCTCCTAGCTGGAGGGCAAGGATTTGAGCCTGGATCTGCCTGACAGATCTGCCTGACAAGCCTGTGCCCTTCCCTGTGCTGGAGAAATCATATAATGTATGTAAGGCCTGGATCACACCACCTGGCTTCCAATGCTGGCCCCTCCACTCGCTGGGTGTGTAATCTTAGGCAAGCTACTTAATCACTATGTGACTCAGTTCCTCACCCATAAAACAAGATTAGTAAGTGTTAGTTCATTATTATTATTACCAGTGTGTACTACCTCCTTCAGTTAATTAGCCTAAAACATGCATTAACCACCCTGTGTAGGGGTCCACCCTTGAGAGGGTGGGGGCAATTAAGAAGCTTGGCGAGAGAGAATTAGCAAGGGTGGAGATAGGAGAAACGGTTTCCCAGAGTGAAGTGGGAGCTGAGGGGTCGGGGAGTGGTGACCTCTCCTTTGCTTATCTCCTTGGTTCCTCTCCCAGACTTTTGGAGAGAAGCTCCTAGGAGTCATGGCCTGGATCATGCCCATTTCTGTTGCCCTGTCCACATTTGGAGGAGTTAATGGGTCTCTCTTCACCTCCTCTCGGTGAGTGCTGCCTGGGCCCTTCCCCGGCCAGGGGCCACTCTGCTGTGCACTTTGCTATTTGTATATGGTGGGCTTGTCTCTGTCAGCAGGGGTCTGTGTGGGCATCTGGATGTTGGGCTTGCAGAGGGGTGACTGCTCACATGAGGGCGTGTGTGTCAGTGTGGATGCTGAGGAGTGTGTGCTGCTCACGTGGTCACCTGCGATGTGTGTGGCATACGGGTCCTAGGTGCTTCACATGTAGTGGCCTGTCTCATTTCAAAAGGAGCAGAAGACAGAGGAGGCCGCCAGCCTGCCTGACGCCGCCCCCAGTCAGTGGCTGTGGTTGGCAGCAAGGCAGTATCTTGGCTGCAGTCCTGTACCTGTAAACAGGCTGCTGCTGGCTAGAAAAGAACCCCATTTGGAAAGGGACCAAGAGGGAGACTTGTGCCTGGGGCCTCTGGGTCTGGCCTCCCATGAATGTTCTGGAACTAGCCTGCAGGTGGGATGGCTTCACCCTGATTGCCCCAAGAATGCAGAGCTCCTCCCTGCTCAACAGAGAGGTGGCTGTAGAGGCCTTTTTGAGGCCACCCATGAGACTCAGGTGGAGAATGTGAAGTGAGAGGGTGGGGAAAAGTGGAAAGCAAACATTTGTCCAAAGAAAGAGCCTTTTATCCGTGACCCCCACCCCAGAGCACTCTCAGAAGCCAGAAGTGCGAGCGGGTCCACGAGTCCCAGGTCCTGCCTCCATGCATCCAGGGACCCGGCCCTTTCTTTTGCTGTCTTCAGAAGGGGCTGTTGAGGCTAGCAGATGTTGAATGACTTCCATTTGTGTGGTTCAAGGGATCCTCCCAGGTTCTTAGAAAGCACCCCCTGCCCTCAGAAAGTACAGTCCTGCTCCAAAGATGAGTCCGTGAGTTCAGCTGCTTCCAAAGCCGTCACATCAGGAAGAGTTCCTGTGAAATAACAAGGGAGTGCAATGTTTTTAGGACCCAGGGCTGGAAAGAGGTGGTGTGGGTGTCCCCTGTACCCCGGGACCCTGTGACGCTCACCCACAGCAACCTCGTGTGCATGTTACACAGGAGCAGTGGCCACACGGAGGCCCCGCCGAGGCCAAGCGGTGGAGGAACAGTGACCCGTGAGGCTCCCTGAGATCTATTGGAGGAGAGTGACTGGCTACAGTCACTTTAGAGTGGGGTTTGTCCCTCAGGCAGGCCTAGCAGCGGTCTGCGTGCATGTGGTCTAGTCGTGTGTGCATGCAGGAAACGGTGGCGCATGGTGTGCTCCACCTCCGATTCAGAGGCCAGACCTCACCCACCCAGGCCTCCCCTGCTCATCTTTCCAGTTCCTTCTTCCTTCCTTCTCCTTCCCTCCTTCTTTATCTCTCTGTCACTCCTTTGTGTTCTCGGGTAGGGAGAGGATGATCCTTCCTGAAGAGTCAGAGTGTGTGGATGTGTGTTATGCTTAATGTCATCGTCTCCTCCGTTATCGGCTAGCTGGGCAAGGACTGTCTCTTGTGAACCTGACACTTGCAAATGCTGTTGGATCTGGACAATTACACTTGGTCTTGTCTGCATGTGGAGGGGGGACGTGAGTGCAGGACCCTGGCTATGTGCACGATGAGCCCCACAGAGCACCTGGTGCATGAGACTGCCCTGTAGAGGGGCAGTAGCATGGGAGAGGGGACAGGGATGTGTATGGCTGCATGAAACTAGTGACACCGGCCTAGGGAGTTCATGATGGTTACTGCTTATGGGTACTTGGGGATACAGTCAGCTCCCACACTTCTGATTAGCTGCTGCTGTTCGCTTCAGTCTACTCCATACACAAATTACAAAGTAAATGACTATTCTCCTCTGAACTCCCAGTGTGCTGAATATGTGCCTTTTTGTTCCTATCAAGCTGTACCCTGCCTGTCATCCCTTAGGTGGGCCTTTCCCCAGAAAAAAGAAAAAAGTGGTCCAATTTGCACTGACATGTAAATTACTGTTGACAGCTTCTAATATTCACTTTTCTCTTAGGAGAGTAAAAGGGAAGGAGGGCTGATTTTTATGTTCAAGTTTCATATTCATATGTATATAATAGATGTACATATTTTCAAGCTACAGATGATGTTTCAATACATTGATATAATGTGTAAAAATCAAATCAGAGTAATTGAGATATCCCATCTCCTTCAATATTGTCTTTTCTTTATGCTAGGAACATTCAAATTATTCTCTTAAAATTTTTCTTTTTTTTTTAAGGCAGAGTCTCGCTCTGTCGCCCAGGCTGGAGTGCAGTGGCGCAATCTTGGCTCACTGCACACTCTGCCTCCCGGGTTCACGCCATTCTCCTGCCTCAGCTTCCCGAGTAGCTGGGACTACAGGCGCCTGCCACCACGCCTGGCTAATTTGTTGTATTTTTAGTAGAGACGGGGTTTCACCATGTTAGCCAGGACGGTCTTGATCTCCTGACCTCGTGATCCGCCCGCCTCAGCCTCCCAAAGTGCTGGAATTACAGGCGTGAGCCACCGCACCTGGCCTAAAACTTTTCTTTTTAAAAATAACTTTTATGTCCAGGCGCAGTGGCTCACACCTATAATCCCCAGCACTTTGGGAGGCTGAGGCGGGCGGATCACAAGGTCAGGAGTTTGAGACCAGCCTAGCCAATATAATGAAACCCCACCTCTACTAAAAAAAATACAAAAATTAGCTGAGCGTGGTGGCAGGTGCCTGTACTCCCAGCTACCCAGGAGGCTGAGGCAGAAGAATCACTTGAACCCAGGAGGCGGAGGTTGCAGTGAGCCGAGATCGTGACACTGCACTCCAGCCTGGGCAACAGAGCAAGACTCTGTCTCAATAAAAATAAAAAATATTAAAAAAATAATAACTTTTAGGGCTGGGCGTGGTGGCTCACGCCTGTAATCCCGGTGCTTTGGGAAGGCAAGGTGGAAGGATTGCTTGAGCCCAGTAGTTCCAGACCAGCCTGGGCAACAAGGCAAGACCTTGTCACTACAAAAAATTAGCAAAGAAAAATAAGTAAAAAATAAAATTGATTTAAACATCAATATCCTAGTTGTGATATTATAATATAATTGTGTAGCATGTTACCAATGGAGGAAACTGGGCAAAAGATACATAGGATCTCTCCTTATTATTTCTTACAACTGTACTTGGTTGTAAGATTCACTGAATGCAAATCTACAATTATCTCAAAATAAAAAGTTTCATTTTTTAAGTTAACTGAGCACGGTGATATGTACATGTAGTCCCAGCTGCTCAGGAGGCTGAGACTAGAGGATCACTGGAGCCCAGGAATTGGAGGCTGCAGTGAGCTATAATCACGCCACTCTACTCCAGCCTGGGTGACAGAGCAAGACCCCATCTCTAAAAATTGGAAAAATAAAAAGTTTAATTTTTTAAGTTAAAAAATCTTTATTCTGATTATAAATATTCCATCTATTTTAGAATTTTATTCATTTTTTCCTTTTCCTTATCTTTTCTTTTTTTTTTTTTTTTTTTTTTTGGAGACAGGGTCTCACTTTGTCACCCAGGCTGGAGTGCAGTGGTGCAAATACAGCTCACTGCAGCCTCAACCTCCCAGGCTCAAGTGATCCTCCCACCTCAGCCCCCTCAGTAGCTGGAACTACAGGCACGCTCTACCACGCCTGGCTAATTTTTGTATTTTTTGTAGAGACAGGGTTTCACCATGTTGCCCAGGCTGCATTTTGCGATTTTTAAAATTTTTTCTCTAATGTATAAGGAAGAAAATTAAAATTAACCATAATTTCACCACCCAGAGACAATCAGTTAGCATTTTAATAAATAGGCCCATAAATAATCTTAAAATTAATTGGCATTTGGGTGTGGTGGTGCACACCTGTAGTCCCAGCTACTTGGAAGACTGAGACAGGAGGATCATTTGAGTTTGGGAGGTCAAGGCTACAGTGAGCCATCATCGTGCTACTGCACTCCAGCCTGGGCAACAGAGCAAGACCATGTCTCAAAAAAAAAAAATTATTTGCATTATAGTTTTCAGTCCTGTTTTTTCATTTGATGTTATATTTTGAGCATATTCTCATGTAATCAAATTTTTTCAAAAACATTATGACTACATAATGTTCCCTTTTTTTTTTCTTTGAGACAGAGTTTCACTCTGTCATCCAGGTTGGAGTGCAAGGGCATGATCTCTGCTCACTGCAACCTCCACCTTCCGGGTTCAGGCAATTCTGCCTCAACCTTCCAAGTAGCTGGGATTATAGGCACGTGCCACCACATCTGGCTAATTTTTGTATTTTTAGTAGAGACGAGGTTTCCCCATGTTGGCCAGGCTGGTCTCAAACTCCTGACCTCAGGTGATTCACCCACCTCAGCCTCCCAAAGAGCTGGGATTACAGGCATGAGCCACTGTGCCTAGCCCATAACATTTCATCTTATGCCAAATTCATTTTATCGACCTCTTACTTTTAGGCACTTACGATATTTCCAATTTTTTCTTTCTCTTTTTTTTTTTTTTTTTTTTTGAGACAGGTTCTTGCTCTGTTGCCTAGGGTGGAGTGCAATGGCACAATCACAGCTCACTGCAGCCTCAGCCTCCCAGGCTCATGTGATCCTGTCACCTCAGCCTCCCGAGTAATTAGAACAACAGGCACATGCCACCACACCTGGCTAATTTTATTTTTATTTTTTGTAGAGACAAGGGTCCACTATTTTGCCCAGACTGGCCTCAAACTTCCGGGCTCAAATGATTCTCCCGCCTCAGCCTGCCAAAGTGCTGGGATTGCAGGTGTTACCCACCGTGCCCAGACAGGATATAATTTTTTTAAACTCAATCCCACAAGACAGGATATAAATTTTTAAGTACAATTTACATACAATAAAATATGCAGGCTGGGCGTGGTGGCTCATGCCTGTCATCCCAACGCTTTGGGAGCCCGAGGTGGGAGGATCATTAGAGCCCAGTTCGAGACCAGCCTGGGCAACATGGCAAGACCCTGCCTCAATTTTTTTTTTAAAAAGCAGATCATAGGCTGGGCATAGTGGCTCATGCCTGTAATCCCAGTACTTTGGGAGGCCGAGGCGGGCAGATCACCTGAGGTCGGGAGTTCGAGACCAGCCTGACCAACATGGAGAAACCCCGTCTCCACCAAAAATACAAAAATTAGCTGGGTGTGGTGGCGCATGCCTGTAATCCCAGCTACTCGGGAGGCTGAGGCAGAAGAATCGCTTGAACCTGGGAGGCGGAGGTTGCGGTGAACCAAGATCGTGCTATTGCACTCCAGCCTGGGCAACAAGAGTGAAACTCCGTCTCAAAAAAAAAAAAAAAGCAGATCATAAATGTTCATTTTGATGAGTTTTGTGGGGGTTTTTTTGTTTGTGTTTGTTCATTTTTGTTTTTTATTGTTGTTTTTTAGAGGCAGAGTCTCACTATGTTGCCTAGGCTGGCTTTGAACTTCTGGGCTCAAGCAATCTTCCTGCTTCAGCCTCCCAAGTAGCTAGAAATATAGGTGTGTGCCACTGTGCCTGGCTTCCATTTGATGAATTTTGACAGTTGTCAAAATTCAACCACTACCCAAAACAAGATAGAGAACATTTCCACCACCAATTCCCTACTCCCACAAAGACAACTAACTACTCTCTGACTAGGACAAGAGTGTTTTTAGGCCAGGCGCGGTGGCTCACGCCTGTAGTCCCAGCACTTTGGGAGGCCGAGGCAAGTGGATCACGAGGTCAGCAGTTCAAGACCAGCCTGGCCAAGATGGTGAAACCCCGTCTCTACTGAAAATACAAAAATTAGCTGGGCATGGTGGCACACACCTGTAATCCCACCTTCTCGGGAGGCTGAGGCAGAGAATTGCTTAAACCTGGGAGGCGGAGGTTGCAGTGAGCCGAGATTGCAGCACTGCACTCCAGCCTGGGCGACAGAGTCAGACTCCATCTCAAAAAAAAAAAAAAAAAAAAAAATAGAGTGTTTTTAAAGCTTTCCATATGCAGTTCAGTCCCAGTGTATTAGGGAATCTGCATCCTTTGAGGATGTGAGGAATGCTTTTAAAGAGATGAAGATTTTAGGCAACAGACAGAGGCTGCTCCTGCAGCCTTCCAGGCATTGGGAACACCCCACTGAGTGACAGTACAATTATCAGTAACCCTGAGCCACCCATACCACATTCAGGGTCTAACATACCCAGGGTTCATCCACTTTTCCACTGGCTGCCTCTGGTTTGCTTGCACCTGCATTTGTGAACACAGGTTCTGTGACTGGTGGGGTGGAAAGTATGCATGTGAAGGCGGGTGCCTGGTTGGAGTGGGGATGCCCCTGTGTGGGCAGAAGGTAGGCAAGGATGAAGGAGCTGGGGCTTGGTGGTCCCTGGGTTATCCCAGGCTGACCTGCTTTTCTCCCTGACAGGCTGTTCTTCGCTGGAGCCCGAGAGGGCCACCTTCCCAGTGTGTTGGCCATGATCCACGTGAAGCGCTGCACCCCAATCCCAGCCCTGCTCTTCACAGTAAGGGCCCTTCCTGCTGTAACTCTCCACACACCTCCCTCTCTTTGTGCCTAGTCTAAGCTGGGAGTTCATGCTTTTCACACACACCCCTGTTACCCTTGCAGTCTGCTGCTAGGTCTCACTGGATCTTAGAGGATCTGGCAAATGATACCCATCATCTTTGTTAATATCAAGAGATATAGCAAGGAAAGATCCTGAGTCTTGAAATACCTAAGGCTCTCAGGCTGACTTATTTCCGTTCTCCCATCCTTTTGGGTCAGACTGAACTGACTGTCTCAGGATTCTACAGCCTCAAAAAAAATATATCTCCCTTGGCTCTCCTCGCACCTGTTACCACAGGGTTGCAGCACTGGCCTCTGCTCCTGGCTGGTTGGTCCCTGCAAACACCCACTTCCCCCATCAAGCTTCAGGGCAGCCTGCCAGTCTCTTGGGAAACATCATTGAAATGAAGTTAGTGTTAACAGTACACCAAATACGAAAAATAATAGAGGAAGACTGATAAACTGGAAACTGTGCAAAGGAAACTTGGGACAGGAAAGAGATGGGAGTAAAATATCCCCAGAGTAGAATCATTTTGAGAGAGCTATAGGAAGGAACAAAGACTTGTCCCCATTGAGTCTTTTGAGTTATTTTTATTTTCCTTCTGGATCCTGAATAAAACACTAAAAATGACTTTGGTCCACTGGTGAAGCAGTTAGCAATCAGAATAACAGAGCTCTTGGGAGCCAAGAGCATTTTACAGCATTGCTGTACAATTTCAGAATGTTCAGATGCAGGATGAAGGTCACCTTGACTGGTTGGTTGTCGAAGGTGGCTGGAGAAGACAGTACTCCCAGTGGGCCACACACATTTTTTTGTTTTGTTTTGTTTTGTTTTTTCCAGTTAGAGCTATTGGTGCAGTAGTGTGACTAAAAGGCAGATGTAGCAAGAACCATTAAAATCTTCTCGATTATTTTAACCATCGGATCTCACAAGAGAACAGAACCTTTTGTTGACCTTCACAAGTTATCAGAGGGGAGGAGCATGGTTCCAAGAGAGCCACAGAGATGATTTTGAAGTTGGAAAGTAGACTCTGTCAAGAAAACCTCATAGGGATGTTATGAGGGTTAAGTGAGTTAATCTTTGTCAAATGCTAAACATAGAGACCTGGCACACAGTAAGTGCTATGTAACCAGTTTTGAAATTAATAAAGAAAAGGAAGGAAGAAAAATAGATGACTCAGCCAGGAGAAAAGGATGAGGGCAGGAATACAGCCTTAATCTGTTGTTAACAATCTTCCCTAAGGGATTTTAAAAAAATGAATTTAGCTTGAGCTATAACCAACAGAGGCATACAAATGAGACCGGGGCTGACACAGAGCCAGGTAATACCAGTGTGGCCAGTCTAGCTGCTTATGTCCAGTATCCATTCTAATTGGCTAGTGCCCGTGCCATACGAGTGGTTAAATATTTTGATCATCACCCCTGTAATAAGAAAGGATTTCCTAGCAATAAAGATGTTGTAACATATTGGGTTACTAGGGGAGGTTCTAAAGTCTCCATTTCGAGACATCCATTATACGATGGCATCATCTGCCTGGAGGCTGGGGGACAGCCCCTAATCTGTAATACCAGTCTCTGAATATCTTTCGGATCACTGATGAGCTCCTCCCACTTTCCCAGTGCATCTCCACCCTGCTGATGCTGGTCACCAGCGACATGTACACACTCATCAACTATGTGGGCTTCATCAACTACCTCTTCTATGGGGTCACGGTTGCTGGACAGATAGTCCTTCGCTGGAAGAAGCCTGATATCCCCCGCCCCATCAAGGTGAGAGAAACTCCCTTTGGGGTCCCCTCCCCTTCCTCTATGGTTCTAGCTGCAGTTCAGATTTTTAAATCACCTCTGTTCTTAGCTGCTGACCACACGTCATCATCTCTGATGGTAGCAGACCCTTTGGAAAGCAAGGGCCATTTGTGAATGGGACCACTATTTCCATTCTCCACTGGGGATGAGATCGGAGCAGACTGCAGCTGGGGAATAAGTCAGATCAAATGTGACTTTCATCATGACATTCCTTTGTTTCCTACCAGTCTAAGCCTTAAACTCCAGCTGACTTTTCAAGGTTCTCTTATCTCCCCAACACTTCCTCCTTGTCCCTCCAGATAGCTGGGTTCACTATGTGCTATGTCTCCATCCCAGAATGACTTCCTCCTCCCATCTGCCCATCTACATTTTAACCATTTTCCAAATGCGCCTCAAGTACCTCCTCTTTCTTGAAGTCTTCCAGTCTACTGCAACCTCCCATGATCCTCCCTTTATAAACTCCCACAGTCCTACACATATAGGGTGCTCAGTGAACCTAATATTGCTACAAGATATAACTCTGTGATAGGAATTAAAGGGATTGCTCAGAACAGGACATGCTAGAGCATTATGAGTTCTCCTACGAATTAGAAGAATAGAGTGTACTCCAGAGCTATTTGAACAATCCTATTCTAGAAACAGTGACTAGATGCTTCTAGAAGATCCTTCCAGCTGAAAAATCAAAGGCTCTCCAAATCTCTCAGTTCCTCACTGGCATTTCCACCGCCATTTTCTACTCTCACACTTAGAAAATCTGCTAGAGGGAAGAGGAGGTAGAATAACCCCATGTCCCCACCACACACATCCCTTCTGAGCGAGGAAGACAAGGAAGAGAAAGGCAGCCGAATCAGGACTGCCCCTGGAGCCCTGAAGAGGATACTCTCAGGAACTCCCCACATGTGGCCCATAAGGAGCTGACATTTGCCATATTGTGCCCACATAAGGGCCCTGCACAGAAGTGGGCAAGGACCAGGGAGCCTGAGTGACTCGAATCGTCTCCTGCCTGCACCTTGTGCATTGCCACACCTCCCCTCCACCCTAGGACCTCAGCAGACACACCCATGTGCCAGCAAGCTTCTCCATCCCTGTGGGCTTCTCTGGCTGCCACGGGCACATGGCATGCATGATGAGGCCTTGTCTAACCACACCCAAGAGCGAGGACATGGGCAAGGAGGATCGTTTCCTCCCTAACTCCTCCCCATCCTCTTCCTGTCTGACCGACCATGTTCATCAACATTTGTTTATATAGCCCCTGCCCTACCAGGGGTGAGTGTGGGACCACAGAGCCGAGGGAAGCCCAGCCTTTGCCCTTGAGGATGTGTCTCTGTGGGTGAAGAAGAGAGAGAATGCCCCAGTCCCTAGTCCTGGGGGCCACGTGGCCTACACAGTTCATACGCCTCATGCCTCTGCTCCACAGATCAACCTGCTGTTCCCCATCATCTACTTGCTGTTCTGGGCCTTCCTGCTGGTCTTCAGCCTGTGGTCAGAGCCGGTGGTGTGTGGCATTGGCCTGGCCATCATGCTGACAGGAGTGCCTGTCTATTTCCTGGGTGTTTACTGGCAACACAAGCCCAAGTGTTTCAGTGACTTCATTGGTGAGTTGTTGGAGGCTCTGGCTGGCTTCAGGGCCTCCTGGGCTGGAATGCAGTGGTCAGTGATGGGGTTGGGGAGCCACCAGGGCCAGGAGATCTAGGCTCACCTTCTCCTCAGTCCACAGAGCCCTGGAAGAGTCCAGAGCAGGGGAAGCAGATGCCTTTTCCCAGAGACCTCTGAGGGTAGAGAACAGCTGGCATTTCCACACAGACCTTAGACCCGCAAGAATAGGCAACCTGGGCTGGGCACAGTGGCTCACGCCTGTAATCCCAGCACTTTGGGAGGCTGAGACAGAGGATCACTTGAGCCCAGGAGGTTGAGACCAGCCTGGTCGACATAGCAAGACTCCATCTCTGTTATTAAAAATTTTAAAATAAAATAGGCAACCTGTCAGCCATTCTGTGAGAGCTGCCCGAGGCTGGGTGGAGACCAGAGGAGACCCTGGACTTAGGGGTCAGTGGGCACAGGGAAGGTGGGAAGGCTGGGGCCTTCATAAGCAAAGAGTAGCCGGCGGGAGATGCAGGAGGCAGACCAGGTGGCGAGGATTCTCTTCAACGCACTGACTGCTCTGAAGAGGCAGAACCTGGAGCAGGAGAGCCAGGAAGGGCCGGGGCCACTTGGCCAGGTTGGTGGGATACTCAGCATTGGCCTGGTTTCTGTGTGATCTCTTCCTACAGAGCTGCTAACCCTGGTGAGCCAGAAGATGTGTGTGGTCGTGTACCCCGAGGTGGAGCGGGGCTCAGGGACAGAGGAGGCTAATGAGGACATGGAGGAGCAGCAGCAGCCCATGTACCAACCCACTCCCACGAAGGACAAGGACGTGGCGGGGCAGCCCCAGCCCTGAGGACCACCATTCCCTGGCTACTCTCTCCTTCCTCCCCCTTTTATCCTACCTCCCTGCCTTGGTCCTGCCAACACATGCGAGTACACACACACCCCTCTCTCTGCTTTTGTCAGGCAGTGGTAGGACTTTGGTGTGGGTGGTGAGAAATTGTAAACAAAAACTGACATTCATACCCAAAGAACCAGCCTCTCACCCCAGGGTCCATGTCCCAGGCCCCACTCCAGTGCTGCCCACACTCCCAGCTGCTGGAGGAGAGGGGAGATGCCAAGGTGCCCTGCAGGACCTCCCTCCGGGCCACACCCTCAGCTGCCTCTTCAGGAACCGGAGCTCATTACTGCCTTCCCTCCCAGGGAGGCCCCTTCAGAGAGGAGAGGCCACAGGAGCTGCATTGTGGGGGGACAGGCTCAAGCAATTCTGTCCCCATCAAGGGGTCAGCTGGAGAGACCCAAGACCCTATCTGTTCACCAGGGACCCAAAATCCAAGGGGATGCTTCCCTCTGCCCTCTTTCCTGCCCCTCCCCATCATACCTGCACCCACCCCAGCCAGGGCTCCCTGTCCAGAATTCGGTTCTCCTCAGGACGCCAACTCCCAGAGCTAAGGACCAAGGAGAAGAACAGCCTCTCCACCCCCAAGCCAGGCGGTTGAGGAACATATTGAGAAAGGTTCAGATTGCAGAAACCCAGCCCTGCCCCTGCCTCCTGCATCCAGCCCCCAACATGGTGCCAAAGCTTCCAGAAGCCAAAAAGCTTCTGATTTTTAAGGTAGTGGGCATCTCTCTCCTAATGACGAAGCTGCTCAGCAACTCCACCTGCCCGCCGCAGGAAGGAGCAGTCCCCTGCTATCCCTGCAGCCACTCCCAGCACACCCGCACACAGCCAGCACCACCGCCCCCACCGTGCACTTCTCCTCTCTGGGCCTTGGCTTGGGACCAGGTACGAAGGATCCCCAAGCCCTTCAGGCCTGAGATCAGAGCCAGATCAGCCTTAAGTCACCTCCCATCCAAGAACTTGGCCTAAAAATACTCCCCTATTTCTAACCCTCAGGACGGATCTGATATTAAATGCCTTCCCTGGGAGGAAGGGTGCTTTCCCCCTCCCTAGAGGTGCCCATTCCATACCCTGGGAGACTGAGGAGAGCATTGGCTGAAGCCCAGTTCCTTTCCCATCCATCCCCAACTCCAATAATCCCCCACTCCTCGCAGGTCTCAGTGTCATGCTGTCTTGGGGCAGGGTGAAAGGGTAGTGGCAGCAGGGCGCCCACTCTGGAGATCCTCAAAAAAGGCCCTCCTCTGTGGCTGGCAGCCTCTGACCTTTCCCTGGGCTTCAAAGGAAGGCTATGGAGTTTGCTGTGGGCCCTGCAACCTTCCCAGCCACTCCTGCTGCACTAAGGACTTAGGATCCTTTTATCACAAATCGGGATTCTCTCCCCCACCCCGAATTCTGTCTGCTTAAACTGGAATACACAGGAGCCCTTCCTGGCCTGGATGGTGTCTCCCAGCTTCCCCGCCCAGCTTGCCCACCCCATAGTTGGTGAGATGCCAAGTTTGGTCTGAGTTGTGACCCCTTCAGAGTAGATGCCCGGCAGGCTGGGGTTGGCCCCTGGAGGGTCAGGGGACCATCTTCTTATTCCCTCTTTTCTCATTCCTCCAACTTCCTCCCCTCCTTCAATTATTTTTTTGTAAAGTTGATGCCTTACTTTTTGGATAAATATTTTTGAAGCTGGTATTTCTATTTCTTTTGGATTTTTTTTAATGTAAGGTTGTTTTGGGGGATGGAGTTAGAACCTTAATGATAATTTCTTTCGTTTGGTGTAGGTTTTAGAGATTTGTTTTGTGGAGAGGTTTTTTTCTTTTGATGTAATAAAATTTAAAATGGAAATGAAGTTGGTGGTGTTGGTAATTAAGTAACCTTTTGAGACAGAGTCACCAGGCATTTCCTCTTAGGAGATCTTGCCAGGTTCCTTCCAGAATGACATTCCTAAAAGCTCTCGCTCTCTGTAACTTCTAGCTATCCTAGGGACTCAATGCCAGTGCATTCAAACCACTGACTCTCATTCTGAACCAAAAACATCAAAAGACAAAAGTACAACGAATTTACAGATCTCAATTGTTTACTGTAATTCTGGAATCAGGCAACACTTCATTCCATAAAATAGAATACATATTCCAATGAGTTGAGCAGAAGAGGTTGGCTTTACAGACAGGGAGGGCTGAAGAAAGCTGGTTAGTCACTTTTCGAAGTTGCTTTTCTTGGCCGGGCACAGCGGCTCACTCCCGTAATCCCAGCACTTCGGGAGGCCGAGGAGGGAGGATCTCTTGAGCCCAGGAGTTTGAGACCAGCCTGGGCAACATAGCAAGACCTCGTCTCTACAAAAGATAAAATTAGCTGGGCATGGTGGTATGTGCCTGTGGTCCCAGCTCCTTGGGAGGCCGAGGCCGAAAGGAGGATGGGTTGAGCCTGGGAGGTCGAGGCTGCAGTGAGCTATGCTTGCGCTACTGCCCTCCAGCCTGGGCGGAAGAGCAAGCCCCTGTCTCAAAAACAAAAACAAATTTACTTTTCTTGTAAGGTGGGGACAGGGAGACGGAACAATAGAAAAATAACTGATTAGTTCATATCAGGATCCTTCAGGCTGCCTTGTTTTGTGTAAAGATTAAAGCAGAGGGAACTTCATTATCATGTCCATTGAATATTGAAACTGGCCTGTTTTAATTGGCTGTTATGTCTCTCTCCTGATTTCTAGGAAGGTCAGATAACAACTTAGTTTAGATTTGGTGATGTGGAACTTTAGCATGGGTGATTCTATTTTGATTTTTAGCCTGGTCTGTGGGGCCTAGGGCAGGAGCTTAGTCCAAAACCATGGCCTTCTGTAATTTTTTATTTAACAACACTGTCTCACTCCTTCTTGGAGTCATGAAGTGTTATTAAGTTCCTGCTCTGTGCACCGTACTGAAAGCCTGCAGACTAACTGGGAAGAAGTCAACATTGCCCAGGGTGGGACATGGGCAAGGGAGAGATGGCATCCAGCCAAGTTGAGGGAGGCAAAGGCAGATGTCCTCCCAAAGCCTGATCAGCAAAGGCTTCTCTCATCAGCACAGCCTGAGCCGAGTCTGTGGAGAGAGTCAGGGTCTGAGGAGCTTGATGGGAGGGCCTGGGAGGTAAGGCTAGGTTCACTCAGCTGGACAGAGCCATCTGAGAAGAAGAGTTAGCTCTAGGAGGAAGAGTAGGAGGACCACTGGACTAGGACAGGGGAAAAAGGAAAAAGTCGTTAAGGTATGTATAAGTACTTCCTGGCATTTTGGGCTAACTGCTAGAGGAAGTTGATGGGATTAGCCCCAGTCCTTGCTTTGTGTCCCTGTCTTTATGGGCCGCCCTCCTGGCTGCGTGTCCTGGGACAGTACCATTCCAGAGCCAGCACTGCTGGCAGATGTAGGGCAAGGGCGGGAGTAAGGGGGTGGTGGAGGGGCAGTGGTGTTAAGACATCACCCTTCACCATCTGGAACACTGTGAGGACACAGGCAGGCAAGATGCCGCCACTCCCAGTCCTGGCCTGACGCCAACACTCCTGCTTTGTGGCTGTCATTCTTCCAGACAGGCTGGAAGCTCGCCATTCAACAGGGACGCTGAGCTGGGAGGCGGGCCACTCAACAGCTGTGTGTCCTTGGGCAAGTCACCTCACCTGCTTAGCATTTTGAGAAAGAAAGAGAGCTGGACCTAATCTCAAACAGTTCCTCAATCTTCCAACTTTAGGTTGTCCCAAAAGGCAGAGGCTGCCAGTCTTGTCCAAGCCTCACATGTGCCCTTTGGGCCCCTCTTTCCCAGCACACACACCTTTCCTTTCCCTTCCCTGGACTGCCCCAGGCTCCTCCCTGTTGCCCCATTTGAGCATGTCCTGTCCCTCATCCCTTCTACTCCATGAAGGCACTTGTCCTTCAGGAGCACCTTCTCTTTCTGTGACACCTGCTGATCTTTTCAACCTGGTCAAATGGGCAAATGTGGGTCTCCTCCTGGGCAACAAACATTTACTTTTAACCTGGCCATTTCCCGTCTTAACCCTGCCAGTCACTTTAATCCTAGGAGTTTCACATGCTCTGACTTCAGGGAATTTGGGAACATTTTGAAAGTCACTGAAATTGTAGCTGCTTATGCATTCATTTATTAATGTGGTCACACGACAAATCTTTCTGTGACCATTCTGTCAAAGACTTTGCTATATGCTGTGGAAATAGCAAATTTTTTCCTGATTTTTCTAAGTCAGCACAGACTTCAAATATTTTCTTCCATTGTCTCCATAAAGATATTCACCTGTGTCAACCTGCCTGTCCTTCTTTTTTTTTTTGAGACGGAGTCTAGCTTTGTTGCCAGGCTGGAGTGCAGTGACGCGATCTTGGCTCACTGCAACCTCTGCCTCCCAGGTTCAAGAGATTCTCCTGCCTCAGCCTCCCGAGTAGCTGGGATTGCGGGCACGTGCCGCCATACCCAGCTAATTTTTGTATTTTTTTTTTTTTTAGCAGAGATGGGGTTTCACCCTGTTAGCCAGGATGGTCTTGATCTCCCGACCTCGTGATCTGCCCGCCTCAGCCTCCCAAAGTGCTGGGATTACAGGTGTGAGCCACTGCACCCGGCCCTGTCCTTCATTTTAATTCAGGAAATATGGTCACCATAGTTGAAGAGGTCCAAAAGATGTAACTGACCCTACCCTCAAAGAGCAAATAGTTTGCCAGGGGAACGAAGCCAAGGATACGCACGGCACACATATGTGTGCGCTTCCTGGCTCTACAGACCACCCATGCCTTGTTGGAACCACTGCCTGTGGGCCTTCCTGCTGGGCAGTGAGCCCTACTGGCGAGGGCTAAACCCAACACATCCCCAGACCCCATGCAGTGCCCCATGAGTACCTATATGCTCAAAAATGTTTGTCAAACTGACGCACCACACCAGGCAGCAGGTAGTGTCTGTTTAGGAGACACAGATAAAACTGCAATGAGAGGTCAGAGGAAGAGAAGAAGGAGACTTCACATTTACTAAGACCAGATGCATGACATACATTATGTTATTCACAGTTTAAATTAAACAACCCTATGAAGGAGGTATTACTACTGCCACCTTGCAAGGAAGATTAAGTAACTTGCCAGGGTCATGGAGCTGGTCAGTGACGGAGGCCAGATTTGAGCCCAGTTCTCCCTTAACACTTCACAGCCATGCTCAGTTACCTTCCTACTGGGAAAGTCTTGATTCACCAAGGAGGTGGCACTGGAAGGAGGCCTGTTACAAAGTCACTAAGATAACAAACATGCATCATTTCAGTTAATCCAAAGAGGTAGTAACTGCAGTGGCCAAGGAAAAATGATCCTGCTGACCCGGCAGAGCTTCTTTCCTCTCCTGAGCAAGAATCCCCCAGCCGCTGACTGGCACTGCCCTCCCCACCTCCCATTCCTGTCCAGAGCTCCCCTTCCTGTCCAGAGCTCCCCCTACCCTACCCTGACATCCAGAGCCCTGCCTGCCCCAGCCAAACCCCTGTTACTGGGAAACACTGAGGTCAGCATGCCAGCAACGTCAGCACTAGCCGGGGAGGCCAGGGCAGAGATTTATCTCACCATGGCTAAAGCTGCTGACTTTCTCATTTCCTGCGGCTCTGTTTGCATACCTCCCACATCCTCCTGTGCCCAGTTCACTGAAGCTACTGATGCAGACTTCCCCCTCCCCACGGTGGCCAAATGAGGGCCAGGAAGGTTCTCCGAGTCACATAGCAACCCCTTCCCATCCTTTCAGCCAGAGACGAACCAGGCATCCTCCTTGGATGACCTTGGGTAGCTCAGCCTCTCAGCCTTGTTTTCCCTGTTTATAAAGTAGGAATAAAAATACTGTCTGCCTTGCCTACCTTCCCGCATAACCCACAGGGAAAGAGCATGAAAAAGTGTAGGTTTCAAGGATTGAAAAAGCATTAATTTATCAGAAAGCACAAGGCCTATTCATTATCATTATTTCAAAGTAGGGGAGGGAACAGAATTTCTCCTCATGGAGACAAGGCCCTGGACCCAGTACTGGCAGGCTGCTCATTCTCCCTGGAACTGCACTGCAAGACCCCATCCCAGCCAGGTTTCCTCTTCCTCCTTCCAGATGCCCCGCAGGAGCCTGCCGAGAGCCAGCGCTGTGAGAGGCTGCCCTCTGCTGTCCACCTGAGTCCGGACCACAGCAGCCCTCCGAGTCCGAAATATTGGGGCCAATATTGCCACCTGGTGGTCAACACAAGCACTGCCACCAAACTGAGAGCTCAGCTTTGAAATGGAGAAATCTCCCTAATTCCTGACATCTGTCTCTGGGTTACACGCAGATCTCCCCACACCAGGTCACTGTGCTTTCAGATAAAGCATATCTGGCCATGTCTCAAGTCATGCACAGAGAGCATCTGGGGTAGGTGTTGGGGTAGGGAGGATGTAAGGAATATGCTAACCGGAATATGCTAATCAGAATATGCATTTTTAAAATTTTAATGTTCAATGCGACACACATCCTCTCTGCACTTGTCCTACTGTGGCCCACTCACAGTGAACCACCCCTTGTTTGGCCCAACTTACAAAAACTTCTGGTCCCTCTGGGGCACCCATAGCACTTGCTGGTCATAAAAGAGTCAGTAACATTTCTATGTGTCCTTCCCCCCCCCCCCCCAACTGGACCTACAATCCCTTTTGGAGATGAAATTCAACAGGTAAAAGCAGTACCAGAGCAGGTGTCTCTGAAAGGAGGTAGTGGGGAGTTCCCAAAGGAAAGAGAAAAGGGAAGAGGAGAGCCAGCACAGAACAAAGAATTGCAGAGAGGGAGCCATGGGCTTCTCCTGGAGACCCTAAAACAGAGCCCCAGGAAGAGGTGATGACATAAGAGGCTTCTCAAACCTCACAAGAGGAAGTAGACCCAAGAGACACGCATTGGAGATCAGAGAGCGGCCATGCAAAAGGAAAGACAGCAAACGAGCTGCAGCAAGCTCCTAAGCCCTGCAGCCCAGGCACAGGAAACCAGAGGCAGAGCCTCAGGCCCAGGGTGAGGGGCGAAGCACCAGCCTGAGCCTCTTGCAGCACAGAGCAGCTGGAAGAGAGAAGTGCTGGAGCCACCGGAGGATTATGGCTGTCTACTCCGAGGGCAGCAACCTGCCTAGGCCTGCGGTGCAAGGCCCAAGTCCTGACCAGGTGCTTTGGCCAAGCCCAGGGAGTTAGGAAGTGTACCAGGCTGCTAGAGGTAGCTAGGGCTGGAAACGCACTAACATGTGGGCTATTGCACAGCTCCTGTGCAAAAACCTAGCAAATGAGCATGCTCTGGAGCACCACGCAGGCTCGCGTGTAGAGCTTGTTCCTAGGACCTATCACTACTCCCTAGACCCCTCAAAAAACAAACCCTGGCCTACACTCAGAGAATGCTCTGGGAGGTGGGGCTACAAAAGAAACTTTCTCTTGGGGGTAGGTGGAGCCCAGCAGCAGGGGAGAGCCAGAGGAAGGCGTGTCAAGGGAGGAGGTGAGACCCAACTGAGGGTAGGCACTGGAAGAGGGCTTTCTCTCTTCACTCTAACTTGGAACCTCATTCTGCATAGAACTTTTTCAAAGTCGGAGGGAGGAGGTTGCTCAGAGTGGGGTGTTGCCCTCTGCGAGGATTTGGAGTCCCCTGGCCTCCCAGCAGGGAGTGGAGAGGCATTCCCAGAAGCATCAGCTTCGGGCATCTCCAGAACCCTGGCTTGGTCCCTGACCAAGGAGTGTCCCCAACTGCTGAATAGGCCAGGAGTCGCCTTTCTCTAAGGCTTACATCTCTCCCTCTGGGGTGTGTCCTGCCCCTCCCTGAGTCACCCCAAGGGGAGAGAGGGGAAAAAAGGGAAGAGAAGAGAGGCATTGACTACAGAGGAAGGAAAAGGAAGCAGAGCAGAGGGGGGAGAGAGGCCACACAGGAGTGGGTGACAGAGGAGACTGCAGAGGGCAGGTCTAGGGCAGAAGATCGAGAGAGGGCAGGCCCAGGTCAGGAGGAGGTAGAGAGAGGGCAGCCGGAGCACCCCAAGGGGTGCCTCAAGAGCAGGTGGGGGCGGGGAGCCGAGGGGGCGGGCCGGCCATGTCCCACGGGACCTACTACGAGTGTGAGCCCCGGGGTGGCCAGCAGCCACTCGAGTTCTCAGGGGGCCGAGCTGGGCCCGGGGAGCTAGGGGACATGTGTGAGCATGAGGCCTCCATTGACCTCTCCGCCTACATCGAGTCTGGGGAAGAGCAGCTTCTCTCCGATCTCTTTGCCGTGAAGCCAGCGCCTGAGGCCAGAGGCCTCAAGGGCCCCGGAACCCCTGCCTTCCCCCACTACTTGCCGCCTGACCCTCGGCCCTTTGCCTACCCTCCACATACCTTCGGCCCAGACAGGAAGGCGCTGGGGCCTGGCATCTACAGCAGCCCAGGGAGCTACGACCCCAGGGCTGTGGCGGTGAAGGAGGAGCCCCGGGGGCCAGAGGGCAGCCGAGCTGCCAGCCGAGGCAGCTACAATCCCCTGCAGTACCAAGTGGCACACTGTGGGCAGACAGCCATGCACCTGCCCCCAACTCTGGCAGCACCCGGCCAGCCTCTGCGCGTTCTCAAGGTAAGAGCAGGCCAGCCCTCCTCCCTCCTGCCCGGGGCTGGAGAGGCTGGTGTGGACAGGACCCTGTGCCCCGGCTCATGCTGCTGAGCCTGTGCTTGGTGTCGCTCTGTGAAATGGACCCAACCCACAGTCCTCTGTGTTCACACCCCACCATGACCTCCCTTTCCTTCTCTGTGAATTCATTCCCACCCTGAATCCCCACCCAAAGCCCCTGTGGCAAGCTGACCTACTTGATCTCAGGCCCCCACCGCCAGCCTCTCTGCTGCTCACCATGCCCCCTCCTCTTGTTTCTCTGCCGCCTGCTTCTGTGAGAAATGTCTACTGGTCATAGAACGGGAGACTCAAGGCAGATTGAGGGAAAGTGTACTCAGAAAGTGTGAGAGCATTGGCTGGGTGTCGTGGCTCATGCCTGTAATCCCAGCGCTTTGGGAGGCCAAAGCAGGAGGTTCGCTTAAGGCCAGGGGTTGGAGACCAGCCTGGACAACATAGCAAGGCTCCATCTTTACAAAAAAAGAAAGAAAGAAAGTGTGAGAACATGAAAGGGAGTTTTGGTCTCAAGCAGAGGACCCTGTGCATCTGGGTCACCATCTCCCAGAAGCAGAGCGATGATAGTTTTGACCTGAGAGACAGGAGCTGGCTCTGAGTCCTGTATTCCTTTGACGCATCAAGTGTGCCCTGGCTGCCGAGATTCCCGCCCCGCCTCCGCTCTGCCTCCTGGCCAGCCCTCACCTCTCCGTCTCTCCGTGCCTTCCCCTCCAGGCCCCTTTGGCCACTGCCGCACCCCCCTGCAGTCCCCTCCTGAAGGCGCCCTCCCCGGCTGGCCCCTTACACAAGGGCAAGAAGGCAGTGAACAAAGATAGCCTTGAGTACCGGCTGAGGCGGGAGCGCAACAACATCGCCGTGCGCAAGAGCCGAGACAAGGCCAAGAGGCGCATTCTGGAGACGCAGCAGAAGGTGCTGGAGTACATGGCAGAGAACGAGCGCCTCCGCAGCCGCGTGGAGCAGCTCACCCAGGAGCTAGACACCCTCCGCAACCTCTTCCGCCAGATTCCTGAGGCGGCCAACCTCATCAAGGGCGTGGGGGGTTGCAGCTGAGGCTGGCTGGTGGATTGTGGGCACCAGGCTCCCTGGCACGGCCTAACTCTGCGGACCCCCATCCTGCTGGGGGCCTAGAACCCTGAGACATAGACCATGGATAAATGGCAACCGGGGTGGCAAAGAGGGCAGGACCCAGCATAATGATTATATGGCTGAATAAAGTTGCACTGTGACTGGGTGTTGGGACTGTTGGCTGTGTGTGTGTGTGTGTGTGTGTGTGTGTGTGTGTGTGTGTCATGGAGGACCCTGGGGACAGAGGATGCATGTGGCTAGGTCTGCACCTCTTGTTTCCATGACCAAGTGGACATGTGGAAACACAGACATGCTGTCCACAGCCCACCCCCAATATACCACACAGCCAGGCCGTGTATCTGTCACTCTGCTCTTCTCTCCCTGACATCCCCCATCACCCCCTTCTGTGAGCTGAAGGCACATCCCCGCCCCCCACAGGACCTGGAGCACCTTTGTATGCTCTGCTAACAAAGATCTTCAGCTTGTAGGGAGATCCCGGCACCACACAGTCCTTCATGCCCAGGCCTGCTGATCCCAGGCCCACTCTCTCTCACCTTGAGGTATAGGTCTGGGAGCTCCTGCCCCAGGTGACCATGGGAAAATTCCTGATGGCTCTGCCATATTTATGGTCCCTTGATCCAGCCCGCCATCTCTTCTCTCCATTTCCAAAGCCTCAGTCTACCAGATGGACACCCTCCCCACGCTGCTCCCACCCATTCATTTCCATCCTTTGTCCCTCATCCCTGAGGCTCCAGTTCCCTAAAGCTTGAGAATTGAGTGCATGGGACAGGAATCGGTTGGGAAAGACCTGGAGACCGGATTTGTGTATGAGAACACTGGTAGTGAGAAGGAGGATGACAATCTGCCCGTGCCAGGGAAACCCATCATTCGAAACAGCATTTTCTTTTGCATTGGACTACAGCCTAAGAGACAGAATGGTACAATAATTAAGAGCCTCAGTTTGAATCTTACACTGCTACTTACTAGCTGTGAGCCTTGAGCCATTATGTCTTTCTGTGCCTCAGTTTCCTCATCTGCAAAATGGTTGCAATATTTGTCCCCACTCCGTAGTGTTGTTATATTCATAGAAAAAGAAAACTTTGCATGTAATAAGCATATTTATTATGATTCCTCCATTTTGCTGGAACTGAAAGGACCTCAGAGATCTCATCTAAACTCATTTTGCAGGTAAGAAAACAGGCTGCAAAGAGGGGAAGGGACTTACCTGGAGTCACACGATTGTTTAGAGGTAGAACCAAAATTGGCTCTGTAAAATCGCAGATCTCAAGATGTGCTGGGAGAGACCTCAAGAGATCATCTGGTGGGCTCTGCCCTCAGACCAGCAAGGTAGGGTGAGCCACATTTTACAGATAAAGCAGTTGAGGGCCAGAGGGGTAAGAGGCTTCTCCTGACACTCACTGAGTCCCTTTGCTGCCTCAGTACGTGGTACCTGTCTCTCTACTCCACGCTACACTCTTCTCACAGATCCTCAGTACGAGTGTCACATGAATCACATTCAATAAAGAACAGTGCCCAACAGTGTCAGGGACCCAGGGACAGATTACGGGCTTCTTAAAGTCTCTCCTAAGCCAATGCTGTGAAAGGCTGAGTCAGACATCAAGGAATAATTTTCTGAGAAGGTGAGAGACTGGTGTCTGGATCATCCCAGATCTCTCTCCCTTCTTCAAATCTCCAGCGGTAGAGCCCTCCCACACCTCGGGCATCCGTGTGCGGCATGTCTACCTTGCCCAGGACTCAGTCCTTTTCCTGCCTTTGCCTCTGTGTCTCTCGGGCACCTCTGTGTCCTGGAGGCCCGTGCCCCAGGTCTGGTTTGGAGGGAGAGATCTGAACCTTCAGTGGAGGGACCGACTGGAGCTTCCTGAGTTCAGAAGGAGGGGAGGTACCAGTCTCTGTGGGCACCTGGGAGAATCCTCACACCTTCCTTTCAGCCCAGGGGGATAGGTTGCATAAGGGGGGTTTGTACAGAACATGGTAAATGACTCAACCTCCGGATTTCCTCCTCTCAGCTCAAGACCACTGTCCCTTGACTTACTTTCAAGGTTCTGGGTGATGGGACCTGGGTTGCTTCAGCATGAAGCCCAGGCTTTGTTCCCACAGCTCTGAATTGCTTCTCCTCTCAGGCCCCCGCTCACCCAGTCAGGTCCTCAGGGCCGGTGCCTAGTGGAGCCTTCCTGACTGGCACCCAGTCTGGGGGAGTCACATCCCCGTCTCCCCACTGTGATCCCAGCGTGACGTGCAGCAGCTGAACACATCCCAATCCTCTGCATCAGATCATATTCCAGGGGTGTGAGTCAGAGCCAGAGGGCACACTTCCTGAAAGAGGCTTTCAATCTGACCTCAATTGGTTTTGGCCAACGTAACTTATTCAACAAGTATTTGTTGAGTATCTTTTCTAGGAATGAGACAAGTTCTCAGCAGAAGGAGTAGGAAGAAAAAGTCAATAAACAAGTGTGCTGAATGTCTTCCTTTGCCCCTCCAGAACCCTCTCCACCCTTCATCACCCTACACAGTCCCCAGGTGGATGCCTCCCTACATCAACCAGCCTCTCATGGGGTGGGGGTGAGACTGGCAGGAGGAGAGTGGTGGGAGCCCCCTGCTGACCGGCGCTCTCCACAGTCCCTCCCAAAGGATTCCTGGCCCTCAGGCGCCCCCCGTGCTGGGCTAGCCCAGGGGACTTCACCACTCCAGGAACTTTCCCCAGATACTGTTGGTTCACATCTTCATAAAGCACCTTAATTAACTTCTCCTGCTTACTCCATTTGAATAGCCCATTGGGGAAACCACATAAACCAACAGGTAGGGAGGCTATTTTAGCTGGGGTGGCCGAGAAAGGTATCTCTGAGGAAGTGACATTTTAGTTGACACTTCAAAAATTTTGAGAAGGAGGCAGGTATGTCTTTGAGTGTAAGGGTGAACAGAGGGAAGGGTAAATGCAAAAGCCCTAAGGTGACCGAGAGAAAGGAAGCCAGGAGTAGATGCTGAATGAAAGAAGGAAGGAGAGGATAAGTAAGAAAAAGATGCACCTTCCCTCCAGAATGGGGCTGCAGGGGTTGCAAATGACTATTTTCATTCCCTCTGTCAAGGAGGATGGTGCCTAAGAAGCCGGGGCAGGTGGAGAGCAGGGTTCTCTCTGCCCCTGGATTCAGCTTCCCTGCCCCTTGGTCCTCCTGGCACCTTTACCACAGTAAGGTTGTCCCCACTGGGGAAGGAGATGACAGAAAGGAGCCCAGGGAAGGGCAGTTAGCCAAACCCTGCCTGGGGAAAGGCACCAGGACCGGGGACTCGATAACGTTTGAAAACCAGCAAATCAAGGTCCAAACAGCACACGCATGCAGTCCTATTGCTTCAGCGCCCACAGCTCAGGCCCACTTTTCTTTCTGGAGCAGAACTGGGGAGCAGAATGAGACTCCTGAGCTGAGAGACAGGATCTTAGGCCACAGGGAAGCTGCAGAGGAGAAGACAGACTGTGGGGAGACACTGCAGAGGGAGGAAGCTGCCCAAGGTGAGTCTGCCAAGGTCAGTCAGCGGAGGCAGTGGCTTGTGAAAGCTGCCCCCAACCCCCCTGCTCGGTGCACACCTCCCCACCCCTCTACACAGATTGCCACATGCCTGGGCCCCCAGGGCCCCCATCCCAGTGTTGCAAGATCCCGGTTGGGGTTGTGGGTGGAAAGGGGCCTCTTCACCTCCACCCCCTGCCGTGCTCCAAGCCAGTGAGGGGACTATGGGATGAAGGGGGCTGTTCAGGAGACGCTGAGGCAACAATAGGCAGGGCTGGCTGAGAGCCTGTGCGTCTCCTCTCGGACAGGCCAGTCACTTCCCATCACCCTCACCAGCACCCCCCACCCCCCGCAGACAGACCCCTCCTCCCGACTCAGCATGAGCTGCTCCAAAATGGGAGTGGCCCAAGCTGGACAGAACCCCTGGCTGACCTCTGTCAGCTGCTTCCATAAGCAGGCCTGGCCTGGCCTCAGAAAACCTCAGTGGCATATGAGAAATTCTCCCCAAGGGGAGAGGGTGTGGGTTTTCAGAGGAAAATGGCTACAACTTAACTTTATCAAAATGGCCATCAATTCTGACTTCAGAGAGCAATGGAAAGGTCCCAGGGCCTGGGAAGGGGCAGGCTTCTTGATAGGGAAAGACCCACCACAGAGCTGTAGCCTCTTGCTTCTCTTTTATTATTTATTTATTTATGTATTTATTTTAGGTCCAGGGACAGACTAGATTTTTCCCTTAGATTTGCTTCCCTTTTAGAAGAAACAGGGTTCTAGGGGTAGGTAGAGGCAAGCCACACATAGAATGGATCCATCCCCTACGCCCCATGAGCTAAGCTTCACCCTGGAGTCCTAAACTGTCCAAACCCCTATTGCTCACCACGCCCCCCCCACCACCACCACCACACACACACCTAGCACTGTCACCCCTGGCCAGGCTATCCAACCTTGCTGCAATCGGGACGGTTTGCAAAACGCCTTCTAGCTCCCGCTTTGTCACCATCTGAGGTTAGGACTGTACTCAGGAGATAAGCTCAGGCCCCACCCGCTCGTCCCCAGCGAGACTGCTGGCCTGCTGCAATCGGGACGGTTTGCAAAACCCCTGCTGGCTGCAGCTCTGTCACCATCTGAGGTTAGGGCTGCACCCTAAGATAAAGCCTAGCTCCTCCCTCCAGCCCTGCCTTCAAACCTCACAGGCAGCATGGTCCCAAGAAACAGAGCTCCTGGGAGCCCACTCAGGGTCTGGAAGCATTACACCAGTGCAAAGACCCCTTCTCCTTGGTCCTCCCCTCACCCCTTCTCCCCTCCATCCCCAGCCTCACCTTTGCATACTGTCCTCATTACCATCCTCTCCTCACTCTCCATCTACTCACCTTCTATCTTCTATCCTCACGCTTCCATCCCTCACCTCCCTCCTGCCTTCTCACCACATTCATTTACTCAAAAAATACATACTAAACACCTACTTGAAGCCAAGCACTTTGTTATAGAAGCTATGGGACACATAAGGAGAACAGTCCCTGCCCTTTGGGGGTTTATAGATTAGTGAGAGTGACAAACATAAGACCACAAACAAATTGTGGGCAGTGTCATCTAGCAAAAGTAAAGGGGTGACTGATGGCCGATATTAACATGGGTATCTGATTTAAATGTGAGGGTCGGGAAAGGCTTCTTTGAAGGGATAACATATCGGCGGATATCTAAATGATGAGTAGGAATTCATCTGGCAAAAAGTGGGGGTTCCCAACAGAAAGAAAAGTACACACAAAGGTTCCCAAGCAGGTCCTTCTCATTCACTGACTGAAGGCTGGGGGTGCAGGGCAAGATGCTGGGAAGAGGCAGAGAGGCTTGAAGAGGCTGAGGCCAGAAGCTCCCTTAGATGGGATTCAGAGCATCAGAGGGAGAACCAGCCTTCCAAGGGAAGAAGACGTCTCCTCTTTTTTAACAAGAAACAGAGGAGATGGCAACAGAATCAAATACAAATAGGTTTGTAGCAAGCCGGGGCTGTTCCTATCTTATGGCTTTTATTTTCACCATGAAAGAAGAGATAACCAAAAGTCACTGAGCAGGAGGGGAGGCTGGAGGTTTGAAAGTATAAAATCCAGCCGGACGCAGTGGCTCACGTCTGTAATCCCAGTGCTTTGGGAGGCTGAGGCGGGCGGATCACAAGGTCAGGGATCGAGACCATCCTGGCTAATACGGTGAAACCCCGTCTCAACTAGAAATACAAAAAATTGGCTGGGTGTGGTGGCGGGCACCTGTAGTCCCAGCTACTCAGGAGGCTGAGGCAGGAGAACGGTGGGAACCCAGGAGGCGGAGTTTGCAGTGAGCTGAGACCGAGCCACTGCACTCCAGCCTGGGCAACAGAGTGAGACTCCATCTCAAAAAAAAGAAAAAAAAGAAAGAAAGTATAAAATCCTAGTTGGTGAGGGTAGAAGAGGGAGCTCATTGCTGAGCTTTCTGACTTGAAAGCGCCCAACTGAAGCTGACGATGACCACTTTAGAGTGACATGTCCTCTGGGATGATTTTGTCCAGTGGTCCTTAGGTGCTTGAGAGCAAGTGCGGAGAAGACAAATGTTAGGTCCATCTAGAGTTGAGACTTAACCAGGGAGATGAGATGGAAAGGACAGACAGGGGAGAGGAGTTGAAGGCATTAACAAAAGGGGATTGCAGTGGTGAGCCTGGAACCTAAGGCAGAGAAGGTGAGATGTGAAGATGGGAAGGGCTGTGGTTCCTCATGAGCTTAATAGAACAGCTGCTGGGTGCCAGCTTGAGCAAACCACCATAAGGAAAGGAGATTCTATCAGCGTGGGATGTTTGATTCCGTTATTTCATAGGTGCTGCAGTTTCTGGTGGTGATAAGGCTCTGGGTATGGCCCTGGGAGAGGCTCACTAGGAGGAATAGAGGAGATTGTTAGAGACAGAGGGTGAGGGAGCTGAGAGGCCAGCCTGCCAGGGGGAGCATCCATATGAATGATGACCCCACCTGGACGACAGCTCTCCTCCTACCAGCCTCTCTCCACAGTCGATATTTCTGTCATCTCCACCCAGTTCCTCATCAACATCCTCTCTCCTTATCCCTAATTTCCTACCACCGCACCCTTTTCCTCTTCTTCATCCCATCCTCTCTAACTTCTGTTCTTTTGTCTAATCTCATCCTCTCTTATCCTCCCATCCTCTCTAACTTCTGTTCTTTTGTCTAATCTCATCCTCTCTTATCCTCCCATCCTCTCTAACTTCTGTTCTTTTGTCTAATCTCATCCTCTCTTATCCTTCCATCCTCTCTCCTTATCCCCATTCTCTCCTCATCATCTTCTTTTCTCCTTGCCCTCTTCCTCTCATCACTACACACTGGAGAAGCAGGATTACACAGTGGGTTCAAGCGCGTGCTGAGGTGCCTAACTATGTCGGTTCAACTCCTATACTGCCACTTACCACCTATGTACATTGCCTAATTTTGCTGTACCTTGATTGTAAAATTGGGATAATGATAATGCCTACCTCATGAGGTGGCTGAAAGAACTACATGAGTATAAAGCCCTTGGGCTGGGCATGGTGGCTCACGCCTGTAATCCCAGCACATTGGAGAGACAAGGCAGGTGGATCACTTTGAGCTCAGGAGTTCGAGCCCAAGCAATATGGCAAAATCCCATCTCTACTAAAAATACTAAAATTAGCCAGGTGTGGTGGCATATGCCTGTAATCCCAGCTACTTGGGGGGCTGAGGCTGGAGAATCACTTGAACTCAGAAGGCAGAGGTTGCAGTGAGCCGGGATCATCCCACTGCACTCCAGCCTGGGTGACAGAGCAAGACTCTGTCTCAATCAATCAATCATTCAATCAATAAAATAAAATAAAGTGCTTAGAACAACATGTAGGCACAAAGCTGTGCCCCATAAAGTGACTATTATTCTCACTCTTTCCCTACCTCCTTGCTCCTTCCTCCTTCCTCATCTTCATCTTCTTACCTTCATTACTGTCCTGCAACTACTTCATACCTCTTTACAGAGGCAGAGACAAATAAGACTCAGCCCCTGCCCACCATCTAGCAGGGAAAAAAATACAAAAATAAATGTCAGGATAACATAATAAGAGAGCTCCTTCGAACATGTGAAAGAAATGCTATTGGAGAACAGAAGATTTGAGAACTATCTCTACCTGGGGGAGCAAAGAAGTCTCAACCAGCAGATAACCTCTGGGTTGGATCTTGAAAGATGAAGAAGAATTTGCAGTGTAAAGAGAAGAAAGATTAAAAATTAGCTGGGCATAGTGGCATGTACCTGTGGTCCTAGTTACTTGGGAGACTGAGGCGGGAGAATCGCTTGAGCCCAGGTTGAGGCTGCAGTGAGCCATGATCGCACCACTGCACAGGAGCATGGGTGACAAAGTGAGACCCTGTCTCAAAAAATTAAAAATCTAAATTTTAAAAAGATAGGAAGGATTTACTAAAATGCATGAAGTTCTTCCACCCGCAAGTTTGAAGTTAAGATCAGCCCATACCGTGGCCAGAGCACACCCTGTCTCAGTACAGCCACAGGGGAGCAGCAGAGCATTAGGAGCTGCAGACTTAGGCCAGAAAAACCTAAGAAATCTGGGGGAAGAAAGACTTCAGACACTTAGAGAAAAAGACTAGGTTTGCCTTAGGGAAAAAACAACAGTCCTCTAAAGATTTGTACACATGATCGCGCCACTGCACTCCAGCCTGGGCGACACAGCGAGACTCCGTCTCAAAAAAAAAAAAAAAAAAGATTTGTACACATGGTGATAATAAAAAAACAGGCCAGCTGTGGTGGCTCATATCTGTAATCCCAGTGCTTTGGAGGATCACTTCAGGCCAGGAGTTCGAGACCAGCTTGGGAAACACAGCAAGACCCTGTCTCTACAAAAAATTTAAAAATTAGCCAGGCATGGCGGCACACACCTGCAGGAGGCTGAGGTAGGAGGAGGGCTTAAGCCCAGGAGTTCGAGACTGCAGTGAGCTACGATCATGCCACAGAACTCCAGCCAGGGTCACAGAGCAAGACCCTACATCAAAAATAAAAATAAATTTTTAAAATATGCCAGGCATGGTGGCTCACGCCTGTGATCGCAGCACTTTGGGAGGCTAAGGTGGGCAGATCACTTGAGCTCAGGAGTTCAAGACCAGCCTGGGCAACATGGTGAAACCCTGTCTCTACAAAAAATACAAAAATTAGCTGGTCACTATGGTGCGCACCTGCAGTCCCAGCTACTCGGGTGGCTGGGGTGGGAGGACTGCTTGAGCCCAGGAGGTTGTGGCTGCAGTGAGCTGTGAGTGTGCCACTGCACTCCAGCTTGGGACAGAACAAGACCATGTCTCAAAAAAAAATAAAATAGTATAATAATAAATCTAAGTAAATAATAAAAGAACAGTTCTCCTCTGCATTGACAGTGTATACAATATGTATTCTTTTTTTTTTCTTTTTTAAGAGATGGGTGTCCGTCTGGGAGGTGGGGAGCGTCTCTGCCCGGCCACCACCCCGTCTAGGAAGTGAGGAGCGCCTCTGCCCGGCCGCCGCCCCGTCTGGGAAGTGAGGAGTGCCTCTGCCCGGCCGCCACCCCGTCTGGGAAGTGAGGACCGCCTCTGCCCGGCCGCCGCCCCATCTGGGAAGTGAGGACCGCCTCTGCCCGTCCGCCACCCCGTCTGGGAAGTGAGGAGCGCCTCTGCCTGGCCACTGTGCAATCTTCCAAGTGTGAAGTGACAGCCTTTCTGCAGGTGTACCCAACAGCTCCGAAGAAACAGCAACCATCGATAATGGGCCATGATGACGATGGCGGTTTTGTCAAAAAGAAAAGGGGGAAATGTGGGGAAAAGAGAGATCAGATTGTTACTGTGTCTGTGTAGAAAGAAGTAGACATGGGAGACTCCATTTTGTTCTGTACTAAGAAAAATTCTTCTGCCTTGGGATGCTGTTTATCTATAACCTTACCCCCAACCCCGTGCTCTCTGAGACATGTGCTGTGTCCACTCAGGGTTAAATGGATTAAGGGCGGTGCAAGATGTGCTTTGTTAAACAGATGCTTGAAGGCAGCATGCTCCTTAAGAGTCATCACCACTCCCTAATCTCAAGTACCCAGGGACACAAACACTGCGGAAGGCCGCAGGGACCTCTGCCTAGGAAAACCAGAGACCTTTGTTCATGTGTTTATCTGCTGACCTTCTCTCCACTATTATCCTATGACCCTGCCACATCCCCCTCTCCAAGAAACACCCAAGAATGATCAATAAATACTAAAAAAGATAAATAAAAATAAAATAAAAAATAAAATAAAATAAAATAAAATAAAAAGAGACGGGTGTCTCCCTATGTTGCCCAGGATGGCCTCAAACTCCTGGACTCAAGTGATCATCCCACCTCAGCCTCCCAAAGTGCTGGGATTACAAGCATGAGCCACTGTGTATAATATGCATTTTTTTATTTAGTATTTACCATAAACCACACACTGTTCTCAGTGCTTTATAAATATTCACTTACTTCTCAACAACCCCAAAAGTACAGTCACCCCTATTTTACAGATGGGAAAACTGGGGCACTTCATCAAATTTACAAATACATTTCTACAGATAAAAAGTGGCAGTGTTTACCTCCAGAGTTTGGGTGCGTGAAAGCCAAGACCCTGGGCCCCTGGAGGGTCACTGAAAAATCAGACATGAGGCAGATCGAGTAATAGGAGAAAAGGCATACACATTTATTTATTCATTTATTTAGAGACGGAGTTTTGCTCTTGTTGCCCAGGCTGGAGTGCAATGGCGCCATCTTGGCTCACTGCAACCTCCGCCTCCAGGGTTCAAGCAATTCTCCATGTACATATGAGAACCTCCAGAATGAAGACCTAACCCCACCCCCATGAAGTACAGCTTATATATCATCTTGAGGTTACAGAAAGAATGGTGCCTTGGATCCTAGCAAAACAGGTTATAGGAGGGGTGAAAAACAGGAATTCTGTTGAGGGGCAATAAATGATTGCTAAGGAGAATGAATGGATCTGGGAACAGAGATTAACTTGTAAACAGTTCTAACAGTGAAAAGGCCTGTCCAGGTGTGGTTACATTCTTGGTCTTAGGGGAAGAAGAGGAAAAACTGCTTTACTTGTTGAGTCTGGATCTTAGGCAGATAGGGCCTGTGCTTTGGGAGAGATGAGGGGTGTGGGTGTGTGTGTATGGGGGTAAGGCAGGATGGTCAGAGAGACCTTGAGGCTTCTTCTTCAGTTCAGCATGTCAATGCTGTATTTTGGGTTACGGTTTCTGAGCCCCAACAGGTGTCTCCCTTGTAATCAGTAGTTTCAACCACAGTTCTGGCATGTGAAAGTATAAAATCCTTGGGAAGTCAGCAGCCCTACTCTAAACTCTAGTCCATGTCGGTCACCAATTAGCTATTAAAATATACTACCTAAAACAGCTGTTTCTTCAAAAGTTAAATAATGGGGTTAGGTTCTATGTCTTCATCCACACACTGAAGACCAGGCCCGAAGGGCTGTGCTGAGTGGTGTGGACACAAAGACCAACAGGAAGCAGGCTTACCTTCAAGGACTTCAGGATGTGGAGGGAGAGCCACTAAGCCAACAATTATAACAGAGGATGACAGTGTTCTGTTAGGAGCTGGGAGGAGAGGCCCCTCCTGTGAGGTGGTTCCCCACCCACTGTGCCAGGTGTGGAATTTGGGCTGGGGGTATTAAGAAAGGCTTCCAAGGGTAATTACCAGAAAGGTAGGAATTAGCCAGGCAGGCCGGGGGAGGCCGGGGGAGGCGGGGGGAGGGCGGGGGGGCGGGTATCCAAGCAAGGGAAACAGGATGTGAAAGCACAGCATGAGCAAAGAAAACAGAGTTCCTTAAGAGTATCTTTGAACATTAATGTCCATTTTAAGAGTTTCTTGGCCAGCAGCGGTGGCTCACGCCTGTAATCCCAGCACTTTGGGAGCCCGAAGCAGGTGGATCACCTGAGGTCAGGAGTTTGAGACCAGCCTGGCCAACACAGTGAAACCCCATCTCTACTAAAAATACAAAAAAAATTAGCTGGGTGTGGTGGCGTGCACCTGTAATCCCAGCTACTTTGGAGGCTGAGGCAGGAGAATCGCTTGAACCCAGGAGGCAGAGTTTGCGGTGAGCCGAGATTGCACCATTGCACTCCAGCCTGGGTGAGAAGAGCGAAACTCAAAAAGACAAAAAAAAAAAAAAAAAAAAGTTTATTTTCCCTCCTCTGCATGCCTATAAGCAGCATCTGTGAAACCTAACAGACCTAACACAACGGCCTCTTACAGGAGGTGTCAGTCAACTAACATGTATTTGTTGAGCACCCACTAAGAGCCCTACATAGATGTAGGAGATCCTAGAAGTCTTGTAGTTTAGTTAGAGGCCACCCAGTTCTGAAACCGGGGCTAGTGAAGTGCAGAAGCCTTGTTTGGCCATGTCCAGTGAGGCCAGCAGGCAACTACAAAGCAAAGAATACCTCTGTCCCCCACTTCCCCTATTATGGTGACACCAGTTTTCTAGTTCGGTGAAGGTTCCAAGGTTTTCTACTCAGAAAGGCACAAGAAATAGGATGAGGGATGGAAAGGATTAGGAAAGAGTTCCCAGCCACACACAGTGGCTCACACCTGTAATCTCAGCACTTGGGGAGGCTGAAGCAGGAGGATCACTTGAGGCCAGGAGTTTGAGACCAGCCTCGACAACATAGAGAGGCTCCATCTCTACAAAACAAACAAACAAAAAACAAGGAAAGAGTTTCATCATGGATAAGGCAGGCTCCTCTTTGGAAAGGTCAGCTGAGGCCTCAGAATAACACTTCCCCTCCCCCAGCACTCTGCCTCTGGCACCTCTGGAAGAGGGTGGTTCATATCCAACCTCCTGGCAGGGAACTGTAGACTGAGTCAACAACATTCAAATCTTGAAAAAATAAGCAAGAGTAGTGGGGGGCATAGGTGAAAAATAGTAAAGAGAGGAAAGCCAGAAACAGTGAGCCAGGGAACAAGGGGACGGAAGACAGGATCCAGGCTGTATCTACGGAGAGACACAGAAGGGAGATGCTGCTGCTGCTGCTGCTGCTGCTGCTGCTGCCGCCACTAGTCCTCAGGGTTGCTGCAAGCCGATGTCTACATGATGAGACACAGAAGTCTGTGAGCCTTCTCAGGCCCCCTTTCTCCCAACTCCCCTCAAAATCTCGCTCTTCCTCCCTCACCCTCCCTAGCTCCCGTGATCCTCAACCCCTACGAATCCAAAGCTGCTATCTAGGAGATCATATATCAGATGGAGCTTGGGATCCTGAGGGAGAAGGGATGAGAGGGGGATCCCGAGCCCTGGCCGCAGTGAGAGAGGCCACTCAGCGAATCCAGGCTGTTCTAGCAGGTGAGTGAGGGAACAGAGGTGTCAGGGAGGGTTGAGGAGCAGAGAGGTCCAGGGGAGGAAGATCAGCCCAGAAAGAGAACTGGAATTCCAAGATATGGGAGAAACTGACTTCTTATCAAGTCCCTCCAGTGCAAGGACCCCTGCTTCTGAGTCGAGACCCTGCACAGTATTGCCACGCTGTCTGGGGAGACCCAGATAGCCCAAACTACCACAGGTGAGTTCACGTCGTTGACAATGTATGTAATTCTTTTTCAGGGATACCTAGAAATGTCCTCAGCTCACCTACAGATCTTCATTCTTATAGGTGCAGCCTCTTGAACCCAGGATACAAAGGAGAGAGTTGCCTGGGGGCAAAGGTGAGATTGAGTCAACAACACTGAAATCTTGAAAAAATAAGGGTGGTGGGGGGATACGCAGAGAGATAGTAAAGAGAGGAAAACCAGAAATAAGTACACCAGGGAAGAAGGGGACGGAAGACAGGATCCTGAGCAGGCTCACCTCTCAGTCTCAGGGATCTGGAGATCTGCAGCCTGCCATGACCATTCCAAGACCACCACCATCAGAGTTACTTAGTGTGCTTAACGATGTAGATTCTTGAGCTCCTCTCCCTGCTAAAATTTATTAAATCAGAGACTGGGGGTGAAGGGGCAGAACTCTATTCTAGCCAGCTGCCTAGATAACACAAAGACAGACCAAAGAGATTCATTCTCCCCTACTCCTCATACCCAATTTCCTACTGTTCCAGCCCCTCTGCTAATGCAACATTTCACTCCCTGCCAGATTCCTGACACCCATCTTCGCGGTTATGCCTTGTGGCCGGAGCAGGGTCCCCCACAACTGGTCCAGCCAGATGGGCCTGGGGTCCAAAACACTGATTTTCTCCTGTATGTGCGAGTTGCTCACACTTCCAAGTGCCACCAAGAGGTGAAGTTCAAATCAAATTTCCTTTCCCTGCTGTCTCTCTCAATCTTAAATCTCATGAGGAGGGTTAGGGAGCATAAAAGCAGTTTTGTTTTGTTTTGTTTTGTTTTATTTTGCTTTTGTTTTCAGACAGTCTCACTCTGTTGCCCAGGCTGGAGTACAGCGGCCCAATCACAGCTCACCGCAGCCTTGACCTCCTGGGCTCAGGTGATCCTCCCATCTCAGCCTCCTGAGTAGCTAGGATTACAGGCATGCACCACCATGTCCGGCTAATTTTTTGTATTTTTTTTTGTAGAGACGGGGTTTTGTCATGTTGCCCAGGCTGTGTCTCAAACTCTTGGGCTCAAGCAATCTGCCCACCTTGGCTTCCCAAAGTATCAGGATTACAGGCGTGAGCCACCATGCCCAGCCAAAAGCAGTTTTTATTAAGTTGTGCTTATTTGGGATAACTTAGGGAATGCTAGTAACGTTTGGGTAAAGGCTACCCCCACCCACAGCCATCCCTTGATACCACTCCTGCAGAGTTCTGCAGAGTCCCCTGGTCCTCCATTTTCAGAGGACTTCTTCTACTTGTGCTACCCTATTTTTCTCCTTTCTGGCCCTACCCTGTCCTGGCCCATCCACAGCCCTCTGTCATAGCCTATGCTGCCTGCTGCCAGCTGGACTCAGAAGACAGGCCCCTCGCTGGTACCATTGTCTACTGTGCCCAACATCTCACCAGCCCCAGCCTCAGCCACAGTGACATCGTCATGGTGACTGCTGCATGATGAATAGGGAGAAGCAAACAGGTTGCAGGGTAGGGGGCCAGGTTACTCAGTTTCCCATTAAGTCAAAGAACCCACAGAGGATGGAATAGAAGGTGCCTCAAACTCTAGGAAGAGCTGATTGGGCAGAGGGGTTATAGAGTGTTTGGTCAATCCTGCTGCAAATTCGGCCCCCTTACTGGGCTGTCATTTGTCCTTAGGCCACATTACATGAATTGCTCCATGCCTTGGGTTTCTCTGGACAGCTCTTCAAGAAATGGCGAGACTGCCCCTCAGGATTCAGTGGTAAATGAGAGGAATGAGGTTAAGGACTTTCCACCATCAACCAGAGGAAATTCACTATCTCATAACGTCCTTCCTTCTAATTTTACTTCACCCTTCCTAAGTTTTCCTCTCCTCGTACTGCCTTCTTCCCTTTCTGCAGTTAGAGAGAACTGTTCTACAAGGCAACTAGTGACAAGGCAAGATGAGTGGGGACAACTGCTTCTCACCACCCCAGCTGTTAGCCTCAGCCTGGCCAAACACTTGGGAGTGTCGGGGGCTTCCCTGGGTGTTCCCTTGGAAGAAGAGGTGAGAATGAGAACACCTTGGGGTGATGGAAGAAAGGAGTAGCCAGCTAACAACCAGCCATCTGCCACCTCCTCCAGGAGGGCCTTCTGTCCTCGCACTGGGAGGCCAGACTACTCCAGGGTTCTTTAATGACTGCTACCTTTGATGGAGCCCAGCGCACTCGACTCGACCCAATCACCCTCGCTGCCTTCAAAGACTCAGGCTGGTACCAGGTCAACCACAGCGCTGCAGAGGAGCTGTTGTGGGGCCAGGGTGAGGAATAAGGGAGACCTGCAGAGAGGCACTCATGACCCAAGTCAGCTCTGGGGGAAGTGGGAGGCTGGAGGGGTGTCTGTTGCTGATGTATAATCGAAGCTGTGAGGATAGCTGGTGCTGAAGGATGTTTGGGCTTCATTTGCTGAGGGCTCTCTTTCCTTCTCATCTGTCAAGCAGGATCTGGCCCAGAATTTGGCTTGGTGACCACATGTGGGACTGGCTCCTCAGACTTCTTCTGTACTGGCAGGTGTGTGTGCTGAGTGGTTAGGGGACTGTATGGCTGCCAGTGATTCTAGTGTCACTCTACCATCCATTCCACACAGTGGGCTGGGCTGCCACTACCTGCACCTGGACAAGGGAAGCTGCTCCTCAGACCCCATGCTGGAAGGCTGCCGCATGTACAAGCCCTTAGCCAATGGGGTGAGTAGATAAGAGAGCAGACAATGAAACTGAGTGGGTCTGGAAGGCAGTCAACTTCAAAGGCATCAGAACAAACACTATTCTACTTCTGACCTGCCCTTCAGAGTGAATGCTGGAAGAAGGAAAACGGATTCCCTGCTGGGGTGGATAATCCCCATGGGGAGATCTACCATCCCCAGAGCCGTTGCTTCTTTGCCAACCTCACTTCACAGCTGCTCCCTGGGGATAAGCCCAGGCATCCTTCTCTTACCCCACACCTCAAGGAAGCAGAGCTCATGGGCCGCTGCTACTTACATCAATGCACAGGGAGGGGAGCTTACAAGGTGCAGGTGGAGGGCTCGCCTTGGGTCCCATGCCTTCCTGGAAAGGTTATACAGGTGGGTACCATAAGAGTAGTAGTTGCAGCATACTGGCAAAAAGAAGTCGGGAAATACTTGTATGGTGGTACTGTCCAACCTGTTTTGATGTGCATACAGTTTTCCTAAGTACCCACTGAGTCCATGACTCTGATCTAGAATATACATTTTCCTTAGAAGGAAGACTTGAACAGGTAAGGCAAAACCATATCCTGCTACCTATTTCCTTGCAGATACCTGGGTACTATGGTCTTCTCTTCTGTCCCCGGGGTCGGCTGTGTCAGACTAATGAAGATATCAATGCTGTTACTTCCCCACCTGTGAGTCTTTCAACCCCAGATCCACTATTCCAGCTCTCTTTAGAATTAGCTGGGCCTCCAGGACACTCTCTGGGGAAGGAACAGCAAGAAGGGCTAGCTGAAGCAGTACTGGAGGCTTTGGCGAGCAAAGGCGGCACTGGCAGGTAAAAGCTTGAGTATTTATACAATGGGCCAAGGAGAATCCCTAAGTCCTTTACTTTATGACTCTCCTCTGAAGACTTGTTCATCCCACTCTTAAGCCTGCATCTGTTTCATGAGATATACTCTGCCAGGAACTATATCTCTATTAAAAGATTCAAATGTCCATTTAGGTGCTATTTCCATGGCCCATCAATTACCACTAGCTTGGTGTTTACTGTGCATATGTGGAAGTCCCCTGGCTGCCAAGGGCCTTCAGTTGCTACACTGCACAAGGCCCTGACTCTGACTCTCCAGAAAAAACCCCTAGAAGTGTATCATGGAGGAGCCAACTTTACCACACAACCCAGCAAGTAAGATATTCCAAGTACTTTCCTTTCAAATCCATGGAGTCCGGATGTTTGAAATTAAATTTATTAAGCACTCACTCACGTGTATATTGTCCTAGACAGGGTTGCGTTTCAGAGAACAAAGATCCCTAACACGATCATCCAGTCCCGTCACTACCTGACTCCCTCCTCCCATACAATAACACATTCCCCCATCTCTAGGACATAGGGATCTTAGTCCCCTCCCCCCACCTTTTTCTTCTTCTTTTTTGAGACAGGGTCTCGCTCTGTCACCCAGGCTGGAATGCAGTGGGGTGATCTCAGCTCACTGTGGCCTCGACCTCCCTAGGCTCAAGTGATTCCCCCACCTCAGCTTCCCAAGTAGCTGGGACTACAGGTGCACACCACCATGCCAGCTAATTTTTGTATTTTTGATAGAGACAGTTTCACCATGTTGCCCAGGCTTGTCTCCAACTCCTGAGCTAAAGCAACCCACCGGCCTCTGCCTCCCAAAGTGCTGGGAGCCACTGCCACCACTCCCAGCCCCCTTCCTTTCTTAAGCACTGTTAGGGATTGTGTCTAGCTACCTAAAGAACATAGACTGACTCTTCCCTTAAGCCACTTCCCTTGCTGCCAAGTTAGGTCTTCTTCCAATAATATAAGATGCTAGAAGACTTAGATCTTGATCTTATTTCTACTTTAAGGTTCGATAGTCCCTCTTAATGATTTCCTGTTTAGCTTAATGCTTGGATGAGGCGGGGCTTCATGAGCTCTATCTTTAAGGGTAAAGCCCCTTAGCCAGACGTGGTGGTGCGGCGTGCGCCTGTAGTCCCAGCTATTCGGAAGGTTGAGGCAGGAGAATTGCTTGAGCCTGGGAGGCGGAGATTACGGTGAGCCAAGATCACACCACTGCACTCCAGCCTGGGCAACAGACCAAGACCTTGTCTCCAAAAAAAAAAAAAAAAAAAGGTAATGCCGCTTTATCTACTAAGGCTAGGCATTATTCCATGCCAAATATTACCTTCTATGTTCCTAGGTTGCTGGTTACTTCAGACCATAATCCCTCCATGACCCACCTAAGGCTGTCCATGGGACTCTGCCTAATGCTGCTAATCCTGGTGGGTGTAATGGGAACCACAGCCTACCAGAAAAGAGCCACTCTTCCTGTGAGACCATCTGCCTCTTACCATTCACCAGAGCTCCACAGCACAAGGGTCCCAGTTAGAGGAATAAGGGAGGTGTGATGTTGCCCAGAACATGACAGGGGGTAAGGAAGAGAATAATTTCTTGTGAGACAACTGGATGGAAAATCTATTGTGTATACTTAATTTCTACTTTCTTTGGAATGCCTCTTTCCCCGGTTGTCAATATTATATAGCCTGGCAATGAAAAAAGGGTGAAGTTTTACAGTTCTAAAGATCCATTCTTTATTTTGGTACAAAAATAAATTGTTCAACCTGTAAATTGTCACTTATTTTCGTATTGTTGTAAAGCAAACTTACAGAATAGGAACACCTGCTACCAGTTCCAAGAATATCACATACATATGCCTTAGAAAAAGGCCAGGTATGATGGTTCATGCCTGTAATCCCAGCACTTTGGGAGGCCAAGGTGAGAATGGATCGCTTGAGGCCAGCAGTTCAAGACCAGACTAGAAAACGTAGCATGACCCCTGTATCTACAGAATAATTTAAAAATTAGCCAGATATTGTTGTGCGGGCCTGTAGTCCTAGATACTCAGGAGACTGAGGCAGAAAGATTACTTCAGCCTAGAATTTGAGGTTACAGTGATCTCACGCTCACTGATGATCATGCCACTGCACTCCAAACTTAAGTGACAACCCATGTTTTTAAAAAAAAAAAAAAGTCACCGCGAGTTCGATTCAAACAGTGTGAAGGAGGAAGCAACTAATTATCTCCCTCTCCTGATTTTTCATAATTTTATTAAATCATCACTGGGAAAACTAATGGTTTGCGTATCACACAATTACACTACAATCTGATAGGAGTGGTAAAACCAGCCAATGGAATCCAGGTAAAGTACAAAAACGCCACCTTTTATTGTCCTGTCTTATTTCTCGGGAAGGAGGGTTCTACTTTACACATTTCATGAGCCAGCAGTGGACTTGAGTTACAATGTGTAGGTTCCTTGTGGTTATAGCTGCAGAAGAAGCCATCAAATTCTTGAGGACTTGACATCTCTCGGAAAGAAGCAAACTAGTAGACTGATGAGCTGGATTGCTTAGATTGATAACATTTACAAATAGGAGTCCAGTTGACATGCTATTAATGTTGAAATAACCATGCCTGTACTGGTCAGTGAGTTCGGTCAGCTGGTTGGAATACCAGTTCCAGAGCTTTAGGCGACACATTTGAATTGAGTTATCATTGTAGAGAGTCATGGCTCCATCAGCTATGGTTATCTTCTTTGGTCTGAATGCCTATCAGTCCTTACCAGCTGTAGCAGCCACTGCTTGGTAAAACTTTGCCACGAAGTCTGGCTCACTGAACTCCAGCTGTCTGACAAATTCATTGCGCTCCTGCTCAGCCCAGCCTCGAAACCACTGATCCCAAAGATGTAGCTGGCACTCAAAGATAGAAGGTGGTCGGTCTGCCCCAGACACACTAAGCTGCTCCAGACTATCCAGCAGTGGTTGTAATTTTTCTGGCACTGCCTTAGCTACCAGGTCCTCTAGGAAACGTTCACGCTGGGGACCTGACCAATTGGCAAACCAGTGAAGAATACACTTCATCTCCTGGGAGGTGATGTAAGACATCAGAGGAGGGGAAGGGTTAGTATTGTGTGGTACTGAGGGTAAGAGAGATGGGAAGGATAGTGGCATTGAAGAGGATGACTCCAGTGGCATCCTGAAACATAAAAGCACTGTTATATGCTCTCCAGGTAGAGCAACGAAAATACAACTTTCAAGCAACAAGACATCTTACCACACTCAATTAGCATCTACAGAGAAAATTACTTTTTATGAATTCAAAGACCCAAAATAATAAGAGTCCTTTATTTAGATTATTATCCAACTACCTTAGAAAAATCACCAAAAATAACTTCATTTCCTATTTGCCTGCCTTTTTCAAACCCATTCTTCCCCACCCACTGTCTTCCTCCATCTTTCTTATAAAGAACCTAAAAATAACCAATATATTTCTTGTTCATTCTCTTCCTCTTACTTCTATGTGCCAGGTTGGGTAAAGAAAAAAACAATGATTAATGTTGGTCCATTACATCTTCTCCAAAATGAAAATGCACACATTTTAAAATCTAGTACGTGCAGCTGGTCAAGGCTGATGCTAATTGTTTTGCAGCTATCAACAGTGGGGGAAGAAAGAAAAAACATTATTTATGATGAAAGAGCCTTCAATGTGCATATAAGCCTCTGAAATATGCCAACAACTCCATAACATCCGTTACCTCCTTACATTTCCTGTAAAGCACCAGGAAAAGTTAAAAAGCAGAGTAAGGACCTTGCTCAAAATAAGGTAACGCATGAAAGAACCAGAAGCCCGGGTGTTTGAGACGTTCTTAAAAAAGAGTCCAGTTGGTTTGTTGGCTTAGAGATCTAACAAGTGTTATACTATTTTATGACAATCCATGTCTTTAAACAATTGTCCTTAATATTTAGTATGGGCCAGACGCGGTGGTTCTTGCACTTCCAAAGTAATCTCAGCACTTTGAGAGGCCGAGGCAAGAGGATCGCTTGAGCCCAGGTGTTCGAGACCAGCCTGGGCAACATGGCAAAACCTCATCCCTACAAAAAATAAAAAAATTAGTTGAGCGTAGAGGTGCCTACCTGTAGTCCTAGCTACGTAGGAGACTGAGGTAGGAGCATCACCTGAGCCCGGGAGGTTGAGGCTGCAGTGAGCCCTGATCGCGCCACTGCACTCCAGCCTGCGTCAGAGTGGAGGGACCCAGAGTGGAGTGACAAAAAAAAAATTTTTTTTTTTTTTTAGTATGGTATCTATTGGTGCCTTGCAATTTTTTTTTTTTTTTTTTTTTTTTTTGAGACGGAGTCTTGCTCTGTCACCCAGGCTGTAGTGCAATGGCGTGATCTCAACCACTGCTTCCTGGGTTCAAGCGATTCTCCTGCCTCAGCCTCCCGAGTAGCTGGGACTATAGGCGTACGCCACCACGCCCGGCTAATTTGTTTGTATTTTTAGTAGAGACGGGGTTTCACCATATTGGCCAGACTGGTCTCCAACTCCTGACCTCAAGTGATCCGCCCGCCTCGGCCTCCCAAAGTGCTGGGATTATAGGCGTAAGCCACCGCGCCCGGCACCTTGCCACTGATTTTGCATCATGAATGCAACGGAAAGATCAGCCAATTTGACTTTAATAGTTTTCAGTCTCTTAAATCTCTAACGTATCTCTTAAATCTCTAAACTATTTGTCTGTGACCTATTTTACTGTTTGTGTTTCTTCTGCATCAAGTTGGAGGATTGGTAGTGACAAAGAAAGAAGCCCCTAAACAATTAATATTAGTTCAAGTACCAAAAAAGTTCAGGGCGCTTGCATTTTCCAGTTCTTGCCCTACAGGAAGCAGTTCCTCCAAGGGAACTTACTCTCTTCTGCGGAGCAAGGAAGAACTTTCCCAGAATCTTGCCACATGGCTTCCAAGGCAAACTCAAACTCAAGTTCAGCGTCATAGATCAGTTCATAGTCTGGGTCCGAAGACACGGCGATGCTTCTTGCGCACCCCCACGGAGCTTGTTATTCCGATTCCGCACCAGCCCCCCGCCCCTCCCCAAAAAAAGCCTAAGATGGGAGTGGCTATGATTCAGAGGACAGAGGGCAGAAGCTGTTTGCGTTAAGGAGTGGGGGGCTTGCCCTATTAAGGTAATCCGCAAACACCGAGTCTGACCCGGCCCATAGAGGTACTTCTACCCCGCTTACCTCCCCTTTTCTCTCGAAGGGCACCCGAAGATTGTCACGAGTCCTTAGACTCCAACTACTGCGGCAGCTTCCAAATTTCCTGAAAACCCTAAGCTGGGCCAGCCCGGCAGCCCACGCACTTCCGGCCTCGGACCCGCCCCAAACACCCAAGCGCCCCAGCGCCTCATCTCTAGGTCCGGAAATAAACGAACATCTCCGATTATGGTTATACCAGGGTCGAGGGTTTCCGAATATATTCGATTCAAAGCTTCGGCAAGACGAAGAAAACCGAGCCTGAAAGCAGGGCGAGAAAAGGGGCGCTGCAGGGCGGATGGAAAGAATTGATTGGTAACGATGTGGAGACGGAAACATCCGAGGACATCCGGAGGAACCCGGGGAGTTCTGAGTGGTAATCGAGGGGTAGAGTATGGCAGTGGGCGGGGTCATCTCGGTACGTTCGAAGGGCGTTGGCGGAAATTACCGAAGATGCCCGAAGCCGTCGGGACGGACCCGAGTACCTCACGCAAGATGGCGGAGCTGGAGGAGGTGACTCTGGACGGGAAGCCTCTTCAGGCGCTGCGGGTGACCGACCTGAAGGCCGCACTGGAGCAGCGAGGCCTAGCCAAGAGCGGGCAGAAGAGTGCCCTGGTCAAGCGGCTCAAAGGGGTGAGGAGTCGGCGTTGCTGGGGTGTCGGAGGAGAGCGGACCCGGTAGAGACGAGCCTCTGCCGCGGCGCAGGCGCAGTATCCGGGCTCGGCGCGAGCTCGCTCAGGCCGCCAGCGCGAGCCTCTGGATCCGCGCGCACGGTGGTTGATGAGGTTCGCGCTGGAATGGAGATCGCGCCGGTTCCCGCCTTAACGGCAGCAGCGCGAGCCCAAATGGGAGGGTGTGCACTACTCTCCAGGAGTGTCTTAAGCTCCTTCCTCCTTCCCCCACCCCCTCCTTGTTTGTATCTGTGGTTTCGGCGCATGCGCTGCAGAAGGAGTTAAATCCCACTACAACCTACGGCGTTGCTGGCCTGAGGGGGGCGAGTTGGGCTGGGTCGGAGTTAGGGGTATAGTTGCGCGAAGGGGTGGATGGGGTTGGTATCGGTATCTGCACGAATAGGACTGGGGTAGGGTAAAATGTCTGCTCGATTAGATGAGGAGGTGAGATGAAGAGAGACCTTTATTTGAAGGGACTTGATGAGAGAGAGGTCTCTAATTTAGTGGCATCTAGTGGCAATTTGGGTGGTTAAGAGTTTGGTGAATATTGGTGAGAGAGGCGAGGCAGGTTGATATATATTGGGGATTTTGAATCGGTTTGAGTAGATTAAGGTGGGATTGTCATGAGGTAGGTGTAGCTCGATTCAAGTGTATAGGTTTGGTTTAAAGAAGGGAAGATGAGGATGTCTTGGTTTTAATTAGAGTTCAACAGGATACGTGGCAGGTAGTGCAGATTAGGTCTGGGTTGGCTCCAGGGTTGAGTTGGCAGACCGTTGCTTATACAGAAGCTGATAGTTTTGTGTGTGTGTGTTTGTGTGTGTGTGTTTGTGTGGATAGACTAGGTTAGACCACAGTTTACAGGGTCTGTGGTCATTTTCTTCTGTAGCTTCCTCTTTGAAAATTTTATAAATTTGATAAATCTAGGTGCCACAGTACTGGAAATTATACAAATTGACCCTGGTACTGGGTAACCCTTTGACCAAGTAATTCCGTCAGGCAAAAACCAGGAGCCCCATGGCTGGTTTGAGTATTTTAAGTAATTTTACATGCATGATCAGATTTAGAAGGGGCACTTGGCGAAAGTGCAGAAGATAATAGGGATTTTAGTACTGGTTCTATTACTGATATTATGACATAGCCAGGTCACTGATTCTGTGTGCCTGCATTTTATATCTGTACATTTAGTAACAGTAACCATGGCTACCTTTATGGGTCTTCTGAAGATGAATGAGAACAGTGTTAGTAAAGGGTTTTCAGGTCCCTGGAAAAGGAATACAGTTTAATTGTGTGTATTTAAGTCATTGCGTTTAATTTAGAGGTTGTGGTAGAGGTGGGGGTTTGTTTTTCTTTTTTTTCCTCATCATTTCTGACTTTTACCCTTCTCTATACCAGGCTCTAATGCTAGAAAATTTACAGAAACACTCAACACCCCATGCTGCATTCCAGCCAAATTCCCAGGTGAGAAAGAAGGTGTATTCAATGGAGTGGGCCCTTTGGATATCCAGACACATGGAAGGACGTGGTGTTGTATATTTGATGCTTAAGTCCTCATGACTGTTTTCCTAAGTTCTCTTAGTCAGAAATGTTCTCAAACCAGGACAGTTGAATTCTAATCAACCCAGTTGTATACAAGGGCCTGGAGTAAAGAACAGAATCAGAGGCACTGTTAGTTTATAATAATTGAAATGGCATGTGTAGAAAGGTGTGGCTTCCATTAATTACGTGTAGTACAGAGATCTGAAGTCATTTATCTGCCATGAATTTAGGAAAGGTAGTTGATGTCTTTGAGTATAGATATGAAGTAGATCACCAATATGGCAGTGTAGGGAAATAGTTGCTGATTAAGAACTCTTGTTGATGTAGATTTTCCAAGGGTTCAATCCTGTGTAAGTCACCCACCATTACTAGTGTTAACTACTAACTCAGTGCACTTACTCATAAACATTACTAATACCTCTTTACTTAGGATAAGAAACAACCTTTGGAGGCCTTGGTCTTCTCCATTTCCTTATCTGTAATATGAGAAACAGACTAAACCCATGGGTTTATAACTGTTCTCTTAGGGTTTTGTGGAGCTGCTTTGGGGAGCTTCCTAGGGGAAATACCTTTTTCCCAAGTAAGCAAGGCTCATACTCCTCTCTTAAACTAGATTAGATCTACTTTTTAACTATTGAGTTTCTGCATAAAATTTTTAAATTATTCCACAGTTAAAATCCAAAAATTATTAGGCTGCACAGTCTCTTAAAGTTTCTTTCAGCTTTTAAAAATCCCCTCATTATAATGTGTCATATACTTAAAGGAAAAATCCAAGTCTTTGTTAAAGCAATAGTGTGCAGCCTCAGTACTAGATGAAGTCTCAGGATACTGTGGAAAACAAGAGAGCCCTCCTCCTCCTTTGTTATCACCTCATTAAGCTGTAAGTATCATAATCTAGCCAGCATTCAGAGGTTCAATTAAGTACTTTAACAAGCATAAGAAACTGCATAAGTTAATCAGCTTAATTGTATTCCTTTTGCCCATTGCATGTTAGTCTTTGAAGCTTTGCTTTTATTAACACCGGGTTTGTGCAGCAAACATGCCTATTCTGTAATACACATGCAACCCACCCTTCAACAATGTCCATTGAGTGCCAAGAGACTCATTTCTACTTTAGGTGAAAATAAACCTTTACTATGTTTAGGAAACATGACTAATAACATAGAAAGTATTCAGGTTTTTTTGCTTTTTCAGTTCTAAATAGGACTTGCTAAGCAAGAAGGTTCTAGGGAGGAGAACTTGTGAAGAGAAAGCTGGAGGTCAGAAGGGCAACTTGGGAATCTGTATTACAAAAAAAAAAAAATAGGAAAAGGCATAAGCTCCTGTTACCAAGGATTTCCTTTCACCCAGACAAAATGGAGTTATAACTTTGTCTAAATGCTGAATGGATATCCCTTTTCTTAGTCTCTTGATTTCATACTTTTAAATACTATACTTGAATTTTGGAGTTGTTTGATAAAATGTTTCCTGGATATGAGGCCGGGCATTGTGGCTCACGCCTGTAATGCTAGCACTTTGGGAGGCCAAGGCGGGTAGATCACCTGAGGTCAGGAGTTTGAGACCAGCCTGGCCAACATGGCAAAACCCCGTCTATACTAAAAATGCAAAAATGAGCTGGTTGTGGTGGCACATGTCTGTAATCCCAGCTACTCAGGAGACTGAGGCAGGAGAATGTCTTGAACCCAGGAGGCGGAGGTTGCAGCAAGCCAAGATCGCGCCATTGCTCTCCAGCCTGGATGACAGTGATAGTCCGTCTCAAAAAAAAAAAAAAAAATGTTTCCTGGATAGGTAACGGTTGATCTTTTGGAGGAACTGGCTTTTTTTTTTTTTTTTCTTGAGATGGAGTCTTGCTCTTTAACCCAGGCTGGAGTGCAGTGGCACGATCTCAGTTCACTGCACCCACCACCTCCTGAGTAGCCAGGATGACAGACTCACACCACAATATGCCCACCTTTTTGTATTTTTGGTAGAGACGGGTTTTGCCATGTTGCTGAGACTGATCTTGAACTCCTGAGCTCAAGCAGTCTTCCCACTTCAGCCTCCCAAAGTACTGGGATTACAGACGTGAGCCCCCATGTTTCAGTCTTGATACTACCAAAAGGAAATTTTAGATTACCCTTTAGATAATGTTCCACGTAATCTAGGAATTTAGCCTAAAAGATATAATTACAGGAATTTTAATTTAAGGTTATTTGTGGCTGGGCACGGTGGCTCACACTTGTAATCCCAGCACTTTGGGAGGCTGAGGCGGGTGGATCACTTGAGGTCAGGAGTTTGAGACCCGTCTGACCAACATAGTGAAACCCCGTCTCTACTAAAAATACAAAAATCAGCCGAGTGTGGTGGTGCACACCTGTAATCCCAGCTACTCAGGAGGCTGAGGCAGGAGAATCATTTGAAGCCAGGAGGCAGAGGTTGCAGTGAGGGAAGATCACGCCACTGCACTCCAGCCTGGGCAACAGAGTGAAACTCTGTCTCAAAAAATAAAAATAAAGAATAGTAATTTGTATACCAGTATCACTCTTTGGGAACTGAATATTTAAATCAAAAACTTATGTGCAGCTCTTCTTTTTGCCCTTTTTTTGTGTGTGACTCAAGGCTATTCTGTTCTTCAATATAGAACTAACTTAGAAAAAAGCCTTCCAACATTTTAGTTATCTTTCTTGGGCGCAACTATAAGGAGTGGACCTTTGCTCCATGGAATGTTCTTCTTTGCATTCTCCTGGTTTGTTTTCCTAGACCCTCTGTTTTCATTTCCTCTACACAGATTGGTGAGGAAATGAGCCAGAACAGTTTCATAAAACAGTATCTGGAAAAGCAGCAGGAGCTACTTAGGCAGCGTCTGGAACGTGAAGCTCGAGAAGCTGCAGAACTTGAAGGTAAGCCCAGATTGTCACTTTTAACAAGGAGTTCGTCATTCTTATCCCTGTCACCAAGTAGATAGGCCTGTCTAACTAGACAATTTCAGAAATAAGTGAGGCTGAGACTGCTACTTACTTGCTTTCATAGCCCATGAAGCCAAGTGGTTTACTATTTACTTTTGTCAGGGAAGAGGACACTTAATTTGACTGTCTTGTTAGAAGAGGATTCCTGCCAACAGGAAGAGTTATAAGTAAATTAAGCTACCATTTAGATGAAGTAGAGCTGAATCCCAGGGAGTTTTTTCTTTTTATACGGTGCTCTTTTTGGTATGTATCTCTGTATCTGTGACTTTGCCTGACCTCCTTCACTCCTCTACATATTCCTACATGCTGAGTCCTTCACTCCCTCCCTGCCCCGACCCGATCTGTACTTTGCAGAAGCTTCAGCTGAGTCGGAGGACGAGATGATCCATCCTGAGGGAGTGGCTTCCCTGCTGCCTCCTGACTTTCAGAGCAGCCTGGAGAGACCAGAGCTGGAGCTCAGCAGACATTCGCCCAGTACGTATCTCCCTCCCCACTGCGCTGTTTTGTCAATCCTGCGTAGTTGGTGGGGGGAGGTAGTTACACCTCCTTTCATGCTAAGCCTCCATGAAAGTCCCAGGGAAATTCTGTGACATTGATATTTGACATCTGTTTCTCATGGAAAGTATACCCTTTTTGAAGTCTGCTTTCACCTATATATTGTGTTACCTTCTCAGTGTTTTACGAAGCAGTGTGATTTTTCTTCTCATCTGTACCTCTTCAACTCTTCTACCTCTGAATTTGGCAACAGTCAGCTCTTTTTCATCTCTTCACCAGTTGTGTATATTACGTGTTAACACATTCAGTCACCCTCTGGAGTTGGGTATCTGCTGTGGTTTAATCAACAAATTTTTATTGTGTACTTGTTGTATACCAGGCACATGCTAGGCACGAGGAATATAGTAAAGAAAGAAACAAGTCTCAGCCCCAAGAAACTTAGTCTAGTGAGGACATGGACATTAGTTACAGTTGTTTTGGCTACTGTGCAAGGCAACGCAGAGTATTATGTGAGCATATTATAGTAGGGAGCTCTAACCTAGTATATGGGATTGGTTCAGGCAAGATTAATTAATTTCTTCACATTATAGAAAATATTAAGCACCCAGACTGGGTGTGGTCGCTCACGCCTCTAATCCCAGCACTTTGGGAGGCTGAGGCAGGAGGATCACCTGAGGTCAGGAGTTCCAGACCAGCCTGGAAAAACCGTGAAAAAGCCATGGCAAAACCCTGTCTCTACTAAAAATATAAAAATTAGCTGGGTATGGTGGCAGGCACCTGTAATCCCAGTGACTCGGGAGGCTAAGGCAGGAGAATCGCTTGAACCCGGGAGGCAGAGGTTGCAGTGAGCCAAGATTGCACCATTGCACTTCAGCCTGGACAATAGAGCGAGACTGTGTCTCAAAAAATACATAAAATCATAATAGGCACCCAATTTTGCATAATATCTCAAGCAAAAGTCTATAAATATAGCCTTTGTCTTTTGGGAACTACCTGTCTAAGTCAGTATACTTTGAGGAAAATATGTGCAGGTTGAGCATGCCTAATCCAAAGACCCAAAACTTTTTGAGTATTCACATGACACTCAAAGGAAATGCTCATCAGAGCATTTCAGATTTTGGGTTTTCAGATTAGGGATGCTGAATCAGAAAGTATAATGCAAATATTCAAAAATCCAAAATCTAAAACACTTGTGATCCCAAGCATTTTGGAAAAGGGATACTTAATATGTATATAAGACATGTGGATTGTTAGTACATATGTTAAACCAATGTGTAACTTAACAAGTATTTTGAATAATTAGTGTTGAGGGGGATGCGGAATCCACCATAATCAGTGTTTTTAGGATGTATGGAGGTTTCCAGCTCTTCTGATTAATACAGAATTCCTTCATGGACTACACTTGATTTTAGTTAAAAGGCTGAGCAGCGATAGACTCTTCATGGAAATAGATTTTTTAGGAGACATTTAATGGTGGGAAAGAAATTTTCCAAAAGGCTAGAGAAAATAGAGAGCCTTTGAGTCTAGTTTTAAGGTCCTGTTTTACTCAGTCCCTGTTTTTCTTGATCCTAGTCTTAGACCCAGAAAGACATTTCTAGAAATCTTTTAGTAAGAAAATACTGGCCAATACTTTGGAATTATTAAGTTCCTTAGGGACCTCTTTTCTCCTGAAATACGAGAGTAGTAGACCCTCAGCTGATCCACTTTGCTCCCTGCGCCCTTTCCCCCTTGATTTTAAAGCCGAGAGGAAAGAGAAAGCTCTTCTAAAATTGTCGGTATTTCTTCTCACATAAAACAAAAAAAAATTTATTGAATTCCTACTGCATACATATCTCTGTGAGAGTATATTGGGAGTTAGCACAGCATAAAGTCTGTTAGGAAGAGAGAACAATTACACATAAATCGAACAACAGAAGATAGTATGTGACAATGATACAGACATAGGGAACCAAAAGAGTGGAAGAGCTCTGAGGACTACAGTGATTAGAGAAAGCCTCATAAGGAGATACAGGATTTGAGCTGAGCCTTAGAAATGGTTTGGCAGAGAGGATACAAGAAGATATTTTTAGGAAGGAACAAAGTCAGAGAGATAGGAATGAAAATGGTATTTTTAAAGGAGAGGTAGTAGACTAATCTAGCCAGAGTAGAGTATTTCACATTCAAGAATAGTCAGCAAAACAATTTAAAAGGTAGATGAGGGTGATACACAGAGGGCTTTAAATGCCAGGCCAGTAAGTATGAGGGTTTTTTTTTTAGTTCTATAGGTAATGGGGGAACCATTGAAAATTCTTAATAGGACCATGATTTGATAAGGACCTCTCTTTAAAAAGAGAGGCTGTCAGTTCTTAATATAATTCGAAATGAAAATGAGAAATGATTTCTGAAATAGATTTCAAAAGCAAAGATTTAGAGTAAGGGTAGCCAATCTTTTCAGTGCTTTATGTCATCAGTAAGACCCTGCCCATGGCTAATGATTGATGGAGGAAAAAAAAAACCCCAGACGTTAAAAAAAAAAAAAGGTGAAAAATAAATTGGAAAATATGAATGTGGTAAATTGTAGAGTACTGCTCATAATTGCCGTAAATGCTCTTCAGTGTCCTTTATGCCATAAACTTTTCTACCTCTGATCTTGGCTTAGATAAGAATCCCATTATAGATGTTGTACAAAATTTAGTTAAGGTCCTGAATGGAGTGGCCATTTGGAATTCTATCAGTGCTTAGTTGAATCAGCATTAACCCTAGTGTTTGTCCAGAAATCAGATTCTTCCAGGTATAGAATCTCAGTCTGCCATATGCCAGTATGCCATTGCAATGGCAGCTTATTTGTTGGCTTTGAATGTTTTGGGGTTCTCTCTTGAATAACAATTTTTGATTAAGTTTCCTACTAACATTTTTCTAAACGCTACTGGCACCTGAGGGAGATTTTTTATTTGTTTTAATATTACTATGTTTAAGAATATGGATTCCTGGCCCCTACCCAAAGAATCTCAAGGAATGGGAGTCCTGGGGCTCTACATTTTTTAAAAAGTCCCTGAGTGGTTCTGTTGACCAATTCATTTTATGAATGACTAACTGAAGGAAGAGTTTTTCAGTGTTATAATTTATCAAGATCTTTGGTTTATATTCCAGCATCCTCCTGTTTATATGCTATTGGCAAAATTCCAAATAGGAAGGAAGAATTGGTTTGTCCAGGTGTGGTGTCTCACACCTGTAATCCTAGCACTATGGGAGGCTGAGGTGGGAGGATCTCCCAGGAGATTGGCCTGAGCAACATAGTGAGTCCTATCTGTACAAAAAAATAGAAAACATTAGCTGACTGTGATGGCACATGCCTGTAGTCCCAGCTACTCGGGAGGCTGAGGTGGGAAGATTGCTTGGGCCCTAGCAGTCAAGGTGGCAGACAACAGAGTGAAACCATGTCTCAAAGAAATAATTGGTTTATAAAATCCTGTCTGACTTTCCCTCTTATGTCTCCATCACTTTCTTCAGATATTTCTAAGGTGTTAGGACTCATTATCCACCTACCATAGTCATAAATTGTCTGAATTTCCTTCTATATCATGACTGTGTGTACAGAAATTCTTACCGTCCTTAATTTTTTCAAAAAGAGCTCAAACTAAGAAAATACATTTTTAAATGCATATTCAGAATATTGATTCTTTAACAAAGGTGATTTTAGCCAGCCTTTGGCTTATAGAGTATGCCCCTCATTCCGTTTTCTCCATATTAAAACCTGGATGCGGAAATTCTAGAGAAATGCTAGGTAACTTACTTACAGGTCTAACATGAGTCAGATTTAGGTTTGGCATTGTTTCCAGGTCTGTATTCTCTTCATTCCTGCTTCTTATTCACACCTAAGGTTACCTTTTAGCCACAGGCTTTTCTTCGATCTCTGGCTTCCTTACTTTGGTCCCACAAATCCTACCCAGGAATTTGTTTTCTAGGATGAAGAACTATTTCCTCTATAACCCTTAAACATTCTGCACTTTAATATATCCTGCATTGTCTAGCAACTGCCTTTTCCTTTCTGTGAAGCCTTCTGGCTTTGGACTCTTGGAAATCTAATATTTACCCTGACTTGTTTTTCGAATCCTGAAATGTATTTATTAGCCTGTTATCAGTATCAGCTCCACCCTTAGCTAAAGCGCTCACTGTCTACACGTGTTACTAACATCTGGCCTAAGACATTCATTGTGGCCATGTTCTTATAATAGAAGATATCACCTTTTTCAGAAGTTTGTCTGCATCACATCAGCTCTTTCCAAGGAACTAGAGATTCCTCATCTCTTTATATTTTGCATTGCTGACTAATTTCTTGTTTCATGTCTGAGGCGCCTCCAGTTTCTGCTTTTATTGCAAAACAGTGATGACCAGAACTTTCTGAACAGCCCTGTTCATTTCTCCAGATCTCTTTGATGACTTACTACAAGTTCTTCCAGAGGAGTAATCATCCAGAAATCCTATCACTGCAGTTTTACAGTATCAAAAATAACATTATAATTCAATAAATAGCATATAATTCACAGTAGGTAGATAAAGAGGCTGTTTTGCTTGTACATACTAATTTTAAAATTGCAACTCAGTTATTTGACTTTGTTGTTGTTGTTCTTGTTGTTGTTGTTTTTTGAGATGGAGTCTCGCTCTGTCGCCCAGGCTGGAGTGCAGTGGCGCGATCTCTGCTCACTGCAAGCTCTGCCTTCCAGGTTCACGCCGTTCTCCTGCCTCAGCATCCCAAGTAGCTGGGACTGCAGGCACCCGCCCCCACACCCGACTAATTTTTTTTTTTGTATTTTTAGTAGAGACGGGGTTTCACCATGGTCTTAATCTCCTGACCTCGTGATCGCCCACCTCGGCCTCCCAAAGTGCTGGGATTACAGGCGTGAGCCACTGCGCCCAGCGTTGACTTTAACACATTTATCTCTGACCAACCTTGCACTTGCCTTTTTTTTTTGGTGTGTGTGAGATAAATCAGCTTCTTTCACTGATACTTGTGAAGGAACTTTGCCTAACATTTATGAAAACTTTTTATTTTGGTTTTACTTATTTTATAACTTAGCCTATTTCAGATCACTGAATTATGAAATGAGTATTTCATTTCACTGCACTACTGTCTTACAGATGTCTTCAAATGTTTGCTAAAGAGTCTGGCCTTTCACTATATATTCTAATCATATATCCTGTATGAACAACCATAACACAAATCTTTCTTCACTTACCCAGATACGAAATGGTATATACTCAGAGGTCCTTTTAATCAAATGATCATGAAGTAAAGTTTTACAAAATATGTGTAGTCTTCTAATTGATTTCATTAGTTTCATTTTGGGTTTTTTTTTTTTTTTTTCTTTTTTGAGATGGAGTCTCGCTCTGTCGCCCAGGCTGGAGTGCAATAGCGCCATCTCGGCTCACTACAACCTCTGCCTCCCAGGTTCAAGCGATTCTTCTGCCTCAGCCCCCTGAGTAGCTGGGACTGCAGGCGTACGCCACCACGCCCAGCTAAAATTTTTTTTGTATTTTTAGTAGAGATGAGGTTTTACCTAATTGGCCAGGCTAATCTCAAACTCCCGACCTCGTGATCTGCCCGCCTCGGCCTCTCAATGTGCTGAGATTACAGGCATGAGCCACCGTGCCCAGCCTCATTTTGATTTTTTAATTATTATTACAGAAGCATTCGCCTAGTTCATTTTAGATTGTAAGGATATAGAAATAGAGAAGGCCGGGCATGGTGGCTTACACCTGTAATCCCAGCACTTTGGGAGGCCAAGGAGGGGGAGGATGACAAGGTCAGGAGTTCGAGACCAGCCTGGCCAACGTGGCAAAACCCCGTCTCTACTAAAAATACAAAAGTTAACCAGGCGTGGTGGCGGGCGCCTGTAGTCCCAGTTACTCAGGAGGCTGAGGCAGGAGAATCACTTGAACCCAGGAGGCGGAGGTTGCAGTGAACCGAAATCGTGCCATTGCACTCCAGCCTGGGCAACGAGCAAGACTCTCTCTCAGAAAAAAAAAAAAATAAGAGAGAAGATCTTGGGTTAGAGCTGCATACCATCTGCTTTATTTGCACTATTACTATACAACATGGTTTTGTGTACAGAACCTTTTGTACTGTATTAACATTGAGTCCAATCTAGCTGATCAAGTATCTGGAATATAATTATCTTCCTGCTATTTTCTAAACTGGTTCTCATTGATGTTAGTATTGCTACTGTACATAGTTGATCTTTTTTGTTTTTTTGAGACGGAGTCTCGCTCTGTCGCCCAGGCTGGAGTGCAGTGGCGCGATCTCGACTCACTGCAAGCTCCGCCTCCCAGGTTCACGCCATTCTGCCTCAGCCTCCTGAGTAGCTGGGACTACAGGCACCTGCCGCCACGCCTGGCTAATTTTTTGTATTTTTAGTAGAGACAGGGTTTCACCATGTTAGCCAGGATGGTCTCGATCTCCTGACGTCGTGATCCGCCTGCCTCGACCTCTCAAAGTGCTAGGATTACAGGCGTGAGCCACCGTGCCCGGCCGCCTAGTTGATCTTAATTCTGGTAGGAAATTTGGAAATCATCTAGTGCAGCCCCTCCTTTTTCTCAATCATGACATTTGAGACTCGGGCACAGTGGTTTATACCTTAATCTCAGCACTTTGGGAGGACCGGGGTGGGAGGATTACTTGAGCCCTGGAGGCTGAGGCTGCAGTGAGCCATGATCATGCCACTGCACTCCAGCCTGGGTGACAGAGTAAAACACTGTCTAAAAAGAAAGATATTGAGACCCAAATTACTTAAGTGATTTACCCAGTTACCTTCCTTCATGGAATTTGAGTGAAACTTTCTTTCCGTTTTACATGGATTTATTGTTCAGGATAACCTAGATTGGTGGTTTCCAAGCTTTTTAATAGAACTTTTTTTTTCCTTAAAAAAAAAAAAAATCTCACCTAGTCCGGGTGCGGTGACTCACGCCTGTAATTCCAGCACTTTGGGAGGCCAAGGCGGGGGGATTGCTTGAGCCCAGGAGTTCGAACCAGCCTAGGCAACATGATGAAACCCCGCCTCTGTAAAAAATACCGAAATTAGCCAGGTATGGTGGCGTGCGCCTGCAGTCCCAGCTGCCCGGTAGGCTGAAGCAGGAGAATCGCTTGAACCTGGGAGGCGGAGGTTGTGGTGAGCCTAGATCATGCCATTGCACTCCATCCTGGGCAACAAGAGCAAAACTCTGTCTCAAAAAAAAAAAAAGAAAAACATGTGAGCTCATGCCTGTAATCCCAGCACTTTGGGAGGCCAAGGCGGGCAGATCACTTGAGGTCAGGAGTTTGAGACCAGCCTGTCCAACAGGATGAAACCCCATATCTACTAAAAATACAAAAATTAGCCAGGCATGGTGGTGGGCACCTGTAATCCCAGCTACTCAGGAGGCTGAGGCATGAGACTGGTTTGAAGCCAGGGGGCAGAGGTCGCAGTGAGGCGAGATTGCACCACTGCATCCAGCCTGGGTGACAGAGTGAGACTCCATCTCAGAAAAAAAAAAAAAAAAAAAAAAAATATTGAGCTCTAATACATAAAACCTAATAGACAGGACCCAATTCTGAAACCCCATCCAGTTGGCTTGAAGTAATTTCAGGAACTTTAGGGCGCTGAAAAACATTCCTCTAAGTATTTATTTCTTGAGTTTGTTATTGTGCAAATTCATATATTTCATCATAATATTTTGGTTGAAATTAGAAAGTAGTAGTAATAGGCAATCCAAAAAAATGGATACAGAACATAATGAAGTCTTAAACTTTATTCAGAGTAAGAACACTTTGTAGAAATAAGTACACTTCATATTTGTACATCCCTGCTAGACAGTTTGAAGCCCCTGGAAATTATTTTACATTTATTTGAGTTATTTATAACATGTGAATTGGCTTCGAGGTGTTGAAAATATTCTAGACTTGCACACCAAGAATTACCAATAAGACCCTGACCTAGTTAGGGCTTTTTGTAGTCTTTTCTTTAGTGTAGAAGTCAAAGAAACCGATACAGATATGTCTTGATAGGCTCATATGCTATAATTGGTTGGATATTAGAAAGCCTGATTTTTAAAAAGCCATGAATGAGTCTTCACTTCATGAATCTGACTTGATTCTTTTTCATTCAATAGGAAAAAGCTCCTCAATTTCTGAAGAGAAAGGTGACTCTGATGATGAGAAACCAAGGAAAGGAGAAAGACGATCATCTAGGGTCAGACAGGTAACTCAGATACCTCCTAAAGCATTACCTCTTCAGTAATGCTTTGGATATCTTCTCTTCTTCAGACTTGTTTTGAGTTTGTATGTCTCTACATTTAGGGGTTTTGTTTTTCTTTTTTGGGACAGAGTCTGGCTCTGTCGCCTAGGCTGGAGTGCAGTGGCACAATCACAGCTTACTACAGCCTCGACCTCCTAGGCTTAAGCAGTCCTTCCACCTCAGCCTCCCAAAGGATTGGGATTACAGGCATGAGCCACTGCCTGGCCTCTAGATTTCTTTGTGGTTATCTTCCTTCTCCTCTTTGTCATCTTTTTGTTGTTCGTTTTGTCTTTTTATTTAGATCTGCTCTGCCTTTTAGATTTCTAAGTGAATATTTTTTAAAAGTTTAAATTTGAAAATTAGCAGGCTGCTCTGTATTCTTAAAGCACATTATTAGACAAGATATGACATAATTAACCATTCAATCAAAGCTTTAAAGTTATATAACACTAAGTGGGCAGAATACAAAAATGTTATGTGTAGTGTAATTATGACTGTACAAAGGAAATGATTAGAGGAAAGAACAAAAAGAAATATACCAAAATGATAAAAAGATAATCGTATTAATTGATAGTAGGTTAGTTCCTTTCAGCCCCCTATCCACCCTTTTACTTTCCAGATGTTCTGCTAATATTTTACTGAAAAAAAAAAAAAGGGGGTGCTTGAAGCTAAAATTTAAACTACATACAAGTAGCTTCATTGTGATATTTCTTTTGGTCACTTTGTTTTGATTCCCCTAAGGGCTACGTTAGTCATGATTGTCTCCTGTCACTCCTGTTTCTGTTGCTGAAAGTATATATCATTGAATTTCTCCTTCCTAGGGGTGTCTTCATTAGATACTTTCTCTCCTCTGTTGACTGTGAGCAAATACATTTGGAGCCATTGTGTATCTGTTCTTTCAGGCAAGAGCAGCTAAACTGTCTGAGGGCAGCCAACCTGCTGAGGAGGAAGAGGATCAAGAAACACCTTCCAGAAACCTAAGGGTCAGAGCAGATCGAAATTTGAAAACAGAGGAGGAAGAAGAGGAGGAGGAGGAGGAGGAAGAAGATGATGAAGAAGAGGAAGGTGATGATGAGGGACAAAAATCTAGGGAGGCACCAATCCTGAAAGAGTTTAAGGAAGAAGGGGAAGAGATACCTAGAGTAAAACCAGAGGAGATGATGGATGAGAGACCCAAAACAAGATCCCAGGAACAGGAGGTGTTAGAGAGAGGAGGGAGATTTACAAGATCCCAGGAAGAGGCTAGAAAAAGTCATCTGGCCAGACAGCAGCAGGAGAAGGAAATGAAAACAACATCTCCCCTTGAGGAGGAAGAAAGAGAAATAAAATCTTCACAAGGCTTAAAGGAAAAATCGAAGTCTCCTTCCCCTCCTCGACTGACTGAAGATCGAAAGAAGGCCTCACTTGTAGCGCTGCCAGAGCAAACTGCCAGCGAGGAGGAGACTCCTCCACCTTTACTAACAAAGGAAGCATCTTCTCCACCACCTCATCCACAGCTCCATAGCGAAGAAGAAATAGAGCCCATGGAAGGCCCAGCCCCCGCTGTCCTCATTCAGTTATCTCCTCCTAATACAGATGCTGACACCAGGGAGCTATTAGTATCTCAGCATACTGTCCAGTTGGTAGGAGGCCTGTCTCCTTTGTCAAGTCCTTCAGACACCAAAGCAGAATCTCCAGCAGAGAAAGTGCCAGAGGAGAGTGTCCTGCCTCTGGTTCAGAAAAGCACACTGGCTGACTACTCAGCCCAGAAGGATCTTGAACCTGAGTCAGACAGATCTGCTCAGCCCCTCCCTCTAAAAATTGAGGAATTAGCACTGGCCAAAGGAATCACTGAAGAATGTCTGAAACAGCCATCTTTGGAACAGAAGGAAGGCAGAAGAGCTTCTCATACCCTTCTCCCAAGCCACAGATTGAAACAGTCAGCTGATTCATCCTCTAGCCGGTCCTCCTCATCTTCCTCCTCCAGTTCTAGATCAAGATCTCGCTCTCCTGACAGTTCAGGTTCTCGGTCTCATTCACCGCTCAGATCCAAGCAGAGAGATGTAGCCCAGGCACGTACTCATGCCAACCCTCGTGGTAGACCCAAGATGGGCTCCAGATCAACATCAGAGTCCAGATCAAGGTCACGTTCACGTTCTCGTTCAGCATCAAGCAACAGCAGAAAAGTGAGTATGAGAGAATCCCGGGTGTATTAATGTTCTGTCATATTCCAGTGGTTTTCATTTCAGCCCCTGGAGAGCCTGTCATGATTTCTGAAAGGAATAGGAAAAGCCTCCTTTACTCTCCTTCACTGATTACTTTCTCCTCATTTCAGAATCGTATTTTCAATTAACTGATTCCCGAAATGGGGTTCTTTTTCATTTTGAGTCCCTTGATAGAATGTTGAATTTATGTACTCATCTCCTCCACTAGATGGAAACTTCTTGAGGATGTGGGCATGCCCTTTTACGTGTGTGTCCCAGGATCTAGCATCTAGTTAAAACTTAATAATTTGTTAAATAAGTGGTCAAGGAGACCACTAAATGGGAATAAACACAGACAAAATGGGAGTAAACACAGACAAAAAGGTCCAGAGTATAAAATTTGGTCCATGGAAACTGGAAAACTCAGCAATCTACTGAATATATACCATATACAATAATTTTCCTTGTTATGTGTTTCATTTTGTTTTAGTCTCTGAGCCCTGGAGTCTCCAGGGACAGCAGCACCAGCTATACTGAAACCAAAGATCCCTCTTCTGGTCAGGAGGTTGCAACTCCACCAGTGCCACAACTGCAGGTCTGTGAGCCAAAGGAGAGGACTTCCACCTCCTCATCCTCTGTCCAAGCAAGGCGTCTGAGTCAGCCTGAATCAGCTGAAAAGCATGTGACCCAGAGGTTACAGCCTGAGCGGGTAGGCTATTGTGACCCCTCCCTACACAGAGATGGAGGATTAAGCAAGATCTTCCCTCTTGTCTTTGCTATAAAACTAAAAAGTTAAGTCTGGACAAGGTTCAGTAGAAATGTGGTGGATACCTGTTAATCCTGCTTAACTCATTTCCAGCTCCCTGGTTCGTAGAAGTTCTACATGAGGCTGAGCAGCAGGGTTATCTCCAGGGCCCCCAGGGTCAATTCTTCCTCATAACTCCTCCTTTTATCTGCCAAAAGGAAGTCAGCCTTTTCTCAGTTCTCTCAAAAAAGAATTCTGTCAGAACAAGGATCACTGAGGAAAAGGAAAAAAATTAAAAATTCTGATAAAATGATTACTGGCATAAATATTCTTGAAGTACCTATTTTTAAGCCATGTTCCTTTCCTTATTCTAAAATGAAATAACAGATACAGAGGGCCGTGTGTGGAGCTGGTACTGTGTATGTCCTGCCCTGCCTTTTTCAGGCTCCAGGTAGAAGAAAAGGAACCAAGCAGATCTAAATGTTTTGCTCTGTTCGTTTTTGCTATCTCCTGACAGGGGAGCCCAAAGAAGTGTGAAGCTGAAGAGGCAGAGCCACCAGCTGCCACACAGCCCCAAACCTCAGAGACTCAGACCTCTCATCTGCCAGAATCAGAAAGAATTCATCACACTGTGTAAGTGATATATCTCGACCGGGGTATAACAGGGAACTATGAGTGTGCGATAGTTCTTCGCTCCCTAGGGTTCTTTGACTAAGCAGTCCTAGTTTCCTTTTAAAACATAAAGGCAGAGCTTTATCTGGACAAAGGCTAGACTTCAGTTACTATGTTGGGAGCTGCCACCTTTAAGGTAACCTGAAAAGTGGTCGTCAGGGCACAAGGAAAACTCACCTGGGATCATCCAGCCAAAATAGTCAACTCCTTTAAGATTTAGGCAATAGAAGCTTCTGCTTCCACACTCAAAACCATGTAAGGGAATTGACTCCGGGCATCTTAATCTTTAACTCATGTTTACCTAGGAACCCAGTTTAATAAAGGATATTGAGGGTCTTAATAAAGGCACAGCTGGGTGCTATTTTTTAGTTTGTGCATTTTCCCTAGTTCCCTAGTTACTACCTGTCATTAAGCTATCCTAGTTCTGCTAGGATATCCTAGTTCTTACAGCATACAGTACAGCAAATTATGAAGTTCCTTTCAAGTCAGAAGTTTGTTCCTGGGCCCTTAAGACCATTTGATTGAACTTAAAATTTATACAATTAATGTGAGTTTTTAAAATCTTTATATTAAGTCCTAGAGAAATACTCATATCAGGTTAAATTAGAATTAAATAGGTATGTCATTCATTCTTCTGAGATAGGTATTATAAATTAAGAAGCCAATGAGCCAGAATTCCTGGCTTCAAAGTCTCCTGGGAAATGAAAAAATGAAGCCTTATGGGAATAAGATTGCGTAGCTTTTAGACATCAGGAACCCTGAACTGCTTTGTAGAATGTCCTGTGTAGACTGTTAGCCTAAAGTTATTCTATACTTGTTTTTATGCCATATTAACACTAATGCTACCAGTATGATTTCCCCTATATGTAATTGTCTAATAATTTATACTCTTCTGAGAGCTTCAAACTGTACTTTAACTCTGACTTTTGGAGGGTAGTGGGCAGGTGACATGATTTATCTCATTTGCCTGTGACTTTAATGATAGTTTTATAGACCTTACTATATAGCTTTTACCTGGGGGTATACCCTTGCTGAGGGGTATAATCCTTGTCGATTCTGACAGTCTTACCTCTGCTGCCATCTTGTGGCTGTTAACATTTTTTGTTTGGCAGCCAAAAGTTCACTCTACTTCCTTTGAAATTTTTTGGTTTTTCCCTTCTGGAATGGGTACGCTATCCTTTGGAAAAGGGTTTTTCTTCTGGGACCATAAAGTGAAAACTCAGCGGATTCTGGAAGGTATTCAGGATTCCCCAGCTACATCATCGATGAGGAAATGGGGTGACATTTTCTCTTCCATATCCCTCAACCAGACATAATACCTGCCCCCCTCCTCCCAATTCCATGGAGGTACATTTTACATTCCATTTTACAAAAGCATGTCCTTTGTGAAATGGCAGTTTTGAAGTGGGTATTGACAGCCTGCTACTAATTGGGCCTGAGGAACTGCTTCCGATGCACCTTGGGAAGAAAGTGATTTTCTGAAAAGCTCTTTGCTAGCCTTAAAATTCTGTGGGTTTATGAGATCCTAGCAACAGAAAGGCATTTTATTTTGTTTTGAAGCAGCTTTTTTTCTGGACATTCCCATGCAAGTCCAGGGCACATGAAGCTTGGAGTCATAGAGTTTCCTGTCCCCCCACTCCAGGTAAAGGTGGTTTTGATCTTCATTTTATGACTGAGATAATTTAGTCACATTGATTCTAATAAGATGATAGGCAAGTGGCATCTTGGGCAAATACTTAGATTGTCCATTGTTGCCTAGGCCCGCTTCAGTGGAGTAGTGTATAGAAGGGAAATGCAGTCTTCACTGAGGAGCAGTTCACACACATCACTCGTACCTGCTTTCCTTCTACCTGCCTATCACATGGGTTGTTCAACATTCTAACAAAACAGCATGCCCAGAAGCCTAAACCCATAGGCATTGGATCTGGTAAATAAATCTTTGAGAAGGTTGCATACATTTCTGGAGGCCCTACCACAACTGATTAACAACACCCTTCCTGGTCTCTCACCCCTCCAGAGTGTTAAGTGTGCAGTCTGGCAGCCCTCTAGAGCTCTGGCCAATTTTGAAAGCGTAATCAACAATGCTAAATGGAAAAGACCATTTATGGCATGGCCAGGCGTGGTGACTCATGCCTGTAATTGCAGCACTTTGGGAGGCCAAGGCAGGTGGATCACCTGAGGTCAGGAATTCGAGACCAGCCTGACCAACATGGTGAAACCCCGTCTCTACTAAAAATACAAAATTAGCCGGGCATGGTGTGCACCTGTAATCCCAGTTACTCAGGAGGCTGAGACAGGAGAATCGCCTGAACCCGGGAGGCGGAAGGTGCGGTGAGCTGAGATCACGCCATTGCACTCCAGCCTGGGCAACAAGAGCGAAACTCCGTCTCAAAAAAAAAAAATGGAAAAGACCATTTATGGCCTAACCTTGGTTTTTCTGTCTGTCTCAACAAGAAGTCATATGACTTTAAAAAACAGAGCAGTAAAGTGTTAAAAAAAAAAAAAATTAGACTTCAAGGACCTGTCACCATTTGGAAGAGATTGACTGACTTTTTGCTGTGTTTGGTTAAATCCATTCTGATTCTGATTGTGCCTGAGGAATTCTAAATTTATGAGGTAAGGTGTCTTTTTCATTGCTTGGAGCAGGAATTTGTGGGTCCTCAGTCCTGTTTCAGTTGAGTGCTGTTCAAAACTCTGGTCTTCTGCCTTGTATGGGTATAACAAAAATGTCCCCATATAGCAGAAAATAATGGTATTCTCTTTTTACTTAAAAAAAAAAAAAAAAAAAGGGGAAGAAAGAAAAGAGGGGATTTGTTTGTGTGGGCAGCTGTATCATTCAGCTGTAGTTAATTCAGACCTGGATTTCTCTAGATACAACCTTCCTGTATGCACAGACCTAGCAGGCAATAGCAGTTTTAGGCTCTTGGTACAATGCATGTTTGTCCTTCTGCCTGTGTAGGAGGAAGGTATTGGTTCCTTAAGCCAATATGATGGTGTAATTGATATTCCCCAGGGGACATACAATGCCAATATCCCAAATGATGCATGAAAAAGCAGAATTTGTTGTCATCAATAGAGTTTGCTCCACTGAGAAATTATCTAAGGACATATACCCCAAAATCATACTGTTCTAGGTTATCTTGGGACCAGTATGCTTCTGAGGGTATCTAGTCCCACTGTTTCTTATTAAATTTTCACGTCAGTTTTTCAGCTCCTCGTGAATTTTCTATAATAACTAAAATTTCAGCATATATGCCTATAGGAATTTCCTTTTCCATTAGCTTCTCTGAATCTCATATTCACATATGAGTTGTAATGTGATATTATTAGCCTCCAAGTAGTTGTACCCTTTTCTTCTGGGCTTCTTTGTGTACTGTTTACTTATGGGTAGATATCCCCACTGCTTATTCTGTGCAGTTTCACAGACTGTTAAGCTATGTTGGGCTCTGACACATGGTTAACAAGGTTTTGGTACTAGTCCTGCAAGTAGATAGAGTCCATTTTGGGGACAGTTTCAAGGATTCCTCTTTATCTTTTTTCTTTTTTGGAGACAGAGTCTCACTCTGTCACCCAGGCTGGAGTGCAGTGGCCCGATCTCTGCTCACTGCAACCTCCGCCTCCTGGGTTCAAGCAATTATCATGCCTCAGCCTCCTGAGTATCTGGGACTATAGACGCGGCTGCCACACCCTGCTAATTTTTCTATTTTTAATAGAGATGGGGTTTCACCATGTTGGCCAGGCTGGTCTCAAACTCCTGGCCTCAGGCAGTCCTCCTGTCTCAGCCTCCCAAAGTGTTGGTATTACAGGCGTGAGCCACCATGCCCGGCCCTCATTATTGTCTGAAAATAAAATGTTCGGAATTGTTGGGTCCCACAGAATTGATCATGGGGAAATAGAAAACACACGCCTCTTGTGTCTTAAGAGGGTAAAGGAGAACGTGGTAAGATTCTTATTCTTAAAAAAAAGAAATTTTCGGCCGGGCATGATGGCTCACGCCTGTGATCCCAGCACTTTGGGAGGCCGAGACGCGCGAATCACAAGGTCAGAAGATCGAGACCATCCTAGCTGACACAGTGAAACCCCGTTTCTACTAAAAATACAAAAAATTAGCCGGGTGTAATGGAGGGTGCCTGTAGTCCCAGCTGCTCGGGAGGCTGAGGCAGGAGAATGGTGTGAACCCCGGAGGCGGAGCTTGCAGTGAGCTGAGATTGTGCCACTGCACTCCAGCCTGGGCAACAGAGTGAGACTCCGTCTCAAAAAAAAAAAAAAAAAGGAATTTTCAATAACAAAATTTCTCAAAATCAGCCACTTCTGCAGAGGCATATTAGCAGCTGAGAGTATTTTAGGACAGTGGATAAACAGAGCATTTTATTTGAGGATGGCTGAAGGTAACATTTTCTGTGGTGTAACATTGTTTGTGGGGATTCTATTAAAAAAATTTTTTTCTTTTTTTGAGATGGAGTTTTGCTCTTGTTGCCCAGGCTGGAGTGCAATGGCACGATCTCGGCTCACCACAACCTCTGCATCCTGGGTTCAAGTGATTCTCCTGCCTCAGCCTCCCGAGTAGCTGGGATTACAGGCATGCACCACCACGCCCAGCCAATTTTGTGTTTTTAGTAGAGACAGGGTTTCTCCATGTTGGTCAGGCTGGTGATCCGCCCACCTCAGCCTCCCAAAGTGCTGGGATTACAGGCGTGAGCCACCATGCCCAGCCAAAAAATTTTTTTTTCAATAAGAAAACTTTTAGGTTAGCAAGCATTTAGTAAGTGTCCACTTGGTACCCACAATGACACCCTAATTCAGAAATAGTTAGGGAACATTACTTTGTGTTAGGCCCTGGGCTAGGGGCCAAGAGATGCAATCCCTACCCTTGAGGAATTATGCAGGGTAGAGATGGGGGGCAGATAAAGTAGCAGTTATTATACAGAGTGATAAGGGCATTGCTGAAAACCTGTCATGCCAATCACTGAATGGCTTTGCCTCAGAAAACAAGCAGTCTACTCTTTTGAGGAAACTCAGAGCCCCAGAGGTGGCATCAGATGAGATAATGGCCTATTAAGTGTGCATGTATTTTACATGTATCTGTACCTTCACTTGGGGTGTCCTCCAAGCCAGACTCTTAAGAGCTAACACTTAACTACACTGTTCCATGAAATAGGTATTGTCACTATGCCCACTTTGCAGATTACAAGACAGATATACAGAACCAGGAACTTGCCTACTATCACACAACTTTTAACAGAGTGGGGCTAGCCAGTCTGACTCCAGAGTCTTCACTCTTAACCCTGAGCAGACAGGGACCACTATGTGAAAGGAAACATTTAAAGTAATGTATAAATATGGCCACTTTAGCATGCAGTTGGCATTGTAAGTGTAAGATTTTAAGCAGCGGGGAGAAAATTTCATTCCTAGCTTAAAAGCTCAAATGTTACACGAGACACTGAGCTTTGGTTCTCAGAAGTTTATCTTAGTGTAAACTTCTACTGCCACTAGGACACAAAAGGAACATCTCTGCAGTCAACAAATAAGCATTTTGAGTATCTACTGAGCACTTTTTGAACTATTAGCATCTGTTTCCCACTTTGGTCTAGTGAAGATTCCCATGATTAATATTTTCTGCTTAGTTCCCAGTCGCTTTCTGCCCAGCTGATCTTCCCCGCCCCATATAGCAGCACTCTCACTTCACTGTCTTATCTACTTTAGAGCCTCACCTTGGAGCCCTTGCTTCAAGAAGTGGCCTTCAAGCTTCAGCTACCCAAGGTCCCCTTGCCCTGTTTATCCTTTCTTTTTCTGGCCCGAGTGGACCCTGGGGCAGGGTGACCTTATTAAAGACTCTATAAAACAAAGTTGTCTGTCATCTCTTCAGAGACACCAACCCTGCCCCCCTTCTACTGGTATTTGAAAAAAGAACTCTCCCTGCTATCCACTTCCCTCCACCATCCCTGGGAAAAGGACATGTTGGAGTAGTAACACGTGGTCATTGCCGGGGTGAGCAGCCAGTTACTGTAGTGATTGGATAGTGACAATTCCCATCCCACCTCCCTACCTGCAGCATCTGACTGGTTGGTCTGGTTTCAGTGTTCCATGCCTAGATTACTGGATAGAGGATGGTAGGCACATAAAACATTGCTCATGCCCCACCCTCTATCCAGCTTTCATTACCATCCTTCTTTAATCACTTTTCAACTTTGGCTTTATCGTTCTTATTTAATCCTTTTTCACTCCCACCTCTACTGTTTGCCTGCCTTCTATTCTCTCTATTTTCTAGAATCTTCCAATCAAGCAGCTGTAACTTTACATGTCCTCCACCCAGCCCCCTCCCCTGCCCCCTGGGAAGACCAGGAGGGAGCACTCCAGCCCTGGGGGGTTAAGCCTCTGTAGCTGCTGTAACTTGAGAAAAGAAGGCCAGGCCTCTGGAGCCAGCAGTCGGCTCCCTGTGGCCTGCCAAAGGATAAGAACCTTGCTCACTCAGCTCCCTCCCTCTTTTCTTTCCCCTCCCCTGCTGCAGCAAGGCCCTCCCCCATCCGCACACACAGGCTGCTGGGTAAGTGGCAAGATGGCTCCCCTGCATGTCTCCGGCTGATCGCTGCCGCTCCGCCAATACAATAGAGCCAGCCACTACCAGCAGCCTGGCCCTCTTCCTCCTTCTCCAGAGAGACCAATCCAGCCGAACTCGGGGTTTGCCGTGAGGACTTAACGCTTATCTCTTAAAAGCCAGATCTGTTTTAGCCTCCCCGCACCACCACCACCTCCCCTTCCATTTACCATTTTTTGGATCCCCGGTTGCTACATCTCAATTTTCTCTCTCTGGATCGGGTGGCTGGGGAGGAGGTGGTGGGATCTTGGAACAAGGAAGGTGTGGTTTTTTTTCTTTATTTTTTTTAGGATTTTTTTTGTTTGGTTTTTGTTATTTCTTCCATTCCAGAAAGGGATAAACAGCACTTCCAGGGGGAGAAAAAAAATCATGTTATCAGAAAGCAAAGAAGGGTGAGAGCTTCACATTTCCATGTATGCCTTTTCCCCGCCGCCCTAGCTCCCTTCGTCTTCCTTCTCTTCCTCATGGCTTTCATTCCGTCTTTCGTTTTGGTTTGTTTTCAGTCATTCTGCCTTCCCCCTTTGTCCTGCCTGCCCAGTTTCTAATTGGCCCCACATGCCCTTTCTGTATGGGAAATAGATATTTTTTTTGTATAAGCCTTTTCTCTAGATGTAAGCAGCTAAATCTCGTGTTTCTCTGGGGGCCTGTTTAGCTGGGGGCACAGTTCCGATTTTCCCCTCCCCCTAACCCCCCTAGTGCATCCCTTCTTGACTGCTCTAGGGAGGTTCTTCTGACCTCTGAGTGTCAGTCAGTCAGCCTGTTGGGAATGCTGACTTTTCTGGTGGTGGTTATCGGCCTGGGAGGCTTGGTTTCCCCTCTCCTGAGCCTTAGGCCTCTGATCATCTTGATTTGATTTTTTTTGCTTGGTGTTTGGGTGGTAGAGGGGGTGAGATTTGAGATAGAAGTTGGGGACGAAGACAGAAATCAAAGGTGGAAAGATAGTTTATCTGAAGTGAATCTCTGGGATTCTTTGCCTGAAATGGGAGCTAACTTGTGAGATTAAGAGTGGGAGAGTGGGTTTGGTGTTCTTGGGGGAAGCTGCCTGTGTGGGGGAGGGTGTGTCCTGACTAGGAGGCCTGCTCTCTTTATCTCTTGGAAGTTGGAATGAGGGAGTGGGAGAAACTGGGTGAAAGCCGAATGTAGGAACAGTTTCTACACCTCTGAGCAGGTAAAAGTGGCCCTAATCTCTGAGCTCTCATACTCAATTCAGCAGTTTTAATTTTTCCTTTTGAATGAGAGAGGGTCCTTGAAGCTTGAACCTTCACCAGGCCTGCTTCTTCCCTGCAGCTCCCACCCCCCGCCCCGCACCCCCCACCCCCCACCATTTTCTCCATGCTGGTGTCTCCAGATCCTGAGGATCAGCAGGCCTTTACTTATTAAGCAGTTGATTAAACACAGGTCAGGCTTTTTTGCCAAAGCCTTGGCCATTCTTTCTTGTCTTTTTAAGGGAATCGGGCTTCCCTTCGTTTCTCGTGCAATTTTGCCATATAAAGGTGCCTTTGGCCAGGGAGACTGAGGCCACAGGGTTGTGGGCAAATCACAGTCACTTTTGTGGGACTATTTTCAGAGGAGGGTTTTTCTCCTTTCATATAGGAGTACTCTGGTGAGTTATTACCTGAGAATAGTTGGAGTCCTAACCCCACAAATGACAACTTTTAACTCATCTGGGCAATAGGTGGATGTGGTTGCTGTGATCCACGCTCTTTCCCCAAGGAAAATCTATTTCCCACTTTTCCCATTGGGACAAGGTCTCTAACCTTGATCAGAAAAGCAGCCCTCCTAATCCCACCCAAGTGATGAGGCAGGAGGGTTTCCTGACCCAGTAACTAACATCTTGCTCTCTCTTCCCCTTGGTTCTTTTCTGCCCGCCCCCCCACCACCACTCCCCCCTCCTGTCAGTGAGGAGAAGGAGGAAGTGACCATGGACACAAGTGAAAACAGACCTGAAAATGATGTTCCAGAACCTCCCATGCCTATTGCAGACCAAGTCAGCAATGATGACCGCCCGGAGGGCAGTGTTGAAGATGAGGAGAAGAAAGAGGTAAACATCCAAGCCACCTATTGGGGCGGGTGGGCAGGAATGGACCTAGGGGAAAGAGTAGAGCACTCTAGTGATCCCTCTTACACGGTGGGTTAACTTAAAGGAGGGATGAGGCAGGGACTTGGATCAGAATAGGGCCAAGGGAGAATTCGCTGGTTTAGCAAGGGAGACCCCTTGTGACGGGGACAGGGCTCATTCATTTTCCTTTCCTTGTTGGGGAAGTAGTGCCCAGACTCTAGACGTTTGTAACTAACGGGAAAGTCTGATAATGGCCCTTTATCTAAGATTTATGTTCAGCTTTTCCTGCTGTCTTCCCAAGCTTCTCCTGGTGGTAACTCCTTTAGCTTTCCCTCCTTTTTAAAAGCCTGATGGAGCCCAACGCCATCTAGTGGACATTGGTGGTTCTCACCAGACCAGCCATGCTGAGAAATTTTTGTTCCTCCTCTGCCCTCCAGTGGTCTGACTGCAGAGATGTAGCTACTTAGAAGCCAGCACTTGTGATCCGGAAGGCCCATTCTCAGTTACCTGTGACCCCTCTACCTCCTTTTTTGGCATATGTTATCTTGTGTCCTGCACCCACTTCAGGGGGCTTCCCCCATCAGAGCCAGCGAAGTCTTCTTGGCTCTTAAAGTAATTGAGAAAGAATGAGCTGGGTTTAGGAGAGGGGTAACAAGGTGGGAGGGACTGTTGTGTGTGTAGCCTTTTTCTGGTGTGTGTTGCGGGGGTGGGGGCCGGTGAAAGTGATTTGATGTGCAGAATATTATTTATTACAAGGTCCTTCTTCCCCGTAAAACTTTGTCCAAGTACCTCATGTACGGTAATCCGCCCGTAAAATATAACCCTGCCCAACTGGCCAATCGCTGATGCCGCCTCTTCCTCTGGACCCACCCGCTGCTACTGAGCTGCCCAATCAGAGCCAAGTCTGCTATCCAGGTGTCTTGGCCAGAGGGGGGCATGTATATGGGCTCCTGTGATGGGCCCCCTTTTGCCTCCCTGTCTTGCTTACATCAGGGGGCCAAGAAGAACACTGTTCTGGAGAGACTTGTATTGAGCAAGCAAAAAACATTTGGAAAGGGGTGGACTTGCATCATCTCCCTACTTGGGACACCCCAAGAAGAGCTTGTGCCAGTGCTGGGGCGCCTGCCCACATGCCCTTGCCCTTTTGAGGACTGTGGGTTGCCTTGTTTGCTACAGACTGTTGGGATCCCCATCTAGGGCACCAAGACCTCCTAAAGTTTGTGATCGCAGTGCCATGCTGTAAAACACTGAGTGGGACCCTCTACTTAAGCTGTGACGACTAGGAACCGTGCAGAGGAGTCTAGGGTCTGAGCCCCTGGGGATTTAATGCTGATGACAGCCCAGCCCATGTGTCACCACTTGCTCATCAGATGGACTTTCCTTTGGTCCCTGTTGTCCATGGTGAAGGGCAGCATGTTGGTTGCTCCAACTTCTCCTCCATCCCTGGAGGCAGGGACTCATTTCATCCACCTGACTGGAACCACTGTCTCAGCTGGAGTCCCTGAGGAGATGCCAGCCACAACTCTCCGAAGAGAAGTATTCTGACCTTGCTGCTGAATGTCTGCCAGGTCCTGGGGTATTCACCTACCCCCAGGCTACCTTCATCAGAGGCTCCATGATCCCACTCGGTGAGAGGACCCCCTCCCCAGTTACAGGCAGAGGAGAAAGGGACTCTGGAGTCATCACCTGGATTCCAAGTATTGGGTGGTGTTATTGCTGCAGCTTGCCACTGGTGGACATAGGGTCCTGCCTGCCTCTCACGATAAAAGGCAAGGATCATTCCTGCTACTCACAGGCCATCTCATCAGGGACTGCAAGATGATGTCCCTTCAGGGCCAGGACTGATGTCTCTGCCCCTTTCCCCCCTCTATCCCTCGCTGAGCCTGGCCACCGCCAGTGAACTGTCTTGACATCATGGAAACTGGGCAGCGTCCCCCCACACGTTTCCCTCCCGCCCCCCCTGCGCCCCTGGGAGGACTCTGGCAGTGCCGTGCTGACTACCACGCCGTGCGCCCACCTTTTTTGCCAACCCAACCCCCCACCAATTGCACAGCGCCTAGCAGGGAGGGCTCATTCTGATTGGACCGGCGGTTGACTAGATACAGTACACAGTGAGGTGCGATTGGCTGAACTGAAGATCCCAGGTGTGAGATGGTACCTGGAACATTTGTCATATTCCTAGTTTATTTTCTTCTTTATTTTCTTCTTCTTTTTTTAATATTTTATTTTATTTTTTTCTATATCTTTATTTTTTCTGATTTCTTTTATTTATTTATTTGGTTCATGTTTTTCCTGTTTTAATTAAGACCTTTTTTTTTGTTTTGTTTTTCTCACTAACTTACCCATCGAGAGCGGCCCAGCTAGGGGTCAGGCTGGCCCTTAACAGAGACCAAGGAGACTTGGTTAGACGACACAAACGGGGCTGCGGGTGGGGGTGGATGGGAAAGGGATTTCATCACGAGGTTTCTGCCCTACCCTTTAGAAGAGTGGTAGAGTGGTCTTAGTTTTTCCAGAAATAAGCACCTACACTTGAAAATACTCTATTCCCTTTTTCTCTCTCACTTTTCTCCCCCGCCCCCCATAGTCTTTCGTCATTCACCCACTGAGTGTTTGGGGTAGAGACTTGTCCCAAAGATGTCTTCTGGTCTTTGGCAGAGCCCCTAAGGCTTGAGCCCTGGTTGGAGAGGAAACAGTAAGACTCTGCTGGAGCTCCCTGCGGTGGCTGGAAAGTCTAAGGATCTCCTTGGGGACAATCTGCCCTTCATAAAAACCTTCCTTTATCAAAGACACCTTTGAGTTCTTTTTGCTAGCACTTGGCTCAAGAGCCTCATCTCCAGTGGGTCTGGTGCTGCCCTTTTCCACAGTGTGGTGGGGGTCTGGGCAGTCTTGACATGACAGTCTGCTGTCCAAGCATCTCAAAGCCATTGTCAGTGGGCATCAGTCTGGCCATTGAAGAAAGGAGGGTTACCTTGTTGAAGTTGCCATCCAAAGTTGGTTTTCCTTGTTTCCTCGAGTTAGCAAGGAAGGACCTGGGAGGACTAGATGACCCAGTTTGGGGCACAGTTTGTTTGGCTTGGTGTCCTCTCGACTCAGACGGTGAAAGAGGGGGTATGACCAACATCTTTAGGGGGCTGAGAGGCTACTGAACTCCTCTTCCAGCTTATTTCTGGTTAAGCTAATACACAGGTGTGATACGGAGTAGATGACTTTTCCCTGCTCTGATGTTTAGTTTTATTTTTTTCTCTAACTTGCATTGATTCTGCTTCGTTTTTGCCGTTTGCCGCTTCTGTTTTGGTCTCTGTCTGTCTCTGTGTCTCTCTCTGTCTCTCTCTCTCACTCTATCTGTGTCTTTGGAGGCTAAGCTAAGACTGCCCCATCTAACCTCCTTCCCCCCTCTCTGTGGGGTGTCTCTCTTTCTCTTTTTTTTCCCCTTTTTCTTCTTCATACAGAGCTCGCTGCCCAAATCATTCAAGAGGAAGATCTCCGTTGTCTGTAAGTCCAGCCCCAAATCCCTGATAAAAGTCAGGAATACCATAAAAACCAGCATTCATTGAGAACCAGAATTTCATTCTCAATGGCATTCTTGGGTCACTCCCTCCTGCCCCACCCCTTGTGCCTAGCAAATCTGAATCCTTTCCTATGTAGGGTTTCATTTTGGAATTCAAAACTTGAGACAATCCCCATCATATTGCTCCAGTCACATTTTAATGAGATACAGTGTGAGGTGTCTGAGACCATGTCCCATTTAGCCTTAGAGGCATTTATTCTTTCAGATACCTGAATACTCAACAAGGAATGAGTTTCAGGGACTCCTATGTGATGCTTAGCAGTTTATGAATTATTCTGGGTATTTTGTTGTTGTTTTTTTGAGACGGAGTCTCCCTCTGTAGTACCCTAGGCTGGAGTGCAGTGGTGCGATTTTGGCTCACTGCAACCTCCGCCTCCGGGTCCCAGTTCAAGCAATCCTCCTCCGCCTCCTGAGTAGCTGGGATTAGAGGCATGCGCCACCATGCCCAGCTAATTTTTGTATTTTTAGTAGAGATGGGGTTTCCCCATGTTGGACAGGCTGGTCTTGAACTCCTGACCTTGTGATCCGCCTGCCTTGGCCTCCCAAAGTGTTGGGATTACAGGCGTGAGCCATCGTGCCTGACCTTGTTTATGCGTTATTCTAAGAGAGCACCCAAGGAAATGAAAGTGCCCCACACCTCAAACAGTAACAATTTTAACATTTTCCCCAATGAGGAACTCTAGATTACAAAAGTATAATAGATGTTTATAACTTAAATATCAATCTGTAGTGTGAAAATTAAAGGAAGACCAGATCCCATCATGATCTTAGTTCTGCCTAGATGTTAGTATCACATAGTGTTCTTGTTTCTTCTGCATTTACATGTCCTTCTCAGTTTTTCTTCCACACTACTTGATATTACTGTCTACCATTAAAAGTTTAAACGGCTCATCAAACTAGCTACCCCTCCCTTACTGCTTTTAGATCAGTGTTCAGTCTGAAGCCATGGTTTCCCCAGTTCCCAAATATGATTTCTTTTCTTTTTTTTTTTTTGAGACGGAGTCTTGCTCTGTCACCAGGCTGGAGTGCAGTCAGTGGCACCATCTTGGCTCACTGCAGCCTCCGCCTCCCGGGTTCAAGCAATTCTGCTTCAGCACCCTGAGTAGCTGGGATTACAGGCATGCACCACAACGCCTGGCTAATTTTTGTATTTTTAGTAGAGATGGGGTTTCACCATGTTGGTCAGGCTAGTCTCAAACTCCTGACCTCGTGATCCACCCGCCTTGGCCTCCCAAAGTGCTGGGATTACAGGTGTGAGCCACCACACTCAGCCTCCAAATATGATTTCTTTAAGTTAACCTTTTACCAAAACTCCAGCCAGAGGTAACCTGTAGGTATTACGGTTTGAACTAGCAGAGGTCCTGAGACCATCTAACTGTTGGGTCTATTTCTTGGGGACAGCAGCTACCAAGGGGGTGCCAGCTGGAAACAGTGACACAGAGGGGGGCCAGCCTGGTCGGAAACGACGCTGGGGAGCCAGCACAGCCACCACACAGAAGAAACCTTCCATCAGTATCACCACTGAATCACTAAAGGTGAGGTGGGAGGAGCCAGGGAAGGGAGGATGAGACCTGTTAAGGTGGGAGTAGACATGGGCCCAGTGTAACGGGGTGGGGGGTATCTGTGTCCCAGAGCCTCATCCCCGACATCAAACCCCTGGCGGGGCAGGAGGCTGTTGTGGATCTTCATGCTGATGACTCTCGCATCTCTGAGGATGAGACAGAGCGTAATGGCGATGATGGGACCCATGACAAGGGGCTGAAAATATGCCGGACAGTCACTCAGGTAAGGCTTCTGCACCCCAGTGTCAGGGGAAAGGTGGGAGCAGTAGATGCAGAGCAGCTAGCTGAGGAGCTGAGATAAAGTCTTTGGAGGGAACTTCCCTGTCTGTGCAGAGGGTTGGGTTGACTGACACTTTCAGGGGTCAGACTACCAAATCCAGCTGGCTACCTGTTACAAATAAAGTTTGATTGGAACACAACCACACGAGTTCATTCACTTTTGTCTGTGGCTGTTTGTTCACTACAACATCACCAGAGTTGAGTAGTTGCAACAAACTATGTGGCCTGCAAAACCTGAAGTACTGCTTTGCTCTACAGAAAAAATTTACTAACTCCTGTCTTAGTTTTCCTCAAGGCAAAGTTGAGGCACTAACAATCCCAGGATCTGGTAGAAGTGAGCCGATAACGAAATACCCCTAGCGGAAGGAACATGCTAGATTGACTGCTACTCTTACCGGGGAACCAGAGGCTGAAAAGAATATGCCAGTTTGGTGTTTAACAGACCTGCTGTGTTCTCTGACACCTTGATAGGTAGTACCTGCAGAGGGCCAGGAGAATGGGCAGAGGGAAGAAGAGGAAGAAGAGAAGGAACCTGAAGCAGAACCTCCTGTACCTCCCCAGGTGTCAGTAGAGGTGGCCTTGCCCCCACCTGCAGAGCATGAAGTAAAGAAAGGTGAGTGACATATTGTGAGAGAAATGTAATGCGGCTCCCTGAATTCTCAGAGCACCTCATTTGGATCGCTGAAAGCTTTGAATGTTTCCTGCCTTTCATTATATTTTTTCGTATATCATATCTTTCTCCTACATATTAAGTAAGCTACTTGAGGGCCAGATTTGACTCTGTTTAATCTTTGAATCTCCATGATGAGGAGGTTAGCCTAGCACAGTACTTTGCAGATTATAGGTGCTCTGCACGTTTAGATTAAGGAGTGGCTGCTTGGTATAAAAGAAAGGGAACCGTGAGAGTTACATTGAGGGTGAAAAGAGCCAGTATTGCTTCCTACCAAAAGCTGTTCTTGTGGTCTTCTTGATAGTGACTTTAGGAGATACCTTAACTCGACGTTCCATTAGCCAGCAGAAGTCCGGAGTTTCCATTACCATTGATGACCCAGTCCGAACTGCCCAGGTGCCCTCCCCACCCCGGGGCAAGATTAGCAACATTGTCCATATCTCCAATTTGGTAAGTCATTGTTTCTCACCATCCCAGCTTGCTTAGTGGTTAAGTTTGAGCTTTAGGCTTATGCCTCCTAGGTTCCACTCATAGTTGAACTGGTCTACCAATAGATTAAGTTACTCACTGATCTTGAGTGAGTTACTTAACATATTTACCCATCTAAAAATGAGGGGGAAAAGCTGTTGCCCTGCAGGGTTGTTTTGAGGACTTGCAGAAGGCCTCACATACAACGTCTCAATTAGTGCTGGGAAGCACCACCACTCTTCTCACATTCTTACTGCAAGGTTCCTAAACTCTCTGCCCTCCCCCAAACCTTGAAACTATACTCCTGTGACAGCAGCTCGGGAAATCTAAAGATTGGGTGGTGGTCTTGCCTTCTGCTAGACCCTGAAAGTCTATTTTCATTGGCAGGTCCGTCCTTTCACTTTAGGCCAGCTAAAGGAGTTGTTGGGGCGCACAGGAACCTTGGTGGAAGAGGCCTTCTGGATTGACAAGATCAAATCTCATTGCTTTGTAACGGTGAGGGGAAGAAGCTGATTCTATAGGTCATGGCATATATTTCCTTTTGTGACCAGTGTGGGCAGGTTTAAGGGTGTTGCAGCACGTGGGAAGGGTTGCAGACACACTGTGACCCTCCATCTTCTCCCTTCCTCCACCAGTACTCAACAGTAGAGGAAGCTGTTGCCACCCGCACAGCTCTGCACGGGGTCAAATGGCCCCAGTCCAATCCCAAATTCCTTTGTGCTGACTATGCCGAGCAAGATGAGGTAAGAAACCTAGGGAGAGGAAAGAGAGGAGGGGCAGGGGAAGCCATTATCTGCTAGATTTCAGCTGAGATCCTTGCCAGACCTGCAGTCTCTGAGCTTCTGTTCTTTTCTCTTCTTCCCTGGCTTTGGTTCCTTTAATTGTACCATGGGGCTTCAAAGTGGTACCTGGGCTCCTTTTTTTTTTTTTTTTTTTTTTGAGACAGAGTCTCGCTGTCTCCCAGGCTGGAGTGCAGTGGCGCGATCTCAGCTCACTGCAAGCTCCGCCTTCCGGGTTCACGCCATTCTCCTGCCTCAGCCTCCCGAATAGCTGGGACTACAGGCGCCCGCCACCACGCCCGGCTAATTTTTTTGTATTTTCAGTAGAGACGGGGTTTCACCGTGTCAGCCAGGATGGTCTCGGTCTCCTGACCTCGTGATCTGACCGCCTTGGCCTCCCAAAGTGCTGGGATTACAGGCGTGAGCCACCGCGCCCGGCCATCCTGGCTCCTTGAGTGGGAGTGATATCACCTCTATCCTAACTGTCCTTGTCCCTCCTCTCCCCACAGCTGGATTATCACCGAGGCCTCTTGGTGGACCGTCCCTCTGAAACTAAGACAGAGGAGCAGGGAATACCACGGCCCCTGCACCCCCCACCCCCACCCCCGGTCCAGCCACCACAGCACCCCCGGGCAGAGCAGCGGGAGCAGGAACGGGCAGTGCGGGAACAGTGGGCAGAACGGGAACGGGAAATGGAGCGGCGGGAGCGGACTCGATCAGAGCGTGAATGGGATCGGGACAAAGTTCGAGAAGGGCCCCGTTCCCGATCAAGGTCCCGTGACCGCCGCCGCAAGGAACGTGCGAAGTCTAAAGAAAAGAAGAGTGAGAAGAAAGGTAGGTACTTAGCTATGGGGTACGCATACCCACTAGTAGGTGGGAAAGGGACCCAGATGGGATGGGACAGAGGGTCAGATGCATCATATCTGGTTCACTTTTTTCCACCTCAGAGAAAGCCCAGGAGGAACCACCTGCCAAGCTGCTGGATGACCTTTTCCGAAAGACCAAGGCAGCTCCCTGCATCTATTGGCTCCCACTGACTGACAGCCAGGTGAGTGCTCTTCTTCGTGCCCTGCTCCCTAGTGGCACTGAGGCTTGAGGTCAGGGTGAGGGGAGATTCATGTGACTGCGAGAGTGAGTCGGCCCAAGTACTTCCTAGGTTTAGGATAAACTAAGCATCACAAAAAGGCAGTTTTCAGTTAATTGGTATAACATAGAGAAACCAGACTCAGGAGGGTAAAGATAGACACGCAGATAGCAGCTGAAGTTTGTGGATGTCTGGGAAGCTGGCTGTGCCGACCAGGCTTCTTAGAACTTGATTTTAGGCCGTGCGTGGTGGCTCACGCCTCTAATGCCAGCACTTTGGGAGGCCGAGTCGGGTGGATCACCTCAGGTCAGGAGTTGCAGACCAGTCTGGCCAACATGGAAACCCTGTCTCTACTAAAAATAACAAAAATTAGCCGGGTGCAGTGGCAAGCGCCCGTAATCCCAGCTACTTGGGAGGCTGAGGAGGAGAATTGCTTGAACCCGGGAGGCGGAGGTTGCAGTGAGCAGAGACCGTGCCATTGCACTCCAGCCTGGGCAACAAGAACAAAACTCTGTCTCAGACAATTAAAAAAAAAAAAAGAACTTGATTGTATTTAGCTGAGAAATCGTGTTTTATAAATTCATTTCCCTGCTTTTTAAGAGTTTTTGCATCTTTAACTTAGTTTCTTAGTAATGGGCCTTTTGGGAATTTTAGGCTTATGCTACTCAAAAAAGAGATTTGTTCACATCTACGCTGACGGTAGGGAGCTAGGGAAATACCAAGGGCCAGGCATGGATGGTGCCAGTACCTGTCAATGTGTGTAAAAGTTGAAACTTGGTGGCTAGGCATGGTGGCTCATGCCTGTAATCCCAGCACTTTGGGAGGCTGAGGTGGGCGGATCATCTAAGCCTCCATCTAAGCCAGGAGTTTGATACCATCCTGGCCAACATGGTGAAACCCCATCTCTACTAAAAATACAAAACTTAGTGGGGCATGGTGGCAGACACCTGTAATCCCAGCTACTAGGGAGGCTGAGGCAGGAGAATCACTTGAACCTGCGAGTCGGAGACCACAGTGAGCCAAGATAGCACCACTGCACTCCAGCCTGGGCGACAGAGTGAGACTGTCTCAAAAAAAAAAAAAAAAAAAAACTGGCGGGGCGCGGTGGCTCACGCCTGTAATCCCAGCACTTTGGGAGCCTGAGGCGGGCGGATCACGAGGTCAGGAGATCAAGACCATCCTGGCTAACAACGGTGAAGCCCCGTCTCTACTGAAAATACAAAAAAATTAGCCGGGCGTGGTCGCGGGCGCCTGTGGTCCCAGCTGCTCAGCAGGCTGAGGCAGGAGAATGGTGTGAACCCGGGAGGTGGAGCTTGCAGTGAGCCGAGATCGTGCCACTGCACTCCCAGCCTGGGCGACGGAGCGAGACTCCGTCTCAGAAAAAAAAAAAAAAAGGCTGAAACTAGGAGGGAGAGAGGTGCTCTAAGAAAGACAGGATGCAGTTGTTGAGCCCCCAACCCCTTCCTGTTTAACTGAAAAGCTGACCCTGAGCTAGGAGGCAGGGTCCAGGCACAAATGGAGGCTGTGACCAGGACTGAGCTGCCTATTCTCTGCCTTTCCTACCTGGCTACAGATCGTTCAGAAAGAGGCAGAGCGGGCCGAACGGGCCAAGGAGCGGGAGAAGCGGCGAAAGGAGCAAGAAGAAGAAGAGCAAAAGGAGCGGGAGAAGGAAGCCGAGCGGGAACGGAACCGACAGCTGGAGCGAGAGAAACGTCGGGAGCACAGTCGGGAGAGGGACAGGGAGAGAGAGAGAGAAAGGGAGCGGGACAGGGGGGACCGAGATCGGGATAGGGAAAGGGACCGAGAACGAGGCAGGGAAAGGGATCGCAGGGACACCAAGCGCCACAGCAGAAGCCGGAGTCGGAGCACACCTGTGCGGGACCGGGGTGGGCGCCGCTAGCTGGGAAAACACTAGAGCTGCAGGTACCAGCCACTCGGCCCCAGGGGGTTATGGCCACAGAGGGATAGGCACAGTCTCCACCACCCTGGAGCCAAGGGTCTTTCACATCACCTATCCCTACATACATACCAAATGGAAAAGTGGCCATCCTTTTCCCCCCAAACACACCCCCTTAACCTATCTCTTGGGACTTAGCCCGACCCTCCCTCTCATTTCCCATTAAGTCTGAGAGGCAAGAGCTAGGTTAGGCAAGGAGGTGGTTGGCCAGAGATGGGGAACAGCCAGGTGCCCCAGTCCTCTGATTTTTCCTCCATCCTGCTTACCACCTCCCTGGGTACTTACAGCCTTCTCTTGGGAACAGCCGGGGCCAGGACTGGGTCACCTATGAGCTGAATCAGCATCTCCTCCTGAGTCCCAGGGCCCCTGCAGTTCCCAGTCTCTTCTGTCCTGCAGCCCTTGCCTCTTTCCCACAGGTTCCACTTTATATCCACCTTTTCCTTTTGTTCAATTTTTATTTTTATTTTTTTTATTATTAAATGATGTGGTCTATGGAAAAAAAAATAAAAATCTGACTTAGTTTTAAACTGTGTGAGTGGCTTTCTTTGGGCAGGTTAAGAAGCCACTGTGGATATCTGAGCGTGGACATCTGAGGATATCTGGAGTAGGAGTTGCTCTCATTCCATGTGTTCCTTTAGGCTGACTGCTTCCTGCTTATTGAACTTCCCACGTCTTTTATCCCCTGCCTTGGCCCTGACCAACCCAAAGCTGTGGACCTTCCTCATTCGGGAAGGCATGGAGCAACCTGTGTCCGTGGCGGCACCCCAGCAGGGCTAGGAGGGTGGGTCCTCTTCTGGTTCCTGGTCCTGTGCACGGTTAAATTAGGGGTTTGGTCACCTGCCTGCCACCTTGGTGCCTCCCACAACTACCACCAGGGGGCGGCAGCTCCTCGCTCTGTTGGCCCCTGTAACCGAGCTTCCCAAGAAGGGTTCCACTGCCCGCCTCCGACCTCCCGCCGATGTCGTGCCTCTGTTCCCGACCCGCTCCCTGGGCCCGGGCCTCGGACTCTCTGGACCCTTCTGCCGTCCTTAAGTGTCCCCCAGCTGACCTGCTACCGTGCTTTGCATGGGCTCTCAAAACGCCGCCGCCTTGCAGCTGGGATTCCATCCACACCAGTCCCAAAAGCCAGCCGGGAACCGGGAGCCCGGAGCCGGGTCTCTCCGCAGTGGGCTCCGAATTCCCCACCTCACCGCGCGCTCGCCCGTTTTCCGCTGCGGGCGGGGACTGGCAGCTTCGCGCTCCCGGGTGCACCCGCCCCGCCAGCTCTTCGGAAATGGCCTGGCGCCGTGGCCTGGACGTCCTCCCGCCCGAGTGCCCTGCCGGGCGCTGCGGGCCCGGTCCGGGAGGGGCGCCGCATCTGTATGCGCCCCGCAGCCCAGGAGCGCCGAGGGGGCGGACGCGCGGCGCCGCCTCCGCCCCCGCCCCCGCCGCGCGGGCCCGGCTGGCCGGGGAGGGTCGGAGGCTGGGCTCTCCTCTCCCGCGCGGCGCGGAGCCGCCTCGCTCCTCCGCAGGCGGAGTCTTCTTCCCCCGCCCCCTCCGTCTCGCTCCCTTGTTCTCGCCGGGGCCGCTCAGACCTGCAGCGGAGCCGCGGCGCCCGCTCCAATCGGCTCGGGGCTGTGCCCCCGGGACCCGGCGACGGGGGCGGGCGGGGGCGCTTCCCGCCGGCCTGGGCCCCTCGGCAGTGCCAGGTAAGGGCGCCTGCCCCGGAGCAGGGGTCGGGAATCCGCGGAGGGGTAGGAGGGGGCCCGCAGCCTGCGGGGGTCTTCGGAGGGGTGCGCTCCGTGGCTGGGAGCCCGCTGCCGGCTCCCTTCTCCCGCGCTCTGCCTCTTTCCCTTCTCCCCTCGCACCTCTCTCCCTCTTTCTTCTCTCGATTTCTCTTCACCCTTCCTTCTCTGCCTGTTTGCCTTCCTTATCCCTTCCCTCTGTCTCCCCAACCCTTCCCTCTCCCTCTTGTCCTTTTTCCATCTCCTCTCCCTCTTTGCCTTTTTCTTTCTCTACCTTTCTCCCCTTTCCTGCCTTTCTCTTTTCTCTTTCTTGCTCTCCTTTCCCTCCCTCTCCTCTCCCCTTCCTGCTATCCTGTTTCCCACTCCTCTATCCCCTTCCTTCTCGCCTCCTCATCCCGCCTTCTCTCTGGTCCCCAGCCTTCCTCCGGTTTCCCCCTTCCCTCGGGAGCAAAGGGACTGTCAGGTGTGTGTCTGCTCTGAGGGAGGAGGGGCAGAAGCCACAGCTACCTGAGGGGTCCTCCCCCCCGCCCCTAGGAGAAAGGAGAGCAGTGGGAAGGGTCTCCTCTCTAGCTCCCTTCCCGTGGCCCCTCCCTGCCTCCACCCCTCCTGTCTGCTCCTTCTCCCAGAATTAAGTTCCCGAGGCCTGGCTTGACACCCCCGAAGCTGAGGTCTGCCCCTGCCTGCCCGGAACTGCCCCCGGTGACCCGTTTCCAAGCCTGGCCCCTAGGACTCCTCTCTGCCTTCAGACACCCAGGCTGCTGCCCTGGTCTCTCTCATTCTGTCTCTTGCCACTGTTCTGTTTCTGTCTCTCATCCAGTCATTTCTCTGCCGGACAGTCCCTGAGTCAGTCTAGCCGTCAGTCATTATCTGTCTCTAGCCTCTGGGTGGACCTCTCTCCCCGGTCACCTCCCCCTGTCCCCCACCCTGTATCCTCTTCCTTCAGCTCTGGCTCCCAACTCCTGTCTCACGAGCCCAGTCCCCCTTCAAGGACTGCACTGGCAGCGTGGGCTGGAGACAGGGCCTGGAGAGTGGGGCTCCCCCTTGTGGGGAGGGACTTTCACAGACTCTCAGCCCTGCCTGAGGCTGCACTCCTTGTCATCTCATGCTGACCCTAGACACCTTAAGGCCACACCTCCATGAATCCCAACTCCGTAATTTTAAGCCCTTTCTCTGGTAGCCCCGCCTCCTCCAATACCTGGCTACGTGCCCAACCTGGGAGGACAGAGACCAGATTTGGGATTCCAAGCCCTCCCAGCATCCCCTCTCCTGTGTTCCTCCCCAGTTCTCTACTCAGAGTTGACTGACCAGAGATTTATCAGCTTGGAGGGCTGGAGGTGAATACATGCAGAGCCTGGGTGGAGGAAGGATCAGCCTCTCTGCTCTCTGTCTTAGTCTGAGTTCTGGGCAGTGGAGTGTCTGGTTCCTTGGAGGTCTGGTCTTCAGCATCTAATTTTGCGGGGGAGGAGGGCTAGGGGTTTCCTTGAGCCTGAGCAGCTGCTTGTCCTGCAGGTGTGGATCCATGGGGTAGCCTCAACGCATCTGCCCCTCCACCCCAGCCAGCTCATGGGCCACGTGGCCTGGCCCAGCCTCAGCACCCAGGGCCAGTGAACAGAGCCCTGGCTGGAGTCCAAACATGTGGGGCCTGGTGAGGCTCCTGCTGGCCTGGCTGGGTGGCTGGGGCTGCATGGGGCGTCTGGCAGCCCCAGCCCGGGCCTGGGCAGGGTCCCGGGAACACCCAGGGCCTGCTCTGCTGCGGACTCGAAGGAGCTGGGTCTGGAACCAGTTCTTTGTCATTGAGGAATATGCTGGTCCAGAGCCTGTTCTCATTGGCAAGGTAAGGATGACCCCTCCCATGTCTACTCTGACACCAAGCCCTCAGGCCCTGCCCTGCAACTTCATCACTTCTGCAATGACCTTGGTCCCTCAGGACTCCCAACGCTCTACCCAAACCTAGACTCTTTAACCCTGTCTCTGTACTTGGAGCCCTCTGCCATCTTTTCGTGACCCCTGCAGCTGCACTCGGATGTTGACCGGGGAGAGGGCCGCACCAAGTACCTGTTGACCGGGGAGGGGGCAGGCACCGTATTTGTGATTGATGAGGCCACAGGCAATATTCATGTTACCAAGAGCCTTGACCGGGAGGAAAAGGCGCAATATGTGCTACTGGCCCAAGCCGTGGACCGAGCCTCCAACCGGCCCCTGGAGCCCCCATCAGAGTTCATCATCAAAGTGCAAGACATCAACGACAATCCACCCATTTTTCCCCTTGGGCCCTACCATGCCACCGTGCCCGAGATGTCCAATGTCGGTGAGCACCCCAGCTCTGAATGCCCCAGTTCCCGTCTTCTGGAGCTCTCTCACCTCTCCTTCCCTTCTTGTTGTCTGCCCCAGAACCTGCCCCCTTCAATTCAGCCTCCCTCGTATCTGCATCCCCCCCCATCGGTTGTTCTTCCCCATCCTTCCCTGCTGCTGCTGAATGGCGTGCTGGCATCCCCCACAGGGACATCAGTGATCCAGGTGACTGCTCACGATGCTGATGACCCCAGCTATGGGAACAGTGCCAAGCTGGTGTACACTGTTCTGGATGGACTGCCTTTCTTCTCTGTGGACCCCCAGACTGGTGAGGATGGAGCCTGGGAGCCCGGTGGGGCAGCCAAGGGGACAGACACCCTCTGACCAGCATCTCTCCCTAGGAGTGGTGCGTACAGCCATCCCCAACATGGACCGGGAGACACAGGAGGAGTTCTTGGTGGTGATCCAGGCCAAGGACATGGGCGGCCACATGGGGGGGCTGTCAGGCAGCACTACGGTGACTGTCACGCTCAGCGATGTCAACGACAACCCCCCCAAGTTCCCACAGAGTAAGGGGCCATTGCTGCCACCTGAGCCATCCTTTGATCACCCCACCCCTACAGTGTCTGGAGAAACCTTCCCTCCTCGCCTCCTCCCCAGCCAGATCCTGGGAGAATAAAGTGCTGTGGGGAGGGAGGAGGGCTGGGGACCTCTCTGAGAAGGTGTCTCCCCTCTGTCATCCCAAGGCCTATACCAGTTCTCCGTGGTGGAGACAGCTGGACCTGGCACACTGGTGGGCCGGCTCCGGGCCCAGGACCCAGACCTGGGGGACAACGCCCTGATGGCATACAGCATCCTGGATGGGGAGGGGTCTGAGGCCTTCAGCATCAGCACAGACTTGCAGGGTCGAGACGGGCTCCTCACTGTCCGCAAGGTTAGCCTCCTGCCTGTTAATGCTTTCTCTTAGACCTGCCTCCTGCCGACCCACAGGGCACATATTTAACTGTTCTTCTAGAACAGACTCAGGATCTCTCTGTTGGAGCTTAGAGATCATGGTCACCTCCTCATCCTTCAGATGAGGCCCTGGAGCTTAGAAAGAAGAAGTGATAGCAAGTCTATGAGGGAGCTAGGGGCAGACCTAGAGTTCCTAAGTAATCTGCTGTGCATCCTGACCACCAAGGCCACTGTCCCTCCAGTGCCACCTCTCCTCACATGAGGACTGAGCACTGCATGCATGTGAGGAGGGGACTTGTCACCTTCCAAGAGCCTGGGACCTGCCCTGGTTTCCACATGCCTCACTTTTTCTCCCTCTCCCCTCACCATAGCCCCTAGACTTTGAGAGCCAGCGCTCCTACTCCTTCCGTGTCGAGGCCACCAACACGCTCATTGACCCAGCCTATCTGCGGCGAGGGCCCTTCAAGGATGTGGCCTCTGTGCGTGTGGCAGTGCAAGATGCCCCAGAGCCACCTGCCTTCACCCAGGCTGCCTACCACCTGACAGTGCCTGAGAACAAGGCCCCGGGGACCCTGGTAGGCCAGATCTCCGCGGCTGACCTGGACTCCCCTGCCAGCCCAATCAGGTAGGTGAGCTGGGATGTGGGCTGGGGAGCCAGATGGCAGGCTCTTCCCACCCAGAGAATGAGTAAATGTGCCCCCTACCTTATAGCAAATCACTCATATCCCAGCAAAAGCCTCCCTCCCTGCAGCTGGGCTTGCTGGTCTGCAGGCCTGGGTGCCAGGGGAGAGCCGGAGGGCCTGGCTGACCACTCCTCAACCGTCTGTCCACCCCTCTGGGTAGATGATGGTGGCCCCTCCCAGTGGCAGTGCAAGTGGATATAGTCTCATTTGATAAGTGGATCTCTATTGATCATTCCCAAAGTGCTTCACAGTTTACCCCCTTGCTGACACTGAATTCTCACAACAGCCCTATGAAGTAGGTGTTCTCATCACCACTTGTTTTAGAAGCCAGCCATAAGTGGTCACACAGTTGGTAAGTGGCAGAACAGCCACTCTTTCCCCCTCCCCGGCCAGCATCCCTGTCACAGCTCTGTGAGGGAGGTACTGGTGTCATTCCCACTTTTCAGTTGAGTAAATAGAGGTTAAACAATTTGCCCTAAGTCACATAGCCAGCCCAAGGCAGAGCAGGGCTGAAACACATGTCCCTGGGTTCTCAGAACAGGGCCCAGAAGTCTGAGAGTCAAGGTCTGTTTATCCCGCTTCTACTCCATTCTGTGTCTTCTCCCCCTCCCCCCGTGAAACCCAGTGGCCCTGAGTCTTAACAGGTGTTTAATGGTGGTGATCCCCCAGGGATATATGCCTTTTAAGGGGACTCCAACCTGAATTATGGCTCTACCCAGAGGAGTCATGAGGTCTGACAAGGTGAACAGAGGGAAGAAAGAAGAGAGGGGGTGGAACAAGCTGTGGTCCCGCCCCAGATCAGCCCCAGCATGTCTCTCCCTTCCCCAGATACTCCATCCTCCCCCACTCAGATCCGGAGCGTTGCTTCTCTATCCAGCCCGAGGAAGGCACCATCCATACAGCAGCACCCCTGGATCGCGAGGCTCGCGCCTGGCACAACCTCACTGTGCTGGCTACAGAGCTCGGTGAGGACTCCAGGGCCCACAAGGCGGCAGCAGCCTCCTGGCCGAGGAGCTGTCCCTGGGTGTGGGGGTGGAGAAGGGTGCTAACTGCCATCGCACCCTCACCAGCGTGCGGCCACTGAGTCCTAGCCTGGATCTGAGTCCTAGCCTGGATCCAAGTCCTAGCCTGGATCTGGGTCCTAGCCTGGATCCTTGCTACCAGGCAGGGCGGGCCTCCTGGTCTCCTAGTCCCCTAGGCTGGGCTGGGTGGGCACAGTGGGTGTGCCTGAGCATTCTCCTGACCCTCAAGTCATTCCCTTACCTGACTTGCCCCAACCCAGAAATAAACTAGACCTTACATAGCCCCCAACCTGTGTACTGACAGACCCCATCCTGCCCACTCTCTGCTTCAGGCTGGAGCTGGGGGCCAGAAAGGGGCTGGGTACCTCTTCTGGTTGCTGAGTGGAGTGCACCAGCAGCCCCACCCCAGAGAAGCCCTGTTGGAAGCGCTGTGGGAATCCCCCAAGGTAGGGGAGTGGACACCATAAGGAAGGGGAGGAGTGCCAGCTCCATATGCGGTCTCCCCCATCAGTCAGGCCAGCAGCGGGTTCAGCTGCCTCTGGGCAGCCCTAGCCCATACAGACAGGGAGACCTCCCTCCCGATCTTCTGTGAATAGTCCCTTATACCCCTGCTTATGCCTCAGGGGCTCCTCCACCCTTTTGTCTTCATACTGCATATGAAAACTGCCCTTGTATATGTGGATATCTGAATGTGTCAGTGAAGGCCTATATGAATGTGCACATGTGGGTATGTTCTCAGCCATGTGTATAATTCCAAATGTGGGGAAAGTATGTAGATATACACAAATATATATTTGTGGGTATATATCTGTAATGGATATATATGTGTTTACTGTTGAGTGTACAGAATTATATTTATGTTAATTATGCATATGTGTGATTGATATATACAGTGGTATGCACATGTAGCTGTTTGTATGTGTTTTGTGTATGTGGGTATTTGTGGACAGATAATTTATTACTTATTGTTTATCAGGCACTATTCATCTTCAAAATGGATTCATTCATTTAATCATCACCACAACTTTATGAGGGAAGTATGATTATTTCCTCATTTTTAAACAATAAACTCAGGCAAAGAGAAGTTAAGTAACTTCCCAAGGTCACATAGAGATTAAGTGGTGGAGCTGTGAGATCCAGTCAGTGTGCAGAGTCTGAGCTGTTATCCCCACCGTACTGCCTCTCAAATGTGTTTAATGCTATGTGTCTAGGTTTATGTTTCTATACATGCAACTGTGTGCATAGTAGATATGCACAGATACTACCTGGCAGTGCACGTGTTATCTGTTAGTGCATGGATGTCTGTGTGGATGGCCGTGTGTGTCCGTGTACACACAGTATGTTTTTGGCTGCTTATATATACATAGCTTTGTGTGTGTGTGCGTTTCTAGTCACTGTCTTCTCATTCTCCTGCCAAATCCTGCTCCTACCCGCACCCAGACATCACCTAGCAGTGCTGGGCCCTTACCGCAGGGAAGAAGTAGACCTCCTCCCCATCCTGTCTCTGGGGTATCCCAATCCTTTTAGCCAGGCGATCCACTCAGCCTCCCCTGCCCATGCTGCATCCTCAGCCCCTTTCCCCAAGGCTAGTCAGCTATCCCTCTGCCTAGGGGAAAGACTAAAGGAATTGGGAGACCTGGCCTAAGAGAGGTGACAGGGAGACACACTTTGCATTCTCTCTTGGAAGGCACTGGCAGTGAGAAGCAAGGTAGGGTAGTGGTAGGGAGTCACCTGATGAAGGGATGGGTAAAGATGGGGCCTGTGTCTGGCTGTGGTACCCAGGCTGGCCTGGGCTCTGCACCCTGTAGATCATGCAGCACCTTTCTACCCAAGATAAGTGATGCTCACTGCTGTACTACAGCCTCCCAGACCTCTGATGGGATGTGTGTGTGTGTGTGTGTGTGTGTGTGTGTGTGTGTGTGGTGTGTATATGTGTCTGTCCACCCCACTGGTGCTGTGCATGGCCTCTATGCATGAAAATGCATTCTATGGGCACTGGGTGTTGTCGGGGGATGTGGCACCACATTCACTATGCATATCAAACATTTGCTTCATGTACATTGCATTTGTTTTAAATGTTGAGTGTACATTGGATATATGGTATGAATGTGTTTTGTATATTCATGGCTGTTGTCTGCATGCAACTCGTATGCACCTTCCCTCTGTCTTTCATTTATGCTGCATGTGCCCTGCATGTGGGTTATTGTATATGTGTATCATGGGTGCGGCATTCCTGTTGAATGTCTATTGTGTATCGCACATATCTTGGGTACTACATGAATATTGTATGCACTTGGTATTGTTCCATTCATTCTGCAACATTGTTTTCTACCTGTACATTACATGCATATTTCATGTGTTTCTTGTGCATGCTATATGCTTCATGTGGCATCCATGCCCATGCACCACATATGTTACGTGTAAACTGTGTGGTGTGTGTGTGGCGTGTATGTTTTGGTGTTCTGCCTTCAGACAGTTCTGCACAGGCCTCGCGCGTGCAAGTGGCCATCCAGACCCTGGATGAGAATGACAATGCTCCCCAGCTGGCTGAGCCCTACGATACTTTTGTGTGTGACTCTGCAGCTCCTGGCCAGGTGAGCAACTGAGGCAGAGGGGTTGGGACGTCCAGGCCTCCAGCAGCCCACTCCATACAAGGCCTCTCTCTTCTTCCTCCCAGCTGATTCAGGTCATCCGGGCCCTGGACAGAGATGAAGTTGGCAACAGTAGCCATGTCTCCTTTCAAGGTCCTCTGGGCCCTGATGCCAACTTTACTGTCCAGGACAACCGAGGTAGGTGGCCTCCTACAGCCATGTCCATACCTGCCTCTGTCCCCTTCTCCTCCTCCTCCACCCCTAGCCCAGCCTGCCTGACCCCTGCCCCACCTGCCTCGGCCTTCTACCCAACAGAAGATGGGTGTGGACTTGTACTCATTCGTTGGCTCTTTGTAAACCTTCCCCATGGGAAGCTGGCTCTATGGGCTGGACCTATGGGCTGGCTCTATGGGAAGCTGGCTCTATGGGCTGGACCTATGGGCTGGCTCTATGGGGGGCTGGCTCTATGGGAAGCTGGCTCTATGGGCTGGACCAACCCTACCTGGAAGGTGTCCCAGAAGATACCTCAACACCTTCCCTCTCCCACAGATGGCTCCGCCAGCCTGCTGCTGCCCTCCCGCCCTGCTCCACCCCGCCATGCCCCCTACTTGGTTCCCATAGAACTGTGGGACTGGGGGCAGCCGGCGCTGAGCAGCACTGCCACAGTGACTGTTAGTGTGTGCCGCTGCCAGCCTGACGGCTCTGTGGCATCCTGCTGGCCTGAGGCTCACCTCTCAGCTGCTGGGCTCAGCACCGGCGCCCTGCTTGCCATCATCACCTGTGTGGGTGCCCTGCTTGGTGAGTCAGGCCACAGTGGTACATAGCTGTGCGATCTGGGCCTGCAGGGGTGTGGAGAAGAACCAGGCCTCTGGACACAGGGAAATCCACCTTAGGGCTTGAACGACCCTCATACCTGGATTTTCCCACCACCTGATGCATCCAAGAGAAAAGCTCTGGCCTCTATCCGTGACCTGCCAATCCATAATGACAATGACAAGCCATAACAATGGTTTACTGAGCCCCTACTCTGTGCCAAGTATAGTGCTGGGCACGTCACTTGTGATATTTCATTTTATTATGTCAACAACCCTTAGAAGTAAATATATTTTCCCTATTCTCCACATAAGTAATCTAAGGGGCAAATTGAGGCTTCAGAGAAGTCTAGCAACTTCCCATGGTCACATAGCGAGTAAGGGCTGAAGTCAGGATTCAATGCAAGGTTTGCTAGATGTCAGCCCCTAAGCACAGGGCTTCTGTCACCTGATGGGTCAGCCTTTCACATGGAGACAGGCCGCCCGCTCCCGGCCCTGCTGGCTCAGGGCCTGTGTGCGCGCCTCTCGCGCAGCCCTGGTGGTGCTCTTCGTGGCCCTGCGGCGGCAGAAGCAAGAAGCACTGATGGTACTGGAGGAGGAGGACGTCCGAGAGAACATCATCACCTACGACGACGAGGGCGGCGGCGAGGAGGACACCGAGGCCTTCGACATCACGGCCTTGCAGAACCCGGACGGGGCGGCCCCCCCGGCGCCCGGCCCTCCCGCGCGCCGAGACGTGTTGCCCCGGGCCCGGGTGTCGCGCCAGCCCAGACCCCCCGGCCCCGCCGACGTGGCGCAGCTCCTGGCGCTGCGGCTCCGCGAGGCGGACGAGGACCCCGGCGTACCCCCGTACGACTCGGTGCAGGTGTACGGCTACGAGGGCCGCGGCTCCTCTTGCGGCTCCCTCAGCTCCCTGGGCTCCGGCAGCGAAGCCGGCGGCGCCCCCGGCCCCGCGGAGCCGCTGGACGACTGGGGTCCGCTCTTCCGCACCCTGGCCGAGCTGTATGGGGCCAAGGAGCCCCCGGCCCCCTGAGCGCCCGGGCTGGCCCGGCCCACCGCGGGGGGGGGGCAGCGGGCACAGGCCCTCTGAGTGAGCCCCACGGGGTCCAGGCGGGCGGCAGCAGCCCAGGGGCCCCAGGCCTCCTCCCTGTCCTTGTGTCCCTCCTTGCTTCCCCGGGGCACCCTCGCTCTCACCTCCCTCCTCCTGAGTCGGTGTGTGTGTCTCTCTCCAGGAATCTTTGTCTCTATCTGTGACACGCTCCTCTGTCCGGGCCTGGGTTTCCTGCCCTGGCCCTGGCCCTGCGATCTCTCACTGTGATTCCTCTCCTTCCTCCGTGGCGTTTTGTCTCTGCAGTTCTGAAGCTCACACATAGTCTCCCTGCGTCTTCCTTGCCCATACACATGCTCTGTGTCTGTCTCCTGCCCACATCTCCCTTCCTTCTCTCTGGGTCCCTGTGACTGGCTTTTTGTTTTTTTCTGTTGTCCATCCCAAAATCAAGAGAAACTTCCAGCCACTGCTGCCCACCCTCCTGCAGGGGATGTTGTGCCCCAGGTCAGTGCCCCTAGACTGTGGGGCAGGGCGGTGGATGAAGGCTCCCACTCCCCACTGCCTCTAACGTGGCTCCCCTGTCCTTACAGACCTGCCTGCATGGTTCCATCCATTACTCATGGCCTCAGCCTCATCCTGGCTCCACTGGCCTCCAGCTGAGAGAGGGAACCAGCCTGCCTCCCAGGGCAAGAGCTCCAGCCTCCCGTGTGGCCGCCTCCCTGGAGCTCTGCCCAGCTGTCAGCTTCCCCTGGGCATCCCAGCCCTGGGCATTGTCTTGTGTGCTTCCTGAGGGAGTAGGGAAAGGAAAGGGGGAGGCGGCTGGGGAAGGGGAAAGAGGGAGGAAGGGGAGGGGCCTCCATCTCTAATTTCATAATAAACAAACACTTTATTTTGTAAAGCTGGAGCCCTGCTTCTGTTTTTGCACTCAGGTTTCTATACAAAGCTTCATCGTCCCAAAGGACGGGAGGCGAGGCCTAGCCTATTGCCTCCCAGTTCATTCTCCTTTCTCCTTGGGGGAAAATACACTTCACCTCCTTCTAGATAGGGGAAGACTTGGGTTAATTCCATGAGGGAGTAAGGAGATGATGACTCTGCCCCACTCTCACCACCAACTTTCTGGGTCCTCTGTTGGTCTCAAGCGGTCCAAGAAAATTAAGATATAAGGATTCAGCCAGGCGCGGTGGCTCTTGTCTGTAAATCCAGCAGTTTGGGAGGCTGAGGCGGGTGGATCACTTGAGGTCAGGAGTTCAAGACCAGCCTGGCCAATGGTAGAAACCCCATCTCTACTAAAAATACAAAAAATTAGCAGGGCATGGTGGCGCATGTCTGTAGTCCCAGCTACTCAGGAGGCTGAGGCAGGAGAATCACTTGAATCTGGGAGGCGGAGGTTGCAGTGAGCCAAGATCGCGCCACTGCGCTCCAGCCTGGGTGACAGAGCGAGACTCTGTCTCAAAAAAAAAAAAAAAAAAGATATAGGGATTGGTCAGAGGGCAAGATGGGCAGGAGAAGTAGAGGGTGAAGTGTGAGAGCTGCTGAGAAGAGGGCCGGAGGGATAAAAGACTAAGAGAGGAAGGGGGATTCTGGACTAGGAAAATAATGGGGGTGGCAGGCAGCAGCGGGGACAAACCAGCCTTTCCTGGGGCTCGTAGTGCCAAGTGGGGAAAGGGCGGACCAGAGTGAGACAGTCACATTGAATCTGGGCCCGCTGCTCCCACCTTTAACTCTCCCCTAGGCCATGGTCTTAGTCTTTGCAGAACACAAAGGAGGAGGGAGAGGACCAGGGAGGCAGGCTGTTGACGGACAGAAGCAGTCAACTAGGTGGGAGCTGAGCCAGAACTGCAATTATCTCCCAAAGTCCAGAGAAGGGGTCCACCCAGGAACCAGCATGAGAGCTCAGGCCTCTCAACTCCAGGGCTCCAGAGGCACACACAGGTAGGCGAGGTAGGATAGGTCCTTGTGACTCCCCCTTCGTATGGGGTACTGGCAGCTGGGGAAAGCTGCTTCAATGTGAACATACCTTCCCTCATACCTTCCCCACCTGCTTGATAAGGACAAGCAGGAGGTAGGAGAACAAGGCCCCTCCCTCTAGTGCTGGAATTCAGGTCATTTACTCTGCTGAAGGCTGGAAGCCTGGACCTCTGACAGTCCAAGGGCTTGTGCAAGAGCGGGCTATCCCCCCGAACTCTCCAGAGACTGTGAGGAGGTAGGCACCACCCCAAGCAGGGCATCAGAAGGACAAGGTCTTCTGGTTCGGGGCAGGAAGGGGAAGATCTCCGCCCCTTTGGTCTCACCGTGATATCTGTATCAAGCCTTCAGGAATTAGTAGAGAAATGGGGGAAATGACTCATGGGCTACTCTTAGACAGTGAGGGGTGCATTGGAATGGGATGTTGGCCTTTGTCTACCCAGCCCTCCCTAAGACTCTCCTAAGGTCCTCCCCCAAACTCATTAAAAACATAGCGGAAAATAATAGGGCAGAGGGAACCAGGCTTGTCAGCCAGACCCATGGGCTCATCTCTGGCCTCAACTACCTCAACCTCTGGAAGGACAGGACCTGTCAAAGGGAGTGAAGATGGGTGGGACTATGGAAGGAAAAGAGAGGAGGGTCCCCCCACCCTGAGTTCTGCCCTCCTGGTCTGGTTCTGCCCTCTTGGTCTGAGTTCAATTCTCCTGCTTGAGTCTGGGAATGGGGGTGAGGCGCCAAGCATCTCAGGGGGAGACAGCTGCACGCAGTTCACAGCCCACCTTTGACTGCGCTCAGGTGGCAATCCCAGGTCCCAGGCCACCCCTCCCTGCCTGTCTTTTCTCACTTCCTGAGAGGCTCAGGATAGGGCTGGGAGGATGAGGAAGTAGAGAACTGCTGGCATGAGCCTGTCCCCCACCTCCTCTTTACTCTGGAGCACTCCCCAAAAGAAGTGATAAGGCCTGGCAGTCTTCCCGCTGAGAGGCTGATCTCCTTATTCAGGTGTCGCTCTTTCTCTTTCAGTCTGTTTCTTGTCTCTGCACACAGGAACTGCACACGCATCGCCTGCCACACTCGTGTGAATCCCATCCTGTATCACTCACCTACACCTGGGCACAGAACTACATACACCTGTGGACATGAATATGCACCCTCTTATGCCGAGTCAAACACCTGAACGCCATGCAAAAGCTGCCCCTCCTCACATGCTTCCTCCAGGACTAGGCCACTGGGAGCCCTGCCTCCCAGTTAGCAGTCCCAGAGTCCCACATCTCCTCCCCTGAGGCTGGGGAGTGAGCAAGGGGTAAAGAAGGGTGGCCGCAGAGGCCACTGGCCAGATTCCTTGAGCCTGGCTTGAAGGCCAGTCCCCCCAAACTGGACACCTTTCTGTGGTGTCCACCACAATTCCTCCCCACTGTGTCCTTTCTGGGGTTTTCCCTTCTGGAGCCCCCTGACCTTTCCTCCCCCACCCCAGTCACCCGCTCTGCACCAGAGTCTGGAGGTCTGTCTGCCCAGCTCCTGCCTGGAGGAATGCTTAATCTGGGGTGCAAGATTAAGGCTCGGGCCTAGGCTGGAGCCAGGGATGAGGGGTGTCCAAGAGGGAAGGCAGGCGGCTGTTATTCTTGGGACTGGAAGCTTTAGGATTGGATGTGAGGAAAGCAACTTCAGCACCCTTCCTTCAGGCCCTATCTCGTAGGTTAACAGTGCTTTCTCTCTCATTTGGCCAGGGGACAGCAGGGCAGTGGCCCTCCTGGAGGTGTTAGTCTGGATCTTCAAGTCTGGGCTTCTAGGGGAGTGGGAGCAGGGACAGGAGGGGCAGGAGAGGATGTGCTAGCCAGACAGTTCCCACTGGCACAGCCACCTCTCTCTTGTCTTCATTCTCCAGAGGGAGCATCAGGAAGGAGGGGCTGGAAAGAAGGCAAAGGGAAGAAAGGAGGAGGGGAAGTCTGGCAGCGGCACCGCCAGGCCCAGAAAGCTGGAGAGCAAGGGTGGGCTGTGGGGGATGGCTCCAGGCCTGGAAGATAAAGCCACATGAGCCACCAGGCAGGGGACTGGCCTAGCTACTTTCTCCCTCCACATCCCTCTCCGGAAGCCTGCAGGGAAGAGAGGAAAGGCAGGGCAGAGGGCCTGGGAGGGGGAGCTGTGCTGAAAGAGCATGGACCCTGGAGGAGAAGGCCTGGATCTAAGTGTCATCCCTGCCACTTACTGTGTGACCCTGGCAAGCCACATAACCCTTTGAACCTGATTCCTCTTCTGTAAAGAGAGACTCATTTTTACCTCAAAGGGTTGCGATGAGAACTGCATTCAGTAAAGGGATAATCATTCTAGTCATGATGGTCAAGTCAGAGAAGGAGAGCAGATAAGACAAGCCCATCACCATCCAAAGGGTGTCTATCACTACGCCTCGTTCTGAGAGGGGCTGCTCCCTTCCCGGGTGCCCCATCTTACCATGCTGACAAAGTGATCAGGAGAAAAAGACAAAGACGCTGAAGCTGAGACACATAAAGGACCGAAACTAAGAGAAACTGGGGATGAGATGATGGAAAAAAGCAGAGAAGATGGCAAGAAAAGAGGGTCTAGCACCTAGCATGCGTCTGGCATGCAGTAGGCACACTGCAAGTGTTGAATGAAAGACGGACTTGGTGCCAAGAAGGAGGCTGGACCAATCCACTGGGAGTCAATAGGAACTTGTTGGGCAGAGCCATAATAGCTCTGGGAGTCATGAAAGGATGGAGACTTGCAATAAATGAAGCCAGCAACCCATACAGGCTAGAGCCAGACGCTGTGAGGCTGCTGCCAGCGGGACCCTCCCCCTGCTGCCCATCCTCCCACCCACTCCCCAGGCCTACACCATCCCCAACCAAGTCCTGCTTCTCACACCGTCTCAGTCCCTGCTGGCATCCTGGAGTCTCCTGGTGTCACCTCCCCTGGCCCCACAGAGAGCTCTCTATCTTCTGCAGCTCTGTGGGCAGTGGCAGGCTCAGGATGGGCATGGCTGGCATCCTCCTCTGGCTCCGGCTCCAGGAGCTTCTGTAACTCCACGTACAGCACACAGGCATCACTGCGTGACACATGCTCCCATCCACTCTCCCGCACGTGGAAAAGGTCTACAGAGCCCCCTGAATAGGCATCACGGTGGGTGGCGTGGGCCACGGCGCAGCGAGCCAGGGCGTAGGCTTCCTGGGTGCTCATGTCGTAGCGATAGCCACGGTCTAGCACGCCGTAGGCATAGGGAGATCCAGAGCCCACAGAGAAGATGTCCCCCTGCAGGCGGGTGCCGTCGCTATAGACGTAGAAGAGCTCAGGGCCAGAGCGGTCCCAGCCGCAGAGGGCAGTGGCCACACAGAGATCCAGTCCCCGGTATTGAGACATCATGGCTGACAAGAGCTTGGCAGCACTGGCCACACTGGGCAGCTGACCCTCCCTCAGTTCCCGAAGCCGCAGCTCCCGCTGTAATACCCGATACCAGGTAGCACAGTCGGCAGAGGTGCCAGAGGTGGTACCCAGGAGGTGCTGGTGCACAGGGATGACCTTGCATGAGGCTGGACACGCCACATAGCTGCCACAGGAGGAACGCGTGTCAGCTGCAGCAATGACTCCATGACGGAAGCGGAAGGCCAGAGTGGTGGTGCCGTGGGCCAGTCTGGGGCCATGGATCTGCAGGAAGGTTTGAGGGTCACAACCCCGGGGCACAGCCCAGCCGCCAGCCCGAGGCAGGTGAGGTGATGGTCCCTGGGTGTCAGGGGACTGCCACTTGCACACATCCTGCAGAGCCATCCCTGGGGCTGAATGAAGTTTGGAAGAAGCAAGCCAGGAATTTGTGGCTGGGGTCTGGTGGGATAGGAGGGACGCTACAGAGAAGCTGGGCCACAGCCAGAACCGGCCAGGAAGGTGTGTGAGCTGACGCTTCATTTCTCCTCAACCCCCAATTCAGGCTTTGGGATTGGCTGATGGAGCAGCCCCCTTCATCTCAGAGGACAGCTGAAAGGAGACAGGATGAGGGCTGTAGAGTCTCCAGCACTAGGAAGACGCTGCCTTCACGGTCAGACCTTCACCTTCTGCTGCCCATGACGCATCTGAGAGTCACCCAAAGAGTCTCCTGTCTGTCATCCTCCAACTATCTGGAGTTGGGCGGGGGGGGCTGGGGTAATGCAAAGAAACATGAGCACAAATGGATGGAGCAGGGCTGGGCTCCTTGTTTCTCCCATGCGGGGCACTGGGCACGTAGAGACAAATAAGGCCCTGTCCCTGGCCTGAGAGGGCTCCCAGCCTAGGACGAGGTAGACAATTCAGTGGACTGATGTGGTCAGAATACAGCGCTGTAACCCCACTGAGGCAGGAGACCTTGGTGCTGGGGACTCCCTTCAGAGATATGGGAGCAAGGAACTCAGCTCATACTTCAAACTCAAGGGAAAGATGGGGAAAGAAAAATGGACTGAGGCTGGGCACAGTGGATCACACCAGTAATCTTAGCACTTTGAGAGACCAAGGCAGGGGGATGGCTTGAGCCCAAGAGTTCGAGACCACCCTGGGCTACATATCAAGACCCCCATCTCTACAAAATATGTAACAATTAGCCTGGGACAGGCTCGGAGGCTCATGCCTCCCAGCACTTTGGGAGGCCGAGGCAGGTGAATCACGAGGTCAGGAGTTCGAGACCAGCCTGGCCAATATGGTGAATCCCCATCTCTACTAAAAAATTAGCTGGGTGTGGTGACGCACACTTGTAGTCCCAGCTGCTCAGGAGGCTGAGGCAGGAGAATTGCTTGAACCAGAAGGCGGAGGTTGCAGTGAGCTGAGATCGTGCCACTGCACTCCAGCCTGGGTGACAGAGCGAGACTCCATCTCAAAAAAAAAAAAAATTAGCCAAGCATGGTGGCACATGCCTGTAGTCCCAGCTACTCAGGAAACTGAGGTGAAAGGATCACCTGAGTCCAAGAGGTCAAGGCTTCAGTGAGCCGTGATTGTGCCACTGCACTCCTGCCTGGGCGACACAGTGACACCCTGTCTCAATAAAAAATAAAGGAAAATTTAAAAAAATAAAAATAAAAAAGGCCGCACATGGTGGCTCATGCCTGTAATCCCAGCACTTTGGGAGACAGAGGCGGGCGGATCACCTGAGGTCAGGAGTTTGAGACCAGCCTGGCCACCATGGTGAAACCCCCGTCTCTACTGAAAATACAAAAAAAATCAGCCGGGTGTGGTGGTGGATGTCTGCAATCCTAGCTGCTTGGGAGGCTGAGGCACGAGAATCGCTTGAACCCGGGAGGTGGAGGTCGCAGTGAGCTGCCATTGCACTCCAGCCTGGGCAACAAGAGCGAAACTCCATCTCAAAAATTAATTAATTAATTAATTAATTAAAAGTGGACTAAAGCAAAGACGAGAAAAAAGAGCAAGAGAACTTTGTAACAGCGGAGAGGAGAAAGAGGCTGAAATATCTTCCACAAAGGCAGATTGCTGAGGAATGAAGGAAACTAGAACCTGAAGGTCTCTTTCTCCCTTGCTTTAGAGATAAATATGTCCTTCTATCTGTATACAGAGAAGGCATTCCTGACAGTTCTCTGGCAGTATGCCTTTGACTTGTGTTGAAGTCCAAAGGATCTAGTGGCCTTCTAGCTCCTGCTCCCCCTTCTGCCTAATAGTTCACAATGGCAACAGAGTGGCTTGTAATTCCAGGGCAGGAGAAACAACTGATCTTAACTCCATAATGTTGAGTCTATAAGTCTTAGACCAACCAGGGGTGTTAGAGTGGTGGGGTTGGTGGACCCTGATAGCTGACCCTTCAGAAAGTCGAAGTCAAGGCCAAGTGTGTTGGCTCACGCCTGTAATCTCAGCACGTTGGGAGGCCAAGGCAGGTGAATCACTTGAGCCCAGGAATTCGAGATCAGCCTGGGCAACATGGCGAAACCTCACCTCTACAAAAAATACAAAAAATTAGCCGGGTGTGGTGGTGTGGACCTGTAGTCCCAGCTACTTGGAAGGCTGAGGTGGGAGGATCACTTGAGCACTCACTGAATGAGGCTGCAGTGAGTAAGATTGTGCCACTGCACTCCATGCACTCTAGCCTGGGCAACAAAGTAAGACCCTGTCTCAGAAAAAAAAAAAAAAATAGCCAGTTAATTGGGGCAGAGTGACAAGCTGCAACTACTCCAGCAACATATGCCGTACATATATTATACTAAACATTGCAGCTCAAGGTGGTGCTGTGGAAATGGATTTATTTGAAGAAACAGACCCACACACAAAGGAAAGAGTCTGGACCCTCCAGACATCATGATGGTGGGGCTGTGGCATCATAGCTTTCTGGGGTCTCACTACTAAGGAAAAGTGTAAACCTGGTCATGGGAAAGTTGGAGAAACTCAAAGAGCATGCTAAGGTCCAACCAGTCCTTCTCTTCTCCTTGGTGTAGGACCACCAGGAAATCTTGCTGAAAGGTAAGGATATATCTTCTTTCTTTCTTTCTTTTTGAGACGGAGTTTCGCTCTTGTCATCCAAACTGGAGTGCAATGGCGTGATCTTGGCTCACTGTAACCTCTGCCTCCCAGGCTCAAGCGATCCTCCTGCCCAGCCTCCCAAGTAGCTGGGATTACAGGCACCCCCAACACACCCAGGTAATTTTTGTACTTTTAGTAGAGACAGGGTTTTGCCATGCTGGCCAGGCTGGTCTCGAACTCCTGACCTGAGGTGATCCGCCCACCTGGGCCTCCCAAAGTATTAGGATTACAGGCGTGAGCCACTGCGCCTAGCCTAGAGTATATCTTCTTTCTAAAGGCTAAGTCTCAGACTCTTTATAGATGGATTGCCACCTCCCTAGATCAAGCCATTATCAAGTCAGGTCTGGACAGTTGAATGACCTCCTAATTAAGCACTCACCAGTCTCCCATTGTAATCTTACCCTCTACATGGACATGTTTTCCTAAAGTATCACTCAAATCCTGTGTTTTCTCTGCTAGAAAAACTTGGAGGGTTATAAGATAAAATCAAAACTACCTCTTCTATCCCAAGCTGGCACGTAAGACCCACTATGGTCCAACCTAAATCTATCTATCACAGGCTCTTTTCTCTCTATTCCTAACACACCTCCCACCTCCCTTTCACCTGTTTGAATCCTATTCCACAGTCTGGCTTAAGTACCACCTATTGTGAAATTCCTTCCCAGGTATGGGCTGAGAAAGGAGAGGCTGTGAGTGCACCAAGTCAGATTTAGAAAAATGAATCCAGACCTTGACAAAGCCATCCTGGACCTACAGCCTCTTTCCAATCTATATTGACTCCCTCGCCCACCTCTGAACCACAGCATTTATCATTTGTACTTCTCCTTAATGAGGTCCCCAGGAATAGGGACCCTGGAGCAGAGAACGCATGTGAGGTAAGTTGGGAATGGATTATGGAAGGCCTTGAATGCTATGCTGAGGAGCTTGAATTCACAAAACTTTTTTTTTTTTTTTTTTTTTTTTGAGACGGAGTCTCACTCTGTCGCCCAGACTGGAGTGCAGTGGCACAATCTCTGCTCACTGTAACCTCTGCCTCCCGGGTTCAAGCAATTCTCCTGCCTCAGCCTCTAGAGTAGCTAGGACTACAGGCGGTGCCACTACGCCTGGCTAATTTTCTGTATTTTTAGTAGTGACAGGGTTTCACCGTGTTAGTCAGGATGATCTTGATTTCCTGACCTCGTGATCCGCCCACCTCGGCCTCCCAAAGTGCTGGGATTACAGGCGTGAGCCACCGCGCCTGGCCCACAGAACATTTTTAAGCAGGTGAGTGTTAAGATCGAGATGATGTTTTAGGCTGGGCGCAGCGGCTCACGCCTGTAATCCCAGCACTTTGGGAGGCTGTGGCGGGCAGATCACCTGAGGTCAGGAGTTCAAGACCAGCCCGCCCAACATGGCAAAATCTTGTCTCTACTAAAAATAGAAGAAAAAAAATTAACTGGGCCTGGTGGCGCACGCCTGTAATCCCAGCTACTCGGGAGGCTGACGCAGGAGAATTGCTTGAACCTGGGAGGCAGAGGTTGCAGTGAGCAGAGATCGTGCCACTGCACTCCAGCCTGGGCGACAATAGCAAAACTCAATTAAAAAAAAAAATGGTGTTTTAGGAAAACGAATCTGATGCTGTGCAGAATGAATTAGAGAGTGACAATTTAGACCCATAAATCAGTTAGGAGAAGGCCAGGCATGGTGGTTCACACCTGTAATCCCAGCACTTTGGAAGACTGAGGCAGACAGATCGTCTGAGGTTGGGAGTTCAAGACCAGCCTGGCCAATATGGCAAAATCCCATCTCTACTTAAAATACAAAAAAAAAAAAAATTATCCAGGCAATTCATCCTGGCTAACATGGTGAAACCCCATCTCTACTAAAAAATACAAAAAAAAACAAAAATTAGCGGGCATGGTGGCGGGCGCCTGTAGTCCTAGTTACTCGGGAGGCTGAGGCAGGAGAATGGCGTGAACCCGGGAGGCGGAGCTTGCAGTGAGCCAAGATTGTGCCACTGCACTCCAGCCTGGGTGACAGAGCGAGACTCCGTCTCAAAAAAAAAAAAAATTATCCAGGTATGGTGGCACACACCTGTAGTTCCAGCTACTTGGGAGGCTACGGCAGGAGAATCACTTGAATCCAGGAGGTAGAGGTTGCAGTGAGCCAATATTGCGCCACTGCACTCCAGCCTGGGCGACAGAGCGAGACTCCATCTCAAAAAAATAAAATAAAATAAGGAGAATATTTCAGCAATTCCAGAATGAGGACATAAGAAGCCAAAGGTGGTATCAGTTGTAATGAAAAAGAATGTGAGAAACACTGAAGTGGAAATAATCAACAGGACCATGCAACTAACTGGATATGAAGGAAAGAAAAAAGCTGTAAAAGATAAGCAAGGACTTCAAGCCTTTTTGACTAGAAGACCACTGCTGTCATTCTTTCAGGTGTTCATTTGGCAAATATGTATTAAGCATACAGTGGGTACAGAAATGAATAGTAAGTACTTGTATTTAAAAGCTCACAATCCGGTAGGAGATAAATGTAATTTCTAACCAGGTAAAATGTAAAAGGGCCTTAAGAGAGGTACACATGCTATCAGTGGCAGAGTGAAAAACCACTGGAAGGAGGCAGAAAGACTAGTTGCACTGCAGGGGTGACTGCAAAATAATATATGCTCAGTAAACAGACGCACTCCGCATTTTCCACATCATCCAAGTGTGAAACACAAAGATCTCCTGTTTAATTCTATTCTGATGATTGGGCTTGGAAAGGGTTGCCAATTTCAGCATTAAAAATACAGCATAGGCCAGGCGCAGTGGTTCACACCTGTAATCCCAGCACTTTGGGAGGCCGGGGCAAGCGGATCACCTGAGGTCAAGAGTTTGAGACCAGCGTGGCCAATATGGTGAAACCCCATCTCTACTAAAAATACAAAAATTAGCCAGGCGTGAGGCCGGGCACGGTGGCTCATGCCTGTAATCCCAGCACTTTGGGAGGCCGAGGTGGGTGGATCACGAGGTCAGGAGATCAAGACCATCCTGGCTAACAAGCGGATCACCTGAGGTCAAGAGTTTGAGACCAGCGTGGCCAATATGGTGAAACCCCATCTCTACTAAAAATACAAAAATTAGCCAGGCGTGAGGCCGGGCACGGTGGCTCATGCCTGTAATCCCAGCACTTTGGGAGGCCGAGGTGGGTGGATCACGAGGTCAGGAGATCAAGACCATCCTGGCTAACACGGTGAAACCCCGTCTCTACTAAACACACACACACACACACACACACACACACACACACACACACACACAAATTAGCCTGTTGTGGAGGCAGGCGCCTGTAATCCCAGCTACTCGGGAGGCTGAGGCAGGAGAATCGCTTGAACCTGGGAAGCAGAGGTTGCAGTGAGCAGAGATCGTGCCACTGTGTTCCAGCCTGGGGGACACAGCAAGACTTGGTCTCAAAAAACAAACAAACAAACAAACAAAAACAATACAGCATATGCAGAGTCTGCTGGGGGAAAGATGGGGCCGAACTGGGCATCAGAGGAAAGTGGAATTTCGGTGTTGATAGATGTTGCTGCTAGAATCCAACAAGGAAGGCCAGAGACTGACTTCATAGAACCATAAAGCAGGAGGCAACATTTCATACATATGCACACTTCCCGGTTTGTTATAGTTCCCAAAAGATTTGAAAAATGAAGGTGGGTGGAGGGAGGAAGAGGCAATGAAATATAGTATGTTCCTGAATAAAAGGCATCATCTTAGCAAGTTGAAGTTAGAGAATCTCTTGGTACATATTTATGCAGTCTCAACCGTCCTCCCGTCTCTGAGATGGTAAATTACTACTGACACTTATTCAGGTCTGAACTGAGAATCTAGTTTGTGGATTAACTGGACCCTTTGCTTTTTCTTCTTCCATCTGCCTTTTAGGCAATTCATTACTTATTCGAATTTCCACCAGAAGGTAGGAGTCAAGAGAACGAATATTGGATATTAATAACCGGTTACTGTTAAAGAAGGGTTGCTGTATGGCGACTGACAACAAGAGGTATAGCACTTTTATTTTGTTGCGTTGTTTTACCACTAATTGCTGTGGTTTAACTAATATAGGGAAATGGCCTCAGAATGGATCATTATTTTACCCAATTTTAGAAGGTGCCCTTAAACAAGATGGCAACCTCAGGCGCGTTAACAAGGTGCTGAAGCAGCAGCGATGTAACCTGTTGCTTGGACACCAGGCTGGAGTGGGAGGACTCACCGCTAAGGGTTCAGAACCGATTTTCAACCAGTCACGCCCTTCTCAAAGATGGCCGACCTCACTTCCCTTACGCAACATGGACGTTTTCAGTCACTTCCTGTGATTTTGAGGTTATTCTGATCCAGGACTACTTGCATGACCAAAGCCAAGATGGCAGGTACGTCCTTTTAGAATTTAAGGTTAGTGAAGCCATCTATTTCCCCGACCCCCTTCAGTGAAAATGGTCTTTCGCATCTGGCTCTTCTTTTTGGAGGCGTGCTTGCCAGCAGTCAAAATGGCTCCATTCCGGAATAGATTTAATAGGAAGTGAAGCTGTGACGGCGAGGCGTTGCCCGGCCTATCTTTGCTAGGCGTTCTCAGAATTAGTTCTTTCTGCCCACACTAGACATGGCGCTTGCCAGCGTGTTGGAGAGACCGCTACCGGTGAACCAGCGCGGGTTTTTCGGACTTGGGGGTCGTGCAGATCTGCTGGATCTAGGTCCAGGGAGTCTCAGTGATGGTCTGAGCCTGGCCGCGCCAGGCTGGGGTGTCCCAGAAGAGCCAGGAATCGAAATGCTTCATGGAACAACCACCCTGGCCTTCAAGGTGTGGAGCCAGCCCCCTTGCCAGGCTGAGTACTGAACGCCCGCGACTTGCCTGGCCTCCCAGCCTGACCGGAGTTTGCGGTGGCCTTGGCCACCAACCCAGGCGGAGGCTGGGTCCTCTCGTTCGGACCGCAGCAGTTTTGCTGTCTCATTGGCCCAGGAGGCCCCTGTCTTTGCTCTGGTTGGAAAGGGTGGCGGTGGGGCCGGGGGTAAGTCGGGGGAGGAAGGTGAGGCCTCTTGGGTTGATTCCTAGGCGACCCCAGGTTGCTGCTGTTCAGGATCTTCTAGCTGGGAAAGGCCGCAACAACAATGAATCTTGGCCGAGGGAAGGCTATTGTAAACGTTTACCAAAGTTTTGGAAACTGGGCGGCCCCTCAAGGCAGGGGTAACTGAAACTGGCATGAAGGGGAAGCGTGGTGAGGGTAAGCATTGTACTAAGAATCAGACATTTGGGGTTCCTTGCCCAGCTCTGCAATAACTAGCTCTAGATTGAGAAATCATTTGATTTCATTGAACCTGTTTCCTCATCTATAAAATGATTTGTTTTTTTTTTTTTTTTGAAACAGGGCTTTTCGCTGTCGCTCAGGCTGGAGTGCAGTGGCTCCAGCGCCTCAGCCTCCAGAGTAGCTGACACTATAGGCACACACCACCACGACAGGCTAAGTTTTTTTACTTTTTGTAGAGATGGATCTCCCTGTGTTGCCCAGGCTGGTCTCCAGCACCTGGCCTCAAGCGGTCCTCCCGCCTTGGTCTCCCAAAATGCCTGGGTTACAGGAGTGAGCCACCACGCCCATCCTATAAAATGAATTTAATATGGGTTATATCCATGTCAAGGGATTGATGTGAAGCTCGGGTGACATTAATATATGGTGAAGTATAGAAGTATACTGTGAAGTATAAAAGGACGGAGAAAGAGATGTGCTGGGTTTGGATTGATGCAAAAAGAAGTATGTAGGAGTGTTTTTGTGGTCTTATGTGGCCTGTTTTGTGTTTTCCTCTGATCTTAACAGTTCCGCCATGGAGTCATAGTTGCAGCTGACTCCAGGGCTACAGCGGGTGCTTACATTGCCTCCCAGACGGTGAAGAAGGTGATAGAGATCAACCCATACCTGCTAGGCACCATGGCTGGGGGCGCAGCGGATTGCAGCTTCTGGGAACGGCTGTTGGCTCGGCAATGTCGAATCTATGAGCTTCGAAATAAGGAACGCATCTCTGTAGCAGCTGCCTCCAAACTGCTTGCCAACATGGTGTATCAGTACAAAGGCATGGGGCTGTCCATGGGCACCATGATCTGTGGCTGGGATAAGAGAGGCCCTGGTGAGTTAAGCTGCAACCACATGATCCTTGGGCTGACACTACAGTGAGGAGGGGTTGGATGGACAGATGAATTAAAGGGCTTGGTGTCAATGCTGAAGAAGTGTAATTAGGTCCTTAGCCCTTCCTTCTCTCTTTTTTTTTTTCCTGTTTTTTTAGACTGTGTCTCATTCTGTCGCTCAGGCTGGAGTGCAGTGGCATGATCTCAGCTCACTGCAGCCTCCGCCCCCAGGTTCAGGAATTCAAGACCAGCCTGGCCAACATGGCGAAACCCCATCTCTACTAAAAATACAAAAATTAGCCCGGCGTGGTGGCGGGCGCCTGTAATACCAGCTGCTCAGGAGGCTGAGGCATGAGAATTGCTTGAACCCAGGAGGTGGATGTTGCAGTGAGCAGAGATCGCGCCACTGCACTCCAGCCTGGGCGACAGAGTGAGACTCTGTCTCAAAAAAAAGAATTTAAGAATTCGTTGAAGGCCGGGCGTGGTGGCTCACTCCTGTAATCCCAGCACTTTGGGAGGCTGAGACAGTGGATCACGAGGTCAGGAGATCGAGACCATCCTGGCTAACAAGGTGAAACCCCGTCTCTACCAAAAATACAAAAAATTAGCCAGGCGTGGTGGCAGGCGCCTGTAGTCCCAGCTACTCAGGAGGCTGAGGCAGGAGAATAGTGTGAACCCAGGAGGCGGAGCTTGCAGTGAGTCGAGATGGTGCCACTGCACTCCAGCCTGGGCAACAGAGCGAGACTCTGTCTCAAAAAAAAAAACAAAAAAAAGAATTCGTTGAATCCCACATGTGGCAGTAGTGCTATTTCAAGTGTTCATTGACCATGTGTGGCTTGTGGCTACTGTATTGGACTCTAATATATGGTTGTCCCTCAAAAGTTAGTCATTTCTCTTCTGTTTTTTTCTTTTTTTCTTTTTTTGAGATGCAAAGTTTCACTCCGATCGTCCAGTCTGGCGTGTAATGGCATTGTTTCAGCTCACTACAACCTCTGCCTCCTGGGTTCAAGTGATTCTCCTGCCGCAGTCTCCCAAGTACCTGGGATTACAAGCGCCCACCAGCATGCCCAGCTAATTTTATATTTTTAGTAGAGATGGGGTTTCACCATGTTGGCCAGGCTGGTCTCGAAATCCTGACCTCAGGTGATTCACCCGCCTCAGCCTCCCAAAGTGCCAGGATTAAAGGCGTGAGCCGCTGCACCCGGCCTCTTCTCTTTTTTTCTTTAGAGAGTCTTTGGCCTAGAAGGGGCCTTTTGGGCTCCTCTCTTTTTTGAGGGGGTGGGGATGGAGTCTCGCTCTGTCGCCCCGACTGGAGTGCAGCGGCGGGATCTCAGCTCACTGCAATCTCTGCCTCCCAGGTTCAAGTGATTCTCCTGCCTCAACCTTCCATGTAGCTGAGACTACAGGCATATGCCACCATGCGCGTCTAATTTTTGTATTTTTAGTAGAGACAGGGTTTCACCATGTTGGCCAGGCTGGTCTTGAACTCCTGACCTCAGGTGATCTGCCCACCTCAGCCTGCCAAAGTGTTGAGATTACAGGAGTGAGCCATTGCGCCTAGTCCTGGGCTCATTTCTTTTATTTCTTTGCTGGTTATAATCACCCTTACAATCATGCTAGGTCCGGTTCTATCATCTCTGAAAATAAGTTCCTTAGCCTGTTTTTCCTTTCCAGCATTTAAGAAACTTGCCAGACAGTTCAACTTTGTATTTAATGTCATTTCCTCATCAGCCAGTTTTGAATTGCCCGTTTAGTAAAGTTGGAGTATAGCTAGTCACCTTCTAATTTTCCCTTCCATATGCTTAAAAATAATTATTCTTTCCTCCTTTTGATTTTGCTTCATTCATTTACCTGCTTACTAAATACCTAGTTATCTTATAGAACAATTATAGGGTACCTACCACTTTTTCACTTGCTTTCAAACGAGAATAGAAAGGGCTGTAGGGAGTATCCACTTACTACCCAATGGAGGATGAAAGGAAATTAAAAACCGGATGTGAGAGAGGAGCTCACTTTGTTACTTTGGAAATTGAGATGCTTTTCTCTGAAAGGTGGGAAAAGACAGTTCCATACATTTTACGTGATCCAGGGAAGCATTTTGGAAATGTTGCTTTGAACCTTTAGCTGGCGGATTTGTTCTAGGTGATGGAAACAGTGTAAAAGAGTACAGGGACCGGGTAACAAGGAAAATCCAGGGAGACTGAGCATCATTTAAACAGTGCCTTCTTCAAGAGGCCTTCCTGATGACCCTGTCCCATTCATTGTGAGTCAGCCCCTTGCCTCATATTACAGTTGGCCCTTGAGCAACATGGGTTTGAATCACTCAGGTCCACTTATACGCAGGTATTTTTCAACCTAATTCTGATTGAAAATACACATTCCCAGAATTTGAAACCCAAATATACAGAGGACCAATTTATTTATTTATTTATTTATTTATTTTTGAGATGGAGTTTTCCTCTTGTCACCCATGCTGGAGTGCAATGGCGCGATCTCAGTTCATTGCAACCTCCACCTCCTGGGTTCAAGTGATCTCCTGCCTCAGCCTCCCGAGTAGCTGGGATTACAGACACCCGCCACCCTGCCAGCTAACTTTTGTATTTTTAGTAGAGACAGGGTTTCACCATGTTGGCCAGGCTGGTCTTAAACTCCTGACCTCGGGTGATCCACCTGCCTCAGCCTCCCAAAGTGCTGGGTGGCGTGAGCCACCATATCTGGCCAACTTTTCATATATGCAGGTTCTGCAGGGCCAACTTTGGGACTTGAGTGTGCATAGATTTTGGTATATGCAGGGGTCTTGGGACAAATCCCCTTCATATACCAAAGGATGACTAGTTAACCCAAGGCTGAATAAGATAAATAACCTTTTTTTTTTTTTATTGAGACGGAGTCTCGCTCTGTCGCCCAGGCTGGAGTGCAGTGGTGCCATCTCTGCTCACTGCAAGCTCCGCCTCCCGGATTCACGCCATTCTCCTGCCTCAGCCTCCCGAGTAGCTGGGACTACAGGTGCCCGCCACCACGCCCGGCTAATTTTTTGTATTTTTAGTAGAGACGGGGTTTCACTGTGTTAGCCAGGATGGTCTCAATCTCCTGACCTCATGATCCACCCGCCTCGGCCTCCCAAAGTGCTGGGATTGCAGGCGTGAGCCACAGCTCCTGGCCTGATAAATACCGTTTTTAAAAGAACCAGTTGGCTGGGCATGGTGGCTCATGCCTGTAATCTCAGCACTTTGGGAGGCCGAGATGGGTGGATCACCGGAGATCAGGAGTTCGAGACCAGCCTGACCAACATGGTGGAACCTTGTCTCTACTAAAAATACAAAATTATTGGGAGGCCGAGGCGGGCGGATCACGAGGCCAGGAGATCGAGACCATCCTGGCTAACACGGTGAAACCCCATCTCTACTAAAAATACAAAAAATTAGCTGGGCGTGGTGGTGGTCGCCTGTAGTCCCAGCTACTTGGGAGGCTGAGGCAGGAGAATGGCGTGAACCCAGGAGGTGGAGCTTGCAGTGAGCTGAGATCGTGCCACTGCACTCCAGACTGGGCAACAGAGCAAGACTCCATCTCAAAAAAAAAAAATACAAAATTAGCCGGCTGTGGTGGCACATGCCTGTAATCCCAGCTACTCAGGGAGATGAGGCAGGAGAATCTCTTGAACCCTGGAGGTGCATGCCTGTAATCCCAGCTACTCAGGAGGCTGAGGCAGGAGAATCAATCACTTGAACCTGGGAGGCAGAGGTTGCAGTAAGCTGAGATTGTGCCATTGCACTCCAGCTTGGGAAACAAGAAAGAAACTTTGTCTCAAAAATCAGTCAGTCAATCAATAAATAAAAAGAACCAGTCAAATGCGGAAGGAGTTTTGAGGAGGAAGAGATTACTTATGATGGGAGGAATTGGGGAAGACTTCATGGATTGGTGGTGGTTGTCCTGGATGTAAAAAAGGGAAAGGGAACATAACAAAGAAAGGGAGGAAAGAAGCATGAGCTTTTGAGGAGTAACTGAAAGTCCAGTTTAATTGGAACTAAGTGGGTGAAGGGGAATAGTGAGCCATAAAGCCAGAAGGGTACTTTGGAACCAGATGATGACCCCCCTCTAGGCAAGAGAGCATGGCACTGGGGCTGAGGAGGGGCCAGAGAAAGGAGTAAGGTAGACATCAGAATCACCTGAACCTGAAAACCAATAAGGGCAGAGGTGCTCAAGCTGGCTTGCATTAAAATCACCTGGGGGACTTAAAAAACAAGTTCCATACCTGTTTCCCACCCCACACCAGTTATAAAAAATACCTAGGGTAAGTCCTGTGCATTTTTGAAAAAAATCTTTGTTAGATGACTCTAGTGCACAGTGAGATGTGAGAATCACTGAAACAGGAAAAAGAGTAGTGATGCTATTGGCAGAATTTCAGAAGACAGGAGGAAGCGTGGGTTTGTGGCGCACAAGAGAGATGAGTGTGGTAGGTAATGGAGAACCACTGGTATCTAAGTTTAGGAAGTTTGAATCTGTACATGATGACAAAGACATCCAGCTGGAGGGATCCAGTAGGCAGTTGGGATTGAACACTTTGTCTAAATTTTCATCTGTACCAAAAGTCAGCTAGTTTTTTCATAAAGGGCCAAATAGTAAATATTTTAGGTCTGCAGGCCTAAATCTTTGTCTCAAATACTTAACTCTGCCGGTGTTGCACAAAACAACCATAGACAGTATGGAAACAGTGGCTCTGTTCCAATAACATTTTAATTACAAAAATAAAGGCAGTTGGCCTGGCCAAACCCTGGTCTATACCAGCAATAGAAATATAATGTGAGCCATATATGTAATTTTACATTTTATACTAGCTACGCTTTTAAAATTAAAAAAAATTAATTTCAATATATTTTGTTTAACCTAATAAATCCAAAATATTATGTTAGCAGGTAGTACTAGTTCATTTCAAATGCTCAACTAGTCCTGTGTGGCTAGTGGCTACCATATGGACAGTGCAGGTCTTTACAATGTGATTACAAACTCTAGGCTTTATTATCCTCCTGTGTAAAGTATGTCTTGTTCTCCAGATAGTCTAAACTCTTTGAGTTCTGGCATTATGGAGTTTGTTTTTCTGTCACACAGGCTGCAGTGCAGTGGCATAATCACAGCTCACTGTAGCCTCAACCTCCTGGGCTCAAGTGACTGGGATTATGGGGTCTTTTGATGGGGGAGTGGGGATTATGTTTTGTTTGTTTGTTTTTTGAGACAGAGTTTCACTCTTGTTGCCCAGGCTGGAGTGCAGTGGTGCGATCTCGGCTCACTGCAAACTCCACCTCCCAGGTTCAAGTGATTCTCCTGCCTCCGCCTCCTGAGTAGCTGGGATTACAGGCATGCGCCACCACGCCTGGCTAATTTTGTATTTTTAGTAGAGACAGGGTTTCTCCATGTTGGTCAGGCTTGTCTTGAACTCCTGACCTCAGGTGACCCACCTGCCTCGGCCTCCCAAAGTGCTGGGATTACGGGTTTGAGCCACTGCGCCTGGCCGGGGATTATGTTTTAAATGTTATCTTTCACAGTGTCTGAAGTTCTGTGCTTGAAACCTAAGTCATTTGGAATGTACTTGTTTTGTGGGTGTGCTGAGAGGATCGGCAACATGGCAAGGTAGTTATTATAATATAAGGTGAGATGGGGTGGTATGTTGTAGAATCCTGGAGTCTTAATATTAAATTTTATTCCTTCAGGTTTTTTTTTTTTCCTGAAGACAGCATCTCAGTCTGTTGCCCAAGCTGGAGTGTGGTGGTGTGATTATAGCTTACTGCAGCCTGCAAGTCCTGAGCTCAAACAATCCTCCTGTTTCAACCTCCCACAGACATGCACCACCACACTCAGCTAGCTTTTAAAAAAATAATAATAATTTTATAGAAGTCCTATCTTGTATTTATGTTGGCTTCCCTGGGTTTCTCTTTTATATATATATATATTATTTTATTTATTTATTATTATTATTATTATTTTTTTTTTTTTTGAGACAAAGTCTTGCTCTGTCTCCCAGGCTGGAGTGCAGTGGCGCGATCTCGGCTCACCGCAAGCTCCGCCTCCCGGGTTTACGCCATTCTCCTGCCTCAGCCTCCTGAGTAGCTGGGACTGCAGGCGACCGCAACCACACCTGGCTAATTTTTTGTTTTTTAGTAGAGACGGGGTTTCACCGTGTTAGCCAGGATGATCTCGATCTCCTGACCTCGTGATCCACCCGCCTCGGCCTCCCAAAGTGCTGGGATTACAGGCGTTAGCCACCGCGCCTGGCCTATTTATTATATTATTTTGAGACAGCGTTTCACTCTTGTTGCCCAGGCTGGAGTGCAATGGCGCGATCTTGGCTTACCGCAACCTTTGCCTCCCAGGTTCAAGTGATTCTCCTGCATCAGCCTCCTGAGTAGCTGGGATTATAGGCATGTGCCACCACGCCTGGCAAATTTTGTATTTTTAGTAGAGATGGGGTTTCTTCATGTTGGTCAGGCTGGTCTCAAACGCCTGACCTCAGGTGATCTGCCCACCTCAGCCTCCCAAAGTGCTGGGATTACAGGCATGAGCCACCGCGCCCGGCCTATTTTTTTATTTTTTTAAATTTTATTCTAGGTTTTAAGAGAACTACTGCTGGCCGGGCGAGGTGGCTCACGCCTGTAATCCCAGCACTTTGGGAGTCCGAGAAGGGCAGATCCCCAGAGGTCAGGAGTTCAAGACCAGCCTGACCAACATGGTGAAACCCCGTCTCTACTAAAAATACAAAAATTAGCTGGGCGTGGTTACGAGCGCTTGTAATCCTAGCTACCTGGGAAACTGAGGCAGGAGAATCACTTTAACCCAGGAGGCGGAGGTTGTGGTGAGCCGAGATTGCGCCATTGCACTCTAGCTTGGGCAACAAGAGCAAAACTCCATCTCAAAAAAAAAGAACTACTGCCTTGGCATATGAATTAGATATCAAAAGGGGTGATCTTTTTTTTTTTCCTGCTAACCTCATCTCCCTTTCCAGGCCTCTACTACGTGGACAGTGAAGGGAACCGGATTTCAGGGGCCACCTTCTCTGTAGGTTCTGGCTCTGTGTATGCATATGGGGTCATGGATCGGGGCTATTCCTATGACCTGGAAGTGGAGCAGGCCTATGATCTGGCCCGTCGAGCCATCTACCAAGCCACCTACAGAGATGCCTACTCAGGAGGTGCAGTCAACCTCTACCACGTGCGGGAGGATGGCTGGATCCGAGTCTCCAGTGACAATGTGGCTGATCTACATGAGAAGTATAGTGGCTCTACCCCCTGAAAGAGGGTGGATGCAGCTGCTTGTGTTTCTTGGGGTGACTGTCATTGGTAATACGGACACAGTGACCCATCCTCCATCCTATTTATAGTGGAAGGGCCTTCAATTGTATCAGTACTTTTTTTTAAGCTCTGGCACATTGACCTCTATGTGTTACCAGTCATTAATGAGCTGCTGCAGAGGTGACTATTTGTTTTACTTTCTTGGATGTTAACATTACACTACTCACTACTCAATCTCAGCCTGTGTTGCATCTTTTGTCCACACTGTCCCTCCTCCAAGCACTTTTCAGTCAAATAAGCCAGGACAGTGGAAGGGAAGTGACTGTAATTACAGGAAACAGTGGTGTGAAGACATTGTCTAGTGAATACATTAATGTCCCCACTCATGAAGCTAATAACGGAGAAGGAGAGAGAGGCAGGGAGGAGGGAGACACTTCTCGATTTGGTTTACAAAGAGATGAAAAGTTGATGAGGTGGAAAGATGCACAGGGCTGTACCAGGCAGGGCTCCAGCGGAAAAGGCTGTCACCCTGTGGTGGGGGAAGGGAGGCTGAGGCTACATGCAGAGCGGAAGGGTGAAGAGGGTAAATCTTGACTCTTAAACCAACTGGGAAGGGAAGGCTTGGACCCTGGGAAGGGGAGGACAAAGAAGTGGCTGTGAAAGCAGTAGTAACCACAAGCTTGGTGACCCTTGTCCTTTTGGTCCTCCAGTGCATATGTGTGGAGGGGAGAGGGTAGTGATGGTGATTTTATAGCCTCCTGGTCAGGAAGCAGCACTAAATTGTCACTGGAATGTGTGGGTGGGGAAGAGGCCCTGCTGAGAGCAGAGAGATGGCTGATTTATCACACCCAGCACTGTTGGGGCTGGGGGGAGTTCCCAAGCTATGGTGGCAGCAGATGGCAAGGCCTTCTGTTAAAGAGAAGACAGGGGATAGAGGAGGTTGATGGGAGAAACCTTTAAAAAATGGGAGCGGAGGACACAAACAATACCACCTTGTATTTAGTCAGAAGGCAGAAAGTGGTTGGTGAAGGTGACAACCCAGTGTCATGTTTTGAGACTGAGAGGTTTGGAGAAGTCATTCACAGAAGAAGAGGGGGTAAACCCTCCTCTCCTGTACTGCAGCTACCTTCCCTTCCCCCTCAGCCTTGTGCAGTCTTCGTATTGATTGATGAGGGCTGTCGGCCAGGAACTGATCGAGGCTTGTTAATTGCATTTGTCAAATGCAGGGAAATTGGGAATTAGTGAAATCGGAGAAGGGGGTTTGGAAAACAAATGACTCGTGCCTAAGGAAATTTTTTGCAGGAAAGTATCTCAGGAGCCCCTGCAGTCAGGGAGCTGCTGGTGTGGACTCAGACTACATGGTTGAAATAGGCAGGAGCTGGGCGGGGCACAGTGGCTCAGGCTTGTAATCCCAGCACCAGCACTTTGGGAGACGGAGGCAGGCAGATCACTTGATGCCAGGAGTTTGAGACCAGTCTGGCCAACATGGTGAAACCTGTCTCTACTAAAAATACGAAAAATTAGCTGGGTGTGGTGGCAGGCACCTGTAATCCCAGCTACTTGGGAGGCTGAGGCAGAGGTTGCAGTGAGCCGAGATGGTGCCATTGCACTCCAGCCTGGGCAACAAAAGCAAAACTCCATCTAAAAAAAAAAAGAAAGAAAGAAATAGGCAGGACCCAAGCTACATCTTCCTTCTCGTAGACTGTTGGGAAATGGTTAGCTGCGTGAGAAGCACAGGTAGGTCATCTTCCTCCCACTTAGGACATTGGTTTGCAGATCTTAAAAAAAAAAAAGAAAAAAAAAAAAGCACTCTTAGGAGAAATCCCAATGCCTGAAAAAAAAATCAGAGGTTGAAATTGAGCTGAGAGGTCCAGAGCCTCCACTATTGAGCTTCCCCATCCAGCCACTCCCCGCAGCACCCTTTGTTAGCCCCATACACATACACAGTCCCTGGCACTTCTTGGAACCTCAAGGAACACAATTTGAACACCTCTTCCCTGGGAAATAGCCTTAAGGATAGAAAGAGAATTGAAGATTGGAATTTCCTTACATGACCCCAGAGAGCATAAGACCCCAGCTTTGGTCCATGAACAGAAAATTCATTCTGGAGAGAAGAGATGATCGTGAAACAATGCAACCCTTTGCCCTGTTTCTGTCTCACACTTTGCTTTGGCAGTGGTTTAGCTGTTTAACGGAAACACCTATTCTGCACTGGCAGAGTCCTTATGTTAGAAGAGAAAATGCATGTTCTGTTCTGGCATATCCCTGTTGATCTACCTTCCTGGGTCTTGGGTAAAAGACTCATTTAATGGAAGAGCTCGATTTGTGGTAGGTTTTTCTGGGAAGAAAGTAGAGCAGAGGTAGGGAAAAACTGCAAGTCTGTAGGCTAGTGGTATCCACCCTGTGCATTTGTGATTTCTTGCTGATGGTTACTGGGGGGAAATTGGCTTTGCAGCGATGTGTGTCTCCGCTTGTGTGGGAATGATGGATGCCGCATAGGATTGGAGAGATGTTTTTGAGTGGAGTGTACCAGTTCAGGGACTCCCATCAGATTCATTTCCCAGTACAGTCCTCTTGACAAAGGATGATGGAAAAGAAATCGCCTTAAATAGCTGGAAGATTAATTTCTCTCAGCAGTTCCCAGGCGTCCAAGGGACTGGGCTCTTTAAGTGATGTCTGACAACTTCTCTTCCCTCAACAGATAACTCAGTAACACCAAAATCTGGCTCCTCGGGGTAGGTGATGGGACTAATCTGATTAAATAGGGAGCAAATACTCCTGGAGGCCCCTTGCTTTCTCTTGCTAGCCTTCCAGCATCTGCACACCAGGCAAGGGAGGGCTGTGGGGAGTAGCAGTGCACTGTGGGGTGAGTAGAATGTTCATGAAGGAAGGTGAAAAGGTAGGTGAGGATGTGGGGGAGGAGGGAGGAAGGGCACAGTTAACGCAAATCAAAGACTGAAGGATAATAGTTACTGAGTGTTCCTCTTTAGGCAAAACCAGAAGGTCAGTGTCTCTTGATATCCTCCTCAGCTAGCAAATGAGAAAACTGTCAGAGCCATTTGGGGAGTGGAAGGTCACATCCTCCGAGGGGAAATAAAATAACTGATTTATTCTGGCCCACGGATTCTATGTGGTCTGTTAGGGGAAGGAAGAAAGAGGTGGGATGAAAAGAGAATAAAGTAGAAAAAAAAAGGTGGATGGAAATTTTGAGGGGAGCATTTCCCTTGTGTCAGGAGTAACAAGGATAGGATGATTGGGTTAGGAGAGAATCTACATGACCATATCTAATTTTCGGTGGATACATTTAGGTTTTTAATTTTCTTTTATTTTTGTTTCTTTTGTTAGATCTTCCCCTGACCTGCTCCCAGGGCTATAACAGATACGGACTTTGAAACTGTATGGAGTATAGAGCAGTGCTCTATAATTTAAAATATACATATATTGCAACCAAGCACCTCTGCTGTTTTGCGTTTGTTTCTTGTTTGTTTTTATAAATTCTAGTTTCCCTTCAGGAAGCCAGAATCATACTGGGAATGCTTTAATTATAGTGGGCAAGAGGGAGCTCAAACAGCAATCAGAACTGCCCTGATCAGCAGCTGCTGCCACCTTCTACCTGACCTGGGCCACCCCTCTTTTTCCCCCCAAGTCAGCCTCCCGTGCTCCCCAGGCGTGGCTTCAGAGCCAAGTTCTGGTTTCCAGGAGCTCTGCCCCCACTGAAGCATTTCAATAAAAAACATTTCTAAAATGTCCCCTTTGCAGTTGTTAGTGGGTCAAGCAGAAGAAATTCTACCCACGTCAGCTTCTTGGGCTTATTTGACCCAACTCATTTCTCCCAGAAGCTTTTGCCTCTGAGTTAGGTGCCAAGCTTAAGCTGGTATTTAACTCTTTATGGTCCAGATTAAGCTGTCATCAGCCATAAAGATATGACCCAGTTTATTTGAAAAGAAATAAGACACCATGGGTTCGACACGTTCTGATGCTTCCCATTACTTATCCCCGGCCCCATCTTAGGCTGTTCCTCCCTTTGCCTCGTTCCATGTTTTCTCTCTGCTCTCTCACTTTATAAAAATTCTCTTTCCTTTGCAGAGTTTAAATAAAAACCAATCAATCAATAAACCAAGGGCTGCTTATAGGCTTTACTGTAACAAGAAAAGGTTATCATTAACTGCAGGGTACCCAAAAAGCTGGTATTATAGAGGAAAACAGATGGAATGGCAGAAAGTGAACTAGAGAGAACAAGAGACAAACCAGAGACAAACAAAAGCGACTCCCAGACAGCAAGCGCGAGATTGAGCAAAGTGCAGAGGGAGATGTGAACGTGGCAGAGAAAGATGGATGGAGATATTGACAGGCAGAGCTGGACTGTGAATGGGGGCAGACAGGGAGTGGGAAAGGAGACTAAGAAGGACAGTGATAGAGAGAGTGGGCAGAAAAACAGGGAGGAAGGAAGCGGCTCGAAGCTAATGCACAGTGAAACATGTCCCCCTGGAGACAGATAATTTCTCCAGCCATACGTAATGAACACGTGCCTCTCTGTGTGTTGCCCCTGTACTGTCACAGTCACTTAAATTCTGCAAGAATCTCTCCATGTCTACACCACTTATGCGAGGTTGGAAAGAAGGTTTGGGCTCTCACAACCCCCATCTCAATCCAGCCAGGCCGAAGACAGAAAATTAGAAACCTGTGTCGTAAAAGTAACAGGGTGAGTGAGGCAGGATCACAGATCCAGTACCTTCGAAAATTTGTTTTTAGGTTCACTAAGAAGCCTTCTCTCCCCACACCTCCATACTCCCTGGCAACACACATCATACACACATAACTCATCCTCTTTTCTGCAAACATGCCTGCAGATCAGGGCCTAGGGTGCCTAAGTCAGGAGAGGGAAGCCACTACCTCCCAGGAAGACTGAGGAATAGCACATGTCAGGTAAGACGAGAAATAAGTAGGTCCAAATAGAAGTAGGTGTAGCCTACAAGGCACCAAGGTAGAGGGGATGTTTTTGCACGACCGCAGCTCTTTTCTCATTCTAGCCTCAACACCATCACTATCCCAGAGACACCTATGCACTCTAAGCCTCCCCATGCATACAGAGTTTCACACAATACACAGGCTTTTTTTCACAGCAGCTTATCTCCAGCGGTGATGTGTGGTATTGTCTGATTAGAGGGAATCCTCTGAGCACCATGGTTATGTGGGAGGGCTCATAATCACCATGTCTCCCTTGAGTCTTGAGTTTGCGCTCATAGCTTAGTCTTTAGAAAAGAAAGCAATGGAGCATTTTAAACCAACACAACATATTCAGCATAGTCCTGCATTTCCAAGCACCTCCTAAAGAGGAAAAATGCATAAAGGTGGATCAATCCAAGTGCGGTCCTTGGCTAGGGGTCAGCACTGTTCTACATCTCATTTAAACAGCCTTAGGGCCAGGTGCCATGGTTCACACCTATAATCCCAACACTTTGGGAGGCCAAGGTGGGAGGATCACTTGAGCTCAGGAGTTCAAGACCATCTGGGCAAAATAATGAGACCCCCATCTCTACAAAAGATATTAAAATTTAGCCAGGTGTGGTGGTACATACCTCTAGTACCAGCTCCTCAGGAGGCTGAAGCAAAAGGATCACTTGAACCTGGGACATGAGGCTGCAGGGAGCTGTGATCGCACCACTGCACTCCAGCCTGGGTGACAGAGTTAGACCCTGTCTCAAACAAAACAAAACAAATCAAAAAACAGCCTTAGGCATGTGCCACATCAAACAGCATCTATGTAGTGTCTCTGGTTGTTTCCTGGCATGTCTGCCTGCTTTTTCAGTTAAGCACTATAGTGTAGTTTTTACTTGTTCCCCCACAGTGTCTAGCATGCTGTTGGCTACTCAGGAAAGATATATAATAAATGTACTTTTAATAAATGAATTAATGAGGCTAGGTGCATTAGCTGACGCCTGTAATCCTAACACTTTGGGAGGCCGAGGTGGGTGGATCACTTGAGGTCAGGAGTTCGAGGCCAGCCTGGCCAACGTGGTGAAACTCTGTCTCTACTAAAATACAAAAATTAGCTGGGTGTGGTGGTGTGCACCCGTAATCCCAGCTACTTGGGAGGCTGAGGCAAGAGAATCACTTGAACTGCAGCGCAGGCTGCACTGAGCAGAGATTCCACTAGCCACTATACTCCAGCCTGGGCAACAGAGCAAGACTCCACTACAAAAAAAAAAAAAATACAGAATTAATGAATGATTGCCAGGCGCGGTGGCTCACGCCTGTAATCCCAGCACTTTGGGAGGCCGAGGCAGGCGGATCACCTGAGGTCAGGAGATCGAGACCAGCCTGGCTAACACAGTGAAACCCCATCTCTACTAAAAATACAAAAAAAAATTAGCCGGGCATGGTGGCAGGCGCCTGTAGTCCCAGCTACTCGGGAGGCTGAGGCAGGAGAATGGCGAGAACCCGGGAGGCGGAGGTTGCAGTAAGCAGAGATAGCGCCACTGCAGTCTGGCCTGGACGACAGCGAGACTCCGTCTCAAAAAAAAAAAAAAAAAAAAAAGACCAGCCTGGCCAACACGGTGAAACCTCGTCTCTACTAAAAATACAAAAATTAGCCAGGCGTGGTGGCAGGCACCTGTAGTCCCAGCTACTCGGGAGCCTGAGGCAGGAGAATCGCTTGAACCTGGGATGTGGAGGTTGCAGTGAGCCGAGATTGCGCCATTGCACTCCAGCCTGGGGAACAAGAGCGAGACTTCATCTCAAAAAAAAAAAAAAAAAAAAAAATTAATGAATGATTTCACTATGGTGTCATTTTGCCAGTGGTTCCTACCCTTCTTAGCACTGTGACTCCCATATTGTTTAATTTTAAGATGCCCTTTGCTGCTCTTAAACATACTATGGGCCAGGCACGGTGGCTCATGGCTATAATCCTAGTGCTTTGGGAGGCCAAGGCAGGTGGATCACCTAAATTCAGGAGTTAAAACCAGCCTGGCCAATATGGTGATGAAACTCTGTCTCTATTAAAAATACAAAAATCAGCCAGGTGTGGTGGCATGCGCCTGTAATCCCAGCTACTCAGAGGCTGAGGCAGGAGAATCACTTAAACCTAGGGGGCAGAGGTTGCAGTGAACCAAGATTGTACCACTTCGTTCCAGCCTGGGTGAAAGAGTGAAACTCTGTCTCAAAAAAACAAAAAAACAAAAACAAAAACAAAAAAACTATGAAACGTATATTAATTTTTAAAATTAAGACAAATTAAAATTACTTGTTTTGTGAATTTCTTTTTTTTTTTTTTGAGACAGAGTCTCGCTCTGTCGCCCAGGCAACATTGGCGCAATCTCGGCTCACTGCAATCTCTGCCTCCCAGGTTCACGCCATTCTCCTGCCTCAGCCTTCCCAGTAGCTGGGGCTACAGGCGCCCGCCACCATGCCCGCTAATTTTTGTTTTTTTTGTATTTTTTAGTAGAGACGGGGTTTCACCGTGTTAGCCAGGATGGTCTTTTTTGTTTTTTTGGGACTTTTTTTTTTTCTTTTTGACACCACTGCACTCTAGCCTGGGCGACAGAGCGACACTCCATCTCAAAAAAAAAGAAATAACATAAATGTAAAGAAGATAATGAAGAAGGCAAAGAGGAGAAAAATGAGTAGATAGATGCCAGCTATTATATGTAGAAGAAATAACAGAATTTGAAAAATCACCATTTGGCAAACCCCAATGCAAAAATAGGAAGGTGCAAGGTTGTGGAAGAACAGGATATTCACATTATCTAAGATAATCACTGTATTAGTTTGCTAAGGCTGCTATAACAAAACACCATAGTCTGAGTGGCTTAAACAACAGAAATTACTTTCTCCCAGTTCTGGAGGCTGTAGGTCCAAGATCAAAGTATCAGCAGTGTTGATTTCTTCTGAAGCCTCAGTCCCCTTGGCTTGCAGAGAGCTGCCTTCTCACTGTATCCTCACATGGTCTTTCCTCTGTGCACCACAGGTATCTCTTTGTGTCCAAATTCCCTCTTCTTATAAGGACACCAGTCAGACTGGCTCTACCCTAAGTGCCTCATTTAACTTAATCACTTCTTTAAAGACTCAGTCTCCAAATACAGTCGAATCCTGAGGTACTGGAGGTTAGGGCTTCAGTATATAAGTTTTAGGGGAACACATTTCAGCCCATAACAATCACTCTATTTATTATTAGTTTACTAATTAATTACAAATGGCAAATATACTTCTACAACAGAGACGTCTAGCAGACATGAATAAACTTGCAGTCACCAATAATAGAACAAACTGACATTATATGCCTCTTGATGTGATACAATAAGAAGTATATAAAATTACCTAAGTAATATTCTCGCTAAAAATGTTTAACCTTGGCCCTGATGTGGTGGCTCATGCCTATAATTCCAGCATTTGGGGAGGCCAAGGCAGGAGGATCCCTTGAGCCCAGGAGTTTGAGACCAGCCGGGGCAACATAGGGGGATCTTGTCTCTACCAAGTAATAACTTTTTAAAATTAGCAGGGCATGGTGGCATGCACTTGTAGTCCCAAGCTACTCAGGAGGCTGAGGCAGGAGGATGGCATGAGCTTTGGATGTCAAGGCTGCAGTGAACTGTGATTACATCACTGCACTCCAGCCTGGGTGACAGAGCAAGACCCTGTATCAAAAAAGAAAAAAAAAAAAAAGCTTAACCTGAACCTAATCACAAGAAAACAGATAAATCAGATTGCAAATAATGTCCTGACTCTTCCAGTAGAAACACCACGAAAAATTCACACACACCCACATGGCAAAGGAGCACAGCACTTAGGTGCAGTGCTGCAGAATCCTGTCCCACGCATTGCAAATGAGCTTGTTCTCGGTCTTGGGACACTTGTGGATGTACCCTGTATCTTCACAGTACTTGATTTTCACAGTAACTGGTTGCCAAGGAGAAAAACCATAAAGGCACCTATAATCCCAGCACTTTGGGAGGCCGAGGTGGGTGGATCATCTGAGGCCAGGAGTTCGAGACCAGCCTGGCCAACATGGTGAGACCCCGTCTCTACTAAAAATGCAAAAATTAGCCGGGACTGGTGGTGCATGCCTGTAATCCCAGCTACTCAGGAGGCTGAGGCAGGAGAATCGCTTGAACCCAGGAGACAGAGGTTGCAGTAAGCCGAGATAGTGCCACTGCACTCCAGCCTGGGTGACAGAGCAAGATTCAGTCTAAAAAAAAAAAAAAATTAGTTGGGCGTGGTGACGGGTGCCTGTAATCCCAGCTACTCAGGAGGCTGAGGCAGGAGAATTGCTTGAACCTGGGAGGGAGAGGTTGCAGAGCCAAGACCATGCCACTGCACTCCAGGGTGGGCAAGAGACTCTATCTCACAACAAACAAACAAATAGAAAACATAAGGGGTACAATTTCACAAAATCATTAGGTTTTAAGATGAGTGTGTGTATTTGAAAGTTTTGTGATGATTGTTTCTTTTCTTGTAGGTTGAAAGAAGCTCAAAGGCAAGAATGTTACTTTTGAATTCCCAAAGTTTCAATTGTAAACAAAAATGACTAAATAAAATATCATTCACAGTTTCATGTTTGTTTGTTTGTTTAGACAGAGTTTGGCTCTTGTCGCCCAGGCTGGAGTGCAATGGCACGATCTTGGCTTGCTGCAACCTCTGCCTCCCAGGTTCAAGTGATTCTCTTGCCTCAGCCTCCCAAGTAGCTGGGATTACAGGCACACACCACGAAGCCCGGCTAATTTTTGTATTTTTAGTAGAGACGGGGTTTCACCATATTGGCCAGGCTGGCCTCCAACTCCTGACCTCAGGTGATTCGCCCACTTCAGCCTCCCAAACTGCTGGGATTACAGACGTGAGTAAGCCACCGTGCCTGGCCTGTTATAGCATTTTAATTTGTTTTGTTTTGGTTTTTGACACTTTTTTTTTAACTGATCTTAAGATGTTCCAGTTGCTTCTACAATTTTTATCAAATTTTTGCATCTAACAATCAAATTCAGATCTTTTTTCTTTAAAATCGAATCTACTTTCACTCCTGCTACAATACAAACCCCTTCTCTCTTCCTTGAGGGCTGTTCTCTGCTGCCTGCCGTCTTCCTTTTCTGTTGTTTCCTTTGCATTACCTTCCACCTTTCTGTACCCTTTCTCAACTCTGAATCTCAGCTCTCTCATACTTTCCTCTCCAGTGTCTCTTAGGACATATTCTCAGCTAGCTGTAGGATTTCCTTCCACTCCTATTCTAAGATGCTCTCCCATGTGTTAACGAATGACTGTCGGAAACAGCTTCCCGGCCTCACTCTAGGGGAAGTTACATTTCACTGTAGGGGAGGCCTCTTTCAGATCTCATTGAACAGAAACAGCCTAAAATAAAAGATCTGCTTGATTCAAAGCCAAATTAGTGATTTTCCTCAATCGACAAGTCATCTGTAAAGTCTAACATTTGAAATTTCAGATGTTTTAGAGTGAAAATTGTAATTTTTAGGTGAAAATGGTATATTCTCCCTATTCTCATTACCTAACAGCACACAAGTTCATTACTCAAACCTTCTACTCAAAGATTCTCCTATGACCATGGGGAAAATAGAAATTTAGGCCGGGCACTGTGGCTCATGCTTGTAATTGTTTGGGAGGCCAAGGTGGGAGGATCACTTGAGCCCAGGAGTTCGAGAACAGCCTGGGCAACGTAGTTAGACTCCATCTCTACAAAATATTTTAAAAATTAGCTGGGCATATTGGCACACACTTGTAGTCTGAGCTACTCGGGAGGTAGAGGCTGCAGTGAGCCATGATTGCACCACTGCACTCCAGCCTGGGTGACAAAGCAAGTGATCCTGTCTCAAAAAGAAAAAGAAAAAAAAAAAGTCCAGGCGCGGTGGCTCAGGCCTGTAATCCCAGGACTTTGGGAAGCCGAGGCGGGCGGATCACCTGAGGTTGGTCGAGGTCGAGACCAGCCTGACCAATATGGAGAAACCCTGTCTCTACTAAAAATACAAAATTAGCTGGGTGTGGTGGTGCATGCCTGTAATCCCAGCTACTTGGGAGGCTGAGGCAGGAGAATTGCTTGAACCCGGGAGGCAGAGGTTGCGGTGAGTCGAGATCGTGCTATTGTACTCCAGCTTGGGCAACAAGAGTGAAACTCTGTCTCAAAAAAAAAAAAAAGACATGGCTTTTCCAACTTAACTTTGACCTTTGTAGTAATGGACTCATAATTAAAAATATATCCCAGGAGACTGTATGGCAGTTATGAACATTCCATTGATCATCAAAGTGAAGACAGCTTGTCTTTCATGGACAGAACGAGAGCAAAAGAGGGTAACAGCAAGGCAGAGTGGGTTTCAATTTAGACAGAGACTAATGAATAGTCAAGAGCACAGGTTCTGTAGTGAGCACACCTGGGTTCAAGCTATGATTCCACTAGTGACCACCATTGAGTTAATTAGCTCAACAACCTCTAGGTAACTTACCAATCCCCCTCTAAGTCTCAGTTTTCTCCTCAGTAAAAGAGGGAGTATAATAGTACTTATCTCACAGAATTGATTAAATGAGATACAGAGTGCCTGGCACCAAGTAAACTCTCAATAACTGTTGATTTTAATAATTATTAACATTTCTGTTTTCCCTTTATCCTAACATTTTTGAAAATATATCACCTGTGGCTGGGCACAGTGGCTCATGCCTGTAATCCCAGCACTTTGGGAGGCCGAGGCAGGTAGATGATCTGAGGTCAGGAGTTCAAGACCAGCCTGGCCAACATGGTGAAACCTGTTTCTACTAAAAATACAAAAAGTTAACCGGGTGTGGTGGCAGCCTCCTGTAGTCCCAGCTACTCTGGAGGCTGAGGCAGGAGAATTGCTTGAACCCAGGAGGCGGGGGTTTCAGTGAGCCGAGATTGTGCCACTGCACTCCAGCCTGGGCAACAAGAGCAAAACTCCATCTCAAAAAAAAAAAAAAAAGAAAATATATCACCTGTGCATTTGAGAATATGAGACGTCCTAGTACATTCTCATCAAGAGTTAATATTTAATATTTTCCTAGTGATCTCATGGCTTTATTTATTTATTTATTTATTTTTTGAGACAGAATCCCACTTTGTCACCCAGGCTGGAGGGCAGTGGTGGAATCTCGGCTCACTGCAACCTCTGCCTCCCAGGTTCAAGCGATTCTCCTGCCTCACCCTACAGAGTAGCTGGGATTACAGGTGCACACCACCACACCTGGCTAAGTAGCTGGGATTACAGGTGCACCCCACTACACCCGGCTAAATTTTGTATTTTAGTAGAGACGGGTTTCACCATGTTGATCAAGCTGGTCTCGAACTCCTGACCTCAAATGATCCACCTGCCTTGGCCTTCCAAAGTGCTCAGATTACAGGCATGAGCCACCACGCCCAGTTAGGCTTGTGTTATTTTTTAGAAGTTTAAATGAAAAGCATATAAAAAGAAACACATGTTGGGCACAGTAGCATGCACCAGCTATTGGGGAGGCTGAGGCAAGAGGATCCCTTGAGTCCAAGAGTTTGAGACCAGCCGAGGCAACATAGTGAGGTCCTGTCTCTAAAAAGAGAAAAAAGAAACACAGAAAGTCTATAACCCTTGAGAAAGTAAACACTAGCACCTCATTTTCAGGTAAAAGGCAAATCTATTGCCTAAGCTAGGGTGCTGCTAGGGTGAAAACAACACTGAAGGCATTAGGCCTTTCTGCTGAGAACTAGATCCTACCAACAATGCCCTGGACGTTGAGAACCAACAATTTTATGGACGAGGCCTGACTGATGGCCAGTGTCAAAATGTGTGTGTGAGTGTGTGTGTGTATGTTGAACAGCTTGATAAGACAGCTGGCTTGGGGGTTCAGGTCTGTCGCCTATTAGCTATGTAAATTTGTAGTAAGTACTCTCTGAACCTGTTTCTTGTAAAATGGTGACGCCACTAATCTAACTTGGCTACAATCAAATTATCTAATATCCAGGCCATATTTAATTTTCCCAAGTATCCTGTTAGTGTCCAGGATAGCATTTTTTCTTCTGACCCAGATCATACTTTGCATGTAGTTGTCATGTCCCTAGATTATTATTATTTTTGAGACGAAGTCTTGCTCTGTCACCCAGGCTGGAGTGCAGTGGCACCATCTCGGCTCACTGCAATCTCCGCCTTCCGGGTTCAAGTGATTAATGTGCCTCAGCCTCCGGAGTAGCTGGGACTACAGGCATGCACCACTACACCCAGCTAATTTGTGTATTTTTAGGAGAGACAGGGGTTTCACTATGTTGCCCAGGCTGGTTTCCAACTCCTGAGCTCAAGGGATCTGCCGTGCCGCTTCGGTCTCCCAAAGTACTGGAATTACAGACATGAGCCACTGCGCCCGGCCAAAAAAAATTTATTTTTAAGTGGCACGATCTCAGCTCACTGCAACTTCTGCCTCCCAGGTTAAAGGGATTCTCCTGCCTCAACGTCCCAAGTAGCTGGGATTACAGGCGTGCGCCACCAAGCCCAGCCAATTTTTGTATTTTTAGTAGAGACGGGGTTTCACCATGTTGGCCAGGCTGGTCTTGAACTCCTGACCTCAGGTGATTTGCCTGCCTCATCCTCCCAAAGTGCTGGGATTACAGGCGTGAGCCACCACACCCGGCCTTATTATTTTATTATTATTATTTTTTGAGATGGAGTCTCGCTCTGTCCTCCAGCCTGGAGTGCAGTGGCGCAATCTTGGCTCACTGCAACCTCTGCCTCCTGGGTTCAAGCAATTCTCCTACCTCAGCCTCCCAAGTAGCTGGGACTACAGGTGCGCATTACGATGCCCAGCTAACTTTTTGTATTTTTAGCAGAGACGGGGTTTCACCATGTTGGTCAGTCTGGTCTCGAACTCCTGACCTCGTGATCCGCCTGCCTGGACGACAGAGAAAGACTCTGTCTCGAAAAATAAAAAATAAAAAAAAAAAATAATAATAATAATACCTAAATTGATGCACATAAAGTGTTCAGAACAGTTACTTCCTGCACAATAAGTGTTCACAAATTGCTACTTACTATAGAAGGGAAATTCTTGTGAGATGTGAGTTTCAGAATCTGTGTTTTAGCTAGAAAAGAAATTCACTTATTTGATCATAAATGATTTTTGGCCCGGCATGGTGGCTCACGCCTGTAATCCCAGCACTTTGGGAGGCTGAGGCTGGTGGATCACGAGGTCAAGAGATCCAGACCATCCTGACTAACACGGTGAAACCCCGTCTCTACTAAAAATACAAAAAATTAGCCAGACTTGGTGGCGGGCGCCTGTAGTCCCAGCTACTCGGGAGGCTGGGGCAGGAGAATGGCGTGAACCTGGGAGGTGGAGCTTGCAGTGAGCCGAGATCGGGCCACTGCACTCCAGCCTGGGCGACAGAGCGAGACTCCAGCTCAAAAATAAATATAAATAAATAAATGATTTTTTTGGTCAGTGTTTACTAAATATCTACAATTATGCCAGCTACTGCAGTAAGAATCAAACAGTTCCTGGATGGAAAAACAATTTTAAGATATGATCACTGACCTCAAACAGTTTACTGGAGTGAAATTACTAAAATATGTGAATCAAGGTAGAGTTACGTGCCGCTAACTGGAGTACACATGAAATTCATGTTGATGGGAGCGGAGAGAAGGAAGTAAGCAGTCTGTGCTGAAAGAGAATGGATAAAAATTGACCAGTCAGGGAAGGGGAGACGCATAATTCAGGCCAAAAAAAAAAAAAAAAGCCACTTGAGTAAAGGAATAATACAAGATTGATAAGACGAGCGTAGAGGGAACTAAGAACAAATATGTGCCCAGGCGCGGTGGCTCACGCCTGTAATCCCAGCACTTTGGGAGGCCAAGGCGGGAGGATAACTTGAGGTCAAGAGCTCAAAACCAGCCTGGCCAACATGGTGAAACCCCGTCACTACTTAAAAAAAAAAAATAGCCGGGCGTGGTGGCATATATCCGTAATCCCAGCTACTCGGGAGGCTGAGGCAGGAGAATCGCTTGAGCCTCGGAGGTGGGGGTTGCAGTGAGCCGAGATCACATCACTGAAAAAAAAAAAAAAAAGGCAGGGTGGGCACATCACCTCAAGTCAGGAGTTCAGGACCAGCCTGGCCAACATGGCGAAACCCTGTCTCTACCAAAAACAAAAAAAATTAGCTGGGTGCAGTGGCGCACGCCTGTAGTCCCAGCTTCTTGGGAGGCTGAGGCAGGAGAATCGCTTGGGCGGGGTGGGGGTGGGGGTGGGGGTGGGGGCGGAGGGGCGGAGTTTACAGTGAGCGAAGATCATACCACTGCACTCCAGCCTGGGTGACAGAGCGAGACTCTGTCTAAATAAATAAATAAATAACAAATAGGTGGGTGGGACCAGATTATGGGTGGCTTAAAATCCAGGTATACCAGCTGTCTTCCTGGAAATAAAGAGGAGCCACTTTAGTTTTGAGAATGTGGTCTGAGCCAGGTAGATAAACTGGGAGCTCGGGCTGAAGTGTAAGACTTCAGAAAGATGTTCCATACGTGAATGTTCATTTAAACGTGGGGGTGTTAAGCAACACACGTGACCCAGAGACATTTCACCTGGAAACCGGAGTAGGGCCCACGCACCAAGTCCCTGATGTTTAATTGCAGTCTAGAATGTTACTGACTAGTTCACTCAATTTAACAAAGTGTCCGGAGGTCGCTCACTGGATTGTTATGCTGGTGACTGGGCCTTGTTTCACTGAGAAAAAAAGATGGGAAAGGGTGACAGGACGGTGAGAAAGTGAAAGGGAGAGAGGTGGGAAAGGGGTCTGCCAAGGTCCAGGCGAGGTTGGGGGTCGGGGGTCCGGCGGCCCTCAGGGCCCCCCCCGCCCCCAACTCCGGGGTTGGCGCCTCGGGCGCGGCGCGTGTGCTTGCGGGCGGGGCGCCCCGCGGCCGCGGACGGCCAATCCGGGAGGGCGTCCGGGGAGGGGCGGGGCTTGCCGGCTCGGGCTCCGCGAGTCCTCCTTTTTGCACACACACGAATACAAAGAGCCATACGACCTTCGGGTATCCTTTTTCCATTTTTTTTCCTCCTTAATCTTGTGTGTGTTTTCAAATTTTTTAAAAATAGAGATCTGTAGCAGTGTTGGGGTGAGGAAACTGTTGCTAAGGGGAATTTGCTCTTTCCCCCATTTCTTTTTCTGTCTCTCTTCCTCTTTCTTTTTCCTGGTCAAGGTTTTAAATATACCAAGAAGTTGAGAAGCAGGATGGCCGTGTACAACCGTTTCCGGCCAAATTTATAGTTTTTTTTTCTTTTTTTTAAATCACATTTTAAGAACTGGTAGATTTTTGTGGTTGAGGGACTTTAAAAATTTAGCCGCTTGGGAAGTACAGAATTTTTTAAGCGGGCTGAAGGGATAATGTAAATTTCTGCCACAGGCAACATCGAAGGAAGCAGAGAGATTTGAGGCTCCCTCATAAAGCCGTTTGCGTGCTTTTTACACACCCACCCCCCCAGAACCAAAACCAAGTGGCTGGGATGTGGCACTTGTCCAAGGCCAATAAGTTAATATTGGGATATTATAATGGAGACATTCATTTCCCTAGGGAAGGGGGAAAGACCTTAATTACAGTGTGTCTTTCACACACATTTTCATTAGAACATTTGTGTGTGTGTGTGTGTGTTTCTTGAAACAAATTTGTAAAGTTATAACTTGGGGTTATTTGTGTATATGTACAATATGTGTGTATATGTGCCATATCAGATTTTATTTTCAAAAGTGATAAATATATCTGGTTTTATGTGTGCAAAGTATCCCCTAGGATGTGAATTTTTTTCCGTTGTCTTCCCAAATGTGATCAAAATATTTTGTGTGCAAAGCAGAGCTTAGAAGAAATCCTATGCTTAGCATACTTAGGCACTTTCTATGTGCATTTACTATATTTTTCTGCTCCTAAAGGATCAGAATAATGAATAATTAAATAATTGCCAAGGAGTATATAGTCCATGTGGCAAATGAGAGTAGGCAATTTATTGAATCTGTGGTTCAAAGCCTTCAGTGACTGTTTTGCCTAAGTGGTTTTGCTTTTTATTGTCTCACGTTCTTAAGTGTACAGCTGTGTATATTTTGGCCTTTATGTGTGGTTTGGTTGGTGTGTTCAGAAGGGAAGTTCTTTCTTGGCTTTTTGACAAAATGGTCGTTTATTGGTTGGAATATTCGAAAAGCTCCACAGCTGGCAAAGTATCAGGAAAAAAATCCAGTCAAGTGTAATTCTCAAAAACTGTTCATGGTGATGGTGATGGGGAGCCAAGAGGATGCAAAGGCAAATAATAGAAGGGATAAGAAATGCCTTTTGGTTATCATGTTGCATTTTTAGAATGGAAAGCTTCTCATTTCTAAGAGTCACAGAAAAAAGTATATGAATTAGAGAAAAACAGGCTCGCAGAGCAGAACCTCCTGTTATAGGAGCCCTATTTTCACTTCATTCTGTTACAGAATCACTATCTCCTCATTAGAAGTTGTATGGAAAATATCTGTATCCAAATTTGTATTCGCAGATTGGAGTGAAAGCATAGGAGGTATATGAGGTGCTGAGGGAGAAACTGGAATGTCACAAATGCAGTGACAACCAGGAGACAAAAAAAAAAATCTACTGTAGAATTTAAATTTCATTACAACAAAACTTCTGTATAATAATGCATTTCTATTACACAGCTAGCATCCTACTCTATTTCAAGCAGTATTTGACTCCTAAATACTGACTGCAATAAAGTTACTTGTACAAATTTATAACAAAAGTGGCCCTGTTTGGGCTTTCTGGGTTTCTTACTTGTGCTGAGTGTATTTTTATTCTCTAACAATTCAAGTCAGACCAGTGCTTAATAAATACTGGCTCGACTGTGGATTATTCCACAATTTCAGACCTGCATTTCTTTGAAATCTAGTCACATTTTAGTGATCTTTGTGATCACAACAGTGATGGGAGTTTTTTTTTTTTTTTTTTTTTTTTTTGAAACGGAGTTTCGCTCTTGTTGCCCAGGCTGCAGTGGCAATGGTGCGATCTTGGCTCACTGCAACCTTCGCCTCCTGGGTTCAAGCGATTCTCCTGTCTCGGCCTCCCGAGTAGCTGGGATTACAGGCATGTGCCACCATGCCGGGCTGATTTTTGTATTTTTAGTAGAGACGGGGTTTCACCATGTTGGTCAGGCTGGTCTCCAACTCCTGACTTTAGGTGATCCGCCCGCCTCTGCCTCTCAAAGTGCTGGGATTACAGGCGTGAGCCACCGCGCCCGGCCAGTTACGGGAATTTTTAATGGAGTTTTACCCTTTTTAGCTCTTTTCCACATCACTACAGGTCATCACATATACTTTTTACCTTACTTTTTAGCGTCTCAAAAAATAGGGAGAGCTCTCCCTGAACAGTGCAGAGCCCGTATCCCTGATTTCCTAGGCTATTTGATTTCTACATCCAGGAACGTAGGGTCATATCCACTGTTCTTGCTTTTTCTTCCTAAGAAAGGAGAGAATTCCTCGCACATATATATCGTTGGCTTGGCCTTCCAAAGCAAAGCAAAACTAAACTCTGTTGATTTTGCCTGGGAATCCTCGGGGCCCCTAGTATTGGAAACTTCTTTGAACTGTGAGGAGCTGCTAATTTGCAGGTGACATGTGAAAGAAATGTAACCGAGGCCAGCAGTAACTAAAAGTCGGCCACCACCCAACGTGTGACGCCGATTTGTGGCCACTGTGCTTATAATCGTGTACACACAGGTTTGTGAGCAGCAGAGAACAAAAGCAAGTAAACAAAAACAAGCTAAAGATGGCGTCTGACGGCCTTGAAAAAGCCTCACAGTCTTGTCCCTCCCTGAGGAGGCCCCTCCCCTACCTGACTTTTTGAGTGACTGTTGTTTGCAGCCAATAGTGTCCGTGACCCTGCTCCCCAGCCATCGTCTAACCGCCAATCACCGGGAGCCAGAAGGCAAACGGGGCGGTGTCTCCCCGCGTGCGCGCGGTAGCCGGGTACACGGGCAGGCGCCGCGGATAGTTCTGTCTCCCGCGCGCCCGCCTCCGCCTCTGCCTAGCTGAGTCAGCCCGTGCGGTAGCGCCAGGCACACGCGGTAGAACATCTGTAGGGCTGCAAAGCTGCACCTCCGCGTCAGTTCTCACGGCGAGCGCCGCCTTCAGCCCAAGTTCTCAAAGCTCTCGGGGCTACGTAGTCTACCCTCCCCGGTGACCCGGCGAGATCCCTAGCCGCTCCTCCGGCCGCTCTGCTCTCCGCATCCCTCGCGGGAATGACCCCCTTTACCCGGGACTCCCAGAGCGCACTGTATGGTAGGGCACAGTGGCGAGTCACCCTGTCCCCTGAGGCCTCTTGAGCAGTCGCCGATCTCTGCTTCCCGCGTCGCTGCGATCGCCTTTCCCGTAGCTGAATCACACTGACCCATCGGAAACGGTTCTGCCCTCCCTGGGGTCCACCTTGTCATCCTTGACTAATATTTAATCAACTAACATTTACCAAGTTCTCGCTGGCACGAGTTCTAGGAGCTACTTTTTCATTTTTCAGTTTCTCCATAAATGCAGTGGGTCCTTTAGGCAAACCTGAAATCGGAAATATTAATCTTACCAATGTAATCTTAGCAAATGTAAATAAAAAGGACTGTGCTATACTGGGCTAAAAATTCTCATCCTGCTATAGAAATATACGTGGAATTTTCAGATTACGTGGAATCCTTTAAAGACCGCATTCGGCCTTCTGGGTCTACAGCTCTCTTTTTTACCCCTAAAAATAAGGTCTTGGATTTTTTGCAGACCATTAGTCGAGTCACTCTTTTAAAATGTGGGAAAATAGTATTTTGTGGTATTTACTTAGCTGCTCTTGTGTGATAAGGAGCTCATTTCTGATAAAAATAGGTTTTGAGAGAACCTTTTGACAGGTGAGCCATTTTGCACCTTGAAGTGGAGGAGTAGGACTGACCAACACAGCAGGAGCTTTAAGTGGCCGTTTTCCTTATTTATTTCTTAAAATGAAGATTATGATATGAATTGCCATGCTTTCAGTAATCACATTTAAGGAAGTCTATTGCTAGCATGACCCTGAATGAGTCAAGCACCCATTATAAAAACATATATCATCTGAGTGATACCATATCATACACATCTATTAAATAGTGAGAAAACTTTTATTTTTCATAGTTTGGAGGTGAACTCAGTCATGCAGAAAATTCAAACTCAGAATGGGGAGAAAGCAAGCAAGGGAACTGCCAAGAGTATGATATATTTAGTCCTAACAAAAATGTGACTTGGGAGGAAAGGGATAGTTAAAATTATGGACAGTCTTACCCTGAACTGTCTGTCTAAAGGAGATGAATTGTCTTTCTTTTTTATCTAAATATTTATGAAAAATACCAAAAGTACTGGAAAGTACATTTTTAAGGCTCGTTTCACATTTATTTAAATTAGACCAATACTGAAATGAACCCCAAATGCTTATATTTTTTGCAAACCTAAGTGTGACATCTACTGTCATGTTGTGTTGGCAACGCATCCCAAGATTGAAGATCTTTTTCTCTTTTTTAGACCTAGTCAGTTGTTTTCAGGACTTTCTACTTAAACATGTTGCCATCATTTGAAATTTAAAATGTTAAATAAATACACTTCTTCTCTAATATACTGGTGTCTCCTCTTTTTATTTATTTATTTTTTAGAGACTGGGTCTTGCTATGCTGCCGAGGTTGGTCTCAAACTCCTGGGCTCAAGCGATCCTCCTCCTCCCAAAGTGCTGGGATTACAGGCATGAGCCACCATGCCCAGCCATGGTATTTCCTCTCAACTGCCTCATTTCTGTCATTCTGGTGGTGGTGGTGGTACCATCCTGTTACTCTTAGGCTTATAACCTTGCAGTTGTCTTTAACCAATTATCTCTATACCCCATCTCTATAACTCTGTCAATTCTCCTTATCTTACTATATAAGCGCCTTTGCTCTGACCTCTGACATGTACCCTGTTAAGTCCTGTAATTTTTTTTTTTTCCTCTAGAATGTCTTACTACCCTATCAGTTAATCCTATACATTGCTCAAGGCTCAACTGGAAGCTTTTCTTCTGTAAGAACTCTTTCTCAGTATGATTTCATTTTGTTAATGTTTCCATTATTTTGAACTAACGCCTCAGAAATTTTTCAGTCTATACCATATTATTAGGACTTGTGTGTATTTCACTTTGTTATTTATTTGTTTGTTTATTTATTTTTGAGACGGAGTTTCACTCTTGTTGCCCAGGCTGGAGTGCAGTGGTGCGATCTTGGCTCATTGCAACCTCCACCTCCCGGGTTCAAGTGATTCTCCTGCCTCAGCCTCCCGAGTAGCTGGGATTACAGGCATGTGCCACCACACCCAGCTAATTTTGTATTTTTAGTAGAGACAGGGTTTCTCCATGTTGGTCAGGCTGGTCTCGAACTCCTGACCTCAGGTGATCTACCCGCCTCAGCCTCCCAAAGTGCTGAGATTATAGGTTTGAGCCACTGCACCTGGCCTCAATTTGTTTTTTAGATAGTCCATGTTTAGAACATCCCATATTCTTTAGACATTCCCATCTGAAATACACTTTAAGTGCCTTATAGGTAGAGACTTTGTCTTCCTTTCATTTGAGTAGTGTGCAATGCATTTTGGTGAGTCATCCTTTAACATGGACTTACATATAAAAAACTTTTGGGCCTGGGCACAGTGGCTCACACCTGTAATCTCAGCACTTTGGGAGGCCAAGGTGGGCGGATCACTTGAGGTCAGCATTCATTAGTCAGGTGTGGTGGTGCATACCTGTAATCCCAGCTCTTCGGGAGGCTGAGGCAGAAGAATCGCTTGAACCTGGGAGGCAGAAGTTGCAGTGAGCCGAAATCGTGCCACTGCACTCCAGCCTGGGCGACAGAGTGAGACTCTGTATCAAATATATATATATATATTTTGGCCGGGAACGATGGCTCACGCCTGTAATCTCAGCACTTTGGGAGGCTGAGGAGGGCGGATCACAAGGTCAGGAGTTCAAGAGCAGCCTGGCCAATATGGTGAAACCCTATCTCTACTACAAATACAAAAATTACCTGGGAGTGGTGGCACATGCCTGTAGTCCCAGCGACTCTGGAGGCTAAGGCAGGAGAATTGCTTGAACCTGGGAGGTGGAGGTTGCAGTGAGCCAAGATCGTGCCTCCACACTCTAGCCTGGGCGACAGAGCGAGACTCTGTCTCAAAAAAAAAAAAAAAAAAAAAAAAAAAAATATATATATATATATATATATATATATATATATATATATATGAATATATTAGCCTAAAAATATCTCACCCCACTCACCAGCTCACCTTCTTTTTTTCTGAGCCGGAGTCTCGCCCTGTCTCCCAGGCTGGTGTGCAATGGTGTGATCTTGGCTCACTGCAACCTCTGCCTCCTGGGTTCAAGCCATCCTCCTGTCTCAGCCTCCTGAGTAGCTGGGATTACAGGCACGCGCCAGCATGCGCGGCTACTTTTTTTTGTTTTGTTTTTTGTATCTTTAGTAGAGACAGGGTTTCACCATGTTGGCCAGGCTGGTCTCGAACTGACCTCAGGTGACCCGCCCACCTCAGCCTCCCAAAGTGCTGGGATTATAGGCGTAAGCCACGTGCCTGGCCCAGCTCACCTTCTTTAATGGGGGTATATGCAGCTAATGAAATTAATGTTTTGTTTTGAGTCATTTATCCAGCACTTAAGTAGTTACCTGGTTAGTAAATATAATGTGAAATACTCGTTTATTACCTGCTGATCCCAATATCTTTCCATATCTTAGAGTTTAGGTGAGAGACTATAGCAAGAGGCTGGGAAATGAAGTCAGCAATAGTGTCCATGGAAACCAAAAAAGAATTCTTTGAATGCCCATTGTGCTAGACCACACTGTACCTAGTTTTTATAGGCAAATTAATTCAGGAAAACACCTATTTGTTGCCCTGAATGTGATGTTTTAAAATGGACATAGTATGGTAACATACAAAGTAGAAAAACAGAAGAGCAATTGAGGAACAAATTGAACTCACAATAGGAAAATACATTTAGCATTAAAAACTAGCATAAAATATTATCCTTAGTCTGAGACCAGGTCATGATAGCAAGTAAATTACAAATACTAAATTACCTTTCTAATTTGCGTCATAGAAGGTTTTGTATCTATAAATGCATCCTCATAGACTTGAGGAATGTGTTGTTTGTTAGAAATTCAATATTAAATTTGGGGGCAAATTTCCCCAAATTCTATTTCAAGCCATTGCATTTTATTCAAAATTAGGGAATCAGGAATCAAGGTGGTGGCTCGCACCTGTGATCCCAGCTACTCAGGAGGCTGAGGCAGGAGGATGGCTTGAGGCCAGGAGTTGAAGACCAACCTGGGCAACATAGCAAGACCCCGCCTCTTAAAAAAAAAAAGATTAAGGAATCAGGGTGGGTGTCCAGGTTGGGAACACAAAATGTTACAGGAATAACCATAATATCATCCAGCCGTTACTAGTGGAGCACTGACCATGTGCCAGCACTCTATAGGTGCCTTACATATATTATGTATAATCTTCACAAAAACCACTCAAAGTAGATAGTGATGAAGAAACTTGGTCTCAGAAAAGTGAAATAATTTACTAATGTTCACACAGCTCATAAATGGTGCAGCCAGAGGAGAACCTCATTTTTTTTTTTTTTTTTTTGAGATGGAGTCTCGTTCCATCACCCAGTCTGGAGTGCAGTGGCGTGATCTCGGCTCACTGCAACCTCTGACTCCTGGGTTCAAGCAATTCTTCTCCCTCAGCCTCCTGAGTAGCTGGGATTACAGACAAGTATCACCATGCCTGGCAATTTTTTTGTATTTTTAGTAGAGATAGGGTTTCACCATGTTGGCCAGGCTGGTCTAGAACTCCTAACGTCAAGTTATCCACCCACCTCAGCCTCCGAAAGTATTGGGATTACAGGTGTGAGCTACCACGCCCGGCCACCCTTTTTTTTTTTTTTTTGAGACGGAATCTCGCTCTGTCGCCCAGGCTGGAGTGCAGTGGTGCGATCTCGGCTCACTGCAAGCTCCGCCTCCCGGGTTCACGCCATTCTCCTGCCTCAGCCTCCAGAGTAGCTGGGACTACAGTCGCCCGCCACCACGCCCGGCTAATTTGTTTGTATTTTTAGTAGAGACGGGGTTTCACTGTGTTAGCCAGGATGGTCTCCATCTCCTGACCTCGTGATTCGCCGGCCTCGGCCTCCCAAAGTGCTGGGATTACAGGCGTGAGCCACCGCCCAGCCCTTTTTTTTTTTTTTTTTTTTTTTTTTTTAACCTGCAGTACAGTGCTGTTTTGGAAAGATGACCAAGGAAGGACGACCAAGGAAAGACTATTTAAAGAAGAAGGAGCTGGGCGCAGTGGCTCACACCTGTAATCCCAACACTTTGGGAAGCTGAGGCGGGTGGATCACCTGAGGTCAGGAGTTCAAGACCAGCCTGGCCAACAGCGCGAAACCCTGTCTCTACTAAAAATATAAAAATTAGCCATATGTGGTGGCACGTGTCTGTGATCCCAGCTACTTGGGAGGCTGAGGCAGGAGAATCACTTGAACCTGGGAGGCAGAGCTTGCAGTGAGCCGAGATCTTGCCATTGCACTCTGGCCTGGGCAACAGAGCGAGACTCCGTCTCAAAAAAATGATAAATAAAAATAAAAGAGAGGGGAAGAGCTTGAGGCAGGCTCAACACTGGTAGGGGTAAAAGCCTCTTGCAAGAAAGAGTAAGTGCGTGAGGCAAGAGAGTTTGGTACCAGAAAGGAGTTAGACAACTCAGCCAGTGTCCCAGCCGGATGCATCTTAATTACTGATTTTACAAATACTGAACCCAGCTGGCAAGCATTTGAATACTATTATTTATTATCACCAAAACATTCTTTTGCCCACAGCATCTATGTTTAAGAGCAAACTCCCTGCATGATGTAGGTTAAATAAAGAATTAAAAAGAAAAAGCTCTGCAGGAGCAGTGTAGGCCCTTATTTAGGAAGGAAAAGAATACATAAGTGATTCATCTATAAATTGACATAGAAGTGCTTAGTGCTTTCCTTTAACCTTTAGTTTTAATTTGGTTTAACCTTTAGTTTCAGGTTTAGCTGTGCCTCCCAGTGACTATAATGACAAGGAAGCTGTAAATGTATTTGAGTTAAGCTTTTGCGAGAAGTAAGTATCTGGCACAGAAAAAGCCATTTCTTCGATATAAAGGGTGGAAAGAGCAAATTAAAGACTATTCTTTAATAACCACATGTAATTAAAATGCATTGTCAGATTTATGTTTTAGTACCTCAGAGGCATTGATATTGCCTCTTTCTGAAATGAGATTGCCTATTCAAAAAGAAAAAAGAAAACCCTCAATATATAGAAAATTCTCTTAACCTCCTACTCTTTTTTTTTTTTTTTTTTTTTTGAGGTGGAGTCTCGCCCTGTTGCCAGGCTGGAGTGCAGTGGCACCATCTCGGCTCACTGCAACCTTTGCCTCCCGGGTTCAAGTGATTCTCCTGCCTCAACCTCCCGAGTAGCTGGGGTTACAGATGCCCGCCACTACGCCCGGTTAATTTTTGTATTTTTAGTAGAGACAGGGTTTCACCATGTTAGTCAGGCTGGTCTCAAACTCCTGACCTCAGGTGATCGGCCCACCTCAGCCTTCCACAGTGCTGGGATTACAAGCGTGAGCCACCATGCCCGGCTCCTCCTCTCCTTTTAATTGTGATGTTTTAATTTACAGGGTAAGAGAGAAATGCATCTCTCAGAGAAATTGTAAACATACTTAAGGTTTTGACATGGCACATCAGAAGGATTTTTTTTCTATCATCAAGTATTATTTAGAAAATTACAATATTTATTAAGTTCCCGGGAGTGTTCTCAGTGGTACAAATCAACTTCTTTACCCCTTTTTTTCTCTCCTGGAGTAGTTTAGTTGCTTAACTACAGTAATTTAAAAGAAAGGCAGTTTGGTTTATTACTGACATTCTGGTTTCTCCTTTAATGGGGGCTGGTCATGCAGGCAAAGTGACAGCATAGCTGTTCAAACATTCCTGTTGAATTTTGGATCCACCCTTAAGGAGCTTGAGAAATGAAGATAAGGGGCCCCACGGGTGATTTCTCTGGGCTCCTGGCTGGAAGATTCAGGACAGCTAGTTTCCATTACAGAGGCTCATGGCCCAGGTACACGACTATGTGGGAAAGGGGGCTGTGCAGCCCTGGGTTACCCCAGCTCAATTCCCTGATCTTTTCATTTCATTTCCCTGCCCTCATCCCCAAAGCATTAATGATATAATATAACAGTGAGAAGTTGGTGACATGCTGAGGGCTGCAGTGATGGATGTATTCCTTATTTAGGAGTGTTACTCTGAATGCATTTGTATGAAAATTACAGAGAGGGTAGAATCATGATTGTCATGATTGTTAATGTCAACAAAAAGTGGTATCAGTTAAAAAAAAATACAACACTACATTGAAAGTAGCAATAACTGGATTCTGCTGTTATTCCTCTGACCTTGAAAAAGACATATAACTTCTCCACATGTCTCTTCTCTGGACCTGGAGTAATATGTTTCCTAGTGCTGTTGAGTAGATGAGGTAACTTATGTGAAGTGTTCTGAACACCTTAAGGAACAATGTCAAAGCAATGAAATGCAGTACCATTATTACAGTAAAGATGGTGAGGAGGAGGAGGAGACAGATCTACATTTTCTTCCTTAATCTTCTAATCTTTCCAGATGCCGGAAGGTCCTTCTGAATCCCTTCCCTGTTCCTTAGGTTGCACTAGTCGGGGGTTCCATGCTGGGGGGCAGAAGGAATGCTCTCTACCGTCTGAAACCGTTCATCAGGAAGGCCTTGATTTGTGATGTGCTAGGAGAGCACAGGATCTGCAAATAGAAGGCACCTGTCTCCCTTCTGCAGGCCGAGGAGAGGCCGCCATGGACTGTGTGCTTCTTCATGGCTTGTTTACTCTTCTTTCACAGACCCTACAGCTTGGGGCCTGGGCTCCTCTGACCATCCTCATTGAGAAAGGAAAGTGAGTCCAGAGAAGTTGATGCTTCCTACCTGTTGGAGCGGCCCAGCAGTGTAAGCGTGGTTGTTACTGCCCCATCCGCCATGTCCTTCAGTGCCACCATTCTCTTCTCCCCTCCCAGTGGCAGCGAGGCCAGATGCTGCTGCTGCGCCTGTAAGAGTGAGACTAATGGAGGCAACACAGGCTCCCAGGGTGGGAATCCTCCTCCCAGCACCCCCATCACAGTGACTGGACATGGCTTGGCTGTTCAGAGCTCAGAGCAGCTCCTGCATGTTATCTACCAGCGGGTCGATAAGGCAGTGGGTTTGGCTGAAGCTGCTCTGGGTCTTGCCAGGGCCAACAATGAGTTGTTAAAACGTCTCCAGGAGGAAGTGGGTGACCTGAGGCAAGGGAAAGTGTCCATCCCTGATGAAGATGGGGAAAGCCGGGCACATAGTTCCCCACCTGAGGAGCCTGGGCCTCTCAAGGAAAGTCCCGGGGAAGCCTTTAAGGCTCTGTCTGCCGTGGAAGAGGAGTGTGACAGCGTGGGCAGCGGCGTGCAGGTGGTGATTGAGGAGCTGCGGCAGCTGGGAGCAGCCTCAGTGGGGCCTGGGCCTTTGGGCTTCCCAGCAACTCAGAGGGACATGCGGCTCCCAGGGTGCACGCTGGCTGCCAGCGAGGCGGCCCCCCTGCTCAATCCTGTGAGTATGGCAGCAGAGGGCTATTCCTCCTAGGTGCTTTTCCTGGCTTTTCACTCTTTTTCCTTTCTGTTCTTTTCTTTCCATCTTTAAACCTTTTGTTTGTATTTGTGATAAAGCAAAACAGTACCACGTTTCCTTTTCCTTCAGGGATAGTCAGCTCTATTTTCTTCCTGAACCATCAGCTTCTTTGGCAGAAGGTCATTTTTTGCTGTGTGTAGTGATGGGGTGCCCTTCCCTCTCTCTCAGTAGCTCCGCATGGCACCTTCTCTTCCACAGCTGTCTCGGCTGCTCCATGGACTCTGCCTCTCCTGGCGAGGATGCCTGCCGTGCACAGACGGCTCATTCATATTTTATCGCAGGCCCTCTGCTTGCCAAGAGGAATTCAGTACAAAGAGAGATGGGAATGTACAGGGGAGAGAGGCAGAGGTGGAGAGAGGAGGAAAAAGTGAGAGGACAAAGATAAAGATAATAGAAGACAAGTATAGGGAGGGAAAGAGACAAGTAGAAATGAAGGGCTGAGGGAGGAGAAAAAGTGAAAAAAGGGAGCACAGAAGAAAGGTGAATCTATGTGGAAAGAGAATCTACACCACGGGAGAGAGACTATGAGGTAAGGCGAGGGGGAGGTAGAGGAAAGGAAATAAAATGGGAAATGAGAAAAAGAAATGGCCAACTGATTGTTAACAGTAAGAGAATAACATATAGGGAGAAAGAGGGAAGAAAAGAAGGAAGCAAGCAAGCATATTTTGTGAGCAGGAAAAGACATAGATGTACATTGTGCTATTTCAGTTTCTTTACTGCTTAAGGGCCATATGAGCAGGAAAATCCTGGCTGAGTAGAGTAAGAACTGCAGAATGTCACACATGGAAGTATGAAAAGGAGATGGAGCAACTATAGAGATCTTAGAGATAGGAAAATAACAGATGTGGTGCCACTTGAGAGACGGTTGGAGTTCTGTCAGCTCTCCACCTTATTCTCCGTCTGTCCTCTCTTTTTCTCCTCCCCCCACAACAAGACATAGACACCCAGTAAAGAGTAAAGGAGCAGAACACATGGAGTAGATGGGAGGGATGAAACTCCCAGCCCATCTGCTGGATCTGAGAAATGAATACATAAACCCCTCTCTCCCCCTCCAGTGTAACACAGCAACTGGTCATTGCTCTCCTGAAGGCACAGCCATATGGGTAATGGCCACTGCTGCTCACCCCAGTCTGTGGCTGGTCAGGACTCTCCGTGGTTCCAGCTCAAGGGAGGACCTGGAAGGTGGGAGGCAGAAAGGTACCAGGCTAGGCATTGCCCTGAGCTGTGGGTTCTTTGAGGCAGGAAAGGCTTCCAAGCCGACAGGATGGAATTAGATTTCACAGCGCAGAAAGCAGCTCACAGGTCTATAAATCTCAGCCTCCTCCCCCGCATCTTTCTGTGTGTGTGTGTGTGTGTGTGTGTGTGCGTGTGCGTGTGTGTCCCCACTTTCAGTATTTTGTTTTCTTGACTGCAGAAATCCCCCCTCCTTTCTTCCTCCCTCTCTCCCTTGCTCCCTTCTTCCTTTCCCGGCTCTGTATGTCCTTGAGTGAGGGCACAGGCAGTCAGGTAGATGTCAGGGGCTATGACAGTCGAATGTGGCCGGGGCAGGATCAAGGTGAGGGCATGGACTGACTCTGGGAATGGAGGATAGGTGAGGGGAGCTGTTGCTGCCAGTCTCTCTAGGGATTTCTGACTTTATGTCTTCCTCCTTTGCTCATTTGTCTTTTATGTCTCCTCTTTATTGCTGTTACTGTTTTATTTTCTTACTCCTTCTCTTGCTTGGTTTCTTTCTTGTCATCACTTCTTCACCCAGTCCTTTCAGACAAAACACTTATCTAGCTCCATTTCTTATATCCAAGAGCTATCCATAAATGACTATTCACCAACAGTGTCAGAAACATGCTTTCTCCTTGTGAGCAGCCCTATGGTAACAACCCAACATGAGAGGCCCTGTACACACAAGAAATATTTGCCCAACACTCATAGGAGTCCCAGAGAAACAAGCCATTGACCATTAAAGACTGTGCTAGAGTTCCCCTTCTTTCCACTTTCTGTTCACTATTCTTAGCCAAAGAATGATGGTTAACCAGGTTCCCCTAAGCCTGGCTGGCTAATAGGCTATTATTTTTTATGTTCTTAGCTGGTGGATGATTACGTGGCCTCTGAGGGTGCAGTACAGCGAGTTCTGGTCCCTGCTTATGCCAAGCAACTCTCACCAGCCACACAACTGGCAATCCAGCGGGCAACCCCAGAGACAGGACCAGAAAATGGAACCAAGCTGCCACCACCCCGCCCTGAGGACATGCTCAATGCCGCTGCTGCGCTGGACAGTGCCTTGGAAGAGTCAGGCCCTGGGAGCACTGGGGAGCTGAGACACTCTCTAGGGCTGACCGTTTCCCCATGCAGGACCAGAGGAAGTGGGCAGAAGAACTCCAGGCGCAAGCGGGATCTTGTACTCTCTGTGAGTGAGCTCAGTTTCTATAAATTTTTCTTCAGTCTGGAGAGATAAGTGAAGAGTGATGGGTGGGTTGATTTTAGGCCTCCCATATTGAATGAATGCTGTACTGAATCCTACCAGAGTGGGAGGGATAAGGAGAGAGGTTATTCTGTAACACTAGGGATAGGAAGTCCCCTGCTAAACATCAAGCTTTTAGGCTTTTCCAGATAATGTGATATCTTCCTTTATATCACATCTCCTGGTGTTCTTTTTTTTTTTTTTTTTTTTTTTTGAGTCAGAGTCTCACTCTGTCACCCAGGCTGCAGTGCAATGGCATGATCTCAGCTCACTGCAACCTCCACCTCCCAGGTTCAAGCGATTCTCCTGCCTCAGCCTCCTGAGTAGCTGGGATTACAGGCACGTGCCACCACCCCCAGCTAATTTTTGAATTTTCAGTAGAGACCAGGTTTTGCCATGTTGGTCAGGCTGGTCTCGAACTCCTGAGCTCAGGTTATCCACCCGCCTCGGCCTCCCAAAGTACTGGGATTACAGGCGTGAGCCACCATGCCCAGCCTTCCTAGTGTTCTAATAATCCTGATGAGAAGATCTTTAAGGGATTGAGCAGATTGGTCACCAAAGGGTAACTCTGGAAATTGCCTGCAAATTAAGCTAGTGTGCAGAGTAAGTGACAAGGGGCACCTTGGGTGGAAAAGCAAGTGAAGCTGTCCTGAGGTGGTCTCAAGCTTCAGAGATGCAGAGAGTCACTAGACCTTCAGCTCAGTTATAGAGGTTTGGAGATTCCAGTCATTCCAAGAGCTCTTAGCCAGGAAGGGACTGGCCTGAACCAGGTCTGCCTGAACACTTCTTGGCGTGGCTGGGAGCCCAAAGAACATCCTGCTGAGCTGGGAGTCCCCATCCTGGCAGCTGACCAAACCTAGAGAAGTTCTAGGGCAGTAGTTCTCAACCTGGGGTGATTTTACCCTCAGGAGACATTTGGAAACATCTGGAGACGTTTGTGATTATTACAACTGGTGGGTGGCCGGGGGCAGGGGAAGGAGAATGCTACTGACATCTAGTGGGTGTTCTGCTAAACATCCTGCAGTGCACACGACAGCCCCCATAACAAAGAATTATCCAGCTCAAAATGCCAATAGTGAAGAGGTTGAGAAACCTTCTTTAAAGTGACCACAGTCTTTGGGATCAACTCTGTACCCAAAAACTTCTTTTTTTTTTTTTTCTTTCTTGAGACAGGGTCTCACTCCCATTGCCCAGGCTGGAGTGCAGTGGTGTGATCATGGCTCACTGCAGCTTCGACTTCCCAGGCTCAAGTGATCTCCCACCTCAGCCTCCCGAGTAGCTGGGATTACAGGCATGCACCACCATGCCTGGCTTATTTTTTGTATTTTTGTATTTTAGTTGCCCAGGCTGGTCTCACAAAAGCTTTTTTCTGACAACTGTGGGGATATTGTTTTTAGTCTCGCTCTGTCACCCAGGCTGGAGTGCAGTGGCGTGATTTCAGCTCACTGCAAGCCTCCCAGGTTCAAGCGATTCTCCTGCCTCACCCTCCCGAGTAGTTGGGATTACAGACTTGCACCACCACGCCTGGCTAATTTTGTATTTTAGTAGAGATGGGGTTTCACCATGTTGGCCACGCTGGTCTTGAACTCCTGAGATCAGGCAATTCACCCACCTCGGCCTCCCAAAGTGTTGGGATTACAGGCGTGAGCCACCATGCCTGGCTGGAGATATTCTTTAGCCATACAATGTTCATATTGACTATAATGAGTTTATAGTTACAATTTGCATAAAAGCAGGATTTTCCATCACTTCCATTCCACTTGTGCCTGCTGCCTCCAGAGAGAGGTACAGCATTGAGGCCTGGCTTCTTCCTTCCCTTAGGAGAGTGTGGTGGAACTGAAGACCTGCAGGAAGGACAGTATCCTCACTCACCATCATGCTCTCTCTATTCTGTGCTTGAGAAGGATCTGGAGGACTAGTCAGGGAGTTCTGCTGCCCATCATGGAGGAAGGTTTAAAATGTTCTTGTGGCAGACTGTGGGTTTAGAGGGGGAGGGACAGTTATTCCAATCTTTAGCTCTGGGACAGAATCAAAGAGGCATCTCTCCAATCTGCTGAGGCTCTTGAGGATTGCTGCTAGGGATCCTGTGAACCAAAAGGATCAAACCAGAATTCTTAATTCCTTGGAATGCTGCAGATCCCAGCCACTCCTTGGGGAAATATTTTTAGCTTATTCAGGAGGTAGGTGAGCCAACAGCCTTTACAGTCCTCACACTTATTGTCTAGAGTATTTTCCCTTTCCATGTCAAGCCTGTTTTGATTTTTATCAGCTGATCTCTTCCAAGCCACTTGAGTTGGAAGCTTTGTAACTCCCTTTTTTCTTTCCCCTTTTTTTGTTTTTTGTTTTTTTGAAACTCTCCCAAATACTTTCTGAAACATTCGCCCACTCCTTTGTGATTCCTTAAGTGTGGACTACTAAGAGGTAAAATAACTATGTTGAATATGCAGCTAGTATAATAATGGTCCTTTTTACAGAGTGGAGACCCTAGCCATAAAGAGTTGACAATACTTTCCTAAGTTGGTATGGTGAATCAGCCATAGAGGTAGAAGGATAAATTGGGGATTTCTGAATATGGAGCTGAAAAGTCCTTGGATCAGGATATTAATCTGTCAGTTTGGGACTGGGTAACTTCCACTGACTGAGGGAGCTTGGGATGAAAATACAATCAGAAACAACTAAACTTAATTGAAGGACATGTTAAAACCCTGCATTAGGGCCGGGTGCGGTGGCTCACGCCTGTAATCCCAGCACTCTGGGAGGCCAAGGCGGGCAGATCACCTGAGGTCAGGAGTTTGAGACTAGCCTGGCCAACATGGTGAAACCACGTCTCTACTAAAGATACAAAAATTAGCTGGGCGTGGTGGCGTGCGCCTGTAATCCCAGCCACTTGAGAGGCTGAGGTAGGAGAATCACTTGAACCTGGGAGGCGGAGGTTGCAGTGAGCTGAGACCACACCACTGCACTCTAGCCTGGACAACAGAGCAAGACTCTGTCTCTTAATAAATAAATAAAGCTGGGCGTGGTGGCTCATGCCTGTAATCCCAGCACTTTGGGAAGCCGAGGTGGGTGGATCACGAGGTCAGGAGTTCAAGACCAGCCTGGCCAACATGGTGAAACCCCATCTCTACCAAAAATACAAAAATTAGCTGGGAATGGTGGTGCATTCCTGTAATCCCAGCTAACTAGGGAGGCTGAGCCAGGAGAATTGCTTGAACCAGGACCCTGGAGGCAGAGGTTGCAGTGAGCCGAGATCACGCCACTGCACCCCAGCCTGGGCTACAGAGTAAGACTCCATCTCAAAAAAATAAAAAATAAAAATAAATAAATAAATAAATAAATAAATATTTTAGGTGCTATTATGGGCAAAACTGGGAACAGATTTTGAAGCATCTAAGGCAAAACTTTTTCTTTCTTTTTTTTTTTTTTTTGAAACAGAGTCTCACTTTATTGCCCAGGCTGGAGTGCAGTGGCACGATCTCAGCTCACTGCAACCTCCGCCTCCTGGGTTCAAGCAATTCCTCTGTCTCAGCCTCCTGAGTAGCTGGGACTACAGTCGCACGCCACCACGCCTGGCTAATTTTTGTATTTTTAGTAGAGATGAGGTTTCACCATGTTGGTCAGGCTGGTCTCGAGCTCCTGACCTCAGGTGATCCACCCGCCTTGGCCTCCCAAAGTACTGGGATTACAGGCATGAGCCACCACGCCCAGCCGGCAAAACTTTTTAATGAGTAGAAATGTTCAACAATAGAATAAGCTGACTCAGAATGGAGAACTCATCATTAGATGGGTATAAACAAAGTGGAAAGACAGCCTGTTTAATGATGTGAAAGGGAGATTGGGTAATATAATATAGCCTCCACGGTCTTTTCCGATTCACGTTTCTGTTATTTTAGATTTCTGTTTTTCAGACCATGGTGTATATACTCCAGAGATTTGTGGTAACACATGAAGAAATACATAAAGCCACAGACAAACCCGGGGCTTTTGCCTGGGTCATCAGTTTTACTAGCAGATTCCAGAAGATGGCCAGGCACGGTGGCTCATGCCTGTAATCCCAGCACTTTGGGAGGCTGAGGCAGGTGGTTCACGAGGTCAAGAGATCAAGACCATCCTGGCCAACATGGTGAAACCCCATCTCTACTAAAAATACAAAAATTAGCTGGATGTGGTGGTGGTGCACCTGTAGTCCCAGCTACTCGGGAGGCTGAGGCAGGAGAATTGCTTGAACCCGGGAGGTGGAGGTTGCAGTGAGCCGAGATCCCGCCATTGCACTCCAGCCTGGCAACAGAGTGAGACTCTGTCTCAAAAAGAAAAAAGAAAAATTGCAGAAGACATTTTTATATTAAACAGGCCCGGTGCGGTGGCTCACACCTGTAATCCCAGCACACTTTGGGAGGCTGAGGTGGGTAGATCACAAGGTTAGGAGTTCGAGACCAGCCTGACCAACATGGTGAAACCCCATCTCTACTAAAAATACAAAAATTAGCTGGATGTGGTGGTGGTGCACCTGTAGTCCCAGCTACTCAGGAGGCTGAGGCAGGAGAATTGCTTGAACCCGGGAGGCGGAGGATGCAGTGAGCTGAGATGGCACCACCTGCCTTGGCCTCCCAAAGTACTGGGATTACAGGCATGAGCCACCGCGCCCGGCTGGCAAAACTTTTTAATGAGTGCACTCCAGCCTGGGTGACAGAGTGAAACTCTGTCTCAGAAAGAAAAAAAAAAAGAAAAGAAATACAAATACATTTTGAAGAAAAAATTTAAATGTGCAAGAGTAGGGGCCGGGCGCAGTGGCTTACACCTGTAATCCCAGCACTTTGGGAGGCCGAGGCGGGCAGATCATGAGGTCAGGAGATTGTGACCATCCTGGCTAACACGGTGAAACCCCGTCTCTACTAAAAATACAAAAAATTAGCCGGACGTGGTGGCAGGCACCTGTAGTCCCAGCTACTCAGGAAGCTGAGGGAGGAGAATGGCGTGAACCCGAGAGGCAGAGCTTGCAGTGAGCCAAGATCGTGCCACTGCACTCCAGCCTGGGCGACATAACGAGACTCCGTCTCAAAAAAAAAAAAAAGAAAAGGAAAGAAAAAAAAGTGCAAGAGAAGGGGACTTCAGGAAATGTTCACTTGGCTGGGCGTGGTGGCTCATGCCTGTAATCCCACCACTTTGGAAGGTCAAGGCGGGCAGATCACCTGAGATCAGGAGTTTAAGACCAGCCTGGCCAACATGGTGAAACCCCGTCTCTACAAAAATACAAAAATTAGCCAGGCATGATGGCAGGTGCCCGTACTCTGAGCTACTCGAGAGGCTGAGGCGGGAGAATCGCTTGAACCCGGGAGGCAGAGGTTGCAGTGAGCCGAGATCGCGCCACTGCACTCTAGCCTGGGCGACAGAGCAAGACTCCATCTCAAAAAAAAAAAAAGAAAGAAAAGTAAAAAAGAAATGTTCACTCGCAGTACTCCTGGTGTATACTTGCTTTCTCGTTGCTATCAGGGGTATGTTCATGGAAATGTTTGAGACCCTCTGCTCCAGTGATCACACTACTCAGGAGCAGAAGTAAGGCCAGGGATGATCCTGGAATCCTGACACACATGAAATGAAAAGTCAGGGAAGACCACACTAGAAATAGTAACTTGGATAGGCTCTTGGCTTAGAAAGGATTCAGGCAGAGAGCCCCTTAGGGACAATACCTTTTTACCCTAGGGACCAGAGGAGAGTTTTCATAACATCCACTCTTGGCTTGATTGTGTTTTCTTTTTTTCCTCCTAGAAACTGGTCCACAATGTGCATAACCACATCACCAATGACAAGAGATTCAATGGGTCTGAAAGGTATGGTCTCCTTGAGGAAAAAGAATTAGAAGGTACTTTGCTAAGGACAGGGAAGTAGAGGGGGATGCTCCAATACAGCAATGAGACTAAGGCTTTGATCTCACCATACCTTCTTAGGCTGTGGAGGGATTTGCCACAAAGTTGATTAGTGCTGGGTATCTCTGTTTGTCTGGCTCTTACAAAGCCGACAACTTTATTCATTCTCTTCTCTTTGTGGCAGCATCAAGTCCTCTTGGAATATTTCAGTAGTGAAGTTTCTTCTGGAAAAGCTCAAGCAAGAGCTGGTGACCAGTCCCCACAATTACACTGATAAGGAGCTAAAAGGTGAGAAAAACTGGTTTAACTCCTATGCCATCCTTTCTCCCCCTCTCCTCCCACTCCTCTTTCTTGGTCAGAGGAGAAGAGGAATAATAGAGATGATTAGGTGGTTTTGAAAATAGTGGATTTGAAACATTTTTTGGCTATTCTCACCTTCAATATATTCATAGAATTATCTCAAATTGCCTGTTTATTTCCCTCTCAGTCTGAAACGAAAATGAGAGAAGGAAAGGGCTAGAACAGCATCATGCATTCTGTTTATGCAGGTCTTGCACCTAAGGTGTTACGAGGAGGAGGAATCTAAGGTGTTATGAGGAGGTGTTATGTTCAGAAGCCAGGCCTGCCCCTTGGTCCCTAAATATTATTTCCCAGGCTTTCTCTTTCCTTGCTCTCTTTTGTTATTTGTAGCTAACCCTGAAGTATTATGAAAGCTTCTGCTGAAAAAGTACTTGTAGAGCCAGGTAACGTGGCTCATCCCTGTAATCCTAGCACTTTGGGAAGCCAGGGCAGGAGGATTATTTCAGTCCAGGAGTTCGAGACTAGCATGGGCAACATGGCGAAACCCAATCTTTACCAAAAACAAACAAAAATAACAAAAATTAACTGGGTGGGGTGGCATGCATGACGTAGTCCCAGCTACTTGGGAGGCTGAGGTGGGAGGATTGCTTGAGCCTGCGAGGTGGAGGTTGCATTGAGCCAAGATCGTGTCACTGAACTCCACTGTGGGCAAACCTTGTTTCAACGAAAAATAAAAAAATACTTGTAATCTTCCATCAGAGTGGCAATAGGGGTAGATTGTTGTTGTTTTTAAATTTTTTTTTAAATAGAGACTGAGTCTCACTATGTTGCCCAGGCTGGTCTCAAACTCCTGGGCTCAAGCAATCCTCCTGCCTCAGCAGGAGGCCTCCCAGAATGTTGGGATTACAGGTGTGAGCCACCACGCCCAAGAAGGGGTAGGTTTTATTTGGTGGAGGGAGCGGGGAGACACAGAAGCGATTGGAGTTGTCTTTTTCCAGTGGGAGATATTTGGGAGGAGTTAGTGTTGGAGATGGAGGTGGGCAAAGAAAGCTAAACCAATTAGCCGGCCATGGTGATGTGCACCTGTAGTCCCAGCTGCTCAGGAGGCTGAGGCTGGACGATCACTTAAGCCCAGGAGTTGGAGGCTGCAGTGAGCATGCATGACCATGCCACTGCCCTCAAGCCTGGGTGACAGAGCGAGACCCTGTCTCATAACAAAATCATAATAAAATAAATAAATAAAAAGAATCCTAACCAAAGAGGAGTGAAGATGCTAATGCCTATGCCAAGAAAGCCCAGCATCTAGGCCAGGCACGGCTGCTCACGCCTGTAATCCCAGCTCTTTGGGAGGCCAAGGCAGGTGGATCACCTGAGGTCAGTAGTTTGAGACCAGCCTGACCAACATGGAGAAACCCCATCTCTACTAAAAAGAGCTGGATGTGGTGGCACATGCCTGTAATCCCAGCTACTCGGGAGGCTGAGGCAGGAGAATCGCTTGAACCCAGGAGGCGGAGGTTGTGGTAAGCCGAGATTGTGCCATTGCACTCCAGCCTGGGCAACAAGAGTGAAACTACATCTCAAAAAAAAAAAAAAAAGCCCTCATCTAAGTAGTGATCGCCAACCTCCCATTCAATAGTGTTAGGGCAGAAAAACGGGCTGGGGACCACTACTCAGAGGACCCTCCTTCTTGCTCCCTTCCTTCCCTCCCCGCCAGGAGCCTGTGTGGCCTACTTCCTTACTAAGAGGCGTGAGTACCGCAACTCCCTGAACCCCTTTAAAGGCCTGAAGGAAAAAGAGGAGAAGAAACTTCGAAGTCGCCGATATCGGGTAGGTTTCTAGGCCTTTCTTTCAAGATACTAAACTCTAAACCCTTTCCTAAGTGGGAAGGGCCAGAGGACATGGCATATGAGAATAGGGTTGAGAGCCAGGAATGTAGGAAGATAGAGAAGAACAGTGAGCCAATGCTAAGATCTGACTTGGGGACTGGGTTCACTTAGGCACAGATTTTACACAGCCTTCCCCACCAAACCTTTTCCCCAAATCTAATCCATAGAATGTTTACCTTCCTAATCTATCTCCTGGGTTCCTGCCTTAGCTTTTTGCCAACCGATCCAGTATCATGAGGCATTTTGGACCTGAGGACCAACGTCTGTGGAATGATGTGACAGAGGAACTGATGTCAGATGAAGAGGACAGTCTTAACGAGCCAGGTGTGTGGGTGGCCCGCCCTCCCCGTTTCCGGGCCCAGCGCCTCACAGAGCTCTGCTACCACCTGGATGCTAACTCTAAGCATGGCACCAAAGCCAACCGTGTGTATGGGCCTCCCTCAGACAGACTGCCTTCTGCTGAAGCCCAGCTCCTTCCACCAGAACTTTACAATCCTAATTTCCAAGAAGAGGAAGATGAGGGAGGGGATGAGAATGCACCTGGCTCCCCATCTTTTGACCAACCCCACAAAACCTGCTGTCCTGACTTGAACTCATTCATTGAAATCAAGGTGGAAAAGGATGAATAAAATCTACAGCCAAGAATAACTCTGGCTTCCGCCATGCCCCATGTCTCAGAAATAGGTGGCCATGGGGCTTCACAAAATAATGAGATGCTCTGTGCAGTCTGAGAAAGCAAATTTGCCTCTTTTCTTAACACAGTCTCTACTGGGGAAGCAGAACACTGGTGGGATAAAAACTTATCTAGAAGGGGAGAAACTCCCTCCACTGTGAACAGTAAGCCAGAATATGCTTATTCCTCAGCATAAACAGTATCTCGGAGAAGCCTGGGATGAGAAAATGAGGAGGATGGGTCCAAGAAACATGAGGCCTTCTTGACATATGCCCTGTCTCTGAGTTGTTTCTGCCCCTGCCCAGTTCCACCCAAAGCTCTGAGGAAGCAGCCCAGGTTGTACCTTTTGCTTCCCTGTGACTACTTGTCTTGCTCTGCAGTGGAAACCGAACATGACCAGTGCAGGTTAATACCGCCACCTGGTGGGCAGTTTCAGTCATGAGCTTGAGTCTTCTGACCAAGGGAACACAAGTTCTATCACTATTGGGGAATTGGGTTCCTGATATAATAGCTATTGTTTATTGAATTACATGAGGAAAATTTTACTATTCCTATCTTACAGATGAGGAAATTAAGGCTTAAAGAGTTCCCGTGTCTCACCGGCAGCCTCTCTCTCACTATGTGACCAAGCAAAATACACAGCTTTGTAGCTGTTTCTTGGTCCTGTCAGCCAAGCTGTATTTTGAGGAAGGGGTGTGCATTTTGGATGGATTGAAAAGCAAAAATGGCTTTACATTTATTCAGTCTTATAACAAACATTGATCGCTTTACTAGGTGTCAGGTACTGTGCTATGGATACATTGTTGATAAGGTTGGATGCTGTTCAGAGATTTTTTTAGTTTAGTCAGGAAGCCAGGCAGTGGAGTAGGCAATGAAATGAACTGTGATAAGGGTGACCATGGTGGAGTGTAGTGCACTATGGCAATATACAGCAGGGGTAGCTAACCTACTCTTGCAGTCTGGAAAGGCTTCTTCTGAGAGGGTGTAATGTCTAAACTGGGGAAGAGTTAACCAGAAGGAAAGGGGAGGCTAAGAGAGTGTTCCAAACAGGGAACTGCAGGTACAAAAGTCCAGGGGCAAGAGAGAGTACAGACAAGGTCCAGTTCTACTGCAGACTTTTGGGGAAGGGATAATGCTAGAGGAGAGGCTGGAGAGTGAGACAGACCTCATAATACAGAGTACAGACTTCAACCCAAGGGCAGTGAGAAATCATTGAAAGTTTGTTTTAGCAGGGAAATAAAACGACAGGTTTTGCCTACAGGCAGTCCCCAACTCAACGATGGTTCGACTTAGGATTTTTCAACTTTACGATGGTGCGAAATGATTCAGTATGCTCCTCACCTTATGATGCAGTTATATCAGATAAACCCATTTTAAGCTGAAAATATGGTGAAGTTGAAGAAGCACTTCTGCCTTACGATATTTTCAATTTATAATGGATGGGTTTATTCAGACATAACTCCATTGTAAGTCGTAAAGCTTCTGTACTGAAAAAAATCACTTGACCTCAGGGTATAAGATGGATTGCAGGGAGCAAGCCTTGGCCAGGAGACTTTTGCATTGGTTTCGGAGAGGAAAGACGGTGACTTGACATATATAGTGGTGATGAGGGGAGGACAGATTTGGAAGATGTTTAGGAAGCAGAATTAATAGAACTTGGTGATTGATAGGACTTGGTTGGATTTGAGGTTAAGGGAGAAGGAGGACATAGGGTTGACGCTCAGATTTCTAGTTTAAGCAGCTAACAGGATTGTGCCATTTACTCAGAGAATGTTAGAGGAGCCAGTTTCATGAGGCAGAGAAGATGAGATCAGTTTAGGATATTGGGTGCTTCTGAGACAGCCATTGGAGATGCTAGTAGTTAGTTGAGTTTTTAATTCCAAGAAAGACTGGGCTGGAAATATGGATTAGGGAGTCACCTGCATATACAGATTATAATTAAAGTCTTGGGAACGAAGAGGGCCTTTGGAGATCCCAGCTCCAGTTTAGACTGTGGAGAGGCCACCTGAGGTCATGAGCACTATTGGAGCATGCCCTATTAGCATATGCGTCTTCTACTTCTTCCCCTTCACTCATCTCTGCTTCCAGTTATCCCTTGAAAACACAGGCTGTTCATCCCAGTTGTGCCCATTGCTACCACCAACTCTTGCATGGGCCTCCTTTAATGGCCTCCCAACATTTCATAAGATTTCCTCTCGCATCCTCACCCCAAAGGATCAAAGCTTCCAAATATTAGTAGTTGTGTGGATATTTTGGATGTAATTGGAAGGAAGAATCAAAGTTCTCCTTCCTCATCTGGACACAGGAAAGGAGGGAACACATTATGGTTAATTCTGAAGATGTTGCTCACAGCAGGTTCTAGATGCAATCCGATAGCTCCCCTCTGTTCCTAGTGCTTTCAGTCCTCCCTGCTTCCACTCTGGTAGGAAACTCTCCTCAGGATCAGAGAAAAGCCGTGGCCTTGACCAGGGAAACAGAGGCTGATTCTCAGGGGAGATGAGGTCAGGGAGACAATGCAACTAGGACGAAGAAGCCAAATAGTTTGGCACAAATTAATTTCCCAAAAGATATTAACCTCGTTTCTTTCCACATTCCCTAAGGCTACACTAAGATTATAAAAGGTGTTCAAAATGTTGAGATGAAAATAATATGCATGACTTGTTTGCATATAATTTTCATACTCATTTACTATCTAAATACAAAGGAGTCATTTTCCTTCTCCATTCTACTTCCTCCACCCCTTGCCCCTGATGTTTTAGTCTGGGCAAAAGTAGTTGGCTGGTTTTTAAAAAATTTTTTTGAGACGGAATCTCCCTCTATCGCCCAGGCCTGAGTGCAATGGCACAATCTCGGCTCTCTGCAACCTCCGCCTCCTGGGTTCACGCGATTCTTCTGCCTCAGCCTCCCAAGTAGCTGGGACTACAGGTGCACGCCACCACACCGGCTAATTTTTGTATTCTTAGTAGAGACGGGGTTTCACCATACTGGCCAGGCTGGTTGCAAACTCCTGACCTCGTGATCCCGCCGCCTCTGCCTTCCAAAGTGCTGGGATTACAGGCGTGAGCCACCGCTCCCGGCCGTTGGCTGGTATTTAATTAGGTATGTTTAGCTTCATCTAGGGTTTCTTTAAAAAAAATTATTATTTATTTTTGAGAATTTTTTTGAGACGGAGTCTTGCTCTGTCGCCCAGGCTGGAGTGCAGTGGCCGTGATATTGGCTCACTGCAACCTCTGTCTCCCGGGTTCAAGCGATTCTCCCGCCTCAGCCTCTCGAGTGGCTGGGACTATAGGCGTGCGCCACCACGCCTGGCTAATTTTTGTATTTTTAGTAGAGATAGGGCTTCACCATGTTGGCCAGGCTGGTCTGAACTCTTGACTTCAAGTGATCCGCCCGCCTCAGCCTCCCAAAGTGGTGGGATTACAGGCGTGAGCCACCGCGCCCGGCTGCTTCAGCCAGGGTTTCTTTTCCTTATTCTTGATCCTTTTAAAATAGTCAATATCAGCCTCTTTTCCATCCTGATCATTTTCATTTGCAATTTCCTCTACACGGCATTTCTTTTCTTCCTCTTAATACTTACTCTGTATCACCAGTCTTCTGTGGACCAAAACCAAAGGGAGAAGGTGTTCGCTAGCCCTAAAACCAGGCCTTCGATCTCCACAGTCACCTGAAATGAGAAAAATCTCATTTCCCAACACCAGGGGGTGTCTATCCCTCTAACTGTCCTACCCTTAAGGTAGAGATTAGTCCCAAACCTTTTCCTCACTCCTTTTCACTGCTTCTACATACACACTATATCTCTTTCCCTCCCTCTCAAAGTAGAGATTAGTCCCATTTTCCTGACTCCTTTTCACTGCTTTTACAAATCACAAAACTTTTGGGTCCAGAAGGTGGTGCCTTTTTATTGCAGTTTATCTGTTTGTCTCTCATTCTCTCTGGACAAGCTTGTCCTTTCCTTTGTCTGCGCACCCTTCGGTCTCTGCATCGTCCACACTCCTCTTTGCTCCTCAGCTCTCCCTTTCTTTCGCTACCTCTTCCCTCTTCCACCTCTCTCTGTGGGCTTCGTCGCCTTTCAGGGCTATCTTTACGTACACGTCTCTGAACCTCTTTATGCATTTGTCTTCTTTCTCTCTGTCTTCCTCTTTATGGCTCTCTCCTTGTCTCACCATTTCTGTACCAGTCTCTCTCCATCTCTCCCACAGTCCCCACGCTGGGAACAAAGTCACGGTGCTAGCGCAGAACATGCCTCCTGTCGTCCGGTCCCGGGACGCGACACATTCCACCATGCCCCTCCGCGCATTCCAACTGCAGACAAAGAGTCCCCGTCCCCTACCCCCACACTCTTTCCTATTCCAATTCTTCAGTGTTGTAGGGGCAGCTGCCCCAACTGCCCCTGCCCGCCTCTCACGTCCAGTCCGCGGGTCTCCACATCCAGGGCAGTTAGCGCCTTCCGCTGCACGCACACCAGCTATCCCTGCGCGGACACCCCCGGCGCTCTCGCACACACCGCGCTCCGCCCCCCTAGGAAAGTAGATCCGGCCAGGCAGACAAAAGTTTGGGAGAGAAGTTCGGTCTGTGGCTAGCGTGAGAGCTAGGGGGGCGGGGGCCGGGGAGAGTGGGGCAGTCGGGCGAGTCGACGCGTGAACAGATAGACCTGCGGACTGGACAGCCGCGGCCAGAGACCCTGCTAGCCCCGCTCAGCCCCAGATGCGCGGGGGGACGCAGCCCCTCCCGCTGGGGGATGCTGTGGGATTCCTGGCGCAGGGCATCCAGGCCGCCCGCTAAGCCCCTGTGCCTCCCCTGTGCCCCTGGGGAACCAGAGTCCGGCTGCAGGGAAAGAGAACCGGCCGCCGAGACGCCGCAGGGTGCCAGGCGGGGAGGGGGCGAGAGGCCCCAGGCCCGAGGGCATGGAGCGGTTAGGAGAGAAAGCCAGTCGCCTGCTGGAGAAGTTCGGCCGCAGAAAGGGTGAATCTAGCCGGTCTGGGTCTGACGGGACCCCCGGGCCGGGCAAGGGGCGCCTAAGTGGGTTGGGGGGACCTAGGAAGTCAGGGCCCCGAGGAGCTACTGGGGGACCTGGGGATGAGCCGTTGGAGCCGGCCCGGGAGCAAGGTTCCCTGGACGCTGAGCGAAATCAGCGCGGCTCCTTTGAGGCGCCGCGCTACGAAGGCTCTTTTCCCGCGGGGCCGCCGCCCACCCGGGCCTTGCCTCTACCTCAGTCGTTGCCCCCCGATTTTCGGCTGGAGCCCACGGCCCCGGCCCTCAGCCCCCGCTCTAGCTTCGCCAGTAGCTCGGCCAGCGACGCGAGCAAGCCGTCCAGCCCCCGGGGCAGCCTGCTGCTGGACGGGGCGGGGGCTGGCGGAGCTGGAGGTAGCCGGCCCTGCAGCAATCGCACCAGCGGCATCAGCATGGGCTACGACCAGCGCCACGGGAGCCCCTTGCCAGCGGGGCCGTGCCTGTTTGGCCCACCCCTGGCCGGAGCACCGGCAGGCTATTCTCCCGGAGGGGTCCCGTCCGCCTACCCGGAGCTCCACGCCGCCCTGGACCGATTGTACGCTCAGCGGCCCGCGGGGTTCGGCTGCCAGGAAAGCCGCCACTCGTATCCCCCGGCCCTGGGCAGCCCTGGAGCTCTAGCCGGGGCCGGAGTGGGAGCGGCGGGGCCCTTGGAGAGACGGGGGGCGCAACCCGGACGACACTCTGTGACCGGCTACGGGGACTGCGCCGTGGGCGCCCGGTACCAGGACGAGCTAACAGCTTTGCTTCGCCTGACGGTGGGCACCGGTGGGCGAGAAGCCGGAGCCCGCGGAGAACCCTCGGGGATTGAGCCGTCGGGTCTGGAGGAGCCACCAGGTCCTTTCGTTCCGGAGGCCGCCCGGGCCCGGATGCGGGAGCCAGAGGCCAGGGAGGACTACTTCGGTGAGTGAGAGAAGTGGTTAGGGACGGGAAGGGACCCGTCACGGTATTCGGTTCTCCACTGCCCCGACGGCCCAAAGTGCCGGTGCCCCGGGGTCCGAGGTGAAGACGCGGGACTAGGAAAGAAGCAAGAGGGATGGATGGGGGCGGCCCCAGAGCACTGTCCCCTTCCTGCTAGTTTTCAGATGAACCAGGGCTCCTTATTTCTGCTAAATTCAACCCCCCTGGTATCTCGTGAGTCCGTTTCTCAAGCATTTGAACCTCGGTTTTTTGCGGCAGGAGGCCTCGTAGGGAAGGGACCAAGTGGGGCAGTGAAGGCGCATCCCCCCCAACTTGCTCCCCCCTTTCACGGCGGTGCCCCTGGAGGTTTGTGCGCGCCGCGCCCCCACCCGGGCCCAGGCTCCGCCCGCAGGAATTCGGAGAATGCGCGGGTGGGGGGGCGGGGCAGGCTGGCCGCGTGCGTGCCGACTCCTGCCCGGGCGCTCCAGGTGCCCGCGGGCGGGGCGGCTGCCGCCGCGCGGCGGAGGGGTGGGGTTCGGGGATCGGGGGACGCTCCCTAGCATACGCGGAGTAGTGGCGGCTGTCGGGGAAATGGAGCCTGGGAGACAGGATGGAGCGCCCTGGGACCCAACTGCTGTCCCTCCCCAGTCCTGTTGGCTAGGTGCGTGCGTGGGCATTTAATCAGAGACCCAGTAGTACCAGCTTCTATTTTCCCCATCCTCCGGAAGTCAGGGTAAAAGTCATGACTACTGGGACACCATTACCTCTGGATGGATAACGACCCTGTGTTATTGCCAGAAATAACTTGGCCTTGAATTCTGCTTATAACCTCTCAGAATTCAGGCCAGAAGTAGCGCCTTACTTCCTGACACTGTTAAGGAAACCTGGTCGCTGTCTCCCTCCCCTACTCTGTTCAGGAAGTATTGATTGATTATATGTCTCAGCTATGAGGAACATTAGGGTCTTGAAAGATCTTTTAGTCAAAATTCACAGGCACTGCTACACACATAAAAAACTTCGAATCTGATTGTGATTGGAAAGAAGTGGCAGGCTTACCGCCTAAGGGCTGTGGGCCTCTTTCACTTTTCTAAGCATCTCTTCTTACCACTCATGCCCCACTCCTGGACCCCATGCTGTAGAACTCTATGGCTAGAAAAGTGAATAGGAAGAGGAACGCGGCCAGGGAGGGATGGTTGGGTAGGAGGTTCAGAGGTAGCAGGGCGGCAGGCTATAAGGGCATAACTCAACCCCCAGCCTCCACCCCCATTCTTTTCCCCACCTCCAAATCCACCGAGAGGAAAGCCCAGAGGAGATGATGCCAAACCGCTTTGATCAAGGAAGACTGAATGACAGGGCCCATTTAGCAGTTTCATTTTGAGGCCCAGGAGAGGTGGCTAGTAAAGAAGTCTTTTTGGCTGAACCATCAGAGCCAAAAGGAAGAAAGGAACTCAGAGAAACTGCAATAAAATGGCAGGAAGAACATAGGTATAGATATGCTGGGTTAGAGGAGGTGAGGCCAACGTGCCTGAGCAGTTTCGTTTGCTTTTCCCATAACGTCCAAGGTTTCCTAAAGAATGGCTCCGACAGGACCCCCTGGCATGGCAATCTTGGGGCAGATCTTCACTTCCATGAGGAAGCCACATTTTGAATTCAGAGATGGGGGCCCCTTCTCCTTGGGAGTCAGGTTGCCTCCTTTGACAGAACCCCTACATACCCCTTGTGCCGCTAGCCCCAGCTTGACTGTACCCTCCTCCTGCCCCTAGTAGGGGCCCTCTTCCTTGGCTTCAGCCTTGCCCAGCTGCCAGAGGGTGGGAGCAGGACAGGCCTGGGCCCATCAGTTGCTGCAGCTGCTGCACAGGCTCCCAAGCCCCTGGGCAAAGACTGGGATGGGCCCCAACAGGCAGGGAGTGTGGCAGCGTGCCGAGGGGGAGAGGTGGGGCAGGCCCGTTGGGATCTGCTCCCCAAAGACAGGCCCTAGCCCTCACTCATGGGCCTGGAATTGGGGAGTGGAGGGAGGGAAGAACACACCCAGGAAAGGCAAGTCCCAGAGCCAGGTGTATATATCTTAGTGGGGGATTTTGGGGAATAGCAAGCAGTTCAGTTCTGTATTCTTCCCATGATAGAAGGTGACTAGGAGGCATCAGGGGCTCTGCTACTCTCCCTGCTTTCCTGTTCAACCCTGGTTCCTGGAACACACCCTGCATTCTCAGCAGCCACCTCCCCACAGGAATCATGCTCACATGGTCCCCTCTGCACGGAGCCCTCTGCCAAGCCAGATCCTTTTCTCCATCCTTGGAAGTCTGCAGTGGAGAGAAATCATTCTATAACTGAACAGCTCGTTTGACTGATGGGAAACTGAAGTCCCAGAGACGATTTCTGGGCCTAGCCTGCTTTCTCTAGAAAGTATTTTCAAGTCTGCTGCTGAGCACCTGTGGACTGGCATCTTTGACCGTTCATCCTACACACTGCAACAGAGATCATACCTTGCCTGTGTAGTCTTTTCTCCCCAACAGAAACTAAGCATCTGAATGCCAGGGACCATATCTTCGACTTTCTCCAGGTTTCCTTAGGTAGTGGTGCTGTGTTAAGCACAAAACAGATGCTCAGAAAATATCTGTTGAGTAATTAAATAAACAAGAATGGATCTGCTCAGCCAAGATCTTGCTGCATCTCATTACTCGTTATCTTCTCTACTCAGAAGGGAGCCCATCAAAGGGAGACTGTGACCCCTGGCACATCAGGAAAGGGCAGTCAGGAAAGCTTGGGAATCCCTGGTTTTGACCTGGGGGAGTAGAGTGTGACACTTTTCTCTTCTCAGGCACCTGTATCAAGTGCAACAAAGGCATCTATGGGCAGAGCAATGCCTGCCAGGCCCTGGACAGCCTCTACCACACCCAGTGCTTTGTTTGCTGCTCTTGTGGTGAGTGTAGCCCCAATACTCAAGCACTCCCCTCCCCTGCCCACATACACACTTACAAGTGCTATGGGGAACAGGAGGAGAGCTTGTGCCTCTTCATTTGCTCACAGAGCAGCTGTTGGATCCCCACCAAGTGTCTGGAGGTCCGCAGCTGCTCTGCCTCTCTTGCTTCCCTGTCTGTCCTCTACTTGGCTCTCCCTCCGCCTGGTGGGTCCCCTTTCTGGAGTCCCTCCTTCCTTCCTCACCTCTGTTTCTCCCTCTCGTGCTTCCCTGCTTGCCCATCCTGGACTTGCCTGGCCCTCCAGCTTCTTGGTGGGGCTTGGTCTTGGGCAGCCAAGTTGCCTGGGGCGACAGTGAAAGACTGGAATGTGGGGAGGGTGGGGGCAGGCTGGGGGAGTGGGGAGCTGTTTGGGGCGGAGAGGGGGGTTTTCTCTTGGCTGGTCAGAGTTCAGCCACCTCACTGGAGTGCAGGCCACCGGGCCATGCCAAGCTGATGACATCACGCTCCAGGAATGCCTGCCACTGTTAGCTCAGGAGGCCCACTTGGAAAGGGGGGATGCTCCCAGCGGCCTTAACTGCCCCCCTCCCCTCCCTCATTACCCCCTCCTTACTGCTTACCCATTCTGATTCCTTTGCTAAACCTTTAATCTCCTATCTCTGCCTGTCTGACTTCAGCACTCAGCTTTTCTCACTCCCCCAGTTTCTGCCTGGTTCTCTTTAGGCTCATCTGTCTGTCTATCCTTCTGTTTACAGGGCCTCTTCTGGCTATATCTCTTTCCCTATCTTTCCTCCCCTGTGTCTCATGAGCTTCTAAGTCAGCTTTCCTAACCCACTGGACAGAGTTGGAAGTAGGGATTTTGAGGGGAAGAAGGCAAAGGTGGGAAAATTGCTCATGCTCCACCTGTTCTCACTCCTTCCCTATCCCTGATAATGTAGACACCTGGGAGCAGTTCCTGGGGGTTGGTCACATGGGGAATTGTCCTGCCTTGTCTGCTGGAAGAAGATCCTGGGTTGTCTCTTACCCCAGTGACTCTGGGTCCCTCTAAGCTTAGGGAAGCAGCCTTATACAAACAGGAGAGGGGACCTGCTTTGCTTCCAAACAAAGCACTTTGTCCTTCTGCAGTAACTCCAGTCCTGACCTCCATGGAGTCTGTCCCTGGAAGGAGACAGGCATTTGAGAGCAGGATAGATATGCTCAGGCAAAGAGGCTTCTAGGTTGAAGGGTCCCAGAGGGAAAGGCCTGTTAACAATGTGGTTCTCTCTATGCAAATCATATAGCACCTTATTAAGAGCTCACGTATTCCAGCACGTAGTTGGCTTTACTCTCCCAGGTGGCTTCCTATGCACTGGAGAGGAAGGCAGTTTGTTTAGGGGAGGGGCCCTAGAAAACTGTTAAGGAGGCAGGAGCTGGAGGAGCAGCAAGCAGAGGAGAGGGGAAGTTGGCTGGAATGAAGCCAAAGCAAATTGGAATTGCATCAGATGGAATTTTTGTGCGGGGAAGGACAGACAGCAGTTAGGAGGAAAAGCACAAAGTCCAGGTTTAAATATATTATGCAGCAGCGGGGAGCAGTGACCCCAGAAGTCTTGCACCTGGGCTGTGGGATAGGTTCCAGCCCCTTCTCTATTGTTTCTAGGGCGAACTTTGCGTTGCAAGGCTTTCTACAGTGTCAATGGCTCTGTGTACTGTGAGGAAGATTATCTGGTGAGTAAGGGTCACCTGGACCTGGAATTGGTTTCCATACTGACCCCCTTCTTGGTGGCCCATTGGAGTACCACCCATCATTCTCAGTTTGATAACAGCCTCCGTTCGTCTTGTCTTTTACTTTAGTTTTCAGGGTTTCAGGAGGCAGCTGAGAAATGCTGTGTCTGTGGTCACTTGATTTTGGAGAAGGTAAGTAAAGTGCTTTCAGCTGAGAAGTCTCACTGTGAGGCTGAGGAGCGGGATCAGGGACTAAATGGATATTGAGAGAAGGTTGGGGAAAGAAGCCTGTCACCAGATGAATCACTTTCATCCCATTCCTCCCCAGAGCAACTGTTTACAGTGGCTTCCCTCTGCCTATGGGATCAAGTCTGGGCTCAAAAGCCTGTCAACCCAGGCTTCTATGACCTAGCCCCTCCCTAACTCTGCAGGCACAGCCAGGCCTTCCAGCCTGAGCTAGGAGTGTGGGGTCCTGAGTCTTTTTTTTTTTTTTTTTTTTGAGACAGAGTCTCGCTCTGACAAAGTGGAATGATCTCGGCTCACTGCAACCTCCGCCTCCCAGGTTCAAGTGATTCTAGTGCCTCAGCCTCCCAAGTAGCTAGGACTACAGGCATGCGCCACCATGCCTGGCTAATTTTTGTATGTTTAGTAGATAAAAGGTTTTGCCATGTTGGCCAGGCTGGTCTCGAATTCCTGGCCTCAAGTGATCCTCCTGCCTCAGCCTCCCAAAGTGCTAGATTATAGGCGTGAGCCACCATGCCCAGCCTGGGGTCCTGAGTCGTCTTCTTTTTTTTTTTTTTGAGATGGAGTCTCACTCTGTTGCCCAGGCTGGAGTCCAGTGGTGCGATCTCGGCTTACTGCAAGCTCCGCCTCCTGGTTCACGCCATTCTCCTGCCTAGCTGGGACTACAGGCGCCCGCCACATGCCCGGCTAATTTTTTGGTGTGTTTTTAGTAGAGACGGGGTTTCACTGTGTTAGCCAGTATGGTCTCGATCTCCTGACCTTGTGATCCGCCCACCTCGGCCTCCCAAAGTGCTGGGATTACAGGCGTAAGCCGCCGCGCCCGGCCAGTCCTGAGTCTTAATCCCCTTTCTGCTACTGGTTAGAATCACTTGGGACTCAGTTTTCTTTTCTGTAAAAACAAAAGATAGGATTAAATCAGTGATTCTCAATCATGGTAGCCTAGCAGATCAGCTGGGAAGAACTAAAAAACAAAACAAAACAAAAAACAGTGTTTGGATCCCATCACCACAGATTGTGATAATAGGCCTGGAGGAGGGCCAAAGCATTGATGTTTTTTAAAAGCTGCCTAGGTGATCCTGATATGCAGCCAGAGTGAAACACTGCTGGCCTGAATGCTCTCTCAGGCACTTTTCAGGGTCTCCGCCTCCATTTTACGACTTCTTCACCGACATTACATAGCATTGTTCTGGGAGTATAGCAGCGGGTTGGATGAGGTTAATGGGAGTAATAAGGAGCATAATGGGCAGCTGGAGAGCTGGGACTGGAGGGAGACTGATTCTCTTGCTACCCCATGAGCCAGATCCTACAAGCAATGGGGAAGTCCTATCATCCAGGCTGTTTCCGATGCATTGTTTGCAACAAGTGCCTGGATGGCATCCCCTTCACAGTGGACTTCTCCAACCAAGTATACTGTGTCACCGACTACCACAAGTGAGTCTGCCCCTTGGGATGCAGTGTGGAACTGGGTCCAGGGATTCCCCAGCCTCAGCTCATCTCTTCCCTCTCTCTTTCAGAAATTATGCTCCTAAGTGTGCAGCCTGTGGCCAACCCATCCTCCCCTCTGAGGTCAGTATGTCTGGGTTCTCCTTCAGGGCAGCCAGTGCCACTGCCTTTGGGGAGGGGATAGGGACATGCTGCCTGGCCTCCTGCCAGAAGTGGTAGTGCCAAGGAATGTACTCTGTGAAGATTCCCGTGTGACTCTGCCTCTTGGGGTCACCACCCTGACCCTAATATCCGGGCCTGGACATGTCTGAAAGCCTAACTGGGCCCAGGCTCCATCTCTTCTATCCCAGTCCAGAGGAGGAGACTTTCTTTGAGGTCGAGGTCACCAGACTGCAGATGTAGGGGCTGGAAAAAGGTGGGAAGAATCCTCAGCACTGGTAGGAAGGGGTCAGAAATGATTTAAGCTGAGTGTAGGGGATGTGCCTATGGAGAGAAACCAAAAGCCAGTGAGGACCAGATCTTATTGGATCCCCTTGTTCCCAGCCTAGCCTACTTTATTTAGGCCTCCTGTCCCCTTCCCTTCCCTTTGCTTCCTGCACAACTGAGAGACGCAGGTAAGGCCAGGGCTGTTGTACAGAGGGAGTGTGCTCCATGGGTGCAGCCCAGTGAAGGAGATGAGAGTTCTGGTAGGATTTGCAGAAGCATCTTAAAACTACAGGTGATTGCAGAGAGACTCTGGGGGCATTTGTATGATCTTCCCATGGGGTGGGAAGGGTTGTATATGAGGGAAAGGTGGAGGTGAGGCAACATGCTGCTCTCATCTCCATGGGGGTCTGCATGTTTCAGGGCTGTGAGGACATCGTGAGGGTGATATCCATGGACCGGGATTATCACTTTGAGTGCTACCACTGTGAGGTGAGTGTTGGGGTTCAGCGGTGCTGGAGAAGAAGTGGAAATGGGGAGAGGGGAGGAGTCAAGTCCTGCAACAACCAGACATCTATGGGAGAGGTGTAGGGCATGGGAAACCAGAAAGATATTGTGACCTATCTTCAGTCTCTTTTTTGTCCTCCAGCCACTCTCTCTGGTCCAAGTAGCTTAGTCCTTTCTGAATCTGACTCTCCCAGAGTCAGGACTTTCTAAGACTAGGGACTCTGGTCAAACTTCTTGAAAGACAGGCTTGTGTCATTATTTCTGCTGCAGCAGTGACACCTGGTGTCCAGCTGAGGTATTAGTATTTTCTCAGATTGCTCTTCCATCCCTTCCATCCTTCCCTTCCCACCCCATCCCTTTCTTCCAGTTATTAGGAGTCAGGTGTTGAGCAGGGCAGACTCCTAAGATACCCTCAGTGTCCAAGGTGCCTAGGCTGAGGTGAACTAGGTGCCTTCTTCCCTAGGACTGCCGGATGCAGCTGAGTGATGAGGAAGGCTGCTGCTGTTTCCCTCTGGATGGGCACTTGCTCTGCCATGGTTGCCACATGCAGCGGCTCAATGCCCGACAACCCCCTGCCAACTATATCTGAGCTGCAATCACTGCTGCTGCTGTCACCCTGCAGACAAACTGCTGTGGCCAGTGGGCCCCTCTGAGGCCAGCCAAGGCAAAGAATGCACTCTGCAGGCCTGGCAGAAGAGTCCTCTGGGGAGGACCCCAAGGGCCGGAGACCCAAAGATCATGATATTCCAAATGGATTGTGGAAGAGAAACCTTATATTTACCAGGGTGGGGGCGACTGGCCTTTTTCCCATGTGTGCAGTCTGAGCTTAGGCACACACAGGAGGGTTCCAGGACTTTCTGAACATCTGATTCTGTATCTTCAGTATATATATTTTGTTTGTTTTAGAGATGGGATCTCACCATGTTGCCCAGGCTAGTCTTGAACTCCTGGGCTCGAATGATCCTCCCACCTTGGCCTCCCAAAGTGCTGGGATTATAGGCGTAAGCCACTGTGTCTGGCCTAGTGTATGATTATGCATGAGTCACGCAATGTTCTGGTCCTGGATTCCAGGAGTAGAGGACCTAGCTTTAAATCAATTAGTTTCAGCTAAACTGACTAGAACCAAATCAAAGTGTAATTCTCCCTCCAGCTCCCCCAAACCCCAGAGTTTTGGGGTTGTGGTTGATGCAGTGTGGGATGTCCCTGAGAGGTAGCAAGTCTAGGGTGGTGAGTTCCTGCTAGGCAACCAAATTTAAGCTCCTCACTTTTTGTGACACATGGTGTCAGATATGGGGTCCCGCACCTATATCTGGATGAAGAGGTAGAAACTCTGGACCTCATTAATGAGTTATTTCTTGGCCTTCTTCTAAGGACTAGGAGAGCTCCTTATCTGTCTGAGAATGGGGACCAGCTCTGAGTGGGGTTGCTGCCTGTATTCCCTGTTTCTCAGGAACTTACATGGGTCTGGGGAGGCTAGGTAGGTGATTGTACGTGGTTGCTCTTCTCCTTGGCTGGGGGAGGTAATGAGCAGATCTCTGTGGGTGTGGAGCTTGTTGGGGGGATGTCTAGGAAGCTTCAGCTTAGCCACATTCCCAAGTTTAGGTGCACTGAGCCATATAGCCCAGTGTATGCATGTGTGGGTGTGTTCATGCACACACACACTCTCTCTCTTGTCTCTCTGTCTCTCTCTCACTCTTTCTTACTCTCTTCTCAGGTCACTTGTACACTTGGTTTCCTAGTAGAAGCTCACTTGCCACCTCTCAGAGGGGTCCCGGATTGCATCCATCACAATCCCAAAACTAGAGTTGGGGGGAACTGGAGGGAGCAAAACACTGATTTGATACTAGTCAGTTTGCTTGAAACTAGTTCACCTAAAGCTAGATCTCTTAAAACCAATTTACTGAAAACTTGTTTGCTTAAAGTTAATGACTTAATGACTAATTTGCCAAAAGCTCAATTCCTATTTTGGTGTGTTTATATCCATTTAGGTGTCCTATTCTTTTTTGTCATGCTTTGGATATTTCAAGGATTTATATCTATTCATCCAAGAGTACTTCTGAGCTATTATCAGCAACATAAATTTATCAAATTTGCAGCACTTTGTAAATGATGAGATTGCTTCCTACCTTTATGGATGTCTTTTTCTATGTTATCTACCATTCAAAAACTTTTTTAAAAAGTTTAAAGTTTCTAGCAATAAATACAATTGGTACAGACATTTTGTGTATCATTTTTTTGTTTCTTAATCCAATATTCCTTTACAAATTAAATGCCTTGAAAAATATAATGGAGTTCAATGTGATTTTGATGCTTTGGTCTAACTTCTACATTCCTACTGTTAAAAAGGCCAGTATATCTTAAACAAATGAATAGGCATGAGGCATATTCAGTTGACTTACAATGAAAAGTTATACAGACAACAGTAATAACTAAAAGGGTGAATCTGCTAAATCCTTTTGAAATGCTGCAGATTTGATAAATATTTATTTTAGACTAATTGGTTTTAGGTGAATTGGTTTTAGGCAAATTAATTTAGTAATCTTTGATCTTTAGTCTTCATTTTCTGTCACTCAGTGAGTTTCTTACTGGAAATGATGACTCCTGACAACAGAATTTCCACATTTGGGGGCTATTCTAAGGTGACTATGCCAGCCAACCTGGGAAATACATAAAAGAGATCTCTGAGTGAGAGGGAAAGAGGTCAGATTTATACAACTGAGCGCCAGAGGGGAAAATGCACCTTGTTGGAGTGAGAAATGTTCTGAAACTGAATTACTTCTTGTACAGCTGAGATAGCTTCTTCTGAACTATTATTAAATAAGTGAATACAAAGGCCCTATGATGGGAAATCCAGACAAGCTTGTGTAACTTTACATCCATCCCCTCAGGGATATTTTTTTTTTTTTTTTTTTTTTTGAGACAGAGTCTCACTCTGTCGCCCAGGCTGGAGTGCAGTGGCGCTATCTCGGCTCACTGCAAGCTCCGCCTCCCGGATTCACACCATTCTCCTGCCTCAGCCTCCCAAGTAGCTGGGACTACAGGCGCCCGCCACCACACCCGGCTAATTTTTGTATTTTTAGTAGAGACGGGGTTTCACTGTGTTAGCCAGGCTGGTCTCGATCTCCTGACCTTGTGATCTGCCTGTCTCGGCCTCCCAAAGTGCTGGGATTACAGGCATGAGCCACTGTGCCCGGCTCTCAGGGTTTTTTTTTTTGACAGAATCTCGCTCTCTTGCCCAGGCTGAAGTGCAATGGTGCAATCTCAGCTCACTGCAACCTCCGTCTCCTGGGTTCAAGTGATTCTCCTGCCTCAGCCTCCTGAGTAGCTGGGATTATAGGCCGGCGCCACCACACCTGGCTAATTTTTGTATTTTTAGTAGAGACAGGGTTTTGCCATGTTGGCCAGGGTGATCTCAAACTCCTGACCTCAGGTAATCCGCCTGCCTTGGCCTCCCAAAGTGCTGGGATTACAGTTGTCAGCCACTGAGCCCTGCCTCTTTTTTTTTTTTTTTTTTTTAAGAGTTGGGAGTCTTGCCCAGGCACAGTGGCTCACCCCTGTAATCCCAGCACTTTGGGAGGCTGAGGTGGGAGGATCATGAGGTCAGGAGATCAAGACCATCCTGGCCAACATGATGAAACCTCGTCTCTACTAACAATAAAAAAATTAGCCAGGCATGGTGGGGTGCACCTGTAGTCCCAGCTACTTGGGAGGCTGAGGCAGGAGAATCGCTTGAACCCGGGAGGCGGAGATTGCAGTTAGCCATCGCGCCACTGCACTCCAGCCTGGGCAACAGAGCAAGACTCCATCTCAAAAAGAAAAAAAAAGGCCAGGTGCGGTGGCTCACACCTGTAATCCCAGTACTTTGGGAGGCCGTGGCAGGCAGATCACGAGGTCAGGAGATTGAGACCATCCTGGCTAACACGGTGAAACCCCGTCTCTACTAAAAGTACAAAAAATTAGCCAGGCGTGGTGGTGGGCTCCTGTAGTCCCAGCTACTCGGGAGGCTGAGGCAGGAGAATGGCGTGAACCCGAGAGGCAGAGGTTGCAGTGAGCTGAGATCATGCCAGTGCACTCCAGCCTCGGCAACAGAGCAAGCCTCCATCTCAAAAAAAAAAAAAAAAAAAAAGAGTTGGGAGTCTCACTCTGTCACCCAGGCTGGAGTGCAGTGGCACAATTATGGCTCACTGCAATCTCTGCCTCCCGGGTTCAAGCGATTCTCCCGCCTCAGCCTCCCAAGTAGCTGGGACTACAGGTGTGCACAACCATGACTGGCTAAGTTTAAAAAATTTTTTTTTAGAGACAGCATCTCACTATGTTGCCCAGGCTGGTCTTGAATTTCTGGCCTCAAGTGATCTCCCACTTTGGCCTCCTAAGTCACTGGGATTACAAGCATGAGCTTCTGTGCCCAGCTCCTGACCCTTTGTTTCTTACTCTGATTTTGGCCTCTTCTGTTCCTGATCCGACTCATTCCTTTCTAGGTCTGTGCTGATTGTCCTAGCCTTGGGGCTCCCCAAGACTCTGTTCTTGCCACTGAGGCTACTTCTTCCTGAGGAAAAATAAATGATAACAGCTGATAAGGGCAGGCCATGAAAAAAGAGCAGTCCTAGCCACCCCAGCACCATCACTGGCAGGCTCCCAGGTGTACCCTGCATCACAAGAGCTTCCCTTCTTCCTATTTGCTGGGAGACTAATCCTCCTCAATATTTCTGTTTAGTATTTACAGTTTTTTAGTATTTACAGTTGATGATGAAAGATTCGTGAGGTGCTGCCAAATATACATCAAAAGGTGGAGCTTGTTTGGCCAACTTGCCACCTGATTTAATCAACAACTACTAGTGCTGAGATGCAGAAAGGGGGAAAATGGAGGAATTATGGACCAAGTCTGTCTTTATAGATGACAGTCACAGGACAAGGGTTAGGCTTTGACTGCAGACTTCAGTCTTTGCTCTGGCCAGCCCTGTTCACCACAGGCCTGAATGGGTTATCAAAAATAAAGCTGGTGGCCGGGCGCGGTGGCTCACATCTGTAATCCCAGCACTTTGGGAGGCTGAGGCAGGTAGAACACCTGAGGTCAGGAGTTTGAGACCAGCCTGGCCAACATGGTGAAACGCTATCTCTACTAAAAACACAAAAAATTAGTCAGGCGTGGTAGTGGGAGCCTGTAATCCCAGCTACTCGGGAGGCTGAGGCAGGAGAATGGCGTGAACCTGGGAGGTGAAGCTTGCGGTGAGCCGAGATCATGCCACTGCACTCCAGCCTGGGCGACAGAGCGAGACTCCGTCTCAAAGAAAAAAAAAAAAAAAAGCCGGGCGCAGTGGCTCACACCTGTAATCCCAGCACTTTGGGAGACCGAGGTGGGTGGATCATGAGGTCAGAAGATCAAGACCATCCTGGCTAACACGGTGAAACCCTGTCTCTACTAAAAAATACAAAAAAATTAGCCGGGCGTGGTGGTGAGTGCCTGTGGTCCCAGCTACTCGGGAGGCAGAGGCTGGAGAATGGCATGAACCCGGGAGGCGGAGCTTGCAGTGAGCCAAGATCGTGCCACTGCACTCCAGCCTGGGCAACAGAGCAAGACTCCATCTCAAAAAATAAAAAAAATAAAAAAAATAAATAAATCTGGTGATGGTTTTCTCTCTGCCTTACTCCTTAGAGAGTATCTTCCCCTCCACCACTTGGAGCTCTCTCAGGACCAGGGAAATGGTAAGATGCCATTTATAATCAGGCTGGAGACTGTCCTCAGTCAAGGAGGATGTAGAGAAAGACCTACTTCCAAGCACATAAAGCCAGCTGGATGAGAACCTTCAGACTGTACCTATAAAGAAGGGAATAAAAAGAGGAAAAGGGGCCGGGTGCAGTGGCTCACGCCTGTAATCCCAGCACTTTGGGAGGCCGAGGCCAGCAGATCACCTGAGGTCAGGAGTTCGAGACCAGCCTGGCCAACATGGTGAAATGCCATCTCTACTAAAAATACAACAATTAGCTGGGCGTGGTGGCGGGCACCTGTAGTCCCAGTTACTCGGGAGGCTGAGGCAGGTGAATCGCTTGAACCCGGGAGGTAGAGCTTGCAGTGAGCCAAGATCAGGCCACTGCACTCCAGCCTGGGCGACAGAGCAAGACTCTGTCTCAAAAAAAAGGGGGACCACGTGCGGTGGCTCAGGCCTGTAATCCCAGCACTTTGGGAGGCTGAGGCGGGCAGATCACGAGGTCAGGAGATCGAGACCATCCTGGCTAACACGGTGAAAACCCCATCTCTACTAAAAATACAAAAAATTAGTTGGGTGTGGTGGCGGGTGCCTGTAGTCCCAGCTACTCTGGAGGCTGAGGCAGGAGAATGGCGTGAACCCAGGAGGCGGAGCTTGCAGTGATCCGAGATCACACCACTGCATTCCAGCCTGGGTGACAGAGTGAGACTCCATCTCAAAAAAAAGGAAAAGGATGGCCAGGCACAGTGGCTCATGCCTGTAATCCCAGCACTTTGGAAGGCTGAGGTGGGAGGATCGCTTGAGTCCAGGAGTTCAACACCAGCCTGGGCCACATAGTGGGACCCTGACTCTACAAAAATAAAAAAGTTAGCCAGGAGTGGTGTCGTATGTCTGTAGTTCCAGCTGCTCTGGAGGCTGAGGTGGGAGGGTCACTTGAGCCTGGGAGGTTGAGGCTGTACTGAGCCATGATGGTGCCTCTGCACTCCAGCCTGGGCAACAGAGTGAGACCCCTGTGTCAAAAAACAAACAAACAAAAAAAAACAGAAAAGAACCAAAGGACTGAAATAAGATTAGAAGAAACAGGTAAGCTAAGGCGTTATTTAGTTTTGTGATGTAGAAGTTCCCATGCCCCCAGAGTTGGTCTGGGGTCATTCAGAGCCCTTATGGTAAAGTTCCATGAAAAGAGTCTAACCAATCTCAGTTCTCTCTGCCCTCTCCTACCTTACAGTGAGGAATACCTAAGAATGGGTTTCTTGCTTCTATAGGGGCCTCTGGAATATCCACACTTGGCACTGGTTGTGAAGGACTGAAGTTTTACCTTGAAAACATGAGCAAATCTTTACTGGGACATATAGATTAGACCAGAATAACTGTGATGATAGGAGAGTCATCAGAGACAAATTCTGTTTACTGTGGGTGTCATTTCACCTACAATTGACCTTACTTGGAAAGCATAGTGCTAATCCACGGGAAGGGAACCAGGTTACCATCCAAGCAGGGAGCGATGGTTAATAAAAGATACCAGTCAGGCTTAGACGGTTCAAACCAAGTGGGATGTGATTTTCGAGATAACCCAGTCACCTCATTTTACTGAATGAAGAATAGAAACTGAGTGATGATGTCACTTTCCCAAGGTCACACAGCTGGATAATGACTTTCCAACTTTTGAAGACCAATAAAGGGCCGTTTGCCTTCCTCCCTTCTTCCACCCCCTTTCATAGGGATTCCCACAGCACAAGTAAACTGTAAAGGTTTACGTATTGTAAATGAGATAAGCACTTCATTATGATAGAGAATTAGGGAAACTTTTAGTGGGAAAGCCGGGGAACACAAGCAGCAATAATGAAAACGTCTGGTTCTTACCGATGTTTTTTTTTGTTCATTAGGACTAGCAGTAGCCAAAGTACCTTTAAAAGCACACTAGGAGAAACAGGGTGGGTGCAGTAGCTCACGCCTGTAATCTCAGCACTTTGGGAGGCCGAGGTGACTGGATCATTTGAGGTCAGGAGTTTGAGACTGGCCTGGCCAACATGGTGAAACCCCTGTCTCTAATAAAAATACAAAAATTAGCTGGGTGTGGTGGCTCATTCGTGTAGTCCCAGCTACTCTGGAGGCTGAGGCACGAGAATCACTTGAGTCCAGGAGACAGAGGTTGCAGTGAGCTGAGATTGCGCCACCACACTCCAGCCTTGGTGACAGAGTAAGACTCTGTCTAAAAAAAAAAAAAAAAAAAAGGAGGCAGGGCATGGTGGCTCACGCCTGTAATCCCAGCACTTTGGACTTTGGGAGGCCAAGGCGGGTGGATCACCTGAGGTCAGGAGTTTGAGACCAGCCTGGTCAACATGGTGAAATCCCATCTCTACTAAAAATATAAAAAATTAGCCGGGTGTGGTAGTGGGCGCCTGTAATCCCAGCTACTCAGGAGGCTGAGGCAGGAGAATTGCTTGAACCCAGGAGACGGAGGTTGCCGTGAGCCAGCATGGTCCCACTGCACTCCAGCCTGGGTGACAAAGTGAGACTCCGTCTCAAAAAAAAAAAAAAAAAAAAAAACACATTAGGAGAAGCAAAGGAAATATACTGAGAGTCCCTGTCCTTGAGGAGGTCACAGTCTAGCCAGGGAGACAAATGAATGCATAAAATGACTTGAAAAGATTACAAGCAACATGTCAACAATTGCAAAGTAATTATTAGAAACAAAAGGCCAGGCATGGTGCCTCACGCTTGTAATCCCAGCACTTTGGGAGGTGGAGATGGGAGGATTGCTTGAGGCCAGCCTGATCAACATAGCAAGACCCCATCTCTATTCAAAAATTTTAAAAAGGCTGGGCGTGGGCCAGCCATGGTGGCTCACGCCTGTAATCCCAGCACTTTGGGAGGCCGAGGCAGGTGGATCACCTAAGGTTGAGAGTTCGAGACCAGCCTGACCAACATGGAGAAACCGTGTCTCCACTAAAAATACAAAATTAGCCGGGCGTGGTGGCGCATGCCTGTAATCCCAGCTACTCGGGAGGCTGAGGCAGGAGAATCACTTGAACCTGGGAGGTGGAGGTTGTGGTGAGCTGAGATCATGCCATTGCACTCCAGCCTGGGCAACAAGAGCGAAACTCGGTCTTAAAAAAAAAAAAGGACTGGCCGTGGTGGCTCACGCCTGTAATCCCAGCCCTTTGGGAGGCTGAGGCAGGTAGATCACTTGAAGTCAGGAGTTCGAAACCAGCCTGGCCAACATGGTGAAACCCCGTCTCTACTAAAAAACAAAAATTAGCTGGGCATGGTGGTATAAGCTTGTAACCCCAGCTACTTGGGAGGCTGAGGCAGGAGAATTACTTGAACCCCGGAAGCTGAGGTTGCAGTGAGCCGAGATTGCGCCACTGCACTCCAGCCTGGGCGACAGAGCGAAACTCTGTCTCAAAATAAATAAATAAATAAATAAATAAAATAAAAAAAAAAAAAACTGGTTGCCAACATTTATAACAGAAATTTCACATAAAAATCTGGATATTTTATATGAAGAGCTGGATTTCTAAGGTTTTGTTTGTTTGTTTGTTTTTTTAATAATCAGAAGATCTGTCATCCCTGAGCTTCCATTCCCACATGGCAGCAATCATTCTGTCATGACTCTGGACCCATCATCACTCTGTACCCTACGGCATTAGGTCCAGTTGTCCACTGGGACTGAATGATGGCTGCTCCTTTGTTTGGTGTAGTCTCTTCTTTGTCAGTCTCCACCACTCTGAAGTCTGCACCCTTCACACATTATTTACCCTCCTGGCTCCTGTAGACTTTTGGGTCAGTATCCCATGATTTGTATGATTCTGATGGGCTCCCTCCCCATCAAACCTTCCATTATTAATCATTTGAAGAAAGCAATAAATTAGTTTTGAAATGCTGCCCAAGAAATGCATCCATTTCAGAATTATCTGTGCCTGGGTTTTTTTATAAGGCAATTCAGTCATGGGAAACCCTGCTGGAATAATCTACTTGGCTACTATGGCTGCATACTGCAAATTAACTGAGCAAAATTTCCCTTCGATAAGTGGAATATAGAAAGTCTACTAAGTTGCTAACTTTCTCAAGGTTTTGCTTTTTTTGCCATAATACCTTAATCATAGGAGGCGTTTCAAAATTCACAATGTGTGTTCTTCCCAAGCATGAAACTCCAAATGTCCTTTAGTTGTTCTATTTCTCCCACTGGTTCTGATATAATTTTTAAAGGAGAATATCTCTTTCATGTGCAACTTGGTATAAAACAGTGTCACCACCAGCTTAAAATCCAAGGAGGCCAGGCATGGTGGCTCACACCTGTAATCCCAGCACTTTGAGAGGCCAAGGAGGGCGGATCACGAGGTCAGGAGATTGATACCATCCTGGCTAACACGGTGAAACCCCGTATCTACTAAAAAATACAAAAAATTAGCCGGGTGTGGTGGCGGGTGCCTGTAGTCCCAGCTACTCAGGAGGCTGAGGCAGGAGAATGGTGTGAACCTGGGAGGCGGAGCTTGCAGTGAGCCGAAATCGCACCACTGCACTCCAGCCTGGGCGACAGAGCGAGACTCTGTCTCAAAAAACAAACAAACAAACAAAAATCCAAGGAAAGCTGGATGCAGTGGCTCATGTCTGTAGTGCCAGGACTTCGGGAGGCTGAGGCTCAAGAAGATGGCTTGAGGCCAGAAGTTCGAGACCAGCCCAGCAACATAGTGAGACCCTGTCTCTACAAAAAATTTAAAAAACTACTGGGGCATGGTGGTGCATGCCTGTAGTCCCAGCTACTTGGGAGGCTGAGAAGGGAGGATCCCTTGAGCTAAGGAGTTTGAGGCTGCAGTGACCCATGCACTGCAGCCTGGGTGACTGAAACCGGTGCCACTGCACTTCAGCCTGGGTGACAGTGAGACCCTGTCTCTAAATTAATTAATTAAAATCCAGGGAAATACTTTTATCACCCTGGCACACGCTTTCAAGTTATAGCAGCATACTCAATCATTATAACAAGAATTGCCCACCTTGTGCTTCATGTCTAGCTTTTCAAAATGATACTGGTCTTCCCCTCCTGAATCAGTTTCCTTTATAGTCTCATATTCCTTTAAAAATGGTTTCAATCTGTCCCATTTTTGAGCCAAATTTCTTAGCTTTTCTTTGAGCTCTAAAATTTTCTATCAGGCCTACTTCATATACTAGTTCACAATAGTGTCTCAAAGTAAAACCAGGCTCATTCTAGTTTGTATAACAGAAATTTCTGTGAACAGACAGGCAACCCTTGAAGCCTCAAGGGCCTAGCTTTGAAATCCCCTTGGAGGTGTTAAGCAATTGAAAAAATGGCACATTATGAACATTTGTTCTAAAATTTTCATTTGATGTCATAGGTTGATTACATATTTTTTTATCCACTTGTTTTCTTCTTAAATTATGTGCTTACAGTAGGCATGAAATTTTCTAGCTTAATCATCAATAGTTGTAGCTCTGAATACCTTCATTTTCCAGTGAACAATCTTGAAAATAAATCTAAAATCTCTTGACTGCATGTAAAATTTTTTATTTCTGAAACTAGTTTCTCAGTCCATATAATATCAGAATGTATTCAAATACTTTCAAAGTGATATGGCTTATTTTTCAAGTTTTTCTAAATTATTGATCAGTTAAATATGATTCCAGCCAGTCACGGTGGCTCATACGCGTAATCCCAACACTTTAGGAGGCCAAGGCAAGTAGATCACTTGAGCCCAGGAGTTCAAGACCAGCCTGGAAAACATAGCAAGATACTGTCTCTACTAAAGACAAAAAAGTAACTGGTCTTGGTGGCATGTGCCTGGAATTCCAGCTACTTAGGAGGCTGAGGTGGGAGGATCACCCGAGCCTGGGAGGTCAAGGCTGCAGTGAGCTGTGATCATACCTCTGCGAGACAGAGAGACACCCTGTCTCCAAAAAAAAACAACAACAGTGATTCCAAGTTCCAATGCTATTTTAATGTCTTAGCTTTGCAACTGGTTATTGAAGCCCATATTTTTAGTGAGAACATATTCTACTCAAAGATTTCTATTGGTATCATAAATACTCACAGTACTCACAGTACTAAATACTAAATACTAGTACTAAAATACTCAGTACTAGTACTCACAGTACTAAATACTCACCTGGAATTTCTCTCTGGAATTTTTGTTTCCCGGCCTTAGTGTGGGAGGCAAAGTGCCTGCAATGTTCTTACAAATCTCCATTCTCTGCAATTCTAAACAATGCAGCAAAAGAATGTCCAAGTCTGAAAGGTTATGTAGACTTTTTCTCAGACTCTCATTTACATTTATCACTAAATTAAAAACATACATGAATAGTTTTTAGAAGACCAGGTCAACAGCAATGTCTGAAACGGTAGAGTTGGATTGAGGGCAGGAGTTATGTCTAATTTATCTTCCTACACCCTGACCTCCCACCCTTACAGGAGTCTAGCTCAGGAATACTTGAGTATGTTCTTGGCTTTATCATTAAAGAGCATTTAAGAAGTGAATGATTGTATTTTGCATATGGCATAACAGAAGGTGAGATGAACAACACTAATGAAAGGACAGGCCTATAAAAGCCAAGCATTCCATGGAATAAACAAAGCGATGTAAGGTATTTGTAGTGTGGTTGTGGCCGAAAATTCGTTTTTCAACAAATAAGTGCCTCACTGGAACTCGGAACCAACAATTAAGTATGGAGATAGGTACCCTGGGGCTGTTAGAAGCACCTCCTTAAATATAAACCCAAACAAATTAAGGTTTTGTTTTTGTTTTTTGTTTTTGTTTTTTTGAGACAGAGTCTTGCTCTGTTGCCCAGGCTGGAGTGCAATGGCACGATCTCGGCTCACTGCAACCTCTGCCTCCCAGGTCCAAGCGATTCTCTTGCCTCAGTCTCCTGAGTAGCTGGGATTACAGGGCACCTGCCACCACTCCCGGCTAATTTTTGTATTTTTAGTAGAGACAGAGTTTCACCATGTTGGTCAGGCTGGTCTCGAACTGCTGACCTCGTGATCCGCCCACCTCGGCCTCCCAAAGTGCTGGGATTACAGGCGTGAGCCACCGCACCCGGCCCAAATTAAGGTTTTAAATAGGATTTCATATTTATCAGCAATAAAATGACATTAACTTAAAAATGAATTGGTCGGGCGTGGTAGCTCATGCCTGTAATCCCAGCACTTTGGGAGACCAAGGTGGGAGGATCACTGGAGCCCAAGAGTTCGAGACCAGCCTGGGCAACATAGTGAGACCCCAACATAGAGAGTACATCTTTATTTGATTCAATTTACATAAGATTCTAGAAAGTCCAAACTATTCTATAGTGACAGAAAACAGAGTTGATGGTTGAGTAGGGCAGGGAGAAGCTAGAGAAAAGAATTACGTACGGGCACAGGTAAACTTTTAGAGTGTGATACATATGTTCACTATCTTGATCTTGGTGATGGTTTCACACATATATAGTTATATCAAAATGTATTGAATTGTACACTTTAAATACTGTGTGCCAAAATACCTCAATGAAGCTGTTTTTTAAAATTCTGGCAAAAAAGAGGGAAAGAGAAGGACAGAGGGAGAGAGAGAGAGAGAATATGAATGAATTCTAGGTCCTTTCTTACAATTCTTTCTTGTTCAAGGACACCGGATGGTGTCTGATTATAAACTTTTTTTCCCAGCACTTCACTGCACTCTTTTTTTTTTTTTTTTTTTTTTTGAGATGGAGTCTCTCTCTGTCGCCCAGGCTGGAGTGCAGTGGTGCAATCTCCGCTCACTGCAAGCTCCGCCTCCTGGGTTGACGCCATTCTCCTGGCTTAGCCTCCTGAGTAGCTGGGATTACAGGCACCCGCCACCACGCCCAGCTGATTTTTTGTATTTTTAGTAGAGACGGGGTTTCACCGTGTTAGCCAAGATGGTCTTGATTTCCTGACCTCGTGATCTGCCTGCCTCGGCCTCCCAAAGTGCTGGGATTACAGGCTTGAGCCACCGCACCCGGCCTTTGCTGCATTTTTAACTGCCAGGATGGACTATAGGCTTAACTTTCCAGTCTTACGTAGAGCTGGCCTATAAAATCCTTCACTTCGGTTGGTCCTGTCTCCTCTTGGACCTAGAATGCAGTTTATACTCCCCTTGTCTCTGCTTCCATTTGCTGGGATGTTTCCTTCATTCTAAATGATCCAAATTTTCTCTATCCTTTCAGGCCCAATGAAAGTAAGATTTATTTCATCTATTCTATCCTATCTATTTCTGCAGAAAGAATTCTGTACCTTCTTCATGTTTCTCTAGTATTTATAATCTAAACTGCTCTTTTGACACCAGTTTGCTGCCTTGTATTATTTGCTTTTCATGTGCATACGTCTTATCTTTTAGATTATGAACATCTTTGGGGCAAGGACTGGGCCATATTTAGCTTTGTGTCTCTCCCAAGGCACTTAATAGGTGCATAATAAGTGTCAATTTAAAACACCTCACTTTTAGTCTTTCCAATGCACTTTCTCAGCCATTATCTCATTTGATCATTACATCGACACTATGAGATTGGAGGAGCTAGAAATAAGTTATTTCCTCCTTTTGACAGATAAGGACCCTGAAGCCCAAGGTCACACAACTTGTAGAGACAGAGATGGAACAGATAATTGCACATGAAGGTCTGATCCAATTCAAGGCTTCTTTGCATCACTATCCCCTCTGTCCTCCTACCTGAAGACAGCTTGCTCCATCCTTCACCCCCTCATTCCCCAAAGTACTTTAGCCAAAGCTTCGTAGTACCATATTAGAGAACTTGACAAATCTGAGAGACAAAATTTCAGTAGATTTCCGATCAGCTCTGAGTCACCAAAGCATACTTGCTATTTTGTTCCAAGTGCCGTTTGCTATGGACATTATGCCTGATATTTAACTTTGCTGTGCTTCAGAGCTGAGGAAGCATAAATGATTTTTAAAAGCTTCAGAAAATGACAGCAGTTCAATATTAAGCATGAAAGGTGGCAGCTGATGAGCTGACCAAGAATATAAAATTTCTTCACTGGACCACACCATTCCTCTATGCATATTAATAGAATTCTGTAGCTGGTACTGAAGGAAAAGGCGAAACTCCCCATCTCTCAGCACACCTAACGGAGATTCCTTTCCTATCACTCCAGGCTATCACCTTATCTAATGTAAAAGATGTGATATACTTGGCACAGTTTACTTAGTATTGCATATTTTCTTTTTGTATTTTTTTTTTGTAGAGATGGGGATCGTCTCGCCATGTGGCCCAGGCTGGTCTCGAACTCCTGGGCTCAAGTGATCCTCCTGCCTCGGCCTCCCAAAGTGCTGGGTCAGGCATGAGCCACTGCACCCCGCCTAAACATTTTCTTTATTTTTAATTTTTATTTATTTTTAATTTTTTTCGAGACCGAGTCTCACTCTGTTGCCCAGGCTGGAGTGCAGTGGCACGATCTCAGGTCACTGCAACCTCCGCCTCCTGGGTTCAAGCGATTCTCCTGCCTCAGCCTCTGGAGCTAATTTTTTGTATTTTTAGTAGAGACGGGGGTCTCACCAGGTTGGCCAGCCTGGTCTCAAACTCCTGACTTCACGTGATCCGCCCGCCTCAGCCTCCCAAAGTGCTGGGATTACAGGCGTGAGCCACCATGCCCAGCTCTTTATTTTTTTAAATTTATATTTTTGAAATAATTCACCGAAGGTGTGGGTGGGAGTGAGGGTTGGGTTTAAGGTTAAGACAGGTGGGCCGGGCGCGGTGGCTCATGCCTGTAATCCCAGCACTTTGGGAGGCCGAGGCGGGCGGATCACGAGGTCAGGAGACTGAGACCATCCTGGCCAACGTGGTGAAACCCCGTCTCTACTAAAAATACAAAAAAAATTACCTGGGCGTGGTGGCGCCCGCCTGTAGTCCCAGCTACTCAGGAGGCTGAGGCAGGAGAATCGCTTGAACCCGGGAGGTGAAGGTTGCAGAGATCGCGCCACTGCACTCCAGCCTGGCAACAGAGCAAGACTCCGTCTGGAAAAAAAAAAAAAAAAAGATTAAGACAGGTGAAAGATATTTGGCCGGGCAGATTGCTTGAGGTCAGGAGTGCGAGACCATCCTGGCCAATATTGTGAAACTCTGTCTCTACTAAAAATATAAAAATTAGCCAGGCGTGGTGGCTCGTGCGGGTAATCCCAGCTACTCAGGAGGCTAGGGCAGGAGAATCGCTTGAACCTGGGAGGTGGAGGTTGCGGTGAGCCGAGATCGTGCCACTGCGCTCCAGCCTGGGCAACAAGTGCGAAACTCCGTACCCCCAAGAAAACAAACAAACAAACAAACAAAACAGGCGAATGAGGAATGCGCGCTAATAGGGAGTCTGTGGTGGGAATTCGAGAGGAAGGTGACCCTGAGGAAGCACTGTATGGTGCCCGGCATGGGCTGGGCTGGGCTGGGCTGGGCTGGGCGGCAGCGCCTCAGAGCCAGGCCTTAGTGAGGAGACTCGCAGGACGCGGCTTGGGTGGCAGGTCTGGGAAGGTTCCTTCCGAGAGCTATTGGGACAGGTTTAGACCCCCCAAATGGCGACCTCGAACTTAACCCTTTGTGCCTCAGTTCTCCCCCTCTGTAAAATGAGTATAATGGTGACTTTCTCACAGGACGCTTTAAGAACTAAACGAGGCCTGGCCGAGGGCGGTAGCTCACGCCTGTAATCCCAGCACTTTGGGAGGCCGAGGCGGGTGGATCACGAGGTCAGGAGATCCAGATCATCCTGGCTAACACGGTGAAACCCCGTCTCTACTAAAAATACAACAATTAGCCGGGCGTGGTGGCGGGCACCTGTAATCCCAGCTACTCGTGAGGCTGAGGCAGAGAATTGCTTGAACCCGGGAGGCGGAGCTTGCAGCGAGCCGATATTGCGCCACTGCACCCCAGCCTGGGCGACAGAGCGAGACTCCGTCTCAAAAAAAAAACGAGGCAAGGCAAGCAAAATGCTTGGCGTAGTGCCTGACTCATCGTAGGCCCTCAATAAATGTTAGCAATTACCACCATTTTCTCAGCATCTGCCCTTCACTGGGGAGGCACTAATGAGAAGGGGCAAAAAAGCCTTTCCGAGACCATCCTGTTTCCCAGTCCGGGTTCCACCACCCGAGCATGCGAACCCAGGGCGTTGGGAACCCAGCGCGCACCCGTCGAGGGGCGGGGCCTGCCGTTCCCGCCTCGAGTGTGGCCCCGCCTCCACCTCCTTCGTCGCGGCCTCTAGTGCACTTTCGGCTCCTTCCCCTTCCCGGGCCTTTCAGCTTGGTCTTTCCGGGCCTCGCTTCCCCCAGCCCCTGCGCCCGGCCCGAACGAGAGGTTCCGGAGCCCCGGCGCGGGCGGGTTCTGGGGTGTAGACGCTGCTGGCCAGCCCGCCCCAGCCGAGGTTCTCGGCACCGCCTTGAGAGCTTCAGCTGCCCCAGGGTGTGCAGGTTTGCTTTAGAGGGTCGGCGGGCGGAGCTTCGGGGAAGAGGAGCTCTGGGAGAGTCATTCCGGCCAGTGGCCGGAGACCGTCGTCGCTCTTGGGAATCCTTGGCCGCCCAGACAGAAGGGAAGTAGGCGCCGGAGAGCCCGTTCTGCATTTTGATTCATCTCGGGCCCTGTAAGGGTCATATCTTGTGAAAATAACCTGTAAAATCAATTTAACGTTCAGTGCAGCGTGTAAAGACAGCTCTAAGAATTTAAAAGACGCCTGAGTCAGAACATTTAAATGCTTGGGTCCCTGTAGCAGCGTTTTAACACGTCTGAGTGCAGAGGGTGGAGAATCGAGCCTGATTGCCGTTCACGCCCTGTAACCTTTAAGAAGGGTAAAGAAAGGCACCCTAAAAAACGCAAGGGGACACTTACCCTAGGGGGGGACGAACAGCTAGCTTTTTGGAATTTGGGTTGGTCTTCATTTCCAAGTGCGAAATTTGCCTGCAAAACTTTTTATTTGCAGTCATAGATCAACGATAAACAGAATTGTTAAAACACTGAACTTAACTAAGTAGTGGCTTTTGTTGACAAGTCGATTGTGTTATTAATTCTTAATGTCTCATCCAAGGCAGGAATCGTTATCTCAGTTTTGCAGGTGGGAAAAGTTTGGCACAGAAAAAAGCATTTTCCTTAAGTTCTCAGAAGCAACGGCCGGCCGAGCTGCAAATTAAGTCCCAGCATTCTGCCTCCTCAGCTGCGTCCCCCTCTAGACCATGTTAGAAAACAAATGAGTAGTTACTTTGATGTTACTCATAAAACGATCGAGTAAACCAAATGTTCTATAAACATGAAGCGTTAAATCATAATAACCTTCAATGCCTGTTCAGCTTTGGGAGGCTCAGTTGCCCTTTGGAGTTTGATACCTTGCAGAGAGGAGGGGCAGAGCAAAAACATGAAAAGTAATGTCAAGGGAAAATTTTTGTCTCCTGAGGTCAAACTGTGCCCATCTTTACTGCCCCTGTGTTGGTGTCATTCCTTTCAGCGCACTCCATGTTCTGGCAAAACACCCACAGCTCACGTTCTCGTTGTAGCCACATTACACCTTTGCATTACTCTTTTGCCACTGACCTCACTGTCAGTCTTCTTGTCACGCTGTTTCCTCCAGGTGCTCTTTTCTTAGGCTGTTATGTGAAAACCAGTTGTTCAAGTGTGGAATGATTTGTCATTCCTGAAGGATGATTCTAGAGTTAATGATAAAAAAAAAAAAAACTACCAACAGATCTTAGACAAAAAAAGAAGCACAAAAAAACTATTATGGAATTTGATAGCTGAGTTATTTGGGGGGAAAAAGTAGACTTTGATTTTTTTCCCTTTTCCCCCAGTTCACTCATAACTGGGAAGCTGCAGCTCAGTTTTAACTTTGGCATAATGGTGGTGGTGGTGGAGAATCCTCTTGTTTAGACTCAGTGAATTGGAAAGTTCTCTTTTTAGGATGCTCCTTTTGGACAGCTTGGAGCAAGTGGAAACACATGTGTGCTTAGAATGTGACATGTTTTGGCACTTGTAAATCTGTTTGTCCATAAAGCTTGTGTAAGAGCTTGGGACCCAGGATGTGTGGTATAGGCCCTCTGTAAAAGTCATCCTTGAGGTTCCTTTCCAGCTTGTGGACAGCAGAAATTTGAACATAAGGTAGTGTCCTTGGAGCAGCCAGCTGTTTATTCATCTTTTTGTTTTCTTTCACTTCTTGGTTCCACAGATTAGAATCCCAAGAAAATCAAATGGCATCCGGGGATTTCTGCTCACCTGGAGAAGGGATGGAAATACTTCAACAAGGTAAGAGTAGCCACTTGCAAAAGGTTTGATGATTTATCCAGAGAGGTCTTATCCAGGTTCTTGCCTTTTCTAGTAAAAAGCATTTATTGGCTCACACCTGTAATCCCAGCACTTTGGGAGGCTGAGGTGGGTGGATCACGAGGTCAGGAGATCGAGACCATCCTGGCTAACACGGTGAAACCCTGTCTCTACTAAAAATACGAAAAATTAGCTGGGCGTGGTGGTGGGTACCTGTAGTCCCAGCTACTCCAGAGGCTGAGGCAGGAGAATGGTGTGAACCTGGGAGGCGGAGCTTGCAGTGAGCTGAGATCGTGCCACTGTACTCCAGCCTGGGCAACAGAGCAAGACTCCAAAAAAAAAAAAAAAAAAGGATTTATAAGTTTCCCCAGTATGGTTTTCCTCACAGAAGCATGTGTTTCTGAGGAAACTGGAATACATGAAGATCCTTGAACACTCTCTTATTGGAAAACAGACTACACTAATTCCTGTTAATGTTGGTTCAATATCTGCTTGTGTAGTAGGCTAAAAACTCAAGATGCTCCCATGCTGATGTTAGCAAGCATATTATAAAAATAAGGGTAGCCAGCAAATTCCTTGAAGGTGTCCTTCCTACCTGTGTCTTAAATATTCTCATATCTTAGTCTCCAAAATTTCAGATCCTTCTATATCCTGAGTTCTTTCCATATCTCAGATCCTTTCTATATCTTGAATCCTTCAAGAGCTTGCATTTTCTATATCTTGACTATTTCCATATTGGATGCTTCAGTACCTTAGGGAAAAAGAGAGATTTCTTATTTCCCAAAAAGACTTTGGGTATAATGTTCCAAAGAATGAAAATTTGGGTGTTTTGGCAAGTAGAGGTAAAAGACCCCAACAGAGAGCATATGGAAAAAGAAATGGAAAGAAAGCTCCTTGAGCATATGGAAAAACCAGAGGATCTCAATTTCTTACACTTTTTTCTCATGCCTGTGCTGTTTTGTATCTACATGGGTTACTCAACTCTACTGACAATTATAAGTATTTGGGCCAGCTGGCCAGGTGTGGTGGCTCATGCCTGTAATCCCAGCACTTTGGGAGGCCAAGGCGGGCGGATCACCTGAGGTTGGGAGTTTGAGACCAGCCTGACCAACATGGAGAAACCCCGTCCCTACTAAAAATACAAAAATTAGAGGCTGGGCACGGTGGCTCACACCTGTAATCCTAGCACTTTGGGAAGCCGAGGCGGGCAGATCACGAGGTCAGGAGATTGAGACCATCCTGGCTAACAAGGTGAAACCCCGCCTCTACTAAAAATACAAAAAAAAAAAAAAAAATAGCTGGGCGTGGTGGCGGGTGCCTGTAGTCCCAGCTACTTGGGAGGCTAAGGCAGGAGAATGGCGTGAATCTGGGAGGTGGAGCTTGCAGTGAGCCGAGATCGTGCCATTGCACTCCAGCCTGGGTGACAGAGTGAGACTCCGTCTCAAAAAAAAAACAAAAAACAAAAAATATTAGCCAGGCATGGTGGCGCATGCCTGTAATCCCAGCTACTCGGGAGGCTGAGGCAGGAGAATCGTTTGAACCCGGGAGGTGGAAATTGCAGTGAGCCGAGATCACGCCATTGCACTCCAGCCTGGGCAACAAGAGCAAAACTCCATCTCAAAAGAAAAAAATAAAAAAGAATTTGGGCCAGCTGTGGTGACTCACACCTGTAATCCCAGCACTTTGAGATGCCAAGGTGGGAGGATCACTTGAGCCCAAGAGTTCAAGACCAGCCTGGGCAATGTAGTGAGACCCTGTCTGTAAAAAAAAAATTAGCCAGTCATCGTGGTTTGCCTTGTAGTCTCAGCTCCTCAGGAGGTGGAAGGATCGCTTGATCTGGGGAGGTTAAGGCTGCAGTGAGCTGTGATTGTGCCACTGCACTCCAGCCTGGGTGACAGAGTGAGACCCTGTCTCAAAAAGAAAAAAAAAAAATTGGTTAGTTGAACGTTTAACTTACTCTAAGTGTATTCTGTTAGTCTTGTTTATGCGACTACATATCACATCCAAAGTTGGAACTTCACGTGTTGTGTTTCTTTCCCCCTACTTCAAGAACTCTATTAATTTTGGATGAATGAGGCATTTTGTGTATTGTGATTCCTACTAACGGTCCCTTAATTTTTATTCTATTTGTCTAATATGTACCAACTGCATTTCCGTTTCCTAAGATCTTAGTTTATTACTTATTCCCCCTTAATATCCTTGTATATAATATAAATGCTTGTTACCTTGAATATTACCCTTGTTTATTTGTGGATTTTTAAAAAATCTCATTAGATTTAGCAATCTTTCCTATAAAAATCCTAGGGGTTTTTTGGAAGTATTAAGTTATGCTCAGTTATGTAAAGTAAGAGTCCACACCTTTTTTGTTTTTTTGTACCTGTGGGGACATGATGTTAAGTGTGCAGCAAACAACTTCCTCCTTGTAACCTGAGTAAAGAGGACCTGTTACAGAACCCATACTTCAGCAAGCTTCTCCTGAATCTCTCACAGCATGTGGATGAGAGTGGCTTAAGCCTCACCCTAGCAAAGGAGCAGGCTCAGGTAAGGGCTTTGGGAGAAGAGATAAGAAGAAGGGAAAATCCTGAGAGAGAGGTTCCTACCTGAGATTTTTTGGATTTCTAGGCATGGAAGGAAGTTCGACTGCATAAGACAACATGGTTGAGGTCTGAGATTTTACACAGAGTCATTCAAGAGTTGCTTGTGGACTACTATGTGAAGATACAAGACACAAATGTAACTTCTGAGGACAAAAAGGTGAGGCAAAGGCTGGGCGTGGTGGCTAACACCTGTAATCCCAGCACTTTGGGAGCCCCAGGCAGGCTGATCACTTGAGGTCAAGAGTTTGAGACCAGCCTGGCCAACATGGTAAGACCCCGTCTCTACTAAAAATACAAAAATTAACCAGGTGCAGTGGCACACGCCTGTAATCCCAGCTACTCGGGAGGCTGAGGCAGCAGAATCGCTTGAACCTGGGAGGCGGAGATTGCAGTGAGCCGAGATTGCGCCACAGCACTCCAGCCTGGGTGACAGAGCGAAACTCAGTCTCAAAAAAAAGTGAGGTGAAAGAAATGAGGTGGGGTTGGTTACCAGTTACAGGAATGACCAGGCCAACTGTGGCTTTGTCTGATGATGTGATCTAGGGGAAGTAGGAGCTTTGAGAAATGGTTTGTCAAAAGAGAAATGGACTGTAGTTATGGGGAAGGAGTGGATGTGTTATCAGAGTTTGTAATAGAAACATTGACAGAAGTCACTCGCAGCTGAGTTATCTGAGGGGGGATGATATATTTGAGGACTTTGAAAATATGTGAAAAACTGGTTCATAAGGATGGAAGAGGTGGAGTGGGAGAAGTTTTATAGTTGCCTCTTTTTGTTTTTTATTCTCTCTCTCTCAGTTTCATGAGACCCTTGAACAGCGGCTGCTTGTAACTGAACTGATGCGGCTCTTAGGTCCTAGCCAGGAGAGGGAGATACCTCCACTGCTGGGGCTGGAGAAAGCGGACCTTCTGGAACTCATGCCACTCTCAGAGGTTGGCGGGGAGATATTGGAACCAAATAAATGAAATGGTTTAATTTCTCCCATATCTTTAAAATGTTTTTTTTGTCAAGCTTTATTGTTTTTGTAAAAATGATACACATTCAGGGTGGTCAGACTCAAATAAGAAAAACGTTACACAGGAGCAAGTAAAAGCTGAAATACTGCATCTAGAAGCACAATATTATTATAAACAGCTTGACATAAATGGTATTATACCCTTCATGCTTATATAGAGAGTATAAGGCCGAGTGTAGTGACTTCCGCCTATAATCGTAGCACTTTGGGAGGCTGAGGTGGGAGGATCACTTGAGTTCAGGAGTTCAAGACCAGCCTGGGCAACATAGTGAGACCTCGTCTCTACCAAAAAAAAAACAAAACAAAAGCCAGGTTTGGTGGTGCACACCTGTAGTCCCAGCTACTCGGGAGACAGAGGCAGGAGGATGACTTGAGGGTGGGAGGTCAAGGCTGTAGTGAGCTGTGATCATGCCACTGTACTCCAGCCTGGGCACAGAGTGAGACCCTGTCTCAAAAAAAGAAAAGTACAGTCTATTTTCATGTAATATATTTTGGATTTCTTTTCAAGTCAATACATAAATGTAAATAAGATGATAGCTTCTATAGCACTGTTAGCAAAGTATCTAGGCACATAGTGCTTAGTGTTATGTCATCAGTTTAAATCTCTGCTAGGATTCTATTATATGGATGTAGAATAATTTGCTTAACCTTATTGGTGGATATTAAGGTTGTTTCCACATTTTTGCTGTTAGAAACCACAGGGAGATGAACATGCTGGTTCATATGTGTCTTTACCTTTGTATGATTATTTCTGTAATGCTGGTGCTAAAAGTGGGATTCCTGAGTCAGTGCATACTCATACAGAATATTGGTACCTAATGCCAAACTGCTATCCAGAAAGGTATTTTCAGGGCTCCTGGATCCCCCATGTTCTCACCAACATGGGGTCTTGACAGTCATTTTATTCTTCGCTAATTTGATAGGTGAAAAATGAGTCTCTCTGATGTCTCTTGATGCATTTTCTTTGGCTATTATTGAGGTTATCATCATGTATTCATTGGCTGAGACGTCCTAGTTTTTACAGTCTATTCGCATTTCTGCCTTTACTTCTATGACTGTAGGATTTTGTGTGGATGAGGGCTCGGCTACAGCAAGAAGTAGAGGAGCAGCTCAAAAAGAAATGTTTCACTCTGCTCTGCTACTATGATCCCAATTCAGGTGAGTGCTAGCTGTCTGTTCTGCTCACAGCTGGACTTCAGGGTTCCTGGTCTGCTCTTTTGAGAATAATATATTTTGATTTTAGATTTGGGACAGAGGTTTAGAACCATCAGAGATGCTTATTTGTTTTGTTGCTGGTAGAATAAAAACAAGGACTTTTTGTTTTTTTGTTTTTTTTTTTTTTTGAGATGGCGTTTTGCTCCTGTTGCCCAGGCTAGAGTGCAATGGCGCCATTTCTGTTCACCGCAAGCTCCTCCTCCTAGATTCAAGTGATTCTCCTGCCTCAGCCTCCCGAGTAGCTGGGATTACAGGCATGCGCCACCCCGCTCGGCTAATTTTGTATTTTTAGTAGAGATGGGGTTTCTCCATGTTGATTAGGCTGGTCTGGAACTCCCAACCTCAGGTGATCCGCCTGCCTCGGCATCCCAAAGTGCTGGGATTACAGGTGTGAGCCACCACACCCGGCCAAAACAAGGACCTTTGTAAGGACTCTTTTTATTCAGCAAGATACTGAGTGGGAGTGTCCTCCTGCTGCAGGGAAGGATGAGTTCTCTCAGGAGGTTCAGAATGGTTTAGGGAGGAAAGTTCAGACTCATAGAACACCTTATACTCTCTGTATAAGCTTGGAGGGTATAATACCATTTATGTCAAGCTGTTTATAATAATGTGTTTCTAGACGTAGTATTCATATTTCAGCTTTTACTTGCTTCTGTGTAATGATTTTCTTATTTGAGTCTGACCACCCTGAATGAATGTGTATCTCTTTTTTTTTTTTTTTTTTTTTTGAGACGAAGTCTCGCTCTGTCCCCCAGGCTGGAGTGCAGTGGCGCAGTCTCACCTCACTGCAAACTCCACCTCCTAGGTTCACGCCATTCTCCTGCCTCAGCCTCCCGAGTAGCTGGGACTACAGGTGCCCGCCACCACGCCTGGCTAATTTTTTGTATTTTTAGTAGAGACGGGGTTTCACCGTGTTAGCCAGGATGGTCTCAGTCTCCTGACCTCATGATCTACCCACCTTGGCCTCCCAAAGTGCTGGGATTACAGGCGTGAGCCACTGTGCCTGGCCCTGAATGTGTATCATTTTTACGAAAATAATAAAGCTTAACACCTGAGTCTGAACTTTCCTCCCTAAACCATTTCTTTTTTTTTTTTTTTTGAGACGGAGTTTCATTCTTGTCGCCCAGGCTGGAGTGCAATGGCGTGATCTCAGCTCACTGCAACCTTCGCCTCCGAGGTTCAAGCAATTCTCCTGCCTCAGCCTCCCAAGTAGCTGGGATTACAGGCGCCTGCCACCCTGCCCAGCTAATTTTTTTGTATTTTTAGTAGAGACAGGTTTTCACCATGTTGGCCAGGATGGTCTCAAACTCCTGACCTCAGGTGATCTGCCCGCCTTGGCCTCCCAAAGTGCTGGGATTACAGGCATGAGCTACCACACTTGGTCTCCTTAAACCATTTCTATGACTTAAGAATTAAGGTCCGGGCCGGGCGCGGTGGCTTACGCCTGTAATACCATCACTTTGGGAGGCCGAGGCAGGTGGATCATGAGGTCAGGCGTTCGAGACCAACCTGGCCAATATAGTGAAACCCCGTCTCTACTAAAAATACAAAAAATTAGCTGGGTGTAGTGGCGGGTGCCTGTAATCCCAGCTACTTGGGAGGCTGAGGCAGGAGAATTGGTTGAACCTGGGAGGTGGAGGTTGCAGTGAGCTGAGATCGCGCCACTGCACTCCGGCCGAGGTGACAGTGAGAGACTCCGTCTCAAAAAAATAAAAAGAATTAAGGTCCAAATCCGGAATCAAAGGTAAGAGTGAAGATAATTTATTTAATAATTATGAGAACCAGATGCCCTCCCCCCCCCCGCTTTTTTTTTTTTAAAAACTCTGTCACCCAGACTGGAGTGCAGTGGTACAATCACACCTCACTGCAGCCTCGACCTTCTGGGCTCAAGTGATCCTCTCACCTCAGCCTCTCAAGTAGCTGGCACTACAGGCGCATAGTATGCCTAACTAATATTTTAGAATTTTTTTTATAGAGACAGAGTCTCACTATGTTGCCCAAGCCGGTCTTGAACTCTTGGGCTCAAGCAATCCTCCTGCCTTGGCCTCCCAAAGTGCTAGGATTGCAGGCGTAAGCCACCATGCTCAGCCCAGAATGGGGCCATTTTTAATAGATTATTAGAAGAAAACCTGTCATAAGGCAGGATTTGTGGGTCTAGATACAGGATAGGGGCACTGGAAGGTTGCTTTACAGGGATTGTAGCGATTAGGGTTTTCCTGTCAGTCCTCTGCCCCTTTGCTCAGATGCTGACAGTGAAACCGTGAAGGCAGCAAAGGTGTGGAAACTCGCAGAGGTCCTGGTGGGTGAGCAGCAGCAGTGCCAGGATGCCAAGAGCCAGCAGAAGGAGCAGATGTTGCTGCTGGAGAAGAAGAGTGCTGCTTACTCCCAGGTTTATCAGGGCATGGGACAGCCCCTTTCCTTTATCCTGACCCCAGGAGCACTTTTGGGGAAGACAAAGATTCCTGATCTACCCTCCTTTCTACTATCTTTATTTATGCCCTCTTCTTCCTCCATCTTGGGCTCAGGTGCTTCTCCGCTGCCTCACTTTGCTGCAGAGGCTTCTTCAAGAACACCGGCTGAAGACTCAATCCGAGCTAGACCGCATCAATGCCCAGTACCTGGAAGTCAAGTGCGGTGCTATGATCCTTAAGCTGAGGTGAGCTGTGACCCCTGTGGATCTTAAGGGATTCTGTCTCACGTTATCAGCCCTCTATCCCTTACCCTAATCTCTTTCCTCTCCCTTATCCTAGCGCCTTGTGGGTATCCAGTAAATGTCACATAGCAGTATTAGCTTTTGGATTACCCAAAAGCTTTCAACATCCTTGAGACTTTTCTTTTACAGTCTTCTGAAATAGGCACTTTACTGTGAGATCAATTGCTCGGGAATTCAGAGTGACCTTGTTTATCCTATCAGTGCTTAGCCCACACCTTGACCGTCGGCAGGTACTACGTCCATTCCCAACCCTGCTGCTATCAGGGACCTTCCTGCCTTGACATTTCTTTCTTCCCTCTGTCAGGATGGAGGAGCTAAAGATTTTGTCCGACACTTACACTGTTGAGAAAGTGGAAGTTCATCGTCTGATTAGGTGAGAACTCCTAAGAGTCTGGTACAGCTGTTCACAGGTGGTTCTCACATTCCCTAAACTCGTTTATTTAAAGATGTTGCCATTTTTGGCTGGGCACAGTGGCTCACACCTGTAATCCCAGCACTTTGGGAGGCCGAGGTGGGCAGCTCGCTTGAGTCAGGAGTTTGAGACCAGCCTGGCCAATATGGTGAAACCCTGTCTCTACTAAAAAATACAAAAATTAGCTGGGCATGGTGGCATGTGCCTGTAATCCCAGCTACTCGGGAGGCTGAGGCAGGAGAATTGCTTGAACCCAGGAAGCAGAGGCTGCAGTGAGCCAAGATCATACCACTGCACTCCAGCCTAGGTGACAGAGCGAGACTCCATCTGACAAAAAAAAAAAAAAAAAAGTTTTTCATTTTTGTCCACTACTTTCTGAGGAGCAGCACCCTTATATTGTGCCTTCTCTGCCCGGGCTCTTAGGGACCGTTTGGAGGGAGCCATTCACCTACAGGAGCAGGACATGGAGAACTCAAGACAGGTCCTGAACTCCTATGAGGTCCTTGGGGAGGAGTTTGACAGGCTGGTGAAAGAGTACACCGTACTCAAGCAGGCAACAGAGAACAAGCGGTGGGCCCTCCAGGAGTTCAGCAAGGTCTACCGTTGAGCTCTGGCAGGGCCAGGAGACATGGCTTCTGCATAGCTGCTGCCTCCTAATCTTCCTGCTAGTGGGACCACCTTCACCTGGGGCTGCCTTCAGTACAAGGGAGTGTGGAAATGCTTACGCTTGAAACACTGCAGTCATTTAGGCACTCTCCTGGTTTCTCTTTATTTTTTATGACTGGGCCTCTTCTGGAAAATCTAGCAAGGAGATTTATATAATTTTTATGCATAGCTGTGTGTCAGTGTCAGCCCTGTATTGTATTTGATTATCTCCTGAATAAAGTTATGATATTATATCTTAGGATTTTAGTCATTTTCCTTGGGCAAAGATTGAAAAAGAACATTGAAGGCTATATGGGTAAGGAGCGGGGAACTGAGTGGATCCAAATAGAAACAGATACATGATGCTTATGCAAAGAGTAAGAAGTAGACATGCCAGCTTGCCTACATCAAGTCTTAGAGCCTTCATTTTGGAAGAGTACAGTGGATTAAATTTGGGCTTGCTCTTGAAGAACTATAATCTCCAGAGGAGTGCTAGATACTCAGGCAGGTAGGGAACTATTTTCTCACTATGGGTATCAGTGTGGGAGTTATAATAAAGCAGCTGAGGCTGGGAGCAGTGACTCACACCTGTAATTCCAGCACTTTGGGAGGCCAAGGCAAGAGGATCACTTGAGCCCAGCTGTTCGAGACCAGCCTGGGCAACGTAGCAAGACCCCTGTCTCTGTGAAAAAAAATTTTTTTTTTTTTTTTTTAGACAGAGTCTTACTTTGTTGCCAGGCTGGAGTGCAGTGGTGTGATCTCAGCTCACTGCAGCCTCCGCCTCCCAGGCTCAAGCAATTCTTGTGTATCAGCCTCCCTAGTAGCTGGAATTAACAGGCATGCACCACCATGGCCAGCTAATGTTTGTATTTTAGTAGAGACAGGGTTTTACTATGTTGGTCAGGTTGGTCTCAAACTCCTGACCTCAAGTGATCCGCCCACCTTGGCCTCCCAAAGTGCTGGGATTACAGGCATGAGCAACCACACCCAGCTGAAAAAAATTTTTTTAATTAGCAAGCGTGATGGTATGTGCCTGTAGTGCCAATTTCTCAGGAGGCTGAGGCAGGAGGATCACTTGAACCCAGGAGGTCAAGGCTGCAGTGAGCCATGATGGCACCACTGCACTCAGCCTGGGTGACAGAGTGAGACCTTGTCTCAAAAAAAAAAAAAAAAAAAAAAAAGGCAGCCAGTGGCCAGCTCAGTTATAGGAAAGGACACAAGCCACTTGTGTTCCTGGTTCCCTTGGTGTGGTTTGAGAGCTACATTTTTCTCTAAAAGCAGAGGTTTGGAGGAGATTCCCCCTGAGGAACCAAGTTCAACAGTCTACTTAGCTTAGAACAAGGCAGAGTCCTGGCTGGTGTCAAAATAGGGGACTGTGGACAGAAACAGAAGGCCTCTACCTTTATTTAGAAGAGCCTACTCAGTTTCTGAAACCACTTTCCAAGGAAATTGTCTTGGGGTGATGGTGTGGATTTATTTACAAGACAATTAATGTCTTTGACTCAACTTTTTTTTCTCTTTTTTTTTTTTTTTTTTTTTTTTTTTTTTGAGACGGAGTCTCGCTCTGTCGCCCAGGCTGGAGTGCAGTGGCGCAATCTCGGCTCACTGCAATCTCTGCCTCCTGGGTTCAAGTGATTCTCCTGCCTCAGTCTCCTGAGTAGTTGGGACTACAGGCACCCACCACCACGCCTGGCTAATTTTTGTATTTTTAGTAGAGACAGGGTTTCACCATATTGGCCTTGCTGGTCTCGAACTCCTGACCTTGTGATCCGCCCGCCTCGGCCTCCCAAAGTGCTGGGATTACAGGCATGAGCCACTGCACCTGGCCAAAAAAATTTTTTTTAATTAGCTGTGCATAGTGGCATGTGCCTACATTTCCAGCTACTCAGGAGGCTAAGGTGGGAGGACTGCTTGAGTCTGGGAGGTTGAGGTTACAGTGAGCTATGATCATGTCACTGTATTACAGCCTGAGTGACAGCAAGATTCTGTCTCAAAAAAAAGAAAAAGGAATAGAGTTATGGAAAAAGCAGCGAAGACAGAGAAAAGGAAAGAAGCACTATGGGAAGGCACAGAGTTAAGAATGGGCAAATCATGTACCAAGGAGAGCTTTCATTTCAAGTGAACAAAATTTGAAACAAATATCCTATAGCTTCAATCGAGAATCTGGAGAGCTGGGGTTTGAGAAACATTTCAATTTCGACTGCCTGAGAAATGGCTTCCAAGGCAGTGGTCCTCACCCTGGCTCTCTAAATGGCATGGGGATGGAGAGTGAGCTATTTCTTGTATTCTTAAAAAGCCTAAAGAAAATGGGCTGGGCACAGTGGCTCATGCCTGTAATCCCAGCATTTTGGGAGGCGGAGGTGGGCAGATTGCCTGAGCTCGGGAGTTAGAGACCACCCTGGGCAACATGGTGAAACCCCATCTCTACTAAAATAAAAAAATTAGCTGGGTGTGGTGATGCGTGCCTGTAGTCCCAGCTACTCAGGAGGCTGAGGCACGAGAATTGCTTGAGCCCCGGGAGGCGGAGGTTGCAGTGAGCCAAGATCGTGCCACTTCACTCTAGCTTGGGCTACAGAGTGAGACTCTGTCTCAAAAAAAAAAAAAAGAAAAGAAAATGGAACATTTGCTTGCGACAGTTCTCCACACACTTTTTTTTTTTTTTTTTTTTGAGATGGAGTTTCGCTCTTGTTGCCCAGGCTGGATCGTGCAATGGCGCAATCTTGGTTTATTGCAATCTCTGCCTCCTAGGTTCAAGTGATTCTCCTGCCTCAGCCTCCCAAGTAGCTAGGATTACAGCATGCGCCACCACGCCCAGCTAATTTTGTATTTTTATTAGAGATGAGGTTTCTCCATGTTGGTCAGGCTGGTCTCGAACTCCCGACTTCAGGTGATCCACCTGCCTCAGCCTCCCAAAGTGCTAGGATAACAGGCGTGAGCCACCACCGCGCCCGGCCCTGCACAAACTTTTTTTTTTTTTTTTTTTTTGAGACGGAGTCTTGCTCTGTCACCTGGGCTGGAGGGCAGTGGCCCGATCTCAGTTCACTGCAACCTCCGCCTCCTGGGTTCATGCCCTTCTCCTGTCTCAATCTCCCAAGTAGCTGGGACTATAGGCGCCCACCACCACGCCCGGCTAATTTTTTGTATTTTTAGTAGAGACGGGGTTTCACCGTGTTAGCCAGGATGGTCTCGATCGCCTGACCTCGTGATCCGCCCGCCTCAGCCTACCAAAGTGGTGGGATTACAGGTGTGAGCCACTGCGCCCGGCCCAAACTATTTTTTAAAAAACTTCATTGGCTTAAAACTAGAGCACATGCAGGCTGGGCGTGGTGGCTCACGCCTGTAATCCCAGCACTTTGGGAGGCCGAGGTGGGTGGATCACCTGAGGTTGGGAGTTTGAGACCAGCCTGAGCAACATGGAGAAACCCCGTCTCTACTGAAAATACAAAATTAGCCGGGTGTGGTGGCACATGCCTGTAATCCCAGCTACTAGGGAGGCTGAGGCAGGAGAATCGCTTGAACCCAGGAGGCAGAAGTTGCGGTGAGCCGAGATCGCGCCATTGCACTCCAGCCTGCGCAACAAGAGCGAAACTCCATCTTAAAAAACAAACAAACAAACAAAAACAACTAGAGCACATGCTTTGTAAAAATACTCAGAACAGAATTATATACAGTAAAAAGTAAAAGATTGAACCATGCACCCTCAGACACCCCCCACACAAATACCCTGTTACTCCAATCTACCTCCCCAGAGTAACCAGAGTGATTTGGTGTGTAGATCACTGTGTGTCAGATCTGTTTCTATAAATATGCAACCATATGTACATAAATATTAGCTAATATTAGCTGGGCATGGTGGTGCTCTGATAGCCCTAGCTACTCAGGAGGCTGAGCCTAGTAGTTAGAGGCTGCAGTGAACTATGATTGTGCCAAGGTACTCCAGCCCAGGTGACAGAGCAAGACCTTTGTCTCTAAAAATCAAATCAATAAAGAAAAAGTTTTAAAAATGTGGCTAATATTATTATTAGAGTATGGCTGTATTATCATTTAACCCTTCCCTTCACGATATTAAGGTTGTTTCCCTCTTGCCCTGTTACAAAAATGCTTCATTGGATGTCATTGCACATATATCTTGCTCAGGTGCCTTTGCTTTCTGCTGGTATTACAGTAAATCAGTATATTAGTTATTTTATGGGAAAAATAAACTTTTTTTTTTTTTTTGGAGACAGAGTCTGACTCTTGCCCAGGCTGGGAGCAGTGGCATGTTCTCGGCTCACTGCAACCTCCGCCTCCCAGGTTCAAGCGATTCTCTTGCCTCAGCCTCCCGAGTAACTGGGATTACAGGCGCGTGCCACCACATACAGCTAATTTTTGTATTTTTAGTAGAGACAGGGTATTGCCACGTTGGCCAGGCTGGTTTCGAACTCCTGACTTCAGGTGACACGCCTGTCCTCGGCCTCTCAAAGTGCTGGGATTACAGGCATGAGCCACTGCGCCCGACCAGAAAAAAATAAACTACTGATTGAGCTTATGAATGTAGTCTGGTGGAAAAAAAAACTTTCAAAACAGTTCCTTCGTAGGGGAAAAGGAACAAAAATCATGTCCACTGCGGCCTGAGGGAGCACTACAGCTGTTTCTCTTGGTGCATTCATTCTGCACATTGACTGGAGGTGGAAGACTTGTTGGAGGTGCCCTTCATACATGCTGCTCTCTATTGTGGCAAATATGGGAAGGAGCTTTGGAGGACAAGTAGAAGGGTCTGCATGAAAGTGACAGCTGAGGGGCCGGGCGCCATGGCTCACGCCTGTAATCCCAGCACTTTGGGAGGCTGAGGCAGGTGGATCACGAGGTCAAGAGATTGGGACCATCCTGGCCAACATGGCAAAACCTCGTCTCTACTAAAAATACAAAAATTAGCCAGGCGTGGTGGTGCACACCTGTAGTCCCAGCTACTCGGGAGGCTGAGGCAGGAGAATCACTTGAATCTGGGAGGCAGAGGTTGCAGTGAGCCGAGATCGCGCCACTGCACTCCAGGCCTGGCAACAGAGCGAGACTCCTTCTCAAAAAAAAAGAAAGTGACAGTTGAGGGTTAGCATCTTGGACCTTAGCTGCTCTCTTTCCCTCACACTGCTTAGAAAAGATTTGCATTTACTGCCTCCCTTCGTTCTTTCACAGTCGAACCTCTCTTTACTTGCCTCTTACCACATCTGGTAAGTCTTATAGATTCTTCCCTTGTAATGAGAGGCAAAGGAAATCACCTTCAGAACTTGGAACAGGATCAACTCTGGGACTCTTGGATAAACAAAATCTGTTCCCTGAATATTTTCAGTGAAAGGTGAATATGGAGGTGTCCTGGGGAGTGACTGCATTCTTCCTCGGCCACCACAAACAGGAGACCCAGCGCCCCCTAAGGGCCAACTTTGGCATCTCCAAAGGAGAAGGGTGCCCCTCACCCTATAAAGAATCTCTCCATATTGGCTGGGCGCGGTGGCTTACGCCTGTAATCCCGGCAATTTTTGGAGGGGAGGCTGAGGCAGGCGGATCACTTGAGGTGAGGAGTTTGAGACGAGCCTGGCCAACATGGTGAAACCAGGTCTCTACTGAAAAATACAAAATTAGCCAGGTGTGGTGGTGCGCACCTGTAATTGGGAGGCTGAGGCATTATAATAGCTTGAACCTGGGAGGTGGAGGCTGCAGTAAGGCGAGGTGAGATGGGGCCACTACACTCCATCCTGGGCGACAAAGCAAGACTCTCTTTCGAAAAGAAAAAAAAAAGAATCTCTCCATATGATCCATCTTGAAGGACCTGGACTAGGTTTTGTTAAAGGAACTAGCAGGCTTCCTTATCCCTTGAGACAGCAAAAATACGAGTGAATTTACAATGGACTAAACAATGTGTAGAAATAATTTACTCTAAAAGATGGTTTGTTTTTGAGTTGCTGAGGTCCAGCCAAAGTGGCTAACTTCTGGTCTCAGGAAAAAACAACTGAAGTTTGGAGAGTCCTAAATTTACCAAGCCTGGCTAAATAGTGTGTAACCAACAGCAAATGACCTGCCTAGGATTTAGAAAAGGGTTATCTAAAGAGTAAGGTTGGCTGGGCGCTGTAGCTTATGCCTGTAATCCCAGCACTTTGGGAGGCCGAGGCAGGTGGATCACCTGAGGTCAGGAGTTTGAGACCATCCTGGCCAACATGGCGAAACCCTGTCTCTACTAAAAATACAAAAATTAGCCGGGCATGGTGGCTCGCGCCTATAGTCCCAGCTACTTGGGAGGCTGAGGCAGGAGAATTGCTTGAATCCTAGAGGCAGAGGTTGCAGTGAGCCGAGATCACACCACTGCACTCCAGACTGGGCAACAGAGTCAGACTGTGTCTCAAAAAAAAAAAAAAAAAAAGATCTATATATGATTTATTTTAAAGAATTGGCTCATTGGCTCATGTGATTATGGGAGCTGGCAAGTCTAAAATCTGTAGGGCAGGCCAGCAGGCTGAAAACAAGCAGAAGTAATGCTACAGTTTTTTTTTTTTCCAACTTTCATTTTAGGCTCAGGGGGTACGTGTGCAAGTTTGTTACATGAGTAAACTGTGTGTCACTGAGGGTTAGTGTATGAATGATCCCGTCACCCAGTTAGTGAGCATAGTACCTCCCTCCCTTCCCCTTCTAGCAGTCCCCAGTGTCTATTTCCATCTTTATGTCCGTGTGTGCTCAATGTTTAGCTCTCACTTATAAGTGAGAACTAGCGGTGTTTTGTTTTCTATTCTCACATTAATTTATTTTTCTTTCTTTCTTTCTTTTTTTTTTTTTTTTTTGAGACGGAGTCTTGCTCTGTCACCCAGGCTGGAATACAGCGGCATGATCTCGGCTCACTGCAACCTCCACCCCCTGGGTTCAAGCGATTCTCCTGCCTCAGCCTCCCGAGTAGCTGGGATTACAGGCGCCTGCCACCACGCCCGGCTAATTTTTTTGTATCTTTAGTAGAGACGGGGTTTCACCATGTCGGTCAGGCTGGTCTCGAACTCCTGACCTCAGGTGATCCACCCGTCTTGGCCTCCCAAAGTGCTGAGATTACAGGCATGAGCCACCGTGCCCAGCCCAGCCATGACTTTTTAATTTTCATTTTTTTTTTTTTTTGAGACAGAGTTTTGCTCTGTCGCCCAGGCTATAGTGCAGTGGCACGATCTCTGCTCACTGCAAGCTCCACCTACCGGGTTCACGCCATTCTCCTGCCTCAGCCTCCCGAGTAGCTGGGACTACAGGTACCCGCCACTGCGCCCGGCTAATTTTTTGTATTTTTAGTAGAGGCAGGGTTTCACTGTGTTAGCCAGGATGGTCTCGATCTGACCTCGTGATCCACCCGTCTCGGCCTCCCAAAGTGCTGGGATTACAGGTGTGAGCCACTGCGCCCGGCATGACTTTTTAATAATAGCCATTCTGACTGGTGTGAGATGGTATCTTATTGCGGTTTTGATTTGCCTTTCTCTAATGATTAGTAATATTGAACATTTTTTCCATATATTTGTTGGCAACATCTATGTCTTCTTTAGAGAAGTGTCTGTTCATGTCCTTTGCCCAGTTTTTTTGCTTGTTTGTTTTCTTTTTCTGGGAGACAGGGTCTTACTCTGTCAACCAGGCTGGAGTGCAGCTGCAGCCTCAACCTCCTTGGCTCAAAGGATCCTCCCACCACAGCCTCCCTAGTAGCTAGGACTACAGGCACGTGCCACCATGCTGGGTTTTTGTTTTGTTTTGTTTTGCAGAGACGTGGTCTCACTCTGTTGCTCAGGTTAGTCTGGAGCTCCTGGGCTCAAGCAGTCCTCCCACCTCTGCCTCCCAAAAGTGTTAGGATCACAAGGGTAAGCCACTGCAACGGGCTGAGAAAATTTTAAAATATTTGTTTCCTTTTTTTTCTTTTTTTTTTTTTTTGAGAAGGAGTTTCGCTCTTGTTGCCCAGGCTGGAGTTCAATGGCGCTATCTTGGCTCACCGCAACCTCCGCCTCCTGGGTTCAAGCGATTCTCCTGCCTCAGCCTCCCAAGTAACTACAATTATAAGTGCACCACCAGGCTCAGCTAATTTTTTTGTGTTTTTAGTAGAGATGGGGTTTTACTATATTGGCCAAGCTGTTCTTGAACTCCTGACATCAAGTGATCTGCTGACCTTGGCCTCCCAAAGTGCTGGGATTACAGGTATGACCCACTGCGCCCAGCCTTTTGAGATAATATATTTAAAGTGCCTGGCATGTGGTAGAGCTTAATTAATATTAGCCTGGGCAGGGTATGGTGGCTCATGCCTATAATCCCAGCACTTTGGGAGGCCGAGGTAGGTGGACCACGAGGTCAGGAGTTCAAGACCAGCCTAGCCAAGATGGTGAAATCCCGTCTCAACTAAAAATACAAAAATTAGCCAGGCATGGTGGCGGTCACCTGCAATCCCAGCTACTTGGGAGGCTGAGGCAGAGAATTGCTTGAACCCGGGAGGTGGAGCTTGCAGTGAGACGTGATTGTGCCACTGCACTCCAGCCTGGGTGACAGAGTGAGACTCCATCTCACAAAAATAAATAAATAAATAAATATTAGCCTGGCTAGGACTATCATGTTATGAGGCAAGAATGATTGCTGAAGACTGGATAGCTACACAAGCCTATAGAGAAGGAGGGAGGCCTTGGCTAGACCTTCAAAAGAAAGGACATAAGCACAAAGATCAGGGAGAGGTAACAGGTTTATTTATTTTTATTTTATTTTTTTGAGACAGAGTTTCACTCGTTGCCCAGGCTGGAGTGCAATAGCGCGATCTCGGCTCACTGCAACCTCCGCCTCCCGGGTTCAAGTGATTCTCCTGCATCAGCCTCCCAAGTAGCTGTGATTACAGGCACACACCACCATGCCTGGCTAATTTTTTGTATTTTTAGTAGAGACGGGGTTTCACCATGGCCAAGCTGGTCTTGAACTCCTGACCTCAGGTGATCTGCCTGCCTCAGCCTGCCAAAGTGGTGGGATTACAGGCGTGAGCCACCGTGCCCGGCCAAGGTAACAGGTTTTATATGTATTTTAAAAAATATTTTACGTGTAATATAAACACGCTTATACAGAACATTTGGAAAATACAATTTTTCCACATAGTTGAGGTCATTCTGTGTGTAAAATTTGTAATGTGTGTCTCTTAATGGCATGTCATAAGACTTTCTCCATGTTACTACATTTTCTTTGACAACACTGATTTTAATGGCTGCTGAAGATTTCATTGAGGCCGGGTGTGGTGGCTCACGCCTGTAATCCCAGCACTTTGGGAGGCTGAGGTGGGTGGATCATTTGAGGTCTGGAGTTCAAGACCAACCTGGCCAACATGGTGAAACCCCGTCTCTACTGAAAATACAAAAATTAGCCGGGCAGTAGTGGCGTGCGCCTGTAATCCCAGCTGCTTGGGAGGCTGAAGCAGGAGAATCACTTGAGCCTGAGAGGCAGAGGTGTCTCAAAAAAAAAAAAAAAAAAAAAAAAAAAAAAAATCCACCACTCCCTGGCCTCTTTCTCCTCTCTTTTTGAGTTTTCCTTGCTTTTCTTGTCTGATTTTTATTGCAGATTAACAGTAGAATTATTTTATCAAGTAACAAAAGATTCCATTAGAATTGTGATTGAATGGGCCGGGCGCAGTGGCTCACGCCTGTAATCCCCCCACTTTGGGAGGCCGAGGCGGGTGGATCACGAGGTCAGGAGATTGAGACCACCGTGGCTAACACGGTGAAACCCCATCTCTACTAAAAATACAAAAAATTAGCCGGGCGTGGTGGCGGGCGCCTGTAGTCCCAGCTACTTGGAAGGCTGAGGCAGGAGAATGGCATGAACCTGGGAGGCGGAGCTTGCAGTGAGCTGAGATCGTGCCACTGCACTCCAGCCTGGGTGACAGAGCGAGACTCCGTCTCAAAAAACAAAAAAAAAGAATCGTAATTGAATGTTGTAAAAGTGAGAACTTGAGAAATTAATTTGGTAAGAATTTACATCTTTATAAGATTCATTATTTTCTAAGATTATGGCTTGTTTCTCCATTTTTTTTTTAGTCTTCTATTTTATCTTGCAGCAATTTTTTTTTTTTCCTTTTTGATAGGGTCTTGCTCTGTCACTCAGGCTGGAGTGCAGTGGTTTGATCACAGCTCACTGCAGACTCAACTTCCTGGGCTCAAGCAGTCCTCCCACCTCAGCCTCTTGGGTAGCTGGGACTACAGGTGTGTGCCACAATGCCCAGGTCATTTTTTTTTTTTTTGAGATGGAGTTTTGCTCTTGTTGCCCAGGCTGGAGAACAATGGCCCGATCTTGGCCCACTGCAACCTCCGCCTACCAGCTTCAAGCAATTATCCTGCCTCAGCCTCCTGAGTAGCTGGGATTATAAGTGCCTGCCACCACGCCCAGCTAATTTTTGTATTTTCAGTAGAGATAGGCTTTCACCATGTCGGCCAGGCTGGTCTCGAACTCCTCACCTCAGGTGATCCACCTGCCTCGGCCTCCCAAAGTGCTGGGATTACAAGCCACCGTGCCCGGCTGCTAATTTTTTTTTTGAGACAGGGTCTCACTCTGTCGCCCAGACTGGAGTGCAGCGGCACAATCTCGGCTCACGGTAATCTCTGCCTCCAAGGTTCAAGGGATTCTCTCGCCTCAGCCTCCCGAGTAGCTGGGATTACAGGCATGTGCCACCACACCCAGCTAATTTTTGTATTTTCAGTAGAGACGGGGTTTCACCATGTTGGCCAGGCTGACGCCCAGCTAATTTTTAAAATTTTTTTGTAGAGATGGGGTATTGTTATGTTGCCTAGGCTGGCCTTGAACTCCTAGGCTCAAGCAATCCTCCTGCCTCGGCCTCCCAAAGTGTTGGGATTACAAGCATAAGCCACTGTAACCAGCCTATAATTTTCTTTATGTCAGTTTCTCACATTTTTCAGTAAAGATAAATATTTTATAGTAGTGTTACTGTTACCACTGTGAATGGGGAAAATAATAATCACAATAGCCAATATGTATTGAAGGTTTACTATGTGCAGGGTAGCTTCTAAATGCTTTACTATGTTAACTAATTTAATATTCATAATGACTTTATAAGAGCTATTATTTACATTCCCATTTTGTGGATGAGAAAACTGAGGCCAGAAGGGTTAGGTTCACAGTCCTAGTAAATGAATGAACAGGGCTTTAACGTCTTGCTATCTGGTTTAGCAGGCCATACTCTTAACTATCATATTATTGGGATTTTTAAAAATCAATAATGTCTTCTAACTGGTTAATCTTAGTATATGAGAAGCTACAGATTTATTTTATACTTATCTTACATCAAGTTACTTCTCTGCATTCTAGTATTAATTCTCATCATTTTAAAATGGATTCTTACGCATTTTCTATGTGTACAATCATATTATCTACAAATAATGATAAATTTACCTCTCCCTTCCTAAAAGTTGTAACCCCTTTTTTTCTATTTCCAATCTTATTATATTGGATTTTTCAGAATAATACTAAATAACTCAGTGATGAGACTAGATATTCTTGTATCTTTTTTTTTTTTTTTTAAGAAAAGGTCTCATCGTGTTGCCCAGGCTGACCTCGAGCTCCTGGGCTCAAGGGATCCTCCCATCTCAGTCTCCTGAGTATCTGGGACTACAGGCACTTACAACCATGCAGGGCAGCTCATTTCATCTTTACATAAGTTTTTGATCTTATATATACACATACATGATGAATATCAAAACTATTAAGAATATTTATGGCCAAGTGCGGTGGCTCATGCCTCTAATCTCAGCATTTTGGGAGGCCAAGGCGGGCGGATCACGAGGTCAGGAGTTTGAGATCAGTCTGGCCAATACGATGAAACCCTGTCTGTAATAAAAATACAAAAAAAATTAGCCGGGCATGGTGGCACACGCCTGTAGTCCCAGCTACTCGGGAGGCTGAGGCAGGAGAATTGCTTGAACCCAGGAGATGGAGGTTTCAGTGAGTTGAGATCGCGCCACTGCACTTCAGCCTGGGCGACAGAGCGAGACTGTCTCAAAAAAAAAAAAGAATATTTATAGAAAATGCAGTTAACATACTGTGTTCTCTTCTTTGACAATTAACAACCGTCAAATATTTTTTGTTTGGTTTATTTTTGACCTATTCTATAAAGAAATTTCCTAATACCTTTGTATTAATTATTGGTATAAACCCTAATTGGTTGTATTATATAATTACTATATTAACATACTGTTACGTTTTATTTATTAATCTTAAATATTTTAGGAATCTAACATTTATATCCATAAGTAAGGGTCTATAGCTTTTTTGGGAGTGTTATTTCTGACAGGTTTTGATATTAGATGTGTTCTGTCTTCATAAATAAATTGGGTAGTTTTCCATCTTTTTCTATGTTCAGAACAGTTCCTGCTTTCTATTCATTTTGACAGATAAACACTGTATAATAGAGATGACAAAAAAGAGAATGCAAATCTGCACAGATTATTTTGCCTCAGTAACTCTGCCACTTTCATAGCTGGAGTACAGCCTTGATTGTGAAAAAGAAATTTGGAGCAGTAGGAGGGTCAAACAGGCCATTATTTTGGTGTTGAAGAGTGTGGCTGGCTGGGCAGGCACAGAGATGAGTGAAGGTGGGCCTGGGGAGGGAGGCAAGCGCTGAGGGAGGAGGGGAGCACAGTAGAAGATGCCAAGAGGTTTTCAATGGGCTAGAGGTGTTTAAACAAGGACAAAAGAACAAGATAAGGTGGAAGAATTGGGCCTGAAAGCGAGGAAAGCCAGGGGGATAAGTGGGAGCATTATCTGGGAGTGGGTACCTCTTTCTTCCAGAAAGTCTCCAGTGCTCTGGCCTATTGGTCATTGGCTCCTGTTGGAGAAAGTAACATTATTTCTCACCCAGGGTATTTGCCCTTCTGTCCCACCATTTCCCTATCTTCATCTCAGCCAAGGCAAAAGTCCCATAGTATAACAGTGATTCACACACTTCTGGGCCCAAAAACTCAGCATGCAGAGCAGAGCAAAGCAGAACATAATGTAGACTTCACCAACTTTGACTTAACGCCTAGGGACAGGACCTGTTCAAGGCGCTCTATTTCTCTTCATTCCTTCCCTTCTTGCTCCTCTACAACTCATGTAGACAGACCCACGGTTACATGCTGTGTTTTATGGCACAGGAAAGTGCTATAGAAAAGGCTGAGAGCAACGTGGTATGGAGTTACTGAGAACTGTTCAGCATGATGCTAGCCACAATGCCGAGGCCATTTGGAATGAAAAGACAAAGACAGCACAGACCAAAGAAATTCAGCCCATGTAAACTTACTTTAGGGTCAGTCAGAAATTCTAGGTTCTTTTTACATGAATCCTTTAGAAAATTACTTTAACTGATGGCAAAACTGACATTATTGTTTTATAGATTGTCCTCTCTCCCTGTCACCCATGATGGGTTAGTTAACAACCAACAGAGCAGCTACCTGCTTGACATCAGGAGTGAGATGCCAGGAGCACAGATGGTCCACAATCTAGACAATTAGCTTCTAAAGAAGAAAAAACATCTAACAAGTCTTCTGTGAATGTAGAGTTTGGCTGGGCACAACTAGGGCAGAGAACAAGCAGACCTCCTCAACAACTCTTTCTTTTACCTCTTAAAATGCCAGTGAAAGTGGGGCGTCATGACTCACACCTGTAATCCCAGCACTTTGGGAGGCCGAGGTGGGTGAATCACCTGAGGTCAGGAGTTTGAAACCAGCCTGGCCAACATGGTGAAACCCCGTCTCTACTAAAAATACAAAAATTAGCCAGGCATGGTGGTGCACACCTGTGGTCCCAGCTACTTGGGAGGCTGAGGCAGGAGAATTGCTTGAACCCGGGAGGTGGAGGTTGCAGTGAGCTGAGATCATGCCACTGCACGCCAGCCTGGGCGACAGAGCAAGACTCTGTCTCAAAATAAAATGAAAAATGAAATAAAATATAAATAAATAAAATGCTGGTGGAGTACTCACCCACTTGCTGAGAACAACCATTTATTGGAAAGACCTGGAGGGAAGAATTCCAAATAAATTCTGTAGATACTCCAACTCTAAGGAGGGGGAGCATAGTGACTTCCTTCCAATGAATACAGTATGGAAAGTTGGGGCCGGGGAGAGGGTGGGAGAGAATCACTTAACAGTGGAAAAACTGGATAAACTACTTCTTTTCAGGTGATCAAGGTCAACATTAAGTCATAAATCATGTTCATAGTATGTACCCTTGATATGATGTGATTAAAATAGCACTTTTATTTTTTTGAGATGGAGTCTCGCTCTGTCACCCAGGCTTGGAGTGCAGTGGTGTGATCTCGGCTCACTGCAGCCTCTGCTTCCCAGTTTCAAGCAGTTCTCCTGCCTCAGCCTCCGAGTAGCTGGTATTACAGGCGCATGCCACCATTCCTGGCTAATTTTTGTATTTTTAGTAGAGACGGGGTTTCACCATGTTGGCCAGGCTGGTCTCGAATTCCTGACCTCAGGTGATCTGCCTGCCTCGGCCTCCTAAAGTGCTGGGATTACAGGCCTGAGCCACTGCCCCCGGCAAAAACAGCACTTTAACTCTGTGACCTTCCTTCCCAAAACACAGTCTAATCATGAGACAAACAGACAAATTCCAATAGAGGGGCATCCTACAATATACCTAACCAGTACTCCTCAAAACTACCAAAGTCATCAAAAACAAGGAACATCTGAGAAACTGTCATAGCCAAGAGGAGCCTAAGGAGACATAGCAACTAAATGTCATATGATATGCTGCATGGGATCCTGGAGCAGAAAAATAGTAACGATAATAGTGGACAAAAGCACCTCCAATCACTTCAGGCTTCATGGAGCTTTTTTTTTTTTTTTTTTTGAGATGGAGTCTCGCTCTCTCGCCCAGGCTGGAGTGCAGTGGCACGATCTCGGCTCACTGCAAGCTCTGCCTCCTGGGTCATTCTCCTGCCTCAGCCTCCTGAGTAGCTGGGACTACAGGCGCCTGCCACCACACCCGGCTAATTTTTTTTGTATTTTTTTTAGTAGAGACGGGGTTTCACTGTGTTAGCCAAGATGGTCTTGATCACCTGACCTCGTGATCCGCCTGCTTCGGCCTCCCAAAGTGCTGGGGTTTTTTTTTGTTTTTTTTTTTGAGACGGAGTCTTGCTGTTGCCCAGGCTGGAGTACAACGGCATGATCTAGGCTCACTGCAGCCTCCACCTCCCACCTCCTAGGTTCAAGTGATTCTCCTGCCTCAGCCTCCTGAGTAGCTGGTATTACAGGCGCACGCCACCACGTCTGGCTAAATTTTGTATTTTTAGTAGAGATGGGTTTCTCCGTGTTGGTCAGGGTAGTCTCGAACTCCCGACCTCAGGTGATCCGCCCGCCTCGCCCTCCCAAAGTGCTGGGATTACGGGCGTGAGCCACTGTGCCCAGCCTGGCCTTCATGGTGCATTTTTTAAATGCTTTGGTTTTTCCGACTTTCCTTTCCTCCTCCCCCTGCCCCGACATTATTTTGCTCTTGTTGCCCAGGCTGGAGTGCAGTGGCGTGATCTTGGCTCACTGCAACCTCCGCCTGCCGGGTTCAAGCAGTTCTCCTGCTTCAGCCTCCCGAGTAGCTGGCCGAGTAGCTGGGATTACAGGCGCCTGCTACCACGTTTAGGAGAGACGGGGAGTTTTCATGTTGGCCAGGCTGGTCTCGAACTCCTGACCTCAGGAGATCCACCCGCCTCCGCTTTCCAAAGTGCTGGGATTACAGGCGTGAGCCACCGCGCCCGGCCGGTTTTCCGGCTTTCATTCTTTTGGGGCACTTGCATTGCACCCAGGGTTCCCCAGAACTTATCCTACCCCACACCCTTTTCGTATTTCCTATGGCTCTGTCCCCAACGAGCTATGGTGATCTCAGTCGCATGGCCTCAGTTCTTTTCTTCTAGCGACCTCCATCCAACTTTCTATTACACAGCGCCCCCTAGACGTTCAATTCAGCATGACCAAACCCAAACCCTGATTTCCCAAACCCTCTTTCCGCATTTCTTGCTCACTGCATGGACAGAATCCTAGGCATCACCCCCTACTTTGCTTTCTCAGGACTCCTTGCCAGTCGGTCCCTAAGTTCTGCCAGCGGCGCCTGCGTGGGGTCTCTTGTACCGTGTTCTCCTCTCCATCCTTGCTGCCGAGCCCTCAACACCAGTGGGCCCCCTGCCTTCTGGAGTTCCCATTTACCTCCCTATGTCTTTCCTTGCTTCCTTCCTTTCCATCTCTAGCAGCTAATGACATGAGAAAATGTAGATTCTCTCTGGCCTCCATGCCAGCCAATTTCATGACTGCTGCCCACTGTAATTAATGAATTCCTTTTCTCTATCTTGAGGTGTGTGTGTGTGTTTAGGCGTTTATTTACACCTTTTGTGTTTGAAACACAAAACACTACTTCCTAGAATCACTAGGAAGTAGTAGCTGAGTTAGCAGTTTATTTTAATATGTAACATAGTAAGGTGACAAAGCTCATTTTAATAGCACCAGCCATTAACCCAGTTTTCTCAGTGTTCATATGGACGTAAATAATGACACAAGAAAAACACTTTTGAGGGTAGTTACGGGAAAAGCTGACATTACATGGCTGCATAACCCAACCGACTCAGGATCTGATAATGAAAGCGTGAAGATAATAAAGAAGCATCAAGCTGCGAAAGGAAAGGAAAATTACAAAATGCTCACGCAGCGAAGCTGCGAGGAACCCCACCGAGCCAGCCAGGAGTCGAACCTGGAATCTTCTGATCCGTAGTCAGACGCGTTATCCATTGCGCCACTGGCCCTGAGATGGCACTGTTTCTCTCCGTGATGGTACTTCAAGGTTATACTGCAGGGTTTCATGGGCGGTGTAGTCTCTCAACGGCGTTCTTCAGATAGACTAAGCATTCTGGGAGATTGAAGTTCGTCAGGAACCAGACCCTGAGATTGGTGGATCCATGCCGTACGCCACTGTGCAGCCCGCGGATTGGCAGGAAAAGCCACTCCCCATCCCTCCTGTTCGGGAGCTGTGGCAGACGCTCTGGTTGTTAAGGCGACTCGTCCCGCCTTCTGGGGCACTAGTTTGACTTTGTGATTGGCTACTAGTATCAAGGAATCCCGGCGTGGACAGCGCGAGGAGAAAGATGGCGGCGATGGCGGTCGGGGGTGCTGGTGGGAGCCGCGTGTCCAGCGGGAGGGACCTGAATTGCGTCCCCGAAATAGCTGACACACTAGGGGCTGTGGCCAAGCAGGGGTGAGGGCCGGACCTCCACGAGCGGAATGCGGGGTCCGAACTCGGGGACGGAGAAGGGCAGACTAGTCATCCCGGAGAAGCAGGGGTGAGGGGGTCGGCTAGGATGAGGAGGGGAGAGACTATTACTCTTTGGAGGGGAGGAGCCTCGGACCCAGTAACGTGAGGAAAATAACTTGTGGGAGGCCTGTGGTCACTGAGTCCCAAAGTTGGGAGAGTTGTTGGGTAAACTCTAAAGGGCCCTGGAGGTCGCGATTATTGTCTGGGAGTGGGAGGAGGTGTTAGGGGGCAAGGGAGAGAAGAGGCTAATTTTGACGGGGGAGGCATGGGCAGAACTGGGGCAAATCTGGATGTGATGGTCTTGGAAACATACTGACACCTGAGGAGAAAAAAATTCTACTTGTGGATATCCATCATTTTCTCCTTACTCATATGTCCCATGGCTGTGTTTTAGGGAGAAATTGAGGCACAGTACAGCAGAGTTGATATCCCCCAAGGTGGTCTGAACTCAGCAGCCTAGTAGGCTGAACTGATGGCAGCTGAAAGGGCTGTGCAAAATCAAGATAGCCTAAATCCAGTTGCTTGGCTCTCTGGCACTGCTGCTGTCTTTACATGATTCTGGGTCTGTCGCGGTTGTAGGTTTGATTTCCTCTGCATGCCTGTCTTCCATCCGCGTTTCAAGAGGGAGTTCATTCAGGAACCTGCTAAGAATCGGCCCGGTCCCCAGACACGATCAGACCTACTGCTGTCAGGAAGGGGTAGGGACCATCCCATATGCCCCTTAATTATTAGAGGCAATAACAACTTCTGCTTTATCGGGGCCCTCATTCTCCTCCTTTTCTGACTTGGATATATTTGTTAGTCCCTGGGATATAGATAACTTGTTTTCTCCTTGCTTCTCTATTCTGCATCAGGCTATCCCATGTCTATGTAGAAAAAACCTTTGTCTCTCATTTCTACTCTTGATTCCCAAAACTAAAAATTGAACAAGTAAAGTGCTGAACCTTATTCAGTATTTGTCTTTCTTGGGTGGGGGAGTGCAGACTGGAATACGCTAATTGTGGGAAAGCTTTCTCCATGGATTCGTCCAGACTCAAAAGTGGAGAAGATTCGCAGGAACTCCGAGGCGGTAAGACTGTTTGACTTCTCTGCTGGATTTTTCTAACCAAGCTGGGTGGGGAGAGTGGTCCCCTCCCATCCCCAATAACTTGGTAAATTAACTGATAGAATGAAATTAAAGCTATTAGGCTGGGTGCTGTGGTGCACACCTATAATCCTAGCACTTTGGGAGGCTGAGGCTGTAGGATCACTGGAGCTCGGGATTTCGAGACCAGCCTGGGCAGCGTAGTGAAACCCCATCTCTATAAAATATACAAAAATTAGCCAGGCATGGTGGTGCATGCCTGTGGTCCCAGCTACTCAGGAGGCTGAGGAGGGAGGATCAGTTGAGCTTGGGAAGGTCAAGGCTGCAGTGAGTGGAGACTGTGCCACTGCACTCCAGCCTGGGTGACAGAGTGAGACTTTGTCTCAAAAAAAAAAAAAAAAAAGCTGTTTGCTTGTTAGCTCAAACTTTTCCTCTTCATCTCCGTTCCAGGCCATGTTACAGGAGCTGAATTTTGGTGCATATTTGGGTCTTCCAGCTTTCCTGCTGCCCCTTAATCAGGAAGATAACACCAACCTGGCCAGAGTTTTGACCAACCACATCCACACTGGCCATCACTCTTCCATGGTATAGCTGAGGGGCTCCTTTCCTGCTGCATATCATAGTAGTCAGATTGTGCTAAGTACCTTCTTGTGCCTAGCCATTCAGTGAAGGGTGTGTTTGGCAGAATTGAAGTATCAGTATTGGCGGGCACAGTGGGTGATGCCTGTAATCCCAGCACTTTGGGAGGCTGAGGTGGGCAGATCACTGAGCTCAGGAGTTCGAGACCAGCTTGGGCAGCGTGGTGAAATCCTGTCTGTATAAAAAACCAAAACCAAAACAAAAACAAAAAAACACAAATTAGCTAGGTGGGGTGTCACACGCCTGTAGTCCCAGCTACTTGGGAAGCTGAGGTGGGAGGATGACTTGAACCTGTGAGGCGGAGGTTGCAGTTAGCTGAGATTGCACCACTGCACTCCAGCCTGGGTGACAGAGCCAGACCTTGTCTCAAAAAAAAAAAAAAAAAAAGGTCAGTATTGCGCACCTCTCCATCTAAAAGTGGTATGAAGAGAGTTTCAAAACATGTAAATGTAATTATTTTGGAAACTTACGTAAGACAAGGCAGATATTTACATAAGGATCTATATATAAGGTACATGTTCACTTACAAAATTACAAATTGGGAAAAGCATATAAAGGGATTAACGAGGTCTGGATGAAGTTTTTTTTATTGAGGGAAACTTTCTGGACCCAATGAGTTCAAAAGAGAGTTCTAAAAGGGTGACTGTTCATGTGCAGTTCTGGATGCGGGTACCCTTGGTGGCACCAGAGGACCTGAGAGATGATATAATTGAGAATGCACCAACTACACACACAGAGGAGTACAGTGGGGAGGAGAAAACGTGGATGTGGTATGTCTCCCTTTGCTGCTGTACCAGGGTGCAAGGGATAGGGTGAGGGGAAGTACAGGGTGCAACCTGTAGGGAGGTCTCCTTGAGCTGTGGTGATTGGTCGGCCATATCTAGTTTACTGTACTTTTCTGTATTTGACTGAACAGGTGGCACAACTTCCGGACTTTGTGTGACTATAGTAAGAGGATTGCAGTGGGTGAGTCCATGAGAATCCTGGGATGGGTGTGGCTTCTCTTACCTCCTGTGAATAAGAATCAGGAATTTCATATATAGTATACAATTTTGCTACTTCCCCTCTGTCTCAGACTGGCTTTCTCTTAAAGAAGTAAACAGATTTTGCGCAAAGGAGCAAGGAAGGGTTTCTTGCCTGGCAGTGGTTGACAGTTTTTCTTTTGCCTCATGTAGCTCTTGAAATTGGGGCTGACCTCCCATCTAATCATGTCATTGATCGCTGGCTTGGGGAGCCCATCAAAGCAGCCATTCTCCCCACTAGCATTTTCCTGACCAATAAGAAGGGATTTCCTGTTCTTTCTAAGATGCACCAGAGGCTCATCTTCCGGCTCCTCAAGGTGAGTGGTAGGAGGGTTCTAAAGGTAGTCCAGCTATACATCTTGCCTTATTTACCTGTGTATGATCGTTTTTTCCTGTGAGGCTGACTCTTTTTCTTTGGTTTCTGGGGAGCAATTTCAGTGAAGTTGGGAATCTTGAGAACAAAAAGGTAAATGCCAGTAGTAGCCCTAGAAACCTTTCAAAACAAACCAAACCTCATGAGAACTTTGCAGAAGGTTTCATTTAGGAAGTTACAGCAAGGATCCATGAGGCTGTTTGGGTGTTGATACTTTCATGGCATAAGAGGGCTTTTTCTTTTTTCTTTTTTTTTTTGAGACAGGGTCTCACTCTGTTACCCAGACTGGAGTGCAGCCATACCATCTCAGCTCACCAGAACCTCTGCCTCCCAGGCTTAAGCGATTCTTCTGCTTTAGCCTCCTGAGTAGCTGGGATTATAGGAATGCACCACTACTGCCCGGCTAATTTTTGTATTTTCAGTAGAGACAGGTTTTATCATGTTGGCCAGGCTGGTCTTGAACGCCTGACCTCAAATGATCCACCCGCCTCGGCCTTCCAAAGTATTGGGATTACAGGCGTGGGCCACCACGCCCGGCCAAGGGGGCTTTTTATAAGTTTACTGAAGCCTCATGCTGCCTTTGTTGGTATTGGGACAGACGCTAGAGAACTGTTGGTCTGGGCCAGGTGCAGTGGCTCGCGCCTGTAATCCCAGGACTTTGGGAGGCTGAGGCGGATGGATCATCTGAGGTCAGGAGTTTGAGACCAGCCTGTCCAACATGGTGAAACCCCGTCTCTACTAAAAATACAAAAATTAGCCAAGCATGGTGGCACGCACCTGTAGTCCCAGCTACTTGGGAGGCTGAGGCAGGAGAATTGCTTGAACCTGGGAGGTGGAGGTTGCAAGTGAGCCAAGATCACGCCATTGCACTCCAGCCTGGGCAATAGAGCGAGACTCCATCTTTTTTTTTAAAAAAAAAAAAAAAGAGAACTGTTGATCTGGGCCTTATTTTACACTAGGGCTCTTTGGCCATATACCATAATATTCCAGAATCTTGGTTTGAGGGCTGTGTCTGATGGTCTGACTTTTCTCACAGTTGGAGGTGCAGTTCATCATCACAGGCACCAACCACCACTCAGAGAAGGAGTTCTGCTCCTACCTCCAATACCTGGAATACTTAAGCCAGAACCGTCCTCCACCTAATGCCTATGAACTCTTTGCCAAGGGCTATGAAGACTATCTGCAGTCCCCGCTTCAGGTGGGTCTGGAGTGCACTTAGAGGAGGAAGGTGGGATGGAAAATGTTTCTTGAGAATATATGCCTCCAAATCTTACTAAAACTCAGAAAGCAGTGGAAAGTTTTTGATATTTTAGTGCATTGTCCTTTGCCAGAAACTGGCTAACTTTGTCCTTTTCCTCATTCATCAGCCACTGATGGACAATCTGGAATCTCAGACATATGAAGTGTTTGAAAAGGACCCCATCAAATACTCTCAGTACCAGCAGGTACTGTGTGGTGCCCAGGGTGAGGAAAGCACAGGGCCAGCATGACCTGGGGAGGATGGGATTACAACCATGGGATATTCTCTCCTCCCTCCAGGCCATCTATAAATGTCTGCTAGACCGAGTACCAGAAGAGGAGAAGGATACCAATGTCCAGTGAGTGCTTTCCCCTCAATCTCAGGGACTTGCATACCTATATCTGTATATGCCAAGTCTGCTTGACTCTTCCCTTTCTTTCTTAGGGTACTGATGGTGCTGGGAGCAGGACGGGGACCCCTGGTGAACGCTTCCCTGCGGGCAGCCAAGCAGGCCGACCGGCGGATAAAGCTGTATGCTGTGGAGAAAAACCCAAATGCCGTGGTGACGTGAGTAGCAACCTGCTTGCTGGGAAGTTAGTCCTCATTGCCAAATTTCCTTAACATCTCTCCTTACCTTATTGTCTCTGTTTCAGGCTAGAGAACTGGCAGTTTGAAGAATGGGGAAGCCAAGTGACCGTAGTCTCATCAGACATGAGGGAATGGGTGGCTCCAGAGAAAGCAGACATCATTGTCAGTGAGCTTCTGGGCTCATTTGCTGACAATGAATTGTCGCCTGAGTGCCTGGATGGAGCCCAGCACTTCCTAAAAGGTGCCCCCAGGTTGGGGTGTAGGTGGAGGGTGATGATGGGTGAGACAGCAACCTGGGAGGAGGGTACAGGGTTTAGGGGAAAGTGGGTTGGACCTGGGTCACATCATATGAGTTTGAGAGCCACTGCTTCACTGCCTCTGTGCCCCTAGCAAATGAAGTCATCTCTCCAAACCTTAGTGTTCATATTTGTAAAATGAAGGGAGTGGGCTGGGCGCGGTGGCTCATGCCTGTAATTGCAGCACTTTGGGAGGCCAAGGCGGGAGGTCAGGAGTTTGAGACCAGCCTGGGCAACATGGCGAAACCCCATCACTACTAAAAATACAAAAATTAGCCAGGCGTGGCGGTGCACGCCTGTAATCCCAGCTACTCGGGAGGCTGAGGCGCGAGAATCACTTGAACCTGGGAGGAGAAGGTTGCAGTGAGCTGAGATTGTGCCACTGCACTCCAGCCTGGGCAACAGAGCGAGACTCCATCTCAAATAAATAAATAAATAAATAAATAAATAAATAAATATGACATATGTACCCTGAGCTTAGCTTTCATCAGGAACTTTTGTGGGACTTTGTGACCCCACAAAAGTTAAGAACCACCAGATTAGACTATCTTGGGTTCTTTCAGTTTTAATCTGTGTGACTCTGTAAATTAACCTAGTAGTGGAATCCTCCATGACAGTAGTTGGAAGCAGGCTGGCTTAGTAATGTGACAACATGCATTTGTCTCTTTCTTCCATGCCCATGCCAACGTTGGTTGGTTTTGACATGGGAGGTTTGATCCTTCTGATCCTTCAGTTAGTACAGACATACCATTTCCCTCCCTCTGGAACTAATTTGACTCTCCTGCTGTGCAGATGATGGTGTGAGCATCCCCGGGGAGTACACTTCCTTTCTGGCTCCCATCTCTTCCTCCAAGCTGTACAATGAGGTCCGAGCCTGTAGGGAGAAGGACCGTGACCCTGAGGTAAAGAACCACTCTCTCTGGAAAGAAGTGGTACTCTTTAGTCCTCTTCTTTTTCTGTATTTGCATCAGCTATTTTCTTCTGCTGGGGATGAAGAGGTGAAGGAGAAGTTAGGGATTGGGGAAGCACTAAAGTAAAACTTTTTTTAATCCTTGGGGAAGTAGTTCTCTCTTGTGTGTCTTCCCCAACACTCTCTCTCTCTTTCTGTCTCTGACAGGCCCAGTTTGAGATGCCTTATGTGGTACGGCTGCACAACTTCCACCAGCTCTCTGCACCCCAGCCCTGTTTCACCTTCAGCCATCCCAACAGAGGTAGGTTCTTTTATGGCTGTCCTCTGACTAGAGGGGTACGGGCTTCTTCCTTCCTCCTGCTTTCTTCCCTTACTGTCCCTAGTCTGCCTTATCTACTCTTCCTTTCCTGGGTCTTGCTCATGCTTTATCAAGTTGTCTAGAGCTTCTGGCCCCTTGTCACCCACATAATTATTTCCTGACAGATCCTATGATTGACAACAACCGCTATTGCACCTTGGAATTTCCTGTGGAGGTGAACACAGTACTACATGGCTTTGCCGGCTACTTTGAGACTGTGCTTTATCAGGACATCACTCTGAGTGAGTGTCTATGGCAGTAGATGGCAGAGTATGAGGGTGTGCTTCCTGGGCAGCTTATATGTACATGTGTCATTTAGATTTATGGGGGGCCCAGTGCTCAATGAATGGAGATCTTTGTGTGATTAGAGAAGAGACCCTCTTCAGCATAGGCAAAAGTCACAGCCATGGAGACCTCTGTTTTTTCATTATTTTGTCCACACAGGTATCCGTCCAGAGACTCACTCTCCTGGGATGTTCTCATGGTTTCCCATCCTCTTCCCTATTAAGGTAGGAACTGCTTTTAAGACTCTCTAGTTAAGCAGTAACCTTTGCCTTTGGTGTTGTGCTTCTTTCCTTCTCCCAGGAAGATAGTTGACTATGACTCATGTTCTCCTGATTTCATATGCTCTTGGATCCCAGTGGTAGGTGTTGGGAGTATTTGGAGTGGCCTTCTGCCTGGCTTTCCCGCATCTACTCTGGCTACTCTTCTGTCTGTTCTCTACTTTGAGCAAGAGTCATCTTTTAAAAACTCAAATTTGATCTTATCTCTCTTGCTGTCTTTTTTTTTTTTTTTTTTTTAAAGAGACGGAGTCTCACTCTGTCGCCCAGGCTGGAGTGCAGTGGCACAATTTCGGCTCACTGCAAGCTCCGCCTCCCGGGTTCATGCCATTCTCCTGCCTCAGCCTCCCTGAGGCTGAGATTACAGGTGCCAGCCACCACACCCGGCTAATTCTTGTATTTTTAGTAGAGACGGGGTTTTACCGTGTTAGCCAGGATGGTCTCGATCTCCTGACCTCATGATCCGCCCACCTCAGCCTCCCAAAGTGCTGGGATTACAGGCGTGAGCCACCGCGCCTGGCCTGATCTTATCTCTCTTTTTTGCTTAAAACTCTTCAATGCCTTCCCATTGTCTTTAGGATAAAAGTCAAAATCTGGGACATTGCTTGTAAGACTTGATGTGATCGAGTGTTTGCTTGCCTTTGCAGCTACTGTCCCCTTGCTTACACTGCTTCAGCCTTATGGACCTTCTTTTTGTTCTAATTGTCTATCTTCTTTCCTACCTCAGGCTTTCATGCCTTTCTCTTGCCTGTAGAGTTCTTTGCTTGTCTCTTCACACAGTTAACCTATCTTCTAGGTCTTCTTTAAACATTTTTATTGTGAGATAAACTTTCTCTGATCTCCTAGACTAGGTTAGTGTTCCCTTTCATAGGTGTTTTTCTGACTCTGTACATGTTCACAGCTCTCACCACACCTTTGATTATTTGTGTTCTGATAGGCTTCAAATAACTTTCATGAGGGTTGGGACAGTCTTGTCATGTTTATCATTTTATCTCCACACCTACCTTAATACATTGCCATGTATAATTCATAGCTTCACCCTGAACCTTCCTGTCTTTCTTCTTACAGCAGCCCATAACGGTACGTGAAGGCCAAACCATCTGTGTGCGTTTCTGGCGATGCAGCAATTCCAAGAAGGTGTGGTATGAGTGGGCTGTGACAGCACCAGTCTGTTCTGCTATTCATAACCCCACAGGCCGCTCATATACCATTGGCCTCTAGCCCTGCGTGCCAAGTGTCCAGAGCCTTGGAAGCAGCTTCAGGTTCTGCTCCTGTAGTACAGAAGGTGCAGTACATCTATGGGCTGTGATTCCCCTTGCCCATCAGAGAGGAGCATTTCAATCTGCTTTCCTGCCTTACATCAAGGTGGGCAAGGGATTATAATTAATTGCAGGGCTCAAGCCACCAATCTATGAAGACCTCAGGCCAGGGGGTGAGGAATTAGTGCTGGATTTGAAGCTACGCACTCAGCCTCAAGAACTCCCTGGAATATCCCTGAGAACATGGGGTTTGAACGGATTTTCAGCCTTTTTCTGTTCTTGTTTTGATGGTTTTGTGTAAGAGGAAATACAAATAAAGTTATAGCCCTTTACTGCACGACCATGCTGCCCCCTGCCACTATTTTCCCACACCTCACTTAGACCCAGGCATGTTCAGATCTGTCCTCTTAGCCTATCCAAGACCCAAAGGGGCCTAGTTGTATTCCCTACTTAGGAAGCTGAGCAATGACTATTGTAGTCCTGGATATAGGCCTTTCTGACCAGCTACAGTGAGCTCTTGTCCATTAGAACCTACAGTTAGGCTTTTCTCTGGGGAGGAGGCATAGAGTTTGCCACCTTGGAAAAAGATGGAATAGTGAGTGAAGCCAGTTTCTCTTCTGTATTCTTGAGCTACTGCACGGGCAACTGGTTACCTCTCCTTTGTTACCTCTTGGGAAGACTGGAATCCATCCAGGAATCTCCAGCAAGAAGCTACCTGTTTTTTTTGAATAAAACCACAGGGTTACAGTTTGAAGTCCTAAGAGATCATCTAGTCCAATTTTCCATTTTACAGAGGGGGAGTTTGAAATGGGTACAATGATGTGATATTAGTATCCAAGTCAGAATTGGAAGTCAGGTCCTCCGACTCTGGCTCTCCCCATGTTATAACCAGCTACATTTTTGGTAGCTACAGTAGACCACAGAAGTGTCTAGGGGCTCCTGGAGGCCCCTGGAAAGTGAGGGTGGACATCAGTTCCTTCTTTCCGGTTAGAGGACTCAGTACTGCTACATCCAAGGAGTCACCTGAGAAACTTTCAAATTTACCCTTGCAGTGGGAAATGTGGGGGTACTGATTTGAACGGAAGTTATGACCTGTGGGAGCAGGCCATGACGATAGGGCAGAGTGTGGGCCAAGACAAGTCTGTGGCAAGATCTGCTTTTCCCTGGTCCCAAGCACCGAGGTCAGGAGAGGTGGTCGGGAAGGTTGTTTAGGTAGCCGGCTCAGAACGGGGATTTCGAGTTCAGCATCCCCGGACGTTAAACAAACGCCGCTGTTCTCTACAAAGCTTAACCTTAACGACCGACGTGACTCCTTCAGCAAATCCGAGTAGGGACGGCCAAGGATGTAAATTGTGCCTCCTCGTTGGCTCCGCCCATCGCACTGGTCTAGTCTACGCGAGCACCAGGAGTGGGGTTGGTGGCTTCTTCACTCCCGTTTTCAGTCCCGTTTTCCCCGCCCTCCGCAAGTCATTTAACCAATGAGAGAGTGATGGGCGGCTACCAAAGGACGCTTCCATTTTCTGGAGTCTCTGAGGTTAGCCAATCAATGGGAACTCGGTGGTTGCTAAGACGCATTTGAGTTTGCTCCACCCATACTTAGGACTTTAGCCAATGAGAACCTGTACTTTGGACGGTTGCCGCGAAACCAGTGAGGTTATTTCCAAAGCCGGGGAGTCTTGGCGCATGCGCAGATTGGGGAAGGTTCTGGAAGACGGCAGAGCTGCCGCCATTTTGCGGGAAGAGGAGGCTCTGTACCTGCAGTGCTGCTTTTCTTGCCTAGACTCTAGGAACTATCCGAGCTCCACTCCCCACAACATACTCAAAGGAACGGAGAGAACCGGGACCCCCCTGCGGGGACCCGGAACTGGTGAGAAACCCCAAAACCCGGTCCCCACCAGACGTCACCAATGCGTGACGTTGCTGCACGGCGCCTCCCCCCTGACGTCACGGGCAGAAAATGGCGTCACGAAGAGATTCAGGCGAACTTTTAACATTAAAAAAACCTTTGTTTGTTTTGACCTGGAAGTGTTAGCTACTTAAATGTAGCCCACTGCCACGATTTTAGAGTTGGGCACCCTCGTGGCTGTATCTTGCACCGATAAAGATGCGGTTTCTAGAATCCTGTGATTTTTCTTTCCGGGTCTCTGCAGCCGTGACACTTAGGGTCGCCCACACTGGAGAGGGAGCATCGACCCTCCGCGGCCTGAGAGGACACGCATCATCAGTTTCAGCCACTCGCACCACCATTCAGAGAGAGAGAAGGGAATTGAGCTTTCTTCCTCAATCTCTAGTCTGTCGAAGATTCATGTTCACTATGTTGACCTTTATGGGCTTTTCCCATTTAACTTTTTCAAGCACTCATTCCAGTAGGCGTATTATGATGCCACATATGAAGATTGAGCCCTGGGACACTGGCTCCCGCAGAGATTGTGCCAGTTGGTTGCCTATAGGACCTCTTTTTTTTTATTTTTTTAAGGCGGAGTGTCGCTTTGTCACCCAGGCTGGAGTGGAGTGGCGCGATCTCGGCTCACTGCATCCTGTCTCCCGGGTTCTAGCGATTCCCCTGCCTCAGCCTCCCGAGTAGCTGGGATTACAGGCGCCTGCCACAACGCCCGGCTAATTTTTGTATTTTTAATAGAGATGGGGTTTTGCCATGTTAGCCAGGCTGACCTCGAACTCCTGACCTCAGGTGATCCACCCGCCTCGGCCTCCCAAAGTGCTGGGATTACAGGCGTGAGCCACCGCGCCCGGCCTATAGGACCATTTTTTAAAGCTACACAACATGGGGAGGGTGGTCCTTCAAGTAGCTTTTATCGTTCTCATTGTTCCTCTTTTGTTAAGCTGCCTTCAGTTTGTAGGTGTTTGTGCCCAGCTAAGTGATCAGACCCTGGGGATGGCGCTACCATCACCCCTGGGGCTCCAGCTTTTCGTGAATTCTTCCCGAATTGGTCTGACAGTGGTTCTCTCTGCTCCTTTAGCAGTGGGGTCTATCTGTTGGCTTGTGCTATGACGAGGTCTAGGAACTGACGTGATTGTGGGTCTCTAATACTGTTTTTGGAGCAGGATGGAAGAAAACATACTCTATGTGGATGAGATTGAGTGGACCTTGACCCATAAGTTGGGACATGAAGAGAGCGTTTGAAAACTACCAACCTGGGCCGGGTGCAGTGGCTCACGCCTGTAATCCCAGCACTTTGGGTGGCCGAGGCGGGCGGATCACGAGGTCAGGAGATCGCGACCATCCTGGCTAACACGGCGAAACCCCGTCTCTACTAAAAATACAAAAAAAAAACAAAAAAGAAGAAAAAAGAAAAAACTACCAGCCTGAAAATGCATAGTGTTTGCTACCTTATTGCTTTTAGCACATCTAGAAAGACACTAAACCCAGTGAGATTGCAAGTTTCAAAATATTGTGTTGTATATGGCTTTGCTTAAACGGATATATTTGTTTCTGAGTGAAAACTTTTTACGTAGAGGTTTATTTGTAGAGGCTTGTAAACTTAAGTGTAAGTTTTAGTGTGTGTGTTAAGTTGTTCTTACCCCGCATTAGCACTCAACAATGAGCAGTTCTTGAAATCAAGCATTTCATTTGGAGGGGAAAAAGCAGATTGTAAAAAATAGTTCATAACAGAAAATTTGTGTAGACTTGGCAGCAAAAATGACTGAAACAGCTTGAGTATAAAAAACTTTTCTTTTTAGGCCGGGCTCGGTGGCTCATGTCTGTAATCCCAGCCCTTTGGGAGGACCAGGCAGGCGGATCACCTGAGGTCAGGAGTTCGAGACCAGCCTGACCAATGTGGAGAAACCCCGTCTCTGCTAAAAATACAACATTAGCCAGGTGTGGTGGTGCCTGCCTGTAATCCCAGCTACTTGGGAGACTGAGACAGGAGAATTGCTTGAACCTGGGAGGTGGAGGTCGCAGTGAGCCGAGATTGCGCCATTGCACTCCATCCTGGGCAACAAGAGTGAAACTCTCTCAAAAAAAAACAAAAACAAACTTTTCTTTTTAGAACTATTTTCCCATAGTGTATATTAGTCTAATACCTTTAAGCATACACTGTACATGCCTCAGATATAGGAGACTCACAATGAGGTTTAGCTAATGGGACTGATTATTTTGATAAACATATGAGAAGAACATTCATGTTCAGTGAGTATATATTTAAAAGTAGGTATCTTGGTATACTGTGTCCTTTTTTTTTTCCTTTAAAGTTAATTACAAACCATATGAGAAGTAATCTGATATAATAGATATAATGTTAGATTTGAAGTCAGAAAACCTTTCTGATCAAGAATTAGCTCCTCTGGCCAGATGTAATCCTAGTACTTTGGGAGGCTAAGGTGGGTGGATCTGTTGAGTCCGGGAGTTTGAGACCAGCCTGGGCAACATAGTGAGACCATGTCTCTACCAGAAAAAAAAAAAAAGCCCAAAATATGAAAAGTTAGCCTGGCATCATAGTGCACACCTGTGGTCCCAGCTACTGGGGAAGCTGAGGTTAGAGGATTGCTTGAGCTAGAGAGGCAGAGGTTGCAGTGAGCCGAGATTGCAACATTACACTCCAGCTTGGGCAACAGAGTGAAATCCTGTCTCAAAAAAAAAAAAAAACATTCTTCCCTTTGAGCTGTGTGACCTTCTCTGTTTTGGGGATTGAGACAGAATCTCAATCTGCTGCACAGACTGGATTGCAGCGGCATGATCACAGTTCACTGCAGCCTCAACTTCCTGGGTTCAAGCGATCCTTCCATTTCAGGCTCCTGAGTAGTTGGGACTACAGGCACGCACCACCATGCGTGGCTAATTTTTATATTTTTTGTAAAAATGGGGCCTCACTGTATTGCCCAGGCTGATTTTGACTTGGCCTCAAGCCATTCTCCAGCCTTAGCTTCCCAAAGTGCTGAGATTGCAGGCGTGAGCCACCCCCTCTGCCTGGCCCTTGAGCTATGTATGACTTTGAGCAGTTCAAAAAACGTTAGTTTTAAAAAATTTGGGTATGAATCATATATTACCTGTCTGCAGCATTTGTTACCTTTGATTGCTAAATAAATATAAAGTGTTACTGGAAGAAGTAGAAGGCCGGGCACAGTGGCTCATGCCTGTAATCCCAGCACTGGGAGGCCGAGGCAGGCGGATTACCTGAGGTCAGGAGTTTGAGACCAGCCTGGCCAACATGGTGAAACTTTGTCTCTACTAAAAATACAAAAATTAGTGGGACGTAGTGGCGGGCACCTGTAATCCCAGCTACTCAGGAGGCTGAGGCAGGAGAATCGCTTGAACCTGGGAGGCAGAGGTTGGCGTGAACTGAGATTGTGCCACCGCACTCCAGCCTGGACAACAGAGCTAGACTCCTTCTCAAAAAAAAAAAAAAAAAGCCAGGCATGGGGCTTATGCCTGTAATCCCAGCACTTTGGGAGGGCGAGGCGGTCGGATCACCTGAGGTCGAGAGTTCGAGACCAGCCTGACTAACACGGAAAACCTGGTCTCTACTAAAAATACAAAATTAGCTGGATGTGGTGGCGCATGCCTGTAATCCCAGCTACTCAGGAGGCTGAGGCAGGAGAGTTGCTTGAACCTGGGAGGCAGAGGCAATTGAGTTTACTGGTTTTTATGTATACCAATTTGATTTGGGTTTAATTTCCATTTAAGCCTTAAATTTGGCTCCAAGTAATTTTTCTCTAAGAATCTTCTCTCTCCATAACATGCTTAGCACAGTGTCTAGCAGTTGTAGGTACTGTAAGTCATAGAATCATAGTTGTAATTATTACACTTATTTAATTGTCAAAATAGGATATGGACTCTTAGGGCAACCAAGGCAGCATTGTTGCATAGTGCATTAGCTGCTTTAAAGAGGACAAAGTTCCTCTTTTTTTTTTTTTTTTTTGAGATGGAGTCTTACTCCATCTTACACCCAGGCTGGAGTGCAGTGGTGTGATCTCGGCTCACTGCAACCTCTGCCTCCCAGGTTCAAGCGATTCTCCTGTCTTAGCCTCTTGAGTAGCTGGGACTACAGGCGCCCACCACCATGCCCGGCTAATTTTTGTGTCTTTAATGGGGATGAGGTTTCACCATATCCGTCAGGCTGGTATTGAACTCCTGACCTCAGGTGATCCACCCACCTTGGCCTCCCAAAGTACTGGGATTACAGGGTGAGCCACCACGGCTGGCCAACAAAGTTCTTACAGTTATGAAAAAGTCTGATTATGATAGCCTCCTTGCATAGAAATTCCTCAGGTTTTTTTTTTTAACGGCATGATTGAGGTACATTTAATGGGCACACGATAAAACTGTATACATTAAAGTGTACACTTTCATGCGTTTTGATATGTTAAACACCCGTGAAACCATCACTCCCAAAGATTTGTTTGTTTTTGTATTTTTGAGACAGTCTCGCTGTGTCATCCAGGCTGGAGTGCAATGGCGTGATCTTGGCTCACTGCAACCTCTGCCCTCTGGGTTCAAGCAATTCTAGTGCTTCAGCCTCCTGAGTAGCTGGGATTACAGGTGCTTGCCACCACACCCGGCTATTTTTTTTTTTTTTTTTTTTGAGACAGAGTCTTGCTCTGTCACCAGGCTGGAGTGCAGTGGCACGATCTTGGCTCACTGCAACCTCTGTCTCCCGGGTTCAAACGATTCCCCTGCCTCAGCCTCCTGAGTAGCTGGGACAACAGGCGTGCGCCACCATGCCCAGCTAATTTTTGTGTTTTTAGTAGAGATGGGGTTTCACCATGTTGGCCAGGATGGTCTCGATCTCTTGACCTTATGATCAAACTGCCTCGGCCTTCCAAAGTGCTGGGATTACAGGTGTGAGCCACCATGCCCAGCAAATTTTTTTTTTTTTTTTTTTGAGACAGAGTCTTGGTCTGTCACCCAACCTGGAGTGCAATGGTGCCATCTCGGCTGGCTGCAACTTCCGCCTCCCGGGTTCAAGCAATTCTCCTGTCTCAGCCTCCCAGGTAGCTGGGATTACAGGGATGCGCCACCATGCTTGGCTAATTTTTGTATTTTTGTATTTTTTTTTTGAGATGGAATCTTGCTCTGTCACCCAGGCTGGAGCACAGTGGCGCGTTCTCGGCTCATTGCAACCTCCACCTCCTGGGTTCAAGCAGTTCTTATGCCACAGCCTTCCAAGCAGCTGGGACTACAGGTGCGTGCCACCACGCCTGGCTAATGTTTTGTATTTTTAGTAGAGATGAGGTTTCACCATATTGGCCAGGCTGGTCTCAAACTCCTGACCTCATGACCGTGCCCAGCCTTAATTTTTATATTTTTAATAAAGACGAGATTTCACCATATTGTCAGGTTGGTGTCAAACTCCTGACCTCAGGTGATCCACCTGTCTTGGCCTCCCACGGTGCTGGGATTACAGGTGTGAGCCACAACTCCTGGCCCCAAAGTTGGTCCCAAAGTTTTTCTTGTGCCCTTTTAATTTTTTTTAATTTTTTTTTTTTTTTTTTGAGACGGAGCCTTGCTCTGTCGCCCAGGTTGGAGTGCAGTGGCGCGATCTCGGCTCACTGCAAGCTCTGCCTCCCAGCTTCATGCCATTCTCCTGCCTCAGCCTCCCGAGTAGCTGGGACTACAAGCACCCGCCACCACGCCCGGCTAATATTTTGTATTTTTAGTAGAGACAGGGTTTCACTGTGTTAGCCAGGATGGTCTCGATCTCCTGACCTCGTGATCCGCCCGCCTCGGCCTCCCAAAGTGCTGGGATTACAAGCATGAGCCACCGCGCCCGGCCTTCTTGTGCCCTTTTAAAATCTTTTTCTCCCAGCCCTTCCCCTTACTTCTATCCCTAGGCAACCATTGATGTGCTTTCTGCTTTCTTTGATATAGTGATTAGTTTGCTTTTTTTTTTTTTTTTTTTTTTTTTTTGAGACTGAATCTCACTCTGTCTCCAGGTTGGAGTGCAGTGGCACAATCTTGGCTAACTGCAACCTCCGCCTCCTGGGTTCAAGTGATACTCCTGCCTCAGCCTCCCGAGTAGCTGGGCCTACAGGCGCGTGCCACCACGTCCAGCTAATTTTTGTATTTTTAGTAGAGACGGGGTTTCACCATGTTGGCCTAGATGGTCTCGATATGTTGACCTCGTCGTTGACCTCGTGATCTGCCCGCCTCGGCCTCCCAAAGTGCTGGGATTACAGGCATGAGCCACCGCGCCTGGCCTAGTTTGCATTTTTTAGAATTTTATGTAAATGGAATTGTTCATTGTGTACTTTTTGTGGGGGGGGCTGGTTTCTGTCACTCCGTGTAATTATTTTGAGATTCATCCATGTGTGGGTTGATAATTCCAGACCAATAACATTTGAATAATTTATCCTATTGGTTTTCTTTGGTATTTTCTGTTTTTCTTATTTGACAAACTGGTGGTAGACAGCCTGGGGAGAGGCAGTTTCTAGATGTGAAAGCTTGGGGAGGCACGTTTTACCTTGCCTGCCAGAGAGAAAGGTTTCAAGATGGGATTAGTCGAGCCTGTCTTAATCATCATATTTCTGAGTTACCTAAACTGTAGTTGGTATTGGTTAGAAAATGCTCAGGGATAAGGCCCTAATTATTGGTGTTCAGGGTATGCGGAGAGGAAGACGTTAGGGCAAATCTGCATTTTGGTGTTGCTTTGACTTGCTTCTGATTTTTAGTCGTGCCTCTTTATCTTTTTATTGGACATAATGTGCCTATATTTGTTTATTATTTTTTCGTTTTATATTTTTCTCACATCTGTAGCAGCCAGGCCTGTTTTTATTATTTGAGTTTAAACCAGGTATTTATTCAGAATTTTGAACAGTAGAGTGGAGACCTAATGTCTATTTTATAGTGAACAGTAGTTTGGCCACCATCATTTTCTCTTCATAGAACAGGATCAGTGTTGTATTTTGTTTCTTCCTAGATACTCAGTTTTCTTCTATATCCTTGACTATTTTTTTATGTATTGTTTTTTGTGTTTTTTGTTTGTTTGTTTTGTTTTTGAGACAGGGTCACACATTGCTGCCCAGGCTGGAGTACAGTGGCGTGATCTTGGCTCACTGCAACCTCCACCTTTTGGGTTCAAGTGATTCTCCTGCCTCAGCCTCCTGAGTAGCTGGGATTACAGGTGTGTGCCACCACACCCAGCTAATTTTTATATTTTTGGTAGAGGGGGTTTCGCCATGTTGGCCAGGCTGGTCTCAAACTCCTGACCTCAGGTGATCTGCCTGCCTTGCCCTCCCAGAGTGCTAGGATTACAGGTGTGAGCCACTGCGCCCGGACTATCCTTGACTGTTCCAAGCCACAAAGTCGAACTAGTTCAGATCTATAGGGTGTAAAAATAAACCTAGAGTAAGTGACAGCTGGTAAGGTTTCTTTGCAGTTCAAGAAACAGAACTGAAATCTGTATATCCTGAAGTCTCTTTCTTGGAGTGGGAAAGAAATGTGTGGTGCTGGAAAGGGAGGAAAAATATAAAACAGATTCTTACATATTAATATCCTCTCCCCAGATCTGACAGGATGGCATCTGATGACTTTGACATAGTGATTGAGGCCATGCTGGAAGCTCCCTATAAAAAAGAAGAGGTAATATTTTCCACCTCACTCCTGGAATTGGGTTAATGAGAAAGAGTAGTTGTCGATCATCACTTTCAACTTTCAACATTTTATGAATCCTCTTTCCCTGCTTATTTATTATGTAGAATAACTAATCATAAAAGGCATAGTCTTAGTAAGCTTTGCTGGAGACTATGGTTAAGAGCCATACTTTTAGAGACAACCTCAGAAACCGGAGTGGGCACATAATGTGGTGTTGGTAATCTGTGCTTTGCTCAAAACTCGAAGTGACACAGTAGAAAGTCACTGTACCTCAGACCTAGCACCAATTTCTTTTTTTTTTCTTTTGAGACAGAGTCTCGCTCTGTTGCCAGGCTGGAGTGCAGTGGCACAATCTTGGCTCACTGCAACCTCCGCCTCCTGGGTTCAAGCCATTCTCATGCCTCAGCGTCCCAAGTAGCTAGGATTATAGGCAAGCACCACCATGCCCAGCTAATTTTTGTATTTTTAGTAGAGACGGGGTTTCACCATGTTGGCCAGGATGGTCTTGATCTCCTGACCTTATGATCCACCCACCTTGGCCTTCCAAAGTAATGGGATTACAGGCGTGAGCCACTGCGCCCGTCCCAGTTTCTTTTTTAATATATTTTTTATAGAGACAGGGTCTTGCTATGTTGCCTGGGCTGGTCTCGAGCTCCCAGGCTCAAGCGATCTGCCTTGGCCTCCCAAAGTGCTGGGATTACAGGAGTGAGCCACTGCACCTGGCCCACTTAACAGCAATTTGCTTGCTTGCTTGCTTGCTTTTCCCTCCCTCTGCCCTCTCCTCCCATCCCTCCCTCCTTCTCCCTTCCTTTCCCCCCCACCGCTTTCTTTTTTCCTTTCTTTTTTTTTTTTTTTTTTTTTTTTTGAGATGAAGTTTCACTCATTGCCCAGGCTGGAGTGCAGTGGCGCGTTCTCAGCTCACCACAACCTCTGCCTCCGGGTTCAGGCGATTCTCCTGCCTCCCAAGTAGCTGGGATTACAGGCATGTGCCACCACCCCTGGCTAATTTTGTCTTTTTAGTGGAGATGGTTTCTCCATGTTGGTCAGGCTGGTCTGGAACTCCTGACCTCAGGTGACCCGCCTGCCTTGGCCTCCCAAAGTGCTGGGATTATAGGTGTGAGCCACTGCGCCCAGCCTCTTTTTTTTTTTTTTTTTTTTTTTTTTGAGACAGAGTCTCACTAGGCTGCCCAGGCTGGAGTGCAGTGGTACAATCCCAGTTACTGCAACCTTTGCCTCCCAGATTCAAATGATTCTCCTGCCTCAGCCTCCCAAGTAGCTGGGACTACAGGCGTGTGCCACTATGCCTGGCTAATTTTTGTATTTTTAGTAGAGATGGGGTTTCGACATGTCGGCGAGGCTGGTCTCAAACTCCTGGCCTCAATTGATCCGCCTGCCTCAGCCTTTAAAAGTGCTGGGATTACAGGCGTGAGCCACTGCCCCCAGCCTAGCACCAATTTGTAACTCTCCTGGGAAATGTTAGTGGAGCAGATGTTGGGTAACTGAAGTTTGACATCAAAATCTGTCATGCTGATCTCTTCCTTTTAGGTAGTTTCCTTGATTCCTTTCTTACTCCCTTTGTTAGGAAATAAGGGTGCTGAAAATCTGGCTAGATAATCAAGTGGTTTGATTTATTCCTTGTCCACCTTTGTTCCCTTTGCCCATTGGAATCTGTGTGTCTGCCACCTTATACCTTGTGACATTTTCCTGGTGAATGCCTCAGGATGAGCAACAAAGGAAAGAAGTTAAAAAGGATTATCCTAGCAATACCACCAGCAGCACCAGCAACAGTGGCAATGAGACCAGTGGAAGCAGCACCATCGGGGAGACAAGCAAGTGAGTGTGGGAGGAAGAAATGGGTTGGCAACTTGGGGAAGGGAAACAGTTTTGTCCATTGGAAAAATAACCAGAATAGGGAGATTGTTTCTGTTAAGACTGCTGACTGTTAGTAATGGCTCCACCTAGGTCATGAGAATAATGGTGACTTGATTTAATTATCTAGTCTTCATTTTCCAGTGTAGATTTGTGGATTAGTCCTAGCATCAATATACTTCATTTGAATAAAATACCAAGAGGGGCTGGGCGTGGTGGCTCACACCTGTAATCCCAGCACTTTGGGAGGCCGAGGTGGGTGGATCACCTGAGGTCAGGAGTTCGAGACCAGATTGACCAACATGGTGAAACCCCGTCTCTACTAAAAATACAAAAATTAGCTGGGCGCGGTGGCAGGCTCCTGTAATCCCAGCTACTCAGGAGGCTGAGGCAGGAGAATTGCTTGAACATGGGAGGCAGAGGTTGTAGTGAGCCGAGGTCGCACCATCGCACTCCAGCCTGGGAAACAGAGTGAGACTCTGTCTCAAAAAAAAAAAAAATAGCAAGAGGACCCCTGATTTGGAAACACCAGGTTTTGCTTCGCATTAGGGGGAAAAATGGCCTCTTCAGATGCCTGACAGCTTTCAGGGCTGTAAGTTGGTATTGTGCAATTGCTGTGAACCACTGCTGGATCATCTTCGGGTCTTTGGTTTTTTCATGCTTTCTGTTTCATTCTGGCCTTACTGTAATTCCTTTTCTTTGGCAGCAATAACGAAACCTTCTCTTTAAGAATTTACACTCCTGACCTGGCGCGGTGCTCACGCGGGGCTCATGCATGTAATCCCAGCACTTTGGGAGGCTGAGGCAGGTGGATCACTTGAGGCCAGGGGTTCAAGATGAACCTGGCCAACATAGCGAAACCTTGTCTCTACTAAAAATATAAAAAATTAGCTGGGCATGATGGTACATGCCTGTAATCCCAGCTACTCAGGAGGCTAAGGCATGAGGATCGCTTGAACCTGGAAGGCGGAGGTTGCAGTGAGCCAAGATTGCACCACTGCACGACAGAGCGAGATTCTTTCTCAAAATTAAAAAAAAAAAAAGAAGAATGTACTCTCTTTCACAGGAAGAAGAGGAGTCGGAGCCATAATAAAAGCAGGGATAGAAAGCGCAGGTCAGTAATTCTGGGCCAGGCACAGTGGCTCGTATCTTTAATCCTAGCACTTTGGAAGCCAAGGCGGGAGGATCACTTCAGGCCAGGAGTTCAAAACCAGCCTGGGCAACATAGCAAAATCCTGTCTCTACAAAAAATTTAAAAATTACCCAGGTGTAGTAGTACATGTTTGTACTCCCAGCTACTTGGGAGGCTAAGGCTGGAGGATTGCTTGGGCCCAGGAGTTCGAGGTTGCAGTGAGCCGAGATTGCAGCACTAAACTCCTGCCTGGGCAACAGATGGAGAACCTGTCTCAAAAAAAATAAAAATAAAAATAAAAAATTGAAACATTTAGCTTAAAACACAAACACATTGTACAACTCTACAAGTTTTCTTTATGTCCTTATTCTATAAGCTTTTTTCTATTTTTAAATTTTTTTGTCTTTTACTTTTTAAACATTATTGTTATTGTTGAAAACTACGACACAAAGACACATGAGCCTAGGCCTGCAGAGGGTCTTTCACCTCCACATCTTGTCCCACTGGAAGGTCTTCAAGGGCATTAATACACATAGAGTTGTACTCTGCTGTAACAGTGCTTTCTTTAGGAGCACCTTCTGAAGGACCAGCCTAAGGCTGTTTTATAGTTAACCGAAGTAGAAGTAATATATTCTAGAATGATAAATATAGTAAATACATGAATCAGTGACATCATTACTTTTTATCGTGAAGTATATACTGTACGTAATTGTTTTATTTTTAAACAATTTTTAATTGATACATATTGTATGTAGTTTCTGGTATGTGTGAAATTTAATACATATAATTTGTAAAGATCAAATCAGTGTACTTGAGTTATCCTTGACCTAAATGTTTATCTTTTCATGATGCTAGGAAACATTCAAATTATTCTCTACTAGCTATTTTGAAATGTATAATAGATTATTGTACACTGTAGTAATAACCCTACTGATTTGTTGAACACTGGGTCTTATTTTTTCTTTTTTTTTTGAGACCGAGTTTCGCTTTTGTTGCCCAGGCTGGAATGCAATGGCGTGATCTTGGCTCACCGCAACCTCTGCCTCCCAGGTTCAAGTGATTCTCCTGCCTCAGCCTCCTGAATAGCTGGGATTACAGGCGTGTGCCACCATGCCTGGCTAATTTTTTTGGTTTGTTTTTTGAGACAGAGTCTCACTCTGTTGCCCAGGATGGAGTGCAGTGGCGCGACGTCGGCTCACTGCAACCTCCGCCTCCCAGGTTTAAGAAGTTCTCCTGCCTCAGCCTCCTGAGTAGCTGGGATTACAGTTGCGCACCACCACACCTGGCTAATTTTTGTATTTCTGGTAGAGATGGGGTTTCACCATGTTGGCCAGACTGGTCTGGAATTCCTGATCTCAAGTGATCCACCCATTTTGGTCTCCCAAAGTGCTGGGATTACAGGCGTGAGCCACCGTGCCTGGTCTAATTTTGTGTTTTTAGTAGAGACGGAGTTTCTCCATGTTGGTCAGGCTGGTCTCGAACTCTCGACCTCAGGTGATCTGCCCGCCTTGGCCTCCCAAAGTGCTGGGATTACAGGCGTGAGCCACCGCGCCCAGCCCTGGGTCTTATTTTTTCTATTAAATGACATATTTGTATCCATTCATCTACTTCTGTTCATTCCACCCACAGCCGCCATCCTTCCATCCTTCCATCCTTCCCAGCCTCTAGTAAACACTAGTCTTTCTATCTTCATGAGATTCACTTTGTACATAATTGGATGTGCTGTATTTTTATACAACTGGGAGTGCAGTAGGTAATAGTTTGGTTTACACCAGTATCACCACAAACACATAAGTAATACATTACGACATTACAGTGGCTGTAACATCACTAGGTTATACGAACTTCTCAGCACCGTTATAATCTTATGGGACCACTGTTGTATATGCACTTGGTTGTTGGCCTAAACATGATGTGGGCATGACTGTAGTTGTTTCCCTCTGTAGTCGTAGTCGAGATCGGGATCGGTATAGACGGAGAAATAGTCGGAGCCGAAGTCCAGGTCGGCAGTGTCGTCACCGTAGCCGTAGCTGGGATCGTCGACATGGTAGTGAGTCGCGAAGTCGGGACCATCGTCGTGAGGATCGTGTGCATTACAGGAGTCCTCCACTTGCCACTGGGTATCACTTTTTGCTAATAGATTCACTTTTGTATAATAATCTGGATAAAACAACAAATGCACTATGAACCCTGCTTGAGGGTGCTTATTATAACACATTGTGATTGGCAGGATACTCAGGCACAGAAAGGGTTGGTATTCAAAATTTACTGGTGTGGTGGCTCATGCCTGTAATCCCAGCACTTTGGGAGACTGAGGCCAGAAGATCACTTGGGCTCAGGAATTCAAGACCAGCCAGGACAACATGGCGAAACCCTGGTTCTACAAAAAATGCAAAAATGAGCTAGATATGGTCATGTGTGTCTGTAATCCTAGCCACACAAGGAGGCTGAGGTGGGAGGATTGCTTGAGCCTGGGAGGCAAAGGTTGCAGTGACCCGAGATGGCGCCACTGCACTCCAGCCTGGGTGACAGCGGAAACCCTGTCTTAAAAAAACAATGAGATGAAGTACTGGAATCTGGTTTTCTCACCATGGAAGACCCAGCATTGGACCAATGAGAATAAGGTTTCACCTTTTGTTTTTCTCTATTCTTTAGTTATAGGTATGGACACAGTAAGAGTCCTCATTTCAGAGAGAAGAGCCCAGTCAGGTGGGTTGATAATGAACACTGTTTTAGGGATTGTGAGGTATGAATAAAAGGTTATTTGAGCCAAATTACAGGAATGTGTAATACTTGAGGGTTAGCTGGAGAACAATGACCAGGTATTGGGAGGGCTGGTCTCAACACATTTCACTCTTCAGGGAGCCAGTTGATAATCTGAGTCCTGAGGAGCGTGATGCCCGCACAGTTTTCTGTATGCAGTTAGCTGCCCGAATTCGGCCTCGAGATCTGGAGGACTTTTTCTCTGCTGTAGGCAAGGTAACCCTCCCACCTTAGTTTTCTTCTGAGTAGCTTAGCTTGTATCTCCCTTTATGCCTAACTCAGGATTTCTTTTGCGTCCTGGATAGGTTCGCGATGTACGTATCATCTCAGATCGGAACTCACGTCGTTCTAAGGGCATTGCCTACGTGGAATTCTGTGAAATCCAGTCTGTGCCACTGGCCATTGGGCTGACTGGGCAGCGGTTGCTGGGAGTGCCTATCATTGTACAGGCTTCACAGGTGAGCAGGCTGAGAAACAGACATAAGATTTTAAGGGGAGAGGGAATGTGGGACATGACCCATCATTTCCTCCTTCCCCAGGCAGAGAAAAACCGACTGGCAGCCATGGCCAACAACCTGCAAAAGGGCAATGGTGGACCAATGCGCCTCTATGTGGGTTCCCTGCACTTCAATATCACTGAAGACATGCTCCGGGGCATCTTTGAGCCCTTTGGTAAAGTGAGTAGAAGTGAGAGAAACCTCTGAAGGGAATTGGAAGAAGTGGGGAGGGTGAGTGTTTGAGTGTACTTCTCTGTTGTGCCTGGCCGTGATTAACCTGCTGCATACGTCATAGTGGGCATATGAGTCTATGCTGTGAAAGTTTGGCTCCATCTCTGTTCATGTGCTTGGTGGACAAATAAGTTAGACACAAATCAAATAATAGGCCAGGTTAAGAAAGATTAAAAAATACAAAAATTAGCCAATGTGGTGGTGCACGCCTATAGTCCCAACTAGTCGAGAGGCTGAGGTGGGAGGGTCACTTGAGCCTGGGAGGTCAAGGCTGTAGTGAGCCTCGGAAAAAAAAAAAAAAGTCCACCTTTTACCAAAATATTTCTACTGACTAATCTTTTTTTTTCCGAGACAAGGTCTCACTCTGTCACCCAGGCTGGAGTGGGTGAGACTTTTTGAGACTCTGTCTCAAAAAAAAAAAAAAAGCAGTCTGGGTAGGAAAGATTGAAGATGTGGGCTAGTCAAAAGTTTACTGATAATTTCTCACTCTTCTACAGATTGATAATATTGTCCTGATGAAGGACTCAGATACAGGCCGCTCTAAAGGTTATGGTTTCATCACGGTGAGTCTCTAGTCTTTTAATTTTTTTATTTTACTTTGGGTTTGTCCACTTGTCTGATTTTGCAGCTTAGCTTCATCCTCCTCCTTTAGGAACTGTCTAAATGACCCATAAACCCTGGTGCCTGAAGCTTGGACTAGCCTTCTACCCCTTGAGATGAGTGCATTGCTTGAGATCTTGGCTTTGCTCCTACACTCTGTCAGTGGCCCTGGTATGGGGGTGTTCAGGAGTTCACCCAGCTTCCCTGGTGCTGCAACTTGGCTCTTTGGGTAATAGTAACCAGGCTGCAGCTAAAAGGTTGGGGGTGTGAGGGAGGTTAGGTATGGGCTTTTAAAGACATGCTTTATAGAATTGATGTTTCTCATAACAGGGATGGGAATAGGAAATTATACTTCCCTCTGGTGCTACCCCATTTGAAGCAATTTCTGCACCGAGAAGGATCAGTTATTAACGTAGCACTATGGGGAGAATAGTGAGGCCACCTAATTATGGGCAAGCTTCACCTTTTCCTGACATTCCAACAAAATGGTTGCCAATTCCTATAACTGGTTCTTCCAGCCCCATGTGACTCCAGGCTGAGAACTGGCTGCCAGCCACAAAGTCTGATAGAAGCTTGTATTTTCTGGGCTTAAACCAGGCAGCATACACTCCCACAGTGACCCACAGGGCAGAGGGCAGTAGGTTGTATTCTGTCATTGGAATTGCTCACCTCAAAAATATCCAGTAAAGGCAAGCCATGTATAACACCTGCCTAGGAACTGTCAGTACCACATGCCAGGCCCTAAGGCAGGTAATGCTGCTAGCTAGCTAAACAAGCTAGCTGTGGTGTTGACAATTCTGTGGTGGCAAGTAACTTTTGTAACCTTTTCTCGCTCTCTGTGTGACTGAGATATGGAAAGGCTTCTGTGGGGCATTTTTGCCCTTGCATTGTTGCCTTTTGGGTCAACAACCTTGACACTTAAACAAACAGCAGACTGGGAATCCTCTTTGTACCAGTGTGTTGCTGGGTGCTGCTGATAAAAGGGACTAGAGAGTAAAGGCCTTCTGGTCAGCAGGTCACTTAGTCAACAGCTCTTGTGTGTATGTGGGGGTGTGGGTTCTGCCTTGCTGTCAGCACTAGGGTGTGTTCCCTCTTAAGCCTGGAATTAGGAGTTCCAGATTCCTAGTACTTAACTAAAATTTGGCCAGGCGCGGTGGCTCACACCTGTAATCCCAGCAGTTTGGGAGGCCAAGGTGGGTGAATCGCCTGAGGTCAGGAGTTCGAGACCAGCCTGACCAACGTGGTGAAACCCCATCTCTACTAAAAAATAAAAATAAAAAAACTAGCTGGGCATGGTGGTGGGTGCCTGTAATTCCAGCTACTCGGGAGGCTGAGGCAGGAGAATTGCTTGAACCCAGGAGATGGAGGTTGTAGTGAGCTGACATGGTGCCACTGCACTCTAGCCTCAGTGACAGAGTGACAGAGTGGGACTCCGTCTCAAAAAAAAAAAAAAAAAAAAAAAAAAAAGACTAAAACTTACTAGGATAGAGAACTGAATTAAAAGCCCAGGAGCCTTGTTCTTAGCTTGTCTTCCATTTGATATACCCATTTGTGAAATAACTTGTCAGGCTAGGTTTCCTACAATAATAAAATTTTGCATTGTTAGATTCTTAATGGAGCTGAAAGATTGAAAAGTGACTGCCATTGAGTCCATTGGAAAAGGTCCTTTTCAGAGAACCATTTTGAGGTGATGGGCCTAGGTCATATTTTCTGGGAAAGAAAAGTTTGTACCTCAGTGAGCATACAATTTTCCTGGGATAGTAGGACTAGGGAGTGTTACTGGGTCTTTGAGAGCATGTCTTTGGTGAGTAGGTGACTAACATGGCCTGGGTTTCTCATAGTTCTCTGATTCTGAGTGTGCCCGGCGGGCCCTGGAACAGTTGAATGGGTTTGAGCTTGCTGGTCGACCTATGAGGGTTGGCCATGTGACTGAGCGACTGGATGGTGGCACAGACATCACTTTTCCTGATGGGGACCAGGAGCTGGATCTGGGATCAGCAGGTGGACGTTTTCAGCTCATGGCAAAACTGGCAGAAGGTAAAATATCTCCGCAAGGTGAAGATTATGGGGTTGAATTTTAGATGAAGGGTTGGGGCTTAATCCCACCTTTTCTTTTCCTTTTAGGCGCTGGAATCCAACTGCCAAGCACTGCTGCTGCTGCTGCTGCCGCCGCCGCCCAGGCTGCTGCCTTGCAACTGAATGGAGCAGTTCCCTTGGGGGCCCTGAATCCAGCAGCTCTGACTGGTAGTCTTGGACATGGGAAAGGAAGGGAAGGTTTGGGGGTCTGGAAAGAAGGAGTGCGCGGTGCTTGCTCACTCACTCTGCCTGTCTTTGTTCTAGCTCTGAGTCCAGCCCTGAACCTTGCCTCCCAGTGTTTCCAGCTCTCCAGCCTCTTTACCCCCCAGACCATGTGAGTCTCAGGGTCTAGCTCATTCTAGCCTTTGATTATTCTCTTTCCTTTGGCTTCCCATTTACCTCTTCTTTCCACAGGTAAATCAGTGGCACAGTATACTGCCTCCTTGTGCCTCTGGATCCTGCCACTTCACATCTACTCTTCCATGGCCCCATTTCTCCATTTTGTGGACCAAGCCATCCTGAGGGCATGGACATTGTCTCTGAGGAAATTGGGGCCACCCTTAAGATACCAAGAAAAGCTCCTGCCCATGGTCCCACTGGAAATGGACTCTGCTGAGCAAAGCCACCAGTTGAAGAGAACAGAATCCACACCTGCATTGAATACCTGTTTCTCCATGTGTATCGTCTCTGAGATTACCTTCTTGCCCTTTCCAACACCTTAGTGATTCCTCAATTTCTCCCCCATTGGGAAGGCCATAGGGCATACTGAAGGAACTGACCTCTCTCCTTTTCCTGTACCTTTAACCTTTAGTCTGTCAAGGAAAACCCTTAGGACCTCTGAATCAAGAGGACTGAGTTTGTGGGTGAACCTTGAAGGTGCTCTTTCTGCTACAAGGGCCCTGGGAGATAGCATGGACGTGCATTGAGAAGCCAGCCTCAGACCTTAGCTTGAAGCAGCTTGAGGCCAGACCTACTGTAGCCTCAGCATCTTGCTAGGAGGCATGGAAGTGATCTATCCTGCCAGGAGGCCTCAGAGTGATCTGTCCTGCCAGGAGGTGTGAGAGTGATCTGTCCTGTGAGGCATTTAGGGGCTTTCAGGAATTTAGTAAAAGGTGGAGTATGCCTTTCCAGTATCTTCCATCTTCCTTTGTATACTTGTCCTTCCTCCCATTTCCTCCCTTTGGCCCGAGGTAGGAGGATGGAGGGAGGCTGCTACTCTACCACTTCCTGTGTGCCTCTACTGTGGCCTCAACCCTGGCAATTATAGCTACTCCCATCCCTTACCTGGGCATGTGTGAGCCCTTCTCACTGGATTTTATACCCTTGTGTCTGTGTACATAAATATATATACATATATATATACATAAAAACTTTGTACAAAAGGCAAGCCTCCTCCTTGTGGCAGCTGTTGCCCATTTGTGTGTGGTCTTTGTTGTGTGTCTGACAACTTCTCATTAGCCCAACTTATGATGTTTCTAGGGATATAAAACATTAGTAACATCATTGTGTTTATTTATTTAACCACCTTTAGAAAGAAAAATGAAAACTCACACCTGGGTGGGGTTCCCATTCTGTATCTGCATTACACTGTTGATCTATGGTTGTCTTCTCCATCTATCTTCATCCTAACTATCTCCATCCCAGCTACCCACTGGACAGAATTACCCAAACAGCCAAGTTGCAGCACCAGGACAGACTTAGACTTAACAGGCTCCTTCTCTGTGCCTAATGACAGATCTTTCCAGCAGATGGCACTATGACAGTACTGCATTCTACACTTGTTTTTTTCTAGTGGGGCGGGGCGGGGAGGGGGGGGGGTTGTGATCTTGAAGAGTTAAGTACCAGAGCTAAGCTGAGCTTTCTTAACTCTATTGGCCTTTGTACCTGCCTTTGACCCTCTTTGTAGTAGCGATCCCAATCCAATATCCAAAGGGGTTTGGGTCTTGTATAACAGCAGGGTTCTCCTGACCTGATGTCTACTGTTGTTCCTCTGTCAGTCCCCTCAACTCCTGCTTTCCATGTGGCTCTGCCTGGGATAACACAGGCCTGGGACCAGTGAATTGTAGGGAACTGAGTATTCCAGAAATACCTCTGTGAAAGGGAAGGTGCACCTACCACTGCCTTAATAATAAGGGGGTGGGAGAGAGGCTGTCTCACCCAGCTTAGGGACCAAATGAGAAGGCCTGAATTCAGGGGCAGGGCTCTGTGGGGCTCCTTTTTTGATCTCTATGGCAACAAAATGCTAAGACTTTCTTATGCTAAAAATATGGATAATTGCTGTTAGGTTTTAATTTGTCAGCTCTCAGACTTCTAAGCCAGTGATGTTAGCCTCTGGGGTTGCTTTTAACACAAAATCATTTAAATACTTGAAGCCTGCTTGAGTCATAAAAGGCCAGTGGGACTCTAGCTCCTAAGTCTGTTTGCTGCTTCTGTAACAATAGCACAGACTAATTTGTAAAGAAAAGAGGTGTAGGCTGGGTGCACTGGCTCACGCCTGTAATCCCAGCACTTTGGGAGGCCGAGGTGGGTGGATCACGAGGTCAGTTCAAGACCAGCCTGGCCAACATGGTGAAACTCTGTCTCTACTAGAAATACAAAAAGTAGCTGGGCATGGTGGTGGGTGCCTGTAATCCCAGCTACTCAGGAGGCTGAGACAGGAGAATCGCTTGAGCCTGGGAGGCGGAGGTTGCAGTGAGCCGAGGATGCACCACTGCACTCCAGCCTGGGCAACAGAGCGAGCCTCCATCTCAAAAAAACAGAAAAGTGTATTTCTCACAGTTCTGGAGGCTGGGAATTTCAAGAGCATGGTGCCTGCATCAGGTGGGGGTCATCCCATGTCAGAAGGGCACAAGGTAGAAATGAGTACATGAGACAAAGGGACCATGGGCCAAACTTGCTTTATAACAGCCCTCTCTCATGATAACCTGCTGTGTGATAGTGACATTAATCCACTCATGAGGGCTCTGTCCTTGTGACTCAGTCACCTCGTATTAAGCCCCATCTTCAACACTGTTGCATTGGGAGTCAAATTTCCAATGTGAACTTTTGGGGGACACATTCAAACCACAGCATTTCTGATTCTTCCAGGCCTAGATCTCACATGATGTTGCTGTTCTCCTGGTTACCACCCCCATCCCTTCCCCCATCTTATCCTAGTTTGCTTTCTGGACCGGGGGAAAAGGGAAGGAGGATGCACTATTTTTAGGTAGAAGCTGCTGGCTATGACCCAGCACCCCTACAGTTATTGATTTGGCTTCTAATGTATCTTGAGAAGTGCAGTGGGTACCGTTTTTGTTAGTCATCCTGAGGCCATGAACTGGGTCTTCTCATGGCTGGCTTGGCTCCTTCAGACTATTATAAATATCCACAGGCCTTGCCTCCCTGCCTTCCTCTGCTTGGTTTCCTTATGTTTCCATCCCTAGCTACCTTGGCCTTCCTACACTCGGATCCTTCCACCTCAGTTCTTTCTTGTTCTTAGTTCCTCACATAGCCTCTTGCTGGGAGAGAGACAATGTTGGAAGTAAGGACGTATCTAAGACAATTTCCAGTCTTACTCCATATAAGGTGATGGTATCTAGTGAGTGACAGTTGCTGTCCGTGTGTGACTCAGTGCCTTCTTGTTACTCATCCCTCCATACGAGGTGGTTAGAGTGGAGAGAAGCGGGCTGTGAACAGACTCTGGGCCCAGCTTAAGGTAAAAGAAACTTCCCTCAACATCTACCTGCACATGGTGGCTGGTGGCGTAGGGGTGACATTGTGATCTAGATCCTTTGCCAGCATAGTTAGAATTTCCCTACCAGTCTTCAGTTCTAGAAAAGATTCTCACCTGATTTTTGACTTCCAGTCTATGCTTCTGTATTCACTAAGGTGGCAGCATTTCCTCCCTGTTCTTTAAACTGCTGTGCTCTTGACACAGGAATTCTGCCTGCTTCCTCAGACTCCCAACAACCCCCAGATAGGAGTTACCAGTAGAAGCAGAGGCTTGACCTGTGAACTTTTAGTCCTGGAGCATATCATGAAGGGAATTGAGTAAAAACCTGAAGGATGGAATTATATCACAGTCCCTCTTTTCCGTGTAATGGAAAGGCTTTAGTGAAAATCAGGCAGCAACACTTGGACAGTGAAAAGAGACTCTGAAAGGTGAGGTGACAGGAGGTGGCATAATGGTCATTGTTAACATTTATGCAAGGTTGGTTGTAGGTTAGGTGTTCTAATCGTGTATTAAGTCACAAAATCCTCACAACAATCCTCTCAAGTAGTTTATTATCTTTACTTTGTAAACAAGGAAACATATCCAAATAAGTTAAATAATTTTCCCCATAAGCACAAAGTTAGCAAGTTAGGGATTCCAATCCAAGTACTCTCGCTTCAGATCCCTTGATCTTAACCTTACCTGCCTCTCAGCACCACCATGGAAGACAAGGCCTTGGAGTCAGTGAGGAAGTGTCACTTTTCCTATCCCTGTACCCATAGCTCTCCGTAGACTCAGAATTTTTCCACTGCCATGTCTTTGCTTATCTTGAGTGACAGTGTTTGTGGGTGAACCTTGAAGGTGCTCTTTCTGCTACAAGGGCCCTGGGAGATAGCATGGGCATGTGCATTGAGAAGCCAGCCTCAGACCTTATCTTGAAGCAGCTTGAGGCCAGACCTACTGTAGGCTCAGCATCTTGCTAGGAGGCATGGGAGTGATCTAACCTGCCAGCTATCTCTCTTCCTTTCCTCCTTCTGCTGATCAAAGTCCTGTCCTTTAAGACCCTGAAGCTTTCCTAGGTGGAGTTGATCTCTCTTTTCAGTATTCTTTGTCCTCTTGTGGGTCATCTTACTCTACTTTTATTTAGTAAATAAAATAATTGCAATAAAAATTATTTTATTGAAAACTCCATTACTTGATGGTTACAGCCTGATGAGGCCAGACTTGGATGTCTTTCTCATGATTGCTTTGCCTTGCACATATTAAATGTCTGTAGAATTGAATGAATGCTGTTCATTAAAGTGTTAAAGTCAGCACCAGGCTTTCCAAAGGCTGCCCCTTCTAGGCTGCTTTTCCCAGCAGCCTCATCCATTCCTTCCTCACTCCACCAGGAGAGAAGATGCAGCTTTACTCTTTCTGATGTTACCATGGTAGCCTGTGATACTTTCTTTCTAAAGTGCTGCTTGCCATCCACCAGAGACTGATGTTTCCATGGCAACCAGGTGAAGGCAATAGTCACGAGCTGGATGCAGGAAAGGAATTCCGGTCTGAGAAGCTGCATATCTGAATCTTCTAGCTTCAGACATCCTTTCCCCTCTCTCATAACTTTTGCGCTTTATATCCAGGACTGGTTTGCTCTCTGGTGTGCCCTTGGTTGAGAGAGCTCTGTGAAAGTGAGGTGAAGCAGACCAACCAACTTAGATCACGTGGGAAGGTGGGTGCAAGGAAAGAGCTGAGCAAAGATCACTTCAAAAAGTTGGATGAAGTCTATTAGTTGTTCAGATGATCTGCTCTCAAGAGCCCTTAAGGAGTTGGCTGGAGTTTCTGGAGAGCCATTAAGCAGTTATTTTTGAGAGCAATGGGTAGATGGATGAGGTGCCTGAAGACTGGAAAGCAGCCAGTCAGTGCCGGATTGTAGAAAGGAGAAACAATGACCTTGGAAATCGGAGACCCGTCAAACTTGCCAATGTTCCAGAAAGGATGGGAGTTTCAGTCAGCTTTCAGGCATCAGGAAGCCTACTTGCTTAGAATTAGTGGTGCTAAGAATTCGCCTCCTCAACTCCTGAGCATAAGCAAGCTAGGGGACCTCCACCCTGTAGCCGAGTGTCACACTCTGGAACCACACAGCATGGTTCAGATCCCTCTTCCCTCACAAACTAGCTGAATAAGCTTGGGTAGGTTACTTCACTTCTCTCACACTTCATCTGTAAAAAGGAAATGATAACACCTATCTCATAGGGATGTTGTGAGAATTCATTGAGAAAGGTTTGGAACTTGGCTCATTACTGTCCTCAGTATTTTCACTCCTCTGGATGCCTACTCACTTGATTTTCTAGCTGACTTCATTCTCCCCAACTTTAGAGCTCAAGGTTTATGGGGAAAAGCAAGGGCAGTGCAATGGTGAAAATAAATCTTCATTTTTAAATAAATAAATTGTTCCTGCACTGAAGCCCCAAGCTTACAAGGTCTTGGGTCACACACAACCTGCCTAGTTTTCAGGAAAACAGATCCCACTAGCCCAATCTCTTTATGCTTGAGGCTCTGTCCACATAGTTAGATTTTAACCAGATGGTTTCGAAAAATCAAAATGAGCCCCCCTCACAGGTACCTTCAAGGTACCTAACACCATTAGCTTTGTCTGGCAGGGGAAAAATACCAGGGCACTCAGTTTTGTTTTGTTTTGAGACAGGGTCTGGCTCTGTTGCCCATGCTGGAGTACAGTGGTGCCATCACAGCTCACTGCAGTCTCAACCTCCTGAGCTCAAATGATCCTCTTGATTAGCTGGAACTACAGGTATGTGCCACTATGCCCAGCTAAGTTTTGTATTTTTTGTAGAGATGGGGTCTTGCTATGTTGCCCAGGTGGTCTTGAACTCCTGGGCTTAAGTGATCCTCCCTCCTTAGCCTCCCAAAGTGCTAGGATTATAGGTGTGAGCCACCACAACTGCCTGAGAGCACCCTCTGTTACCACCCTTTCCTTAGCGTCTCAGCCTCCCCCAAGCACCTGTCTTTGTTGGTCTCCAGAGCCTAGCCCTACACTGGCATTTTCCTTTCTGAATAAGTATTTTTTTTATTTATTTATTTTTATTTTTTCTTTGAGATGGAGTTTCGCTTTTGTTGCCCAGGCTGGAGTGCAATGGTGCGATCTCGGCTCACCGCAACCTCTGCTTCCTGGGTTCAAGTGATTCTCCTGCCTCAGCCTCCTGAGTAGCTGGGATTACAGGCGTGCGCCACCACTCCCAGCTAATTTTGTATTTTTAGTGGAGACAGGGTTTCTCCATGTTGGTCAGGCTGGTCTCGAACTCCTGACCTCAGGTGATCCACCCGCCTTGGCCTCCCAAAGTGCTGGGATTACAGTCCTGAGCCACTGCACTGGGCCTTATTTATTTATTTTTAATTAATTAATTAATTTTTTTTGAGATGGAGTCTTGCTTTGTCGCCCAGGCTGGAGTGCAGTGGCGCAATCTCGGGTCACTGCAAGCTCTGCCTCCCAGGTTCATGCCATTCTCCTGCCTCAGCCTCCCAAGTAGCTGGGACTACAGGCACCTGCCACTATGCCCGGCTAATTTTTTGTATTTTTTAGTAGAGATGGGGTTTCACTGTTTTAGCCAGGATGGTTTCGATCTCCTGACCTAGTGATCCGCTCGCCTCGGCCTCCCAGAGTGCTGGGATTACAGGCGTGAGCCACTGCGCCCGGCTGGGCCTTATTTATGTATTTTTCTGAGACAGAGTCTCATGCTATCACCCAGGCTGGAGTGCAGTGGCATGATCTCTGCTCACTGCGATCTCTGCTCACTTCAACCTCTGCTTCCCGGGTTCAAGTGATTCTCCCACCTCAGCCTCCCGAGTAGCTGGAATTACAGGCACCCACCACCATGCCTGGCTAATTTTTGTAATTTTTTTTAGTAGAAATAGGGTTTCACCATGTTGGCCAGGCTGGTCTCTCTCTTGACCTCAAGTGATCCACCCACCTCGGCCTCCCAAAGTGCTGGGATTACAGGCGTGAGCCAATTGCCCGACCTGAGTAAGTATTTTAAATCAGCACAGGTCCTCTGCTTAAAGTCAAGTTGTAATTTGAACACAAAAATGGAAAATCATGCAGTAAAATACCATCGTGGAGCTTCAATTGCCAATCTGTCCCCCAACCTTCCATCAGATGACAAAACCCAAAAAAGTGTTACCCGTGAGTCCTATGGAAGGCACGTTGGACTTTGTAGACCATAACTTAAATTTTTATCTCCAAATGGTGCTGTGCTTTGAGAGTTTAGCAAGCTGCTTTGATGCCTAAATAAAGGGCCAGGACATAGGTTGCAAAAGGCATTACTACTTCCACCGCTTCTCTGTATAATGCTTGAGAAATTACAAAGATCTTTGCTCTTTTATTTAGTCCTCATGACTTCGCTATAAGGTAGGTATTCTTCATTTTAGAGTTGGGATAGCATAGCTGAGTTCAGCAAACCAGACAGGTTAAGAGTGACTTCATCCACAGACCCCCATCCAGGAAACATCCTGAGCACTAATTGAAAAGCATTCAAGGGCTTACTGAATTTGCATTCACATCTGGAGTTTTCAAGGCCACTAAGCTGTGGAAACTTGACATCAATATTCAAATAGATGAAAAGGGACCTTAAGCATATCCATCAGGGAGTCACCGAGATGATAAAGGCCTGAGAAGCAGTATGCTCTTGTCCGGCATTTGTGTCCTTTGACGACTGCACCATCCACCCAAATTTTGCTGCCTTCTTTATAGGAAGGGCCTTTTCCTCATGTGGTGGGCTGCCCACTGTTTCTTCTCTGTGCATTTGCTCATGTAGTTTGACCACAAGGAATGCTTTTCCTTCTTTCTCTCAACTATCTATAGCCTACATATCCTTTAAGGCCCAGTTTCTAAAATATGTCTTCCAAATTTACTGTTTCTTCCATTCAGAATTCCTGGAGCACATGAGGTAGCCCCCAGTTAGATAGAATGTGGTATTGTTTGCTGCTATTTTGCCTGTTTTGTGCTGTATCACCTCATCCATCTCCCCAGCTTAATTGCAAGCTATTTGACGGGCAGAAATTGTGTCTTATTTGTATTTGTTTTCCCCATTGGGCCCGGCACACTGATTGGCATATTGCAGATGTTTAGTACTTGAGAGAAACAAAATGTCTTCTAGCATTTGTGGATGAAAGATTAAAATGTCCAGGAAAATTTACTTAGATTGATGTGGATTGAAACTATATTAGATTAATAAAAAGATGTGTGTGTGTGAACTTCCTGGGAGTGAGGGTTTAACCCAGAGGACTTCCACGTATGACCCCGGCAGTCTTTCAGAAGAGAAGAGCCCCTGTTCCAGTCTCTCTAGAGGGCTCAGATGCAGCACGGCCTAAAAGCTCATCTGTAGGCAGAGGCCCAGAGTGGAAAAATTTCCAGATGCAGGACTCCCCCGTTCCTCTGACCCTCAGGGGAGAGCACACAAAGTCTATGCTCTGGGCCAATGAGGCGGTCTTGTGGGCAAAGGGGAGTGGGAGTAGCAGGGGCTGGGCAGGGGCTGGTAAGGGAACACGGACTCCAAGACAAAATTGCAGTGGTTAAGAGATGCATGAGGACAGAAAGGACCTTACCTGGCATGGCAGCTCAGGTCCCAGTGCCCTCTGCTGACCTCTCACCCCAGCCAAGATCAATGGCTCTACTTTGCCTTGAGAGAGAAAGAGAGAATGGCCTGGCTCTCAGAGAAGGCCTCACCTCTCCCAAGTCTGGCGGGAGCCTGGCTTCAGCTTCCGTCTGTTCTGAGCTATTCCCTGTAGGCGTCTGGAGGGAACACACAGATGGGTCGGGCTGATGGGACTGGCTGAGTTGGGGGAGGGAGGCTCATGGTGTGTGGCTCCCCTCGTGGGGGAGGTCTTGCCATCATGGTCTTCCATACACGAAAGACATGTTTTAAGCTTCTGCCACGTAAAAGGCACTGGGCCTTTCTTGTTCCTCATCCTCCTCTCTGGCCACATCTGACCATTGGTGATACTCTCCTAGAAACCCCTCCTCTGGCAGCAGTCACAACAGGCTCAATCCTAGTTCTCCCACTACCTCTTTGGCAGCTGCTTCTCCACCTTCTCCATCTATATATCCCCAGGATCTCCTTGTTCCCTCTTCTTTCTCTGGACCCCTAAGGCTTTGTTTTAAATTATTTTGTTTCTTTCTTTTTTTTTTTTTGAGACGGAGTCTCTCTCTGTCGCCAGGCTGGAGTGCAGTGGCATGATCTCAGCTCACTGCAACCTCTGCCACCCAGGTTCAAGCGATTCAGCCTCCCGAATAGCTGGGATTACAGGTGCCCACCCCTGCGCCTGATTAATTTTTGTAGTTTTTAGTAGAGATGGGGTTTCGCTATCTTGGCCAGGCTGGTCTTGAACTCCTGACCTCATGATCCACCGGCCTTGGCCTCCCAAAGTGCTGGGATTACAGGCGTGAACCACTGTGCCCGGCCTATTTCGTTTCATTTTTGAAGTGGTACTAAATGACACAGTTAAAAGTTCCAAAGGTAGGCCAGGCGCGGTGGCTCACGCCTGTAATCCCAGCACTTTGGGAGGCTGAGGTGGGTGGATCATGAGGTCAGGAGTTCAAGACTAGCCTGGCCAAGATGGTGAAACCCCCGTCTCTACTAAAAATACAAAAATTAGCTGGGCGTGGTGGTGGGCACCTGTAATCCCAGCTACTCGGGAGACTGAGGCAGGAGAATCGCTTGAACCCAGGAGGTGGAGTTTGCAGTGAGCTGAGATTGTGCCACACTGCACTCCAGCCTGGGCAACAGAGCAAGACTCTGTCTCAAAAAAAAAAAAAAAAATTTCCAAAGGTAGAAAAAGGGCATACAGGCTGGACGCGGTGGCTCAGGCCTGTAATCTCAGCACTTTGGGAGGCTGAGGCAGGCGGATCACCTGAGGTTGGGAGTTTGAGACCAGCCTGACCAACATGGAGAAACCCCATCTCTACCAAAAATACAAAAGTGGCCGGGTGTGGTGGCACATGCCTGTAATCCCAGCTACTCGGGAGGCTGAGGCAGGAGAATCGCTTGAACCCAGGAGGCGGAGGTTACAGTGAGATCGTGCCATTGCACTCCAGCCTGGGCAACAAGAGTGAAACTCCGTCTCAAAAAAGAAAAGAAAAGAAAAGAAAAAGGGCATACAATGAAAAGTCAGCTTCCCATCCTGGTCTTCTACTCACCCAGTTCCCCTTTCCAGAAGCAGCCAGTACCATCTTTTTTTTTTTTTTTTTTTTTTTTGACAGAATCTCACTCTGTTGCCCAGGCTGGAGTACAGTGGCACGATCTCGGCTCACTGCAACCTCCACCTCCTGGGTTCAAACAATTCTCCTGCCTCAGCCTCCCAAGTAGCTGGGATTACAGGCATGTGCCACCATGCCCAGCTAATTTTTGTATTTTTAGTAGAGATGGGGTTTCGTCATGTTGGCCAGGCTGGTCTCGAACTCCTGACCTCAGGTGATCTACCCGCCTCGGCCTCTCAAAGTGCTGGGATTACAGGCATGAGCCATCCTGTGCCTGGCCTGTAACAAACCCTTTTGTGAATCTGATGAAATTCATGAACCCTATTCTCAGACACAGGTATGACTACACAAATACATCAGATTGTATGTACCATTTCACAAGACGCAGACTCCATCAGTAGTCTGGGGTAAGGATCCCAGCCTGTACTGCACCTTCTCCCTTAGTATAATTGTGGATCCCCTTGCAAAATGAAAATACAGGGCTCCTTGTTCGAAGAATTTTAAGAACATAACAGCAGAACATTAAACTAAGCTTAGGGCCCTATGTGACTGCACAGGTCACCTTTTCTCCTTGCTCTTCTACTACTATCTTTATGGTAATTATTCTCAAATCTGTTTCTCTTGTCCCAACTTGTTCTGAATTTCAGATTCAGATTCAACTCTAGAGAGCTGCTGAAACTCTATATAGATGTTCTTCTAGCATCTCAAATTCAGTGTCTCCAAAATGGAGCTCCTTACTCTCACTACCTCCTCTGCCCCTTTACTCCAAGTTCTGCACCATCCTCTCACCACCTACAACTTTTTCCTCTCTTTATACTCATCCACTAAGTTGCCAAGTCCCATTGATTCTGATGCTCAAACCCATGCCTCCTTCCTTTCCCACTGCCACCCCCCTCAGGATGGCCTTTCATTATCCTCTGTATGTATCACTATTAACTGGTCCCTAAACTCAGCTCCTCAGTACTTGCCTCTGCAGCTCCAATCCATACACACCTCTCCCAGCCTCCTCTTCCCAAAAGACCATCCTAATCATGACTTCCACATTCAGATACCTGCAGTGACTCTCCCTGCCTACAGAGTTGGGCACAAACTCTTTTTCCTGGCATTTAAGGTCCTTTACAGTGGGACTCCAAACCTTCTTTTCCATGCTCATCTCTTACCCCTCCTCTTCATGTCCCTGAGGTTTCAACCCAACTGTACAGCCATCTGGTCCCTTAATGGGCCCAGTGTGTTTTCCTGTGTTTTAAAATTTGAGCTGCCTCTGTTCATGGTCTTCAGAATTTAGAACTTGCTTACTCCACTACAGCCATGTAATTTCTCTGGACCTTTCACCACAGCCACTGCACATGGCCCTGCCCATTGTGTCCCCGCATCTTGACTGCTGTCCCCTCTTTCTCTTCCTCCCATCCTTATTGGAAAGGGAGCCTCAGATGCAAAGCTGGATAAAATCATCATTAAGTATCAAGCAGAGCTGGGCGCGGTGGCTCACGCCTATAATCCCAGCACTTTGGAAGGCTGAGGTGGGTGGATCACCTGAAGTCAGCAGTTCAAGACCAGTCTGGTCAACATGGTGAAACTCCATCTCTACTAAAAATACAAAAAATTAGCTGGGCGTGGTGGTGGGTGCCTGTAATCCCAGCTACTCGGGAGGCTGAGGCAGAAGAATCACTTGAACCCGGGGGGTGGAGGTTGCAGTGAGTGGAGATCGCACCATTGCACTCCAGCCTGCGTGACAAGAGCAAGACTCCATCTCAAAAAAAAAAAAAAAGTATCAAGCAGACATGAAATCCCAACTCTACTGCTTACCGGGTAACCTCAGGCAAGTTACTTACACTCTGTTTCTTCTACTGTTAAACAGGTAGTAACACCTTATATAGGTTTTTTTTTTTTGCTTGTTTGTTTTTTGAGATGGAGTCTCACTCTGTCGCCCAGGCTGGAGTGCAGTGGCACGTTCTCAGCTCACTGCAACCTCTGCCTTCTGGGTTCAAGCTATTTTCCTGCCTCAGCCTCCCTAGTAGCTGGGATTACAGGCGCCTGCCACCACGCCCAGCTAATTTTTGCACTTTTTAGTAGAGATGGGGTTTCACCATATTGGCCAGCTTGGTCTCGAACTCCTGACCTTGTGATCCACCCACCTTGGCCTCCCAAAGTGCTGGGATTACAGGTGTGAGCCATGGCGCCCGGCCCTTTTTTTTTTTTTTTTAAAGAGACAAGTTCTCGTTCTATCACCCAGGCTGGAAGGCAGTGATTGCAGCTCACTTCAGCCTTGAACTCCTGGGCTCAAGTAATCCTCCCACTTCCTGAGTAGCTAGGACTACAGGTGCACTGCTTTTTTTTTTTTTTTTTTTTTTTTTTTTTTTGACAGGGTCTTGCTCTGTTGCCCGTGCTGCAGTGCAGTGGTACAATCACAGCTCACTGCAGCCTTAACTTCCTGGCTCAAGGGTTCCTCCCAGCTCAGCCTCTCAAGTAGCTGGGACTATCTGAATGACACCACACCCAGCTAATTTTTTGTAAAGACAGGGTTTTGCCATGTTGCCCAGGCTGGTTTCAAACTTCTGAACTGAAATGATCCTCCTGCCTCAGCCTCCCAAAGTGCTGGGATTACAGGTGTGAGCCACATGCCTGGCCAATTTTTATATTTTTTTTTGTAGAAACTGGCTCTCACTATGTTTCCCAGGCTGGACCTTATATAGTCTTTAAGGAATTAACAGATAAAGTGTATAAAGTCCTAAGGATAGGGCCATTATTCATCTTATTATAAGTACCCATGCTGGGATGGTCCCCTTGGCTCCTCCCCAGCTACAAGGACTCAGGAAGCATTGCAACCCTCTTTCCATCAAGTTCTGGGAGGCTGTGTGGGGTAGAATGGAGGCTGGCCCTCAGGTGCTCAGGTAGCTGTATTGTATGTCTAGGGGTGGTGAGGGGAGCTGCTGCCTCTGCTCCCTTTGTTCAAACTCATGGCTCAGGCAGCAGCAGGCGTGGGCGTCCCCAGGGGAGGCAGTGACAGTTTCAGTACTCACACGGGCTTTGCAGGTGACAGCTGGGGCTGTGGAGCCCTGCCAGAGGAGGCACAGACAGACCCCCATCACGCCACAGCTGATGGGCTTCCCTGGTGGATATGGGCCCCACTTTGAACCAGCCCAAGTCAAAGCTGAGTACCGCTGGGAGCTAAGTGTAGCCTCTAGCCTGTTCCCTGCAGGATAGAGTGGGGGTAAGGAGATGAGGCTCAGAATCTAGAGATTTGGTCCCACTGTGTCACTAATTTACAAATGACTTCTAGGAGGTCCCTGTTCCTCTCCAAGCCTGTTTTCTCATCGGCAAACGCAAGAAGTGGACCTGATTATCTGTAAGGGCCTGTGGCCCTATGACATGGACTACCCCAGGCCAAGTCAGTTCCAGAGCCTCCTTAGAGAGTTAGGTTCCTTGCTCCTCTGGGCCTGAGTTTTCTGGTGGGTAACAGCAGTTTCCATCAACACCCATTCCTTCCCCAAAGACTCCAAGAACAGAGTCAAAAGTGAACAGAGGCAGTACAAAAATTATTTATTGAAAAGGGAAAGGGTGGCCCCTTGCTGGTGCCCCCCTGGCCCTGGCCAAAAGGGGTTGCCACTGCTCATTATCTGAATGCAGAAAGTCTGTCCACCCCTTACCTTTAATAACCTTAAAGGGGAAGTGCCGTGGTGGACTGGTAAGTCAAGAGAATCCATCTCAGGAACAGCACTTCCAGGCCCTTGCCTTTAAGAACTCCTTAAAGGCAAAGTGGACACATGCCGCACCAGATGAGAGCCAGAACGTTTTCGGGAAGGTCCCTGGAGGAAGTGTTTTCGTGTCTTTACCTTTAAGACTCTCTTAAAGGTGAGGCATGTTCACGCAGCGTACAAAGGAGGCAAACTCCGTCAAGGAGTCTACGAAGCACTTTTCCAGATCTTGCTTTTAGAATCTCTTTACAGATGAGGTGGCCAAGCGCGAATTAATAAAAAACAAAATACCTTGCAGAATTATTTTTCTTCCCGACCCAGCAGAACCCGCCCCGCTCACCGGCCGCCTTCAGGTCTGCGTCCTCGCCTTCTAGGCGCCCTGAGGCCCAAAGCTCCAGAGAACGCGTTGGGGCGGGTGTGGAGGTGCCGCCGAGCGGCCCCGGGCCGCCCCCGGCGGTCACACCGGGGCATCCTGGGAGTTTTTGGTTTCCTAGACGGCCTCCACCAAGGAAGCCGGACGGGGGCGGGGCGGGGCGAGGGGGGGCGAGCGGAGGGCGCGGTGACCATGGCGACCGCAGTGGCCATGGCGACCGCGGCTCAGAGCACCGAGAGGTCGTGACACGACCTGGAGCGCTGCTTGAAGAACTTGGCGTTGCGCGGCACCAGGTTGGCGAGGAACCTCTTGGCTTTCTTGGTGAGGCTCTCGCGGCGTGCAGGTGGCGCAGGGCCCTCGGGGCTGCCCGGATCGGGCCTCTGGCCTCCGGCGTGGTTTCGGCCCCGCCGCAGCCGGATCTGGCGCACCGCGCCCTCGAAGAGCTCCCTCGTGTTGTGGTGCAGTGCGGCCGACGTCTCGATGTGCTTGCAGCTCAGCGTCCCGGCCAGGTGGCGGCCCTCTGCAGGAAGGCACCGGCTCAGGCGCCCGCTGGGCTGTACGGGACCCGGGGCGAGGGTGGGTCTAGGGAGGGCCTGGGCGTGCGGTGGCAAGGGATTGGTACTAGTGAATCTTGCAACCGAGAGAACATGGCTGAGCTCATATGGTGGGTCTGTGGAGGTGCGAAGGAGAGGGAGAAGGAGGCCTAGGAGAGAGGTGAGGGGAAGTGACAAGAAGGGATTCTCAGGATCCTCGAGTGGGGCATTGGGAGTGTCCCCCTAGCCTGGGTCTGATTGCAAGTGAGTGCGTCCGCGATGGTAAAAAGGCCTTAGGGAGAAGAGGTGACTTGGAAGGGAGAGCATTCCCCTGAGATCGCAAGTATGGAATCTGTTCAGGATACACACCCTCCAGTGATACCTCCCGGGAGCGGGCCAAGTCGCTCTTGTTTCCAACGAGGATAACGGGTAGGTCGTGGTGCGGCCTCCCAGCCCGGAGCCGAAGTAGGGTCTCTGGAACTTTGGAGAAACTCCGTCGGTCGGTGACTGAGAAGACGATGAGAAAGGCGTCCCCGGTCTGAAGGCAGTGGTCCCGCAGCCACCCTCCTGCATCCCCCTGCAGACAGGCAGAGGAACGTTAGGGCTGGAGGCATAGGAGATCCTGTCCAGCACCTACACCTCAAAGAGGAGGAACAGGGCTGTGAGGCAGAAAGAAGCCACCTGCTTAGGACAGCAGAGCTAGTTAATGGCAGAATCTCCCTACCCAGAGTGTTTGTGGAGGCGGAAGAAATTAGTAATATGAGGATCCTAGACTAGGGTAGCCATCCTAATTTCTTAAGCTCTTGATTCAAAAATGAATATTATTCACACGTCTGTAATTTGGCCTCTTATTTCTACATAGTAACCTTTATGTCCAAATATTCAGAAGTCCTCACTTTTTTCCCCCTTCCCTGATATTCCAGATCCCTGAGCTCTTGTCTTGTCACATCAGATTCCTTCAGGCTGAAAAATTTATGGATGGAGTCAATTTCAGGGTGTCCAGCCTAGCTTGGAGCTGCAGGGTTTGTCAAATTCCCATCCTAAGTTTGCTCTGAGTCAGAAGATCCTGGAAAGACTGTGGGTCTTAACAGCCACAGGCTGTAGTGTGGGTCTTTGCTTTCTGAGGTGATATGAATGAAAGGTCAGGTTCCAGTACATGTGGAAACCAGGACCAGCAGTCCCACCAGCCTTCAGCCAGACTTTGCCCTTCCCCAGTTCTCCCAGCTTCATCACCTGCCTGCAGCCACATCTTAGTTCTCACCTGTTCCCAGATGTCATAAACGACTAGAGTCACTTCCTCCTTATCCACCATGATGCGTCTCTCATAGGTATCCTCTGCTGGGAAATAGGGAGAGGGTATAAAGTCCATTAGGAGGTTTCCCAACATTTGTGAGACCTGGTAACCAGGGACACCTCAGATCTCAGCACCAGGGAACCCTGCCCCTCTTCAGGGAGGCTGCCACAGAAAGCATTGGAAAAGCTTCTGTTAAGCTCTGTCCTTCAGGGGCTGCTCAGGTCACGAGCACTTCCTTCCCTGACCAGGGCCCCAGAGCCCCCTCAACCCCTGGAGGGCTTCCCCAAATACCTGGGTTCTCCGGTTCGTGAGCACTGTCTCCCTGGAGACCACCAAAAGTGCCTGCTAGGGTGCTCTTGCCCACGCCGCTCTCCCCCACTAGCATGACCTTGAAGATGCCATCCTTTTGAGCAGGGGCTGCCTCCCCTGAGCCCAAGGAGTCAGACGAGCCAGAGGATGAGGCCTGAGGTGGCCAGTCAAGTTCATCTACAGCCTGGGCCCGCCGGAGCTGGTGCTTGTAGGGGACAGGCATACTGCCTCTTCGTCTGGGGGCCCCAGGGGCAGAGGGTAACCCGCTCCGGTCCAACTCTGCCAACAGTTTCTCTGACTTCTTTAGTAGCGTGGCATCTGCTTCTAAAATAAAATGGGAGGGCAAAGAAAAGGAAGCTATGAGTGGGATATGCTCAACCATATGCAGAAGGCTCAATCCAGGCTGTTCCAGTATCAGAGGCCCAGCTACACCCACTTGATGACCATTACCCAGAAGGAACTGAGAATGTCTGGCCTGACCTCTTACACTAAAGTCTCCAGAAGCCTGAACTGGAGTTGACATGATAGCTTCTCCAATGCGGTCCCAACCCCAACCTATTCAAAACGTGCCCCATGCAGGGAAGGGACCTGAATGCAGGCTCACATACCCACTCACACTTTACACTGATACACAGGCAAACCCCCAGACTAGGCCTCTGGCCCTGTACGGTGGAGTTGGGGGAGGTTTGGGGAAGCTGCCTCTTTTTCCATCAAGAGGCCCTTCCTCCTCCTGTTTCCAGCACTGGTAATCCCCAAACTGAGGAGCAGAGAGGATGACAAGCTGAAACTGCTGCCCAGTGTCTGGGGAGTAGGTATAGCAGAGTAAAAAACTTTGTAGTGAGCTTCTTCCTAGGAAAGGGCCTTTGCTTTTTGAGATGATGTGCGTGCTGGGTCTCTGTGGGTTCTCTGTGTGTGTGTGTGAGAGAGAGAGAGGGGCTGCTGCTTCCCGTGGCCCTGTAGGTGAGCATCCCTCATTGCGTGGTTGGATGTGAGAATCCTGCATCCCTGTCTGTCCCTGTGAGTGGGAGAGAATATTGTGTTCATAGAGCAGTAGAAGTAGAGAGAGAGAGATAGTGTGTGTGTGTGTGTGTGTGTGTGAGCGAAAGGGAGAGTGACAATGCGTGGGTCAGGGTAACTGGAGGAGGAACAACAGACACAACAAAGGGGGCTAGAGGGAGGCTGGAAATAGCCCAGGATCAATACTTGGCCAGCAGCCAGGGCCTCCAGCAGCCAGAAGAACCCTTACAATAGTTCCCCGGGGTAGCCCCTGCCTGTGATTCCCAGGCTTGTGGGCTGCCCCTTTCCTCTCCCCTTCCTTCTTGCCTGTTCCAGCCTCGGGAATGAGGCTGAGCTAGGGGCCATGTACCAGTTTCTCAAGCAAAGCCCTGGGAGTGCTGGGGGAGGGGGCATTTAGGCAGCTCTTCCCCTCCACCCTAGCCCAGCCCCAATCCCTTGTGTGAGCAGGGGTCTTCTCCACTTTCTCAATTGCTCTTCTCCTCTTGCTGACTGAGCTCAAGCTCCCTCAACCCCTAGTTCTGACCTCCCCACCAAAGCTTCAGCTCCCACCCCCATGGTTTCAGCCGGAACCTGCCCAGGTTAGCCCTCACCTGGTGTGGGCGTCCCTGGAGGGGAGGCCCGGCGGCTGCCAGAGGGGCAGAGTGCTGTGGTTTCTGTGTCCATGTCCATGTCTGTGTCCAGGTCCGTGTGCATCAGTGTGCGTGTGCGTGTGCGTGTGCGTGTGCAGCCCAGCAGCTCGCAGCACCCTCTCCCTCACTCAGCAGCACTGTCAGCTTTTCCCTTTAAATACCACCCCCCCCCCCGACACACACACATGCCCTCCCCCCTAGACACCTGGGGAAATTGTCCCACCCCCTGATGAGGTCACACATGCTAATGAGCAGTGATGTCAGCGGGATTCCCTCCTTTCTGCCCCCCCTCCCTTTTCTTTGTGTCGCTTCTCTCTGGGAGCACACACACTGCAGAGCTTGGTTGAGTTATGACAGAACAGTCAAGGGGCAGAACAGACAAGGGTTGCAGGGGGTGTCAGTGGGTAAGGGAGCTCAGGGTGACAGAAGGCAGGGACCTGGGGAGGTGAAGGTCTTTCTCCAGCAGCCAGGACTACGCATCATTTGTCTTTGTATTTCCAGACCCCTAGCCCAGTGTCTAGCCCAGAGAGCGTGCTCAGTGGCTGCACAGGGGCAAGAGGCAGAAAGATTAAAAGCTGGTCTGAAAGACAAAGAGATGCAGGCCAAAAGAGGTGTGGGGACTGAGGGTCAGCCACCCTGCCACCTTTTCCTTCTCCACCCTGCCTCTTCTGGGCTAAGAGCCACGAAAGTACTCATTTCCCAGCCCCTAGGCAGATGCGGGCTCTGAGGAAGGAAATTCAGCTGCTTCATTTGGGCAGCTTCATTTTGCCACTAAGTTCAGGTAGGGGCAAACCACTGTGGAGACTCTTCCACCTTCTCTCCCTGCCAGGCCCACCAAGCTAACGATAATCAGAGCAGGAAAAAAGGGTGAGACAAAGCTAGCTATCTCAAACACGAGGTTCCCAATCTTAAGTGGGTGGGGAAGGGGGAGTGCCAGCTACCCCCCAACTCCCCTACCCACTGTTAATGTTTTTTTGGTGCAGCTGCCAGGCCTTCTGGGCTATGCAAGGCAGGTACGCAATGGGTGATGTCTGCCTGTTTGTAGGAAGCCCAGATAGCACATCTCTTTTACCGTTCTTTTTCTGCCCAGTTCCCTTTCCCTTCAGGTTCCTTCTCCTGCCCCTTTCCTTCTTGTCCTCCTTCCTGACACCCTTAAGCTCCCAGACACACGTTCCGATTTCCTTTCCTTGCCCCGTTTTTGCCAGATGCTGTGCTAAGTACTTTCTTGCATTATCTCCTTTCATCTTCTTGAGCCCAAGGCCCACAGTGGTAGGTGGGTGCCCCGTCCCTAAAGCAATCTTGCAGCTGGAAAATGGGAACACCAGGAATCCCACCCACATCTTTCCAGTGCCAAGGATTTTTCATTTCTACATTGTGCAGCTTTCCTTCTCTTAAATATTCCAACTGTCTCCTATTATTGGGAACAGTCTATATTGCTATCCTCAGTGGACTCTTCCAATGGAAGAGGCAAAGAATAATCTTGGGAACAATGTGCAGTGACACTTCACTTATTTGGAGGTCAGCTATAGGGCAACAGTGCAGGGTTTGAGGGAGCAGAAAGGACCCCTCAGCTGCTAAAATACTCCTGTGCTTTACTCACTGGGTAGATTCTCCAGTCCTCAGTCATGGCCTACTTACTTTTACTTTTTACTTACTTTTATTCACAATTTTAACGTGTCCATGTGTGTTCCTGTACTAGTAGATTAGAAACACATTTAGAGTAGCAAGTGACCCCTTGTAGTCAGGGAGGCAACACCACACACACACAAAATAACATTTAAAGCACTCATATGCATTTTATAAGTGGTCTAAGGTCATTTAGCATAAAAGCAAATAGCTCCCCGTGCCCCTACTGTTACAACTTCAGAAGACACTGCTGGAGAAAAGCCATTGGTTTCTGTGAATGATCCTCAGTTATGCAGAAAATTATTATATTGCAGATATGCTGAAGACAAGTGTAACATTTTAGAATGACTTCCTTCCAAAATGAGTATTTTTATTTTTTTCAGAGGGAGGGTCTCACCCTATTGCTCGGGCTGGACTGCAGTGGTGCGATCATGGCTCACTGTAACCTCAACCTCCCGGGTTGTGCACTTGCCCGTATCCAGGCTCCCTCAGGAATGGGAGGTCCCATGGAATGGTGGGACAAGGGTGAGATTTGGAACGAAGCCATGCCGGCTCTAAATCCACCACTTGGTAGAGACTGGGCCAGTCTTCTGATTTCCCTAAAGCTCCTCCTGAGCTTGCAAAATGGGGTTTATGATGCCCATGGCCCAGCCCTGTTGTGTGGGTTCACTTCAGGTGATGAAGAATCTGGCATCATCGGGCACTCACTTTTTTTTTTGAGATGGAGTCTTGTCTCGCTCTGTTGCCAGGCTGGAGTGCAGTGGCGCGATCTCAGCTCACTGCAACCTTTGCCTCCCAGGTTCAAGTGATTCTCCTGCTTCAGCCTCCCGAGTAGATGGGACTACAGGCACGCACCACCATGCCCAGCTTATTTTTGTATTTTTAGTAGAGACACGGTGTCACCATGTTGGCCAGGATGGTCTTGATCTCTTGACCTCGTGATCCGCCTGCCTCGGCCTCCCAAAGTGCTGGGATTACAGGTGTGAGCCACTGCGCCCCATCCAGGCACTCACTCTCTAACCACCTAGGTGCTTCTGCAGCCTTGGGCTGTGTGGCTGGGGGGTCCTTCTCCCCTCCTAGTGAGGTCTGGAGCTTGGTTCAGGCCCATGATTTTTTTTTTAAATCTATTTATTTATTTTGAGACCAGGTTGTGAGACTGGCTAATTTTTAGTATTTTTGGTAGAGACAGGGTTTCATCATGTTGCCCAGGCTGTTCTTGAACTCTTGGCCTCAAGCGATCCGCCTGCCTTGGCCCCTCCAAAGTGCTGGGATTACAGGTGTGAGCTACTGCGCCTGGCAGAATTTTGTTTCTTAAGGACTGAGTTCTGGTATCTTCTTTTCTTTTTTTTTGGAGAAGGAGTCTCGCTCTGTCACCCAGGCTAGAGTGCAGTGGCGCGATCTCCACTCACTGCAACCTCCGCCTCCCGGGTTCAAGCAATTCTCCTGCCTCAGCCTCTCGAGTAGCTGGGACTACAGGTGCATGCCGCCACACCTGGCTACTTTTTTGTATTTTAGTAGAGACAGGGTTTCACCGTGTTGCTCAGGCTAGTCTCGAACTCCTGAGCTCAGGCAGTCTGCCTGCCTTGGCCTCCCAAAGTGCTAGGATTACAGGCGAAAGCCACCGTGGCCCAGCCCTGGTATCTTCTTTTATCTTAGGCTCTAGACTCTGATTCACAGCCTGAACCCTATCTCATGCTGAAAACACCTCCCACCTTCCCACCAAGAGCCTTAACGTGGGTCCCACACCGCTAAGACCAAGCACCTTGGATATTGGTATCTATCTTGATGGAATTTTAGGTTGCCTCATTTCTTTTTTTCTTGGGCCCTGGTGGAAATAAACCTGAGTGACTGCTCCCCAGTGCCATCACTTGGGCAGGACACTCTGTCTTAGTTTCTCCATGCTGCCTGTACAAGGTCAGTCCCCTATCCCGGCTAGCTTGGGGCTTCACTGTGGCTGACAAGAGTATTATTACTACCTACACCTCGTACAGCACACAACCAGAACCTAGAGAAACTTCTTTCAGGCCCACTGATCTATAAGCACAAGCCTCCTTAGTGAACTCTGCCCTAAAGTCCTCCTTCCAGCATTTGGAAGCATTCCACCATGAGGAGCAGGTTTACCTTAAGTCTTTGTCCACTTTCAGTTTGCAATACCACTAGGAGAGAAAAGGTCTGGATGAAGGGATGAAGATATCAGGCTGCAGGTATTTGAGGTGGCTATGGGGGAAGAGAAGAGCAAAGGAGAGGGCAAAAGACCAGGCTATGGAGAGGCAGGGGAGGGAAAATCACTGCTTCACTATTTCCATTGGGCCTGACGCTGAGTGGATCCTGGATTGTTTGCGTTTGGGAAGGAGGGCCCAAAGGGAGAACAGTAAGCAAGAACCAGGTTCTCCAGAGCCCTCTCCCCAGTCTCTGGAGAGGGTCTGCAGTGAAAGGAGCTCGGGTCTTCCCTGAGCCAAGGTGCCAGGGTCCCAGAACTGCACATGGGCCCACACCCCTCTCTGCTACTTCCTCAGGCTCTTGCTCACTAGAAGAGAGGAAAATTGTGCAATTAGTGCTGGGTTTGAGGAGGCTGACAGGGTGTAATCAACAGGGCCTCTCCACCAGGTGTGGGGCTAGGCTGGGTGATGGGCTCTGCCAGGCGTGGGGCTAGGCTGGGTGACAGGCTCTGCCAGGTGTGGGGCTAGACAAGGAGAGCCTGAGGGGAGCCTCTTTCCCCAGGGACTGGGTCCGTTAGGGAATTCCTCAGTTTTGTTCCTGAGGCATCACTCCCACCCCCACAGCTTCCTTCTACATCTTCTGCCTCGATCTTCCTTCCAAACTCTGGGGCAGCTTCTGTCACTTTGCTCACTAGGGGCTGGGTTCCAACACTGCTTGCGAATCATTCCCTCCATCACCCACCCCAGCGCTGCAGCTCTGGCCGCTGCTTGTGCTCTCAGGCCCAGGGTCTTTCCTATAACCCTTGCCCTCTTGTCTCCTCCGTTTGCTTGTTCTGGGGACACTCCCCCTGTCTAGAATTCACAGCTCTATTCCAACTGCTGACAGCATTCTTTTGGTTCCAGTTTGGGCCCTCTTCCAGGAAGACCTCTTGGATTTGGCCATGGTGATGCCAGCACCACACACCCTGAATGTTTGTGAATTCTCCCTCCACTCACCTTTGCCTGCCTTGAGGTATCCTGGCTGAGAATTCATCTGTCTTGCATAGGACAGACTGCTAAATGCCTGGTGGGTGTGGAGGGTGGAGGGTAGGAGTCATGACTCCTGTGTCCCACCAGGGACAGCTGCTCCTATGATCTGGGCTCAGGGTATGCTCCAAAAATGAGAACCTTCCTGACCGCAGGGCCCAGCTGGCTCCCCTGACTTCTATGCTGGCAGTGAGGAAAGAGGCCCTGGAGTCAGTCATTGCAGAGCTGGGCCCCAGGCATTTGAGTGAAAATGGAGAGGATTGATCCTTAGGGTTCCTAGAATTTTCTTACCTTCTGTGTGGTATAAAAATCAAGAGTGCAGTGGTTGGGAGATGAACAGGAAGAGGGCAGGAGGTAGAGGGCCAAGCAAAGGGCTCCACAGGGAGGAGTGGGATGAGGTGAGCATAGACTGAGATGGGCAGAGGCGGGGCTCAGGCTCGCAGCTAATTTGCAAAATTTTGAGATGTATGATTCCTTTATTTTTGACCTCAACTTACTGAGCAATGCCGTAGCTATGGAATAGAAGCATTTGTTGCACTCTTTTTGTGAGCCAGGCCCTGTAGGAGGGATTGTGGATGGCAAAACCTCAGGTTCTGCCCAAATCCTCCCCTTGGGGGCTGGAGGGTCTCTAGTTAATTGGCATTCCGGTGCTTAAGGCCACTTTTGGGTAGAGGTTTGGCAAGGATGGAGTGTCCAGACCTATGATCCTCTAAGAACTTTACTTTTTAAAAACAGCCACCCAAATGGTGGTGGCGTGGGGAGCAGGTGGTGGTGAAGGGACTGGGGTGTCTGGCCATGGCCACGTACAGAGGAGACTCTGTGAGCCCTCTCCCTGCCTGAGGGACACTTAACTTTATAGCAGCTACATAGGGTCAACGGGAGGCCCACCAAGTCCCTGAAATCCAGGGACAGGGAAGGAAGTGGTGGAGGGGAGGCTGACCCACCTCTAAAAGGTTGTGCCACTATGAGTAGAGCCCCCAGGGGAGAGGCCTCAGTAGAGCCCCCAGGTCCCCTCAGGTAAGCAGTGGCTCATCCTCTGCCTCAGCTACCCACACCCCCGGCTCAGCCAGTGGCACCAGTAGCACATCGTCCTCATCTTCCAGGGCCAGGACTGCTGTGTGGGGTCCAGGGGGGCTCCGGGTTGGTCCTGGGGGCCCCAGGCTGGGCAACAGGCGGCCTCGCAGGGCCTGCACCACTCCAGACAATAGTGATGGCTCTAGGGGCAGTGAGGGCAGTGGCCCTGGGGCTTCAGGGACAGTAGTGGGGGCTGGAGACGTGCTAGCAGATGGGAGGGGAGCCTTGATGGGCAGTGGGGGTGCCTGCTCCCCATCTTGCCCACCCACTGCCCCGCCCTCACGGGCTGGACCTGTGCCACCATCTAGGGCCTCAAGGGGAGCAGCAGAAGGTGTGACCTGGGATCTGGCCTCAGAGGCCCGAGCCGGGGTGTTGGTTCGAGGGAGCAAGCCCCAGCGGCGGAGACGGCGTACCAGGCGTCGCATCAAGCGGCCCCGCTGACGACGGCGGGCACCTGGGCCACCTCCTGGAGTCATATCCTGGCGTAAGATCTGTAGCAGAGAACGCAGGTTGCCCAGCACTGAGTTCTGCAAGGAAATGAGGAGGCCTCAGAGTCAGAGGGCCAAAGGCTGAATGAAGGAGGGTACAGGGGCGGGGCCACAGCAGAACTGGGACCAGGAGGTGCTAGGGTTGTGGGGAGTGACTTACATCATTAGGATTCTCTGTAGGAAAGTCTTCTACAGGTGGGATGGCACCCTGGGCAATGAGCTGCCCGTAGGAAGGGGGTGCCTGCTGCTGCACAATCTCAGCCTCCATCCGGGAGAGGGGGGCAAAGATGCTAGAAGGAATGAGGACTGCTCAGTCACTGGTAGTTCTCGGCCAGAGTAGACCACCTCAGCCTGGACAGTCCTCCCACTTCCACACCCGGGCCAGGCCAGCTGGAGCTGTGCCATGGCTTTCCCAAAGGTCATCTGAGGTCCCTCCTCCCTTGAAACTGCTTTCAGGATCTGGACCTGTCCCTTACAGGACACAACTGACAAGCTGATCATGGGAGCCTCTCCCCAAGGTGGGCACTTTCGTGGTCTCCTGTAGCTGCACAGCCCAGCCTCACCCTCAGGGTCTACTCTTCTACTGCCAGCCCCACTCCCACTGACCTGTACTCCTGGGTGCGAATGGCATAGAGCTTGCAGGTGCAGCCCAGGGCGATGACCAGGAGCAGGCCGCACACTAGGCTGCCAATGACTGCAGCTGTAATGACCTTGCGGGGCAGAACATAGGAGCAGTCCCACTCATCACTGCCGTCCGCACAGTCTGGCTGCCCATCGCACACCCACGTCTCATACACGCACTTCTCGTCCCGGCATCGGAAATTGCCAGGCTGGCAATGCCGACAGCGTCTCTCATCTGCTCCATCAGCACAGAAAGTCTGGTAGTTGCAGCGGTCAGCAGGCAGGTAGCAGGCTGTGGCACCAGAGGTGCCAGCAGCCCCACAGGGGAAGTGTCCAGGTGGGCAGCCTGGGCAGTCCTCCTCATCTGTGCCGTCAGCACAGTCCCATGAGCCGTCACAGCGCTGTGCCTCACTGTAGCAGCGCTCACCTAGGCCTTCGCCAGCTCCCAGGCCAGAGCCTAAGCCACAGGGTCTGTCCCAAGGCAAGCAATAGCCCCGCACATGGTAGGTGGCATTGAAGCCACGACCATTGCTCCAAGCAACTGTGTGGTAGGACACAACAGCCTGGCCAGACAGTGTCTCCACAGTGACAGCCTTGCCATTGCTGAAGTGGGTGAGACTACGCAGTAGTCGGGAGCTCTCAGGGGGCCCAGGGCCGTCATACACATGCACTGCATCTCCAAAGCCCAAGTCCAGGGCTGTGAAGCGCACGGCCAGCCGCCGGCCATCATGGGGGTCCAGCAGCCAATGGCAGGACTGGGGGTGGGAGACTGAGGCTAGGTGTGTATATCCAGGAGAGGAGAAGACCCCATAGAAGTCCTCCAAGGTGACATTGCAAGGCAGGGAGGGGACGGGTCTTGGGGTCAGGCCAGGGAAGGGGTCTGAGCTGCAACCTGCTTCATCAGAGCCATCGCCACAGGCATCAACCCCATCACAGCGCTGGACAGCAGATACACAGCGGTGGTTCAGGCACTGAAACTCTTCCTGCAGGCACATCAGCCAATCTGCAGAGGCACCATGGAGAGGGGCTGTGAAGCACCAGAACCCTCAGGATCCTCCCCTTCTGCCTGGGGCTTTCACTGCCTGCTCCTCAGACATCCCTGTCCAGCCTACCTTGGCTGTAGGAGAGCAGGAAGCCCTGGCCCATGGGTGCTCTGGCCCCAGCATAGCTGTAAGTGATGGTGACGTTGCCCCCGGGCAGCTGCAGAGGGCTGGGAGGTGCCTCACACAGGGAGATCAGTGGCTGGAGAGGGGAGCGTAGGGTTAAGCGCTCTGAGCCACAGGCCAGGTGTAGCTTCTGGAACCTATGGGAGTAGAGGAGAGCAGGACATGAGATACTCTTGACTGCTGCTGGCTTTCTCCTCCCCTGGTGCCACCAGGCCCCTTGTGTCCCAGGAAGCATAAACATCTGCTTATCCATGATCTAAATGGCCAAATGAAAACTCAGTTAGCCTATTTATTTATTTATTTAGAGACAGAGTTTCACTCTTGTCACCCAGGCTGGAGTGCAATGGTGTGATCTTGGATCACTGCAACCTCCACCTCTTGGGTTCAAGTGAGTCTCCTGCCTCAGCCTCCCAAGTAGCTAGGATTACAGGTGCCCGCCACCACACCTGGCTAATTTTGTATTTTTAATAGAGATGGGGTTTCACCATGTTGGTCAGGCTGGTCTCGAACTCCTGGCCTCAGGTGATCCACCCGCCTTGGTCTCCCAAAGTGCTGGGATTACTGGCGTGAGCCACCATGCCCGGCAGCCAAATTATTTTTAAGTCAATGTAGTCAATGGGGATCTTCCTAACATGGTAGGAATACCTCATGGTATCGCCATGAGACCATAAAATATATCCTAGAGCCCTTTGGAAAAATTGACTTGTGTTCTGGGACTGAGTTAAGAAGAGGTGCACTGCATTCCAGTTGTTGTAGCACTGTCACCCAAGTATGGTACCAGCAGTAACTGGTGATTACCATACAGTTCAATTAACCAGAACTCACCATCTTATCCCACCCCACTGTGCCAGATGTGAGACCTGGATTGGTTCTCCATGGCATTCTGATCCCTTTGCCCCACCAGCCTCTCCACAGATTGCCCTCTCTCTTTGCCTACCCCTTTCTGGGTAAATTCATGGAAAATGAACTATGTGAGGCAAACAGCCAGGTACTTAATATGATCCCCAAACAATGACCAAGGTCAGGGGAGCCTGGGGTGACTTGGAATGTTTAAAAGATCCAGAGAGGCTGAGGGATGTTCTAAGCTGATTAAGGAGTAGTTCTGAATCTCAGGCAGGACATGCAATGAATGGAAGGACTCTTCAGAACAGTTCTATCTGAGCTGAGGACCGTTTGCAGAGGGGCCTCTGTCCTTTGGAGATGCGCAGGACTCAAGCTAGATGTCCACTCCAGCCCAGCTCCACCTCAATTCACTGAGTCTGACCCAGAAAAAGTCAGACTTTTAGGGCACACTAGGCCAAATCAAATTCTACTCTTTACCTGTTGACAAGGATGGAAATTCCATAGAGAAGTGATCCCTGAATGGGCCAGGCCCAGTGGCTCATGCCTTTAATCCCAGCACTTTGGGAGGCCCAGGCGGGTGGATCACTTGAGGTGAGGAGTTCAAGACCAGCCTGGCCAACGTGGTGAAACCCTGTCTCTACTAAAAATACAAAAAAGTTAGCTGGGCATGGTGGCGGGCACCTGCAATCCCAGCTACTCGGGAGGCCAAGACAGGAGAATCACTTGAACCCGGGAGGTGGTGGTTGCAGTGAGCTGAGATCGCGCCATTGCACTCCAGCCCGGGTGACAAGAGTGAAACTCCGTCTCAAAAAAAAAAAAAAAGAAGTGATCCCTGAAGACTTCCAATGGAGGGGAAGGGGCAGGGGAGAAGAATGGGTTCTTGCTCTTGTTCTGCTTCTCACCTGATGGTGACAGTCTGTTCCTTGCTGCCCAGGATGAGCCAGGTGCAGTTGGCAGGGGAGGTGCGGCTGTCCCGGACCAGGGGCCTCTGTAAGGTGCCCTGCACTTCTAAGAGCACTGCTGGGGGGTCCTCACAAGCTGGAGAGAGGAAGGTAGGACACGGGTAGTAGACAGCCCCTTTGCATCCCACCCTTCCCCTTCCGCTTGGAGGCTTGAGGTTTCCAAAAGTCTGGGCTCTGCAAGGAGGAGCAGAGTATCTGCCCCTGCCCACACACAGCCTAGAGTTACAGCCTTCTAGCTTCGCTCTTTCTCTCCACATTCTTCATAGCTTCACCAGTAAATACTAATATCACGAACAATTCTGACGTCTGCTTTGTGCCAGCCACTGAACCAGGAGGAGCAGGAAATACTGCCTCTACCCTCAGGGAGACTACATCCTGGTTAGGACGATCAAGCATAGATATTCCCAGAAAAAATAAAATAGTACATAGCAACTACCAGATGAAGGTCCACACCGAGCCTCAGCTTCCTTATCTATAAATAAAGGCTAAATTATCTCCCCTCTAAAACTTTGGTAGGTCCCATGGAATTCAGGGAACAGAGAGTCCTTCTCGACTGCTCCCTCATTCCCAAGCCCACGGAGCCCCAGAGGTTCCCTCAACTCACCATGATTTGGAAAAATAATCCGGTCTGGATGGGCCAGAGCGCCTCCTAGAGGAGGAACGAGAAAGGGCAGGAGCGTGAGACACTCCTTAGGAGTTTTCTTCTTCACCTGAGCAACTCAAGGGAGCCATCCGGGACTTCCGGGCAGTTAATCGGAAGAGGGAGTGGGGGGCGGGAGAGGGCTGCGGCGTGGGACTTCCATGGAAGGAAGGTCCGGCAGCAGGGCCTTGTGGGGTTGGTGGGGTGATCTAGGGGAAGCCGGAGAGAGGACCAGGGCCCAGCGGAGCAGCTGAAGACTTCCTGGGGGTTGGGGCCGGCAGTGCTGGGGCTGGCGGCAGGGGCTGGGGGGAATGGGCAGGCAGGATAGAGTGCGGGGCCGCACTGGAGGGAGTTAGAGCTGCTGGCCCGGTGACAGAAGGCTGGGGGTTGGTATCGTTTCGGTTCTTACCAAGGAGGAGGAGGAGGAGGGTGGCCAACAGCATCCTGGGCTGTCCAGAGGTGCCGGAAGGGTCCCGGAGCTTCTGTGGTCTACCCGATGGGGTCGCGGCGGAGCCCCGGGCGCCCAGGCTCCCTGGTGCCGCCTCCCCAGGGGGGCTCCATGGCCCGGGCTCGACCCGTACTCTGGATGCCAGGGCTGGGGGCGGGGAGGCGGCGGCAGCCCGGGAGTAGGGGCGGTGCCTTTCGCCAACTTTGGAGTTGTTTTCTCCGTCCGCCGCCGCACTCTTCTCTCCCGGGGCCGGCTCCTGAAGCCCCGGGTCTCGGCACTGGGGCGCGCCCTCGCCTACAGCCCGCCCGCAGGCAGCGAGCGCCCCTGGTCTGGCCTGGTCGCCACCTGCCGGGGTTTGAGACCACTTCCTCTTCGGGCCAAACTTTGCCGACTGTCAGCCCCCAGGGCCGGCCGGGTGCTGCTCCACTCCTCCAGCGCGTCCAGCCAGCGGAGCGCGACAGGGAAGCGGGGGAGGGGAAGAGGTGGCTCGGCCCGGCGCCCCGGCCCTTGCCCAGGCGGTACCCCCGCCCGCCCAGGGGTTGGAGTAGCCGGGGCGGGTGACAAGCCCGGTCCCACCCCTGCCAATCAACGCACGGGCCACACCCACTTGCTCGCCTTAACCCCTTTCCCGGCCCTGCCGGACTTGTCAGACGGGCCCTTGACTTGCAGCTTCAGCTTCCACATTTAACCCTGCTTTGTTTAATCCTTGGGGTGTAACACGTTTGTCGTTACAGGACATGTTTGTCATATGTTTGTCACACGTTTGTCAAAGGACGTCTGCTTATTCCATAACTGTGATGTCTTTCCTTTGGGCCCTAAGCTCTCAGTACTTTTCTTGTCCCAGGGTCTGAGATCCGGCAGCACTTTTCGGAGTGAGACTTTATTACAGCTATTACCACACGGTACGGTAACTATTTATTCGTCATTCCCGCCCCCGCCCCGCCCCTTCTCTGCAAACTGAAACTTCCCGTAGGCTGGGGCCTAGACTGTTTACCTTTGCACCTACAGGGCTTCTCTCCTGCTGAGACACAGGAAGAACTCAATAAATGGTAAATAAATGAATAAGTACGCCTTCTCCATTTGCTGGCTGTGACCTCCAGGAAATTACTTAACCTCTCTGTTCTCCTCAGGTATAAAATGAGGCTTATGATAGTGCAACTTCCTCTTAAGGTTGTTGCTAACATTTAAGGAGAGCAAGTTCCCTGACATACAGGAAGTGCTCCATATCTGGTAGCAACTATTATTATCAGTCACAGAAGGTGTTTCTAATTTGTGTGAGCTGGAGGTTACCGATTTCCTGTGGCACTGATAGATAACATTAATAAACAATATTGAAGCTCAGAATTTTCAGTGAAAAAATAAACACAACAAATAGCAAACAATTTTAGATTTTTCCACTTTTCAGGCACAGATCTAAGTAAGCACTTTACTAAATACTTAGGAACTATTTTAGTATATACTAAATACATTAACACTTTACAAGCATTTGCGGGTTTAATCCTCTAAACAACCCTGTGAGGTACATACTATTATTACTTCCAATTTCCAAGGTATTCCGAGAAATGCAGGCACAGAAAAGTTAAGTATTTTGCCCAAGATCTAGTACAGTGGGCCCTCCATATCTTGGGTTCTGCATTCGCAGATTTAACTGATCGTAGATGGAAAATATTATCAGGGGTGGGGTTGGGGGAATTGAGTGGAATTGCATCTGTTTTTTTTTGTTTGTTTGTTTGTTTTTTGAGACGGAGTCTTGCTCTGTCGCCTAGGCTGGAGTGCAGTGGCGTGATCTCTCACTGCAACCTCCACCTCGCGCCTCCCGGGTTCAAGCAGTTCTCCTGCCTCAGCCACCCGAGTAGCTGGGATTACAGGCGCCCGCTGCCACCATGCCCGGCTAATTTTTGTATTTTGAGTAGAGACGGGTTTCATCATGTTGGCCAGGCTGGTCTCGAACACCTGACCTCAGGTGATCCACCCGCCTCGGCCCCCCAAAGTGCTGGGATTACAGGCGTGAGCCACCACGCCCAGCCGCATCTGTTTTGAATATGTACATAATTTATTTCCCTGTCATTATTCCCTAAACAATAAAGTATATTGACTATTCCTATATGTATATTTGAGACAGAGTCTTGCTCAGGCTGCAGTGCAGTGGTGCGATCTCGGCTCACTGCAACTTCTGCCTCCCGGGTTCAAGCGATTCTCCCACCTCAGCTCCCCCGCCCCCTCCCCCCCAAGTAGCTGGGATTACAGGTGCGCGCCGCAACGCCTAGCTAATTTTTGTATTTTTAGTAGAGACCAGGTTTCACCATGTTGGTCAGGCTGGTCACGAACTCCTGACCTCAGGTGATCCGCCCGCCTTGGCCTCCCAAAGTGCTGGGATTAACAAGTGTGAGCCACTGCGCCCGGCCATGAAGCTAGGGTTTGAACCCAGGGAATCTGGCTCTGGACAGAGTGCACATTCTGATCTTAACCACTTTCTCCCCTCTACAAATGATATAAAATAGTTTTTTGTTTTGTTTTGTTTTGTTTTGTTTTTTCTGAGACAGAGTTTCACTTTTGTTGCCCAGGCTGGAGTTTAGTGACGCAATCTCGGCTCACTGCAACCTTCACCTCCCAGGTTCAAGCGATTCTTATGCCTCAGCCTCCCGAGTAGCTTGGATTACAGGCATGTGCCACCACGCCGGGCTAATTTTTGTGTTTTTAGTAGAGACGGGGTTTCACCATGTTGGTCAGGCTGGTCACGAACTCCTGACCTCAGGTGATCTACCCGCCTTGGCCACCCAAAGTGCTGGGATTACAGGCGTGAGCCATTGCGCCCGGCAATTTTAATTTTTAATTTTAATTAATTTATTTTTTGAGACAGGGTCTCACTCTACAAAATTGTGTAGTTGCACAATTTTGGCTTATTGCAACCTCAACCTCCTGGGCTCAGGTGATCTTCGCACCTCAGCCTCCTGAGTACTACAGGCGTGTGTCACCATGCCGGGCTAATTTTCATATCTTTTTTTTTTGAGACGGAGTCTTGCTCTGTCGCCCAGGCTGGAGTGCAGTGGCGCGATCTTGGCTCACTGCAACCTCAGCCTCCTGGGTTCAAGCGATTCTCCTGCCTCAGCCTCCCAAGTATCTGAGACTAAGGCACATGCCACCATGGCAGCTAATTTTTTGTATTTTTAGTAGAGACGGGGTTTCACTGTGTTAGCCAGGATGGTCTCAATCTCCTGACCTTGTGATCCGTCCACCTCGGCTTCCCAAAGTGCTGGGATTACAGGCATGAGCCACTGTGCCTGGCCTAATTTTTGTATCTTTTGTGGAGATGGGGTTTACCATGTTACCCAGGCTGGTCTTCAACACCTGGGCCAAGTGATCCTCCTGCTTCGGTCTCCCAAAGTGCTAGAATTATAGGCATGAGACACTCCACTCAGCCTATTTATTTATTTGTTTATATTTAATTTTTTTTTTTGAGACAGTCTCACTTCACTGCCCAGGCTAGAGTGCAGTGGCACAATGTTAGCTCACTGTAACCTCCACCTTCCTGGCTCAAGTGATTCTCAGCCTCCCAAGTAGCTGGGATTACAGGCGCCTGCCACCATGCCTGGATAATTTTTGTATTTTTAGTAGAGACACGGTTTTTGCCATGTTGACCAGGCTGGTCTTGAACTCCTTACCTCAAGTGATCCACCTGCCTTGACCTCCCAAAGTGCAGAGATTACAGGCATGAACCACTGCATTCAGCCCTATTATTTTTATTTGATTTGATTTGAGATGGAGTTTTGCTCTTGTTGCCCAGACTGGAGTGCAGTGCACGACCTCAGCTCACCAGAACCTCCGCCTTCCAGGTTCAAGCAATTCTCCTGCCTCAGCCTCCCAAGTAGTTGGGATTACAGCCATGTGCCACCACGCCCTCCTGGCTAATTTTTGTATTTTTAGTAGAGACAGGGTTTCTCCATGTTGGTCAGGCTGGTCTCGAACTCCCGACTTTAGGTGATCTGCCTGCCTCAGCCTCCCAAATTGCTGGGATTATAGGTGTGAGGCACTGCGCCTGGCCGGCCCTATTATTTTATTTTTATTTTTATTTTTTTATTTTTTTGAGCGGAGTCTTGCTCCGTCGCCCAGGCGGGAGTGCAGTGGCGCAATCTCGGCTCACTGCAAGCTCCGCCTCCCGGGTTCACGCCATTCTCCTGCCTCAGCCTCCCGAGTAGCTGGGACTACAGGCGCCCGCCATCAGGCCCGGCTAATTTTTTTGTATTTTTAGTAGAGATGGGGTTTCACCGTGTTAGCCAGGATGGTCTCGATCTCCTGACCTCGTGATCCACCCGCCTCGGCCTCCCAAAGTGCTGGGATTACAAGCGTGAGCCACCGCGCCCGGCCCCGGCCCTATTATTTTTAAAGGCTAATCAAATAAGCAGTGGGAGTGGAAAAGGAACAAAGAAATCTGTAACTGATTGTGATCAACTAGTTGTGAACACCACTGTAACAAGCCAGCCAGAAGTTTTCTTTTTTGTTTGTTTGATTGTTTTTTGCTTTTTTTTGAGACAGGGTCTCACTCTGTCGCTCAGGCTGGGGTCCAGTGGCACGATCTTGGCTCACTGCAACCTCCACCTCCTGGGTTAAAGCGATTCTCCCACCTCAGCCTCCCAAGTAACTAGGATTACAGGTACGTGCCACCATGCCCGGCTAATATTTGTATTTTTTGGTAGAGACGGAGTTTCACCATGTTGGCCAGGCTGGTCTCGAACTCCTGACCTCTGGTGGTCCACCCACATTGGCCTCCCAAATTGCTGGGGTTACAGGTGTGAGCCACCGCACCCAGACTCAGAAGAGTTTTCTATTAATGACATTTATTGTTGTAGGGCCTTAGTTGGGCCTGATACCATAGAGTTGGCCATAAAAAGGCTCTTCTTCCACTTGGACCTTGGTCCCACGCCCTAACTCTCTCTTTGCTCCCAAGATTAATGAGAAGATTGAATAGAACTGTGAAGGTGGAAGCCAGGGATTTTTGATATCTTCAGGGATCCTGAAGCTAATCTCTCGAATCTCATGCAGATTGGGATTGGGATAACTATAAATGACAAGCCCAGGAGTTCTGAGACAAGCCTGGAAAACATAGTACGACCCCGTCTCTACAAAAAATACAAAAATTAGCTGGATGTGGTGGTGTGCATCTGTAGTCTCAGCTACTTGGGAGGCTGAGGTGGGAGGATTGCTTGAGCCCGTGAGGTTGAGGCTGCAGTGAGCCAAGACTGCACCACTGCACCCCAGCCTGGGCAATAGAGTGAGACCCCATTAAAAGAAAAGAAAAGAAAAGAAAAGAAAAAGAACCCTGAAGGTGAGAGGCAGATGCAAAAGGAAGCAGGGCAAAGAGGTTGGGGAAATTGAAAATGTTTATGTCCTAAAAGTGGTCACGGAAGTTTCAGCTGAGCACTGGCTATATTCTTTTTGGATGCCTGGAATTCTTAAGACTTCACTTTAGCTTCAAGGAGCTTACAGTCTAGTTGGAAAGAGAGATCAGATACATAAATTAACAATGCCAGACAGCCATGGGGAGTACCCATGGGAATGGGCATCTCAGGGAGTAGGAGTTTGGAAAGGAAGCAGGAAAGGTGGTAGTGAGATGGGAAGAGTTATGGGGGTGAAGAAAGGGGGAAGAGAACCCATGGTCTGGAATGCTGAATAAACTGAAATTTGCAGAAAATAGTCAAGACCTGTGCTGTTGGGCATAATCATCATCAGGAATAAATGGCACCCAGGCAGAACACACTTTCATTCTGTAAATATTTAAGTGCCTTCCAAGTGCAAGACACTGTGGCAGACACTGGGAGTTAATATTCAAGATTGAATGCAAGCCAAAAAAAAAAAAAAAAAAGATGAGGGAAAAATTCAAGACGACCTAGGTCTTTATAATGAGTTTAAGCTTTAATTAGCTTAGTGAGTTTCAGTGTTCAGGCCCATAAAAATCATATCCTAAATGATCAAGTACCTTTGGGAATGGGACTGTGGAAATATTCTTGGAAATCTTTGAGGAACTATGAAAAATAGTGAAAGTAGTGGGAAATGGACAGATGTTTATTTTTAAATTTCTATTTATTTATTTGTAGAGATGAGGTCTTGATATATTGCCCGGGCTGATCTCAAACTGCTGGCCTGAAGCCATCCTCCTGCCTTGGCCTCCCAAAGGGCTGGGATTATAGGCGTGAGCCACCGTGCCTGGCTGATGTTTAGTTTTTAAGATGATAATATCTAACTTTTATAGAGGACTCACCATATGTTAGGCACGGTTCTAAGCACTTCACATACATTATCTCATTTAATCCTGACCACATTAGGAAGTAGGTGTTATTTTTTGTCCTCATTTTTTAATTGAGGAAATAGACAGTTTGACACTTTGCTCAAGATCAAACTACTAGCATCTGCAAGAGCCAAGACATAAGCTGTCTGAATCAGAGGCCTTGCTGTTAAACATGGTAGATTCTAGAATCTTCAGAGCAAGGAATCTAACACCTGGCTAATTTCTAGAATGGATGCCAGTCATTTACTTGTCTGTGTTCAGATTAATCCTGCTGCCTCTTCCTGCAAACTGCACTTCCCAGGCTCTCTGGCCAAGTGACTTTGGGGTAGATTCAGCCAGCAGGAGGCACTAGTGGGAGACTGGAGGGGAGGCAGGGAAGGAGGACCCAGGGCGGGCCCCATCCCCTCTGCCTCAGCTTTGTCTTTAGCAGCAGCCGTGCATCTTCCATGGTTCTAGTTCCCACTGGGTAGCCTGGCTTCTTAGGTGCTGGTGACACCACCTCCTCCCTTTGTTCCTCCAGCTTCCTGCTGTTGCTTATCTCTGGGCTACCTCACCATCTCCTTTTGGACTTTTAGCAATTTCATCATATTTTTCTCGTTCTTTGTTACATTTCTTCTACTGAATTAACTGTTATGGATTGTTTACCTGACCAGATTCTGACCCATGGAGGTAATCATCACTAGTACCTGGCATAGTTCACCAACTAGACACATCATTCTAAAATCATTCTTGGCTGGGGGTGGTGGCTCATGCCGGTAATCCCAACACTATGGGAGGCTGAGGTGGGAGGATTGCTCGAGCCCGGGAGTTTGAGACCAGCCTGGACAACATAAGGAGACCCCATCTTTACAAAAAATAAAAATAAATTATCCAGGCATGGTGGCACATGCCTGTGATCTCAGCTACTTGGGAAGCTGAGGTGGGAGGATCACTTGAACCAAGGAGGTCGAGGTTACAGAGAGCTGTGATCCCACCACCTTACTCTAGCCTGGGTGCATTCCCCATCTCAAAAAGAAAAAAGTTAATTAATTAAAAATAAAAATCGACTGGGCGCGGTGGCTCACGCCTGTAATCCCAGCACTTTGGGAGGCCGAGGCAGGCAGATCATGAGGTCAGGAGTTCAAGACCAGCCTGGCCAACATGGTGAATCTCCCGTCTCTACTAAAAATATAAAAATTAGCTGGCCAGGTGCGGTGGATCATGCCTGTAATCCCAGCAATTTGGGAGGCCAAGGTGGGCGGATCACTTGAGGTCAGGAGTTCAAGACCTGCTTGGCCAGCATGGTGAAACCCTGTCTCTACTAAAAATACAAAAAAATTAGCCAGGCATGGTGGCGGGCACCTGTAATTCCAGCTACTCGGGAGGCTGAGGCAGGAGAATCGCTTAAACCCGGGAGGCAGAGTTTGTGGTGAGCTGAGATCATGCCATTGCACCCCAGCCTGGGTGACAAGAGTGAAACTCCGTCTCAAAAAAATAAATAAATAAAATACAGGCCGGGCGTGGTGGCTCACGGCTGTAATCCCAGCACTTTGGGAGGCTGAGGTGGGTGGATCACCTGAGGTCAGGAGTTTGAGACCAGCCTGGCCAACATGGTGAAATCCCGTCTCTACTAAAAATACAAAAATTAGCTGGGTGTGGTGGCGGGTGCCTGTAATCCTAGCTACTTGGGAGGCTGAGGCATGAGAATCGCTTGAACCCGGGAGGCGGAGGTTGCAGTGAGCTGAGATCACGCCGCTGCACTCCAGCCTGGCGACAGAGTGAGACTTTGTTTCAAAATAAACAAACTAACACACAAACAAAACCAAAAATCAGCTGGGTGTGGTGGCGGGCACCTGTAGTCCCAGCTACTCGGGAGGCTGAGGCAGGAGAACTGCTTGAACCTGGGAGGCGGAGGTTGCAGTGAGCCAAGATCACGCCATTGCACTCCAACCTGGGCAACAGAGCAAGACTCCATCTCAAAAAAATAAATAAATAAATAAAAAGTAAAAAATAAATAAAAGTACAAATCAATTTCTTTTTTGGGAGTATTACTTAGTACCATAAACATAGACTATCTAGATTTAAGCCAATAGGAAAATATGGGCTGAATGATAATACGATTAGTACCCTCAAGTTGAAATAGGTATTCATAATGCACACATCAAAACTGATGTCAATCTGCAGAGTCCCAGTCAACATATACAAAAATTAATTAAGGCCGGGCACAGTGGCTTACGCCTGTAATCCCAACACTTTGGGAGGCTGAGGTGGGCAGATTGCTCGAGCTCAGGAATTTGAGACCAGCCTATACAAAATGGTGAAACCCAATCTCTACAAAACATACAAAAATTAGCCACTGCTCTCCAGACTGGGTGACAGAGTAAGACCTTGTTTTAAAAAAAAAAACAAAATTATATGAAGATGTAGAATAAGAGTTAATTAGATTTTAAGATGACATGAATTGGAATTGGGAGCTAGAAGACAAAATAAGGAATCTAAAGATTTTGACAACCTAGGATGATGGATCTGAGAGATCTACGATGACAGAGGAGATAAAAATGCAAAATTCAGGCTGGGCGCGATGGCTCACACTTGTAATCCCAGCACTTTGGGAGGCTGAGGTGGGCGGATCATGAGGTCAGGAGATCGAGACCATCCTGGCTAACAAGGTGAAACCCCGTCTCTACTAAAAATACAAAAATTAGCTGGGCGTGGTGGTGGGTGCCTATAGTCCCAGCTACTCAGGAGGCTGAGGCAGGAGAATGGCATGAACCCAGGAGGCAGAGCTTGCAGTGAGCCGAAATGGCACCACTGCACTCCAGCCTGGGCAACAGAGCGAGACTCTGCCTCAAAAAAAAAAAAAAAAAAAAATTGCAAAATCCTACAACTTAGGTTAAAAACACCAACTTACAGAAAGGACAGGTAGCTTAATTATTGTTTATGTAAAGAGGAATTAAGCCCAGAAACTTGGGAGGCTAAGGTGGGAGAATTTCTTGAGCCCAGAAGTTTGAGTCCAGCCAGGGCAACATAGCAAGACCCCTTCTTTAAAAATAAAAACTAGGAGCCTGGCACGGTGGCTCACACCTGTAATCCCAGTGCTTTAGGAGGCTGAGGCAGGTGGATCACTTAAGGTCCAGAGCTCAAGACCAGCCTGGTCAACATGGTGAAACCCCGTTTCTACTAAAAATACAAAAATGAACCAGGTGTGGTGGCGTGTGCCTGTAATCCCAGCTACTTGGGAGGCTGAGGCAGGAGAATTGCTTGAACCTGGGAGGCGGAGGTTGCAGTGAGCTGAGATCGCGCCATTGCACTCCAGCCTGGACAACAAGAGTGAAACTCCGTCTCAAAAATTAATAAAATAAAATAAAATAAAATAATAAAAACTAGGGGCCAGGCACAGTGGCTCATGCCTGTAATCCCAGCACTTTGGGAGGCCAAGGTCAGAGGACTGCCTGAAGACAGGAGTTTGAGACCAGCTTAGGCAATATAGCAAGACCCTGTTTCTACAAAAAATAAAAATACAAATAAATTTAATTGACAGATTAGAGATTTCTGCTGGTGCTGAATGAATTAGCATGGCGTGGTTGCATAAAAGCTAACATATTAGAGAAGCAGAACTGGCCAGTACTGCCATTTATCAGGTGAATGAACTTGGCAAGTTTTTACTTTTCTATGCCCAATTTTCTCCATGTATAAAGTAAGGATGATGCTAATATTAGTGTTTTAGTTATCTATTGCTGCATAGCAAATTGCCCCAAAACTTAGGGCTTAAAACAGTGACCATTTATTTTCTCACAGGTTTTGTGTGTCAGTAATTCAGAAGTAACTTAGCTGGGTGATTCCGACTTGGTGTTTCTCATGAAGGTGCAGTCATCTGAAGACTTGACTGGGGCTGAAGGATCCATTTCCAAGATGGCTCACTTATGTGCCTGGCAAGTAGGTATTGGCTGTTGGCAGGAGGCCTCAGTTCCTCCCCATATGGGCATCTCTATAAGCTGTTTGAGTGTCCTCATAACATGGCAGCTGGCTTCCCCTAGAATGGGCAATGTAAGAGAGAGCAAGGTGGAAGTCACAATGCTTTTAACACTCAGTCTCAGAAAGCACACCCCATCATTTCTGCAATATCCCTTAGTAACACAGGTCTGCCCTATGCATTGTAGGAGGAGATTACACAAAAGCACAAATATTGACAGGTAAAGATCATTGAGGTCCATCCTGAAGGCTGGCTATGCTAGTCTACACTAGTCTACACTCTGGCTCCCAAAGGTTCATGTCCTTCACAAATGCAAATCTGTTCAACCCTCCCAAGGGACTCAAAAGTCTCATCCCATTACAAAATCAGCTTGAAGTCCAGAATCTTGTCATCTAAAACAGGCCTCCAGGTGAGGTTCTTCTGGACTAATTCCTATGTACAGCTCCTTGAGTAGCTCTTCTTGATCTGAAGACCTATGAACTAAAAAGAGAACTCATATTCCCTGTCCTACTCCTCCATCACCAACATACAATGATGAGATGTGGGAAAAGCATAGGATTACCTCTACAAATATTTCTATTCACAAAAAGAGAGAGGTCTGCCGGGCATGATGGCTCACACCTGTAATCCCAGAACTTTGGGAGGCCAAGGCAGACGGATCACCTGAGGTCAGAAGTTCGAGACCAGCCTGACCAACATGGAGAAACCCCGTCTCTACTAAAAATACAAAATTAGCTGGGCGTGGTGGCACATGCCTGTAATCCCAGCTACTTGGGAGGCTGAGGCAGGAGAATTGCTTGAATGTGGGAGGCAAAGGTTGCAGTGAGCCAAGATCATGCCTTTGCACTCTAGCCTGGGCAAGAAGAGCAAAACTCTGTCTCAAAAAAAAAGGCCAGGTGCAGTGGCTCATGCCTGTAATCCCAGCACGTTGGGAGGTCGAGGTGGGCAGATCATGAGATCAGGAGATCAAGACCATCCTGGCTAACACGGTGAAAACCCGTCTCTACTAAAAACACACAAAAAAATTAGCCGGGCATGGTGACAGGGTCCCGCTACTTGGTAGGCTGAGGCAGGAGAATGGCATGAACCCAGGAGGCAGAGCTTGCAGTGAGCCAAGATTGCACCACTGCACTCCAGCCTGGGCAGCAGAGCTAGACTCCGTCTCGGAAAAAAAAAAAAAAAAAAAAAAAGAGAGGTCCCTGGGGGCAGGGAAAAAAAAGGATAAATAAACATAGGAAGTAGTCTCTATTCTATAGAAAAATACTGAAGGATACAGGTTGGCTGTTCCTTGAGTAGAGCTCAGGATCTGAGCATAATTTCTCATAGCTCTTGGCCCCAGCTTTGGGCTCTTTGTGCTCTGCCCTCTGAGCCACCTTTCCTTTTTATAGAAAGGCTCATGCTTGCAGCTGTGTTGTTTTCTCAGCCTGCTTTTGCTGCAGAAGTGTGGGGGTCAAGACTGGGCATGGTGGCTCATGCCTGTAATCCCAGCACTATGGGAGGCCGAGGCAGGTGGATCACTTGAGGTCAGGAGTTCAAGACCAGCCTGGGCAACATTGTGAAACCCCGTCTCTACTAAATATACAAAAATGAGCCAGGCATGGTGACACACGCCTGTAATCCCAGCTACTGGGGAGTATGAGGTGGGAGAATCACTTGAACCTAGGAGGTAGAGGCTGCAGTGAGCCAAGATCATGCCACTGCACTCCAGCCTGGGTGACAGGGTGTGAGGCTCCATCTGAAAAAAAAAAAAAAAAAAAAAAAAAAAAAAAAGTTTGGGGGTCCAAAAACTTCTTCTTATTTTGTATTCCCTCTATCTGTTTCAATACAAGCTGGTAGCATTTCTGCCAATACAATTTTCTTAAAACTTTTGCGAATCTCCATTAAATCTTATTGGGGTTCACTCAATTAGATAAAAGTTGTACTCACAAATCTCTTTGAGATAAACTCTTTTCTAACTCAGGCTTCAGTTTAGACTGCTGAGGGGCAACACTCATAAGCTTCTTCTTTTTTTTTTTTTTTTGATGGAGTCTCGCTCTGTCACCCAGGCTGTAGTGCAGTGGCGCAGTCTCGGCTCACTGCAACCTCTGCCTCCTGGGTTCAAGTGATTCTCCTGCCTCAGCCTCCTGAGTAGCTGGAACTACCAGTGCCTGCCACTATGCCTGGCTAATTTTTGTATTTTTAGTAGAGACAGGGTTTCACCATATTGGCCAGGCTGGTCTCGAACTCCTGACCTTGTGATCTGCCCGCCTTGGCCTCCGGAAGTGCTGGGATTACAGGCATGAGCCACCGCGCCCAGCCATAGCTTCTTTTTAAAATTTTTTAGAGACAGGATCTTTCTCTGTCACACAGGTTAGAGTACAATAATACAATCATAGCTCACTGCAGTGTAGAACTCCTGGGTTCAAGTTATTCTCCTGCCTCATCCTCTGGAGTAGCTATGACTACAGGTGCATACTTTCATGCCCACTATTTTATTTTTATTTTTATTTTTATTTTTTTGAGACGGAGTCTCACTCTCTTGCCCAGGCTGTAGTGCAGTGGCGTGATCTTGGCTCACTGTAACCTCCACCACCTGGGTTCAAGCAATTCTCCTGCCTTAGCCTTCCGAGTAGCTGGGATTACAGGCATGTGCCACCACGCCCGGCTAATTTTTTTGTATTTTTAGTAGAGACAGTGTTTCACTATATTGGCCAGGCTGGTCATGAACTCCTGACCTTGTGATCCGCCTGCCTTGGACTCCCAAAGTGCTGGGAGCCACCGCACCAGGCCCATGCCCACTAATTTTAAAAATTTTTTTGTAGGATGGGACCATGCTATGTTGTCCAGGCTGGTCTTGAACTCCTGGCCTTAAGCAATCCTCCCACCTCGACCTTCTAGAGTTCTGGGATTACAGGTGTGACCCACCATGCCTGGCTCTTAAGATTCTTAAAAACTATATCGTTAGGCTGGGTGCTGTGGCTCATACCTGTAATCCCAGCACTTTGGGAGGCCGAGGTGGGTAGATCACATGAGGTCAGGAGTTTGAAACAGCCTGGCCAACATGGTGAAACCCTGTCTGTACTAAAAATACAAAAATTAGCCAGACATGGTGGTACGTTCCTGTAGTCCCAGCTACTCGGGAGGCCGAGGCAGGAGAATTGTTTGGACCCAGGAGGCGGAGGTTGCAGTGAGCTAAGATCATGCCACTGCACTCCAGCCTGGGTGACAGAGTGAGACTCTGTCTCAAAAAAAACCAAAACCAAAACCAAAAACCAAAAACCCCAAAAACCATATTGTTAGACTAAATGGTTTCCTGAGTACCACCTTAGATCCTTCTGATATTAACAAAGCATGTTACACTCAATCTTGGCTTTGTCTTTATACCATGTTTTCCTGAGAGTGCCCTGAATTTGATACTTGCCCAGAAGCTATTTAAAAAATTTAACATCATTTACTGTCTGGAGAGGCTGAGAATTTTAAAATCCAAAAATTCCTGGCTCTCTTTTTGTTTTTCTTTTGAGACGGAGTCTTGCTCTGTCGCCAGGCTGGAGTGCGATGGCGAGATCTCGGCTCACTACAACCTCCGCCTCCTGGGTTCAAGTGATTCTCCCGCCTCAGCCTCCCGAGAGTTGGGACTACAGGTGAGCGCCACCATGCCCAGCTAATTTTTGTATTTTTAGTAGAAACGGGGTTTTACCATGTTGGCTAGGATGGTCTTGATCTCTTGACCTTGTGATCTGCTCGCCTTGGCCTCCCAAAGTGCCTGGATTACAAGCGTGAGCCACCATGCCCGGCCTCCTGGCTCTTTTTAAGTGGTATTTTTTTTTCTTAGCTATCTATCTCGCACTTTACTATAAGCAGCAAAGAAGAAACCAGGTGTTAACTTCAACATTCTCCCTGAAAATCTCCTTAGCTAGATTTCCCATTCATTAATTACATTTTTTACTTTCCATGTTACTACACACTAACTATAGTTGCTAAACTTGCTGAATAACGAGAATCCTTTTTCTTCCAGTTTCTTTTTTTCTTTCTTTTTTTTTTTTTTTTTTGAGATGGAGTCTTGCTCTGTTGCCCAGGCTGGAGTGCAGTGGCACGATCTCAGCTCACTGCAAGCTCCGCCTCCCGGGTTCATGCCATTCTCCTGCCTCAGCCTCCCGAGTAACTGGGACTACAGGTGCCCACCACCAGACCTGGCTAATTTTTTGTATTTTTAGTAGAGATGGGGTTTCACTGTGTTAGCCAGGATGGTCTCAATCTCCTGACCTCGTGATCCGCCTGCTTCGGCCTCCCAAAGTGCTGGGATTAGAGGCGTGAGCCACCGCGCCCGGCCTCTTCCAGTTTTAAAACACATTTTCCTCACTTTCCTTAAGTCTTCACTGGCCGCCTCTTCAAAGACCATCATGTCTGGGTATGGTGGCTTGTGCCTATAATCTCAGTGACTTAGGATCAGTTGAGGCCAGGAATTTGAAATCAGCCTGGGCAACATAGCAAGACCCTGTCTTTAAAAAAAAAAAAAAAGAGGCCACTGTGGTTCTACTAACTGTCGCGTCCAGGCATTTTAGACTTTCACTAACACTCTTCTCAAAGTCTTTCCAGCTTCTGCCCTTTGCCGAATTTCAAAGTCATTCTTACATTTTAGTTGTTTGTCACAGCAGCACTCCACTTTTAGTACCCAAACCTATTAGTTATCTATTGCTGAATGAGAAATCATCCCAAAATTTCACAGCTTAAAATATAAAATAAACATTTATTGTTGTAATCATTTTATATTGGCCAGGAATTTGAAAGTGACTTACCTAGATGAACCTGGCTTAGGATCTCTCATTAGGTTGCAGTCCAAATGTTGGCCAGGACAGTAATCATCTGAAGGTTTGACCGTGGCTGGAGGATCTGCCTCCAAGATGGCTCACTCATATGCCTGGCAAGTTCATGCTGGCTGTTGGCAGGAGGCCTCAGTTCCTTACCTGTGGACCTCTCTATAAGACTTCTTGAGTGTCCTGCAGCATGGCAGCTAGCTTTCTTCAAAATGAGTGATCCAAAAGACAGCAAAACATATTTTTGATTTTAGATTTTAGATTTTTATAATGTCTTTTATTGCTTATTATTCTTGGAAGTCACACACTGTCACTGCTGCCAGACTCCATTAGAAACAAGTCACTGGCCAGGCAGGGTGGCTCACACCTGTTATCCCAGCACTTTGGGAGGCTGAGGCAGGTGGATCACCTGAGGTCAGGAGTTCAAGACTAGCCTGGCCAACATGGTCAAAAATTAGCCTGGTGTGGTGGCATGTGCCTGTAGTTCCAGCTACTCTAGAGGCTGAGGCAGAATTGTTTGAACCCGGGAGTCGGAGATTGCAGTGAGTGGAGATCACGCCACTGCACTCCCAGCCTGGGTGACAGAGCAAGACTCTATCTCAAAAGAAAAATAAATAAAAAAATATTTATTTAATATATAATAATAATGAGTATTTATAATAATATATAATAATAATGAGTATTTACACTGTACTAAAATACCACGTCCTTCCTTTACGCCACTGCAGTCTTCCTTCCTTTCAGTTAGAGTATGAGCCAAAGTCTTTACAATGACTTACAGGGTTTTATGGGATGTCACCCCATGACCTGTCTGATCTCCTCTTCTATTGCTGTCTTCCTTGATCATTCTGTTCCAGCCACACTACCTTGTTCACTAAGACATGAATATGGGAGCCATGTACTCACCTCAGTCTTGGCATTTACTTCTGCTTTTGCTTGGAATGCTCTTCTTCCTGAGAACCACTTGGTTTGTTCCCTCATATCCTCAGGTTCTTGGTGGGGCCTTCTCTGACCCCAGTGTATAAAATTACACCCCCAACAATGTCTATCTCCCTTCCTCAATTAATTTTTCTCCTTAGCACTTAGCACTATCTAATAAACTATTTTATTAATTCATCACATTTATCCCTGCTCTTCTCACAAGAATGTATGTTCCATGAGGGCAGGGTCTATTTGTTTACTGCCGTATCCTCAGTGCCAAAAACAATGTCTAGCACATAGTAGGTATTCAATAAATGCTTTTTGAGTGAATGAATCAGTGACCACTAGTGACAGGCATCACATAGATGATGTCTTTTAATCTACTCAACTACCCTTTGTATTATTAGCTCCATGTTAAAGGTGAGGAAACTGAAGCTCCAGCAGGATATATAACTTGCTGAAGGTCCCAACCAGTAAGCAGTAAAGACTAGATTCACACACTAATTGCCAAGTCCAGAGCCCTTGTTCCTAGCCACTACCTGTTACTGCCTCCTCATATACTGGAAGCCACATTATAAAAGATTAGTAAAATGAAATAATGCGGAGGAAGGTGACAGGAATGTTGAAATGTCTCTAAGTCATGTCATATGATAAGCTGTTTATGAAACTAGAAATGCTTTTCAACTAAAGGAAAGCTTAACCTTTATTTTTATTTATTTATTTATTTTTTGAGACAGGGTCTTACTCTGTTGCCCAGGCTGGAGTGCAGTGGCACGATCATGGCTCACTGCAACCTTTACCTCCTAGGCTTAAGCAGTCCTCCCATCCCAGCCTGCCAAGTAGTTGGGACTACAGCCCGGCGCCACTATGCCTGACTAATTTTTGTATTTTTTGGTAGAGACGGGTATTCACCATGTTGCCCAGGATGATCTCGAACTCCTGAGCTTAAGCAATTCTCCCACCTTGGCTTCCCAAAGTGCTGGGATTATAGGGGTGAGCCACTGCACCCGGCTGGAGAGCTTAACTTTAGTGAAAACTAGATTGAAATGTTTGACAAGCTGTAGTGTAGAACAAGAATTTGTTTATTCTGTATACTCTGAAGGCCAGAAACTGGAATTCATGGAGCAAATAAAGTCAGTCTACTTCCTGCTTGAGGTACAGAGGCTGAGGGCAAGTGTTGATATAGAGGGATACCTGTCTGGGGCCATCAGTACTCCTTGACAACTCTGTGACTCATCAGTTTCAGGATGGCCCACTTCACAGAAGACAGGGGCAAAGGGAGCTTATTGAAGTAAGTTGTCTCGCTTTGTTGCCAGGCTGGAGTGCAGTGGCACAATCTGAGCTCACTGCAACCTCTGCCTCCTGGGTTCAAGCGATTCTCCTGCCTCAGCCTCCCGAGTCGCTGGGACTAGAGGTGTGTGCCATCATGCCCAGCTAATTTTTGTATTTTTAGTAGAGATGGGGTTTTACCATGTTGGCCAGGATGGTCTCGATCTCTTGACCTCATGATTGGCCTTCCACAGTGCTGGGATTAGAGGCACGAGCTCGTGAGCCACCGCACCCTGCCAGGCTTTTTTTTTTTTTTTTTCCTTAAGACAGAGTTTTTTGCTTTGTTGTGCAGGCTGGAATGCAATGGTGTGATGTCGGCTGACTGCAACCACTGCCTCCTGGGTTCAAGCAATTCTCCTGCCACAGCCTCCTGAGTAGCTAGTATTACAGGCATGCGCCACCATGCCCAGCTAATTTTTGTGTTTTTAGTGGAGACAAGATGGGGTTTCACCATGTTGGCCAGGCTGCTCTCGAACTCCTGACCTCAGGTGATCCACCCGCCTCAGCCTCCCAGGGATCCACCCTCCTCAGCGCGGGAGCCACCGCGCCCAGCCGCAGTTCAATTTTTTATGTGGGGTGGGAACACCCCTTGGAAATTTGAGCGTAACCTCAAATCATGTCCATTTTTTGAGCCTCTGGTATATTAAAAAATTAAGGCTGGGCCCAGTGGCTCATGCCTGTAATCCCAACACTTTGGGAGGCCGAGGAGGGCGGATTACCTGAGGTCAGGAGTTTGAGACCAGCCTAGCCAACATGGTGAAACCCTATCTCTACTAAAAATACAGAAATTAGCCAGGCATGGTGGCGGGTGCCTGTAATCCCAGCTACTCAGGAGGCTGAGGCACGAGAATCGCTTGAATCCAGGAAATGAGGTTGCAAATGAGCCGACATTGTGCCACTGCACTCCAGCCTGGGTGATAGAGCCAGACTCTAAATAATAATAATAAAAACAACTAAGAAATGCTAAGATGATTTTGATAATACTTGGTATATTTAAACATTTAACAAATACAAACTTGGTACAAACAACACAGCTATATAGTACTATTTACAAGAACCAACAGGAATTTTTTTAACTACAAAATTAGAAATTTAAGGGCCTTTATAAATGTGAGGCTGAGACCAAAGGATTCTCATGGCACCAGGGTGAGGACGAGGACAGGGGCATGGGTGCAGGTTAGAGGTCCCTCAAGAGGCATGGGTGTTATCTCCAAAAGCCTCAGGGAATTGGCACAGAAATGTCCCACTCTTAGATAAAGGGGACACAGGGGCCTGCTTGTCTTGGTCAGAAGGAGTTCTGTGATAGCATTCTGCAGTCCAGGAGTGCAGAGTCTCATCTGGACTCTTACCCTGGGACCCCGGGGACAGGCATCCTGGAGTGATTCGTGTCTGAGGCGCCCACAGGGGGGCAGTGTGACAACTCAGAGGCGCTCCAAGGAGAGGGCACAGAAGTGCCAACCTTCTCCCCTCCCGCGGACCATCTGTCCTGTACCACCCGCCGCCCCCCCACTCCCTGTCCTTTCCTGGAGTTAGTGAGGGCTGCCCACCAACCTCCACACAGGGACAGCAGACGGAAACTCTGACATTTCCCTCTCTGCAGCTGGAAAGCTAAGAGCGGCTTGTCTGCCCGTCTCGCCGAGTCCCACCCCTTTAAGTACAGGTGTCCAGGGTGGAAACATGGAAAGTGGAACAGGGGAAGGAAGAGGCTGGTAGTGCCCGTGGCCCTGGCGGGACTGGCTTTGCCTCTGCCTCTCAGTTCCCTAGGTTCGGTTTGCAGTCCCAACATCCAGCACAAGGGGGCGCTACCACCCTGCAAACCCTGCCCCGCGGGTCTTGCACATGGAGTGGGCGCAGCCATAGAGAGTGGGGTGTGTTCCTCTAAGTCCCTTACCCAGCTTTCCTCCTCTCAGAACCTACATGCAATCTTGTGCAGGGATGAGGTGGGGAGACCTCTGGAGCACAGGCCAGCAAAGCAGAGGAGAGTTTGGGGAATCTGACATAGAGCTTAGAGGGATAGAGGGAAGAGAGGCCTCCTGGCTGGGCCCTCCAGGTCAGAGTCTAGGTGTGGGCTGGGCTGGGAGTGCAAGCCAAAGGCTGGGTATTTCCAGAAGAGTTGGGTCAACACAAACTGATACCAACCACTCCCAGATTAAGGGCAGGCAGGGAGTGGAGAGTTGACACCTAAGCGGGAGGGGATGGGGCCTACAGGGACAAAGTAGGAGTTCTGGGGGTATGAACCTCTTTACCTCAATATATTTTTCTTTTTTAAAACCTTTTAAAGATTGACGTGATGGTTGGTCTGAAGGTAGTGTGTTATCTCAACTGATTGCTCACAGTCAGTTACAGATCAAACTCCTTGTTCTGTTCTTTTCCCCCTTCTCACTACTGCACTTGACTAATCTAAAAAAAAAATAATAAGGTAAAATATACCATGAAAGGCCGGGCACATTGGCTCACGCCTGTAACCCCAGCACTTTGGGAGACTGGGGCGGGCAGATCATGAGATCAGGAGTTTGAGATCTGCCTGGTGAACGTGGTGAAACCCTGCCTCTACTAAAAATACAAAAAAAAAAAAAAAGAAAAAAGTTAGCTGGGTGTGGCGGGCGCCTGTAATCCCAGCTACTCAGGAGGCTGAGGCAGGAGAATCATTTGAACCCGGGAGGCGGAGGTTGCGGTGAGCCGAGATCGCACCATTGCACTCCACCATGGGCGACAGGGCGAGACTCTGTCTCACACACACAAAAATATATATGTACCATGATGCTCACAAAGTGCACTAAGTTTAAGTGTTCAGCTCAATTATTTGAGTTATGTATTCACTACTTATGTGTCCATAATATGTACATATGTATACAATACTTATGTAATCACAACTACCACTGGTAATTCAATTCAACAAATTTTACTGAGTGCCTCCTGTGTGTCTAGCACTATTTTACCCGTTTGTAAGAAAAGTGAGGCTAGAACCTGTTTTCCAGTGGCTGTGATAGGGTTGGTATTATGAATTATAGTAATTCCTTGACAGAACTATACCATCACCTGGTATGAGAGAGCAACATTGTGTGATCTACTCACAGTGACCGTCATCTTGGACTCCAGAATGGGAAGAATTGTCTGCCGTGTCTGAATATACTAACTCACAGAACTCCAGGGGACAAAACTGGAGCCAGGAAATAGAGTCAGGGCAGCCATACTCCTAGCACAGAATCAGGTGCTGAGCAGGCGAGAGAGCCTTTTGGGGAATTGATCCTGCTCTCTGGCCTGGTGCTACATGTCTCTGTAAGTTGGGCAATGAGTGATGTCTTTGACAAACCAAAGTGAAATGGAGCCTGTTGCGTGTGTATGAATCCACTAGGCCTTCTGACACGCCAGTCTTTTTTCTCAGCTTTGTGGTCAGCCTGGCCTTGCCTCACCCAGACCCCATCCTGCTCCAAGTCAGGGAACTGCCCCTAGCAGGAAACTGAGTGAGTGAGCAGGATGTGGCCGGTGATGAGGCAGCTCCCAGACCTGGCTGGTCCCTGAGTCAATGAGCTACTTCGGGCACTCAAAGGAAGCCCTTCCGCCCATTCATTACTTCCACCGCCTCTTCTATCACCTCTACCATCCCTCCCTATCCAGGTGTGGGTCTTTGGAGGCAGGGAGCTGGTCTCCTTCTTCTGTAAGTCACAAAGGAATAAGGGCAATCTGGGGCAAATGGCCTCAGCATGGAGGCAGAGGAGGCTGCTCCTTGGGGATGCCAGTGACTGCCCTGGCCAGGAGGCTGCCAGTAATCTTGCTTTGGAGTCCCTAGGGCCAGGACTGGTGGCAGGGTAGGACAGAGGGGGCTGGGCCTGGCTGGGGAAGGCTGGCCTGGAAGGAGCTGAGCCATCGGCCCTGGGCCAGGGTGGAAAATATGTGTGTGAGCTCATTTGGAAGGTGGCTTCTGGCCAGTCAGGCCTGCCTCCCTTCCAGGCCCTGGCTGCCCAGCCCCTTGCAGGCGGCCTCCGGTCTCCCTACTTTCACAAGACTGAGAGAGGAGGGCAGAAACCCCCAAGGCTGGGGCTAGGTGTGCAGACTTGAGCTTTTAAAAGAGGTGTACTCAGATTTGGGTTGGTAGGTAGGAAACGGGACAGGAGCTGCAGGACGACGGAGCAGCCTTGGCTGGAGTTTCCTTGGGGACTTTGGGAATGGGCACCACCCCTGAAGCCCCCTGCCCCCCCATGCCCTTGCACAGAAACATTCACCAATCCCACCCTTCCCTTAGCTGCTGCCATTGTCTCATTCCATCCCTTTGGCTTCTGAGTCTTGGTGCCACCTTCCTTCCTTCAGAGTACGGCTCCTGTCCCCAGGAAGGGAGGCGATGGGCTGGCAAAGTGGGGTCCTTTTCCCTCTGCACTCCTATCCCCCATAATATTGCTGCACAATAAGCAAATACAGCCGGGTGCTCACGCCTGTAATCCCAACACTTTGGGAGGCCGAGGCAGGCGGATCACCTGAGGTTGGGAGTTCGAGACAAGCCTGACCAACATGGAGAAACCCTGTCTCTACTAAAAATACAAAATTAGCCGGGCGTGGTGGCACATGCCTGTAATCCCAGCTACTTGGGAGGCTGAGTCAGGAGAATCGCTTGAACCCAGGAGGTGGCGGTTGCGGTGAGCTGAGATCGTGCCATTGCACTCCAGCCTGGGCAACAAGAGTGAGACTCTGTCTCAAAACAACAACAACAACAAAAGCCATAATAAGCAAATACATATGTGCTGACAGATCCCCAGAACACACACTGCCATGAAAACGCCCAGCTACCCAGGGTCCATGCTGGAAGAGACACCAAGAGATTGCCAGGATCTGCCAGTATAGAAAAATAAATAAATAAATTGGAAAGATCTGGGTTTTAAATTTGGACTAACAACCTGTGACCTTGACCAAGTTATTTATCTTTCTGGGCCTCAGTTCCCTTATTTGTTAAATGGGGACAATATTAGTGCCTGTGTCACTGTGTGTTGTAAGGACCTCAGCAAATGTTAGTTTCACCATTGCTGGAAGGGAAGGAGGGATACAGAGTGGAAAGAGACCACTGGAAAGTCTGTCAGATTGTGGGGAGAAGGGGCCCTGGGGGAGGGACAGTGAAGGACTGGCAGAGCTAGCCAGATTATGTTTTGGGGTCTGGAGGGGTGTGGGGGTGTCTCTCTGCCCAGTCCTCTCTCCTCTAGAGGACCTAGCTCCTCTTAGATCTTCCCTTCCCTTCCCGCTGACCCAGCGCCTGGCCGGCAGCCCTGGAGTCATGGGCCCAGCTGGTGCCAGGAGCCCTGGAGAAGGGGAGGTGATGACAAGGGAGTCCGTGGCCCCCCTCCAGATGTGTGGGGTGCAGTCGTGGGCAGAGTGCTGCTCCTCCTCGGCCCTTGCCCCCCGTCCAGCGTCTCCTTAGCACCAACTTTCCTGGGTTCTGCCCAAACCTCCTTGAAGATTCCCCTTGGCTCCCTCCTGGCTGCTCCAACTCACATGTGCTGCTTTCGAATAAAGGAACTTGGAACCATAGAAACTGGGTCAGGCCCAATGGACAGATCGGGGTAGGGCCAGTGAAAGCCGAGTTTGCAGGTCTTTCGGAAGCCACAGAGCCCTCTGCTCTCCCCTCACCCCAGCCTGACCTGGCGGTTCACTCAGCGGGAACTTGTGATCACTAAGGCACCTCCCAGGGTCCCCGGGCAGCCTCACTGGGGTGGATCAGGCAGGCCCAGGCACGTCAGAAGCACGGGACCCTGCCGCCTCCACCCTGAAATTCTCTCCGCTTGTGAAGCTTGTTTTAATTTTTATTTTATTTTTTTAAACCAGTCAAATTTAGCAGTGGGGGGTTTTATAAGCCCATCTTCCACCTCTTTCCCCTTTGTCTCTGGTCCTCCATTCCCATTTCTCCCCCTTGGCTCCAGAGAGCATCTTGTGATTCCAGAATCAGGGCCAAACAATTTCCTCGTGATGGGGAAACCGCACTCCAGCGCGGGAGCCCTAGGCTCCCCCTCCTCTTCTCTCTGGCAGTCCCCCCTCCCCAGGCTCCTCCACTGGCTCCAGCTGTGTTTTGCAAAACTCCCACTGGATAACATCTGTAATTGCCTCCAGATGTGGACCACAAAAACACAAAGGGGCCATGAGCTCATCTTTGAGTTCCTTGCCACCCGCACAGACCCTACCACCCTCAGATGCCCCTGACTTCCCCTGCCACCTTATCAAGGTCCCCATCCCCTCCGGTAAGGGTGGTGGTGAGGTGGTGTCCAATTCCACCGAGACACACAGACTGCCAAACAGCTGTTGGCAGGGGGAGGCGCAGGAGGCCAGGCGTAGGGTCAGGGTTCCTGGCAGGCAGGAAGGTGGAGTACCCCTTCTGCCAAAGCAATCACACTAACCAGCCCTGAATAGCAGCTGGATAGACTGACTGGCATAGATGGGGCCAGGACTCTGCAAGGCAGGCGGCGGAGGGAGTTTGGGCTGGAGCCCAGGGTGGGCTGGGTGGAGGCAGGAAGGGAAGGGGGGTGAGAAAAAGGGGCTGCTCTCCTCCAGCGGAGCTGACTCAGCACTGAACTGATTCCTCCCTCCAGGCTGGTTTCAGAGGAAGCCTGGGAACCCTGTCTGGGGCAGGAGTTTCTAAGGAAAGAGGAAGCAAAGCCTTGTTATTCTGCCCTTCCAACCTGACCATCCTGGTTCTTCCGGGCAATTGGGATGAGATCTCTGTTTGGCCAGAGACGGGCTGCTCCTAGCAGGCCCCGCAGCGACACCTCTTTCTCTTTCTCCCTCGTCTCCTTCTGTCTTAGCAGCAGAGCCCCAGGCCTGGAAGAGGCTTCTTAGGTCCTGAGGGCTCGGATAAAGCCAGTGAGCCCAAGGTCGAATATGATCATGGGAATCCCCCTGCCTCAGGCAGAGAGGCATGAGGAAACTGAGGGTCTGCGGGTGGATCACAGGACACGGTAATGCAATTTAGGAAGATTTTCCAAGTGGCATCAGCTTGACCACTTCCTCTTGTCTCTGAGCCTTGGGTCTCAAGGCAGCCTTTTAAGCCAGGTGGTGGGAGAGCAGCTGAGCTCTGTCAGCCACCCCGCTGCCCCCTATGGGTATGCCCTGCTCCCCAACTCTGGCCCCTGAATCCCTTTAGTCCACTAAGAATAAACATACTCCTTTATGAAAAATGCCAAAGCCCCACCTCATGGAAAACGCTGCTTATGATGTGTGCCCGCCCCTCATCCAGCTCCTCTCACCCACAGCCCGTCACCCTCTACAGAGCTCAGCCACACAAGGAATGTGAAACACAATTTATTCTTTGTGGAAAGGTTGAACAAGGTCAAAATTGTCCTTAGAGGGCACCGACCCAGCCCCGCCCTGCAGGTTCCTGGGGTCAGACGCCTCTGCCCCCCCACCCCCACCCCTCCCCATGCCCCTTGTTAACAAAAAGGAACGATTTGAATGGAATTCATATATAATAATTATAATAAAAATATACATTAAACAAAACAAAAAAACAAACAAGACAGAAATCTAGCCGAACTGCCAGCACCGTTCACCCCATTTCCCCTACCCCGTGCCCCACCCCCCCGACATCCCTCTCCTCTTGCTCCCTCCACTGGGTCTCACTCTCCCAAGTCCCCGGTACCATGGCCACCACCTTTGGTGGCCCAAGGAGACTTCAATGGGTGGGCTGGGTGGGGGAGCGAGAGGGCAGGCCACTGGTGAGACAGGCTTGAGGGGTGCTGGCACCAGGGAAGCGTGGACCCAGCCTAAGCGAGCCCCAGCTCCTGCCCCTCACTGAGATGGTGAGCAGGCCGGGACAGCGTGGCCAGCCAGGCCCTGTGGCCTCTCGTGAAGCCCCTCATTCCTCGTTTGTGTGCCTTCTCTGCTCCTTTCTCTGGCTGCCCTACCCTTCCCCTCCACGCTGCCTGGGCAGCAAGGACAGGGACCAACAGGAGCAAGTGTGCCTTCCTCAGGGCCCTTCCTGAGAGCTCCACAGCCCACCCTGTGGCCCCCTGCTTGGCTTGGCCTGGCCTGCCCGGCCCCAGCCTTCCAATGCTGCTGCACGTCCTCATTTTCCTTTTTGGTCCCCTCCTGCCCCCTCTGGCTGTTCTGCCTTTGGGCCTCAGCCCCAGCTGCCTGAGTTTGGGCAAGGTTCTTTCTCTGTGGCCTTCAGGCTCACCCCCAGGGCTCTGACCCGGGCCTCTCCCACCGGCCCCACCCTACCTGACAGCTGCACCCCTGGTTTCAGCTCTTCTAACTGTGAAAGCCCCATCCAAGGCTAACATTCGAGAGGCACAGGGCTGCCAAGGGTTTCTTCTGCCCACTTAGTCCCCAGTGGCTCAGGCTCCTTCCTTGGAAGTTCCCTGGGGTAGGTGAGGCAGAGGCAGATCTCCGAGGAACTTGACTGACTGAGCAACGAAGACCCTCTCTGAGTTTTCCTCCCAAGGTCTTAGGGTGGCTTGGCAGTCCCCACCCCCTCACACTGTCTCAGGGTCTCTACCCTCAACAAGATTAGATTCCTTTTAGCCAGAAAGAGTAGTGAGAGGCTGCCAATTGGGTACACCTGGGGCTTTCAGGGCTGGAGTGCCCAGAGCCTCCTGAGGTCAGAGTTCAGAGGTTAAGGTATGTCAGGGGATGGAAAAGGAGCAGATGACCCCATTTGACCTTTACCAGCGAGGTCTGAGGGTCCTGCCTTCAAGTGCAGAGCCCCCAACACATTCAGATGGGGCTGGACAGACACAAAGCTACAGGGTTCCCCTGAGGGGCAGAGGCTGGAAAGGGCCGCCCTCCCACTCAGCCCTCAGGGGACCTATCTAGGGAAGATGCAATGCCGGGGCAGGAGGGAGGGAGGCGGTCAGGGTGAAGGAGGCCAGCCAGGGGACAGAGAGAAGCAAGGAGGCTGCGGGGAGGGGGCTCGGGACGATGGGAACAGCCCACCCACCACCACCTGCTGCCACTGGCCTTCAGAGGCAAAGTCCTTGTGGTAGGAGTGGGCGGGCCGGCGGTGGGCGTCAGACCTTGTCCAGCAGGGAACGCTGGCAGTAGAGCAGTCGCCTGGGGGTCCCATGGCGTCTGAAGAAGAAGACTGCAAGGCCCACCGCCAGCACCAGGAGCAGCAGCAGCACGGGCAGCACCACGGCAGCCGCGCTCACCGCCCCGCCGCCCTCCTCGTCCACCTCAATGATGATCACCTCCGTCTCCTCCTCAGTCCCCTCATCCGGCCGGCCTCCCGATGGGCAGCCCATCCAGTCCCTCAGGGCTGACTTGGGGTAGCCCGGTTCTACCTTCAGCTTCTGGTTGTTGAATTTCCAGTATTTGTTCCCCTTGTAGAAGTAAGTGAAGACTGCAGGGAGTGAATCAGAAGGTGGTAAGGAAGGGAAGACCCAAAGAGAGGAGAGGAGAGGAGCGAGGGAAGCTCTGTTAATGTGAGGGCAGCTGAGCTTCCCTCCACCTTCGTGAGCATCAGCTTCCTCAGCTGTAAAATGGGGGTGCTTATAGTACCAGGTTGGAAGGTGGTGGGGATGAATGGGCACCACGTGTGGAAGCACCTAGCCCAGCGCCTGGTATGTGGTATTATCATCGCCGTTGTTTTCCACACAGCACTCCCTCAGGCTTCCCTCCCGCTCTTCCTCAACTCCCTATTCCCATCCTTCTCTCAGCGACACCTTCCCTTGCCCCTCTCACCTTCATCGCTGCCCATGAATGACCCTCTGGGAGACTCAGGGATCCCTTCCCAGACTTTGATGTTCTTGGGGTACTCGCTATCCACTGCCCTGAGCTCTTCGTTGAAACGGTAGTACCTGGGGAAGGGGAAAGGAAGGGCAGTGGCGGACACTGGGCATGTCCTCAGGAGGCGCAAGACCCGGACCGAATCCACCAGTGGGCAAAGGATAGCTGTGGACAGGGTGGGGACAGGGGTTTTGAGTAATGAGGACCTGCTGCTGAAAGCGGCGGAAGGTGGGGGTGGAAGGGAGGGCCCAGGCTGCAAGGAGCCACCAGTAGCCCTAATGACAGTGCCTGGCTGCTGGGGTGGAGGCGCAGTGCTGGGGGCAGGAGGCGCCAAATGACCAGGTCTGGAATGACCCGGTCACATCCCACTCACACGGTGCCCAAAGGAGGCTGCCCATTTCTAGGCAACAGCAGAGGCTCAGCCAGCTCCTTCTCCAGGGAAGCATGTTGGGGGTAAAGTGGGTCTTTCTCCAGAACTGAGGGAATTTGGGGTGGTGGTGGTTTCTGAGGGAGGCCTGGGGTTAAGGGGTTGAGGTCTTACTTGTTTCCACGGAAGAAGTAGGTCTTTCCATTGGGCATCCAGAAGAGAGCAGCATCAATCTTGTCGGTAGGCAGCCCTCGGCCCAGCTCCTTAATGTGCTTGGGGTAGCCAGGTTCCAGGGACGCCTCATCAAACACCCAATGCTTGTCTCCTGGGGAGGACAGGAGGGCAACGTCTGGGTTCAACTTAGGCTCTAGGGACTTTAGAGGAAATCAGCTCCTCTAGGGAGACCCGCCTCACTCCCAAAGACTAAAGTGGAGTGCCTGGTTACCTTTGAAGAAGACGAATTTGCCATCCTTCCTCTCGTAGGCAGTGTTGATGGACGCAGGCAGGCCCCGCCAGAACTGGCCAATGGGCATTGGGTATCCATCCATCACTTGGTTATTCCTCACCCGCCAGAACCAGCGCTCCTGGAAGCCGGTCAATGCAGGAAAAGTCCATTATGTCTTGCGGCCTAGGTCTCTGGTTCAGTCCCCAAAGCTCCCGCACTGCTGTTTGTTCCTCAGTTTTAGTTTTTAGTCCAGCTGTTGTCACTTCCACCCAGCCGCCCTACCACAGAGTACCCCCCCGCCTTTTTTTTTTTTGAGATGGAGTCTCACACTGTTGTCCAGGCTGGAGTGCAATGGCCCTATCTCGGCTCACTGCAACCTCCACCTCCCAGGTTCACGTGATTCTCCTGCCTCAGCCTCCCAGGTAGCTGGGATCATAGGCGCCCACCACCACACTTGGCTAATTTTTTGTATTTTTAGTAGAGACGGGGTTTCACTATGTTGGCCAGCCTGCTCTCGAACTCCAGACCTCAGGTGATCCACCTGCCTTGGCCTCTCAAAGTGCTAGGATTACAGGCATGAGCCACCATGCCCAGCCCATAGGGCCCTTTTGTCTTTCAAACCAGCCCACTTCTTCTCACCTTGAAGACAAACATCTCCCCTCGGAGCATGGCCACGGTGTCAAAGTTCCCGTCACAGATGTTGGGCCCATAGGTGGGGTTTTTGGGTTTATCAGGAACAGAAGGCCGGGAGGTAGTCCTGGGTTGAGGGGGCATCTTGGTGGGGAACCCTGACTCACCCCCTGGGGCAGAAAACACGAGGGGCATTTCAGACTTAGGAGGAGGCGGGGACGGAAGGACAGACAGATGGGCAGACAATACCCTTGGAAAGGTGTGGATGGGCTTCTAGGGGAGGCTGAAGCAACCAACTGGGAGGCGACACAAAAGATGGGCTCAAAAGTGGAGCTGATAGAGGCAGGGGCAGGTTGGCAGGGGGCGGTGCGGAGACTGCAAGGCATAAAAGAGGGGAAATGCGTAGACCAGGAGGGAACAAGCAGCAGAGGAGGGAGCAGGCGTGGGTGTAGACTACTCGCCATAAAGTTGCTGGATGCCCCGGCGGTCATCATCGGGCAGCACAAAATTCTCCGTGTCCATCCACTGGTAAAAGGGTGCCATGATGGCCGAGGGGTCACTGGAATGCTCGAGCCCCAGGGCATGGCCCAGCTCGTGCACAGCCACCAGGAAGATGTCATTTCCTGGAAGGATGGGGACAGTGACGATAGCAGCCTGAGTCCCTTCCCTCAGCCTCCCTGCTTCCCCACCAGCAGCTTTGGTTTCACCTCCAAGCCTGCTGCCCATGTTTTCAATCCAAAGTGGCCAAATTCTGAGGTCTAGCTTTTTATCTGGTATTTAAGCACAAAGCCAGTCAGCAAGCTCCTCTGGGTGGAGGTGAGAGAGTGCTTGGAAGCAGGACCCCGATCCCGGGAAGACCTGTGGTAAGGGAAGCCAAGGCTCTCTCTAGTCCCCAGTTTCTCCCGGGAGCGAGACATGACATCGGTCTGGAAAAGTGGGCAATAAGGATGCTTTGAAGTCTTTGACTGGAAAGCCAGTCAGTGGGTGAGAGGGGGGACCAGATGTAAATAGCTCAAACAGGACTCCTGCTTTTGTCAGAAGTTAGATCAGAAGGTCTCTGTGGTCCCTTCTAGCCCGGAGATTTTGGAAGGAGGGAGGGGAACCACCCCTACAAATGACTGTTGGCTTTTTCCAGAGTAAGTCCCAGGGATACTTGGCTCACCATTCAGATCCTCATTCCTGACAGTCCAAGGCTCGGCAGAGTCAAAGTGGGTGTCTCCTCCAATGTTGGGGCCTGGGAAGTAGGCATGGGCCAGGAAGCCGCCCTCACCATCGAAGGGCGTGCTGTCGCCATGGAAGCCCTCGGCAAAGAAGATCATGATGTCGGCCTGCTTCTCATGGCCCTCACGGATGTAGGCATAGGGCACCTCGCGGAAGCGCAGTGGTGTGGCACTCTCCCACACGCGGAACGCCTTGCGAATGGCCTCGTATGTGGCATACTCGCCCACCTTGGGGGTGTAATTCTGGATGCTGAGGTCCAGCCACGTGGGGAGAGGATGGGGTGTGTTAGGATAAAGAGGGGCAACATTCTCCTTCCCTGCACTCTCCCAGGTCTGACTGCGCGGCCCAGCCACCTCTGCCTGACCCAGCTCTTCCTGCTACCTCATGCGCAACGCCTCTGTCTCAAGAACAAGGGATCCTCAGGCTCTGGCTCTCTGGCACTGGGGTGCACCCTTGATGGCTACACCTCTCTCAAGGATGAGAGCCATTTTCCTCCCCACTCCCACGGATGCTTCCCAGGAACTGAGGGGAGTGGGGCAGGGGGTCTCTGAGTCCCTGCATAAGCACAATGGGTAGGAAATAATAACCAGATGTGAGAAAGGTTGCTTGCCTGTTGGACTCACCAGAAAGTGATTTCATTATGTTGCCATTTGAGACCCTGGATGGCGTAGCGCTTCCTTCGAACATTGGCCTTGATCTCAGCCCCAAACTTGTCTGGAACACCACATCGGGGGCGCCTCATGGCCCTGGAGTGGGTTTGGGTGCGAGGATTGGGATCAGTGCAGTGTATGAAAGAGAAAGGTCTCCACGATCAGTGTTGGGTAAGACTTGCTGTGTGTCAATGTGGGGAAAGGCCAAGGTTATGAGGTCAGGGTGAATATGAGAGGGTCAGGATCAGCACGTGGGGATGAGATATGGGGGAGTGGGGTGCACAAGCCAGGCATTCAGGTAGGAACATCTCTGGCGCTGGCATTGTCAGTGGATGCTAGGCAGAACTCCTGCCAGGGTCTAGCACTTACTTCATGGTGTCTGCATCAGCTTTGCCTGTTACTTGCAAGCCGTAAAACTTCTGCATGGCAGCGATGGCCGCTGAGAGTGACTGGGGTGAGCGCTGTGTGTGGGTACGTAGGTCCCCGGGAGGCAGGTAGCCATATTGCTGTAGCCAGGCCTGTAGGGAAAGGGGTATGGCTTAGAGTGTCCCCACCTGGCCCATAGGGTGCCTCTACCTCCCCGACAATGCCCAGCATACAGCCTTGGCTTGGCAAGGAAAGGGCAGTGGGTTCCCAGCTTGGCTCCGGCAGCAGGTCTGGAGGAACTCCCAGGCTAGACCTGATCTCTGGCCCAGGCCCCTCGGGGCTATAGCTTGTCCCCTCGGGGCTATGGGCCCAAACAGGCTTTTGGCTGTAGCTCTCTTGAAAATGAGAGAGAGCCCTGGTGGTTTAATGGGGTTCTGAGATGTCTTCTCAGAGCTGTGATTCCTTCTAGCACTTTTCTCCCCCATGTCAGTGTTCTTACAAATATAGCATGTTCCACCTGGGACTGGGCTATGCCCATGATGTGTGGGGAGGGGTGTTGACAGGCTGAGTGAGCTCTACTATTGGGCTTGACCTGAGGCCCTCCTGGGATGGGAGTGCCATGTCCCCAGGACCCTCACAGCTGAGATCTTTTTAGAAAGGAGGGCAGAAAAAAGAGCTAGAGCTAAGGCTGGCTGCTACGAGGGGAAACTAGGAACTTGGAATGTGGTAAGAGGTGTGATCCAGCTGAAGCCAGGATCCTGCCGCTGTCCTTATCCAAGCAGCATCTGACCTATGGCTTGGAACCTAAAGGCCTATTTAAGATTCTCAGCAGTGGCCGGGCGCGGTGGCTCACACCTGTAATCCCAGCACTTTGGGAGGCCGAGGCAGGCTGATCACGAGGTCAGGAGATCGAGACCATCCTGGCTAACACGGTGAAACCCTGTCTCTACTAAAAATACAAAAAATATTAGCCGGGCACGGTGGCGGGCGCTTGTAGTCCCAGCTACTCAGGAGGCTGAGGCAGAAGAATGGTGTGAACGCAGGAGGCGGAGCTTGCAGCGAGCTGAGATTGCGCCACTGCACTCCAGCCTGGGAGACAAAGCAAGACTCCGTCTCAAAAAAAAAAAAAAGATTCTCAACAGAGGAAGTGGGACATAGGGGTGGAGGAGGAGACTTGGTGACTGTATTTTATTTCAGGTATGTTGTGAATTGGTCATAATATAAAGGCTGGCATATTGCCTTAAATTAAATTAATGTTAGGTTTTTGGTGTTTGATTAAAAGGTACACACACTGCAAAGCCCTGTTGAGGAGAAAGTCAGCCTTTATTGTAAGAACAATGGAGTATTTTCTTAAAGCCTCAAAGTAAAACAAGCCAGGCTGGGCGTGGTGGCTGACGCCTGTAATCCCGACAGTTTGGGAGGCCAAGGCGGGCAGATCACCTGAGGTCAGGAGTTCGAGACCAGCCTAGCCAACAGGGTGAAACCCTGTCTCTACTAAAAATACAAAAATTAGCTGCACGTGGTGGTGGGCACCTGTAATCCCAGCTACTCAGGAAGCTGTGGTAGGAGAATTGCTGAACCTGGGAGGCCAAGGTTGCAGTTAGCCAAGATCCCGCCACTGCACTCAGCCTGGGTGACAGAGCGAGACTCTGTCTCAAAAAAAAAAAAAAAAAAAAAAAAGTAAAACAAGCCAAGTTATATATGAAATATGAAGATGCTTGGATTCTTTTATGGGGAGAAGACACCACCCAGATAGCTCTAGTCCCTGCTCCAGCTTTGCTTTCTTAGGGAGTTCAGGAAGCGGCTGTAGGTTGCCCAGGATGGGATCTTGGAGGGGAGATGGGGGAGGCTGCTGTTGGGTGCTGTATCTCCTAGCCAAGGTCATCAGGATTGGATTGCCACATGGTCCTTCACCTCTGGGCTCAGGTCCTGGTGATGGGGCAGTAGTCTTGCATGGGGACTGGGGGTGACTCAAGAGCAGCTGACTGGGGACCTGAGCCCACAGGGGCAAGAATTGCAACATGGTTCTGGGAAGTGATCCCCCCCCAAGGCTGATGCGAGCTAGAACCCGAGATGTAAACAACCCAGCCTTTTCCCAGCCAACAGTCTTGGCTAGAACAACCCTAGCACCACCTAGCTCTGAGGCTCTGAGAGCCCCTCCTCAGGGGTAGAGGAAGGAGTGACATTTAACCTTTGGTATACCAGAGGGAGCCAAGCAGTCCACACCAGTCCGGGGCTGCTCTCAGGGAGCTGCAGGCTTGCCCTGACCTGTTCTGGCTGATGCCACAGCCAGTGCCTGGGGAGGCCTGCTGTGGCCTGTGCCTAACTATGCAGGAAATGTCTTTTGCCCCTAGCATACCTGCAGGATAAACACACCCCGGGCTTATGACCCTTGGTTGAGGAGCAGCTGCTTCAGGACTTGGGGAAGGATGGGACTGGTCTACTGACGCTGGAAGGCAGGAGGACTGAGGCCAGGCCCCGTCAACCCTCAGAGAGCAAAGCTGAGAGAATTTGCCTAGAGCAGAACGACAGAAGGAAGATGGGGAGAAGACAGAACGACAGAAGGAAGACGGGACAGAAGAGATGGGGAGAATCCACATCCAGGAGCTCTGGGGGAAATCCCCTCTGGAGTCGTTCAAGAAGCTAGGGGGGTCTAAATATTCACACCTACAACCTCCACCCCATACCCTCGGGAGAAAAATGAAGGCTCAGTCAAATGAAGGACTTCCCTGGAGTCAAGAGAGCCGCAAGGCCTGGAAAGGAAGTGCCCCCATCCCTCTCCTCCCCCCAGGCCTAGGCAAGTTTCTCTCCTCACAGAGACTATGAGGTCGAAACCACAGAAGAGAGGACTCTTGTGTCTGCGGCTGGGTGGGAGGAAGGGCCCAGCGCCAGACAGGCCATGGGGAGGAGAGGGCTGTCCTGGAGCTGGTGCAGGACTCTGGAGGCCTGGTAGGAGGGACCCAGCTGCATGAGGCCTGCACCACCCCAGCTTTCCCTCCACATTGGCCTGGAGAAAAAAGCAACTATGTTGGGTCAAAGAACCCAGTCGGCTGGCTTTGTCTTTGCGAATGAGAGAGATGCAAGGTATCCCCTAGGAGAAAGTCAACGGAACACCTCCCACCTTGGCTTAGGGGTCCAGGGGAGGGTGGGGGGACCTCCAGCTCTGCAGTAGGCCCTGGATCCTAGCCTCTGGGGCTGCTCCTCCCTCCCTTCCTGGGCCCAGAAGCAAATGGTGGTTCTGGCACTGGGACCGCCCATGACCCAATTAAAACGGAGCCAGGGCAGCCGCCCCTCCCCTGGGGGACCCAGCAAAGCAGGGGAGGGAAAAAAGGTAAGGCAGTGAAGTTGGCGGTCGGCAGCTCCCCAGATGCTCAGGCTCGTTTTGTTAGGGGCGCTCCCTTTCAGGTCTCAGAGGACTCTAGGCCTGGGAAGAGGACGACTCCTCCCGGACAGTCAGGCTCAGCCTCCAGCACCAGGGCAGGTTTTTACTCTCCCTGGTCTCTGAGCACTCCACGTTTCGTCTTCCACCCCGATTCCTGGGGCCATACTTTTCCAGTCGGCCCCAGACCCTTTCAGGGACGCAGAGAGAAGACAGTATTCTTTCCAAAGAGTTTTCTCCGGGGTGGGACCAAGGAGGAGAAGCCAAACCCATATCCCATCCCCCTTCTAGGGCCCTTCCTGGCCCCTCCCAACCGCACCCAGGCCCTTGCCAGGCTGAGTGGGTTGAGATGGCCCAAAATAAGAAGCTCATTAAATCCGTCTCCCACCTTCACCCCAAAATAAGAGAGAGAGAGGAAAAACCTCCTCAGACAACTCCCACGCAGCTTCCTCTGGGGCCCGGTGGGCCACCGTCTGGGCCGGGGTGAGGGTGGGGGGCGCCCGAGCCAGCCCCGACGTGAGGGCACCCCGGACCAGACCCTCTCCCCATTCCCCAAGCGACGCCCCCAGGCTCCCTGCAATTAACACAGAAAAACTATTAACAACAAAAAGGGCCTGAAGGCGCCGACGCGGGTGGGGATAGGGGGAGGCAGCGACCCGGCCGATCGCCCGGCTCACAAGGAGAGCTTTGTGTGTACGGAAACGCGGCCAGCGCGCCGGCGCTGCGACCCTCGACGCCAGGGATGCGGGTAGGGACACAGCGGGGTCCTCTCGGGGAGACGGGGGCTGTGGCCCTGGACGCTCGGCCGTCCACCCTCGACCCCCACCTGGCCGCAGACTCGTCCGCTGAAGGCCTGGGCCACCCGGGGAGGCCGAAGCGCCCATCGGAGGGCGCGCCGGCGGGAGAGCGCTGGAGAGCTGGGAAGTCGAAGAAACAACAAACTCTCGCGCATGACGAGGAGCCGGGACAGCGCGGGGTTTGAGCGGAGTCCAAATGTTTATCAGGCGGTTCCAGAGCTGAGAGCAGAGCCCAAGGGAATCGGGGAAGGGGGAGTTCGCCCCAGTTGTAAAGTTCTTCCAAGGACTGGGAAAAAAGAAGGAATGGGAAGGAGAGTCGGCGGCGCAGGGGGTGGGGGCAGCTGGTTGGAAGCGGGCAAAAGTTGGATCGATCTGGAAGTTTGGAGACGAAGAGGAAAAAGAAAGGGAGGGGGAATCCTGCAGGCCTGAGCAGCGGAGATCCCAAAAGCCCTCCTCTCCGAATAGAGGCTGTCCCCTAGGAGACCCCCGGGCTCGCCTCCCGGCGGGCGCGACTCCGGGAAGGGCCGGGAAGCTCACTTACTTCGGGGCTGAAGCTGCTGCTTTGGGCCGAGCCGAGGGAGGCGAGCGCGGTGCCGAGCGTGAGCAGGGGGAGCAGGAGACAACGGGGGGGTCTTGGGGCGGGAGACATGGTCCGAGACCACCGGGTCAGCCGGGCAGTGTGGGCTCCGCGGCCGGGCCCACGCCCTGGGGTCGCACCGCCACTCCCTCGGGGCGCCTTTGTCTTCGGTAGGCACTGAACTTGAATTCCTAGACCGCTGTCGGCTTGGAGTTAAAGGGGATTGTTCCTCAAAGTGCCTGTTTGCTCTTCTCCTCTTTTCCGGTTTTTGATCTTTCTTCTGCTTAGTCGGCGAACTGGGGTCTGGTTCCCTCTCTCGCTCTCTCCTCTGGTCCCTCCCTTCTCCCACAGCCTCTCCTCCGTCCCCGCCCCAGTGCCCTCCTTTCCTGGTTGGGGACGTGGTTGTTTTAGCCTGAATCCAATTACAACCAAGAACTGGAAGGAAAAAAAAAAAAAACACCTCTAAGTTGCCTTTTTGTGGTGCAGGCTGCCATCTGCAGGGGTTGAGGCCGCGATGGACAGCAGGGGGCTGTAGGGGGATCCAGGGGACGGGATGTGGGAGACTTTGTCCCTATAAGCATATTCTGAGTGGCTTGATTCCTCTGGTATTCAGCATTTGTCTCACCTCAGGGTGGGAATTATTGGGGGCTATGTGGCTAGGGGCAACGAGGAGCTCAGAGTGTGGGATGGTGGTGGGGTCTTCTTCCATGCCCATGAGACCTGCAGAGGGAGAAGGGGCCAGTTTACTAATAGGGGGTTATCTTCTGGGCCCTGTAGACAACTGTCTATGTCCCTCCCTCTGCTGCTAAAAAATCCAAACTATAACCCAACTACCAACAACAAACCCCACAACCATACCGGATCTGTGGCTCCAACCTTTGTAGAAAGACAAAGGTGATTCCTTTATTGTCATTTGTAATGTGGCTGCACCTTTAATTGGAACTCGCTGGGAGGAAAAGGGTACAAGGCCGTGGGATCTGGGGGAAAGCAAATCAAGTTGGGTGAAATTATTGTAAAAGAAGGGATTGGGAGTTGGGACTCTGGGGTTTAGTTCCACCTCTACACTGAAAAAGGAGGCAATTCTTAAAGAGTTATAATCTCCTTTAGGGACTTACTGGACTCAGAACAAAAGGTGGAGGTATGTAGGGAAGGGAGAGGGCAGGATAAAGCTGACCGTGAGAAAGGGAGACAGATGAGTTGGGAACTAGACAGGTCTGGAAAAGAAGCACAACAGAAGCAGGAAAAGTGTGGGAGACAGAAAACTAGACTATCAGCGAAATCTAAGATCCAAGAATTGCATTTGGCCAGTGAGAGAGGACAGAGGTAGTGCGAGGAGGAAGGGAGAAGAAAGCAAAGGAAGGAATAGAGGAGGGTGGACAGAAATTAGGTCAGGTAGGAAGCTCCAGAAATCCTAGGGATGCACTTCTGTGGCAGAAGAATAGAAGTCTAGTGCTCAGTATTGTAATGAAAACAAAGGTCTTTTGCCCTCAGATTCATGATCAATAAAATGAAAAGCTTTTCAGGTCCTGTGGAGCCTCCAGGTTTGTGGGAGGTATATGGTGTGTGTTATTAAACAGCTACCTACCCCACAGTGACTGAGGGCTGAGCCCTTATGTAGGGCTTTCCTACACAAGCTGGGGTTGGGAGGTACAGGCCCCTCTTCAACCAATCTCTGGAATGCATTCAGAACCATGGAGACCTCAGGACCCCACTCTCGGCAGAACACGCAACACCCAGGTATGATTCTTCCCACATCAGCCTTCCCAGTGGGGGTAACCTCCTGGACCACATATCTGAATCTTAGGAAGACTGACACCAGATGCTTGCCAAAAAAGGGACCTTGGCTAGAAAATCTTTTTCATGAAAACATTTATTAGATGCCAGCTGTACATGGCCTAAACTGTGCATGAGCTGTTAAAGGCTTGACTGCCTGGCCAAAACTGGGAAAACTGCTGTCCCCTTTTCACGTTCACAGAACAGCTATTTCTCATAGTTGGGCTAGTCCTATGGCCTGCAAAGGAGGTAAATTTTTTTTTTTTTTTGAGACGGAGTCTCGCCCTGTCGCCCAGGTTGGAGTGCAATGGTGTGACCTTGGCTCACTGCAACCTCTACCTCCCGAGTTTAAGCGATTCTCCTGCCTCAGCCTCCTGAGTAGCTGGGATTACAAGCGCACCCCACCACGCCCGGCTAATTGTTTGTATCTTTAGTAGGGACAGGGTTTCACCATGTTGACCAGGCTGGGTTGGCCAGGCTGGTCTCGAACTCCTGATCTTGTGATCTGCCCGCCTCAGCCTCCCAAAGTGCTGGGATTACAGGCGTGAGCCACCGCACCCAGCTAGGAGGTAAAAATTTTAAAGCAAGACTTAGCTGAACTGGAATGGAACCAGAGATGAGAGTACTAAGCCAAGCCTCCCAGGCAGTGATCTAACAGCTTGTTCTTGGTGTCCCAGCTCTTTTTCTCTGAAGACAGATGGGGAACGTGAAGGCTATCTTCTGGCTGGATGAAGCATCTAGGTGATAGAAAAGAAATCCAGAGACAGGGTGAGGAAGGGAGGCAGGAGTTGCTTTTTATTGACTTGGAAGTGGGCTCTTCAGTGAAGCCCCTTTGGGTTTAAGAGCATTTTCCTGCTTCCTTTGTTCTTCCTGCAACTTCTGCTGCCTGAGCTGCCATGCTTGTAATCCAGCGTCCATTTCCTGTGACAGCAGTACAACTCGTCTCTGAAACAGACAGGAAAACAGTGTGGATAACATCTGGGACTTCAGCGCTATACTATATATCCTTCCACTTACAAATTCAGAGGTTTCATCTGGAAAATGACGCTGCTGACTCCCCAGTGGGAGCGAGTTCTGGCTTGGGAAGCAGAGGGAGACAGCAAAATGTGCAGCAGGATGTCTACTACTGGTTCCTGTCCTGGGAGTGCCCCACTCTCTTCCTCCCTTCTCACAGTGCTATTAAAACCTTTGGCTGGGGCCAGGCATGGTGGCCCACACCTGTAATCCCAGCACTTTGGGAGGCTGAGGCAGGCGGATCACCTGAGGTGGGGAGTTCAAGACCAGTCTGACCAACATAGAAAAACCCTGTCTCTACTAAAAATACAAAGTTAGCTGGGTGTGGTGGCACACGTGTGTAATCCCAGCTACTCAGGAGGCTGAGGCTGGAGAATCGCTTGAACCCGGGAGTAGGTTGAAGTGAGCTGAGATAGCGCCATTGCACTCCAGCCTGGGCATCAAGAGCGAAACTCCGTCTCACAAAAAACAAAAACAAAAACAAAAAAAACCTTTGGCTGTTATTAATAAAACCTCTGTATGAGGGGTACATGTTTGCTTAGGTGCAACACAGCTCAAGACAAATTATGATTTAAATGTTCTCCTTCCAGGTAGCCCTGGCTGTTGCTCTAACCACTCACTGCAAACGTCTCCCTTTCAGCTTTTCTTCGAAGCTGGCCTTTCATTGGGGGAGCAGGGCGGCCATCTACAAGTAGAAGTGAGAGAAAAGTCAAGTGTTAGAGATGGACTGCATCACCTTGTGCAAATACTGTGATAGGAATAAGGGAAGAACCAATCTCTAGCTCCTCTCTTCCATTTCATATACATTGTAGCTTAATTATCCTAAAATATGTCCATCATCTTCAAGGGTGAGGTACGATAACCCAGAATAAGCTCCTAGACATATTACTACTCTATTTCATTTTATTTCATTTATTTATTATTTTTTGAGACAGTCTCGCTCTGTTGCCAGGTAGGAGTGCAGTGGTGCAATCTCAGCTCACTGCAACCTCTGCCTCCCGGGTTCAAGAGATTATCCTGCCTCAGACTCCCGAGTAGCTGGGACTACAAACACGTGCCACCATCCCTGGCTAATTTTTGTATTTTTAGTAGAGACGGGATTTCACCAAGTTGGCCAGGATAGTCTCGATCTCTTGACCTCGTGATCCACCTGCCTCGGCCTCCCAAAGTGCTGGGATTACAAGCATGAGCCACCGTGCTCGGCCTTTTTTATTTTTTATTTTGAGACAGACTTTTGCTCTTGTTGCCCAGGCTGGAGTGCAATGGCATGATCTCAGCTCACCGCAACTTCCGCCTCCCAGGTTCAAGCAATTCTCCTGCCTCAGCCTCCCGAGTAACTGGGATTACAGGTGCGCACCACCACACCCGGCTAATTTACTACTCTATTTCACTGAACTCTCACTAGCCTTGTATTTGAGGTCCTCTGCAATGCTGAATCTACTGTTTTGTCTTCAGAAACTCTTGGCCAGGCGTGGTGGCTCACACCTGTGATCCCAGCACTTTGGGAGGCTGAGGCAGGCGGATCACGAGGTCAGGAGATTGAGACCATCCTGGCTAACACGGTGAAACCCTGTCTCTACTAAAAATACAAAAAATTAGCCGGGCGTGGTGGTGGGCGCCTGTAGTCTCAACTACTAGGGAGGCTGAGGCATGAGAATGGCCTGAACCCGGGAGGCTGAGCTTGCAGTGAGCCAAGATCGCACCACTGCACTCCAGCCTGGGCGACAGAGCCTGACTCCATCTCAAAAAAAACAAAAAACAAAAAAAACCAGAAACTCTTAAGCAATGTGATCACTGTTGTTCTATGTACCTTTGCTAAATTCCATCCCACTCCACAATGAAATGCCCTCTTTTCCTTTTCTTCCAGCCAAATCTTCATCCTTAGGTCCACTCAAACCCTAACTTTCCCAGAAACGCTCATCTCTTCAAGTCCATCAGCCTTCTCTTCTGAAAGAAGTACTGAATATTTAATATTCACCTATTTGCCTTGGGACATTTACTGTACTCTTCTGTTTTATTTTTTTAAGTGTTATTTAGCTACCTCAGGTCCTTTTGGAAAGGCGCAGAGTATTGAAATATTATTTATTATTATTTTTGAGACAAGGTCTCGCTCCGTCGCCCAGGCTGGAGTGCAATGGCATGATCTCAGATTATTACAACCTCTGCCTCCTGGGCTTAAGCGATTCTCCTGCCTCAGCCTCCCGAGTATCTGGAACTGTAGATGCATGGCCCTGAATACTATTACTTAATTTTTAAAAAGTCCATGCTTTGTCCCAGTTAGACTTTAAGTTCTTTGGGTCAGGGACTGTGTTGCTAGCTTTTGCTATTCACAGTATAGTGTAGACACATAAGCATGTTAATAAAAATCCATAAATACCTGCTGACTTGCTGAAAAGATGCAGTATCTAACCCAAGTAGTTTACTTTCCGCAAAGAAAGAAACAGAGTGAAAACTCTGCCCAAAAGTTTGAAGGCAAGACAGAGAAGAGGTGTTATTTACCAGGAAGGGGAACCAATATTGTGTATGCCACATGCTTTACATTGGTTGTTTCATTTTATCCTTAAAAGAACCACATGAGATAGGTATTCTTTTACAGATATGGAAACTGAGACTAAGATAAAATTAAGTAATTTGTCCAAGACCACAAACTTAGCGAGAAGGGAAGCCTGGATTAAGAATAAGGTCCATAGGCTGGGCGTGGTGGCTCATGCCTGTAATCCCAGCACTTTGGGAGGCTGAAGTGGATCACTTGAGCTAAGGAGTACAAGACCAGCTTGGGCAACATAGCAAGAGCCTGTCTCTACTAAAAGTTAAAAAAAAAAATTAGCCAGGAATGGTGGTGTGTGCCTGTGGTCCCACCTACTTGGGGGGCTGAGGTGGGAGGACTGCTTGAGCCCAGGAGATCAAGGCTGCAGTGAGCGATGATCATGCCACTGCACTTCAGCCTGGGTGACAGGGCAAGACCCCATCTCAAAAAAAAAAAAAAAAAAAAAAAAGCAGTCATATGTAATTCCAGAGTCTTTCCAATAGTCCATACTACTACAAGGAGATGCCAGGCTTCTTACAGTAAATAACAAGTAGAAAAAATCTTCACCATCTTCCTCAGTCACCAATTATCCAATTAAGCAGGATCATACCCCTAGAGAGCAACAATAGGGTATTAAATATTCAGATCTCTGTGTTGTCAAGGAGGACTGGCCTATGTTCTAGTCCTGGATTTGCTACTACCTAGCTGTATGATCATGTGCAATTCACTTCTGTAGGCCTCAAATTTCCTACTTGTACACTGGAGTCTCATAAGGAGAATGGGGAGTAGCTTCAACTTCTCTAAGGTTCTCCCTTCTAGGGCTAATATTTATTCTCCCTCCCTCTCTCTTTTGTAAGTAAAGGTAAAAGAATTTTCTGAAGGGAGCCTGCCATCCATAGTCTTCATCCTTCTACCCCTCTGAGACGCTTATTTCTGCAGCTTTTCAAAGAGCTCTCCCTGCATTTGGTACCAAATACTGAAAATTCACTAACCACAGAGAAAAGTGGTTCTTGGTTAAAAAAAAATGTCCCCCTTTGAAAAACGCAGAAGTCTTGTCACCCCCTTCCACCCTGGCGGCCCCAAGTCAGAATTATCTTCTGCTTATCTCCACAAGCCAAGATCCTGTTTAGCTTTACCTTCCTTAGTCGAAATGCAATCTACAAAATAAACAAGAGGGTTTCTTTCCCCAAATTCCGTTTTCCAAATAAAAAGTTAAACACTTTTACACGCCCCCACCTTGATACCCCCAGCTCCCCGTCCAGGGGCGTTCCCTCTAGGTGAAAATCTCCCCAGTGGAGTTAACTGCCAGATCAGCGCTTACCCGCATATGACCAGTCTGGGAGCTCGGTAAGGGGCCCGTAGCCGGAGGGGTTGGCAGCCAGTCCCTGCCTGTGTGGAGAAAAACAGATCTGTGAGGACCTAGCCCAGCTTCTGGTCCCCCAGGTGCCCTCATCCCAGGACTCACTGTAGTCGCCACTGGCCGCCCGCCCAAGCGGCTACGCTGCAGTGCAGCCTCCGGACACCTGCTGGGAGAACAGAGCAGAGTTGGGGGAGAGGCCGCGCAGCCGGATCAGGGGTCCTGTGCCCGTCCCCAAAGGGCCCCCGAGTCCACGGTCCCTATCTATACCCACTCACTGAAGAGAACAGTCCCTAAAGCAGCCATGCTGAGCAGGAGTAGCCGGGGTAGCCGGAAGTAGGCGTGGCCTCGGTGGCCACGCGCGACGCTATCGGGGAAGCAGGAAGTCGCCATCTTGAATCTGGGTTTTCAATCACGGCTCCGCCATCTTGGGTCATCGTACGGAAGGAGAGACAAAACTGCAGTACAGGTTTTTGAGGTGAAAACGAATTGTCGTTCAGCGCATGCATTCTCAGTGGAAGTCGTGTCCTCCCAGATTAAGCCGTTCTGAACAGTTCCCACAACCTCCCTACAGCGGTCTCTAGTTCATTGAAATTGATATTAATAGTAACTTTGATCTCAGGGGTAACATCCACGTCATTCTACAGATCCTCGCATCACTGTAACACAGTTTTCCTAGACTAAGAAAAGTAATCAAATCTAGAGTTAATCGGAAATTGGGCCAGCCTGGGCAACATGGCGAAACTCCCTCTCTACAAAAAAATGAAAAATTAGCTGGGTGTGGTGGCGCATGCCTGTGGTCCCAGCTACTTGGGAGGCTGAGGTGGGAGGATGGCTTGAGCCTGGGAGGCCGAAGGCTGCAGTAAGCAGAGATCATGCCACTGCACTCCAGTCTGGGTAACAGAGCGAGACCTTGTCTCAAAAAAAATTCTGTGTGATAAGTGCTGTATTAGGCGTAGATTTTATGGAGAACAAAACCAGACATCAATATCCTGATAGAGCTCTCGGTATAAAAGAAACAAGACAGGCCAGGTGCAGTGGCTCACACTTGTAATCCCAGCACTTTGGGAGGCTGAGGCTGGCGGATCACCTGAGGTTGGGAGTTCGAGACCAGCCTGACCAACATGGAGAAACCCTGTCTCTACTAAAAATACAAAATTAGCCAGGCATGGTGGCACATGCCTGTAATCCCAGCTACTCGGGAGGCTGAGGCAGGAGAATTGCTTGAACCCGGGAGGCAGAGGTTGTGGTGATCCAAGATTGCGCCATTGTACTCCAGTCTGGGCAAGAAGAGTGAAACTCCAACTAAAAAAAAAAAAACAGACAATCAAATGATGACATACATGAATATTGTCATTGAGTGCTGGGAAAGGAAATACATGTTGTTTGTGAGTTTATAGTGTGAACTTGATCTACAGTAGACCATCAAAGATGACTTTCCTGAGAAAGGGGTATTGTATTGGAGCTAAGATGTGACATTCCATTTTTATAAGTGCTACCACCGCACATTGCTTAATATTATCCTTGCAACAACCCTGTGAGGTAGGTACTAGAAAGTGGCAAACCCTGATTGGCGACTCCCCTCCTTTTATCACTTGCTATTCAGTACTGTCTTGGAGAAGTCATTTATCCTTCATTTTTTAATTTTAAAAATGCTTAATATGTTACATTTGTGAAAACGATCTAAAAGTGATAATGTGAGTGAAAGTGCTTTATAAATCCTGAAACTCCTACAAAAGAGCCCATTAACTGTCTGCCAGGTGTGAAGGGAAAATATCTTGGTCCTCTTCAAGCTGAGAACCTGGGAACCACTCAGGGCAAATCTGCCTCCAATTCTATCCAAAGTCATCTGTCTACTCACAGAGACAGATGCATATTCTGACTACCTCTTCTGGAAAGACTTGTCAGAAACTCAAAATAATGCAACCATCTGTCTCTCACCTACATGTGACCTGGGGGCCCCCAGTGAGGGGGCCTTGCTTTGAGCTGTCTCTGCCTTTCTGGACAGAACTAATGTGACTTCTTACATTTTCATGTCTCCCTAAAATGTATAAAACCAAGCTACGCCCGGACCACCTTGGGCACATGTCTTCAGGACTTCCTGAGACTGTGTCACAGGCACATCCCCAACCTTGGCAAAATAAACTTTTTAAATTAACTGAGACCTGTCTCAAATTTTGGGGTTTCACATTTTGGTAAGCACAGAGGAATTCTGAGTGGAGATGCCCTTGACCTTAAAAAAAAAATCTCCTATTGGCTGGGCGTGGTGGCTCATGCCTGTAATCACAGCACTTTGGGAGGACAAGGCGGGTGGATCACTTGAGGTCAGGAGTTTGAGACCAGCCTGGCCAACATGGTGAAACCCCATCTCTACTAAAAATACAAAATTAGCCGGTCGTGGTGGCATGCACTTGTAATCCCAACTACTCGGGTGGCTGGAGAATAACTTGAACCTAGGAGGCGGAGATTGCAGTGAGCCAAGATCGTGCCACTGCCCTCCAGCCTGGGCAACAGAGCGAGACTCCGTCTCAAAAAAATAAAAGAAATCTCCTATCGGTGCTTGGTACCAGCATGAGCTAACTTTATGGCTCAAACAAGTAGGACAATTTGCTGAGGTCTGAGAGCATCCCCTCCAGAGAATCCCTGATCTTCCAAAATTTGGTCGAGATCTAAAGTTTATTTTGTACAACTGTTTTTTTTTTTTTTTTTGGAGTTTTACTTGCTTCCTACATTTTCCTGCTTCCATGAGTTTGAACTCACTTCCAATAGGGAAGATGAGTTTTTTTTTTTTCCTGCTTCTAGGCTGGTAGAGAACAGTCTACAGCCTGAGACCCATCACTAGGTAAGAAACTGGTTTGGGATTTTGTCTTGCAAATTCCTTTTAAACGACTAAAGTTAGCATTTAACAGCCAGCAGGTGTTAATTTCTGCTTACACTTAGAGCACTCAGAAACTGTATAATTAGTGTGATCATCGTTAGTTTAGTAGCATTTTGTCATAGCTGAAATATGGTAATGAGATTTAAAAATATATTTTTTTCTTTTGTTAAGGAGCTCAATAGTTAAAAGTCAGCTTAATTAAAAGGCTAATATCCAAGATGCGTGTGTCTGTGGATACATGTGTGCATGTTTGTATTTAAAAGGCCCTCATTAGGCTGGGCGCGGTGGCTCACGCTTGTAATCCCAGCACTTTGGGAGGCCGAGGCGGGTGGATCATGAGGTCAGGAGTTTGAAACCCGCCTGGCCAACATCGTCAAACCCCGTCTAAACCCCAAACTAAAAATTCAAAATTAGCTGGGTGTGGTGGTGCATGTCTGTAATCCCAGCTACTCGGGAGGCTGAGGCAGGACAATCACTTGAACCCCGGAGGCAAAGGTTGTGGTGAGCCGAGATCGCGCCATTGCACACAAGAGTGAAACTCACACACACACACACACACACACACACACACACAGAAAAGATGAGAAACTGGCCAGGTACTGTGGCTCATGGCCTGTAATCCCAGCACTTTGGGAGGCTGAGGTTGGAGGATCACTTGAGCCCAGGAGTTTGAGACTAGCCTGGGCAACAGTCAGACCTTGCCTCTACTAAAATTTAATTTTTGTGTGTGTGTGTGTTTTGCCAGGCATAGTGGCATGCACCTGTGGTCCTAGCTACTTGGGATGTTGAGGTCAGTGAGGTGAGAGGATTGCTTGAGCCTAGGAGTTTGAGGTCATCCTGGACAGTATGGTGAGACCCTGTCTCTACAAAAAATACAAAAAATTGGCTGGGCGGTGTGGCTCATGCCTGTAATCCCAGCACTTTGGGAGGCTGAGGCAGGTGGATAACCTAGGTCAGGATTCGAGACCAGCCTGGCCAACATGGCGAAACCCTGTGTCTACTAAAAATACAAAAATTAGCTGGATGTGGTGGCCATGTGCCGGTAATCCCAGCTACTTGGGAGGCTGAGGCAGGAGAATCACTTGAACGTGGGAGGTGGAGGTTGTAATAAGCCGAGATCGCGCTATTGCACTCCAGCCTGGACAACAAGAGTGAAACTCCATCTCGGAAAAACAAAAAACAAAAAGCAAAACAAAAAATTAGCCAGGTATGGTGGCGTGTGCCTGTAGTCCCAGCTATGTGGGAGGCTGAGGTGGGAGGATCACCTGAGCCTGGGGAGGTCAAGGCTGCAGTGAGTTGTAATCACACCACTGTCCTCTAGCCTAGGTGACAGAGCAAGATACTGTCACAAACAAACAAAAAAAAACATCTGGGGTGGAGTGGGGCATATGCATTTAGGTGAACAAATAATGTGTATAATATGAACACGGCATGCAAAAGTGGACAAGTACAATTATTTAACAGATGTGGGAGTCAAGGAGCCAGAGCCGGAGGACTTTGGGAGCAGGATGGGAATTGTCATTGGAACTAGGAAATCTGGGAAGAGAAGCGTCTTTAGAAGCGCCATGGCTCACGCCTGTAATCCCAGCACTTTGGGAGGCCGAGGAAGGTGGATCATAAGGTCAGGAGTTCAAGACCAGCCTGGCCAAAATGGTGAAACCTCATCTCTACTAAAAATACAAAAACTAGTCAGGTGCGGTGGTGGACACCTGTAGTCCCAGCTACTCGGGAGGCTGAGGCAGGAGAATCACTTGAACCCAGGAGGCAGAGGTTGCAGTGAGCCAAGATTGTGCCACTGCACTCCATCCTGGGCCACAGAGCGAGGCTCCGTCTCAAAAAAAAAAAAAAAAAAAAAAAGAAGAAGAAGAAGGAAGACAAGTTCAGCCCATATATATATATATATATATTTTTTTTTTTTTTTTTTTTTTTTTTTTGTAGAGATGGGGTCTTGCTATGTTTCCTAGGCTGGTCTTGAATTCCTAGGCTCAAGCAATCTTCCTGTCTGGGCCTCCCTAAATTTAACCTTTGATGTGGTTAGTGTGATACAGCAGGGGGACAATCCATGGGTTGTAAATACCAGAAAAGGGCTCCTCACCCAAACAGCTACCTCTCATCTCAGCCTACCTGGACACAGAGATAGATAGATAGAGAGAGAGAGAGAGACAGACAGAACCCCAGAGCGCTGACAACTAACATCATCAGCATTCTCAGGGACCTCATGGAACTCTGTTGGAGGGAGGGGTCTGGCACCTGGACAGCACTCCTCTATGACTTCATCTGCCTCAGAAGCCACAGGAAAGCAGCTTCGTCATCCTAAACTGAATGTCTTTTAACCTCTGGACTTCAACTGGCAAAGACTGGAGTTAAGAATAATGTGAAGCATCAGGCATCTGTGCTTCCTGTGTTTCCTCTCTTAAACTGCTTTGCTTTTCAAGGGCATCATGCCCTGTATTTGGCTTTAACATTTTGTTATCCCAGCCTAGGCAGCACAGCAAGACTTTGTCTCTCTCTCTTTTTTTTCTTTTGAGACAGAGTCTCACTCCATCGCCCAGGCTAGAGTGCAGCTGCGTGATCGCGGCTCACTGCAACCCCCGCTTCCTGGGTTCAAACGATTCTCATGCCTCAGCCTCCCGAGTAGCTGGGATTACAGGCACATGCCACCATGCCCAGCTAATTTTTGTAGTTTTTAGAGACAGCCAAGACTCTGTTTCTTAAAAAAAAAAAAAAACCAAAACCCCCCCCCAAAAACAAAACAAAACAAACAACAACAACAACAAAAACCGGGCGCAGTGGCTCACGCCTGTAATCTCCACACTTTGGGAGGCCAAGGCGGGCGGATCACGAGGTCAGGAGATTGAGACCATCCTGGCCAGTATGGTGAAACCGCGTCTCTACTAAAAATACGAAAATTAGCTGGGCTTGGTGGCGCGTGCCTGTAATCCCAGCTACTGGGGACGCTGAGGCAGGAGAATCCCTTGAACCAGGGCGTCGGAGGTTGCAGTGAGCCGGGATGGTGCCATTGCACTCCAGCCGGGCGACAGAGCGAGACTGCATCTAAAAAAAAAAAAAAAAGCTGGGTACCCACCTGTAGGCACCCACCACCAAGTCCCAGTTACTTGGGAGGCTGAAGCTGGAGGATTGCTTTAGCCCAGAAGGTCAAGGGTGTAGTGAGCTCATGTTTTGTCTAATATGTTTATCCAAATAGCCTCCTTCTGTTCTGTAAGTTTGTATTTATACAGTTACTTTTTTTTTTTTTTTGAGACAGAGTCTCGCTCTGTCACCCAGGCTGGAGTGCGGTGGTGCGATCTCGGCTCACTGCAAGCTCCGCCTCCCGGGTTTACGCCATTCTCCTCCCTCAGCCTCCCGAGTAGCTGGGACTACAGGCGCCTGCCACCACGCCCGGCTAATTTTTTTTTGTATTTTTAGTAGAGACTGGGTTTCACCGTGTTAGCCAGGATGGTCTTGATCTCCTGACCTCATGATCCGCCCGCCTTGGCGTCCCGAAGTGCTGGGATTACAGGCGTGAGCCGCCGCGCCCGGCCCCTACAGTTACTTTTGTACAAGTGCTTTGCTCTGGGAAATTAGGTGCCTTGTAATTGTTGTGATTGATAATGACATTGGAGAAGGAACATAAGACGAAGGAAGCTGACTCTGGGTAGGCAATTCTACTTCATTTTGCAATCTCTTTTCCTTTTTGCATGCCTGTGAGAACATTCTAAGATTGAAGAAGTTGTGGAGAGAAGAGTGAACTGTTTGGGAATTCTTTCATTATCTCCCTTTTTAGGACAGTACAAAGAACAAATCACTGTCACCTCATGCAAGAAATGTGAGAACTGTGGCTACAAATTACTCAATACACTACTTTGCATATTATTTCCTTACTATTTACATAATTTATTGCGACATATTCTGCTTCTTTTCCCAGAGCTGTCAAATCTCTGCTATATCAGTACTGGCTAAATTAGGTGTTAAATGATTGAGCTTCAAGATGGGCAAATCATGACTTCGGACTACATTCCTCCTTGCCTGGCGGCTGGGAAATTCCGTAAGCTCTGTGTGTTTCTATCAGACTGCTCTTGAAGGCGGTGGCTCTCTGTGGATCTCCGCAGAGCGCCAACGTTGGCTTAAAAAACCCCAAAGCTAGATTATCCAAAAGGTATATAAAAGGTAGTTATATTATTTACAAGCCATCTTTTAGCCTTAAAACGTGATGAAGCATTTCCAGTTGCCTTTTCTTGAACTAATTCAGCAACTCCCTTTTTTGTTAGGTCCGCGCTGCTGCTAAGACTTCAGATGAAAGACGCTCCGGGGACTCCGGTATCCTGGGCCCCCTCGGCCCGGACATTTTTGATTAAGCGCTGCCTCCTGGCGGCGGCTTTGCTGCCCGACGCCTTCCCAGCTTAGTGGAGCCCACTTTCTTTGGTTTGGAATCTGGAAGCTGATGCAACAGCTACCCCGAGGGGGCGGGGAGTCGGGAACCCGGGGTGGAAGAGACGGCCTTCGGGAGACCCCTCCTCCGGCTCCGAGGAGGCACATTCCTCGCCCCGCCTCCCGCCCCCGCCCCCCCAACAAGGGGCTTCCCGTCTGGGGGCACTACCGAGATTCAGCCAAGCATCTCGGGGCCGGAGGCAGTTGTGGTCAGGGGTTGGGGCGCTCGCCCAGACTCCTGTCTGGCCGCCAGCTTATGCAGGGTTGGGAGGGAGGGAAGAGGAAGCTGAGCGTTCATGGGGTGGAGGACCAGTCTCTAAGGGTATCCGCGGTCATTTTCATTTCCCCGCAGTAATCCAGCTGTGCGGGAGCGAGGAGCGGACAGGGAGCGGTTTGCGAGGTCTCGGTGCTTGGACCTTTGCGCGCCCTTCGCCTACACCCACCACAACTCCCTCTTCTAGCGCTTCCTAGAGTCGGGGGAAGGGCGGGGGCTGCTTGGCCAGGTGGAGGGAACGCAAGGGACGCCTGTTGGGGTGAGGTCCTGGTCCCCCACAGCCAGACCTGGGCCTCGGGGCCACCCTGTTCTTCAGAGGGGTAATGAAGGCGGACGGTGGCTGGGTCCGAGCTTGGGAAGGCGTTGTCCTAGGGCCGCAGACTGGGGGCCCAAAGGAAGGAGGGAAATAAAAGGGAGACAAACGACAGGGAGGGGCCCGGAGAAAGCGAGGGTGGTGGGGGGGTGGGGATGGGAGAAAGGGACAAAGGTGAGTGAGGCCAGCAGGTTGGGCGGGGGCGGAGAGGGGGATGGGAACGACCAAGGGGTAGGCCAGCAAGGATCGCGGGCCAGGGGAGAGCTTTTCAGGGGTAGAGCAGCGGGCCGGCGCATGGTGGGGAGTTGAGTGTATGCTTCGAAGTCCGCTGTAGAGCCCACTTGCATATGTGTGAACCTGAGCGTTCGCCTCCCCTCGGCCTTTTCCTCCCCTGCCCTTCACCCTTTCGCGGCCATAGCACTTAGCTCTCGCCATCTCCACGCCGCACCCAGACCGGTCACCTGAGCTTGGGTGTGAGGTAGAGCAGACAAGAATTTCCTGGATCCAGGGAAAGAGTGTTAGATGATAGGCTTTTTGTTTTGCTTTGCTTTTCCCATTAATGAAACAAAAGTCCGTTTCAAATCATTCTAGGCCTCCCAGTAAAACTGTGAAAGCCATACTTTCTTCTTTGCCTTTAACGCATTACTGTCAAAAAGAGTACCTCCGGGTACTCCTTGCTTAGGAGCCAGAGCGGCAGCCAAACAGGAGGGCCTGGAGAGCAAATTCAAGGACATGCGCAGGAGCCTAGCCACCTGGGAAATCAAATAGATAACATAGTTCATTCATTCATTTATTAACCCAGCAAACATTTATTAACTGTCTATGTGAGCCCTGCACTGCGGGGATACAGTAGTGAACAAAGCTCTTGTGACGCTTACATTCTAGTGGGAGTGCTGACAGCAAACAAATGACACCGGGAATGGACAATATCACTGGGAAGCATGTTCCAGGCAGGGAGAACAGGAGTTGCAAAAGCTGTGAGGCGGGAGCATGCTTGCTGTGCGGCCACCGCAGGGAAGCCAGTGAAGCTGGAGTGGAGTGGGGAAGACAGCAGGGAGGCCCATGCAGACAAGGACAGCTTCTCTCTTTCTAGGACCTCCCTTACGACTTGGACCCGACTCCAGAGTGCAATTAAGGGGCCGGCAAGTTGGGTAGCAGGCTGAGAGTGTCTAAAGGACACTAAAATATCTTTGGAATAATTCAGGTATTTGGTGCCAGTGTACTATGATTTCTGTGTCTTGGTGAAATATGAGTTGGCTTTCATCCAGTGACATAGACTTATTGACAACTCCTTACCTGGACTGCTTGTGTCTGGAGTAATTTTCCAACAGACAGGTGCAAATTGCAGGATGTAGCCCTGGGGCCAGCCAGCTGACAGTTGCTTAAAGGCGTTAGTCACAGTTGTAATTCCAAAAATTCCTGATGCATTGTGAATGCTGCTCCCTGAGGGCAAGAGATTTATACTATTATCCACATTTTAAGTGGTTTACTATGCTTACCAAGAAGTTGTTTGCTTCAGAAGATTGCATGTGATGAAGATATGTAATAATTTTTTTCTTTTTTTTTTTTGGACTGGAGTGCTCACTGCAACCTCCGCCTCCCGGGTTCAAGCGATTCTCCTGCCTCAGCCTCCCAAGTAGCTGGGATTACAGGCGCCCGCCACCACGCCTGCTAATTTTTGTAAATTTAGTAGAGACGGGGTTTCACTATGTTGGCCAGACTGGTCTCGAACTCCTGACCTTGTGATCTGCCCGACTCGGCCTCCCAAAGTGCTGGGATTACAGGCGTGAGCCACCGTGCCCGGCTGATGTGTAATAATTTCTAATTTTAAATATAAAGAGGCTTACACAATTTGTATTCCAGGAAAATTGATATTTCCCCCACCTCTGCTAAGTAAACGTTCGACGGATGTTTAAATAAAACTGGTTCGAAGGGATGCCAACTCATTAGTCTGCCCAGGGTGCCATGGCCCAGTTGGCTCTTACCTGGCGACATATATCGATATCACCTGAACCAATTAGAGATCTCAGCTGTGAGTGAGCTTGCTTGGTGTTTAAATGTGTGCTTGGCTGTCCCCCTATAAGTGGTCTTCCTTGGCTTGCATTACCTCCCCTTGGCTTGCTTTAGGGGCTGAAATGGCACTGACACTCTTGAGATGGGACTGCAGAGTTTCCTTCCCCTAACCATGGGATCGTATCCCCTCTGCAGAACTAAGGATAGTACATGAGTGGGAGATGAGTAGGAAATGGGATGAGTGGAGTTGCAAGAGGCATCAGAGGTCACTGTCAATGGAGGGGAAAGCTTAAGTGCTCAGTAAATGTAGGGCAACAAGGAAGGGGGGGGTGAGGCTGAGGTAGGGAGGAGAAGGAGCTGAGACTCAGGTATTTGGTGCCAGTGTAGTAGAGAAGGTGCCTGGAGGCGGGCAGGCACTGAGGTCCTCTGGGTCTGACCAGGCAGTCCCAGCTCCAGCCCGTCCCCTGGCCCCTCCCCGCTGCCGGCCAGAGTCACACATGTGTTTTCCTGTTTTCCATTTCAGTCCCCGTTACCCTCTGCTTTTTCTGCTCCTCAGAGTCAACAGCTGTTGCAGCATGAGCGATACGCTTGGTTCTCCTAACTAGCACCTTCCCCTCTCCCCTGACTCAGCTGGTAGCCCCTCCTCCCCGCACCTGCCCAAAGGTCACTGGACAGGTAAGAGGTGGGAGAGGAGGGACAATGGGCGAGAGGGGAAGTGCAGGAGGAGGATGGAGTCCTAAAAATTGGCTGAATGGAGACCCAAGAGCCTCCTGTTTCTTGATCCCAGCCCTGTCCCTCCCTGGGCTGAACCTTCTGCCCAGAGACTTCAGCCCTTCCTTAATGGAAGCCCTGGCCACAGGAGTAAACAATTTCTTTTTTGTTTCACTTTTTTTTTTTTTTTTTAAAGAGACTGTCTTAGCCACAGTGGAATATAGAAAAACAAACAGAGAACTGGGGAGGGAGGAGCTGAGCTTCTAGCTTGGAGTGATGGGGAAATCTAGTCATACCAGAGTGTATCTGTTTTCTGTTTCTGTTGTTAGGGGAGGCAGCACAGACTGATTGGAGCCAGGAAGGCAGGACATGGGGTCTCTGGGAGAGAAAGTGTGTTCTTATAGTAGTTCCCTGAGCTTGGCTGAGGAGCCAAGACCCCGAATTATGTACTAGTTCCTGGAGAAATTGTGTTTTGGTGTTGTCATTCGAGGGTGAGGTTAGGGTGAGGGGCTCCATTGGCTGTCCTGCCCAGCACTGCATACTGGAGGCCCTGCTGCCAGTTTCTGAATCAAATTTCTTCCACAAGCTGTAGGATGAGTGTGTTGTCCTGTAATCTTCACTGGGTGTTCAGAGATGAATGCATCTCAGACAGGGAAAGGCAACAAGGGCTGCTGTTATCTTATGGGGTTTCTCATGTAAAACCTGGGGTGGGTCAGGCACGGTGGCTCACACCTTTAATCCCAGCACTTTGGGAGGCTGAGGTGGGAGGATCACGAGGTCAGGAGTTCGAGACCAGCCTGGACAACATGGTGAAACCCCATCTCTACTAAAAATACAAAAATTAGCTGGGCGCGGTGGCGGGCACCTGTAATCCCAGCTACTTGGGAGGCTGAGGCAGGAGAACCCGGGAGGCAGAGGTTGCAGTGAGCAGAGATTGTGCCACTGCACTCCAGCCTGGGGGACAAAGCAAAACTCCATCTCGGGTAAAAAAAACCCAAAAACCAAAAAAAAAAAAAAACCAAAAACCTGGGGTAGAAGAGCCCCTTTGGGAGAGCCTAGGGGTGTTGCTGGTCCCAGGCTGCCTGAATGGTGGGGCTGCCTGAATGGTGGAAGCATTACCCTAAGACCCAGGGTCTCAGGGAGAAATGTGAGCTGCCAAAGATGGTGCCTTCTTGTCCAGGGTGCTAGGTAGTGGTTGAGAAAAGAGGGGGTCTTCATGTTCTCAATGCATGGCAGCCTCCCTTGCCTAGTGCGCACGGGCAGACTGAAGTAGGTTAGAGTCCACTAGCACTTCCTGGTGCTACCACTAGGGCGTGCTGTTTGCTGGAGTGTGGGTTTTACCCCCAGCAGATTTCTGTCTCAAAATTCCACGGATAGGACTTCACTTTTCAGATGCTACCAGTCAGGAATGAAACCCTGTACACTTCTCTCTCCATTCCCCCTCACAGTTTTCCCTTCCTTTGTCCCTCCTTCCTTCCTTTCTTTTACGTCATATTAGGACACATGCCCACCCCTTGGTGCCAGTGAATTTGGTCTTAAAAGGGCAGGCGTGATGATGTGTTTGTGTTTTTTTTTTTGTTTGCTTTAGAAGTGGGCACCCTAGCAATAGCAGCACTGCCAAGAGGACTTGTAATCACCTCTTATCCCTGCAAAGAATGAGAAAGGGGAGGGGCAGCCAGGAAGGAGATTAACAAACTTTGTTGGAGCCTTTCGTCTAGGCTATAGACTGAAGGATGACAGAGGCTTTCTTTCTTTTTAATCTAGTCTGCTTACATCTTCCCCCAGGTAATTCATGTAGATAATTCCTGTCCAAAAGCAAGGTCTAAGGTGGCATCGGTGGCTCACGCCTGTAATCCCATCACTTTGGGAGGCAGAAGCAGGTGGATCAGTTGAGGCCAGGAGTTCAAGACCGGCCTGGCCAACATGGCAAAACCTCGTCTCTACTAGAAATACAAAAATTAGGCTGGGCACAATGGCTCATGCCTGTAATCCTAGCACTTTGGGAGGCCGAGGTGGGCGGATTGCCTGAGTTTAGGAGTTTAAGACCATCCTGGTCAATGTGGTGAAACCCCGACTCTACTAAAAACAAAAAAGATTAGCTGGGCGTGGTGGTGTGCACCTGTAATCCCAGCTACTCGGGAGGCTGAGGCAGGAGAATTGCTTGAACCCAGTAGGTGGAGGTTGCAGTGAGCCGAGATTGCACCACTGCACTCCAGCCTGGGCGACAGAGTAAGTGTCTGTCTCAAAATAAATAAAATAAAATAAAATAAAATAAAATAAAAATACCGAAATAAAAACACAAAAATTAGCCAGGTGTAATCCTAGTTACTCAGGAGGCTGATGCATGAGAATTGCTTGAACCAGGAGGTGGTGGAGGTTGCAGTGAGTCAAGATCGTGCCACTGCACTCCAGCCTGGGGGACAGAGTGAGACTCTGTCTCAAAAAAAGAAAATAAATAAAAAAAAAAAAAAATAAAAGGAAGGCCTAGAGACTAAGGCAGGCCAGGGGGATGGGGAGATGGAGAGATAGTATACTTGTGTGATTAAGAGTATATGAGCTCTGGAGGTTCCATGAGATAATGTGCTTAAGTCCTTAGCAGTGTGTCTGGCCCAGTAAGTGCTCAATAAGTGATAGCAATTATTATTACAGGAGCATTTTGGAGAAAAGGAGAGTCTCCTCCAGAAGGATTTCAGATCATTGTGAGCCTGTCTTGGGAGAAGCATGATCTCTGGGAACGCTCACACCAGAATCCTCCTCCTAGATTAAATTAAAAGTTTAAAGAGCTAGAATGGGAGGATGTATGGTAGAGATGTCTCCCAGAGATATTTAGATCTCTATTCTCTGGTTGTAGAATAACCAAAGAGGGTTAGAACAGATAGGAGAAGAAACAGACAGTTGGATTTCAGAATGGATAGGGTCTATTTCTGTTGGTAAAAGAGACTCAGAATACCAGATTTAAAGTAAATAATAAAGATAGCATAAACTATGTGATTTCCAAAAAGTGCTCAGCTTCCTCTGCCTGTTCTGGGCCTGTCTGTCCAACAGAATTCAGTGAAATCTGATTTCCTCATATTCTTTTTTAATTTTTTTTTTTTGAGATGGAGTCTTGCTGTGTTGCCCAGGCTGGAGTGCAGTGGCCTAATGTGGGTTCACTGCAAGCTCCGCCTCCCGGGTTCATGCCATTCTCCTCATTCTCCTGCCTCAGCCTCCCGAATAGCTGGGACTACAGGTGCCCGCCACCACGCCCGGCTAATTTTTATTTTTTTGTGTTTTTAGTAGAGACGGGGTTTCACCGTGTTAGCCAGGATGGTCTTGATCTCCTGACCTTGTGATCCGCCTGCCTCAGCCTCCCAAAGTGCTGGGATTACAGGCGTGAGCCACCGCGTCTGGCCTGATTTCCTCATATTTTTTAGGAAAGTGGAGTCAACTTATATTTGAGGAAGGCGTTTATAGGAATTTATGCTTATCCCAGAGATCTTGGTATGTTTTGTCAAGAATGAAAAGGCACGTGGGTCTGGTGGGGATGCAGTCAGATATTTGATCTCTTGACTGTGTTTCTTTTGAAGTAGTCTGAGGCTCAGACTTTGGGGCAGTGGCCCAGGCTTGGAGGCAACCCCCCAGTCTCTCTTTGCATGGGGAAGTGTGCAGAGTTCTCTTAGAACACCCAGTCACATGGTGTAGAGACTGCTCTTACACTTCCTGTAATCTCAGCATGGGAACAAGCCTTTGTGTCACACTGTGCAACCTTCCTCCCTTTCTTAAATGCTTGGGGTGAGAGAGAAGAGAGGCTAGGGTGGGGCATGGAGGACACAGAGAGAGAGAGTGCTGTGTATTCCTTCCCCGCTACTGTCCTGTCCTCAGCTAACTTGCTCTGGGACAGCTTCCCCAGGGCTACAGATACTGCACTCAGCTGACTGTCCTTTCTTCTGGGCCCCTGGTCCCAGAGCAGAGCTGACAAAGGAGATTCCTGAGAGAGCACCTTCTTATCACAGAAAGTGCTGAGCCAAGAGCTCCTAGCTGCCCCTTTTGCAGATGTGAAGGGCCAGTGAACCTTGGACCCAGATGGTTGCTTAATACTCCTTTCCCCCTCCCTCACTCCTTCCTTTGCGGGCTGCCTCACCTCCTCCACCCTTCTTGCTTAAATCCATAGGCATTTGTCTGGCCTTCCCTTTTACTGCTGGCTGGGAAGGAGGAGCATCAGACCACAGATCCTGGAAGGCACTTCTCTCCCTGACTGCTGCTCACACTGCCGTGAGAACCTGCTTATATCCAGGACCAAGGAGTGAGTGTGCGTTCCACCCTCTTCTCATCTCCACTTACCTTGCTAACCCTCCTCTTTGCTGCTGTGCAGTGTCTAATCGCTTCTTCTCCCGAGTGCCTCTCACCCTAACATCTCTCCATTGCTTGACTAGCCTCTCCCATTTTCCTCTCAGCTGTCTCCTGTTCGGTGTTTTCCAGCATGTGCTGCCTGGCTGCAGCTGTCTCCCTGCCTTGGCTCGGGGTGATATCTCTCCAGCAGCAACTCTGGGGTAGGGAGTGGCCATCAGCTGCCTCCAATCATCCCTAGGTTTTATGGTACATTGGATCGCCCTTCTCTCATTCATACTTTTTTGGGTGATTCAACGATGCTGATGTGAGGGATCGATAGCAGGAGGCTTAGAATACCAGAGAATGGGAAAGGAAAAGCAAGGAAAAGATAATAGCCTGTCTTCTTTCAGGGTGAAGTGGGTCTACTTGGGCTTTGCCAGGGCTGAAGACTCCAGCTAAGGGTTAAGGGATGCTCTTTGGGCAGGAGGATGGTTGTGGGTTTCCAGCAGGTTTCTGAAGCCTTTAGTTTTGGCAGACGTAGAGTCCTTGGGGAAAAGAGCAGTGTCATGAGACGCTCCCACAGATTAGCTGCTGGTAGGGTCAGTTCCTAATGTTGTACCTCAGCACAGGTGATCCCTGAAGCTGAAATTGGAGGGAAGACGGGTTTTGGATAAGGCTGAAAACTCGGGGTCAAGCCATTATAGTTATTTTCTGGGAGCCGCCACACTGCCCCCATGCCTGTCTTGTATTATAGCAGGCTCAGAGAGAACCAACATTTAGTGTTTTGTTTTTGATTTTGTTTTTTTTTTGAGACAGAGTTTTGCTCTTGTTGCCCAGGCTGGAGTGCAATGGCCCAGTCTTAGCTTACCGCAACCTCTGCCTCCCGGGCTCAAGTGATTCTCCTGCCTCAGCCTCCCAAGCAGCTGGGATTACAGGCATGTGCCACCACGCATGGCTAATTTTTGTATTTTTAGTAGAGACTGGGTTTCTAAATGTTGGTCAGGCTGGTCTCGAACTCCCGACTTTAGGTGATCTGCCCGCCTTGGCCTCCCAAAGTGCTGGGTTTACAGATGTGAGCCACAGCGCCCGGCCCAAGATTTAGTTCTCTATTTGGTGAGTCGGGTGGGCAGCAATGTCCTAATGATGAGAGACAGATCCTTTCTCTCTGGCGAATGAGTGCCTTCTCTTAAAAATTCAAGTTGGAGGCTGGGCAAGGTGGCTCACGCCTGTAATCCCAGCACTTTGGGAGGCCGAGGCGGGCGGATAACCTGAGGTCGGGAGTTTGAGACCATCCTGACCAACATGGAGAAACCCCATCTCTACTAAAAATACAAAATTAGCTGGGTGTGGTGGTGCATGCCTATAATCCCAGCTACTTGGGAGGCTGAGGCAGGAGAATCACTTGAACCCGGGAGGCGGAGGTTGCAGTGAGCTGAGATCGCGCCATTGCACTCCAGCCTGGGCAACAAGAGCAAAACTCCATCTCAAAAAAAAAAAAAAAAAATTAGCCACGCGTGGTGGCAGGTGCCTGTAATCCCAGCTACTTGGGAGGCTGAGGCAAGAGAAGCGCTTGAACCCGGGAGGCTGAGGTTGCAGTGAGCCGAGCCGAGATTGCACCACTGCACTCCAGCCTGGGCTACAGAGCGAGACTCTGTCAATAAATAAATAAATACATAGATAGATAGACAAATATTCAAGTTGGGGTTGTTTTGATGAGTGAGCTGGAGAAAAGGTTATTTGGAGGTCTCCGCATTGGTTGGTGAGCTGCCCGTATTACCCTGTGTTGGAGGCGGGTAGAGGTTCTATGTAATTGCCAACCACCTAATCTATAGCATCATCTTTCTTCCTTAAAGGGCAATGCCAGGAAGCTGGTGAAGGGTTTCCTCTCCTCCACCATGGTTGACAGCACTGAGTATGAAGTGGCCTCCCAGCCTGAGGTGGAAACCTCCCCTTTGGGTGATGGGGCCAGCCCAGGGCCGGAGCAGGTGAAGCTGAAGAAGGAGATCTCACTGCTTAACGGCGTGTGCCTGATTGTGGGGAACATGATCGGCTCGGGCATCTTTGTTTCCCCCAAGGGTGTGCTCATATACAGTGCCTCCTTTGGTCTCTCTCTGGTCATCTGGGCTGTCGGGGGCCTCTTCTCCGTCTTTGGGGCCCTTTGTTATGCGGAACTGGGCACCACCATTAAGAAATCTGGGGCCAGCTATGCCTATATCCTGGAGGCCTTTGGAGGATTCCTTGCTTTCATCAGACTCTGGACCTCCCTGCTCATCATTGAGCCCACCAGCCAGGCCATCATTGCCATCACCTTTGCCAACTACATGGTACAGCCTCTCTTCCCGAGCTGCTTCGCCCCTTATGCTGCCAGCCGCCTGCTGGCTGCTGCCTGCATTTGTAAGTGGGGCTGGGGTAGGAGGTGGTGGGTGGAGGGCTGGACAGAGGCTGGGATGTGAGTGCAGTCTGGGAGTAAGAAGGAGATAGAGAGGAATGTCTCTGACAACATATATATATATATATATAGTTAAAGTATGCTTTGTGTGAAAATTCAAACAGTACCACAGTGTATCGCAAAAACACTCACCTTTTCCCCAGCTTCTCACAGTAAGCACTATTAGCAGTTTGCATATTCTTCCTGATTTTTTTTTTTTTTTTTTAAAGAGACAGGTATTTTGCTCTGTCACCCAGACTGGAGTGCAGTGGTGTGATTATACCTTACTTCAGCCTCGAACTTCTAGGCTCAAGCTATCCTCCTGCCTCAGCCTCCTGAGTAGCAGGGACCACAGGCACACTGATTTTTTTTTCTTGTTCCTTCAAGAGATGTAGTTTTGGCAGGGTGTGGTGGCTTATGCCTGTAATCCCAGCACTTTGGGAGGCTGAAGTGGGCAGATCACCTGAGGTCAGGAGTTCGAGACTAGCCTGGCCAACATGGTGAAACCCCATCTCTACTAAAAATACAAAAATTAGCTGGGTGTGGTGGCAGGTGCCTGTAATCCCAGCTACTCAGGAGGCTGAGGCAGGAGAATCGCTTGAACCCAGGAGGCAGAGGTTGCGGTGAGCCAAGATCGCACCACTGCACTCCAGCCTGGGCAACAGAGTGAGACTCTATCTCAAAAAAATAAAAATAAAAAAAAAAGAGGTGTAGTTTTGTTCTTTTACAAAAATGAGGTCATACTAGTCTACATGTAATTCTACAGTGTGCTTTTCCTCTAGCATTATCAGTGACATTCTTTTCTACTTACAGATCTACTTTTTAAAAAATGCTTCATATTATTTCATGTGAATTTTAAGGATGCATAGTAGTTTATTTATCTAGCTGGTCCTCTGTTAATGGCCATGTACGTTGGTTTCAGTTTCTCAGTCTTACAGATAATGCTCCAGTGAATATCTTTTTGCAGCTGCATGAGTATTTCTGTAGGCTGGATTCTTCCTTTTTTTTTTTTTTTTTTTTTGAGATAGAGTCACTCTGTCGCCCAGGCTTGAGTGGTGCAATCTCAGCTCACTGCAACCTCCATCTTCTGGGTTCAAGTGATTCTCCTGCCTCAGCCTCCCTAGTAGCTGGGATTACAGGCATGTGCCACCATGCCTAGCTAATTTTTTTGTATTTTTGGTGGAGACGGGGTTTCACTGTGTTGGCCAGGCTGGACTCGAACTCCTGAGCTCAAGTGATCTACCTGCCTTGGCTTCCCAAAGTGTTGGGATCACAGGCGTGAGCCACTGCACCCGGCCTCTGTGGGCTAGATTTTTAATACTGTCATTTCAGTCCACCTTGGCTTTTTCTCCATCTCATAAATAAAACATTATTTAAATCTGTACATTCAGTAAAGCCATTGGAGGTGCTGAGATGATGATTCTCCATAGCCCCATCCCTCAGATGCCACTATTCTTGAAAAATGCCCTTCCAACCTGGGAGAGCCTAGGACCTTAGAGATGCCTTCCACCCTGCAACTGTGAAGAAGCTCAGACATTCTGTCAATTTGAGGGGCAGCTGCTCTAGCAGTTGGGGCACAGGAATTTTGCACCAGGTGCAATTGCTCATTGGCTCACCGCTCTCCAATCAGTTTGTGTCCTTTTTTCTTTCAATTTCTGTATTGCCCCATTCACTCCTCAACTTCCTTTCCAGCTTCTCTGATTTTACTGTTGTGTAGAGAACTGGCTGTCTTCTGTGGGGTCCTTCTGTGTTTTGTGTGTCCTTGTGTCTGGCCTGGACTCATCTCTGCATATGGGATGTTTGTCATACATGGCAACAGTCAGGGAGGGGTGGAAGGCACTGCTTTGTGTTGCAAGAAGGGGGTTTTCACTGAGGTTTTTTTTTTCCGAGACGGAGTTTCACTCTTGTTGCCCAGGCTGGAGTGCAATGGCACAATCTCGGCTCACCACAACCTCTGCCTCCCGGGTTCAAGTGATTCTCCTGCCTCAGCCTCTCAAGTAGCTGGGATTACAGGCATGTGCCACCACGCCTGGCTAATTTTTGTATTTTTATTAGAGACAGGGTTTCTCCATGTTGGTCAGGCTGGTCTTGAACTCCCGACCTCAGGTGATCCGCCCGCCTTGGCCTCCCAAAGTGCTGGGATTACAGGCATGAGCCACTGTGCCCAGCCTTCACTGAGGTCTTAAATATGATCTGTGATTTCTCTTGCATTACTTGCAGATGATCTGGTAGGTTGCTTACTGGCAAAACTAATTTTAGGATCTATTGGTCTTGGAGCACCCTCAAATGTGGGCATATGGTTAATTATATCATGTGCAGAGAAGGATCATTTCATCTAAGTAATATTTCTAAGATGGCTGCATTCCTTTAAAATACCAGAAATCTATTTTTTTTTTTTTTTTTGAGATGGAGTTTCGCTCTTGTTGCCCAGGCTGGAATGCAATGGCGTGATCTTGGCTCACCGCAACCTCTGCCTCCCAGGTTCAAGTGATTCTCCTGCCTCAGCCTCCCGAGTAGCTGGGATTACAGATGTGCTACCATGCCCGGCTAATTTTGTATTTTTAGTAGAGATGGGGTTTCTCCATGTTGGTCAGGCTAGTCTCGAACTCCGGACCTCAGGTAATCCGCCTACCTCGGCCTCCCAAAGTGCTGGGATTACAGGCATGGGCCACCTTCCCGGCCTTAGAATTCTATTATTTTAACTATCTTTGTCTGTGTCATTTCTGACAGCTCTTGTTCCTCGATTCTGACCTTGTGCCTACCTCTGCCAGTCAACCCTTTTTAATTTTCTGCTGTTGCTGCTTTTTTTTTTTTTTTTTTTTTTTTGAGACAGTGTTTCCCTCTTGTTGCCCAGGCTGGAGTGCAATGGTGCGATCTCAGCTCACTGCAACCTCCGCCTCCCGAGTTCCAGCGATTCTCTTGCCTCAGCCTCCCAAGTAGCTGGGATTACAGGCGCCCGCCACCACGCCAAGCTAATTTTTTGTATTTTTAGAAGAGATGGGATTTCACAGCCACTGCACCTGGCCAATTTTCTGCTTCTAATTTGGGTATAGAGACATACATGTTTAAATCCTCATTCACCCATGTACACATTCACGTGCCTGTACATCCTTGTAAGAATACATGCAAAGGCCGGGTGCAGTCGCTCATGCCTGTAATCCTAGCACTTTGGGAAGCTAAGATGGGCGGATCGTGAAACCCCCTCTCTACTAAAAATACAAAAAAGGCCGGGCATGGTGGCTCACGCCTGGAATCCCAGCACTTTGGGAGGCCGAGATGGGTGGATCACGAGGTCAAGAGATCAAGATCATCCTGGCCAACATGGTGAAACCCCGTCTCTATGAAAAACGCAAAAAAATTAGCTGGGTGTGGTGGTGCGTGCCTATAGTCCCAGCTACTTGGGAGGCTGAGGCAGGGGAATCGCTTGAACCCGGGAGGCAGAGGTTGCAGTGAGCAGAGATCGCGCCATTGCACGCCAGCCTGGGTGACAGAGCCAGACTCTGTCTCAAAAAAAAAAAAAAAAGCTGGGTGTGGTGGTGGGTGCCTATAATCCCAGCTACTAGGGAGGCTGACACAGGAGGAACGCTTGAACCCGGGAAGCAGAGGTTGCAGTAGCCGAGATCATGCTACTGCACTCCAGCCTGGGCCACAGAGCGAGACTCTGTCTCAAAAGACAAAACAAAACAAAACAAAAAGAATACATGCAAAGTAGCCGCAGTTATGGTTCGTATGCAGAGCTCTTCAGTGAGTAAAATGCATAGAGTTTTGTACACACATGTGTGACACACATTTGAGATTTCTCTGATAGAGTGAAAGGTGCACAGCACTTGTGCACACACTTGTGTTTGAGGTTGGGCTCAATAGCTATGTGACCTTGAGCCAGGTGCACTGACTGTTTAATTCCAGGCTGTTGTGAGAATGGAATGAGATTCAGTGAAAACCATGAATTATGAATTATGTTTCAAATTACTGTCTTTCTTGGTCACTTATAGTCCTGTTCCTCTTCCTGCTTCTTGGCTTCATCTGAGTAGTTATGGTTAGATAAATGAAATATTACTGCATAGATAATATCTGGACTTTGTTCTATCTTTGATAACTTCAGAGGAGCATAGAGATCTAAAGAAGGTTCAGAAGGGCAACCAAGACTAAGAATTTAGTGACATATGATTCATGGGTTTATTCCTTCAGCCACTGTTTTGGTTTTGTTTTTTAATTTTCTTTAATAGAGATGGGGTCTCGCTATGTTGCCCAGGCTGGTCTCAAACTCCTGGGCTCAAGCTATCTGCCTGCCTTGGCCTCCCAAAGTGCTAGGATTACGGGCGTGAGCCATTGTGCCTGGTCTTCAGGCACTGTTGAATAAGCACCTGACACAAGTCAGATGCTGGGACCTATGAAGACATTCTGATTAGCCTAAGTGAGAACTTAGGCAGAATCTTCAGATTTAGCAAGAGAAGGGCTTTAATTTAGAGCTTTCATACATTCCCTCCCTTAGAAAAAATTTAATTAGGGCATGCTATGTGTGTGCTAGATATTTTACTTAGTGCTGAAAAACAAAGAAGAATGATGTCTGGCCCTTGCCATTCAATAATTTATAGTCCAGAAAGGAGACTGACATGTTAACAAATAATTGTCATGCAATATAATTTGTACACTGATAGAGGCACCATAAGAGCAAATGGGGCAACTTCTTTTTTTTTTTTTGAGATGAAGTTTCACTCTTGTTGCCCAGGCTGGAGTGCAGTGGTGTGATCTCGCCTCACTCACGCAACCTCCATGTCCCAAGTTAAGCGATTCTCCTGCCCCAGCCTCCTGAGCAGCTGGGATTACAGCTGTGCACCACCACACCCGGCTAATTTTTGTGTTTTTAGTAGAGACGGGGTTTCACCACGTTGGCCAGGCTGGTCTCGAACTCCTAACCTCAGGCGAACTGCCCGCCTCAGCTTCCCAAATTGCTGGGACTACAGGCATGAGCTACCACGCCCGACCTAAATGGGACAACTTTATTTTTGTAGGGGAGGATAGCTTAGGAAGGTATCGCAGAGAACATGGTGTCTGAGCTGAATTTTGAAAATAAATATAGCTGTCTCCTGTGACCTTTCACACAGGAGACTGCATGTGCAAAGGTGTGGAGGTGCAAGGTACAGAATGTTCAGAGAATTCCAGGTCGTTGGTTTGGTATGGTTGGAATGTGGGGTGGGAGAAGGGCGAGGAGACAGCCCTGGGTGAGATGGGTTTTATAATCAGGTTGGACTTTATCTAAAAGATAAGGGGAAGCTATTGTTTATTTTTATATTTTTAGAGATGGGGGTTCTTGCTCTGTCGCCCAGGCAGGAGTGCAGTGGTGCAGTCATAGCTCACTGCAGCCTCCAACTCCTGGCCTCAAGTAATCCTCCTACCTCCTGAGTAGCTAGGATTACAGGTGGGAGCTACAAAGCTACACAGCTACTGATTATTAAGCAGGGGTATGGGGACTAGTGAAATAATGAGACTTAGTTAAAAGGAGAACTCTGGTGGCCACATGGAGAATGTTTTTGGAAAGAGCAAGAGACAGAAGGTGGGGAGACTGGTTTAGGGAGCTGAAACCTGAATCCATGTGAAGGGTGATGAATATCTGCACTGTGGAGTGGCCTTAGGAACAGAGATGAGGGTATGAATAAAGAAATAGTTGGCCCGGCGCGGTGGCTCACGCCTGTAATCCCAGCACTTTGGGAGGCCGAGGCTGGTGGATCTCGAGGTCAGGAGATTGAGACCATCCTGGCTAACACAGTGAAATCCCGTCTTTACTAAAAATACAGAAAAAATTAGCCGGGCATGGTGGCAGGAGCCTGTAGTCCCAGCTACTTGGGAGGCTGAGGCAGGAGAATGGCATGAACCCGGGAAGCGGAGCTTGCAGTGAGCCCAGATCGCGCCACTGCACTCTAGCCTGGGCGACAGAGCGAGACTCCGTCTCAAAAAAAAAAAAAAAAAAAAGTTAACAGTGGACTTTCAAGGACTTTTTGCCGGGGGTCGGGGAGCTCTCACAGGTAAAGCCCTGCCTCCAGCCTTGCCCATAGGTTTCCACCCCAGTATGTTGCTCCCTGTTTAAAATCCTCCAGTGGCTCCTCATATGCTTTAGGATAAAATCTAAATCCCTAGGAAGGTGTGCCTTGTGCTTTTGCCGCTTTGGCCTTCTCATATCCCATAATCCTTCATGCACACCCCATTACCCATATATTCTAGGTATGGGGAATATGGAAGCTCTCAGAGTTCATGAAGCTAGAGATTTGAGCTTGGACAGGTGTGGGTGATGGGGCTGCCATCTAAAATAGGGAAGGTGGGCTGAGTGTGAGGTAGACAGGGCATCCAAGTCTTCTGCCAGGCTGCTTATGTGGCCCTTCCATGAGCAGCGCCTTCTTTGGGTGTCATGACACAGATTTGGGTCATTTTCCCAGCAGTTGAGTCACGCTTACCTAAAAAAAGAGGTCGATATGGTGAAACCCTGTCTCTACTAAAACACAAAAAAATTAGCCGGGCATGATGGCGGGCACCTGTAATCCCAGCTACTTGGGAGGCTGAGGCAGGAGAATCGCTTGAACCTGGGAGGTGGAGGTTGCAGTGAGCCGAGATTGCACCATTGCACTCTAGCCTGGGCGACAGAGCAAGACTCTGTCTCAAAAAAAAAAAAAAAAAAAAAAAAAAGAGATTGATGTGTGAATGATAATGTCAGTTTACTGATGTATGTACAGTTTTTTTTTTTTTTTTTTTTTTGAGACAGAGTCTCGCTATGTCAGTAGGCGGAGGTTGCAGTGAGCCGAGATCCCAGCTTCAAGCGATTCTCCTGCCTCAGCCTCCCGAGTGGCTGGGATTACAGGCTCCTGCCACCACACCCAGCTAATTTTTGTATTTTTAGTAGAGACGAGGTTTCACCATGTTGGCCAGGATGGTCTCAATCTCCTGACCTCGTGATCTGCCCGCCTCAGCCTCCCAAAGTGCTGGGATTACAGGCGTGAGCCACCGCCCTCGGCCTTTGATGTATGTACAGTTTATTGATGAGCATACATGGGTAATTTCTTTTTTTAAAATTTTTATTTATTTAATTTTTCTTCCACTTTTATTTTAAGTTCCAGGGCACATGTGCAGGATGTGCAGCTTTGTTACATAGGTAAACATGTGCCATGATTGTTTGCTGTACAGATCAACCCATCACCTGGGTATTAAGCCTAGCATCCATTAGCTATGATTCCTGATGCCCTCCCTCTACCAACCTCTACCGACAGGCCCCAGTGTGTGTTGTTCTTCCCCCGCATTTGTCTATGTGTTCTCACCGTTCAGCTCCCACTTATAAGTGAGAACATTTGGTGTTTGGTTTTCTGTTCCTACATTAGTTTGCTGAGGATAATGGCTTCCAGTTTCATCCATGTCCCTGCAAAGGACATGATCTCATTCCTTTTTATGGCTGCATACTATTTCATGGTATATATGTACCACATTTTCTTACTTGCCGTACCTTTCTTTTTCTTTTGAGACTGAGTCTTGCTCTGTCACCTAGGCTGGAATGCAGTGGCATGATCTTGGCTAACTGCAACCTCTGCCTCCTTGTTTTGAGTGGTTCTCTGCCTCAGCCTTCTGAGTAGCTAGGATTACAGGAGCCCACCACCACACCTGGCTAATTTTTGTATTTTTAGTAGATATGGAGTTTCCCCATCTTGGCCAGGCTGGTCTTGAACTCCTGACCTTGTGGTCCACCTGCCTTGGCCTCCCAAAGTGCTGGGATTACAGGCATGAGCCACTGCACCTGGCCAGGTGTTCCTTTTTCTCTGCAAACTTGTCAGCATCTGTTGTTTCTTGCCTTTTTTTGTTTGTTTGTTTTTTGTTTTTTGAGACGAAGTTTCACTCTTGTTGCCCAGGCTGGAGTGCAATGGCACAATCTCGGCTCAATGCAACCTCCGCCTCCCAAGTTCAAGGAATTCTCCTGCCTTAGCCTCCTGAGTAGCTGGGATAACAGGCGTACACACCCCCATGCCCAGCTAATTTTGTATTTGGCTAATTTTGTATTGTTAGAGACGGGGTTTCTCCATGTTGGTCAGGCTGGTCTTGAACTACTGACCTCAGGTGATCCACCTGCCTCAGCCTCCCGAAGTGCTGGGATTACAGATGTGAACCACCATGCCTGACTGTTTCTTGACTTTTTAATTATTGACATTCTGACTGACGTGAGATGATTTCTCATTGTGGTTTTGATTTGCATTTCTCTAATGATCAGTGCTGTTGAGCTTTTTTTCATGTTTGTTGGCCGCATGAATGTCCTCTTTTGAGAAGTGTTTGTTCATGTCCTTTTCTCACTTTTTAATGGGATTGTTTGTTTCTTTCTTGTAAATTTGTTTAAATTCCTTGTAGACTCTGGTTATTAGACCTTTTTCAGATGGATAGATTGCAAAAATTTTCTCCCATTCTGTAGAGGTTGTCTCTTCCCTCTGATGATAATTTATTTTGCTGTGCAGAAGCTCTTTAGTTTAATAAGATCCCATTTGTCAATTTTTGCTTTTTTGGCAATTGCTTTTGGTATTTTTGCCATGAAATCTTTGCCCGTGCCTATGTCCTGAATGGTATTGCTATAAAACCCTAGATTTTTTTCTAGGGTTTTTATAGTTTTGGGTTTTACATTTAAGTCTTGAATCCATCGTGAGTTAATTTTTGTATAAGATATAAGGAAGGGCTCCAGTTTCAATTTTCTGCATATGGCTAGGCAGTTCTCACAGCACCATTTATTAAATACGGAATCCTTTCCCACATGAGTAATTTCTAATGACCAGAAGGTGTGTGTTCACTATCAAGGCATCCCCTCCCTGATACCCTAGTAACTGGGAAACCAATCTAGTAATCAGGAAGTTGCTTGCAGGGTGTGGAATTGGAACAAAAGAAGAAAGTTTGAATAATTTGAGAAATTTTTTCTGAACATGTTGGGCTCTATAAAGCATGGAACTGAAAGGTGGAGCCCCTGCCTGTAGGGAACGCACAGTGTGGTGGGAAGCGAGGTAGACATAGTCACTTAAACATGTATATGTGGCAGGTGCTTGCAGGGGTGGAGAGTGGCTTGTTCAGGGGATGATGTCTGCATCAGCACTGAAGGATGAAAGGAGTCAGGCTGGGCTGAAGCACCCACATTTCTACCGTGGCCTATGTGGCCCTACTCCACCTGACTTCTTTGATTCACCTTGGACTTCTTGCCCTCACTTTGTCTGCTCCAGCTACACTGGCCTTCTTGCCTCTCCTGCATTTTCCTGGCACATACATGTCTCAGGGATTTTGTATTTGTTTCTTCTGCAAGGAAGGCACGTCTCCAGATGCCTGCAGAGCTTATTCCCTTACTCCATTCACCTCTTTGCAAAAATAGTACCTTACTAGAGACCTATCGTATCTAAAATGGTCACTCTCAGTTCCCCATCCTGTTTTCTTTTTCTTTTTTTTTGAGATGGTGTCTCGCTCTGTTGCCCAGGCTGGAGTGCAATGGCACGATCTCAGCTCACTGCAACCTCCGCCTTCCGGGTTCAAGCGATTCTCCTTCCTCAGCCTCCTGTGTAGATGGGATTACAGGCGCTGCCACTGTGCCTGGCTAATTTTGGTATTTTAGCAGAAATAGGGTTTCACCATGTTAGTCAGGCTGGTCTCAAACTCCTGACCTCAGGCGATCTGCCCGCCTTGGTCTCCCAAGGTGCTGGGATTACAGGCATGAGCCACCGTGCCTGGCCTCTTTTTCTTTATAACAGTGTTCAACACATCATTTACTTGTCTCTCTTTCCCTCTAGAATATAAACATATGTGAATAAGGACTTTGTTTTACTCACTGCTGAATCACCAGCACATAGAACAGTGCCTGGTATCTGCTAGGTGCTCAATAATTGTATGTTGAATGAAGAAGGGGGCAGGACGTTTTAGGCACAGGGAAAGCCAATGTAAAGGCACAAGATGAAAAAAATGTATGGGGTGTGGGGGTGCATGGGGGATTGTGGGATATGAGGGGACCAAGATGGGCAAGGGGCTAGAACACAAGGTATATCTTTGTAGGGTTTTAGAATTTATTCAAAGCATATGAGGAACCATTAAAGGACTTTAAACAGGGGAGTGATATAGCTGGGGTGGAACTTAGGGGACAAGGCTGGAGGCAGAGACACTATTAGGAAGCTCTTGTAGCAATCCAGGCAGGAAATGACAAAAACCTGAACTACGGTGATGGCAGTTGGGGTGGACAAGGAAGGATAGATCTGAGCACAATTTAGAAGGTATAATCAATACAACCAATGAGACCTATTAAGATGTCAAGTATAAGGGAGAGGGAAGTGTCAAGGAAAACATCTACCATCTTGTAAGTTTTGTGCCAGAAGAGCTGTGCCTATCTATAATCCACTGTATCCCCAGCAAGGAAACAGAGAAGCTTGATAAATATTTTTTTTGTTTGTTTGTTTGGTTGTTGTTGTTGTTGTTTTGAGACAGAGTCTTGCTCTGTCGCCCAGGCTGGAGTACAGTAGCAGGATCTTGGCTCACTGCAACCTCTGCCTCCCGGGTTCAAGGGATTCTCCTGCCTCAGTGTCCTGAGTAGCTGGGACTACAGGTGCATGTCACCCCGCCCTGCTAATTTTTGTATTTTTAGTACAGATGGGGTTTCACCATGTTGGCCAGGCTGGTCTCGAACTCCTGAACTCAAGTGATCTGCCTGCCTCGGCCTCCCAAAGTGCTGGGATTGCAGGCGTGAGCCACCTACCGTGCCCGGCCCTCAATAAATAGTCTTTGAATGAAGAGATGATGTTTCTGGTTTAGACAATTTGTAGGCAGTGATATCATTTACTGTGAGGAGGAGGATGGGGGCATGTTGAATTTGGAATTTATTTTTAGCATAGTAGGCAGATATGCTCTTTGGAATTTAGGAAAGAGATAGGGTTGGAGATTAAACATTCAACAAGTATTTGCGAAGAGGTTGCCACGTTCCCTGCACTGTCATTGTCTTTTTGGAGCACTTTATGTGTGTGCGTGGGTGTGTGTGACCGCATGCATGGGTGCATGCCGGGGTCAGGATGGGCAACCCAATACAGGGATTTTTGTTTTGTTTTGTTTTTTTGAGACGGAGTCTCGCTCTGTCACCAGGCTGGAGTGCAGTGGCGCAATCTCAGCTCACTGCAACCTCTGCTTCCCAGGTTCAAGAGATTCTCCTGTCTCCTCCTGAGTAGCTGGGACTACAGGCATGCACCACCATGCTCAGCTAATTTTTGTATTTTTTAGACGGGGTTTCACCATGTTGGCCAGGATGGTCTTGATCTCTTGACCTCATGATCCGCCTGCCTCGGCCTCCCAAAGTGCTGGGATTACAGGCGTGAGCCACCGTGCCTGGCCTCTGATACAGGGTTTTAATGGATTGTGATGGTGTTGTGATTTGCAAGGTAGAACAAGGCACAGGAGGAGACCAGTCCTAACCTAGGCATTTAGAAACCATTCCTGTAGAAGTTTGAGCTGATACCTGAATGGCGAAGAAGAATTAATCAAGAGTAGAAGAGGAGTGTTCCAAGCAGCAAGAACAGAATGTATGAAAACCTAAATGCCAGAAGTGCTCCTTTCAGGCACTGAAAGGAGTTCAGGGTGGGCTGCAGTGTTGAATTTCAGGAAGAAAAGGTTGAGAGTTGGCTTGCAGAGGTAAATAGAGTCAAGGCATAGGTTGTTCAAAGCTTTATAAGCTGTGCTAGTTATTATTGTGCTATAACAAATAGTCTAAAACGTAGTGTCTTAAAACAGTAGTCATTTTTTTTATGATTTCTGTGGCTTAGAAATTTGGGAAGGGCTTAGTGGGACAGTTCTAGGTCAGGGTCCCTCATGTGGTTGCAGCAGATGGTGACAGGAGCTGGAAAAACGGTTGCTGAGGAAGTTGCAGACAATCTGGGCTTCTTTTTTTTCTTTTTTTGAGGTGGAGTCTTGCTCCGGTTGTGCAGGTTGGAGTGCAGTGGCGCGATCTCGGCTCACTGCAACCTCCACCTCTCAGATTCAAGCAATTCTCCTTCCTCAGCCTCCTGAGTAGCTGGGATTACAGGCGTGCCCCACCACGCCCGGCTAATTTTTATATTTTTAGTAGAGACGGGGTTTCACCGTGTTGGCCAGGTTAGTCTTGAACTCCTGACCTCAGGTGATCTACCCGCCTCGGCCTCCCAAACAAAGTGTTAGGATTACGGGTGTGAGCCACCGCACCCGGCCTTCTTTATCAAATTGTGTCAGTCTTTCCATGTGGTCTTTCCGTATGGACTGTGTTGAGCTTTCTCACAGCGTGGTGACTCGTGGGCAGTCAGACTGCTTATGCAGGCAGCTGAAAGCGTCCAGAATGAGTGTTGTAGCACCCAAAGTGGAAGTTGCATTGCCTTTTATGACCTAGTCTCTGAAGTTGCATGGTGTCAATTCTGTCATACTCTATAGGTAGAGGCATTCACAGAAGACCATCCAGTTTCGAGAAGAGGGGTACAGACCCTGCCTCTTGATGGGTAGAGTGTCAAAGTCACATTGTAAGAAAGGAATATGGGATGGGAGACGTTGAGGCATATTGGAAAACTCCAATCTATTGCACCAACTATATTAAGGAGTTTGGTGGGCTGTCTTCTAAGGCAATGAGAAAACTCTTAAGGCCTTTAAAAGCAGAAGAGTGGCATTTGTGATTTAGATTTTAGAATTTGTGAGTTTAAGAAAGATTAGTTTTTCTATGTAGGATTGAAAGCTGGGAGACAGGTGGGAAGCTGCTGCTATGATCCTAGTGAGAAATGATGGTGGCTTGGACTAGAGTCATGTTTTGGGGACAGGGAGACTTAAGACTTGGACTATGAGTAGATATGAGTGGAAGTTGTTGATGACAATAACATGCCCAGGTCTTTGGCTTGCATAAATGGGTGGATGGTGACGCCAGTTACTTGTATGGGGAACACCGAAGGTGCAGTAGGTTTGGGAGAAATTGATGGAATCAGTTTTGGACATGTTGAGTTTGATGTGCCTGGTAATGTCCAGTAGGTGGTTGAATATTCATATATATCTAGAATCATGACAGTTGGGCTGATGATATACTTTTGGGAGTCATCATTGTATATATGGTTATTGAAACCATAGGAACAGGCCAGGGCGGTGGCTCACACCTGTAATCCCAACACTTTGGGAGGCTGAGGTGGGCTGATCACTTGAGGCCAGGAGTTCGAGACCAGCCTGGCCAACATGGCGAAACCCTGTCTCTACTAAAAATACAAAAACTAGCCGGGCATGGTGGTGTGCACCTGTAGTCCCAGCTACTCTGGAGGCTGAGGCAGGAGAATCGCTTGAACCCTGGAGGAAGAGGTTGCAGTGAGCCGAGACAGCTCCACTGCACTCCATCTTGGGTGACAGAGCAAGATTCTGTCTCAAAAAAAAAAAAAAAAAAAAAAAAGAAAGAAAAAAATAAAAAGAAAAAGAAACCACAGGAACAGATGAGATGACCTTGGGACAAGATGTAGAAAGGGAGGACAAAGGGGCTTAGAAGCATTCTGAGGAATACCCACATTTGAGGGATAGGTATTTTGTGAAAAGATGGAGAAGGAGCATCTAGAGAGATAGGTGGAAACCTGGAAGATGGTGAGTGGAAGGGAGTGAATTGAGAAGGAATGAATGACTACCTGTGTCCAATCTGCTAAGAGGTCAAGCTAGGTAAAGATTGAGTATAGTTGATTGGATTTATTGATATGAAGGTCACTGGTGGCTTTTCATGTGGGCTTTCTCCTAAGGCAATGAAATTTCAGGGCAGTGAGGGTGAAATCAGGTTTCAGAAATATCATTTATTCACCCAGCAAAATGTATTAAGTGTTACTGTGTGTCTAGTTCAGGACTATGCCCATGGGTACAAGGATAACTGTTATCCACTCTCTGCCCTCACACAGCTCTCGTGGGTGGGAGAGACATATGTACACTGTTCTAATGCAGTGTAGTTAATTGGGGAGGTGAGAGCACAGAGCAAGGGCAGCATACCAGAGGTGGCAGGTTTACACTCAAAAATAGCCTTTCTGGAGGAGCTATTAAGTTTAAAATAAGGAATAAAATGTCATTTGGAATTGGCAACTCAGAGGGTCAAAGGAAAACTTTTGCAGGGTGAAAGAGGAAGGAGTTGCAACATCTCAGACTGCATTGTAGAGACCCAGGAACGGGAAGGAATGTAGACATGCTCTTCAGATGAATGATTCTGAAAGCATGGAGGGTGATTGTTAGAGGAAAGGACCAAGGTTGAGGGACGATTTTATGAAAAAGAGTTAAGCCTGCCTTAGGTTGGTTGAGGTATGTTTCTGGAAAAGTTGGATGAAATATCTCTACCCTACAATGATGCCTTCTCCATGGCTGTAATGATTGGGTGCCCTGAGTCAGACTTCTTTTTCTTGAACAGTGTAGGGGATACCCTTATCCCTTTGGAAGGCACTGGTGCATGGTGGTGAACAGCGTGGAATCAGGCAGGATTCAATCAATGCTAGGTCAAATTTATTAGCCTCAGTTTCCTCTTGTTCTCCTTCTCCTTCTCCTTTTCCTCCTTCTCCTTCTTCTTCTTCTTTTTTTTTGACAGAGTTTCACTCTTGTTGCCCAGTCTGGAGTGCAGTGGCGTAATCTCAGTTTACTGCAACCTCCGCCTCCTGGGTTCAAGCGATTCTCCTGCCTCAGCCTCCCGAGTAGCTGGGATTACAGGTGCCCACCACTATGCCCGGCTAATTTTTTGTATTTTTAGTAGAGATGGGGTTTCACCATGTTGGCCAGGCTAGTCTGAAACTCCTGACCTCAGGTGATCTACCTTCCTCGGCCTCTCAAATTGCTGGGATTACAGGCATGAGCCACCGTGCCCAGCCCTCAGTTCTCTCTTCTATAAAATGGGGTCCCTACCTCATAGAAATGTGATCTATATTTGTACCATATTTTCATCTTTTTCTATTCAAATCATGACAGTTTCCAAAGAGCAAACACAGAGTCTCTGCTCCTGCCAGTTGTTTGCAGTCTTTTGGCAGGCATAGTCTACCTTTAGAGCTGTTGAACTACAGCCCTAGATAGTCTGGTATTACTAATAGACCTTGAAATCATTTACTGGTTATTGCTTAAGTAGGTTTTTTTATACGGGTGGTTGACTTCATTCATTGCTGATTTCATTGTCAGGGTAATAACGTTTTGCCCTCTCTGTCAGGAATATTGCTTCCCCTCCCCCACCCCAGCAGCAGCCTCCATGCACTCAGTCCAGATAACAGTGATCCTGGTGCTTGCCTGCACCCCATTCACTCCTCCAGTGACGTGTGGGTAGATAGGTTGCCTCTCAGTGACTTTCATAGCAACTGATTCTTGTAATTGTCAATGTCCACTTTTGAGTGAAGGCTGGAGACTGGATCTTAATCTCAGAGCCTGCACAGGGCCTGGAACACAGTGGGTACTCAATATAAGCTTAATGAATGAATGAATGAGTGAGTGAGTGAAGGAATTCTGAGTTTTGAAGGAGCCTCACTGTCCTGTCTAGGGTAGTAGAAATGGTTGCTTTTCCCAAACAGAGAGGTGTGCAGATGGCACCTCCTGAAGCTGCTTATTCTGACTTCTTGGAGAAATTCGTGGACTGCCCCAGTGCTCTGAAGTTCTAGGCATCTCCATTACCACAGGGGGAGATAATCCCACTCCCCGTCTCACATTCTTGCATACAGTTAGGGAGGTATGTGGTGTGGTGGAATGGATGTAGGCTTTGGAGCTAGTCACTGCCTGACCTCAGTTTTCTCAAGTGTAAAATAAAGATAATAAAACTTACTCTCTGTCAGATTAAATTAGAAGATAGGTGTAAGTACATAGTGACCTGGCACACAGTTGTCAGTTAAAAATAGTATCTATTACTGCAAGTTATATTCATATCATATGCATCTTATTGATTTCTAAAAGCTTTACCTTCCGCATGCTGTCTTTGGATGACTTAAAAGCAGTTTACATTTTACTTCACAATAGCTCAGGGATCAGAAAGGAGGGCTGAGCCTTTTCTTTCTGTTTTGCAAGAGAGGTGGAACTTTCCTCTCAGCAAGAGGATAGGTGTCCAGAAGTCCAGCTCCACCCGACTGTCCTTTCCTCAGAGCCAAGGTGTTTTGGCCCACTGTTCACAGGTGGACATGACTGTTCTTGCCTTACCTACACTTGCCCACACTGAGACCTAGTTGTTTTGCCATTCAGGACACTACCAGGACATTTTTACCATCTATGCCTTCAGTATGTCCCCTGTACCAGTGAGTCAGCAGTACCTGGCAGTTCAGGGCTCTTTGTTTACAGAGTACTGTTCTTCAGGGATCAGGCAAAGATTCTTCGTGTCATACACATGTGGCCACAGTGAATTGCATGTAGTGGGTTCTTCAATAAATGTTGGCTGGATGAATGAACAGAAGATATGATTCCAGGTTCAACTTGGCTGAGAAGGGTATTTCGTGCTTTTGCCTTTCAGGGTGCTGGTGGGGGCTGAGGGTTGCTGTGGGAAGGGGGCAGACAGCTTACCCTGAGTCTGCCAGAGCCGCTGTGGGCTGTGAAGGACTTTGGATCTCTGTGTGTCTGAGAGCTTTGGCCAGGTGTCCTCGTGCAGCTTCTCCTGGTACCAGAATGACTGATCTCATGTACTTGTGGCTAATGAGGTGGAACAGTCAGATGCTGGGCCCCCCAACGGACTTTTGCCCTTTGAACCTTCTACTTGGAAGCTAGTTGCCTTTTTCAGAGGGCTTTTCCCAAGAGCCATCTGAGGGTGGAGGTGAAGAAACTTACCTTTTCTGGCCCATATTCACCTCAAGAAATAGGCTTTCATCAGAGCCTTGGGTTCTAGTGTGGGTTTGTTGTGAACTTTGGAACAAACTCTTGACCAGCAGTGAAGGGGTAGACCTTTATGCTGCTTTGATCATCAAGTCCCTTTGGGGGCTCATCCTTGCTCTCTTCCTTTCTATGTTCTATGTTTCTATGTTCCTTTCTTTTTCTCTCTGCCTCAGAAGAAGCTGGGCAGGTAGCCTAGAGGAGGTTGCGGAAGATGCTGGGCAGCAGTGGGTCCTAACTCTGGCTGTGGATTGGAATCATCTGGAGAATTAAGAAAACAAGGCCGGGCACGGTGGCTCACGCCTGTAATCCCAGCACTTTGGGAGGCCGAGGCGGGCAGATCACAAGGTCAGGAGATTGAGACCATCCTGGCTAACATGGTGAAACCCGTCTCTACTAAAAATACAAAAAATTAGCTGGGTGTGGTGGCAGGCGCCTGTGGTCCCAGCTACTCGGGAGGCTGAGGCAGGAGAATGGTGTGAACCCGGGAGGCGGAGCTTGCAGTGAGCCGAGATTGCACCACTGCACTCCAGCCTGGGCGACAGAGTGAGACTCTGTCTCAATTAAAAAAGAAAAGAAAAGAAAAGAAAAGAAAAGAAAAGAATAGAAAAGAAAGAAAGAAAGAAAGAAAGAAAGAAAGAAAGAAAGAAAGAAAGAAAGAAAGAAAGCAAGCAAGCAATACTCAGATTGGGCACGGTGGCTCACACCTGTAATCCTAGCATTTTGGGAGACTGAGGTAGGAGGATGGCTTAAGCTCAGGAGACCAGTCTGGAGAACTTGGTCTCTACAAAAAAAAAAAAAAAAAATTAATTGGGCATGGTGGTGCATGCCTGTAGTCCCAGCTACTCAGGTGGCTGAGGTGGGAGGATTGTTTAAGCCCATTTGGTCCAAGCTGCAGTGAGCCAAGATTGTGCCACTGCATTCCAGCATGGGCAACAGAGTGAGACGCTGTCTCAAAAAAAAAAAAAAAAAAAAAAGAAAGAAAGAAAACAATACTCATCACTCCCACTCCCTGACTACATAAATCTGAACCACTGGGGAGAAGAATGAGATGAGAATTGGCTTGGAGAACGAGAATTAAGGAAGCAGAAAAATTGCTTTTGAGGAGAATTGATGAGGGTCTTGTGTCACTAGAGGTGGGAAAAGCCGTTCTCAATTGTCACCATGCTTCAGAGTCACCTGGGGAGTTTTAAAAACATGCCGATGCCTGGGTTCCACCCCAGAATTTCTGACTTCATTGGTCTGGGTGGGGCCTGAGCACTGGACTGTTAAAGCTCGTCAAGTGATGCTAGTTTGCAGCCAGGATAGAGGAGCCTTGAGTTAGCAAAGGGTTGCGACTGTTCTGATACAGCTGCTCTGTGTGTGGTTATTTCCGTAGGTGATTACCTAAGGAAACACACCCAGAGAAGCAGATCCTCAGATTAGCCTGCGAAACTGTCTCAGGTCTCCTGCATCAGAACCTCTGGGGTGTGGGGCCCTGAAGTTGTGGGTCGACAAATTCCTCAGGTGGTACTGATGCTCACTCAGGCTTGAGATCTGGTACCTGAGGACTTGAACTGACCCCTAGCTAAGCAAACCAATAAGGATTGGATTTACACGGCTTGGAGAAGGGACTCACGGGGTTGTTACTATAAGACCCTCCTGGTACAAACTGCCTGCTTGCTCCCTCAGAGTGGTCAGAGCCACAGGGACCAAAGTGCTGACTGAGTTCCAGGAAGGAGAGCGGGAGGACTCTGATCCAGTGACCCACAGGGATTGCATTTGGTGTGTCTTCTTGCCAGAGGTGTAACTGCCCAAGGGGTTCACCTTGCCCACTGCCTAGACAGAGCCAATTCTTCAAGACAGGGATATTGCAATAATGAGTAATTCACACAGAGCCGGCTGTGCGGGAGACCGGAGTTTTATTATTACTCAAATCAGTCTCCCCGAACATTCTGGGAGCAGAGTTTTTAAGGATAACTTGGTGGGTCAGGGGAAGCCAGTGAGCCAGGAGTGCTGATTAGTTAGAGATGAAATCACAGGGAATCAGAGCTGTCTTCTTGCTCTCAGTCAGTTCCTGGGTGGGGGCCACAAGATCAGCTAAGCCAGTTTATTGATCTGGGTGGGGGCCAGCTGATCCACCAAGAGCAGGGTCTACAAAATACCTCAAGCACTGATCTTAGGAGCAGTTTAGGGAAGGTCAGAATCTTGTAGCTTCCAGCTGCGTGACTCCTAAACCATAATTTCTTTTTTTTTTTCGAGATGGAGTCTTGCTCTGTCACCCAGGCTGGAGTGCAGTGGTGTGATATTGGCTCACTGCCACCTCCACCTCCCGAGTTGAAGTAATTCTCCTGCCTCAGCCTCCCTAGTAGCTGGGGTTACAGGTGCACGCCACCACACCCAGCTAATTTTATTTTTTATTTTTAGTAGAGACAGGTTTTCACCATGTTGCCCAGGCTGGTCTTGAACTCCTGACCTCAGGTGATCCGCCCTCCTATGGCTCCCAAAGTGCTGGGATTACAGGCATGAGCCACCGTGCCCAGCCCTAAACCATAATTTCTAATCTTGTGGCTAATGTTAGTCCTACAAAGGCAATCTAGTCCCCAGGCAAGAAGGAGGTCTGCTTTGGGAAAGGGCTGTTATCCTCTTTGTCTAAATTATAAACTAAGTTTCTCCCAAAGTTAGTTCAGCCTATGCCTGGGAATGAATAAAGGCAGCTTGGAGGTTAGAAGCAAGATGGAGTCAGTTAAGTTAGATCTCTTTCACTGTCTCAGTCAAAATTTTGCAATTACAGAGGCTCTCACCCATGACACCTGAGTAAGCGAATTGGTTGTTTCTTTAAAATTTTTATTTTAATTGGCTGGGCGTGGTGGTTTACGCCTGTAATCCCAGCACTTTGGGAAGCCGAGGCGGGCGGATTACGAGGTCAGGAGATCGAGACCATCCTGGCTAACACGGTGAAACCCTGTCTCTACTAAAGAATACAAAAAATTAGCTGGGCTTGGTGGCGGGCGCCTGTAGTCTCAGCTACTTGGGAGGCTGAGGCAGGAGAACGGCATGAACCCGGGAGGCGGAGGTTGCAGTGAGCCAAGATCGCACCACTGCACTCCAGCCTGGGCGACAGAGCGAGACTCTGTCTTTAAAAAAAAAAAAAAGATATTTTTCTTTTCTTTTCCTTTCTCTCTCTCTCTCTCTCTCTCTCTCTCTTTCTTTCTTTGAGACGGGGCCTCACACTATCATCCAGGCTGGAGTGCAGTGGTGCAATCTCGGCTCACTGCAACCTCCGCCTCCTGGGTTCAAAATGATTCTCCTCTCTCAGACTCCCAGGTAGCTAGGATTACAGGCGTGCGCCACCACGGCTGGCTAATTTTTGTATTTTTAGTAGAGACGGGGTTTTGCCATGTTGGTCAGGCTGGTCATGAACGCTTGACCTCAGGTGATCCGCCCACTTCGGCTTCCCAAAATGCTGGGATTACAGGTGTGAGCCACCACCACGCCTGGTCAAAAATGTTATTTTATTTTCTGAGACGAAGTCTTGCTTTGTTGCCCAGGCTGGTGTGCAGTAGCATGGTTATGGGCTCAATCCTGCACTCAAGTGACCTTCCCACCTCAGCCTTCCAAGTAGCTAGGACCATCAGTGTGCACCACCAAGTCCAGCTAATTTGTAATTTTTTTGTAGAGAAAGGGTCTTGCTATGCTGCCCAGGCTGGTCTCCAACTCCTGGCCTCAAGTGATCCTCACGTCTTGGCCTTCCAAAGTGCTGGGATTATAGGCATGAGCCACTGCACCTGGAGTAAAAGGTTTCTGTAGTCTGAAAGGTAAAATAATTTGAAGGCCATCTGCTATCTGAGAGAAATAACAGCACCTAGGGAGAGTGGAAGAAATAATGTATCAAAGAAGCCAGGGTGAAATTGTGATTTCAAGGTGTAGAGAGTTTCCAGGCCGGGCGCGGTGGCTCAAGCCTGTAATCCCAGCACTTTGGGAGGCCAAGGCGGGTGGATCACGGGGTCAGGAAATTGAGACCATCCTGGCTAACATGGTGAAACCCCGTCTGTACTAAGAGTACAAAAAAATTAGCCGGACGTGGTGGCGGACGCCCGTAGTCCCAGCTACTCGGGAGGCTGAGGCAGGAGAATGGCGTGAACCCAGGAGGCGGAGCTTGCAGTGAGCCGAGATGGCGCCACTGCACTCCAGCCTGGGCGACAGAGCGAGACTCCATCTCAATTAAAAAAAAAAAAAAAAAGGTGTAGAGATTTTCCCAAACCAACATTAGACAAAACAAATGGGGATGCAGCAAAGAAAAGGAAGAAGAGACTTGAAATCTCTGGGTTTAGGTAACAGATATGAGGCGTTTCCAGAGAGCTTATATCTGGACCTTCTGAGGAAACAGCAGTGGTAGAGTATTTTGGAGACACCAGGGTATTAGCAGGCCTGAGTATGCCAGTTGTGGGGTTTGGCCTTCCCCCAGGAATAGTGTGCATCTGACTATACACAGACCCAGCCTAACCTAGAAATGTGCAGTTTTTCTGAGCAACATGTGACCAAGAGCTTGCTCACACCAATTAAGCCTAGGGACTGCTATCCTTCTGCTAATTGCTGTGGGATGAATGATGTCACCAGTCAGAAGATAGCTGAGATGTCTCACTGGTGACGTGAAGTTTAAAGTAGCAAACTGAGTGGCAGGTGGAATTTTCGTCTCTTTGTCAGCTGAAGGCTGTGTATGTGAAAGAAAAAAGAACACAGAACAGAGTTCCTAACCGTAAATTCTAAGATTCTAAGATACCAGAAAGATAAACTCCTGGTAAGGGATAGAGGAGGTTTATAGGGATTGGGAGAGATGTGTATAATAAGGCTTTAGAATGGAAATTTTAGAGGCAAGGAGAAAAATGCCTAGATAAAAGTATAAATCTGGGTATTTTGGAGACTACATAGCAGAGAATAAAGGCAGAGAGGAGTTGCTCAGTAACGCATTTGGAGAAAATGGGATGGAAGATCAGAAATGATGCTTTTGAACTCTTATCTACAAATATTACAAGTAAGGCTAATAAACGTATTTGACCTTTTTTTTTTTTTTTTGTGAGACGGAGTCTCGCTCTGTCACCAGGCTGGAGTGCAGTGGCGCGATCTTAGCTCACTGCAACCTCCGCCTCCTGGGCTCAAGTGATTCTCCTGCCTCAGCCTCCCCAGTAGCTGGGACTACAGGCGCACACCACCACACCCAGCTAATTTTTGTATTTTTAGTAGAGACGGGGTTTCACCATGTTGGCCAGGATGGTCTCAATCTCTTGAACTCGTGATTCGTCTGCCTCCGCCTCCCAAAGTGCTGGGATTACAGGCATGAGCCACTGTGCCCGGCCCGTATTTGACCTTTTACTGAAAGGAGGAAACAATTTCATAGGCATCAGCGATATTTGATTAGAATATGATAATGAAAGAGTATACTTTGTTCAAAAATGATGATTTGCTAGAAGAGCTGGGATTCATGTAGTACATTAAAGAGAGAGGTACATACTTGTTTGAGGATCTGCTATCATAAGGGATGCCTGCCTTCTTTGCATAAGGTCACATTTAGATTCTTTTGATTGCAGTGAGAGGGAAATTTCAGTACACCAAGATCCAGTGAGCTGTCAAGGGTTTCACTTCCCCTTTCTCCATTTTTCAACAAATGTAATGAATAGTACCACCCAGTGCTACTTCCAGTTTTCTGCCTGCAGTTAGGTTTTTTTTTTTTTTTTTTTTTTTTTTTTGAGACAGTCTTGCTCTGTCACCCAGGCTGGAATGCAGTGGTGCAATCAAGGATCACTGCAGCCTTGACCTCCCCAGGCTCAAGCAATTCTCCCACCTTAGCCTCCTGAGTAGTTGAGACTACAGGTGCACGCCACCAGGCCCAGCTAATTTTTGTATTTTTTGTAGAATCAGGGTTTCTCTATGTTGCCCAGGCTGGTTTCAAACTCCTGAGCTCAAGGGATCAGCCCACCCTGGCCTCCCAAAGTGCTGGAATTACAGGAGCGAGCCACTGTGCCCAGCCAACATATGAGTTTTCTATTGCTTCTCTAACAAGTTACCACCAATTGAGTGGCTGAAAACAACACAAATTTATCATCTCATAATTCTGGAGGTCAGAAGTCTGAAATGGGTCTCACTGGGCTAATATGAAGTAGCACTGTGTTTCTTTCTGGAGGCTTAAGGAGAGGATCCATCTTCTTGCCTTTCCCAGCTTCTAGAGTCTCATGGACCCTTCCATTTTCAAAGTCAGCAGTAACTGGGAGAGTCTTTCTCATATTGTACTACTCTGACATTGACCTTTCTGCCTCCCTCTTTCATCTTTAAGAACTTTTGTGATTACATTGGGCCCACCCAGAGAATACAGAATGATTTCCCTGTTTTGTCACTTGATTAGCAATCTTCATTCTGTCTGCAACTTTTTTCTTTTTTTTTTTTTTTTTTGAGCCAGAGTCTTGCTCTGTTGCCCAGGCTGAAGTGCAGTGGTGTGATCTTGGCTCACTGCAACCTCCGCCTCCTGGGTTCAAGCAATTCTCCTGCCTCAGCCTCCTGAGTAGCTGGGATTATAGGCACCCACCACCACACCCAGCTATTTTTTGTATTTTTAGTAGAGACGGGGTTTCACCGTGTTGGTTAGGCTGACTCATGTTGGTTAGAATTCCTGACCTCAGGTGATCTGCCCGCCTTGGCCTCCTAAAGTGCTGGGATTACAGGCATGAGCCACTGCGCCTGGCCTCTATCTGCAACTTTAATTCTCCCTTGCCATGCAATATAACATGGCTCACAGGTTCCAGGGATTAGGGGGTGGACATCTTTGGGGGGCCATTAGTCTACCTACCACAAGTGATAGCCCAGCTTTCCACCGGAGGTGGATGAGCAGCACTCTGAAGTGATAACTTAAGGTGGATTCTTGCCCAAATTCTAGGCTTGTAAGTTAAATCTGGTTAGTGAAGTACGAGCAGAAGGGTGGGAAATCATTAGTAACGTGTATGAATTCACTAAGAACAAGCCATACTCTGCTAACCTCACTTTTTGGTTCAATTTTAATTTTTTTATTCAAATATAATATACAGAAGGAACAGTGCAATCTCATAAGTTTATGGCTTAATGAATTGTCACTAGTTGAGCACATGTGTAACTAGCACCCTTGAGCCCTTCTTATGCTCTTCCCAGTCCCTGCCTCTCCACCCCACACAAAGGGAAATCACTATTCTGACTTCTAGTAGCATTGATTAGTTTTCTCTGATTTTATGTAAATGGATATAATCTATATGTACACTTTTGCATCTGGCTTGCTTATTATGTTTGAGATTCTTCTGTATTTTTGTCTGTAGTCGTAGATTGTTCACTTTTTTTTTTTTTTTTTCCCAGACAGAGTCTCACTCTGTCGCCCGGGCTGGAGTGCAGTGGTAGGATCTTGGCTCACTGCAACCTCCACCTCCCGGGTTCAAGCGATTCTCCTGCCTCAGCCTCCTGAGTAGCTGGGATGACAGGTGCCCGCCACCACGCCCAGCTAATTTTTGTATTTTTAGTAGAGACGGGGGTTTCACCATGTTGGCCAGGCTGATCTCAAACTCCTGACTTTGTGATCTGCCCGCCTTGGCCTCCCAACGTGCTAGGATTACAGATTGTTTATTCTTAGTGCTGTTTAGTATTTATTCAATCTACTGTTGCTGGGCATTTGGGTTGTTTCTAGTTTTTGACTACTGCAAGGGTGTAACTATGAATATTCTACATAAATATATACTAATTTGATTTGAATTGTTTGATAGCATCATTAGATTGTTAGAGCAGAGGCATGTGTATGCAGATTTCGGAGAGGTTCGTGGCAAATTCTCATGATATTCTTGTTGACAAGGTAGACTAGATAAAAATAAAGTTTGGTAGATTCTTAGTTGGCTGAATAACATTGTGGAATAATGACAAATACAGAAAGGTCTACAGTGATAGACTATACAGCTCTGTTGATCTTAGTCAACATTTTAATTTTTTTTTTTTTGAGACGAACTCTCGCTCTGTCACCCAGGCTGGAGTGCGGTGGCGCGATCTCGGCTCACTGCAACCGCCGCCTCCCGGGTTCACGCCATTCTCCTGCCTCAGCCTCCCGAGTAGCTGGGACTACAGGCACCCGCCACCACGCCCGGCTAACTTTTTGTATTTTTAGTAGAGATGGGGTTTCATTGTGTTAGCCAGGATGGTCTCGATCTCCTGACCTTGTGATCTGCCTGCCTCGGCCTCCCAAAGTGCTGGGATTACAGGCGTGAGCCACCGTGCCCGGCCTAACATTTTAATTTTTTTATTAAAAAAATTTTTTTTGAGACAGAGTGTTGCTCTGTCACCTAGGCTGGAGTGCAGTGGCACAATCTTGGCTCAGTGCAACCTCTGCCTCCTAGGCTCAAACAATTCCCATGTCTCAGCCTCCTGAGTAGCTGGGACCACAGGCGTGTGCCATCACACCCTGCTAATTTTTGCATTTTCCTTTTAGTAGAGATGGGGTTTTGCCATATTGCCAGGCTGGTCTCGAACTCCTGGCCTCAAGTGATCTGCCTGCCTCAGCCTCCCAAAGTGTTGGGATTACAGGCGTGAGCCACTGCTGCCAGCCCATGTCAACATTTATTTATTTATTTATTTATTTTGAGACGGAGTCTCACTCTGTCGCCCAGGCTGGAGTGTAGTGGTGTAATCTTGGCTCACTGCAACCTCCGCCTCCTGGGTTCAAGCGATTCTCCTGCCTCAGCCTCCCGAGTAGCTGGGACTACAGGTGCCCACCACCACACCCGGATAATTTTTGTTCTTTTAGTAGAGACGGGGTTTCACTATGTTGGCCAACCTGGTCTCAAACTCCTGACCTCAGGTGATCCTCCCTCCTCGGTCTCCCAAAGTACTGGTATTACAGGCGTGAGCCACTGCGCCCGGCCCTAGTCAACATTTTTAGGGTGACTTCAGTGAAGACTCAGGAGGTATGCTGATCAAATTTGCAGATTTCACAAAATTAAAGAAGGGATTTGAACTAATAAAATGAAGAAGGAAAAATCCCATATCATATAAGAATAATGCATAAAAACTCAGAGGAAAGTCACTAAGACTAAATATGAAGTCCTGTATCTGGGGGGAAAAAATCACTTTTTTTGTTTTGGAGAAAGGATCTTACTGTGTTGCCCAGGCTGCAGTGCAGTGGTGCGATCACAGCTCCCTGCAGCCTTGACCACTTGGGCTCAAGCGATCCCCCTGCCTCAACCTCCCAAGTAGCTGGGACCACAGGTGTGTGCCACCATGTCTGGCTAACTAAAAAAAATGTTTTGTGGAGATGTGTTCTCACAATGTTGCCCAGGCTGGTCTTGAACTCCTGGACTCAAGCGATCCTCCAACCTCGGCCTCCCAAAATGCTGGGATTATAGGCATGAGCCATCGCACCCAGCTAAAAAAATCATTTTTATAGGTCCAGAAAGAGGGGAGGAAAGATCTCATCACTTTGAGGTGGGAAAGAAAGGAGTTGTAGTAAACAATGATTTCAGGTTGAGACTCCGTAGTCGGCAACACGGTCTGGAGTTTTCTGTGTGGGGTCTTGCATTTCTGGGGAAATACTGACACAGTGAAGTATATGCAGTAAATGACAAAGTGAAATAAATGACAGTCCTGGGATGGTGAGGGGTCTGGAAGCCACATTTGCTCCACAAGGGGTTGTAAAATCTGGGTTTTAGCCTGAAGGAGTAAAGACTCAAGGGGACAGGATGTTCATCCTTTTTGTTTGTTTTTAGATGGAGTCTTGCTCTGTGGCCAGGCTGGAGTGCAGTGCCGTGATCTCGGCCCACTGCAACCTCTGCCTCCCGGGTTCAAGCAATTCCCCTGCCTCAGCCTCCCGAGTAGCTGGGACTACAGGCTTGTGCCACCATGCCTGGCTAATTTTTGTATTTTAGTAGAGACAGGTTTTCACCATGTTGGGCAGGCTGGTCTCAATTTCCTGACCTCGTGATCCACCCGCCTTGGCCTTTCAAAGTGCTGAGATTACAGGCGTGAGCCACTGCACCTGGCTTTTTTTTTTTTTTTTTTGAGACAGAGTCTCGCTCTGTGGCCCAGGCTGGAGTGCAGTGGCGCAATCTCGGTTCACTGCAAGCTCCGCCTCCCGGGTTCACGTCATTCTCCTGCCTCAGCCTCCTGAGTGTCTGGGACTATAGGCGCCTGCCACCACACCCGGCTAATTTTTTGTATTTTTAGTAGAGATGGGGTTTCACCGTGTTAGCCAGGATGGTCTTGATCTCCTGACCTCATGATCCGCCTGCCTCAGCTTCCCAAAGTGCTGGGATTACAGCGTGAGCCACCGCGCCTGGCTTTTTTTTTTTTTTTTGAGATGGAGTTTTGCTTTTGTTGCCTAGGCTGGTGCAATGGCGAGATCTCAGTTCACCGCAACCTCCACCTCCCGAGTTCAAGTGATTCTTCTGCCTCAGCTTCCCGACTAGCTGGGATTACAGGCATGTGCCACCACGCCTGGCCAATTTTTGTATTTTTAGTAGAGACGGAGTTTCTCCATGTTGGTCAGGCTGGTCTCGAACTCCCAACCTCAGATGATCTGCCCGCCTTGGCCTCCCAAAGTGCTGGGATTACAGGCGTGAGCCAGCGCCTGGCCGTGATATTCATCTTTAATGTTAAGAAGGGCCATTGGGTGGAAGAGGATTTAGCTTCATTCTGTGTGGAGACAGAGGAGGGGTCTGGCACTACTGGTAGAAGCTGGGAGGAAGACGCTGTTGGCTTAGTAAAAGGAAGAGCTATAGATCACTTTATTTTATTTTATTTTTTGAGATGGAGTCTCACTGTGTCACCCAGGCTGGAGTGCAGTGGCGTGATCTTGGCTCACTGCAATTTCTGCCTCCCGGGTTCAAATGATTCTCCTACCTCTGCCTCCAAGTAGCTGGGATTACAGGCATGCGCCACCACACTCAGCTAATATTTATATTTTTAGTAGAGACGGGGTTTCGCCATGGTGGCCAGACTGGTCTCAAACTCCTGGCCTCAAGTGATCTGCCCGCCTCAGTCTCTCAAGGTGCTGGGATTACAGGCGCGAACCACCGCGCCTGGCTCTATAGATCACTTTTAAAATGGAATGACGCCGGGCATGGTGGTTCACGCCTGTAATCATAAGTTTTGTGTGTTACATTGTGTGTATTTAAAGGTAATAGTGCTTACAGAATTGTGGGTTTAATGTTCTTTTTCAGGAAATGTTTCATTTAGGTGTCTAAACTAAACCTGAGCATCTGATCCAGAGTGGGCCTGCAAGCTTTGTTCTGTTCTGGATCCACCTGGTCTGGTGCTTTCTGGCTTTTAGTTCTAGCGCTGATGCTGGGCCTTACCACTAGAACTAGTCTCCTACTCCCGGGGACCGTATGTAGGCTGGGTTTGATGATCCATTCAGGAACATCTTTTTAGATGGTTATAGGAGTGACTTCTCTTTTTTTTTTTTGAGATGGAGTCTTGCTCTGTCACCAGGCTGGAGTGCAGTGGTGTGATCTTGGCTCACTGCATCCTCCGCCTCCTGGGTTCAAGTGATTCTCCTGCCTCAGCCTCCCAAGTAGATGGGACTACAGGCACACACCACCATGCCCAGCTAATTTTTGTATTTTTAGTAGAGACAGGGTTTCACCATGTTGGCCAGGATGGTCTCGATCTCTTGACCTCGTGATCTGTCCACCTCGGCCTCCCAAAGTGCTGGGATTACAGGCGTGAGCCACTGCACCCGGCCACGAGTGACTTCTTTGCAGATTCTTTTTTTCTCCCCCTGGGGTCAAAGCAGGAGTGCTGCTGCACCGAGTCAAGGGTCAAAGGTGATTTCAGGTTATCCTCTTATAGACTTGGCCCAGTGTTGGGTGGGGATTGAATTGCCCCTAGAGGTAGAAGGGGAGGGCATCTCTGCCCTTGAGGTTAACTTGCAGTTGCCTCCATATTATCCTAACCCCATGGTCCCCTCCTGTCCTTGGCCCTGAAGCAGGAGGTTGGGCTCCACTTCAAGAGCAGTGCACTTAGCTGGGCTCTGGGGCCAGTGGTCAGCTGTATCCGCTGAGGTGGGGACAAAAAGCCCTGTCAGCACTGCTGCCTGCCATACCCATTTCCTGCTCCCACAGTCAAGAGGCCCTGGAGGAAGCTAGGCTTTGAGGAAGAGGAGGGCTAGCTCTCTTCAGGCAGTTCCCTCTGCTCCCTGGTTTCTTTCTGTAGGATTCCCTTCCTCATTCAAACTGAGCCTTCTGTGCTCAGTACAGAGAGCAGATCAGGGCTAGAAGGTGGGTCAGAGAAATCAGGCTCAGGAGTGGGGGAGGTGGGATACTGGTGGACAAAGAGAGGGATACAAATGGATGGATAGAGAAGTAGAGAAGAGACTGGGCACGCCACGCCGGTGACTCACACCTGTAATCCCAGCACTTTGGGAGGCTGAGGCAGGCGGATCACCTGAGGTCAGGAGTTTGAGACTAGTCTGGCTAACATGGCGAAACCCTGTCTCTACTAAAAATACAAAAATTAGCTGGGCATGGTGTTGAATGTCTGTAATTCTAGCTACTCGGGAGGCTGAGGCAGGAGAACCGCTTGAACCCAGGAGGCGGAGGTTGCAGTGAGCTGAGATCGCACCACTGTACTCCAGCCTGGGGGACGGAGCAAGACTGTCTCGAAAAAAAAAAAAAAAGAAGTAGAGAAGCAATAGGGATTAAAATGTAAACAAGCCACCCAGGTGCCATGGCTCTTCCCTATAATCCCAGTTACTCCTCAGATAGCTGAGGTGGAAGGATTGCCTGAGGCCAGGAGTTCGAGACCAGCCTGGGCCACATAGCAAGACCCCGTCTCTAAAAAAATTAAAACAGCCAGGCACGGTGGCTCACACCTGTAATCCCAGCACTTTGGGAGGCTGAGGAGGGCAGATCACAAGGTCAGGAGTTCGAGACCAGCCTGACCAACATGGTGAAACCCTGTCTCTACTAAAAATACAAAAATTAGCCAGGTGTGGTGGTGGGCACTTGTAGTCCTAGCTACTCAAGAGGCTGAGGCAGGAGAACTGCTTGAACCCTGGAGGCAGAGGTTGCAGTGAGCTGAGATCGCACCACTGCACTCCAGGCTGGGTGACAGCAAGACTCCATCTCAAAAAAAAAAAAAATTAAAACAAATTAGCTGGGCATGGTGGTGCACACCTTTGATCCCAGCTACTAGGGTGGCTGAGCTGGGAGGATCCCTTGAGCTCAGGAGTTCGATGCTGCAGTGAGCTATGATTTCTCCACTGTACTCTGGCTTGGGTGAAAGAGTGAGATCCCCATCTCCAAAAAAAAAACAAAAAGGGACGGGTGTGGTGGCTCACGCCTGTAATCTCAGCATTTTGGGAGGCCGAGGTGGGCGGATCACCTGAGCTCAGGAGTTCGAGATTAGCCTGGCCAGTATGGTGAAACCCCATCTCTACTAAAAATACAAAAATTAGCCAGGCATGGTGGCACACACCTGTAGTCCCAGCTACTCGGGAGGCTGAGGCAGGAGAATTGCTTGAACCTGGGAAGTGGGGGTTGCAGTGAGCCAAGATCATGCCATTGCACTTCAGCCTGGGTGACAGAGCAAGACTGTGTCTCAAAAAATAAATAAAATAAATAAATAAATAAATAAATAAGTCAATAAATAAGTAAATAAAAAAAAATAATAAAATATAGGCCGGGCGCGGTGGCTCATGCTTGTAATCCCAGCACTTTGGGAGGCTGAGGTGGGTGGATCACCTCAGGTCAGGAGTTTGCGACAAGCCTGGCCAACATGGTGAAACCTCATCTCTACTAAAAATATAAAAATTAGCTGGGCATAGTGGCGCACACCTGTAATCCCAGCTACTTGGGAGGTTGAGGCAGGAGAATGGCTTGAACCCGGGAGGCAGATGTTGCCATGAGCCGAGACCACGCCATTGCACTCCAGCCTGGGCAACAAGGGTGAAACTCTGTCTCAAAAAGAAAAAGAAAAATAAATAAAATAAAATATAAACAAGCCATGTATTTCCATTTCAGAATCTGCTGTGGTAGCAGGTGGTGAATTGGTTGCTTATCCCTCCTTTTCCCTGCCTACATCCCTGGACAGAACTGAGAAGAACCTTGTGGCACACAGCTCAGACTCTGAGTCTGAACTAGAGCTAGTCCTGTAAGCTTATTCCAGTTTGGTGTTATGACTCATGGTTACCCTGCAGGGAATCATAAATTTGTATTTGGGGATCCCATTTTCCTGACAATGTGGCAGCATCCTTTGTGTCTGGTGTTTCTACTTGGAAACCTGGCTATGTTGTGGTTATGAGCCAGCCGCAGAGCCTAGGATAAGGGCAGAGGTTACAAGCTGGGGAGAAGGGGCACTAAGCTGTTGAGTGGCTGGAGGCTGGAGTCCAGTGGGGAGTAAAGGATGGGTGACTGGCTGAGGAGGAGTGACAGATTTGAAAGATTTGTGGAGGGCAAGATACAGCCACTTTGGTCATTTTGTGGGGTGCTGCACACTTGTGTCTTAAATTATTAACTTAGCACTGGGGTGGCCTGGAGCTGTGGGTACATTTTTGCCCAGCCCTGTGATAAGGTTTGTTGTTTATTAGGCAGAAAGGCAAGCATTTATATAGGACAGGAATGTGCCTTCTCAGGAAGAGCAGAAAGGAACTTGGGCAGTCAGTAGAATGAGGGTGGTGGTGGAAGGGAGGGTGAGAGAGAGAAGATGGGGCAGCTGTTCTGAGAGGCCAGACTTCCCTGCTTCTCAGGATGAAGTAGCCAGAATGTGGTGAGGCCAGGACACCACAAAATAGGAGGACTAGCGACACCAAGGCCACACCACTGCCAGGAGAACTCAGAGGGTGTTTCTGACTGTGTTGGTGGCCTGAAGTAGGCAAGAACTGTACTAGGCCTCATTCTCTTGACTGGTAAGGCAGGGTGATGTTGACCTTGCCCTTGGAGCCCTTGGGAGAAGGGCTTTAAAGTTAAGCCCTCCTTATAGTGTTCCAGTTGCTGAGCTGGGAAGGAGGGAGCAATGAAGCGATTCGCTATGCTACCAGTGGGAAGATCTGTATTTTTTTTTCCAACTTTCTTCTCGGCCACATTCTGGGGCTACTGGTCAACCTCACAGCATGCGTGAGCCTCCCTTGTTGAACTTCTTCAAGTAATTCAAATTCAAGTCGTAGATTGTAACTTTTTTGTTGGGGGAGGGATAATGGACTTGAGATTCTGATAAAAGCTATGATCCCTTTCTAAGAAAAGATATGAAACTTTTTCTTAGGTATGTCTGTATTCATATGGACATAACACTTTGAAAGAGAATTTCGAGCCTCATGGAGGCCCTAGTTAAGAACCCTGATAAAAGGTACTTTTAAAACCTGTACTTCTGAGTAGAAGGACTGGGGGAATGTGTGTGGCTCTTACTTCTCTATTGTCCCATCAGGAAAAATGCCCTGTCCCCATTCTACAGGAACCACTCTTAGCTGCAAGAATCTTTCCAAGCACAAAAGCAGGCAGCTGAGCTGCCAGGCAGTGGGCAGGAAGTCTGGCCTTCATCCTAATCCTTGGCCACACAGCCTGACCTGCTGGCTCAGCATTGGATAAGTCACAGCAGAACTCCTCAAGGTTAACAGTAATACCACAGAGTCAGAGTGCTGTGTCCTGGAGCCCATGGGGAATGGGAGGTAGGAGGGAGAGACCATGACTTTTCAGAGCCAAGAGCCGGAACAATCACTAATCCTGTACAGTTCCCAGTTGCCTCCCACTGCTGTGATTGGACATTTGGATGTATTTTTTATGTAAGCAGATCTGCAGTCACTTTGTTTTGTGTCTCCCATATAAGGTGCTGGGGGTGGGGAGTATAGAGGCCTTTGTATGATAATGGTGAGGACATTCTGGGGCCCCGAGGGTTCCAGTGCAGAGCAGGTCAGAGGGTCTGTCTTTGGCTGAAGGGTATATATATCTTGGTGACTGGTACTGGAAAAATTGCTTGGGAGTCTAAGGCCCTAGGGTGGTAAGGGTAAGTCACCAATCAGTATTATTTTTCTTTCAGGTCTCTTAACCTTCATTAACTGTGCCTATGTCAAATGGGGAACCCTGGTACAAGATATTTTCACCTATGCTAAAGTATTGGCACTGATCGCGGTCATCGTTGCAGGCATTGTTAGACTTGGCCAGGGTAAGAAATAATATTAGTAGCAACTAATCTTTTTTAAGCATTTTCTGTGAGCCGCACTCCTCTAAGTGCTCTTTGTGCATTATCTCATTTCTTACTATAACCTTATTCGGTGGGCACTATTATTATTCTCATTTTATGGATGAGGAAACAGCCTGCAGAATTAAGTACCTTGGGCCGGGCGCAGTGGCTCGTGCTTGTAATCCCAGCACTTTGGGAGGCCATCGCGGGTGGATCCATGAGGTCAGGAGTTCAAGATCAGCCTGGCCAAGATGGTGAAACCCCATCTCGACTAAAAATACAAAAATTAGCCGGGCATGGTGGCAGGCGCCTGTAATCCCAGCTACTCGGGAGGCTGAGGCAGGAGAATCGCTTGAATCCAGGAGGCGGTGGTTGCAGTGAGCTGAGATCACGCCACTGCACTCCAGCCTGGGCGACAGAGCGAGACTCTGTCCCCCCCCCAAAAAAAAAAAAGAATTAAATATCTTGCCCAAGTTGCTACCGGTAAGTAGAGGAGTTGAAATTTGTATCCAGGACAACTGACCCAAAAGTCTGTCCTTTAACTTCCATGCACGCTGCCTCCCAGAGGAGGCTGATCTTGGCAAAGGGTTGACAGCCATGCCCTGGGAGCTGCCTTTGGCAGATTGTGATAGGAGGCAGGAATCAGGCAGCCTGCAGAGCAGAACAGAACTGCATTGTTTCTATTCTCCAGCTTTTCTGCTCTATGGTGGTTTCTTATCCTAGAAAGCTACCCTGGACCCTTCCTGTCAAGATCCCCATCTATGTCATTAGGATGCAGGGCATTCTGGTCTATCTCTATAGACGTCTCTCTTCTGTTTCCTGTTCCCTTACTGGTACTCTTGCTGCCAAAGGTGTTGTAGGCCACTTACCTGCTATTATATTACCATATTCTGTCAGTCCTTTACTTGACCATCTTGAAGTGGGAGAATGAGCCACTAATCCCCTGCCTTCCAATGTTCTTGGGTTCCAGGAGCCTCTACTCATTTTGAGAATTCCTTTGAGGGTTCATCATTTGCAGTGGGTGACATTGCCCTGGCACTGTACTCAGCTCTGTTCTCCTACTCAGGCTGGGACACCCTCAACTATGTCACTGAAGAGATCAAGAATCCTGAGAGGTAGGTACTGCACCACCAACTTTCCATAGCAGTGATAGCCATCATTTAATGAGCTCCTACTACGTGCCAGACAGCATACCACAACCACTATGAGGTTAATTTTACCAGCCTCATTTTAATAGATGGGAGGCCTGAGGCTCAGAGAAGTAACTTGTCTATGATCACAGTAACAGGGCTAAAATATGAACTTACTCATGTATGCTTTGTAAATTTTTAAAGGCATTTTTACATTTGTTCATTAATTTCTGCATTAATTAAAGCAGGTTGTATTATATGCTTATGTATGTTTTTAAAACAGATTTTCCTTGATAGATATTTTATCCACCCTTATCCCCACATACATAGCTTTGGGATATAGACTTCCAGAAACCTTCCTGTGTTTCCCTCTGATACCTTCCTTGTTTCCTAAATTCATACTGACATTGTGGTATAGTTTCAGTCATTCAATTAAGTCACCCTACCATTATTGCTCTGTAGTCTATATATAGAGTGAAAAGAGAACTGGACAGGAAGTCAAGGACCTAGAGTTGATCTTTCCACTGACTTGTTGGCTAACCTTGAGGGAGTTGCCCGGCCATCTCTTTGCCTGTTTCCTTATCTGTAATTGAGGGGGTTAAATTCTGTGATCTCCATGGCCTTTCCTGGCTCTAAAATTCTATGATTCTGGGAACTAAGATTTGCCAGGGAGTGGAGTTTCGGTAAAATGTTTTTTGTTTTTTGGAGAGAGTCTTGCTGTATTTCCCAGGCTGGAGTGCAATGGCGTGATCTTGGCTCATTGCAACCTCTGCCTCCCAGGTTCAAGTGATTCTCCTGCTTCAGCCTCCCAAATAGCTAGAATTACAGGTGCCTGCCACCACGCCTGGCTAATTTTTGTATTTTTAGTAGAGACATGGGTTTCACCATGTTGGCCAGGCTGGTCTCGAACTCCTGACCTCAGGTGATCCGCCCGCCTTAGCCTCCCAAAGTGCTGGGATTACAGGCATGAGCCACTGTGCCCAGCTTTCTGTAAATGCTTAAGTGAAAAGAATCACAATTCTTATACCAATAAACTCCTTTTGGCTTGAGAAACAGAAGAGCACTCTTGGTACACAACTAGTGGTAACGCTATGGGAACAGAGATAACAGAAGCAGGATCAAGGCCTGGGTGGTACTTCCACCTACCGGACAGAAACTGCATGACTCTATTTGCAGAGTATTTGCCCCACTTTGTGCTTTTTTTTTGGCAGCCTTACTGTTAAGGATGCTTATAAAGATCATGGCTTTATTGGGCTACAGGGACCTTGAGAGCTCTTTGCATCTTTCTTTTGCCCACCAGTTAGGATGGCTCCTGAGGTTCTCAAACTGAGGAAGGGGTGGGCAGACATATCTTCCAGGCTGCTAGTCAGATACATACACTTCTCTTCCTACTGAAGGCCTATCTTATTCTCTGAAGATGTTAAATTTCACAATTTGCCTCCATAATTTCTTTTTATATTTCTCAACCTTGAGGCAAAATTGCCAATGTTGATAATCTTAGAGATGGAATCCTGACACCAAAAGATCTTTGGGGTATAAAACAAAACAACCTCCCATTTTCCTGTGCGTTATGATGCTGGGGACAGTCTTTGTTAATCCCCCCCGCCCTGCTTTTTTTTTTTTTTTTTTTTTTTTAGACAGGGTCTGGCTGCCTTGCCCAGGCTGGAGTGCAGTGGCCCAGTCATGGTTCACTGCAGCCTTGACCTCCCCAGGCTCAAGTGATCCTCCCACCTCAGCCTCCCAAATAGCTGGGATTACAGGCATGCACCACCACGCTTGGCTAATTTTTTTTTTTTTGGTTTGTTTTTGGAGACAGAGTCTCGCTCTGTCGCCCATGCTGGAGTGCAGTGGCACAATTTTGGCTTACCACAACCTCCGCCTCTCGAGTTCAAGTGATTCTCGTACCTCAGCCTCCTGAGTAGCTGGGACTACAGGTGCATGCCACCATGCCTGGCTAATTATTTATATTTTTAGTAGGAACAGGGTTTTGCCATGTTGGCCAGGCTGGTCTTGAACTCCTGACCTCAGGTGATCCACCCGGCTCGGCCTCCCAAAGTGCTGGGATTACAGGCGTGAGCCACCACGCCCAGCTGCTTGGCTAGTTTTTTGTAGAGACAGGGTTTTGCCATGTTGCCCAGGCTGGTCTCCAACTCCTAGACTCGAGCCATCTCCCTGCCTCAGCCTCCCAAAGTGTTAGTACTACAGGCATGAGCCACTGCTCCCAGCTGCACAGTCCTGTCTCCTAATATGATATTCCTTTCCCCTAATGTTCTTTAGTTCTTAAGTGTTCAGAGCTTCAGCCACTATCCAGGGCACCGTCAAAGACAAATGCATTGAGGAAATGTAGCAACAGTCTCCATCCCTGGAAAGACCGGTGTGGCAGGGAGAGTCTAAGGATTAAAGGAGAGATAGGGATATGACTGTGGGACTAATGTGCATTTTATTCTATTTGGCTGTAGGAACCTGCCCCTCTCCATTGGCATCTCCATGCCCATTGTCACCATCATCTATATCTTGACCAATGTGGCCTATTATACTGTGCTAGACATGAGAGACATCTTGGCCAGTGATGCTGTTGCTGTGGTAAAGGATTTTCACTAGCAGAAGGTTGAGGGTGTCTTGTGGGGTACTGGGTATATTCTGGCTCTTGAAAGTCCTGGAAAGGGGGTAGACAGCCTTGAAAGGAGTTCATTTAGAATACCGGGCTTGCAAGAAGGTCCTGTTAACCCCACTGTGGAAGAAAGGTTGGAATACCTAATAAGGGGAATCTGGGGGCATGCCCATCCATGTCTTTCATCCCTTTTAGATCCTGCTAATGACTCTTCCATTCTTTTCCCTTAGACTTTTGCAGATCAGATATTTGGAATATTTAACTGGATAATTCCACTGTCAGTTGCATTATCCTGTTTTGGTGGCCTCAATGCCTCCATTGTGGCTGCTTCTAGGTAAGAGTGGCAACTTTTGTGAGGGGTGTATCATCAAAGGGCTATGCAGTGGACAGAACTTACAGGACCCAGCCTTTGATTACTTGTGTTCTCCAACCGATACCACAACCTCTTTCTTCTTGTTTCTAGCAGAAGCCTGCAGTTGTCATTAATCTTAATACTGAGCTCCAGTCCATATTATCCAAATACTTTTGAAGGAAGGGATGGCAGAGAGGGAGGGCCATGTGGCAGGTGAACCAGGCTGCACCGTGTCCACCAATTTTCTCAGCTTCTCCTATCTTACCTAACATAGGCTTTTCTTTGTGGGCTCAAGAGAAGGCCATCTCCCTGATGCCATCTGCATGATCCATGTTGAGCGGTTCACACCAGTGCCTTCTCTGCTCTTCAATGTAAGTGAACTCAAGGATGAGACTGAAAGCCAGATTGCGGGGGAAACTTTAGTAACAGCAGAAGCGACTGTTCTAGCTTCCTGAAAGCTCTGAAAGATTCCAATAGAAAAACTATTGGTGGATCAGAATGTTCACCACGGGCAAGGCACTATGCTAACCGCTACAGGGGAAATCCAAATGCTCTAAGGAATGGTACACCTCTGCTCTAAGATAAGGCAAAAAGTACATGGAATACACTGTAATGATTGATTGCCATGACAGATAGTGAGTGATACGGTGTTTAAGAGAAGAAACGATCACTTCCATGGGAGTAGAGGGTGAAGAATTACATCTAGAAGTGTGTGTGTGTGTCTTAAAATCCACCAAAGTGTTCTCAGAAAAAAAAAGTGCATCTTGATGGCTAGGGTTGCAAATGGTAGAGATGGGCTTTAGGTAGGAGAAATAGCATCAGAAAATCCTGTGATAAAGCAGTATGGGTTTTAATACAGGTTGAGTATCCCTAATCTGAATATCCAAAATCTGAAATGCTCTAAAAATCTGAAACTTTTTGAGTGCTGACTTGACACTCAAAGGAAATGCTCATTGGAGCATTTTGGATTTTCAGAACAGGGATACTCAACATGTAGGAGGAGATAAGAGCGGGTTATTGTAGGTTGGAGCCATTATGGAAAGGGTCCTATGCAAGACTTTTGAGGGATTGTTTCGAGCTTGCTTTATACAGGGTTAACTTGAAGAATGGGTTGAAAAGCCAGTTGAGACTACTGACTTATAAGAGAGGGGATAAGGTACTGAAACTAGGGTGTTAAAGGGATTAAAACCAGAAGAGGACCAGGAGACTTTGAGGATTGACAGGGGATGGATTTCTGGGGTATAAAGGGAGTGAAAAGCCTTTGGATTAACAAAGGCCCTGAGAAGAGCTGACTTAGGCTCACGCTTACAGGGTATCATGGCATTGATCTACTTGTGCGTGGAAGACATCTTCCAGCTCATTAACTACTACAGCTTCAGCTACTGGTTCTTTGTGGGGCTTTCTATTGTGGGTCAGCTTTATCTGCGCTGGAAGGAGCCTGATCGACCTCGTCCCCTCAAGGTAAGGCAACTCCATCCTACCTCTGCTCCACCTGAAACAGCTGGAGTTGTTGCTACAAGGGACTATGACAAAGCACTTTATTTAGAAACCTTTGCCTGGGACTTGGTCGTTAGTAATGTGTTGAAATTAAAGGTATGGAAAGAAGGCTCAGTGCGCTAATCCTTATGGGAGGTGGGGTTATTTTAGCTGTTAAGAATCCTGAGTTGTCCACTCCAGTTATGTTTCCTGTGCCCTTAGCTCAGCGTTTTCTTCCCGATTGTCTTCTGCCTCTGCACCATCTTCCTGGTGGCTGTTCCACTTTACAGTGATACTATCAACTCCCTCATCGGCATTGCCATTGCCCTCTCAGGCCTGCCCTTTTACTTCCTCATCATCAGAGTGCCAGAACATAAGCGACCGCTTTACCTCCGAAGGATCGTGGGTAAGCCGTGCATCCTTAAGTCCGCTCAGCTATTGCAGAGCTTGGTTTTTGCCTTTTTCTGTAAATCCAGCCTCCAAAGACATCTTTGCCTTAGCCCCTTCTTATGAACCCTTCGGCTTAGTGGAATCACTCCCCTCACACTGAGTTCCATTCAGTGACACTTGAACTCAGCCCAGCTGACCTCTTCTCAATTCCAACTCAAAGTTCTCTTTGTAGGGTCTGCCACAAGGTACCTCCAGGTCCTGTGTATGTCAGTTGCTGCAGAAATGGATTTGGAAGATGGAGGAGAGATGCCCAAGCAACGGGATCCCAAATCTAACTAAACACCATCTGGAATCCTGATGTGGAAAGCAGGGGTTTCTGGTCTACTGGCTAGAGCTAAGGAAGTTGAAAAGGAAAGCTCACTTCTTTGGAGGCACCTGTCCAGAAGCCTGGCCTAGGCAGCTTCAACCTTTGAACTTACTTTTTGAAATGAAAAGTAATTTATTTGTTTTGCTACATACTGTTCCAGACTTTTAAAGGGGACAATGAAGGTGACTGTGGGGAGGAGCATGTCAGGTTTGGGCTTGGTTGTTTTAGAAGCACCTGGGTGTGCCTACCTACTCCTCTTTTCTTTTAAAAGGGCCCACAATGCTCCAATTTCCTGTCTCCTTTAGAGAGACATGAAACTATCACAGGTGCTGGATGACAATAAAAGTTTATGTTCCTAAAGTCTGAGTGGCTTCATTTTATATAGTATCTATCTCTAGGACAGCTCCCATTAGCCTAGAAACACAAAGACTAAAATCAATCTTATGCTTGAAAGTATATCCATCTTTTCTCTCTCAAGCTAGCTGCTGAAGGCTGATAAACCAGGCTCTACACAAAGGCAGACAACAGAACACTTAAACTGCTCTAGTCAAATGTTGGATTGTTACATAAAAATGACATGAACTTCCTTTTTGAGACAGGATCTTGCTCTGTAGCCAAGGCTGGAGTATAGCAGCATGATCTTGGATCACTGCAGCCTCAACCTCCTGGGCTTAAGCTATCCTCCCACCTCAGCCTCCCAGGTAGCTGGGACTATGGACAAGCACCACCATGCTCAGCTAACTTTTTAGCAGAGACAAGGTCTCGCCATGTTGCCCAGGCTGGTCTCAAATTCCTGGACTCAAGTGATCTACCCACCTCAGCCTCCCAAAGTGCTGAGATTATAGGTGTGAGCCACTTTGCCCAGCCTGGAACTTTCATTCTTAATTATCACTAAGAATTTGCACACATCTACTTCTTGAAATTTTTAAAGTAATCTTGGGATCAAGAAGTGCGGTTACTATATTTAGATACAATCTCAACATTCAACTTATCAGCCACACCTCTAGACTGCAATCCAAATGTGCATAGAACAACACATGCATGGGTTGGAAGTTTAAACTGTTTTTTTTTTTTTTTTTTTTTTTTTTTTTTTGAGAAGGAGTCTCACTCTCTTGCCCAGGCTGGAGTGCAGTGGCGCAATCTCGGCTCACTGCAAGCTCTGCCTCCTGGGTTCACGCCATTCTCCTGCCTCAGCCTCCCAAGTAGCTGGGAATACAGGCACCCGCCGCCATGCCCGGCTAATTTTTTTTTTTTTTTTTTTAGTAGAGACGGGGTTTCACCATGTTGGCCAGGATGGTCTCGATCTGCTGACTTCGTGATCCGCCCGCCTTGGCCTCCCAAAAGTGCTGGGATTACTGGCGTGAGCCACTGCGCCTGGGTGGAAGTTTAAACCCTTAATGCCAGGTTAAAACATTATATTTTCCAAGGCCATGGGCCAGCAAAAGCAATCATGACTCACTCTATTCTTCAGTTTTCTTTTTTTTTTGAGACAGTCTCCCTCTATTGCCCAGGCTGGAGTGCGGTGGTGCGATCTTGGCTCACTGCAACCTCCGCCTCTCGGATTCAAGCAATTCTCCTGCCTCAGCCTCCCGAGTAGCTGGGACTACAGGTGTGCACCACCACGTGTGGCTATTTTTGTAAAACAGCAGAGATGGCGTTTCCCCATGTTGGCCAGGCTGGTCTCAAACTCCTGATCTCAGGTGATCCACCCACCTCGGCCTCCCAAAATGCTGGGTATTCTTCAGTTTTCTGAAGTGCACACTGATTTCCCTGTTCAATAAGTATCAGGAAGCAGCATGTAGTACAGAGGTTTACTAACTCTGTGAATGGGAAGATCACTTGGCTACCCAGTGCTCTCTTATAAACATAAGTACAAGAGTGTTTCATGAAATCCGTTTTTAAAATGAACATCTCTGTGTGCCACAGTTCCTAGGACTGGGGCAAGGACACAGTGTCAAGTCTTGTTTTGAGGATGAGTCTCTGAAGAGACAGAATTCCTGCCAGAATGCGCACAGAACATAAGTCAGCCAAGTGTGTCGTGCCAGGGATACTTTGACTTTGGTTTGCTGCTGCTGCTAGGGATATTGGGAGGGTTATCCTTTCCAGGTTGTAGGAGAGGGTTGTGGGTAAAGGTCTGTCGTAAAGGACCTGAGGGGAGAAGAGAAAACAAATTTCAACGAAGAACAGAAAGGAAGAAACAAAAGACAGAATTTGGCCTGAAAGGACTATTTACCCCTGGCTGCTAGCTCCAACTGATTCCGCATGCGTTGTTCACGCTCTCGCAGCTGACGCGTCATTTCAGCATTTTTCCAGCCTGTGTAAAGAGAAGCAAGAGAGTCAGTTGCATTCCTATTTTTAGACCCCTTTCCCTAGTCCTTTTTCACAGAGGATGAGCCCTTACCTTTTTTGAAGCTCTCTAGGAAGCCTTCCCGTGGAGGTAATTTGTCCAGGTCATGTACAACACGCTGGGGGATTTTAAGTACAGTGCGTACTGCTGGAATCCGGAGACAGGATACTTGGACCAGGGAAAACAAATTGGAGGAGAGCCAGTACATAAACACTGCCTGGGTGAGAACACAGAGAAGGGACTCAGAAGCTGTATCCCTGGTCAGCTTGCTAGGTGGCTAGGCTAGGCAGAAGGCCTTGGAGCCAGCCCATAAGGCATTACATACCGTGGGGAAATGCATGGTTATGGGCAAGGTTATCAGGGGCATCATTCTGATGACATTTCTCATCCACTGAAGGTCAGAACTTTGCACACCTGTCTCAGCACCTAGCTGCCAAAAGAAGTGGGGTGGAAAAGTCGGGAAAGCTGTCAGTTTCAGTGAATCTGTCTCTAATCTCTTACCCATCAACTCTTTCTCCAGCAAGTGAAGGATGACCATTCTGTACAACTACTTTACCCTCCAACCCCAGTTCACTTTGCAGGCCTGGCACTTGGCCAATCTGGGCTTACCTCAAGAACAGCCCACATTGTAGCAGTGACTGCCAGTGGTAATATGTAGATGGGATCGGATACCGTGAGATCCTGGAACCACCAGAGGCCACCTGTCTGCAGGCTGGGCACAGGAAGGTTGGCCATCTCTCTCAAAGCAATGAAGAAGGAGATGAAGATTGGGGCCTATTACACAAGATAAACAGTGTCAGCATGCTTTACCAGAGAGAACATTTTCATCACCCCACTACTGAAAGCCATGTATAATCCACCACCACCTGTTTTTTGGGGGACCTGGGACACATGAAACACAGAGAGGAAATTTCATGGGTACTGGATGAAATAAGGAAGGAAATGTTTTTGCTCACCTGAGTCACAGGGAGAATGAGAGGTTTATAGAGTTTAATACCATGTTTTTTCTGGTAAAGTGCCATCTCCGAGGAAGCCTTGTAATCTGTGAGGTGAGGGGAAATTAATGGTTGGGGTAACAGTTACATCAGTGGAGGTGAACATCCTCATTATCTACCTGGCCTGTGAAATTTCTAACCAACCCTGGCCACTCCTTGGGAGCATTAGGTCTAAGAAACAGATAAACCTTTAGAACTTTCCCGACTGTGGCAACTTCTGATTTACATTGTTCCTTTCCCCCAGCAGAATGTAAGGAAAAGTGCAAATGTGGACTTCTCCCACGCTCATTCTGCAACTGACTCACACTCAATATGGTCTCCTGCTAACTTGGCCTCTCTGATTCGACTGGAAAACTTCTGGATCTCTGGCAAGTGATTGTGGATCCTGGCTGCCTCTCGCTGGCCCGTCACGATGAGAGGAAAAATCAGGCAGCGGGCAAAGACTGTACCTGGAAAATACAAACTAGGATTGGAGTGAAATTAAAGCAGTTCTGCAGCTAGAAGGTTGAAGGCTTTTAGGTCCTTACTGAAAGGGTCTTATTCTTGCCTTGTCCATTCTATGACTCATGCCTAAGAGGCCCAGAAATAAGGTCAGGGGAATGAATTAGTTGCTTTAAGGCTCAGTTCTCTAATTTGGCATCACAAAAGTATGGCATTAACTTCTCTAAGCAGATGATTAGGAATCCTGTTTGTTTCCTCAAACAAAAAGCTGACAGGAGTGGATTTAGCAATTATGTTACTGGCAGTTCGAATGAGGTGATATGAGTAAAAGCCAGACGGCTGAGGGAGTAAATGGAAAGAAGTAGGCTAATTGGATGCAGAGCAGTCTTTTAAGTAACAGCTATCAAAAGAATGAAACCCAGTCATCTGTGACAACGTGGATGGAACTGGAGATCACTATGTTAAGTGAAATAAGGCAAGCACAGAAAGACGAACATCGCCATGTTCTCACTTATTTGTGAGATCTAAAAATCAAAACAAATGAAATCATGGGCAGAGAGTAGAAGGAAGGTACCAGAGGCTGGGAAGGGTAGTCAGGGTTGGGAATAGTTAATGGGTAAAAAAAAGTTAGAATAAGATCTACTATTGATTGCACAACAGGGTGACTATAGTCAGTAATAATAGCATATTTTTAAATAAAGAACGTAAAAATTAGCCAGGTGTGGTGGCACACCTGTAGTCCCAGCTACTTGAGAGGCTGAGACATGAGAATCGCTAGAACCTGGGAGGTGGAGGTTGCAGTGAGCTGAGACTGCACCACTGCACTCCAGCCTGGGTGACAGAGCAAGACTCCGTTTAAAAAAATAAATAAAATAAAAAATAAAATAAAAGTGTAATTGGATTGTTTGTAACTTAAAGGATAAATGCTTAAGGGGATGGATATCTCATTCTCCATAATGTGATTATTACACCTTGCATGCCTCTATCAAAACATCTCATGTAGCCCATAAATATATACACCTACTAGGTATCCACAAAAATTAACAACAACAAAATAAATAACAGCCATCAAAGGAAGAAGATAGGATAGTAAGTGAAGGGGAACTAAGGATGAAGGGAAGAAACCTTCCCCCAGGTAACACATGGGTGTGCCTGAGCATGTTTACATGTTCGGGGTAGGGCAGTGAGGAGGGAAATGCTGAAGACACAGGGGAGAAAAGATAATTGATGGAGCAACGTGGCAGAAAGACACATAATTCAAAGCAGAGTTCTAGCCTTTACAAAAGCAATGCTAGTGGCTTCCCAATTTAGGGGTTTAAGTGCCTGACCTGAACCTCTGTTCTAAACCAGGATAGCTTCATGACTGTTAATAAGGTCCCCTGACTCTAACCCCATGTTTGTATTCAAATATCTACACTTCTTGAATCCCAGATGATCTGGTGGTTTTATAATGCTCTTTAAGAAATATAGGCAGAGTGCATCTAGGTATCATGAACCTCTATTGCTCATTTGAAATCATCTGCTCTTCTGACCCCAGAGCTTCTGCAACTACTTCCTGAATCCATTCAAAGAATTGCCATCTATGAGGTTAAATCCCTAACCCATGTCCAGGGTATATTCCCCTTACATGCAGCAATGGCCCCCCACCAAGGTAGGCCCAGATCAACATGCATAAATTCCAGTAAATTCTGGATCAGTCCCACTGGGGTGTATGACCCCAGCCCCAGTTCAGCGAAGCTCTGCTCTGCAGCAGTTTGGACTACATCTGCAGTCTCTCCAGAAGCCACCTCAGGTACTGCTGTGGGTGAGGGAGTTGCAGCAACAACAGGAGGGGCCTGAACCTGTGTGAAAGAAAGCCTTGTATTATATTTATTCAGTAGCGAACACAAAGCAAGTGAGATCTTTTTATAATAACCAGTACTGGGTTCTGTTCTCTCTACTTCTTGTTCTTCCAGGTTAGCCTAGTGTCTGCAGATTTCAAGCTTAAAAAGGACATCTCATTTTTATCAATAGTTAGGAAGAGAAGTTACTTTGAGTAAGAATCCATGACTTCCCTTCATGCTGGGAAGTTATTTCTTTTATCACTGTTTTCCAAACTTCAGCCATTTGAATATCACTATCATGATTTTTGCCATATATTAACATGAAACAATTGCTTTTCTTTAAAACAGCTCAGAAAACCAAATATAACATCTCTCCTGTTGTACTTTCAATCATTTCCCCACTGAATTGAAAATCCATCCTAAGCAGAGATGCTATCATTTTGGAGAGCTGTGTGGAGCGTGGACAAGAACTCTGCTCCATATTCCCCCTGCTCCCAAACAAAACAAAATATGAAACCAACCAGGAAACACCACTCCTAATATTGCAGGAACGAAAGGCCTCTTACCTGGACTTCTGCAAAAGAGATAGCAGAGGTACTGAGGCTGCGGGGGCCGGAAGCCGCAAGGAAGAGGTAGTGTGGGCGACAGCAGCACGGGGCTGCTGGGAATAGGAGCCGTGTGGTCAGCGGTTTCCCAAGCCATTGCGAGGGCCCTGCGACGCTGTGGACCTGAGCGTGTAAAAGGATGATGGAGCCCCTTTACCGGGAGCAGAAGTCCTCGCGTGGGTGCAAACGGGATTCATTATGCTAACTCCCCAAGAAGCAGGCAGCTCGGCCACTACAGGGGAGGACATTGCTATCACCGCGCGCAGACCGCTAGCCCGAAGGCATGCAGCGGGTGGTGCCTGCAGAGCGAAGCTCGAACCTGGGTTCCCCGCATCTCAGTTATCGCAGACCCACATCGGAGGGCCCTGAGAACGAGGCCGAGGTGCTCTCGCCAGGAGCCAAGCCAATTCCAGAAGCTGACACCGGGCTGCTGGGCCCATAGTGTCGGGGACTAACCCTAGCGCGTCCTCACATGACCCGAGGTCATGACATTCAGGTCCCGGTGAGCAGGTCAGCGTCTGCTGATACCCCTAGCACGAGCTGTCCTGGGGCCTGGTTCACTGGGTCAGGGCAGCATCCCGGTGCTCTGCCCCGGGGCATCCTTACCCGACGCCCGGACTGTAGCAAGCGCAGAAGCTCCCGGCGTCCGCACATTAGTCCCATCGCCATTTTGCCCGGAAGAGGACTTGCTTTTGCGCCTGCGCAGTAAGAACCACAACCCCTCGAGAGGAAGCACTTTTGGAGGCGGGCATGAAGCCAGAATTGTAGCCGCAGATCAGGCGGTAAAAGAGAACGGAGCTTGGCGGCCATATTTGAAGTGGGTAAAAATCTGTAAAGCCACGTTACCATTAGCACGCAGAGAGCCTTTTCTGGAGATTGAAAGGAAGTTGAAGAGCTGGGTTAGCTATCATCGTAAGCTATCATCGTTAGTGATGGCGTAAACCTGGGTAATTTTCCTCTAATGTCGCGATTGTCCTCTGATTTGTAAGTTTAAAAATAGCCTCAGAAAAGGCTTGGCTGTACTTGCAGAGGATTTTTCCCACTCAATGATGTTCGATTCTTTTGATTCTTATTGCTAGGTAATATTGTAATCGCAGGTCCAGTGAAATTTGAGGGTAGTCTAGAGTCTGACAGAAATTAAAAGAAGGCAGCTTCTGGGAAATATTTTCCTCCCAGATAAAAAGACGAAGCTTCCAGAGGAGACTTCACCTTTCCATTTTTTTCTTCTGTAAGTGGGGTGGTGTGAGGACTGACCATGAGGGGACAAGTTTCCAGATGAAAAGCTCACGTGCAGGCCGGGCGCGGTGGCTCAGGTCTGTAATCCCAGTACTTTGGGAGGCCGAGGTGGGTGGATCACGAGATCAGGAGGTCGAGACCATCCTGGCCAACATGGTGAAACCCCATTTCTACTAAAAATACAAAAATTAGCCGGGCGTGGTGGTGGGCGCCTGTAATCCCAGCTACTCGGGAGGCTGAGGCAGGAGAATCACTTGAACCCGGGATGCAGAGGTTGCAGTGAGCCGGGATTGTGCCACTGCACTCCAGCCTGGGCAACAAGAGCGAGACTCCGTCTCAAAAAAAAAAAAAAAAAGGAAAGAAAAACTCACGTGCTGAAGATGGTTGAGGGCAAAGATAGAAAACACCCAAATACTTGATGATATCATTGAGCTGCTGTACCATGCTTGGAACTGCCTATCTCCAGACTTTGTTGTGTAAGTTAATTAAAGGTCTTGGCCGGGTGCAGTGGCTCATACCTGTAATCTCATCACTTTGGGAGGCTGAGGTGGTCTCGATAACTAGGTCAAGAGATCGAGACCAGCCTGGCCAACATGGTGAAATCCTGTCTCTACTAAAAATACAAAAAACAAAAAAACAAAATAACTAGGCGGGCGTGGTGGTGCATACCTGTAGTCCCAGCTACTAGGGAGGCTGAGGCAGGAGAATCGCTTGAATCCGGGAGGTGGAGGTTGCAGTGAGCCGAGGTGGAGCCACCTCACTCTAGCCTGGGCGACAGACTCCATCTCAAAAAAAAAAAAAAAAAGATGATTAAAGGTCTTTACTGTTTAGACTCTAAGTCTGTTGCTTGGGTGTTCTGTTTCTTGAAGTTAAAAGCATTCATCTTCAGGGAAAAAAGTTACTGGTCAGAAAGGTGGAGTTTGATTATGTTTGAACCCTTACAAAGTCTCTCAATATGCAGATTACTTTCTAAACAACAAATTATAGTTTCAGAAAGATACAATAACCTGAAATTATTTCAGTGACTGCTCATTTGGAACGATTATGAATGTACCTGACAGATATGGCGAAAATAGGAGGCAAAGAACTATAATACTGATTTAGTAATAATTAGTGGTATGAGCTAACACTTGCATATGTTGGATGCTATTATAAACATCAATAGATTTTTGATATGGAAACACTGATTTTTTTTTAGAGATTACTTTTAAAACTCAATACAATTAGAAGTAATTACAAATATACAGCTACAGAACACTTGGCAGGGTGACTATCTTACAGTACACTGCTACTTTGGTGGCCCCAAATGAACCAGGCTTCCCAATATTTGCACCTTTAGGAGTTCTCTTCTCTTGAGTCTGATTGGGCCTGTCACTTGCTTTAATCAATAGTAGAATGCGTTGGAAGTGATGTTATGCCAGTTTGGGACTATGCCTTAAGAAGGCCTGATAGCTTCTGTTTTTGCATTCGGGGGAAGCCAGCTGCTGTGTTAGAAGTTTGACTTCTCAGACTTACTGCCTGTGAAAAGCCCAACCAACCATGTGAAGAAGAACTGAGGTTTGGGCCAACAGCCTCAGTTGAACTCCCAGCCAGCAGTCAACACCAACTTTTGCCAGCCACGTGAAGAAGGCCATTTAAAAAGTGGATTCTCCAGCCCACTGGAGCCACCTCAGGTGACTGCGTGTGGAGCAAAGAAAGGCTATTTGAGCCCACATTGCAAAATTACAAGCAAATAAATAAAATTATTGTAGTTTTAAGCCACTAAGTTGTTTAATAATAGATAGCTAAAATGTACAGGCAAACTTGGAAGATACTGTGGGTTGGGTTCCAGACCACTACAATAAAGCCAATATCATAATAAAGTGAGTCACAGGGATTTTTTTGTTTTGCAGTGCATATAAAAGTTATGTTGGGCCGGCATGGTGGCTCAGGCCTGTAATCTCAGCACTTTGGGAGGCTGAGGCAGGTGGATCGCTTGAGCTCAGGAGTTTGAGACCAACCTTGGTAACATGGTAAGACCCCATCTCTTAAAAAAAAAAATACTAGGCCGGGTGTGGTGGCTCATGCCTGTAATCCTAGCACTTTGGGAGGCCGAGGTGGGTGGATCACTTGAGGTCAGGAGTTTGAGACCAGCCTGGCCAACATGGTGAAACCCGTCTCTATTAAAAATACAAAAATTAGCCAAGCGTGGTGGTGGGCACCTGTAATCCCAGCTACTTGGGAGGTTGAAACAGGAGAATTGCTTGAACCTGGGAGGTGGAGGTTGCAGTGAGCCGAGATCATGCCATTGCACTCCAGCCTGGGCAACAAGAGTGAAACTCCATCTCAAAAAAAAAAAAAGAAAAAGTTATGTTTACACTATACTGTAGTCTCTTAAGTGTGCAATAACATGTTTAAAAAACAATGTACATACCTTAATTTGAAAATATTATATCGCTTAAAAATGTTGATGATCATCTGAGCCTTCAGCAAGTCATATTTTTACTGGTGGAGGGTCTTGCCTTGATGTTTGTTGACTATCAAGGTGGTGGTTGCTGAAGGTTGGGGTGGCATAAAATAAGACAATGAAGTTTGCTGCATCAATTGACTATGCTTTTCATGAAAGATTTCTCTATAGCATGTGATGCTGTTTGAAAGGATTTTACCCACGGTAGAACTTCTTTCAAAATTGGAGTTAGTCCTCTCAAACCCTGCTGCTGCTTTGTCAATTAAGTTTATATGATATTTTAAATCTTTTGTTGTCATTTCAACAATGTTCATAGCAACTTCACCATGAGTAGATGTCATCTCAAAAAACCACTTTGTCTAGAAGAAGCAACTCCTCATCTCTTAAAGTTTTATCATGAGATTGTAGCAATTCAGTCACATCTTCAGACTCCACTTCCAATTCTAGTTCTCTTGCTGTTTCTACCACATCTGCAGTTACATCCCTCCATAAAGTCTTAGACTCCTCAACATCAACCATGAGGGTTGGAATCAACTTCTTCTAAACTCCAGTTAATGTTGATATTTTCACCTCCTCCCATGAATCACAAATGCTCTTAATGGCATCTAGGAGGGTGAATCCTTTCCAAAAGGTTTTCAATTGACTTTGCCCAGATCCATCATAGGAATTGCTATCTATGGCCGCCATAACTTTACAAAATATATTTCTTAAATAATAGACTTGAAAGTCAAAAGTACTTCTTGATCCACAGGCTAAGGAAAAGATTTTGTGTTAGCAGGCATGAAAACAACATTAATCTCCTTGTACATCTCGATCAGAGCTATAGGGTGACAAGGTGCACTATCAATGGTCAGTAATTTTTTTTTTAATGGAGACTGAGTCTTGCTGTGTTGCCTAGACTGGTCTCGAACTCCTGGCCTCAAGTGATTTTCCTGCCTTGGCCTCCTTAAATGTTGGGGTTACAGGCATGAGCCACTGTGCCCAGCCTGCAATAATATTTTGATAGGAATCTTTTTTTCTGAGGGGTAGGTATCAATAATGAGCTTAACATATTCAGCAAACTGTAGGGTAAACAGATATGCTGTCATCCAGGCTTTGTTGTTCCCTTTATAGAACACAGGCAGAGTAGATTTCGCATAATTTTTTTTTTAAGAGACAAGATCTCTCTCCGTTGCCCAGACTGGAGTGCAGTGGTGTGATCATGGCTCACTGTAGCCTTGATCTCCCAGGTTCAAGTGATCTTCCTGCCTCAGGCTCCTGAGTAGCTGAGACTACAGGTGCAACTAATTTTTGTGGGTTTTTTTGTAGAGATAAAGTTTTGCCATGTTGCCCAGGCTGGTCTCAAACTCCTGGGCTCCAGTGATCTACACAGCTACCTTGGTGTGTCCCAAAGTGTTGGGGGTTATAGGTGTGAGCCAGCATGCCTGTCCTGACAGTTTTTTTTTTTTTTAAAGCACTTTAAATGTATTATCCCACTGCGTTCTGGCATCCAGGGTTTCTGCTGAGAAAATGGCCAGTAGTCTTTTTTTTTTTCTTTTCCCTCAGAGTGATTGGACTTCAGCTGATAGTGTTATTGAGGATCACTTGTACATTATGAGTTGCTTCTCTCTTGCTGCTGTCAAGATTCTCTGTCTTTCAACAGTTTGATTATAATGTGTCTCAGTGTGAGTCTCTTTGGATTTATTTTACTTGGAGTTTATTGAGATTCTTGGATTTGTAGATTAGTGCCTTTCATCAAATTTGGGAAGTTTGCAGCCATTTCTTCAAATAATCTTTTTGCCCCTTTCTCTAACCCCTCTTTGGGAATCGTAATGCATATGTTGGTCTACTTAATGGTATTCCACAAGTTCCTTGGTCTCTGTCCACTTTTCTTTTTTTCTTTTTTTGAGACAGAGCCTCACTCTGTTGCCCAGGCTAGAGTGCAGTGACACAATCTTGGCTCACTGCAACCTCTGCCTCCCAGGTTCAAGCAATTTTCCTGCCTCAGCCTTCTGAGTAGTTGGGATTACAGGCACTCATCACCATGTCCAGCTAATTTTTGTATTTTTGGCAGAGATAAGGTTTTGCTGTGTTGGCCAGGCTGTTTTCGAACTCCTGACCTCAAGTGATCCACCCGCCTTGACCTCCCAAAGTGCTGAGATTACAGGCATGAGCCACCTCACTTGGCCTATCCACTTTTCTTTATTTATTTTTCTTTATGCTCCTCAGATTTGAAAATTTCAATTGTCTTATTTTCAAGTTCACTGATTCTTCTGTGTTTGAGCTCCTCTAGTAAATTTTCATTTCAGTTATTGTGTCTTTCAGCTATAGAATTTCTGTTTAGCTCCTTTTTACAATTTTTGTCCCTTTCTTGGTTTTCTAATTTTGTTAATATACCATTTTCCTGATTTCCTTTAGTTTTTTGCCCATGTTTTCTTTTAGCTCTTTGAGCAAATTTAAGACAATTGTTTTAAAGTCTTTGGTAAGTCAAATGTCTGGATGTCCTCAGAAATGGTTTCTGCCAATTAATTTTACTCCTTTGAATGTGCCATGTTTTCCTGTTTCTTTGTATGCCTTGTAATTTTTGTAGTTTTTGTTGAAAAGTAGACATTTGAAAAAACAGCTAACTCCCCTAGTCTTTGCAGATTGGCTCTATACTGGTACAGTTCTTCAGCACTGAGCAAGGCTTGCTTTGAGCCTAGGGATCAGCTGAGGTGAAGGCTTAAGGTCTTTTCAGGGCTTTTCTGACCAAGTGTCTTACCTGGGCATGTGTAACTTCCCAATTTCCCCATATACATGGCTGCTTTTGAATGTCTTATTTCCTAAAGAGTCTCAGTCCGGTTTCTCCTGGGGCCTTACATGGTCTACTGTATGTATCCACCCATAGTCTTTTACTCCACATGTCAGTGGGTCTGTAGTCTCCTTGCAGCTTTCATGAGCAATGACTACCGCTTTTCTGAGACCTGAGGCCAGTCCTTTAGGTAACCCCCATATGCGCACAATAATTTGCAAAAAGCTTTGCTCTTCTCCCTTCCATTTAAGGGAGGGAACTTGGAATTAGGCTGCTGCCTCTTCCAGACTAAGAGCACTGCCGCATCAGGGAGGAGGAGGGGACGAGGGCAAATAAAGACACGACAAAACTTTCTTAACATTTGGAAGGTGGGCATTCACTTGGTTACTGTAAACCTTTAACTGTTTTTTGGAGCTCTTACAGGTTAGTTCAGCTCATTTCTGGTTGTTTTATGAAGTTTCTGTTGGATAATGAAAGCTTGGAGCTTTGTCGTCCACCATTTTGCTGATATCACATGAGCATCCATTTTAATAAGATAGAAGAAAAGAGCACATTGGACCTTAAGTAAGTGTAAGAAAAGGAATAGAAAGTTAAGAGAATAGGCCAGGCATGGTGGCTCACACCTGTAATCCCAGCACTTTGGGAGGCTGAGGTGGGCGGATCACCGGAGGTCGGGAGTTCAAGACCAGCCTGACCAACATGGAGAAACCCCGTCTCTACCAAAAATACAAAATTAGCTGGGCATGGTGGCACATGCATGTAATCCCAGCTACTCGGGAGGCTGAGGCAGGAGAATCGCTTGAACCCGGGAGATGGAGGTTACAGTGAGCACTCCAGCCTGGGCAACAGGAGTGAAACTTAATCTCAAAAGAAAAAAAGAAAAAAAGATCAGGAGTTCAAGACTAGCCTGAGCAACATAGTGAGATCTCATCTCTAAAAAAAATTTAGGGCCGGTGGCTCACACCTGTAATCCAGCACTTTGAGAGGCTGAGGCAGGAGGATCACAAGGTCAGGAGTTTGAGAGCAGCCTGGCTAACATGGTGAAACCCCATCTCTACTAAAAATACAAAAATTAGCTAGGCACAATGGCTGGCGCCTGTAATCCCAGCTACTTGGGAGGCTGAGGCAGGAGAATTTCTTGAACCCAGGAGGCAGAGGTTGCAGTGAGCTGAGATCGTGCCTTGCACTCCAGCTGGGGCGACAAGAGCAAGACTCCGTCTCAAAAAACAAAAACAAAAAAATAAAAGAAATAATCTATATTTTGATTATTGTGGTGGTTAAGTAGGTGAATACATTTATCAAAATTCAGCAAACTATTCATTTAAATGGGCACATTTTATGTAAGTTATACATAAATAAATTTTATTCATAAGTAAAAAAACAGTTTACAGAGGACACTTCCCTGTCAAAATAGTACATTTGTCTCGATTAATTCATATATTTTGAGTGAAAAATTTTAAAAAGTTTATTCTCTGGATAATTACTTTGCCTTGTCACCTGGTATGGACATTTAGTCTTTGGTGCCTTATGAGATAAATGAATAAAGTGCTTGGGTAGTTCTGATGAGAGAGATTATGTCTAAGAATACATCAGGGATGGCTTCATGGAGGAAACCATTTTTAATCTTGGCCTTAATTAATAGATACAGAGAAAGAAAGATAAAAATAAAGAAAATAGCATGGCATTCCAGGCAGAATGAACAATAAAGGAAAACAATATTGCCTTTTGCAAAAATACACTGTTTTTTTTTTTGAGGGACTCTGTGTTTTCATTGTTTGTAATATCACGTCTCCGTGTTAAAGACCTGTGTGTAATTTTCAGTCATTAATTATGCACGGATGATTTCTCCCTATGCAGAATGCTGTTTGGGCTTAATCAGGCAATCTTTTAAAAGATGTAGTCTCTAGGGATTTGCTATTTAAGAAGTGGAACTAGCTACGTTATAATTAAATAATTCCTGCTACAGTACCATGTAAAAGGTCATTCATCATTCAACATTTATTTATTCTACAAAATATTTATCGAGTGCCCATTATATATCTGGTACTATTCTAGGCAATAGAGATACACATAAGTCAATATTTATCCCTCATGGGGCCTAATATTCTTTTTTTGTTCTTTTTTTTTATTATTATACTTTACGTTCTAGGGTACACGTGCATAACATGCAGGTTTGTTACATATGTATACATGTGCCGTGTTGGTTTGCTGCACCCGTTAACTCATCATTTACATTGGGTATTTCTCCTAATGGTATCCTTCCCCCATCCCCCCACCCCACGACAGGCCCCGGTGTGTGATGTTCCCTGCCCTGTGTCCAAGTGTTCTCATTGTTCAATTCCCACCTATGAGTGAGAACACGCGGTGTTCAGTTTTCTGTCCTTGTGATAGTTTGCTCAGAATGATGGTTTCCAGCTTCATCCGTGTCACTACAAAGGACATGAACTCATCCTTTTTTATGGCTGCATAGTATTCCATGGTATATATGTGCTACGTTTTCTTAATCCAGTCTATCATCAATGGACATTTAGGTTGGTTCCAAGTCTTTGCTATTGTGAATAGTGCCGCAATAAACATACGTGTGCATGTGTCTTTATAGTATCATGATTTATAATCCTTTGGGTATATACCCAGTAATGGGGTGGCTGGGTCAAATGGTATTTCTAGTTCTAGATCCCTGAGGAATCGCCACACTGTCTTCCACAATGGTTGAACTAGTTTACAGTCCCACCAACAGTGTAAGTGTTCCTATTTCTCCACATCCTCTCCAGCACCTGTTGTTTCCTGACTTTTTAATAATTGCCATTCTGACTGATGTGAGATGGTATCTCACTGTGGTTTTGATTTGCATTTCTCTGATGGCCAGTGATGATGAGCATTTTTTCATGTGTCTGTTGGCTGCATAAATGTCTTCTTTTGAGACGTGTCTGTTCATATCCTTTGCCCACTTTTCGATGGGGTTGTTTGATTTTTTTCTTGTAAATTTGTTTAAGTTCTTTGTAGATTTTGGATATTAGCCCTTTGTCAGATGGGTAGATTGCAAAAATTTTCTCCCATTCTGTAGGTTGCCTGTTCACTCTGATGGTAGTTTCTTTTGCTGTGCAGAAGCTCTTGAGTTTAATTAGATCCCATTTGTCTATTTTGGTTTTGTTGCCATTGCTAATATTCTTAAATTATATTTAATATCAAACATTCTAAGAAATCACTCTGTAATGAATGTAAAACCACTTTGGGTAGAGAGTATGATACCAGTAGTTCTATTTAATCTTCCTTTTAAACAAATATATATTTATTTTAAAACATGGGTTTTTCATGATTTTTTTTTTGGTTAAATTTTCAGCAATGTGTTTAATACTCCAGGATACCAAAAAAAAAAAAAAAAAAAAAAAAGCCTGGGGAATTTATAGTCTAGATATGGAGAAAATACCTATACATGACATGATTAAAGTACTTTTAAGTAGAGTGTGTAATGAAGTTTGAGGTAACAAAATACAACAGGGTAACTGTGAGGGTGAAATTGACATGGGGTCACAATATTCAGGGGACATTTATGAAGGAGTGTTGGTGAGATTTTAGTTGGTGCTTCCAGGCAGAGGGAACAAGACAGCAGGCCTGGAAGCAGTGATGAGTGGGGTATGTGGAGGACACTGTGAAGACTGGCCTGTAATAAAGTTTAACCTGTAATTCCTTTATAAAGATTTCCACTTAGGAAATTAATCACAGTTATATTCATAGAGGTTCATTACAGTGTTATTTAAAATGATGAAAATTGGCCAGACGCGGTGGCTCACGCTTGTAATCCCAGCACTTTGGGAGGCCGAGGCAGGTGGATCACGAGGTCAGGAGTTTGAGACCAGCCTGACCAATATGGTGAAACCCCCTCTCTACTGAAAATACAAAAATTAGCTGGGTGTGGTGGCATGTGCCTGTAGTCCCAGCTACTCAGGAGGCTGAGACAGGATAATTGCTTGAACCCAGGAGGCAGAGGTTGCAGTGAGCCTAGATCACACCACTGCACTCCAGCCTGGGCAATACAGGGAGACTCTGTCTCAAACAAACAAACAAAACTCCAAAAAAGATGAAAATTGGAGGGAAGTGATGACAACTGTGACTGTTGTGTGACACTGATTTCTCTCATATTTGTACTGGCTGATCCTGAGGTGAGTCAAAAAAAGACAAAAATGTATAAAAATAAAGAAAAATAAAATGATTAAAAAATGGAAACAACTGACATTTTAATCAATAGGGGAATAGAAATGACTTAGACTGTATTCATTCAATAGAGCAATATGTAGCCATTTCAAAACATGTTTTTGATAACAAGGTGGTAAAATGTCCATGATGAAATAAAAATGTTCAGGCCAGGCGCCGTGGCTCACGCCTGTAATCCCAGAACTTTGGGAGGCTGAGGCGGGTGGATCACGAGGTCAGGAGATCGAGACCATCCTGGCTAACATGATGAAACCCCATCTCTACTAAAAATACACGAAAAAATTAGCCGGGTGTCGTGGCGGGTGTCGGTAGTCCCAGCTACTTGGGAGGCTGAGGCAGGAGAATGGTGTGAACCCGGGAGGCAGAGGAGGTTGCATGAGCCGAGATTGTGCCACTGCACTCCAGCCTGGGTGACTGAGCAAGACTCCGTCTCAAAAAAAAAAAGAAAAATGTTCATAATTATGTAAAAGAAGCAGAATATAAAACTGTAAGTACATTATGATGGTAATTTTATGAAAATGAAAAAAAATATGTATATCTTAGAAAAAAAGCCTGGAACAAAATACTCCAAACATTTTATTTACTTTAATATAATTTATGTATTTATTTTATAGAGACAGGTTCTCCCTATGTTGCCCAGGCTGGTCTTGAACTCCTGGGCTCAAGTGATCCTTCTGCCTCAGCCTCCCAAATTTCTGGGATTACAGGCATGAGCCACCATGCCTGGCCTCCAAATATTTTATGATGGTTATCACTTGTTGATGGAATTATAGGTGATTTTTATTTCCATCTTTATATTTTTCTGTAATTTTAACATTTATTGTAATGATTACATATTTTGTTTATGCTCTTAGATAATATTTGTATTAGTTTGCTAGAGCTGCCATACCAAAATACCATGCACTTGGTTGCTTACACAACAGAAATTCATTTTCTCATAGTTCTGGAGGCTAGAAGTCCATGATCAAGGTACCAGTAGGCCTGGTTTCTTCTGAAGCCTGATTCCGTGGTTTGCAGGTGGCTACTTTCCCACTCTGTCTTCATATGGTTTTCCCTCTGTCTGCACATGTTTCTGGTGTCTCCTGGTATGCCTAAATTTCTCCTTCTTACAAGGACACCAGTCATATTGGATTAGGGCCCACCCTGAAAAAAAAACAGAGCACCTCATTTTAACCTAAGCAATGCTTTAAAGACCTTATCTTCAAATATAGTCACATTCTCAAGTACTGGGGCTTAGGACTTACACAAATTTTGGGAAGACACAATTCAACCTATACACTAATTTAAAAAGTAATTGGTATATTATTGGTAATACAGACACAAAAACTGGGGCAAGCCTGACTAGAGTAGAAAGATATGTGGCAAATAGCAATAGGAGGGTAGGTGAAATAACTTCAATGATACCTTAATTATTGATTGTTCACTGTGTACTGGGCATTGTATTAAGATATCTTGACTGTCTCACGAAATCATTGATTTAAATATTGATTTAATGTGGCATCAAGTTTGGGAAAACATTGAATCATGACAAGCTGCGGACTTTGGGTAGACATAAGGAATGATTTCAAGGTAGGAAAATGACACGAGGAAGAGTATTTTATTTATTTATTATTATTATTATTATTATTATTATTATTATTATTATTATTATTATTTTGAGATGGAGTCTCGCTCTGTTGCCCAGGCTGGAGTGCAGTGGCACAATCTCGGCTCACTGCGACCTCCGCCTCTTGGGTTCAAGTGATTCTCCTGCCTCAGCCTCCCGAGTAGCTGGGATTACAGGTGTGCACCACCATGCCTGGCTAATTTTGTATTTTTAGTGGAGACGGGGTTTCCCCATGTTGGCCAGGCTGGTCTCAAACTGCTGACGTCAGATGATCCACTGGCCTCAGCCTCCTTACAGGCGTGAGGCACAGTGCCTGGCCATTTATTTTTATTATTTTTTTTGAGACGGAGTCTGACTCTGTCACTCAGGCTAGAGTGCAGTGGCATGATCTCGACTCACTGCAACCTCTGCCTCCCGGGTTCAAGTGATTCTTTTGCCTCAGCCTCCTGAGTAGCTGGGACTACAGACATGCACCACCACGCCTGGCTAATTTTTGTATTTTTAATAGAGATGGGTTTCACCAGTTGGCTAGGCTGGTCTCAAACTCCTGAACTGTAATCTGCTTGCCTCAGCCTCCCAAAGTGCTAGGATTAGATGCATGAGCCACTGTGCCCGGCCACAGGAAGGGTATTTTAGGAAGATTAGTTTGGTAACAGAATGGATTAGTGGGCCAGGCACAGTGGCTCATCCCTGTAATCCCAGCACTTCGGGAGGCGGAGGCGGGTGGATCACTTGAGGTCAGGAGTTCGAGATCAGCCTGGCTAACATGGTGAAACCCTGTCTCTACTAAAAATACAAAAATTAGCTGGGCATGATAATGGGTGCCTGTAATCCCAGCTACTCGGGAGGCTGAGGCAGGAGAATCGCTTGAACCTGGGAGGCGGAGGTTGCAATGAGCCTTGCCATTGCACTCCAGTCTGGAAGATAACAGTGAAACTCTGTCTCAAAAAAAAAAAAAAAAAAGAATGGATTAGTGTCAGTTTAATTTCAGGGATCAGCAAACTTTTCTGTGAAGGACTAGAAAGTAAATATTTTGGGGCATACATATGGTCTCTGTTGCAAATACTGAACTCTGTCATTATAATGTGAAAGCAGTGACAGACAATAACTAAATGAATGAGCATGGCAGCTGCTAAATCTCAGGTTTAAGCTAAAGCTACCTTCTTACATATTTTAAGTTCAGCCTAAAGGTTTCTTTGTACATTGTGAACTACAACCTAAATGGAATTGTAAACAGACTGTAGCCTACTCTTGTGCCAATCACTGTTTCGGCCAATCAAACATGGCCAACTGTTCAAACTGTTCAAATAGGGCAAATGCCGAGCTACAAGCAATCCGGCTGTTTCTGTACCTCATTTCCATTTTCTGTATGTCACTTTCCTTTTTCTGACCACGTGGCTGCTCTAGAGTCTCTGAGGATACTCTAGCTCGGGAGGCTGTCTGATTCATGAATCATTTTTTTGCTCAATTAACTGTTTTAAATTTAATTCGGCTGAAGTTTTTCTTTTAACTCAGTGTACCAATAAAACTTATGTACAAGGAAAATTGCAATGTTCCCAACACAAAGAAAAGATAAATGTTTGAGGTGAAGGATATCCAAATTATACTGATTTGATCATTACACATTGTATACAGGTATTAAAATAACACACATACCCCCCCAAATATGAACAACTATTATATATTAGTTAAAAAACCCTTGATGTACAAGAACAGGTGGTGGGCTAGATTTGGCTGATTGGCCACTGTGTGGTGACTCCTGGAGTAGACCATGTAGAAGGGACAGTAGCAGATAAAAACTGGAGGTTCAAGCCAAGTTAGGAAGAAAATACGGCAATAATTAATATCTGCAGTGAGGAGGGCCAGAATTAAGCTGGGCCAATGTGATGGAAATGGAGATATATTGGAGCCCTTTTAGGGTAAAAGGACTGCAGACCAGGTGATGACTGGAATGCAGAACTTGAAGTGGAGAAAATGAAAGATTTTGGGGATTCTGAGCAGGGAAGTGGGGAAAGGGCAGGGCAGTGCCACCGACATAAATGGATACATCCATGAACTGGCCATTTGCCTGGATGCTCCCAAATCCTTTTCTGCTCTTACCCTCTCTAACTCATATCACGTGAAACTACTTGCCCCCTGGCTTCTGAGTGGGTTCTGGCAATGGAAGTGTAAACCAAAAATAAAATTCTAAGACCCCTCCTCTTGGCCAAGGGCATTCCAGAATTAACCTGAAAAACTAGCTCAGGCCATGATGGAAGAGAGGGTTGGAAATGCCTCGTTATACCCTCTTCCCTTTTGGAATTCAGGAAAAGCCCGACCAGCATTGACCAACACAGATCTTAAGTCTGATCAGAAACATTTACAATCTACTCTCTCAGAAGCCCGCTACCTGGATGCTTCAAGTGCAGGATAAAACCTTGGTTTACACAACCCCTCACTGTAACCCAGACATTCCTTTCTACTGATAGTAACACTTTCAACCTGATGCCAATCAGATAATGGTTTCTTTTTTCTTTTTTTGAAGCAGAGTTTCACTCTTGTTGCCCAAGCTGGAGTGCAGTGGCGTGATCTTGGCTTACCGCAACCTCTGCTTCGCGGGTTCAAGCGATTCTCCTGCCTCAGCCTCCTTGGTAGCTGGGTTTACAGGCATGCACCACGATGCCTGGCTAATTTTGTATTTTTAGTAGAGACAGGCTGGGCACGGTGGCTCACACCTGTAATCCCAGCACTTTGGAAGACTGAGGCGGGTGGATCAGGAGTTTGAGACCAGCCTGACCAACATGGTGAAACCCCGTCTCTACTAAAAATACAAAAATTAGCCAGGCATGGTGGTGTGTGCCTGTAGTCCCAGCTACTCAGGAGGCTGAGGCAGGAGAACTGCTTGAACCTGGGAGGTGGAGGTTGCAGTGAGCCGAGATCATGCCACTGCACTCCAGCCTGGGTGACAGAGTGAGACTCCATCTCAAGAAAAAAAAAATAACTAAAACAAATTAGCCGCGCATGGTGGTGTACACCTTTGGTCCCAGCTACTAGGGTGGCTGAGGTGGGAGAGTCCCTTGAGCTCAGAAGTTTGATGCTGCAGTGAGCTATGATTTCTCCACTGCACTCTGGCTTGGGGAACAACAGAGTAAGACCTGCCATCTCCAAAAAAAAAAAAAAAAAAGGGCTGGGCATGGTGGCTCATGCCTGTAATCCCAGCACTTTGGGAGGCCGAGGGAGGCGGATCACCTGAGCTCAGGAGTTCGAGATCAGCCTGGCCAGTATGGTAAAACCCCGTCTCTACTAAAAATACAAAAATTAGCCAGGCGTGGTGGCACATGCCTGTAGTCCCAGCTACTTGGGAGGCTGAGGCAGAAGAATAGCTTGAACCTGGGGGGCGGAGGTTGCGGTGAGCCGAGATCAAGCCACTGCAATCCAGCCTGGACGACAGAGCGAGACTCCGTTTCAAAATAAATAAATAAATAAATAAATAAATAAATAAATAAATAAATAAGTAGAGACAGGGTTTCTCCATGTTGCTCAGGCTGGTCTCGAACTCCCAACCTCAGGTTATCTGCCTTGGCCTTCCAAAGTGCTGGGATTATAGGCGTGAGCCATGGTGCTGGGCAGAGAATTGTTAAATCTACCTATGACCTGGAAGGCCCATCCCCCACCTCCCTCCTTTGAGTTGTTCCACCCTTCCAGATCAAACCAATGTAAATCTTACATGTATTGATTGATGCCTTATGTCTCTCTAAAATTTATAAAAGCAAGCTGTACCCCAACCACTTTGGTCGCATGTTGTCAGGGCCTCCTGAGGCTGTGTCACAGGTGCGTCTTTAGCCTTGGCAAAATAAACTTTCTAAATTGATTGAGACCTATCTCAGATACTTTTAAGTTCACAAAAGTCACTGGCACAAGAGTGTAGACGGGGGGAAGAGAACCCAGGGTAGTTCTCTCCTGCTGTCTCTGCTTCCTGCAGAGATGTCTCTGCAACATCCCTTCCTCCTTGGCCAGACAGCCTTTCTCTCCACTATTCTAGTTCCCTCCATGCAGACCTTGCCATGATTCTTCTGACCTCTGGATGCCCTTAGATTCTGGGCTCCACTAACTCCACTAACTCCCATTGTCCCTCCAGCCTAGGAGGTGGCGGCAGGTGCCTGCTGTTGCATTTCCAGATTGCTTCGTTGTGCCCCTTTTGGCTTCTTAGCTCTTCTCTTACCCATGTACCAATTCCCTGTGGTAAAATCCTTCTGAAATACTTAGAGTGGTTTCTGCTTTCTGGCTGGACCCTAACTAATATAGTTCAGAAGCTGCATCAGTTATTAAGTTATTATCTCTTAGCTCCAAACCCACTGCTTTGTGATTCTGGGGCTGGTATTCCACAAACTGCTTTTCTGCTTCTCCAACTGGCTCCCTGTTCCACTCTGCCAATGAGGGATGCTAGAGCAGGGCTAGAAGGCTGGACGTGGGAGAATGAATTGTTACCTCTAGTTTGTTCCATGTGGGTTTCCTATCTAATTGCATCCTGTGAGCACCATCAAGCGGCGCTTCTTCATTCCGGCAGTGCCTCTCATCCAGGAGCTGTATCCAGTTTCCAATCTTTCTAACACTTGCAGAGCCCATCTTATCATGCCCACTCAGGAACATCAGTGGTGCTCTCTCCTCAGATGTATGAATTTCAGTTCTGTGGGAGCCTTTGTTTAAGCTTCAAAGTTTTTTATTATTTATTTATTTATTTATTTTTTTTAAGATGGAGTCTCGCTCTGTCACCAGGCTGGAGTGCAGTGGTGCAATCTTGGCTTACTGCAACCTTTGCCTCCCAGGTTCAAGCGATTCTCCTGCCTCAGCCTCCCAAGTAGCTGGGACTACAGGCGTGTGCCAGCACACCCAGCTAATTTTTGTATTTTTAGTACAGACGGGGTTTCACAATGTTGGCCAGGATGGTCTTGATCTCCTGACCTCGTGATCCACCCACCTCGGCCTCCCAAAGTGCTGGGATTACAGGCGTGAGCCACTGTGCCCAGCCTGAGCTTCAAAGTTTTAATCACCCTGGCCTCTTCCCTTTGTTCCCTCAGCTGTAGGGGTGGCAACTGCATTCTGCAATTGCTACCTCTGTGGTCCTTTAGAGTTCTCTTTTTGCTCTTTTAGTTACCTAATTAGCAACTTTATAATTACTTAAAAATCCTTTATATTTAATTCTTTCCATACACTGGTGTGGTTTCTGTCTCCTGACTGGGTCTTGCCAGTTACAGAAGTGCAGCTGTGTTTTTTTTGAAAGGTGTCAGGTTTGGTTTTGAGAATATTGAATTTGCAATGACAGCGGGCTATTCAAGTGGAGATAACTTGTACATAGATCAACTATGGCCCTGGAGTTTGTGGGAGAGACATGATCTGAAAACGTTTTGTTCTCGTCAGCACTGATGTGGTCACAGTAACTATGATTGCTTGAGCTCTTCGGGTGAGTGGTGTGAAGTGCCAAGAGCAGATGGCTGAGAACAGCCTCACAAAGAAAAGGTGGCAACATTTTTAAAAATCACAAATTTGAAGATACAATGATGAATTTATGATAAAGTGTTGATAAATGAAGCTCATACCAAGATATTTTTTCTGGCTACACTTAAATTCTTACCCAGCCCATGTTTCGAAGTGTGTACCAATATTGAGGCTATCCTTACAAAGCAAAAGCCTAGGTTCCCTGGAGCTCTTACTTTTCCTCTAGCACCACTAGGGAAAGCCACCAGGTCACAGTGAAGACAGTAATTTATCCTTCCTTCTTTTGATTCTGCAAGTCTACTATCAACACTATAGTGGTACTGCAGAAAGATATAAAAGTTATAAGAAAATTTTATCATCTTATCAGTGGGACTCTCCCCATTACTAACCAGCTATTTTTTAAAATGTCTTTTAAAAAACTTTTATTTTATTTTACTTTTTTGTAAAGACGGGGTCTCACTATGTTGCCTAGACTGGTCTTGAACTCCTGGCCCAAAGTTATCATCCCTCCTCAGCCTCCCAAAGTGCTAAGATTACAGGCATGAGCCACCGAGTCTGGCCTTTTAAAATGTCTTATCAATTTATTCAAACATCTACCGAGTAGGTACTGACACCTGGTGTCAGGTGTCCATTTCTTTGCAGTTTCCTGCCCACCATTGTTCTAAGCCTTTTCTCTCCTGCACCCTCCTCTTGGTGCCCCTCCGTGCCCCTTCTCCTTTGACAGGGGCTATCTGTTACTTTGCTGGCAAAATAAAGACCATGCGAGATAAGCCTTTTAATTCCAAAACAACTCTGTGGCAATTTCTTTCTCTTCCCCATCTTAGGCGAGGAACTGAACTTCCTCTTTCTAAGTTTAAACTAACCTTATGTTTTCAGTCCTCTCTGTTCTCTCCCTTTTCTCCCTGGTGGGTGCTATAACATCTGCAATCAAAGATTTTCTGTCTTAATTATCTTCTTTTTGTCTAGCTTAAGCACCTTTAATTTCTTCTTCTCTCCTCTGCCTGCAGACATAATCCTTTTTCCTCCTTGCTGAAAAAAACAAACAAAAACCCCAAACCCCAAAGCCTTCATTTGACCTTGCTGCAATTTTTATCCTAATTTCCTCATCCTTTTGTTGTTACATGTTTTGAGGACAGAATTCCATTTTCTCAATGCAGAGTCACTCCTTGTTCTGCCCTCTTGACGTCTGCTGCTCCCTCAGCCCTCATCTCTGCCACTCAAACTGATTGCTGAAGGCAACCCTGGGTTCCTCATCCTGAGGCGTGGCGGATTTTTCTCATCCCTCATTGTCTTAGATTTCTCAGTGGTATTTGACACTGTTGATTATCTTTCTTTCTAACTCTCTCCTTTCATAGTTTTCATAGAACAACATATAATTTTCTTCCCATCTTTTGTAACCTTTCGAGACAATTTGGATGACTATATGTGCTGAGCTTAAATTCCAACATATCTACTGCAGTTTGTTGGGGGCATGAAGAAATAATGGTGTCACCGAAAACTGATTGCTGCTAAGATAGGCTTTGTATAATTTTGTCCAATGATAAAATCAACTAGGGGTCTGTCTTCAGCTTGAGAGGTCTTACTATTTGATTGTGTCAGAAGTTGGCTAAAGTAACCAGTCTCATCAGAGAATAGTGCTTGTTGTATAGTCTGTCCCTTGAACCATGCTAGCTAGCTAATCCCTAACACATTTTGCCCTTCCAATCCCTTTCATTCCTCCACGTTTTAACCTTCCAGTTTCTGATCTAGATACATTAATTCATTGTTTAGGATACGATCAAGTTCTATCTTCTGACTTTTTACGTTTATGTCCCAGTGGCATGTATTGGTTTTATTCATTAAACTTAGAGTTCTGGAGGTTTTTCTGCCCTAAGTGTAACACACAGTGCTCTATATAAGAACAACAACAACAACAAAAACAAACCCACTTCATTTGACAGGCTTTTCTCTCTTCTTTCTTTTTTTAATTTTTAATTTTTTTTTTTTTTTTTGAGATGAGGCCTTGCTTTGTTGCCCAGTCTGGAGTGCAGTGGTGCGATCATGGCCCACCACAGCCTTGACTTCCTAGGCTCAAGCCATCCTCCCTCCTCAGCCTCCCAAGTAGCTGGGACTACAGGGGTGCACCACCACACACAGCTAATTAAAAATTAAAAAAAAAAAAGAAATGGGGTCTCACTGAGACAGCCAGATGGGAGGTGGTCCCTGGAGAAACTCCAACCAGCCTGCCAGCTGAGGTGGAGCCTGGGGAAGTTCATGACTTTCGCAGCGGGGAGGAGCCTGGCCCCTCTTCCTGTGTGGAACCTGAGATTCAAAGGGTGGGTGGGATGCGCTCTAGCAGGGGGCTCTGGCCTTGCGGAGGATCCTTGTTTCCCCCTTTTATTTCCCTTTTCATTCAGTAAAACCCTACTTCACTCACCCTTTAAACTGTCTGTGAGCCTAAATTTTCGTGGCAGTGGGACGGACAAGAACCCCGTCTTTAGCTGAACTAAGGAAAGTCCTGCAACATCACTGTGTTGCCTAGGCTGGGCTTTTCTCTCTCCTTAAATGTAGAAGTTGTTTAACATGATCCTGATTTTGAAAAGTAGAATGCCTCTCGGAGATTTTATGTTTGTTATTCAAGATGAAGAAAATAGGGTTTATTATTGTATGAGAATAATTCTATTCATAAATTAAAAATGCTAATTTGAAAAATGCCATCATCCTATGAGACTGGATAAAAATAAGAAAGGATAACCTGGTCTTATAAACAATTTTTTGGGTATTGTGCAAAGTTATAGAGGAACTTCTAGTTCTCAGTGTTGTTAGCTGATATCTATCATGGCGCTTTAGACCAAATAGAAAGAGAACTGAACATTGTGAGTTGTTGGAAAAAGAGGCCTCTACAACAAAGAAAAAAGAAGACTACAGTTTTTTGAACTTTAACTGTTACTTATTCCTGATTTGAACATGGCAGATTTTTTTTTCTTTTTTTTGAGACAGAGTTTTCCTCTTGTTGCTCAGGCTGGAGTGCAATGGCAGTATCTTGGCTGACTACAACCTCTGCCTTCTGGGTTCAAGCGATTCTCCTGCCTCAGCCTCCTGAGTAGCTGGGATTATAGGCATGTGCCACCACACCTGGCTAATTTTGTATTTTTAGTAGAGATGGGGTTTCTCCATGTTGGTCAGGTTGGTCCCGAACTCCTGACCTCAGATGATCAGCCCACCTTGGCCTCCCAAAGTGCGGGGACTACAGGTGTGGGCCACTACACCTGGCCTTCAAACATGGCAGATTTTAGTAGAGCCTTAACACTTATCCCTGCTGCTGTCATTTACCATGAGTTAACTTATATTGCTGAAAGTAGGGAGATTTTGCTACTTATAGATCATAGAATTTCCCTGCTTTCCCCTTTTTATTCTTTTATGTTGTATTTTTTCTCCTATACATATGTTGTAGTTGGGTACACTGTGCAACTCAAATGCACAATTTAATTTTACTTTGATGTGAAGAAGTTGAGAGTACAATGTGACTTGGCTAGTAATGAGGAAGTCAGGGCGAGAATGCATCTTGGATTCCCCACTAGCCAATTCTGGGACAATTTGAGCCTCAAAGTTACAATGATAGTTAACATAATAACTTACTGACCAAAATAGAAATCCAAGAGTCCAAACTGATGTACGTGAAGAAATGAATAGCCTATAAAAGGAAGACAACAGAACACCTTCTCTTTACAGCAGAATGCCAACTAATAAGTGTGATAAATGTAGATAGAATGATGGAATGAGAAAATCACCATCTGATAACTACCATATTAGTAATTGCTTCAGACAAGAATCATCAATGGTAGCTAAAGTTAGCCAGCAAGTTTGATGAGGAACATGGTATTTACTAGTCTTGAATAATCTCCCTGAAGGTTACCTAGTCATTACAAAGGGAAAAATAGTAACTTTACAGTGGTGCTGTCTGGTAAACACTGCTTTAACCAAGTAATCAAAGTTATATCACTAATGATGGGACCAAGTAACATGCATTTCTCATGTGATGTATTTTTTTTTTTTTTTTTTGAGACAGAGTCTCCATCTGTCACCCAGGCTGGAGTGCAGTGGCAAGATGTTGGCTCACTGCAACCTTCACCTCCCGGGTTCCAGTGATTCTCCCACCTCAGCCTCCTGAGTGGCTGGGATTAAAGGCACCTGCCACCACGCCCGGCTAATTTTTGTATTTTGAGTAGATACTGGGTTTCGCCATGTTGGCCAGGCTGTTCTTGAACTCCTGACCTCAGGTGATCCGCCCGCCTCGGCCTCCCAAAGTGCTGAGATTGCAGGCGTGAGCCACAGTACCTGGCCTTCTGATGTGATGTATTAACAAGGACACAACATCATTTTAGTGGTATTCCTGCCAAAAATGCATATGCTGAATCTAATCATGAGGAAATATCAGACAAACTCCAATTGAGGGATATTCTACAAACTGGCCTCCAGTCTTCAAAAAAGTCAAGGTCATGAAAGACTGATGATCTGTTTCAGGTTAAAGGAGACTAAAGAGACATGACAACTGGATGTAACATAATCCTGGAATTGGAGACTGGACTTAAAAAAAAAAAGACGTGTTGGCATAACTGATGACAGGTGACTGACTACGTACTGGATTAGAAAATGGTATTGTAGGCCGGGCGCGGTGGCTCACGCCTGTAATCCCAGTACTTTGGGAGGCTGAGGCAGGTGGATCACCTGAAGTCAGGAATTCGAGACCAGCCTGACTAACATGGTGAAACCCCATCTCTACTAAAAATACAAAAAATAGCTGGGTGTGGTGGCTCATGCCTGTAATCCCAGCTACTCGGGAGGCTGAGACAGAAGAATCGCTTGAACCCTGGAGGCGGAGGTTGCAGTGAGCCGAGATCGCACCATTACACTTCAGTCTGGGCAACAGAGTGAGACTCTGTCTCAAAAAAAAAAAAAAAGAAAAAAGAAATAATGGTATTGTATCAATGATAAATTTCCTGATTTTGATAATGGTACTATGGTTATGTAAGAGAATGTCCTTGTTCATAGGAAATGCACATTAAAGAATTTAGGGACAAATAGGCATGATGTTTGCCACTTAATAGTCTCAAAGTGTTCAGGAAAAATGTATACACATATATCTGCAGAGAGAGAATGACAAAATATGGGACAAATGTAAACAATTAATGAATCTAGAGAAAGAGTATACAGGAATGCTTTGTATGATTCTTCAACTTCTCTGTAAATTTGAAATTATATCAAAATAAAAAGTTACCAAATAAGCCCAATTCTTAATTTTTTGGGGAGGGTTAATTTTTTTAAGTAAATTATTTTTAAAAGTATAATATGTATACAGAAGAGTGCACACACCAAAAGTGTACAGCTTGATACAGTTTATGAAACGAACCCCCCACGTAATCACAATCCAGGATTTCAAACACAAAACTTCCATGTTCTCTACTCAGATTTCCCAGTTGTTAACATTTTGCCATATTTCTCTCTCTCTCTAACGTATATGATGATTCTTTTTCCAAACCATTGAAGAACAAGTTGCAAACACGATGATCCAACCCTTAAATACTACAGTGAATTTCCCCTGAACAAGGACATTTTTCCTGTATGATACAACTATCCCAATTCAGGAAGTCAACATTGATATAACGCTACTACACAATTAACAGACCCTGTTCAAATTTTGCCAACTGTTCCATTCTCTCTTTGTAGTCTAGAATGTGATCCAGTATCACATTGCATTACTTGTTGTGTCTTTTTAGTCTTCTTCCATCTAGAATTGTTTCTTAATGTTTCCTTGTCTTTCATGACCTTTACAGTTTAAACAGTATATTCTATTTCATTCTCTAAGTACTCTCAGTTGGGGTTTGTCTGATGCTTTCTCTTGTCCATACTCAGGTCATGAATTTTTGGCAGGAGTGGCCCCCAAAATAATACTAAGCTGGCTGGGTGTGGTGGCTCACGCCTGTAATCCCAGCACTTTGGGAGGTCAAGGCGGGTGGATCACCTGAGGTTGGGAGATCGAGACCAGCCTGACCAACATGGAGAAACCCCATCTCTACTGAAAATACAAAATTAGCTGGGCATGGTGGTGTATGCCTGTAATCCCAGCTACTTGGGAGGCTGAGGCAGGAGAATCACTTGAACCTGGGAGGCAAAGGTTGCGGTGAGCCGAGATTGCGCCATTGCACTCCAGCCTGGGTAACAAGAGTGAAACTCCGTCTCAAAAAAAAAAAGAAAAGAAAAGAAAAGAAAAAGAAAAACTTTTCCTTCTTCCTTAATCATTCATTCATTCATTCATTCATTTATTCATGTCAATGTGAACTCATGGATTCTTATGTTAGTCAATAGATTAGGATCTGTTATCATCATTTATTACAATGCTCAGATTGTCCCAGTTTTGGTCAGTGAAAACCCTCTCAAAGCTGAGTCCCATTTCCTTTGGATATATCTCCATCATTCTTTGAATACTTCCTTATTTTCTGCTATTATAGAGTATTCCAAACTCAACTTATACCCCAGCACTGGAATCTGTCATTTCTCCAAGGATTCCTGGCTCCTTTTAGTGGAGGATGGTATTTAGAAACCAAGATCTGGGTGCTTAGTAGGCTCATTGGAACTAGGGTTCACATGCACACATTGATTATCTATATCTATCTAATCATCATCTAGCAAATATAAATTCACACCAGTATCTCCAATTCCAATCCAATATCTCAATTTTTTTCTAGCTTTCTTCCATTCCATGTGGGAGAAGGTCACTCCATTTTTCTTGACCCTCTCAGCTTCTCAGTCCCATCTCTGGTGACACCTCCTTTGCCAGCATCTTCTTTGGTTCTCTGCCTCCCTGTGGCTGCCTCTTTGGTGGGCATTCTGCCTCCTTCATGGGATAGGCAGGAAGGGCAGGGAAGAGGGAAGAGGAAGAGCCATTCTGATATCCCCCTAGCTCTTTTTTTTTCTTTTAAATGGAGACGGGGTTTCACCATGTTGTCCAGGCTGGTCTTGAACATCCAAGCTCAGGCCGTCTGCCAGCCTCTGCCTCCCAAAGTGTTAGGATTACAGGCATGAGCCACTGCACCAGGCCTTCCCTGACTCTTTAGTTAGAACCCAACACTTTTCAGGAATTGATACACACTGAGAGTTTGACACCTCAAGATATTCCAGTGTGATGGGTTGTTTTATGACTTAAAGTGACTAATATTTGCAAGATGAGTTAGTGTTTAGTGAGAATAGGGGAAAGGAGTAGACAGAGGGGAGAAAATAATGGAAAGGGATAAATAATCTCCCTTCTAGTTGGGGATGGACAGAACTCAACTCTAGTCTTAGTTTTATAGGGGCAATGATTCTCACCAGTGCTCATGCCCCAGAGCATGCGCTTGCCATAGAAAGGCTGGGTTGGTTGGAGTGGGGATGGAAAGTAGGTTTTCAGATCCATCAAGGAGAGAATGCACATTTTAGAATGGCTGTGGAATCAACTTGGCCTTTCCAGATGACCTGTGGTCAGGCTAGACTTTTTAGGACCTTTATTCTCTTTTTTTCTTTTTCTTTTCTTTTTTTCTTTCTTTCTTTCTTCCTTCCTTCCTTCCTTTCTCCTTCTTTCTTTCTCTCTCTCTCTCTCTTTCTTTCTTTCTTTCTTTCTTTCTTTCTTTCTTTCTTTCCTTTCTTTGTTTCTTTCCCTTCCTTCCTTCCTTCCTTCCTTCCTTCCTTCCTTCCTTCCTTCCTTCCTTCCTTCCTTCCTTCCTTTCTCTCTCTCTCTCTTTCTTTCTTTGTCTCTTTCTTTCTTTCTCTCTCTTTATCTCTTTCTCCTTTCTTTCTTTCTTTTTTTGACAGAGTCTCACTCTGTAGCCCAGGCTGGAATGCAGTGGTGTGATCTCAGCTTACTGCAGCCTCCGCCTCCCGGATTCAAGCGATTCTCCTGTGTCTGCCCGCCAAGTAGCTGGATTACAGGTGCCCGCCACCACGCCCGGCTAATTTTTGTATTTTTAGTAGAGATGAGGTTTCACCGTGTTGGCCAGGCTGGTCTCTAACTCCTGACCTCAAGTGATTCACCCCCCTCAGCCTCCCAAAGTGCTGGGATTACAGGCGTCAGCCACCACGCCCGGCGTTTAGGTTCCTTTAAAGTCATAACCAGGACTCTGTCCCCAGGTTGGAAGTCAAAATGGTCTTTGTAGGGCAGGGGAACACCCTGCCATCATTCCTCAGCTCTAATCTAATCTAATAACTTCTATTGCCCTGTTAATTTGTTAATAAACTTCCAGAACTCCTTGACAGACCAACTGTTCTTTATATTTTGTCTAGTAAACTAGAAGGGGTAGGAGATTGATAACCTGGGATCAAACTCACAAGAGTTAGGTGACACTTGTCTGTTATAAAGTTACACTTTGGCTCATATCTGTAAATAGGGAACAGCAATGAGCAAATTCAAGAATTAATGTTCGGCCAGGCACGGTGGCTCACGGCTGTAATCCCAGCACTTTGGGAGGCTGAGGCGGGCGGATCACGAGGTCAGGAGATCAAGACTATCCTGGCTAACACGGTGAAACCCCGTCTCTGCTAAAATACAAAAAATTAGCCGGGCGTGGTGGCGGGCACCTGTAGTCCCAGCTACTTGGGAGGCTGAGGCAGGAGAATGGCGTGAACCCGGGAGGCGGAGCTTGCAGTGAGCCAAGATCGCACCACTGCACTCTAGCCTGGGCGACAGAGCGAGACTCCATCTCAAAAAAAAAAAAAAGAATTAATGTTCAATGTATTGATTTGTTTGATATAGTCATTACTAGCAGTCTCTAAAACATAGTTATCTGAATTTCTAACAGTGGGTACAATTGCCCAGGCCTTGTATATCTGGCTGTGTAAGACAGTGGCTAACAGTGAGGATTGTCTCAGACAGTCAAGGTTTGCATCCTGATGACTAAGGATATACTTACCAGATATGTGTCATTAGGCACAACATTTTCCTCACCTGTGAAATCTGTAAGTATCACATCAGGCTGTTTTGAGGTTTAAGTGAGATAACACAAAGTTTTTTTGTTTATGTAGGTCATAGTTTTATTATTACTAATAATATTGGCATTATTTTTCTGAAACAAATATACATCAGATAAAATGAGTAACTTTGTCAATGTCACTAGGACCAATATTTTCATCATAAGTGATTATAGTCTTAGGGAAATTGCCTAAAAGTGAAATGGCTGGGTCAGGAGGTCTGCACATTTTAAGGCTTTTTTTTCCCATTCCTAGACTGCGCTCCTGAGGATCACACTAGCTGTTGGAGAGCATCAGTTTTCTGAATTCTCTACAACATAGTTATTACTATTTTGCCAGTTTTATGTGTTGAGATGAACGTTGTTCTTATTTTAAAAAAACAGGAACTGAGGCTGAAGAAGGCTATGAATGATAGAGTGGACAGCAGTGCATGAGGACAGCTGGGCCAACTCTTCAATATCACACCTTCATTACTCATTCTCACTAGAAGGCCATATTCCTCCCAAGTAAAATGGGTGTCAGTTTACCTAGATTATATGTTAATTTGTTCCTTTTTATGGCTGAGGAGCATTCCATAGTATGGGTCTTCCACCATACGCTTATCTATTCACTAGTTGATGGACATGTGGGCTGTTTCTAGTTTTTGGCTATCATTAATAAAGCTGCATACAAGTCTTTGAGTAGATCTCTATTTTCATTTTCTTTGGGTACACATCTAAAAAGGGATTTGATGGTTTGTATGGTAAGTATATGTTAAACTTTATAAGAGAAGGTTAGAGTATTTTCTAAAGTGATTATATCATTTTGCACTCCCACTAGCAATGTATGAGAGTTCCAGTCACACATAGACTCTGAGATGGAGCAAAGACCCCTCTTGGGGGCCTGCCAGGGATGACCTTCCCCACAAAGCATGGAAATAAAGAAAAATCTTGAATTCCTTCAAGGGAAATTCCAGGCACCTAGCTAGCCTTGAGAAGTAAATGAACAACTTGATAAGCAAGAAGGGAATGGTAGCTTAAAACAATAGCCAAGGAAGTTGAAGTCACAGGATGTTTGGTTTCCTTTAGAAACTGAAGATAACATCTTAACATATATCCCTGAGTTGTTTTTCAGAAACCCAGACCTCCATCAAATGGCTCCTCTGGCACGCAGACCTCAGATAAGGGGGAAACTGAGGAATGAATGCTGGCCACCATTCTTTGTTATAAATTTCTTCCTGAAGGGTGTGGAGGGAGCATGCCCATAAACCAGAGCTAACATTCTTTTCTGCTGATCCTAAATTTTTTACAAAGTTTTCCCTCCTTAACCAATTGCAAATCAGAAAAATCTTTGAATTCACCTGTGGCCTGTGAGCCCCGATTTGAGATGTCCTGTATGGCCTCCATGTATTGATTTATGATTTTTTTTTTTGAGACAGAGTCTCACTCTGTCACCCAGGCTGGAGTGCAGTGGCACAATCTTGGCTCACTGCAACCTCTGCCTCCCTGGTTCAAGTGATTCTCCTGCCTCAGCCTTCCAAATAGCTGGGGATTACAGGCGCCTGCCACCACACCTGGCTAATTTTTGTACTTTTAGTAGAGATGGGGTTTTTTCACGTTGGCCAGGGTGGTCTTGAACTCCTGACCTCAGGTGATCTACCTGCCTCGGCATTCCAAAGTGCTGGGATTACAAGTGTGAGCCACAGCACCTGGCCCAATTTATGATTTTTGCCCATAACCGCTGTTTCCTTGCCTTAAAAAACCATTAACTGTAAGCCACTGGGGAGGTTGGGTCTTAAGTGTGAGCTGCCTGATTCTCCTTGTTGGGTGCCCTGCAAATAAATGCCCTCCTTTCTCCCACTGCAAAAAACTTGGTGTGGATGTTTGACTTTACTGTGCTGGGTGAGCGAACCCAAGTTCAGTTTGATAACTCTTTATAGGATCTCTCACATACATAGACTCTACTTTTCCTACCATTAATGGATTTTGAAAGGGCCTTTTTTTTTTTTTTTTTTTTTTTACCGTGAAACTCCAGAAAAAGTTTTGTAATTGCCCAACAGGTTTCTCCTGCCTACTATACAGACAAAACCAATTCACAGAGACCATGGCGTTGCAGTAAAGAAAGAGTTTAATTAAAACTTGGCTAGGCATGTGGAAAACAGAATTATTACTGAAATCAGCCTCCCTGAGAACTCAGAGGCTAGGGTTTTTGTAGATAATTTGGTGAGCAGGGGCTAAGGAGTGGGTGCTGCTGACTGGTTGGGGATAAAATCATAGGAATGCAGAAAACAATCCTTGTGTGCTGAATCTACCTCTGGGTCAGGGCTGCAGGATCAGTTGAGTCATGAGATAGAATACAAAAGTCTGGAAAACATCTTAAAAGACCAATCTTAGGTCCTAGCATCACTATTACATTGTAATTTTTTTTTTTTTCAGATGGAGTTTCACTCTTGTTGCCCAGGCTGGAGTGCAGTCATGCGATCTCAGCTCACTGCAACCTCCACCTCCCGGGTTCAAGCGATTCCCCTGCCTCAGCCTTCCGAGTAGCTGGGATTACAAGCATGTGCCACCACACCCGGCTAATTTTGTATTTTTAGTAGAGATGGGGTTTCTCCATGTTGGTCAGGCTAGTGTGGAACTCCCAACCTCAGGTGATTTGCCTGCCTTGGCCTCCCAAAGTGCTGGGATTACAGGCGTGAGCCACTGCGCCTGGCCTTTTTTTTTCTTTTGAGACAGAGTCTCACTCTGTTGCCAGGCTGGAGTGCAGTGGCAAGATCTCCGCTCACTGCAACCTCTGCCTCTTGGGTTCAAGCGATTCCCCTGCCTCAGCCTCCAGAGTAGCTGGGACGATAGGCACACACCATCACACCCAGCTAATTTTTGTATTTTTAGTAGAGACGGGGTTTCACCATGTTGGCCAGGATGGTCTCGATCTCTTGACCTCATGATCCTCCCACCTCAGCCTCCCAAAGTGTTGGGATTACAGGCGTGAGCCACCACCTATATTGTCCGGCCTATATTGTATGGTTATGGGGCAGTTGGGGAAATCACAAATATTGTGACCTCTGGCAACATGACTCCTGAGCAGTAAGTGGTTATAGAAACTATGTTTACATCCTTAGCAGAATTCAGGCTCCTCCCATAATCCTAATCTCATGGCCTATCATTCATTTTTAGTCCCTGAGCAAGGAAGGAGGGGGTTAGTGTTAGGTAAGGATTATTATCATTCTTGCCTGCAAGTTAAACTATAAATTGAATTCCTCCCATGGTTAGTTTGGCCACACCCAGGCATGAGTGAGGACAGTCAGCCTGTGAGGCTTAGAAGCAAGATGGAGTCAGTCATGGAGGCAGTCATGGAGGCCTGGAGGCATGATTAGAAGCAGTCATGGAGGCAGTCATGACAGCCATTTCTCCCACTGTCATAATCCTTGCAGAGGCAGTTTCAGTTTCAGAATCTGTTTCAGTTACTCATTCAAAGAGTTAGTATAACAGATTCCACTGCTAGAAAACTGCTGGGTGTGGTGTCAGAGCCCTGGCATCAGCATTGGGCAGTGATGGACTTGCAGGTTGGTAAGAAGAATCTACCGACTATAGTATAGGTTTGAAAAAGGAAAGTTTTGGGCCGGGTACGGTGGCTCATGCCTGTAATCCCAGCACTTTGGGAGGCTGAGGTGGGTGGATCACCTGAGGTCAGGAGTTCAAGACTGGCCTGGCCAACATAGTAAATCCCCATCTCTACAAAAATACAAAAATTAGCTGGGCGTGTTGGCATGCACCTGTAATCCCAGCTGCTTGGGAGACTGAGGCAGGAGAATCACTTGAACCCTGTAGGCGGAGGTTGCAGTAAACCAAGACCATGCCATTGCACTCCAGGCTGGGAGAGTGAGACTCCGTCTCACAAAAAAAAAAAAAAAGAAAAAGGAACGTTTTATTAGAAAGAAAGAATGCTACAGAAGATGGCAGTGGCACACTAGAGGAGTGAAAACGCCAGTGGATTTTTCCTTAGGGTATTTATGGACCTTAATGCAGGAGCTGAAGGGAAATTTGCACAATAAATGATTACATTTACAGATATTTTGGTGCCTTAATGTCAGCAAGGGTTGCACAATGAGTTTCAACATGCATGCATTCTGGAGATGTATAGAAATTCTAGTTACTGGCCGGGCGCGGTGGCTCACGCCTGTAATCCTAGCACTTTGGGAGGCCGAGACGGGCGGATCACGAGGTCAGGAGATCGAGACCATCTTGGCTAACACGGTGAAACCCCGTTTCTACTAAAAATACAAAAAATTAGCCGGGCGTGTTGGCGGGCGCCTGTAGTCCCAGCTACTTGGGAGGCTGAGGCAGGAGAATGGCATGAACCTGGGAGGCGGAGCTTGCAGTGAGCCGAGATCGCGCCACTGCACTCCAACCTGGGAGACACAGCGAGACTCCGTCTCAAAAAAAAAAAAAAAAAAAAAGAAATTCTAGTTACTTACAAATTTTAAGTTGAGAAAAGGCCTGGAACCAGATGCCTTTAGATAAGAGGGAAGTTTAATTACTTCTAAATTCCTCAGATAAGGAGTTTTTGTCTCCAGGGCCTGCTAGATGGTCACCAGGTGATTTGCTGTTTTCATTTTTTCCCTGACAGACATTTTGGTCAAATCTTTGGCCCTTTATGTTCCCTCATGATCATGGCTACCTGCTGCCTATTGGGGTCTCAAGAGAGGGAAAATGGCACAGTGAAGAGGGGTGACAAGTACGTCTGGCTATTTCCTGCTGAAAAGGGGTGTTAAGGGTTTCGGTTGAGTTTTTCCCTTTCTTGCTCTCTGTCATGAAGGGAATGAAGGGTCATGAAAGACTTGTGGGGAAGACTGAATTCCATCAAGAGACCCCATGTGAATGGAAGTTGCTGTTGCAGGCTGGTATTGGGATTGCATAGCCATCTGTAGGTGGAATTGTTTTAATATCAAAGATGTAAACTTAACGAGAGCATTAAAAAGGCAGGGACCAAATATTAAAAGAATGACAAGGAATAAAGGTCCAGAATGGGAGAAGCCAAGTGATTTTTGGAGAGCAATCAGTAAAGGTTCTGGCCCAGTCTTGGCTACTTTGGGAAGGTGTGTGTAGCCACTTGGCTTATTAAAAAATTTTTTGGACATTGGAAGTTCCACTTCTCCATACACATTAATGTAGGTGCAACAGGTTTTGTTGATGACAGCACAGACTCCTCCTTGTTCAGCTATTAGATAATCCAGAGCTCATCTGTTATCAAACACCATTCCTGCTAGCGAGTCTAAAGACTTTTCTATTGCTGATAGACTTGCACCAGTTTTTGCTAAGGCTATTTCAAGGGAGACAGTATGTCCTTGTAGTGTGATTTCATGGTAAGCAAAACCCCCTCAAGGGGTGAGTGTTGCAATCGTTCCCACAACTCCAGCCATAATAAGTCCTAGGGCTCCCTTTCTTCTAGAATGGAATTCTGAATTGGAAGTTATATTCAAGACAGTGATTTGGATGGGAACTATTGTTCTCAGAGTGCAATCACCATAATGAAGAGAATTATCAAGGTGGGATAGGGCCAAAGCTTGAAAAGAGTTTAAATAATTATTGGCAGTGCCACAAAGCCCTAAGAGCCCAGGAGGAGCAGGTAATATAGTTGGAGGCTTTTTGGACTAAGAGGGCCACTGCAGCTTTTTTTTTTTCCCTCCCCATATGGAGTTTTTGTCTGTTGCCCAGGCTGGAGTGCAATGGCACAATCTCGGCTCACTGCAACCTCCGCCTCCCAGGTTCAAGCAATTCTCCTGCCTCAGCCCCCCGAGTAGCTGGGATTACAGGTGCACACCACACCCAGCTAATTTTTATATATTTTTTTAGTAGAGACGGGGTTTCACCATGTTGGCCAGGCTGGTCTCGAACTCCTGACCTTGTGATCCTCCCACCTCAGTCTCCCAAAGTGCTGGGATTATAGGCGAGAGCCACCGTGCTTGGACCACTGCTATTTTTAAGTAGGGGTGCCATCCCTGGGGTACCAAGTCTAAAGTTTTTGAAAAATATTCTGTAGGGCACTTAGAGGGCTCCAGATCTTGGTCTAAGACTTCCAAAGCGATTCCCTTTTGTTTGTGTACATACAAAAAGAAAGGCTTAGTCAGATCTGGTAAGGCTAGGGCTGGGGCTGAGATTAAAGCCTGTTTAAAAGTGTTTAGAGCATGTTTCATATCATTAGTCCATGTTAGAGGCTGTTCCTCAGTTCCCTTGAAAGCTTCATATAAAGATTTTGCTATTAATCTGAAGGAAGGAATCCATATTAAACCTGACTCTACCCAGAAAGGACCAAAGCTGTTGTTTATTTACTAGAGTTGTCATGTTTAAGATCTTTACGAGCACTAGAGAGGCTCTTTGTACCAAGGGTTAAGATAAGACCCCAAAATTGAACTCTTTGTGTGGGTGTTTTGGCCTTAGAAGAAGATAATTTGTATTCACAATCAGCAAGTTTGTTTAGTACTAATACTGTATTTTGGTCTGAAACAGCCTCGTTAGGACTACAGATTAGTAGGTCATCCACATACTGGAGCAGATTGCTATATGGGAGAAGCTGCAGGGTGGACAAGTCCCTAGCTAGAGCCTGTCCAAAAAGGTGGAGGCTATCTCTGAATCCCTGGGGCAGAACTGCATGAGTTAATGGTTGAGTTATTTGTGTATGTGGATATTGCCATTCAAAAGTGAACGAAATTTGGCTATCTTGGTGTACAGGAATGCAAAAAAGTCATCCTTAAGATCAAGTATGATAAACCAAGCTGTGGTGGTGGGAGTTTGTCCAAAAAGTGTGTAAGAATTTGGGACAATAGGATGAATAGAAATTACAGCTTCATCAGTGATTCTAGGGGCTGGGTGTGGTGGCCCATGCCTGTAATCCCAGCACTTTGGGAGGCTGAGGCAGGCGGATCACCTGAGGTCAGGAGTTTGAGACCAGCCTGACCAACATGGAGAAACCCCTTCTCTACTAAAAATACAAAATTAGCCAGGCGTGGTGGCGCATGCCTGTAATCCCAGCTACTCGAGAGGCTGAGGCAGAAGAATCTCTTGAACCTGGGAGGCGGAGGTTGCGGTGAGCCGAGATCAAGCCATTGCCCTCCAGCCTGGGCAACAAGAGCGAAACTCCGTCTCAAAAATAGTAATAGTAATAATAATAATAATTATAATAATAATAATAATTCTAGGCCAGGGGCAGTGACTCACCCCTCTAAGCCCAGCACTTAGGGAGGCCGAGGAGGGCAGATCACAAGGTCAGGAGATCAAGATCATCCTGGCCAACATGGTGAAACCCCATCTCTACTAAAAATACAAAAATTAGCTGGGTGTCAGTGGCCCACACCTGTAATCCCAGCTACTCAGGAGGCTGAGGCAGGAGAATCGCTTAAACTCGGCAGGTGGAGGTTGCAGTGAGCCAAGATCACGTCACTGGACTCCAGCCTGGGTGGCAGAGCAAGACTCTGTCTCAAAAAAAAAAAAAAAACAACAAAAAAAACCCAGAGCAACTTGGTAGGACTAAAAAGGAGTGGGTAAAGAAATAGCCTTCCATTTTTCAAGGGAGTGGCTGTGTGAAACAGCCTCATTGGGGTTTTTCGTCAATGCCCGTGAGGAATATGGAGGACTGGCACATTTGGTCAACATTTGAAGCTGAACCCTGTATCTATGAGGAACATTATTTCTTGTTCAGCCACAGCTGGATTGACTGAGGCTCCTCCATAGAGTTGGAAAAGGTAAGGGCCTGGATGGCCTCAAGGCCCCATCAGTCATCTAGGGGATGACTTTCAGAGGCTCGATCATAATCCAGGAATAGAGTTAGAGGTGCTTGTGCTTGCCCTTGCCCTTGTCCTCTTTCTGCAGGACCCCCTTGTTGGGTAGGTTGGTGAGGTTGTGGCTGCGACGGCCCAGAAGGAGGAGGTGGCCCCTCCTCATGAGGGAGAGAAGGACACTCGCTGTTCCAATGACCCTCTTGTTTACAATGAGGACAGGATCCTGGGGGCAGCTTTGTAACCTGGAGGTTTGGAATGTTCTCTACGCCAATATCCTGGATTTCTGCAGTGATGACAGGCCCCCATTCTGTTAGTATTATAGGGACATGCCTTGGGGTTATTAACTAACGAAAAAGAACGTGTCAATGCTGTGTTACCACATAATTAGCTTGGCGATGGCATTGTTCTTCCTCCAATTGAGTCTTTTTTATTTTTGAGGTTTCCTCCCAGTTATTGAAAACCTTAAAGGCTGTATTTAATAAAGTCGGAAAGGGAATCTGTGGGCCTTGCTCTAATTTTTGGAGTTTTTGTCTGATGTCTGGGGAAGCCTGACTTATAAAATGTATGGCCAGAGTGAACTGGCCCTCAGGGCTTTCAGGATCTAAATTTGTATATTTATGTATGGCCTCCACCAGTCTAATTTGGAAAAGGGTGGGGTTCTCAGATGGCTGCTGGGTAATTTCCGGTAATTTAGAAAAATTGGCCCGGTGCAGTGGCTCACGCCTGTAATTCCAGGACTTTAGGAGGCTGAGACAGGTGGATCATGAGGTCAGGAGTTCAAGACCAGCTTGGCCAAGATGGTGAAACCCCGTCTCTATTAAAAATACAAAAAAATTAGCCGGGCGTGGTGGCATGCACCTGTAATGCCAGCTATTCTGGAGGCTGAGGCAGAGAATTGCTTAAACCCAGGAGGTGGAGGTTGCAGTGAGCCGAGGTTGCGCCACTGCACTCCAGCCTGGGCGACAGAGTGAGACTCCATCTCAAAAAAAAAAAAAAAAAAAGAAAAGAAAAAGAAAAAAGAAAAATTAATAGGTTTTATTACAGGCTTTTTCATTCCTTCCAACAAGCAAGCTATCATGTAATCCCGCCTCTGTTTGGGCTGGCATCAGCAGCCTGATATTGCCAGCTGGTTTCTGTGTTGTGGTCACCTATTGCCCTGGCTCTATTACCATTAATTATGAGCATGAGCTTCATCTGCCCAAAAACTCAAGCTAAAGACCATATGCATGATTTTTCTTTGTGGGAACAACAAGTAGTTAATACCACATACATGTCTTGCCAGGTTAAATCAAAGGCAATAGTCAAAAGCCCACAATTCTTTAATGAGCTTAAAGGGATCCTGGCTAAATGAACCCAACTTGGATTAAATTTGTGAAAGGGACATGACTTGAATTGTTCCCAAGTTTCCATTTGTCACCTCATGGAAAGGCAAAACATTATTGGGATATTCTGAGGACTCTGTACTAGTGGCATATGTGACTCCCATGAGAGTATGTGAGGGGGATGAAGTGTCTGGATATGGAGGGGCGTTGACTCGGGGATGGAGCAAATGGAGAGGGTATAGGTGAAGCAGGTGCAGGCTGAGGAGAGTGTGACAGGCAAAAGGAAAGATCATCTACGACATCAGAATTGGTGAGAGAGTGGGAGGCAGAGGTTGCAGTGAGCCGAGATTGTGCCACTGCACTCCAGACTCGGTCTCAAAAAAAAAAAAAAAAAAGAATTGGGGAGAGAGGAAGTTCCTTGGAAGCATGTGTGACAATTTTTATGTAATTTTGGGTTTTGGGATAAAGCCAAAAAGACCTGAACATATGGGACCTCTAAATACAAAAGAAAATTACACACTTCTTTTTGAGAGTTTGTGGGTTAAAATGGGATGAATTTTTAAGAATGCAACCCAAGGGTGAATTGGAATGAATTGAAGAATGAATTGCACCCGTGTTGGGTTTAGATAAGGGACTAGAAGATCCCCGAGGCATCCCTGAGGGATTTGGACCTTCCTTTTCCCTTTGGCTCACTCTACTTGGGGGCATCCCACCACGGATAGAGGGCCTGCCCTTGCCTGGAGGACCAGTCCAGGCATGCCCTTGTTTGAGTGGTCAGCTCCAACCTAATGTGAAGGAGAACTCACCCATAACTTGGGATGCAGTGCTTGTGATGAAATTGAATCCAAAATTAGGTCTGCAACTAGTAGCATGTGTCTGCGCAGAGTTGAGTTGAAATCGTTGCTGCTTGTTTCCAAGGCACAATTTACAGAGTGTTAAAGTAAAAGTGGGCTTGCCACCCTGATGAGCAATAGCAAATTCACTCTTTTGTCTTGGCTTTAGGTAACACCAGGGAGTGCCCTCGGTCAGACACCCTCAATTGCCAAAGCGTACTCAAGCTGGTTCACTGGCAGTCTGAAAATAGAAAAGAACCCTGGCTATTCCCTCACCCCTCTGGGCAATGACGGACAGGTATCCCTTCTCTAGGGCTTCAGGATCCCACCAAAGAGTGGCCTCAGCCTATTAGGGGCGGCAAATATCTGAGTTACCGACAGTGAATCCATATGGGTCTGCAGCAACTTCAATTCTTGCCTCCTCAGAAGAAAGAATTTGACTGAGGGGCATAAGCAGAAAAAAGAGACCACGGCAAGTTTCAGAGCAGGAGTGGAAGTTTATTAAAAAGCTTTAGAGCAGGAAAGAAAAGACAGTACACTTGGAAAAGACCCAAGAGGGGACCGTGGAGGTCAAGTGTGGTGTTTGACCTTTTGACTTGGGATTTTATATGTTGGCATACTTCTGGGGTCTTGTGGCCCTTTTCTCCTGATTCTTCCCTTGGGGTGACCTGCCCATATGCATGGTGCTTTCCTTGTGCTTGAGAAGTAAGCATGGCCAGTGTATTTAAGAAGTTGTAGGCCAGGTGCGGTGGCTCACACCTGTAATCCCAGCACTTTGGGAGGCCGAGGTGGGTGGATCACCTGAGGTTAGGAGTTCGAGACCAGCCTGGCCAACAGGGTGAAACCCCATCTCTACTAAAAATACAAAATTAGCTGGGCGTGGTGGTGGGGGCCTGTAATCCCAGCTACTGGGGCCGAGGTAGGAGAATTACTTGAACCCGGGAGGTGGAGGTTGCAGTGAGCCAAGATTGCACTGTTGCATTCCAGGCTGGGCAAAAAAAGCGAAACTCCATCTAAAAAAAAAAAAAGTTCTAGGCCGGGTATGGTGGCTCATGCCTGTAATCCCAGGACTTTGGGAGGCCAAGGTGGGTGGATCATGAGGTCAGGAGTTCGAGACCAGCCTGGCCAACATAGTGAAACCCTGTCTCTACTAAAAATACAAAAGTTAGCTGGGCATGGTGGCGCACGCCTGTAGTCCCAGCTACTGGGGAGGCTGAGGCAGGAGAATCGCTTGAACCTGGGAGGTGGAGGTTGCAATGAGCCGAGATTGCACCACTGCACTCCAGCCTGGACAACAGGGTAAGACTCCCTCTCAAAAACAAAACAAAACAAAAAAACAACAAACAAAAAACAAAACAAAAAGAAGCTGTAGGCATGCTCACCTGAGACTTTCTTCCCTTTTCTGGTGGAATGCCCCTGGAAGGTCATACTCTGCCATTTTGTCTCTTAACCCATGTATGCCTGAGGTTGCAATTTTTTGAATTTTTGCAATCAGACCTTCGTGATGACATTGAGCAGTAGGATATAAATAACTCCCACATGCTTAGAGTTCCAATAATGGAACACTAGGCATTAATGGGTTTTACTGTGCATGCTCATGCCCACTCACTCACTACCTGAGATTTTATTGGAAGCTGCTGATTTCAAGTGTTTTTTGGTTTGTTTTGTTTTTTTAGATGGAGCCTCACTCCATCGCCCAGGCTGGAGTGCAGTGGTGTGATCTTGGCTTGGCTCACTGCAACCTCCACCTCCCGGATTCAAGCCATTCTCCTGCCTCAGCCTCCTGAGTAGCTGGGATTACAGGTGTCTGCCACCACGCTCAGCTAATTTTTGAATTTTTTTTCTTTTTTTTTTGAGATGGAGTCTTGCTCTGTCGCCCAGGCTGGAGTGCAATGGCATGATCTCGGCTCACGGCAACCTCTGCCTCGTGGGTTCAAGTGATTCTCCTGCTTCAGCCTCCTGAGTAGCTGGGATCACAGGCACGTGCCACCACACCCAGCTAATTTTTCTATTTTTAGTAGAGACAGGGTTTCACCATGTTGGCCAGGCTGGTCTCGAACTTCTGACCTCAAGTGATCCACCCGCCTCAGCTTCCCAAAGTGCTGGGATTACAGGTGTGAGCCACCATGCCTGGCTAATTTTTCTATTTTTGGTAGAGACAAGGTTTCACCATGTTGGCCAGGCTGGTTTCGAACTCCTGACCTCAGGCAATCCACCCACCTTGGCTTCCTAAAGTGCTGGGATTATAGGCACGAGCCACCGCGCCCAGCCGCATTTTTATCTGTTGGGAAATTGCCTCTCCCTGGTGCTGTGACCAATTATCATTTTAGTGTGACAGCTGTCAGACCATAATCTGATGGTGGCCTGACATTTCTGGTGGGTGGGGGAAACTCTCTCCTGCCCTGCTCATGCCTGACTAGCCACCTATTGTAGAAACCTGCCATTGCAAAATTGTAACTGAGATAATGAAAGAGATTTGACCTAGCCAGCTCCATCTTGCTTTTAACCTCAAAGCTGTCCTTGTTCATTCCTGGGGGTATGCTGAACTAACTTTGAGAGTAACTTAGTTTATAGTTTTTTGTTTGTTTGTTTGTTTGTTTGTTTTGAGACAGAGTCTCGCTCTGTCGCCCAGGCTGGAGTGCAGTGGTGTGATCTCGGCTCACTGCAACCTCTGCCTCCCGAGTTCAAGCAGTTCTTCTGCCTCAGCCTTCTGAATAGCTGGGACTACAGGAACCCACCACCACGCCCGGCTAATTTTTGTATTTTTAATAGAGACGGGGTTTCACCATATTGGCCAGGCTGGTCTCGAACTCCTGACCTCATGATGCGCCTGCCTCCTCCCCACAAAGTGGTGGGATTACAGGTGTGAGCCACCGGGACTGGCCTTAGTTTATCGTTTAAAACAAAGACAATAACAGCCCGTTTCCAAAACAATCATCCTTCTTGCCTGGAGACTAGACTGCCTTTGTAGGACTAACAAATTAGTCACAAGATTAGAAATTATGGCTTAGGAGTCATGCAGCTAGAGGCTACAAGATTCTGACCTCCCAAAATGCTCCTAAGATCAGTGCTTGAGATATTTTGCAGACCCTGCACTTGACAGATCAACTGGCACCATCCAGATTGATTAACTGGCTCATCTGGCAGTCTCATGTGGCCCCCACCCAGGAACTGACTCAATGCAAGAGGACAGCTTCAATTCACTATGATTGCATCTCCTACCTGGCCAATTAGCACTCCTGGCTCACTGGCTTCCCTCCATCCACGAAGTTGTCCTTAAAAAATCTGCTCCCAGAGAGACTGATGTGAGTAATAATAGAACTCCAGTCTCCTGCACAGCTGGCTCTGTGTAAATTACTCTTTCTCTATTGCAGTTCCTCTCTTGATAAATCGGCTCTGTTGAGGCAGCAGGCAAGCTGAACCCATTGGGTGGTTACACTGTAACAGACAGGGACCTTCAGTTCCCAAGAATAAAGAACCAAACAGGCCAGGCGCGGTGGCTCACACCTGTAATCCCCGGACTTTGGGAGGCCGAGGCAAGCAGGTCACGAGGTCAGGAGTCTGAGACCAGCCTGACCAACACAGTGAAACCCCATCTCTACTAAAAATATAAAAATTAGCCAGACGTGGTGGCACACGCCTGTAATCCCAGCTACTGGGGAGACTTGTATCCAGCAAATATTTATTTACCACCTGTTGTGTGCCAGACATTATGCAGAGTTTACTATTAAGTTTAGCTAGAGAGATAAGTGGGTAAATCTATAATGATAATACCATGAAACAACCAGTGATGAGCACAAGGACATGTATTATGGGTGATTAGAGTTAGGGTGATTAACTCTGCCTGAGGTAGTCAGGAAAGTAAGAGCCATATCTGGAAGAATAAGCAGGAGGCAGCCCTGCAGAGTGAGAAGACATTAATGAAAACACAGAGACAAGCAACAACTACAAGTGGGAATAGGGAGTGGAGTGGGATGACGCTGGGAGGGGCCCAGGGCCAGAGAGGTCATTGTAGGCCATAAGGAACTTGGCCTTCTTGCTCAAGGTGGTGAGCAGGCAGCCAAGGTTTCAGACAAGGGGCATGGGCCAGCTGCGCATGCGTGTATGATTGTCAAGGGCTCTGCATTCCTTAATCATTGACCCCCCCAACCCTATCTCACAAGCATGTGGGGGCTTTGAGTACTGAGATGCTGGACTGTCGGCACAGAGTGGCTCTGGCTGGCTGAAGCCTCTCATACCCTCCAGGCCAGGCGAACCCAGTCCCCAGCTAACCCCGGCACCCCTCTCTGGGCTCAGCAGCAGATGGGCCAGACCTTGAGCCAGGCCAACAATTGGAACAGGGCCTGGATGATTCAAGTAAGGTTTGAATGGGGAGCTGGTTTCCCTGACACCAAGGAGGCCCTGGGGAGGTGAAGTCCAGAGTACTACACTGCCCATGCCCCTGCTGTCTTCCCCAACAGGAAACCTGCTCCCCTCAACCCCCATGGACTGGGAGATGCTGATGGAACCACTCCTCTTATTCATGGCTGTGACTCCCAATGGGGAGTCAGCCCCTCCAGCAGTGCCACTGCCTCCCCAGGCTCCACACTGCCATGTGGTGATGTGGGTCCTGTGTGGGGAGCAGCCCATGTGTTGGGAGGAGGATGTTGTGCTGGAGACACCGTGGGGGAGTGGAGATGGCTCACAGCCTGCATCAGCTCCTATAAGAGAAGCTGCTTGGGACCAAGTACTCTACCAGCTGACAGCAGCCTCTGTGGACTGGGATAATGAGCAGCTAACTCTCCGAGGAAGGGCAGAGACCACAGCTGACCAGGGTGAATTGCTTGTGGGTCCAGTCAGGGCCCAAGGGCATGAGCAAAAAGTGGCAGAGGTATAGGTCTGTGTGTTTGATCACTCTCTATACCTTGTCTTGATCACAAAAGATTTATTTTTTTATCTGCCTCAACTATCAATAACTAAAATAATTGTGTGAAATATTCTACTATGATGATGGTTTTAGAAATATTTCCTTTTCATCATGTTAATCCTTGCTTTATATTTTTTGCAGCTATGTTATTCAGTGCTGGAACTTTATGTCATTAAGCAATGTGGGGAAAAGCAAGAGAGATCAGATTGTTGCTGTGTCTGTGTAGAAAGAAGTAGACATAGGAGACTCCATTTTGTTCTGTACTAAGAAAAATTCTTCTGCCTTGAGGTTCTGTTAATCTATGACCTTACCCCCAACCCCGTGCTCTCTGAAACATGTGCTGTGTCACCTCAGGGTTAAATGGATTAAGGGCGGTGCAAGATGCGCTTTGTTAAACAGATGCTTGAAGGCAGCATGCTGGTTAAGAGTCATCACCACTCCCTAATCTCAAGTACCCAGGGACACAAACACTGTGGAAGGCCGCAGGGACCGCTGCCTAGGAAAGCCAGGTATTGTCCAAGGTTTCTCCCCATGTGATAGTCTGAAATATGGCCTCATGGGAAGGGAAAGACCTGATCGTCCCCCAGCCCGACACCCATAAAGGGTCTGTGCTGAGGAGGATTAGTATAAGAGGAAGGCATGCCTCTTGCAGTTGAGACAAGAGGAAGGCATCTGTCTCCTGCTGGTCCCTGGGCAATGGAATGTCTCGGTATAAAACCCGATTGTACGTTCCATCTACTGAGATAGGGAAAAGCCGCCTTAGGGCTGGAGGTGGGACATGCGGGCAGCAATACTGCTTTGTAAAGCATTGAGATATTTATATGTATGCATATCTAAAAGCACAGCACTTGATTCTTTACCTTGTCTATGATGCAAAGACCTTTGTTCACGTGTTTGTCTGCTGACCCTCTCCCCACTATTGTCTTGTGACTGTGACACATCCCCCTCTCGGAGAAACACCCACTAATGATCAATAAATACTAAGGGAACTCAGAGGCTGGCGGGATCCTCCATATGCTGAACGCTGGTTCCCTGGGTCCCCTTATTTCTTTCTCTATACTTTGTCTCTGTGTCTTTTTCTTTTCCAAGTCTCTCGTTCCACCTAACGAGAAACACCCACAGGTGTGGAGGGGCAACCCACCCCTTCAAGCAATGATCCTCCTCATCTTCATAATGCTATTTTTGGCTTTAAAGTCTATTTTACCTAATATTAATAAACGTATGCCGATTTTTTTAGTTAACGTTTTTCTAGTATATATTTTTTCATCCTTTTACCTCCTATAAATAGCTTATAGTTTAGTTTTGAGTTAAAAATTTCATTCTAGGGCCAGGAGGCGTGGTGGCTCACACCTGTTATCCCAGCACAAAGGATTCAAGGCTTACCACATTGACAAGATAAAAAATTAAGCAGGGCAATGGGAAAAAGTAAAAATAAAAGGAAGCTGAGAATGAGGTTATATTAAAGGCGCATGCCATGAGGCTATATACTCTTGCAACCATAGGATCCAAAACTGACAAGCTTCCTAGCAGCCAGCACAGAGAGAAATGTGATCTTGTAATGATTCACAGCACCCATAACATAAAAACAAATCTTTGTCATTTAGGAAAAGACATTACAATTAAATAAAGTTAAAATTTCATTTCCTCAGTTGCACTAGCCACACTTGAGGTACCCAACAGTCACATGTGACTAGGGGCTACCACATTGGATCATGCAGACATAGAACATTTCCATCCTCACAGAAATTTCTATTAGTACAGAAATGGGTGGAGGAAAAGGTGCCAGTAAATGCTTCCTCTTTGTGTTGTCCAGAGTGCTGAATTTCTGGGTGGCCAGGGGGACCTTGCTCTGCTATGGGTTGAAGATTCAGCCTGACCGCTTCTTGTCAAAGTTGGCTCTGGGCCTAGCAAGGCAATCTACTCTGTTCAAAAGTGGATAGAGGGAGAAGCTGGGAGGAACATTACAATTTTTTCTATGAGCCCTCTGTAGAGGGTGGATGATGGGGGTTCCACAGGCTGCTCCTTGGTTTCACAGCCCGTGCCCAGGGGTGCTGGCTTCAAGCCCTTCAGACAAGCAAGATCAGCTCTGCCCCTCCTGCTTCACTTGCCCTGTAGCTGTGGAAGCTACCACTAGGGAGGTCCTGCCTGGGGCCCTGCAGGTGTGGAGCTCAGGTAGGAGCCCTATTCTGGTAACCTCTCAGTAAGGTAACCTCTTACCTTACTGGCCACCCTCCTGGACAATCCTGACTCCTATCCCCTGTTCCCCTGCAGAGCCAGCTGAGCCCCCAGGAACCCCTCCTGCCTCTCACAGCCATCTAGATGCAGCTTCTCTGCCCACAATTGTCCCCTCTAAAGGTAGCACCCAAAGTTAGGGAAAGATTAGGCGGCAACTGGGCTTAGAGACCACCTGCTGTCACTGATTGTCCCCACTGCTGGCTAATTTTTAAAAATTGTTTTAGAGACAGGTTCCTGCTATGTTGCTCAGGCTGGTCTCAAACTCCTGGCCCTAAGTGATCCTCATTCCTCATCCTCTTTTTTTTTTTTTTTTTTGAGAGGGAGTATCGCTCTGTCACCCACGCTAGAGTGCAGTAACACAATCTCGGCTCACTGCAACCTCTGCCTCCCAGGTTCAAGCAATTCTCCTGCCTCAGCCTCCCAAGTAGCTGGGATTACAGGTATATGCCACCACACCTGGCTAATTTTTTAATATTTTTGATAGAGACGGGGTTTCACCATGTTGGCCAGGATGGTCTCAATTTCTTGACCTCACAATCCACCTGCCTCGGCCTCCCAAAGTGCTGGGATTACAGGCGTGAGCCACCATGCTCAGCCTTCCTCATCCTCTTGAGTAGCTGGAATTACAGGTGTGAGCCACTGCACTTAGCTCCTAAACTGACATAGTTTGGATATGTCCCTGCCCAAATCTCATGTTCAATTGTAGTCTCCAGTGTTGGAGGTGGGGCCTGATAGGAGGTGATTGGATCATGGGGGCAGTTTCTCACGGTTTAACACCATCTCCCTTGGTGCTGTCATCACAATAGTGAGTTCTCATGAGATCTGATTGTTTGAAAGTGTGTGGCACCTCCCCCTGCCCTCGGTCCTGCTCCTGCCATGCAAGATGCCTGCTCCTCCTTTGCCTTCCACCATGAATCAAAGCTCCCTGAGGCCTTCCTAGAAGCAGATGCTGCCATGCTTCCTGTACAGCTTGTGGAACTGTGAGCCAATTAAACCTATTTTCTTTATAAATTACCCAGTCTCTGGAATTTCTTTATAGCAGTATGAGAATGGACTAACAAATAAACATTTTAATTTTCTAACTATTTTTTGCTGATATATAAAACAAAGCTTTTTTTTGTGGACTGAACTTGTATCAATTGAAATTATTAATTCCAAGAGCATATCAGTGGTGATAATAATAGCATTATTTCTTCCATTCTCAATACTTAGTCCTTTAATTTCTTTTTCTTGCTATAATGCATTGGATAGCAACTGTAGTACAGTAGAAGTGGGTGATAGCATGGTGATTTATTCCTGATCTCAGAAGGTAATCTTTCAACATTTTACGACAAAGTATGATGTTTGCTATAGGTTTCTATAGTTGCTCTTTAATAGATTACAAATATTTCTTTAACTTAAGAGTGTGATAAAGAGTTATTTCTTTTTTTTATTTTTATTTTTAGAGATGGGGTCTTGCTCTATTTCCCAGGCTGGAGAGAAGTGGCTATTCACAGGCTAGATCTTAGTGAAATACAGCCTTGGACTCCTGGACTCAAGTGATCATGCTGCCTCAGCCTCCCTAGTAGCTAGGACTACAGGTGCAAACCACTGCACCAGCAAAGAACTATTTTTTTTTTTTTGAGATGGAGTCTCACTCTCTCACCAGGCTGGACTGCAGTGGCACAGTCTTGGCTCACTGCAACCTCCAACTCCCAGGTTCAAGCAATTCTCCTGCCTCAGCCTCCCGAGTAGCTGGGACTACAGGTGCATGTCACCATGCCCAGCTAATTTTTGTATTTGTAGTAGAGACAGGGTTTCACCATGTTGGCCAGGATGGTCTCGATCTCCTGACCTCATGATCCACCTGCCTCAGCCTCCCATAGTGCTGGGATTACAGGCGTGAGCCACCATGCCTGCAAGATGCATTATTTTTTTTGTGTATCATTTCATTCAGTATGCTGATATTTAGGATTTTTGTAGCTATGTTTGTGAGAAAGATTCGTTTGTAATTTTTCTTTACTGTCATGTCCTTTTCAGTTTTGATATCAAGGTTTTGTTAGCCTCTTAAAATGATTTGGAAAGTGGTTTTTACTTTTTTCAGGTCTACATTCTCCCAGTTTCAAGTTCAGAGAGAGAGAGAGCCTCTCTCCCATCAGTTCTCATAAGTGTCTCTGAATTGACTCATTTCGTCTCATTGGCCTGATTAGATGGTTGTGAGGCCATCCCTAAGCCAATAACCATGGTCGTGCTCTGATTCATTGAGAATGAAGTCAGTGCCACCTGGGCTACATAGACTGAGAATGGAAAGGGGCTTTCTTGAGAAAAATCAGGATCCTATTAGGGTAAGAATGGGTAATGGATGCTAGGCAGGTAGAAACTGCATATGGCCATTACATTATTTTTCTCTGACTTAAAGAACTTTAAAAACTTTACATAGCCAAATTTACATTTATTTTTTCATATTTTTTCCATTAAAACAACTCTACACACCTTAAATAAGATAATTTTCTACCTAAACTTTTCTTCTCGTTCATGTTTTATGTTTATCTGTTTAATTCATTTTGAATTAATTTCAGTTTAAAATATGAAGTATCTAACTTATTTTTTCCCTAAGATAGATCTCTCTCTCTCTTTTTTCTTTTTTTTGAGATGGAGTCTCTCTTTGTCACCCAGGCTGGAGTGCAGTGGCGTAATCTCGGCTTGCTGCAACCTCCGCCTCCCATGTTCAAGCGATTCTCCTGCCTCAGCCTCCCAAGTAGCTGGGACTACAGGTGTATGCCACAACGCCCAGCTAATTTTTGTATTTTTAGTAGAGACGGGGTTTCACCATGTTGGCCAGGATGGTCTCAATCTCTTGACCTTTTGGTCCGCCTGCCTTGGCTTCCCAAAGTGTTGGGATTACAGGCGTGAGCCACTGTGCCTGGCTGAGATCTCTTAATTCAGCTTTATTTATTCAACTGATTCCTTCTCTAAAAGATAATACCTTCACTTAACATGGTACTTACTCTGTACCAAGCCCTGTGTTCAGCATTCTAACAAAATATTTACCTATTTAATGTTTATAAGGATTTTATAAGGTAGATACTATATTGCCATGTGTATAACTGAGATACAGAGAAATCTTTCTTGTTCAAGATTAAATGGCTAAAAGGTAGCTGAGCTGGGATATGAATGCAAATAGTATGCTTCCAATAGCTCTGTTCTCCATCTGTGTGCTCCCAAATGATTGATGTCCACAGCATGCTGAGCCTTTGCAGCTAGTAGGCTTCTGTACACACACACTTTTGTTCCACCAGTTGACTTATACCAAGAATCAGTTGTTTCCAAACTCCTCCTTTCATAAATGGACTAGTTATTGTAATTACGTATTTTAACTAACTAAAAATAAACCAATGAAATACAAGTGTAAAAATCAAGTTGATTTCTTTAAATAGGTTCCATAAAGACAGGCAACAACAACAACAACAACAAAATGTTGAATTAGGTGTGGCAGGGACTATGAAGACTGGCAAACAGAGTAAAAATCTCATAATTTTGCTCACAGTTACTCAGCGTCTTTAAAATTTTTGTACTACTGGCCGGACACCTGCAGTCCCAACACTTTGGGAGGCCAAGGTCTTGAAAAAAAAATTCGAGACCAAACTGAAACTCTATACCCATTGAACAATAAATCCTCCAATCCCAGCTACTCGGGAGGCTGAGGCATGAGAATCACTTGAACCCGGAGGAGGAGGTTGCAGTGAGCTGAGATTGTGTCACTGCACTCCAGCCTGGGCAACAGAGCAAGACTCCATCTCCAAACAAACAAACAAAAATAAAAACAAAACAAAAAATTATTTTTGATGTACTTTTTTTTTTTTTTGAGATAGTATGTCACTCTGTCACCCAGGCTGGAGTGCAGTGGTGTAATCCTAGCTCACTGCAGTCTCAACCTCCTGGGCTCAATTGATCTTCCCACCTTCACCTCCCAAGTAGCTGGGACTACAGGCATGCACCACCACTCCTGGCTGATTCTTTTTTTTTTTTTTTTTTAGAGACAGGGTTTTACCATGTTGCCCAGACTGGTCTCAAACTCCTGGGCTCAAGCTGTCCTCCAGCCTCAGCCTCCCAAAGTGCTAGGATTACAAGTGTGAGCCACTGCTCCAGGCCTGATTTCGATGTACTTCTGTTGTATTTTTAAATTTTTATTTATTGTTTATTAGTTTATATAGCTATGCTCATAGATTATGTACTTTGTATCCCTTTCCTTCCTGCTTATCACTATAACAATTTTTTGTCATGTTATTAAGAACTGAAAGTTTGTGTCCTCACCCCCAAATTTATATGTTAAAGTTTTAACTCCCAGGGGTATGCCATTTGGAGCCAGGGGCATTTGGAAGGTAATTTGGTTTGGGTCATGAGGTAGGGCCTCATGATGTGATTAGTGTCCTTACTGGAAGTGGAAGACAAACTAGAACTCTCTCTCTCTCCATCACTGAAGACACCAGAGAGGAAAGAGACGGAAATGGACCCTCACCAAGATCCAAATTGGATGGCACCTCTAACTTGGACTTCTTCACCTCCAGAAGTAGAAGAAATAAGTGTCTGTTGTTACACCCAGTCCACGGTATTTTGTTATAGCAGCCTGAACAGACTAAGACCTAGCACGTTCTTATTTTCTGATGCAAAAAGTTACTTCAGGCCCATCTTCTACTTGCTCTCACTTCCAACTCTGAGATCAGCAATTTCTTTAAGGAATTCTTGTTCGTATTAATGAAACGTGGCATTTAATAATCAAATAGTAGATAAGTTTAGTGGTACTTGTGTGTTATTATTTCTAGACTCTTTCTGCAGAAAGCTACGATATAGACACATAGTTTACATATGTTGAAACCATGATTGCATATTGATACATCATTTCTGATGTCAAAAAAAAACAAAACAAAACACCACAGGGTACATTCTAGTCTTCTGCCTTTCCATTGGTAACATTGTGTTCGAACTGTGAGAAATCTGGTTCCTGTAATTCTCAAAAGATAATTTATTTGCTTAAGTTGATAAAAAATAGTTTCAGAATTTTAAAAGATACCACTTGATATGGTTTGGCTGTGTCCACACCCAAATCTCATCTTGAATTGTAGTTTCCATAATTCCCATGTGTTTTGGGAGATAATCAAATTATGGCGACGATTATCCCTATGCTGTTCTCATGATAGTGAGTGAGTTCTCCTCAGATCTGATGGTTTTATAAGGGGCTTTCCCCCGCTTTGCCTGGCATTTCTCTCTCCTGCCACCCTGTGAAGAGGTGCCTTCCACCACCATGACTGTAAGTTTCCTGAGGCTTCCCCAGCCATCCAGAACCATGAGTCAATTAAACCTCTTTTCTTCATAAATTACCCAGTCTCGGGTGTTTCTCCATAGCAGCATGACAATGGACTAATCTATAAAAGAAAACCAACTCAATGGAGTTTAATGTTTATTTCAAAACATCAAACTTATCACTTATTTGCTTTTTTTAAACTTACATTTACATACAGTGAAATGGACCAATCTTAGGTTTACAACTTAATACATTTCACAAATGCATACACAAGTATAAGCCCCACCCTTTTCAAGATAAAAGCATGTTTATTACACCCAAAAGTTTCTTACTGCCTCTTCCTGCACAGAACAACCACTTATCTGTTCTAGAACTTCATATATTTGGAATTACACAGTATGTATTATTTTGTGCCCAGCTTTTTCTTCTCCTTAGAATGTTTTTGAAATTCATCCATGTTGTGTGTTTCTTTTTTTTTTTATCATTAAGTGGTATTCTATTAAACAAATATACTAAAATGTGTGTACGTACTGCTGATTGAATTCTGGGTTATTTTCAGTTTTTCTGTTGTAAATGAAGTTGCTGTGAACATATTTTTATAAGTCTTTTGTAGGCATACATCTTAATTTTCCTTGGAAAAGTAACTAGGAATAGAATTGTGTGGTTGTAGAATAGATGCATGTTTAATTTTATAAGAAATTGCAAAAAGTTTTTCAAATTTCATTATACCACTTTACCTTTTCATTATCAATATAGGAGGTCATTCCACATCCTCACTAACATTTGTTGTAGCCAGTCTTGATTTATCCATTCTTGAATGCATGCCAAAATTAGGCAAGCACAACCTACCTTATGCAAGGAATTGCTAAACGTGAAAAATCATTACTTTCATGGGAAAATATGGCAGTTCACAGAAAGTGAAATTTCTAAATAAAAAATATATTTCTGAAATATAATTATTGCTAAAAAACATTTTATAAAATGACCCATGCATATTATTAAAGTATATTCGGTTAAAAATAAAAATTTGAGGTTATATACTTAAAATCCATGTAAATGATCAAATAAATTCAATAGGAAAAATTATCTATTTCAGCAGAAGCCAGAGAATATCATCTAAATATTGACATTTCAAGAAACCGGATGTAAAGGAAACCAAAGTGAGATATGAAACAATCCAGTGAGGAGAATAAGAAACCTGCCTAAAAATGAGTTTTGAAGGTAAGGATAAAATGCAAGGGCATAACTAATGATTGCTCATAGTGTACCTTAGATAAAATGCCAACTCAAGCTAAGGGTGTGTGTGTGGCAGAGTTGAGGGGGGAGGGTGGTGTGTGCTGCTAGAATTTAGGTTTTTGAAATCCAAGTTTTACTCCAGAACACTAATTCCTTAGAAGGAGGGCCTTTCAACTCAGAGTAAAGTCACCCAGAGTATCTTTTCTTAACATTGATAAAGTTGTTTTTCTGCTATTTGTTAAGATAATGACAGAAGCTCATGTCCTTCAGAACAGGGCTTGAGAAGTTGGATATTAAGGTATATGTGTTTAAATCTGTTGCATCTGAATTTATAACAATTGTTCCAAGCATTCATTTGGATAGGCTGAATTCTACTATATGTAGCACTTACAGTTTGCACTTACTGTAAACAAGATTCTGAGTAAATCTTCAGCCTTACCAAGGATGCTTCCTTTAAAGACAATTAGAGATGGATTTTTGCATTATTTAGTTTGACTTTCTATAGTGCTTGCAAGACAAAATATTTTTCAAGTATTCGCCCTGCCTATGTATGTCCTGTCTTACTCAGTGCAGACTACGAAATCCATAGACAGATGAAAAATCATTCAATATTTTCTGTTGCTTGTGCAAGATTAAGACGGACAAAAACCACATCACTTCCAAATTCTTTGCAATTGTAGACCCTTTTCTAACAGAGAAAGTGGGTTGATTTGGGAATTTAAAGAGAGAGCCTAATATGTGAAATCTTAACAAATACCTTTCTCTGAAAAGAACTAACCCAAAGCTGTGAAAAATCTTTCCTAATGTTTACATTTTAAAATGTGATTTGAACGATAATTGCACTAATATAAATTATATAAAATTAATTTAGAAATTATAGAAAAAATACTGAGAAAAGTGAGAAAAATCATAGCTTAAAAACATAATTGCTGAGCAGAAAAACTCAATGGAATTATGCAAACAATACTTTACAGAGGCAGTGAAGATCTACATGGTAAATTATTGCATAATATAAACAAGAATGATAAGAAGATAGAAACTATGAGTATGAAAATTCTGTGTACTTTATATTCTCCAAAGAGAAAACTATTCTAAAAAAACTCTCAAAAAGGCAACTACAAAATTTAAAAAATTTCTATTAATTTTTTATTAATTTAATTAAATAATTTAATTCAATATTTTTTATTAATTTAATTTTATAATTTTAATTAAAAAGTTGTTTTGGAAAAATAGAAGTGGTAAGTGAAATAATATAAAGCTAGATTTGTTGAGTCATTGCTTTAATATGTTTATTAGTCTTAATAATAATATAAAAATGAATTAATAATGATAATGTCCACCTCCTGCCATATGGAAAGTAATATCACCCCCCTCTCCCCACCTGGAGGTTACGAGCCACATGGCAGGGGGGTGTCCACCCCCACCATATGGGGAGTAATATCACTGACCCCATTCACCCTGGAGGTTACGAGCCACATGGCGGGAGGGAGTCCACCTCCACCATATGGGGAGTAATATCACCCCCTTCTTCCCCCCTGGATATTACGAGCCACATGGCAAGGGGAGTCCATCCCCACCATATGGGGAGTAATATCACTCCCCCCATTCGCCCTGGAGGTTACGAGCCACATGGTGGGAGGGTGTCCACCCCCACATCATGGGAAGTGATATCACGCCCATCTACCCTCCTGGAGGTTATGAGCCACATGGTGGGAGGGTGTCCACCCCCACCATATGGGAAGTGATATCACCCCCCTCTACCCCCCTGGAGGTTATGAGCCACATGGCAGGGGGGTGTCCACCCCCACCATATGGGGAGTAATATCACTCCCCCCATTTGCCCTGGAGGTTATGAGCCACACGGTGGGAGGGTGTCCACCCCCACCATATGGGGGTAATGTCACCCCCTTCTCCCACATTACGAGCCACATGGCAGGGAGTTGTCAACACAGTGTGTTTATGTTATTGGGAGTAATATCATCTCCCTCTTTGGAAATTACGAGCAATATCACAGGGGGTGTACAGCACCTGCGAAATTGAGAGTAATATCACCCTCTCCCCTTCTGCATATTAGAGAAAAATATCACTGGGGTGTGTACACCTCCTACAATATTGGGAGTAATATCATACTCTTTCCCCCTGGATATTAGGAACAGTATCACAGGGAAGGTGTACGCCTTCCGCCATACTGGGAGTAATAATATCCTCTCTCGCTCTGGATATTAGGAAAAATATTACAGTGGGGTGTACAGCGCCTGCGATATTGGGAGTAATATAATTTTATCCCCTCCTCCTGGGTAGTAGGAACAATATCACAGGGGTGTTTACATTCCCTGCGATATTGAGGTATTGAGAGTAATATCATCTTCTCTCCTCCTGGATATTAGGAACTATATCACGGGGGGGAGGGGTGTACACCATCTGCAAATTTGAAAGTAATATAATCTTCTTCCATGGATATTAGAAACGATGTCACAGAAGGAATGTACACTTTCTCTGATATTGGGAGTAATATTATCTTCTCCCCGCCCCCCCGGGTATTAGGAACAATATCGGGGGCTGGGGTGTGTACGCCTCCTGTGATATTAAGAGTAATAGTTTTTCCCCTGGATATTAGGAAAAACATGAGAGGGTGGGTGTACACTCCCTGCAATATTGGAAGTAATATCATCCTCCATCCTCAAATATTAAAAACAATATCCCAGAGAACGTGTACATTCCCTGCGATATTTGGAGTAATATTATCCCCTACCCCCGCTAGATATTAGGAACAATATCACATAGGAGTGCACACCCCCTGCGATATTGGGAGTAATATAATCCTCTTTCCCCTTGGATATTAAAAACAGTATCACAGAGGGGGTGTACGCCCCCTTCGAAATTGGTAGTAACAACATACTCTCCCTCCCGGGATATTAGGAACAATATTACAGGGTGGGTGTACACTCACTGCAATTTTGGGAGTAATATCATCTGCTCCCTTAATGGATATTAAGAACAATATCACAGGCGGGGTGTTTTCCCCACCTGCGATATTGGGAGTAATATCATCCTCTTCCCACCTGAATATTAGGAATAAAATCACAGGGAGGGTGCACACCCCCTGCGATATTGGGAGTAATATCATCCTCTCCCCTCCTGGATATTATAAACGATATCACAACGGGGGGTGTACACCCCCACGATTTTGAAAGTAATATCATCTTCTCCCCAACTGATACTAAAAACATTATCACACGGATGTGTATGCCTCCTGCAATATAAAGAGTAATTTCATCCTCTCCCCTCCTGGATATTAGGAAGAATATCACGGGGCGGGGCTTTGTACGCCCTCTGCAATATTGGGAGTAATATCATCTTCTGCCCCCTGGATATTAAAAACAATATCACAGAGGGGGTATGCAACCCCTGCGATAGTGGGAGTAATATCATCCTCTCCCGCCCTGGATATTAGGAACAATATCATGGTGGGAAAGGTGTACACGCCGTGCGATATTAGGAGTAATATCATCCACTTCCCCTCTGGATTTAGAAACAATATCACAGGGGAAGTGTACACCCCCTGCGATGTTAAGAGTAATATCACGGCTGGGCGCGGTGGCTCACGCTTGTTATCCCAGCACTTTGGGAGGCCGAGGCGGGCGGATCACGAGGTCAGGAGATCGAGACTATCCTGCCTAACACGGTGAAACCCCGTCTCTACTAAAAAAAAAAAAAAAAAATACAAAAATTAGCCGGGCGCGGTAGAGGGCGCCTGTAGTTCCAGCTGCTCGGGAGGCTGAGGCGGGAGAATGGCGTGAACCCGGGAGGCGGAGCTTGCAGTGAGCCGAGATCGCGCCGCTGCACTCCAGCCTGGGTGACAGAGCGTGACTCCGCCTCAAAAAAAAAAAAAAAAAAAAAAAGAGTAATATCATCCTCTCCTTCCCTGGATATTAGAAACAGCCTTACAGAGAGGTGTATACCAACTGTGATCTTAGGAGTAATATTATCCTTTACCCCCCTGGATATTAGGAACAATATCACAGAAAGGTTGTACAACATCTCGATATTGGGAGTAATATAATCCTCTCCACTTCCGCATATTAGAAACAATATCACAGGTGGGGGTGTACATCCCGTGCGTTATTGGAAGTAATATCATTTTCTTCCTTTCTGGATATTCAGAACAATATCACAGGAGGGCTGTACACTCCCTGCAATATTGCGAGTAATATTATCCTCTTCGCCCATGGAAATTAGGAACAATATCACAGGCAAGGTGTACACCTCTTGAGATACTGAAAGTAATATCATCCTTTCCGAACCTGGATATTAGGAACAATATCACGGGGAGTTGTATACTCTCCGCGATATTGAGAGTAATATCATTTTCTCCCTGCTATATTTTAAGAACAATATCACAAAGGGGGTGTACAACTGCTGCAATATTGGGAGTAATGTCATCTTTTTTCTTCTGGATATTAGGAACAATACTACAAGGGATGTGTACATCCCTGCAATATTGAAAGTAATATCAACCTCTGCCACCCTGGATATTAGGAAAAATATCACAGGAGGGGTGTACACCCCTTGCATTACTGGGAGTAATATTATCCTCCCCTAACCTGGATATTAACATCACAGGAGGGGTGTACACCCCCTTCGATATTGAGAGTAATATTATCCTCTCCCTCTCTAGATATGAGAAACCATATCACAAGGTGAATGTACATTCCCTGCAATGTTGGGAGTAATATCATTCTCTTTACCCCTGGTTTTACACCCCCTCTGATATTTGTACTAATAGTATCCTCTTCTGTCCTGGATATTAAAAACAATAGCACAAGGTGGGTGTACACCCCCTGCAATATTGGGAGAAATATTATGCTCTCTTCCCCTGGATATTAGAAACAATATCACAGAAGGGGTGTACACCCCCTGCGACATTGGGAATAATATCATCCTCTGCGTCCCTGAATATTAGGAACAGTGGTTCACCCCCCTGTAATATTGGGCATAATATCCTCTCTCTCTCTCTCTCTAAATATTGGGAACAATATCACAAGTGAGGTGTACAGCCCCGGTGATATTGGGTGTAATATTATCCTCTCTCACTTTGGATATTAGGAACAATACGAAAGAAGGTGCATACACCCCCTGCGATATTGGAAGTAATATCATCCTCACTCCACCTGGATATTAGAAACATTGTCACCTGGGGGTTGTACCCCCCCTGTGAAATTGGGCATAATATCATTATTTTCAACTGTGGATATGACGAACAGTATCACAGAAGAGGTGTATGACCTGTGCGATATTGAGAGTAATATCATCCCTTCCCTTTTTGGATATTAGCAACAATGTTACAGAAGGGGTCTACACCCTCTGCGATATTTGGAGTAATATCATCCTCTCCCCCTTTGGATATTCGGGAAATATAACGTGGGGGTGTACACCCCTAGCGATATTGGAAGTAATATCATCCTCTCCCCCCATGAATATTAGGAACAATATCACGGTGGGGGTGTACACCCCCTGCAGTATTGGGACTTTTCCTTTTCTCACCCTTGTGATATTAGGAAGAATATCACAGGAAAAGTGTACACCCCCTGCGATATTGGGAGTAATATCATTTTGTTTCCTTCTGGATATTAGGCACAATATCATGGGGTGGGTATACACCCCCTGCAACATTGGGAATAATATTCTTCTCTTCTTCCCTGGATATTAGGAAATGCATCACAGTGGTGGCGTACACCCCCTGCGATATTAGGAGTAATATAATCCTCTCCCCCCCGAATATTAGGAATAATATCACAGGGGGCGTGTACACTTTCTGCGATATTGGGAGTAACATCATTCTCTTTTTCCCAGGATATTAGGAACAATATCACAAAGGGGGTGTACACTGTCTACAACATTGGGAGTGATATCATCTCCCCCACTGAATATTAGGAACAATATCCCAGAGGGGATGCACACCTCTTGCGATATTGGGAATAATATTATCCTGTCTCCTCTTGGATATTAGGAACAATACACCCCCTGCGACACTGGAAGTAATATCATCCTCTCTCTTCCTTGATATTAGGTACAATATCACAGGGGGATTGTACTCCCCCTGCGATATTGGGAGTAATATTATTCTCTTCCCCTGTGGATTTTGGGGGTGTACACCCCCCTGTGATATTGTTTGTAATATTTAGGGGGGAGTTGATATTACTCGCAATATCGTAAACACCCTGTGTGTACATTCTCGGTGATAACGTTCGTCATATCCAGGGTGGCAGAGGATGATATTACTCCCAATATCACAGGGTGTGTACCCCATCCTATGATATTGTTGATAATATCCAGGGGAGGAGAGGGTGGTATTACTCCCAATATTGCAGAGTGTACACCTTCCTGTGATATTGTTCATAATATTCAGAGGGGGAGAGGATGGCATTACTTCCAATATCGCATGGAGTATACACTCCCCTATGATGTTGTTTATAGTTTTTCAGGGGGGAGCATAAAAGTATTCCCAATATCACAGAGGGTGTACATCCTTCTGTGATATTGTTTGTAATATGCACTGGGGGAGAAAATGATATTACTCCCAATGTCGCAAAGATTGTATACCCCTCGTGATATTGTTCATAATATCCAGGGGGAAAGAGGATGATATTACTTTTAACACTGCAGGGCGTGTACACCCCTTTGTAATATTGTTCATGATATCCAGGGGTGAGAGTATGTTCTTACTCTTAATATCGCAGGGGGTGTACACCCCCTCGGGATATTGTTCGTAATATCAAGGCGGGGAAAGGATGATATTATTCCCAATTTTGCAGGGGGTGTACACCCACCTGTGATATTTTTGCTATTACCCGGTGGGGGGGGGAGCATATCGCCCCCAATATCGCAGGGGGTGTACACCGTTCTGTCATATTGTTCGTAGTAACCAGGTGGAAAGAAAATGATATTAACCTCAATACTGCAGGGGGTGTACACCCTCCTGTGATATTGTTCACAATATCCAGGGAGGGAGAGGATAATATTACTTTCTACATCGCAGCAGCTGTAGAACTTCCTGTGATATTATTTGTAATACCCAGGAGGGGAGAGGATGATATTACTTCCCATATCTCAAGGGGTTAACACCCTTCTGTGATACTGTTCATAATATTCAGGTGGGGAGAAGATGATATTACAGTCAATATTGCAGAGGGTGTACACCCTCCTGTGATATTGTTTGTAATATTGGGGGGGTGAGGATGACATGACTCCCTATATCGCAGGGGTGTACACCTTCCCGTGATATTTTGTAATATCCAGAGAGGGAGAGGATGATATTACTCCCAGTATCGCAGGAGGTGTATACCCCTCTGTAATATTGTTTGTAATATCCAGGTGGGGAGAAAATGATATTACAGGAAGTATAGAACCCCCTGTGATATTATTCGTAATATCCAAAAGAAAAGCGGATTATATTTCTTCCAATATCGCAAGAGGTGTACACCCTTCTGTGATACTGTTCGTAATATCCAGGGAATGAGAAGATAATATTACTCCCCATATTGCAGGGCTTGTACACCCCCGTGTGATATTTTTCATAATATCCAGTGAGAAAGAGGATGATATTACTCCCCATATCTCAGGAGGTGTACACTCCCTTGTAATATTGTTCATAATATTTGGGTGGGGGGAGGATAATATTATACCCCATATCGCAGGAGGTGTACACTCCTTTGTAATATTGTCCATAATATTTGGGTGGGGGGAGGATAATATTATACCCCATATTACAAAGGGTGTACACCCCCCTGTGATATTGTTTGTAATATCCAGGGAAGGAAAGGACGATATTACTCCCCATTATTACTCCCCATATCGGAAAATGTGTACACCCACCTGTGATATTCTCCAAAACATTCAATGGGGGAAAGGATAATATTACTCCCCATATTGCAGAGGGTGTACACTTTTCCTGTGATGTTTGTAATATTCATGGGGGGAGAGGATAATATACACTCCCCTGTGATATTGTTTGTAATATTTAGGGGTTGAGAGAATGACATTATTCCCCATATCGCAAGGGGTGCATGCCCCGCTGTGATATTGTTCATAGTATCCAGGGAGGGAGAGAATGATATTACTTCTTATATCGCAGGGGTGTACATTGGCCTGTGATATTGTTCGTCATATCCAGGAGAGAGAGGATGGTATTACTCCCCATATAGCGAATGTTGTACACCTTCCTGTAATATTGTTCATAATATCTATAGGGGGAGAGGATGATATCACTCCCCATATCACAGGGAGTGTACACCGCCGTGTGACATTGTGATATCCAAGAGGGAAGTGGATGATATTACTTCCCTGTGATATTGTTTGTAATATCCAAAAAGGGAGAGGGTGATGTTACTCCCAATATCGAAGAGGGTGTACACCCTTCTGTGATATTGGTCGTAATATTCAGGGAAGGAGAGGATAATATTACTCCCAATATCGCAGGGAGTGTGCATCACCCACCAAATGGTTCGTTATATCCAAAAAGAAGAAGATGTACTCCCAATATCACAGGGGGTGTACACCCCCATGTGATATATTGTTTCTAATATCCAGGGGAAAGAGGATAATATTACTCCCAATATCACAGGGGGTGTAAACCACCTTGTGATATTGTTCGTAATATCTAGGGGAAGAGAGGATGATACTACTCCTCATATCGCAGTGGGTGTACACCTTCCTGTGATATTGTTCATAGTATTTCAAGGAGGGTGAAATAATATTTCTCCTTATATCACAGAAGGTGTAGACCTTGTAGTATTATTGTAGGTATTGTTCATAATATCCAGGGGGGGAGAGGATGATATTACTCCGCATGTCGCAGAATGTGTACACCCATTTATGATATTATCATAATATCCATTGAGGGAGAAGATAATATTACTCCCCATATCGCAAAGGGTGTACACCCTCCTGTGATATTGTTCGTAATATCCGGGGTTGGGATAGGATGATATTACTTCACATGTCGCAGAAAGTGTACATCCCGCTGTCATACTGTTCATAATATCCAGGGCGGGGAAAGGATAATATTACTTTCCATATCGCAGGGAGTGTGCTACCCCTTGTGATGTTGCTCGTAATATCCAGGGGTGAAGAAAATGATATTACTCCCCATATCGCAGGAGGTATACATCCACCTGTGATATTGTTTATAATGTTCAGTGGGGAGAGGATGATATTACTCCCCATAGTGCAGGAGGTGTACACCCACCTGTGATATTGTTCCTAATTTCCAGGGGGCGAGAGGATAATACTACTTCCCACATTGCAGCGTGTGTACATCCCCTGTGATATTGTTTGTAATATTTAGGGGAGGAGAGGATGACATTACTCCCCATATCACAGGGGATGCACACTTCCCTGTGATATTGTTCATAATATCCAGGGAGGGAGAGGATGATATTTCTGCCCATATCACATGGGGTGTACACCCCCTTGTGATATTGTTCGTAATATCTAGGGAGGGAGAGGATGATATTACTCCCCATATCGCATGGGGTGTACACCCCCTTGTGATGTTGTTCGTAATATCCAGGGGAAGAGAGGATGATATTTCTCCCTGTATCACAGGGGGTGTGCACCCCCTTGTGATATTGTTTGTAATATCCAGAAGGGGAGAGAATGATATTACTCTCCATATCGCTGGGAGTGTACATTCCCTTGTGATATAGTTCCTAATATCCATCGGGGGAGAGGATGATATTACCTCCAGGATCGCCTGAGGTTGGGAGTTTGACACCATCCTGGCCAACATGGTGAAACCCTGTCTCTACCAAAAATACAAAAATTAGCCGGGCGTGCTGGCACGTGCCTGTAATCCCAGTTACTCGGGAGGCTGAGGCAAGAGTATCACTTGAACCCGGGAGGTGGAGGTTGCAGTGAGCCGCGATCGTGCCACTGCACTGCAGCCTGGGCGACAGAGCAAGACTCTGTCTCAACAACAACAACAACAACAACAACAAAGAGATTTTATAATAAACCTCCATGTATCAATGTAGCCATCATCTAGCTTTAACAATGACCAAGTCATACCGGTTTCACCTAGACCACCACCAACTCCCCTCCTCCTTTTATTATTCTGAAGCAAATCCCAGACATCATATCATTTTCTCTGTAAATATTTTAGCATTTATTAAAACAAGAGTAATTTTTAAAGTATAAATTTACTTTTAAAAACTGAAAATGCTTCCTTAATTATTAAGAGCTGTTATTTTTATTTTTATTGTTTTAACTATTAACATGATTGGACATCTTTTAATTTATTTATTGGCTCTTTAAATTTGCTTTTTTCTGAAGTGTCTATGCATATCCTTATCTCATTTATCTATTAGATAATAGATAATTCGTCTTTGTAAATTATGGATAATAACCCTTTATTTGTAATACATATTCTCCACTCCACCCTCTTCCTATATACTCATTCAAACCTGTTCATGTAGTTATTTTTCCTTGATCCCTGATGAAATCCAGGACAAGTCTAGTGATTTTTCTGGTCACTCCTACATAATTTTAAAAGTCCTCTATTAACTATCAGTCCATAGAATAGTGTTAGTAAACTGTCCAATTCTATGTAATTATTAAAATTTGGAACTTCATTTAAAGTTAAAACTTACTCTTTCCTCCACCTAGAGCTTGTTTCAGGCAAGACATCAGAGAGAAACGGTGTGTGTTGTTGGCTTTATCTGTCTTGACTCTGCAAGCACATCTACCCGTTACCTGTGGCTTCTCCCTCCCTCAGGGCTATGTGGATGTGAGAGAGGTGACAGGTAGGAGATGGAGAACCAAGAGGAAGTGGAAGGTTGCACAGACAAAGGTGCTAACAGTGGTAGTGGTAAGAAATAGTAGGGTTCTGTATATATTTTGAAGGTATAACCCACAGAATTTGCTAATGGATTGGTTGTAGGATATTGGAGAAAGAAGGGAGTCAAAGATTACATATTTTTGGGTTTTTATTGATCTGAGATCTGTATTTTTTATTGTGGTGAAAAATATATGACATAAAATGTATTATATTAAGCATTTTTAATTATTCAGTTAAATGGCACTAAGTAAATTCACATTGTTGAGCAATCATCACCAGTATCTATCTCCAGAACTTTTTTATCATCCAAAACTGAAACTCTGGGCATGCGCAGATCACCTGAGGTCAGGAGTTCAAGACCAGCCTGGCCATCATGGTGAAACCACGTCTCTACTAAAACTACAAAAATTAGCCGGGCATGGTGGTAGGTGCCTGTAATTTCAGCTACTCAGGAGGCTGAGGCACAAGAATCTCTTGACCCCGGGAAGCAGAGGTTGCAGTGAGCCGAGATCTTTTCTTCTCCCATGCACTCCAGCCTGGGAGATAGAGTGAGACTGTATCTTAAAAAAATAATAATAAATTGAGACCAAACTGAAACTCTACACCCATTAAACAATAAATCCTCCATTCCTCCTTGGCCTGGGCCCTGGTAACCACCGTTCTACTTTCTATCTCTGAATTTGACTATTCTAGGTACCTCATATAAGTATAGTTATACATTATTTGTCCTTCTGTGATTGGCTTATTTCACATAGCATAATGTTTTCTAGGCTCATCTATGATTTAATATTTGTTTATTACAGACAGTGTGCATCAAAATTTCATTGCTTTTAAGGCTAAGTAATATTCCATTGTATGTATATGCCACATTTTATTTTTCCATTCATCTGTTGTTGGACATTTTTTTAAACCACCTTTTGGCTATTGTGAATAATGATGCTGTGAACACGGGTGTATAAAGATCTGTTCAACTCCCTGCCTTCCATTCTTTTGGGTATATTCACAGAAGTAAAATTGCTGGATTTTATGGCACATCTATGTTTAATTGTTTTAGGAACCACCATCCTGTTTTCCACAGTGACTGTACCACTTTACATTTCCACTAGCAATGTGTATATGCAAGAGTTCTAATTTCTTTACACTTTTTTCCAGTCTTATAAGAAAGTCTAGATGACTTCTGTACCTTCTTTTCTTCTTTCTTTCTCTTTCTCTCTCTCTCTCTTTTTTTTTTTTTGAGACAAGGTCTTGCTCTGTCACCCAGGCTAGAGTGCAGTGGTGCAATCATGGCTCACTGTAGCCTCAAACTCCTGGGCTCAAGCGATTCTCTCACCTCAGCTTCCTGAGTAGCTGGGACTACAGGTACACACCACCATGGCCAGCTAATTTTTGTAGTTTTTTTTGTAGAGATGGGGTCTCACTATGTTGCCCAGTTGTCCAGGCTGGTCTTGAATTCCTGGCCTCAAATGATCCTCCTGTCTTTGCCTTCCAAGGAGTTAGGATTACAGGGATGAGCCACTGTAATCCTAACTCCTTGGAAGTGGCCACTCCACATTCTTGACAACACTTGTTATTTTCTATTTTTTTAATTAAAAAAATAGACTTCCTAATTGGTGTGAAGTGGTATCTCATTGTGGTTTTGATTTGCATTGCCCTAATGATTAAGTGATGTAACACTTTTCGTGTATTTATTGATCATTTGTAGAATTGGGTTGTTTGCTTTTTGTTTTTGAGTTATAGTAGATATGTAACCCGATTTTGAGGTTTTTCTATAGTAATATGTCTAATCAAGTTTTCTATTTCTCCTTAGGTCAGTTGAAAAAAAATTTCTTTTCTGGAAAATCATCCATTTCCTCTTGGTTTTCAAATTGGTTGTTGAAGAGTTACATGTGATATTTTCTTACACATTATCATTTTCTACCCTGAATTCTAGTATTTGCATACTTCATATTGTCTTTGTTTGATTTCAGATTCTTCAAAGGCATAGATTATTATCTACCAGACCATACATTTACTTGAACATGACTTCTGTGTAACAATCACTTTGGAAGAATTAATGTTAATTGATTTGGTTACGGTAGGTAACGGGTAGATGTGCTTGCAGAGTCAAGACAGATAAAGCCAACAACACACACCGTTTCTCTCTGATGTCTTGCCTGAAACAAGCTCTAGGTGGAGGAAAGAGTAAGTTTTAACTTTAAATGAAGTTCCAAATTTTAATAATTACATAGAATTGGACAGTTTACTAACACTATTCTATGGACTGATAGTTAATAGAGGACTTTTAAAATTATGTAGGAGTGACCAGAAAAATCACTAGACTTGTATTTAACTTTAACATTTAAAATAACATTTTGAATATAAAATCTTCAAAAATGCTTTTGTTGATAACTGGTATAAAATAAAATAAAAAAGGGAGTGGGAAAGTAGGATTATAATTGGAAGAAAGGAAGGAATATTTATTGAGGACCAGACACTATGTAAGCAATTTTACATAGAAAATCTCATTTGACTTTTATTACAATTCTTTGAAATGGCCATTGTCATCCTCATTTCATAGATGAGAAAACTGGGGCTCAGAGAGGTAATATAACTAGTAGATGAAAGAGCCTTTATCAGTAAGAATGAGGAATTTCTAGGAATTTAAATACTAAAAGAGCATAAATAGCTTATACGCAAAATGATAAGCAATTAGCTTTAGCATTTTCGATGTCTTGCTAATATATTTCCGTAACAGGATTGTCAGTGTTAAATAAGGACAGTACTAATAGATAACTGTTCTTTCCCCTGAGGACGTTGGAGAAACAGACACAGAGTGATCAATCAGCACACAAGTATTTTTTAACAATCTATATGGTCTATGACAATGGATTGACACTTGAGGCTTATAGTGAGTTATAGAGCTAGTTTCTGCTTTCAGAGAACTTGTATTTTGTTGGAAGCCAGGCAGATACAGATGGAATGAACAGAAATATTCAAATCCACTAATTAATAGTGCCAGAGGGTCCAAAGAGTTTATGCTGAATTGCATAGTGACTGATCCCATAGAAACACATCATGTACAAACATATCATCCGAGCTTTTTCTGAATCGGAAAGGCTCAGTTGTTTCAAGGGGCCTATATTCTCTTAGCTTGTCTGGGGATGCTGAGCTTCAGTTTTTTTTTTACACAGCTTTATATGAGGAGTTTGCTCACCTGCTGCCTAAACACCTGTTTCACCTGTTTGTTCCTCAGGGTGTAGATGAAGGGGTTGAGCATCAGGGTCACCACGGTGTTAAGCAATGCCGCCACCTTGTTCCTGTCTTCCTTCTGGTCACTCTTGCCTGACTGAATGTACATGAAGATGCAGCTGCCATAGAAGAGAGACACGACAATGATGTGGGAGGAGCAGGCGGAGAAGGCTTTCTGCTTCTCTTTGGCTGAGGGGATGTGCAGAATGGCGTGGAGGATGTGGCCATAGCAAGTGGCCGTCATAGACAGAGTGCCCAGTAAGCTGACGTTGGCTATAACAAAACCCAGGAGCTCTATCAGAGTCATGTCTGCACAAATGAGTTTCAAGAGGGGAAAGTTGTCACAGAAGAAATGGTTAATGATGTTGGGGCCACAGAATGGCTGCTGAAGGACAAGAAAACTTGGAATAATGATGAGAAGGAATCCTGTCATCCACTAACAGAGGACTAGCTGGACACAGACCCTTTTGCTCATGATGGTGGCATAATGCAAAGGGTTACATACGGCCACGTACCTGTCAAAGGACATCACCGCCAGGAGGAAGAACTCTGTGGTGCCCAAGAAAAAATAGAGCAAACTTTGCAGGAAGCAGCCTGGGAGGGAATGGTCTTGTATCCTGTGAGGATGTTGGCCAGCACCTTGGGAAAGATGACCGAGGTGAACCAGATCTCCGGGACAGCAAAGTTGCGGAGGAAGTAGTACATGGTGGTGTGGAGGCGCCTGTCCATGAGGGTGATGACCACGATGACCAGATTCCCCAGCAGTGTGAGGAGGTAGGTCAGGAGGAGCCCCAGGAAGATGAGCATCTGCAGCTCACAGGTCTCTGAGAGCCCCAGCAGGACAAACTCGGTGACGGTGGTGTGGTTCCCCATGGCTCCTCTGACCTTTGCTGGGGAGGGCTGATCAAAGGTGTTCAGCATCAAGAATCGTGATGTTGGGGACCTGAGAACAACCTGGAACTGAAAGGAGAGAGGGCTGAAGGTGTACTTTATTTCTGTGAAGGATGTATCTTCCCACCACTGACTACTCAGGCTTATCTGCAGAGCCTCTGGGGTTACCTGTTTCACGTGTGGTTTCTGGTGCATCTGTGTGTTAGACAAGAGTGTGATGATGTGCAAGGTGGCCCAAGAAAGGCTCAGAACCAAAATTTATCCTTTCTTACTTTTCTTAACCAAAACTTTTACTCCTAATTTCTCAATGAATCCCTTTGCCTATACTAATATTACCTGCTTTCAATAACTTTTGTTCTTGTGTTTATACCAATATTGGGTCTTCATCCATAAAGAGTTCATATTCGAGGGTGTTGCTGTTTAAACATTGCCAGAATCTTTGATACCTTTCATTAGTTTTTGGATTGATAAAAAGACTAGAGGAAATCTGTGAGAGAAAAGCACACCTCTCACAAATCAAATAAGGAAAAATCCAAGTAGTATCCACATAAATCAACACTCCTTAATGGGAGTTTGATATTCAACATTCTTAATGACCTGTTGCCAAGGTTCTCCTTTCATTATCTCCTTCCACAAACTCTGAGCTTTGGATATAATAGATTCTTTGCAATATTTTGATTCTTTATCCATTTTCACACAACTGTGTGTTTGCTCATGTCACTCTTTCAGTTTGGAATCATCAGCCTTTCAAGTCCTATTTATCCTTTAAGTCTTTCCTCAATAAATGCTATCTTTTCTATAAAGACTTCTCTTCCAAATAAATGTGTCTTTCCTCTGTACCTCCCATAATTTTATTATATATCATCTTTTTATTGTATTGTTATAGTTGTTTTTCACTTCTTGCTCACTGAGTCAAAAATTTCTCTATTAACCTTTGTATTTTCTGTAGTAATTAGAACAAGTTTCTTGAAATAATCAGCTTTAACAACATTTATTGAATGAGTAAGCCACATCTCAAATGTCTGAGAGATGGATTCGGTGGGTGTTTGACACACAAGTGGTTGAGGACATGTAATTTATGTAGCATTTCCTAGGGGTCAGCAACCTTGCCAGCAGCATGCCAACTCATCTGAAATTGGTCCATCTGAAGAGAGTTTGCTTTTCCTCACGACAAGTTGGAGGCATTGCTCCACAATCATTCTCTGAAGGGAGAGTCTACATCTTTGAGACGGTCTGGAGTTTGAGTGAGTGAGTAGACAGAGGTCTGGTTGGGTTTGCTGGGGAGCTTCCAGCAGCAGAAAACCCAAAAAACAAAAACCTTAGAAAGGTTTTGCCTTCTTTTTAGCACAGGCTACATTATTCTAGGTCATTCCATAAACTACCCTTATCTCTAACTTTTGCTGACAGTTATTAAAGAACACAAAATAGTTGACCAGCCTTTGAGGATATAACTAGGGCTATTTCTCATGGGCTAATTCTAGGCTTCACATTGTCTAGATCCATCAACAATTGGAAAAATAGGTTTTTGTAGCCTCATCATTTTGTTCAAAGATGACCCCAGGTGGCCCATGACAAAAGCAGAATCCAACATGAACATGACACCCAGAAACATCATCAGGAAGTAATAGGATGAGTATTAGAGTATTTTTTAGGCAAGTCCTGGGTGGTACACATTGGGAGAAACATAAGAACAGAGATTAAGGTGATAAAGAGCCAGCTGTGAATGGGACTAGAAGAAAAAGCTCCAGGTTCATGCTGAGTCATGAGCTTAGCACAGATAAATGAAGGCATTGTGACCAGCTAAGGAGATAGCATCTAGCCAGGGCCGCTGATGAACTTTTTTTTCTTCCTGTTTCAAAGCAGAGGTCACTAGTTCTTGGCCTTCCAGAACCAAAGTAAATTAGGCCACTTCCTGAATCCCAGGCATTTCCTCCTTTATTCTACATGCTTGATGAGTGAAGGGGAGACTTGCCCAGCAGTCTGAGAGCCTGGACGTGGCTGCACCATCTACTTCAGACCATTCATTGTTTTTAGGGTCAGTTGTGTAGTGCCCCATGGAAAAGTATGCACGACCTGGAGGTGTGTCCTGCCACGGTAGGAACTCAGGCTCTTTTTTTTTTTTTGCCCAGGCTGGAGTGCAGTGGCACAATCTCGGCTTACTGCAACATCTGCCTCCTGGGTTCAAGTGATTCTCCTGCCTCAGCCTCCCAAGTAGCTGGGACTGCAGGCGTGCCCCACCATGCCCGCCTAATTTTTGTATTTTTAGTAGAGACAAGGTTTCACTATTTTGGCCAGGCTGGTCTCGAACTCCTGGCCTCAGGTGATCCACCCTCCTCAGCCTCCCAAAGTGCTGGGATTACAGGCGTGAGCCACTGTGCCTGGACTTCATGCTCTTTTGAACAGTTCCACTACACCTAGAAGGAGGATGAGATATTCCCCTTCAAAGCAAAAGCATTTGGAGTTTCACCCAGATTCCATGTTGTCCAGAGCTTTGTGTCTTCCAAGAGGACAGTTACACAGAGCACAGCATGGCACAACATTGGGCAGATCAGGCCAGGCAAAGTCCCTCAGTGCAAGTGAGTAATGTAATGGCTCTGACTGAATAAACATTGGCTTACCCACTGCTGTGTTCCAGCATTGACTTGGGTGGGGCTAAAGTTACAAATGAGACCCAGTGCCTGTCCTTGATGTGCCAGACCTTCTGACAAAATATAAAAACAAGTGCCAGCAAGAGAAGGGTTTGAGGAAGCAACTGCTGCTCTGCCAGCCCCTGAAGTGCCAAGATGGAGATTACTTGGCAGGTCCAGGGTCAGGTGTCTACCAGTCCTCCGGGAGACTCCCAATCAGGCCATTCCAAACACACTGCTCACAGGACTACGGGAGATAACTGCTTCTCACGGTTATTTCCTGAGGTTGCAATATTGTCTGTTGGCTCTAAATGCTGGTCCTATACTGTTGGTGTGAGTTCTGTATCTCTCATGAATTTGATGGTATTTTCTAAGAACACCTGTTCTCTTACAAAGCTTCCTGAATGGGCAGTTGCATTCCCTGGTCACTCAGAGAAGAATAGCTTCTTTGGCGCCATCATTCAGCTCAAAGGGTCTGAAGAGTATAGAGTGTTTCAAAATCTTCAATTTTCAGCAAGCTCCTTCTGAAGTAAACATCTTTTGGTGAAGGTAATATCAGGGCTGGAAGATTTGGGTTGCAGTTTTGTTTTCTTAAGGGATCTATTCGTCTCCCTAGTTTGATGGGACTTGGGATCCCCAGAGAGTTAGTCTAATGAGCCCCACTCAGCCTCTTTCCAAGTCTCTTGGCTGTTACTTAGTACAACTTTGCAAACAAAACTTTCTGTTGTTTGTTCAGATCGAGAATAACAACTACTTTTAGTTAAAGTAATAAATCCAGGCTGGGCATGGTGGCTCATGCCTGTAATCCAGCACTTTGGGAGGCTGAGGCAGGGGGACTCACTGGAGGCCACGAGTTTGAGACCACCCTGGCAACATAGAGAGACTCTGTCTCTACAAAAATTAAAAAAAAAAAATCACATTATGCCTCCAAAATAGGGGACTCCTGTGTAACACTAGGCAGTCTTATTGTTCTAGGGATATAAGGAACCATCACAAGTAATGTAGAACTCTGGCCAGTCCTGTCCTGCAGGATCCCTTCCCTCCCAGGGCCGGGACATGGTTGAAGACGGAGTACTGGAGAGAGGGACAAAATGCAAGAAAATGAAAAAGCTGCGATTAAATGTCTTTTTCCTTTGGTTAAAAATATAAAAGCATTTGGTAAAAAGGATCAGAAACCCACGTTCAAGGCATCGTTAAGAAAGTGGGAAAAAAGAATGAAACATACATAGGCTTGATTCTCAACCAGGCTGTACAATTGGGCTCTTCGACAAGGTCTTGGTTATTCAATTTTTAATGCTGTTTATGAGAAAATTAAAGCAGATTTTTAAAGATAGATTTATGTTTTAGATCAGTTTTAGGGTCACGGAGAAATTGAATGGAAGTTATAGAGATTTCCCATATATTCCCTGCACCTACACATGCATAAGCATAAATATATATATTTTTATTTTAAAAATTATACTTATTTATTTATTTTAGAGATAGGGTGTCACTCTGTCACCTAGGCTGGAGTACAGTGGTGCAATCATAGCTCATTGCAGCCTTGAACTCCTAGGCTCCAGTGATCCTCCTGCCTCAGCCTCCCAAGTAGCTGGGATTACAGGTGTGAGCCACCACACTTGGCTAAGCAGATTACTATTATTATCTTTTGAGACGGAATCTCACTCTGTCACCTAGGCTGAAGTGCAGTGGTGCGATCTCTGCTCACTGCAACCTCCACCTCCTGGGTTTAAGCAATTCTCCTGCCCCAGCCTCCTGAGTACAGGCATGCGCCACTACACCTGGCTAATTTTTGTATTTTTAGTAGAGATGGGGTTCCACCATGTTAGTCAGGCTGGTCTTGAACTCCTGACCTCAAGAAACCTGCCCACGTTGACCTCCCAAAGTGCTGGGATTACAGGTGTGAGCCACCAAGCCCAGTCCTCCTAAGCAGACTATTTTTAATGTCATTTTACCACACTATAGAAGCAAGTAATCCTATAATATAGAAAGTTTGGAAACTCTAGTTAAATACATATTTTTAAAAATCCCTCATTCATGACCCCAGCTCAATACATTTAACACTTTAATTTTCCATCAGATTATTTTTCTGATACATTTTTTACATGAGTGTGATTGTATTCTACATGCCTTTACTACTCAAAAAGTGGTATGTACACCAGCAGCATTGGCATTATTTCTGTTAAAAAAAGCAGAATCCCAGGCATCACTTTAGTCCTCCTGAATCAGAATCTCTATTTTAATAAGAACCCTGGGTGATTGCTTAGTATCACATTGTATTTACATATATATTTTTATTCTGCTTTTTTTTTCATTTAAACCAGCAATAGAGGTGTTTTTCATGTAATTAAAGATTTCGCATAAATATAATTTTAAATGCTGGATTTATCATTAGTTTACATAACCATTCCCTTTTCACATTTAAGTTGTTTCCAACTTGTCATTATTAAAGTAGGACTTGGATAAATATCTTTGTATATAAAACATTTTCCATATTTGAGATATTTCCTGAAAACAAATTCTTAGAACTGGAATTACTAGTCCAGAGGACTAGAGGCTGGCAAATGTCTAACAACAGGCTCTCAGGAAAACAAAAGGTGCCTTGATTTGTAGTACTTGCGATTTCTATGGTGTAAATACTTTCATTCTGGCTAATTTTATTTACTTATTTTTTTCCTGAGATTGAGTTTCACTCTTGTTGCCCAGGCTGGAGTGCAGTGGTACACTCTTGGCTCACTGCAACATCTGCCTCCCTGGTTCAAGTGATTCTCCTGCCTCAGCTTCCCAAGCAGCTGGGATTACAGGTGCCTGCCACCACGCCCAGCTAATTTTTGCATTTTTAGTAGAGATGGGGTTTTGCCATGTTGGCCAAGCTGGTCTTGAACTCCTGACCTCAGGTGATCCACCTGCCTCGGCCTCCCAAAGTGCTGGGATTACAGGCATGAGCCACTGCGCCCCACTCTGGCTGCTTTTAAGTACCAATGTGATGTTACTAAATGCAGACCTGGCAAGAAATGTGCATAATCAGCTCTCAAAAGCTGATGGGAGCTGACTCCAGCATACAATCAACACACTCTCAATGCATGGGATGGCATGCCATTATGTCTCTTACATGTATGTTTGTATGTTTGTATGTATGTATTTATTCATTGCCTTCCACCCACTTTCCAAGCTCTCATTCTTTTGCCCTGTAAGAGGTCACTGTAATTGAATTTGCACGTGTCTATGTAAAACATATAAAGTGTATTTTTATTTTATGTAAATATTATATAGTTCTTGTTCTTTTTCTTACTCTTTTTACTCTGCAGTGTACTATGAAGACTTATTGATATGTATACTTTTAGTTTAATGTTTCTAATTGCTGCATTTTATTCCATAGTGTGCATTACCACATTTTATTGATCCATTTTCCCAATGATGGTCATCTGGATTGCCAACAATATCCTGCGACAAGCGTCTTTATAGAAGTAGCCTTATGGATGTGTGGCAATTTCCTGGGATACGTACATGTGAGTAGGATAGCTGGGCTATAAGTTGTATGCATTGACTTGACTAAGCACTGCTAGGATGTATTTATGTCTCTTAGGTGAGCCTACATTCTCCATTGCCTTATTGGTGTAGACAACACTAGAACAGAATTATAGCTGTGTTCCAACTTATAGCTATCATCAATATTCAGTAGTCAATTGATGACATTAGTGGTATTAGGAAATGCATTTATATAAAACAATACACAAGTTTTTAAACCTATATTTTATATTTTACCAATATAGGTCTCAAATTTGGCAGAAAAGCCTAGCAATATCTCTATGAGTAGTGAAAACATTTTGGTACAAGCAAGTGGAGCAAATTCACAGGGTGTGCCTGAGACTGTCAGAGGCTTTCAAGGAATGACCTCATATGGACTCTTGTATCCAATTCAAATCAAATAGGCCAGCTGCAGTGGCTCACACCTGTAATTCCAGCACTTTGGGGGGCTGAGGCAGGCGGATCACCTGAGTTCAGAAGTTCGAGAACAGCCTGACCAACTTAGCGAAACCCTATCTCTACTAAAAATACAAAACTTAGCCAGGCGTGGTGGCAGGTGCCTGTAATCCCAGCTACTTGGGAGATTGAGGCAGAATAATTGCTTTAACCTGGGAAATGGAAGCTGCAGTGAGCCGAGATCACACCACTGCACTCCAGCCTGGGCAACAGAGCAAGACTCTGTCTCAAAAAAAAAAAAATCAAATATATTTGGAGTAATGAGTCCTGTGACATTAGGCAACTTCATTATTAATGATAGACCACCCTTTCCATTTCCAGGGAAGCAAAGAGAAGCTATAAGGAAGGGACATCACAAGGACTGAGTTCATTCACTTCCTGACATCATTCTTTAGTGGTCTTAGATGCTGAACCTTCAAATGCTTTCTTCTTCTTGCTGCTTTTCACATGCACATAAATATGAAAAAGTAGTTTTCTATTTTAAACAATCTTCCTCTTATCCTGAGTCTTCTAAAGTTTACTTCTTTTACTTCTTTTCTCTTCTTTGAGAGCTGGACTTTATTCAATGGTTATTTCGTACTTACTAGGTTTCAGGCACTGGGCTAGGCACCACAAAAACAGTGGTGATTGAACATAGGCTCCTCTGTGGAGCACATAGTTTACTTCTTGGAAAGAGACTTTTAAGTTTACTGTCTTCACCCTTTTACCTTGTATTTGTTATTCATCCCTGGTGTCCTACAGAGTTTTGTCCTTAGGTTTCCCATTCTCTCTTGGTGGTCTCATCTGTGCTTACATCTTCAACTCTTACTTACTCCCGCATTGGTGATTCAATGTATATAATGAACACAGGCATCTCTCTTAAGCCCCAGAAACATCTATCCAACTATTTACTAAAGGTATCCACCTGTGTGCATTAAAGTCAATATGTTGAAAGTGCTCTTCCCTTTTGCGACCATCACTGAAGTGGGAAAAGCCAAAATGAAGTTCAATCCCTTTGTGACTTCTGACCAAAGCAAGAACTGCAAAAGGCATTTCAGTGAACCTTCCCACATTTGCAGGAAGACAATGTCTTCCTCTCTTTCCACAGAGCTGAGATAGAAGTACAACGTTTGATCCATGCCCATCTGAAAGGATGATGAAGTTCAGGTTGTATGAGGACACCATAAAGGTCAGCAAACTGGCAAAGTACTCCAGGTTTACAGGAAGAAATATGTCATCTACATTGAATGGGTGCAGTGGGAAAAGGCTAATGGCACAACTATCCATGTAAGCATTCACCCCAGCAAAGTGGTTACCACTGGGCTAAAACGGGACAAAGACTGCAAAAATGTCCTTGAATGGAAAGGAAAATCTCACCAAGTAGGAAAGGAAAAGGGCAAATACAAGGAAGAAACAATAGAGAAGATGCAGGAATGAAATAATCTAATATACAAGCTTTCATTAAAACTTGAAATGAAAAAGAAAAAAAAGCCAATATGTTGAAAGTAATTGAAGAATGTACCAGAAACCAATAAAAGTAATACTTGTAGGTGGTAGTTTGGGGTGGATAGAGTCAGGGTGGACAGCATGATTCCTTAATATGTATCTTTTCATGTATTTAAAAAATCTGGGGGCTGGGCACAGTGGCTCATGCCTGTAATCCCAGCACTTTGGGAGGCTGAGGCAGGCAGATCTCGAGGTCAGGAGTTTGAGACAAGCCTAGCTAACATGGTGAAACCCCGTCTCTACTAAAAATACATAAATTAGTCGGGCGTGGTGGAGGGTGTCTGTAATCCCAGCTATTCGGGAGGCTGAGGCAGGAGAATTTCTTGAACCCGGGAGGCAGAGGTTGCAGTGAGCTGAGATCATGCCACTGCACTCCAGCCTGGGTGACAGAGCATGACTCCGTCTCGGAGGAGAAAAAAAAAAATCTGGGAAATCCTAGACAGATCAATTAGGCAAGGGAAATAAATAGACATCCAAACAGGAAAAGAAGTCAAATTATCTTTCCTCAGATGATGTTATTCTCCATCTAGAAAACCCTACAGACTCTGCCAAAAGGCTAATGGAACTGATAAATGACTTCAGTAATGTTTCAGGACACAAAATCAATGTACAAAAATCGGTTGCATTTCTATATACCTATAATGTTCAAGCTGAGAGCCAAATCAGAACACAATCCCATTTACAATAGCCACACAAAAAATAAAATACCTAGGAATACATCTAACCAAGGAGGTGAAAGGTCTCTACAAGGAGAACTACAAAACACTGCTCAAAAAAATCACTGATGGCACAAACAAATGGCAAAACGTTCCACACTCATGGATTGGAAGAATAAATATCATTAAAATGACCATAGAACCCAAAGTAATCTATAGGTTCAATGCTATTCTGGTCAATGTCATTTCTCACAGAACTAGAAAAAGCTATTCTAAAATTCATATGGAAGCAAAAAGGGCCCAAATAGCCAAAGCAATCCTAAGCAAAAGGAACAAAGCTGTCAGCACCACATTACCTGACTTCAAAATATACTATAAAGCTACAGTAAGCAAAACAGCATGGTACAGTACAAAAACAGACACATAGACCAATGGAACAGAATAGAGAACCATAAGTAAAGCCACACCCCTACATCCATCTGATCTTCAACAAAGTTGACAAAAATAAGCAATGGGGGAAGAGACTCTCTATTCAATAAAGGGTGCTGGGATAACTGGCTAGCTATATGCAGAAAAATGAAACTGGACTCCTACCTTTTACCATGTACAAAATTAACTCAAGATGGATTAAATATTTAAATATAAGAGCTCAAACTGTAACAATTCTAGAAGAAAACCTAGGAAACATCATTCTGGACATCAGCCTTGGGAATGAATTTATTACTAAGTCCTCAAAAGCAATTGCAACAAAAACAAAAATTGACAGGTGGGATCTAATTAAACTAAAGAGCTTCTGCACAGCAAAAGAAACTATCAACAGACTAAACAGACAACCTACAGAATGGGAGAAACTATTCACAAACTGTGCAGCCAACAAAGATCTAATATCCAGATTCTATAAGAAACTTAATTCAACAAGCAAAAAATAAATAACCCAATTAAAAAATGGGCAAAAGACATGAACAGTCACTTCTCCAAAGAAGACTTTCAAGCAGCCAACAAACATGAAAAAATGCTCAATATCACTAATTATCAGAGAAATTCAGATCAAAACCACAAAGAGATACTATCTCATACCAGTCAGAAAGGCTATATTAAAAAGCCAAAAAACAACAGATGCTGGTGAGGCTGCAGAGAAAATGGAACACTTACACACTGTTGGTAAGAATGTAAATTAGTTCAGTCACTGTGGAAAGTTTTTTAAAGATTTCTCAAAGAACTTATAACAGAACTACCATTCAACCCAGCAATCCCATTACTGGGTATATATCCAAGAGAAAATAAACTGTTTTACCAAAAAGACATGTGCTTGCATGTTCATTGCAGCACTACTCACAATAGCAAGGACATGGAGTCAACCTAGGTGCCCACTGACAGTGGATTGGATAAAGAAAATATGGTACCTATATAACAAAGAATGCTATGCAGCCATTAAAAAGAATGAAATCATAGTTTTCTGCAGCAACATGTATGCAACTGAAGGGCATTATCCTAAGTGAATTAAAGCAGAAACAGAAAACCAAATATCGCATGATCTCGCTTATATGTAGAAGCTAAATATTGGGTACACATGGACAAAAAGATGGAAAAAATAGACACTGGGGACTACAAGATAGGGGAGGTAGGGAGTGGGGGAGAGGGTGGAAAAACTACCTATCAGGTACTATGCTCACTACCTGGGTGCTGGGTTCAGTCATACCCCAAACCTTAGCACCATACAATTCACCCATGTAACAAACCTGCATGTGTTATGAAAGTTATCACATTCTCTTGGGCTCCCACGCCTTTGCATATGCTGTTCTTCCTACTTGAAATGTTTTCCCGACCTTGGCCAAAAGCAGGTTGAGTTTTCCATTGGAAAACTTTTCTAAGTACTTCCCCCTTCCCTCCACCCAATCATACTTCTCTTGTCTATAAATAGTTCTGATATTGCACTAAATACTGTATCATCACTTCTGTTTTTTTCTTTGTATCCGCCTACTAACAATGTGACCCTGGACACATCCTGACAGCAGGAATTTAATCACATTTTTCTTTGTATTTCCAGCATCTGGCACAAGTACTTATATGGTGACATCATATAGATTGAAATGTTAACCATGATTTTGTTTTGATAAGCCACTGTGTGGAAAACCATGATTTTTTATGAGTATTTCTTATTCCTCTCAATTTGGGTAGGTAGACTGGGAAAGAAATGATGCAGAAGGAAGAGTAAAGCTTTTCTGAAGTTTAAGACTCATGGAGTGGAAAAAAGCTGATGGGTCAGAACATGCCTTTTTACTTCCTCAGATTCTGCACACTAGGGAGAAAGAGGAGACTTGAAAGAGAAGAAAGGACAGTTCAGAGCTAATGGGGCTCCAGAAAGGGGCATAGTGCTTTGCCTTTCCTAATTCCTGGCCAAGTCTGAAAGGGGAAATGATAGAACCACACATAGAGTTGTGGGTCTGAGAACAGAAAAAACTTGTGATTTGCTTTCTGGAAAGGGCCTTCAGGCAATGGCAATACCACAGAGGAGAAGAGGCTACATAAAGTTTCTAGGCAGGTGGGATTTTCAAGAGCATCAAGGAGTTTTCTGCAGCTCAGAGGTGCAGAAATAGAGTAATGAGGTATAGAGTGCCTGAGAGAGGTAAAGAAGTAGCAGGGAGAGCTGCCCAAGCTTCAAGGACCTCACTGAGAAGAATGAGGAGTGATGCACCAGCCACCTGTGTGGACTGACAACCTGGGACAGGGTGGGAGAATGCCAGAGGATAGATGGGCAAAGGACTGGCCATTTCCTAGTCCCTTCCCATCCTCCTCAGAACTTCAGCACAACTCTGAAGAAAAGTGTACTTGTGGGAGAACCCAGAATTGCCTGAGATTTAATTTCTGCCATCAGGCTAATGAGGCACCTAGGGAAATTAAGCTGAGTTTTTAAAATATCCAGAAAGTTAAATTTGTTGCACACGTGAGTCTCTGAACCCAGATGTGTATTTGCTTTACCTGGCATCAGGCAGTGTTATAACTCAATAAATTTATGTAAAATGTAAAAAGGAGTATCAAATTTCCCTAAATAAACTTTGCAATATAAACATAATTTATGTTATTAATTCTTTGTCAATAAAAATGTGGCAACATTCTGCTGCTCTGAGAGCTAGTGTCTCTTGGTCAATTACTTGATACAGTGGAAAAGACTTTGACCTTACAGTCAGATAAATATGGATGTATACACTGGCTCTGCAATCTGCTGGCTGGGTTACCCTTTCTCTCAGAACCTCATTTTACTCACAAAATAGGTGCTTAATATAGTTAGTTTCCTTCCTTTACCTTCTATTTTGTCCCACGATATCTCTGATAGTCTCACCTGTAGAGCTGCCATTACTATTAATATCAAATGGAATTTTTATTGATTATATCAATTAAATAAATTATTATTTTATTATTTTTTCACCATTTTGTTTTAAATTCATGTGTTAGTTATGTGTACTATTCTTTTTTTTTTTTTTGAGACAGGGTCTTGCTCTGTCATGCAGGCTGCAGTGCAGTGGTGTGATCTCAGCACACTGCAGCCTCGACTTGGTGGGCTCAAGTGATCCGCCCACCTCAGTCTCCCAAATAGCTAGGATTACAGGTGCATGCACCCACACCCATCTAATTTTTTTTTTTTTGGAGAGACAGGGTTTTGTCATGTTGCCCAGGCCGGTCTCAAACTCCTGACCTCAAGCAATCTGCTCACCTCAGCTTCTCAAAGTGCTGGGATTACAGGTGGTTATATCTACTATTCCAAAATAATATGTTTATACTACTATTTCTTGATTTATCTACTTTAAGCAATTTGATTTATCTACTTTAAATAACAGGTGAGGAATTTTGCTCACTTACAGTAATACTCTCCACAGGGCTGCTTACATGACTCATGACATGGCAGCTGGCTTCCTTCAGAGCGAGTGATCTGAGAGACAGCAAGTTGGAAGGTGCAATGACTTTTATGACCTAACTTTGAAATGCACACACCATCATATCCTCAATATCCTGTTGCTTATATGAGTCAGCCCCATTCAGTGTGAAAGGGATTACTCAAGGGCATGCATACCAGGCAAGATTGTACCAGAGAACTTATAAAGCTGTTGGTATGGTCTGAATGCATGGTCTGGCTAGTGGTCTATCTATTTGTTGATCTCTTCAAAAAACCAGCTCCTGGATTCATTGATTTTTTTGAAGGGTTTTTTGTGTCTCTCTCTCCTTCAGTTCTGCTGTGATCTTAGTTATTTCTTGTCTTCTGCTAGATTTTGAATTTGTTAGCTGTTGCTTCTCTAGTTCTTTTAACTTTGATGTTAGGGTGTCAATTTTAGATCTTTTCTGCTTTCTTTTGTAGGCATTTAATGCTATAAATTTCCCTCTACACACTGCTTTAAATGTGTCCCAGAGATTCTGGTATGTTGTGTCTTTGTTCTCATTGGTTTCAAAGAACATCTTTATTTCTGCTTTCATTTTGTTATTTACCCAGTAGCCATTCAGGAGCAGGTTGTTCAGTTTCCATGTAGTTGAGTGGTTTTGAGTGAGTTTCTTAATCCTGAGTTCTAATTTGATTGCACTGTGGTCTGAGAGACAGTTTGTTGTGATTTCTGTTCTTTTACATTTGCTGAGGAGTGTTTTACTTCCAATTATGTCATCAGTTTTAGAATAAGTGCAATGAGGTGCTGAGCAGAATGTATATTCTGTTGATTTGGGGTGGAGAGTTCTATAGATGTCTAATAGGTCCGCTTGGTCCAGAGTTGAGTTCTAGTCCTGAATATCCTTGTTAATTTTCTGTCTCGTTAACCTGCCTAATATTGACAGTAGGGTGTTAAAGTCTCCCATTACTATTGTGTGGGAGTCTAAGTCTCTTTGTAGGTCTCTAAGAACTTGCTTTATGAATCTGGGTGCTTCTGTATTGGGTGCATATATATTTAGGATAGTTACCTCTTCTTGCTGCATTGATCCCTTTACCATTATGTAATGCCCTTCTTTGTCTCTTTTGATCTTTGTTGGTTTAAAGTCTGTTTTATCAGAGATTAGGATTGCAACTTGTGCTTTTTTTTGCTTTCCATTTGCTTGGTAAATATTCCTCCATCCCTTTATTTTGAGCCTATGTGTATCTTTGCACATGAGATGGGTCTCCTGAATACAGCACACTAATGGGTCTTGACTCTTTATCCAATTTGCCAGTCTGTGTCTTTTAATTGGCGCATTTAGCCCATTTACGTTTAAGGTTAAAATTGTTGTGTGTGAATTTGATCCTGTCAATATGAGGCTAGCTAGTTGTTTTGCCCATTAGTTGATGCAGTTTCTTCATTGTGCCAATGTTCTTTACAATCTAGTATGTTTTTGCAGTGGCTGGTACCAGTTGCTCCTTTCCACGTTTAGTGCTTCCTTCAGGAGCTCTTGTAAGGCAGGCCTGGTGGTGACAAAATCTCTCAGCATTTGCTTGTCTGTAAAGGATTGTGTTTCTCCTTCGCTTATGAAGCTTAGTTTGGCTGGATATGAAATTCTGGGTTGAAAATTCTTTTCTTTAAGAATGTTGAATATTGGACCCCACTCTCTTCCGACTTGTAGAGTTTCTGCAGAGAGATCTGCTGTTAGTCTGATGGGCTTCCCTTTGTGGATAACCCGACCTTTCTCTCTGGCTGCCCTTAAAATTTTTTCCTTCATTTCAACCTTGGTGAATCTGAGAATTATGTGTCTTGGAGTTGCTCTTCTCAAGGAGTATCTTTGTGGTGTTCTCTGTATTTCCTGAATTTGAATGTTGGCCTGTCTTGCTAGGTTGGGGAAGTTCTCCTGGATAATAATCCTGAAGAGTGTTTTCCAACTTGGTTCCATTCTCCTCATCACTTTCAGGACACCAATCAAACACAGATTTGGTTTTCACATAGTCCTGTATTTCTTGGAGGCTTTGTTCATTCCTTTTTTTCCTTTTTCTCTAATCTTGTCTTCAAGCTTTATTTCATTAAGTCGATCTTCAATCACTGATATCCTTTCTTCTGCTTGATTGATTCAGCTATTGAAACTTGTGTATGCCTCACAAAGTTCTCATGCTGTGTTTTTCAGCTCCATCAGGTCATCTATGTTCTTTTCTACACTGGTTATTCTAGTTAGTAATTCATCTAACCTTTTTTCAAGGTTCTTAGCTTCCTTGCATTGGGTTAGAACATGCTCCTTTAACTTGGAGGAGTTTGTTATTACCCACCTTCTGAAGCCTTCTTCTGTCAATTCATCAAACTCATTCTCCATCCAGTTTTGTTCCCTTGCTGGCGAGGAGTTGTGATCCTTTGGAGGAGAAGAGGCATTCTGGTTTTTGGAATTTTTGACCTTCTTGTTCTTGTTTCTCCCCATCTTTGTGGATTTATCTACCTTTGGTCTTTGATGTTGGTGACCTTTGGATGGGGTCTTTGAGTGGATGTGCTATTCCTGTTTGTTAGTTTTCCTTCTGACAGTCAGGCCCCTTTGCTACCAGTCTGTTGGAGTTTGCTGGAGGTCCACTCCCAACCCTGTTTCCCTGGGTATCACCAGAGGATGCTGCAGAACAGCAAAGATTGCTGCCTGGTCTTTCCTCTGGAAGCTTCGTCCCAGAGGGGCACCTCCTAGATGCCAGCCAGAACTCTCCAGTATGAGGTGTCTGTTGGCCCCTACTGGGAGGTGTCTCCCAGTCAGGATACATGGGGGTCGGGGACCCACTTGAGGAGGCAGTCTGTCCCTTAGCAGAGCTTGAATGCTATGCTGGGAGGTCCACTGCTTTCTTCAGAGCTGTCAGGCAGAGACGTTTAAGTCTGCTGAAGCTGTGCCCACAGCTGCCTGTTTTCCCAGGTGCTCTGACCCAGGGAGATGGGGGTTTTATCTGTAAGTCCCTGACTGGGGCTGCTACCTTTTTTTTCAGAGATGCCCTGCCCAGAGAAGGGACGTCTGGCCACAGCAGCCTTGCTGAGCTGCAGTGGGCTCCGCCCAGTTTGAACTTCCCAGTGGCTTTCTTTATACTGTGAGTGTAAAACCACCTACTCAAGCCTCAGCAATGGTGGACGCCCCTCCCCCCACCAAGCTCGTGTCTCAGGTTGATCTCAGACTGCTGCTGTGCTGGCAGTGAGAATTTCAAGCTAGTGGATCTTAGTTTGCTGGGCTCTGTGGGGGTGGGACCCACCAAGCTCGATCACTTGGCTCCCTGGCTTCAGCACCCCTTTCCAGGGGAGTGAATGGCTCTGTCTCGCTGGCATTCCAGGCACCACTGGGGTATGGAAAAAAAGAACTCCGGCAGCTAGTTTGGTGTCTGCCCAAATGGCTGCCCAGTTTTGTGCTTGAAACCCAGGGCCCTGGTGGGGTAGGCACCGGAGGGAATCTCCTGGTTTGCGGGTTGCAAAAACCATGGGACAAGCACAGTGTCTGTACCAGAGTTCCTCAGGCTCAGTGCCTCATGGCTTCCTTTGGGTGGGGCAGAAAATTCCCTGACCCGTTGTGCTTCCCAGGTGAGATGGCTCCCCACCCTGCTTCAGCTTGCCCTCCATGGGCTGCACCCACTGTCCAACCAGTCCCAGTGAGATGAACCGGGTACCTAAGTTGGAAATGCAGAAATCCCCCACCTTCTGCATCAGTCTCTCTGGCAGCTGCAGACCGGAGCTGTTCCTATTCGGCTATCTTGCCAGTAAATCTCTCTCTTTTTTTTTTTTTTTCCCAAGAAGACTGAGCTCTGCATTGATGTGATTAAGTCACACCTCAGGGTTCCTTTGGGCCCTTCACAGTAACTGTGCATCCCTTCAGAGTAATGCCAACATTTTCTGGAATGTTGACAGTCTGATTGCTGAGAATGATCTTCATTCTCTCAGTAGATGCGGCAAAGGAAAAACATCTTCAATGTTATTATGGGGGATAAGGACTTATTCTTGCCATTTTATTATTTGTTTTCTGGTCTTCTCTTTCTTCTTTCTTTTCTTTCTATCTTCCTTTTGGTGAAGGTGGTTTTCTCTGGTGATATAATTTAGTTTCATGCTTTTTCTTTTTGTGTATCTGTTATATGGTTTTTGTTTTGAGATTACCATAGGGCTTGCAAATACTATCTTATAAGCCATTATTTTAAGCTGATAACAACTTAACAATGTTTGCATTAACAAATGAGCAAACAAGCAAAAATAAAATTAATAAAGACTCTATGCCTTAACTTTGTCCCCCCATGTTTTAACTTTTTGTTGTTACTATTAATTCATACCTTATTTGTACTATGTCTTGAAGTTATTACTTTTTGTTCAGTTCATCTTTTCACATAAAATACTACTAATACTAAACTACTCACATCTTTCTACTTAAGATCTTTCTACTTAAGATGTGAGTAGTTTAAACATCACAATTACAGAGTTATAATATTCTGTGTACTTACTATTACTAATGAGTTTTGTACCTTCAGATGATTGCTTATTAACATCATTTTCTTTCTGATTGAAATATTCCCCTTAGCATTTCTTGTAAGACAGGTCTGATGTTGATGAAATCCCTCAGCTTTTGTTTGTCGGGGAAAGTCTTTATTTCTTCTTCATATTTGAAGGATATTTTTTGCCAGATATACTATTCTAGGGTAAAAATTTTTTTCCTTCTGCACTTTAAATATGCCATGCCACTCTCTCCTGACCTGTGAAGTTTCCACTGAGAAGTCTGCTGTCAGATATATTGGAGCTCTGTTGTATGTTATTTGTTTGTTTTATCTTGCTCCTTTTAGGACTCTTTCTTTGTCCTTGACCTTTGGCAATTTGATTATTAAATGCCTGGAGGTAGTCTTCTTTGGGCTAAATCTGTTTGGTGTTCTATAACCTTCTTGTACTTGGATATTGATAGCTTTCTCTAGGTTTGGGAAGTTCTCTGTTATTATCCCTTTGAATAAACTTTCTACCCCATCTCTTTCTCTACCTCTTCTTTGGGGCCAATAACTCTGAGATTTGAGGCTATTTTCTAGATCCTGTAGGTGTGCTTCATCTTTTTTTTTTCTTTTTGAGATGGAGTTTCGCTCTTGTTGCCCAGGCTGGAGTGCAATGGCATGATCTTGGCTCACTGCAACCTCTGCCTCTTTGGTTCAAGTAATTCTCTTGCCTCAGCCTCCCCAGTAGCTGGGATTACAGGCATGTGCACCACACCTGGCTAATTTTTATTTTTAGTAAAGATGGGGTTTCTCCATGTTGGTCAGGCTGGTCTTGAAATCCCAACCTCAAGTGATCTGCCCGCCTCAGTCTCCCAAAGTGCTGGGATTACAGGCATGAGCCACCATGCCCAGCCTGCTTCATCGTTTTTTATTCTTTTTTCTTTTGTCTCCTCTGACTGTGTATTTTCAAATATTATAATAGCTTATCTTCAAGCTCAGTAATTCTGTCTTCTGCCTGATAATTCTGCTATTAAAAGACACAGAAGCATTCTTCAGTATGCCAATTGCATTTTTCTTTTTTTTTAATTATTATACGTTAAGTTCTAGGGTACATGTGCACAACGTGCAGGTTTGTTACATATGTATATATGTGCCATGTTCATGTGCTGCACCTGTTAACTCATCATTTACATTAGGTATATCTCCTAATGTTATCCCTCCTCCCTCCCCCTACCCCATGACAGGCCCCAGTGTGTGATGTTCCCTACCCTGTGTCCAAGTGTTCTTATTGTTCAATTCCCATGTATGAGTGAGAACATGCGGTGTTTGGTTTTCTGTCCTTGTGATAGTTTGCTGAGAATGATGGTTTCCAGCTTCATCAACGTCCCTAAAAATGACATGAACTCATCCTTTTTTATGGCTGCATAGTGCATATGTGCCACATTTTCTTAATCTAATCTATCATTGATGGACATTTGGGTTGGTTCCAAGTCTTTGCTATTGTGAATAGTGCACACATACGTGTGCATGTGCCTTTATAGCAGCATGATTTATAATCCTTTGGGTGTATACCCAGTAATGGGATAGCTGGGTCAAATGGTATTTCTAGTTCTAGATTGCTGAGGAATCGCCACACTGTCTTCCACAATTGTTGAACTAGTTTACACTCCCACCAACAGTGTAAAAGCATTCCTATTTCTCCACATCCTCTCCAGCACCTGTTGTTTCCTGACTTTTTAGTGATTGCCATTCTAACTGGTGTGAGATGGTATCTCACTGTGGTTTTGATTTGCATTTCTCTGATGGCCAGTGATGATGAGCATTTAATTTTCATGTGTCTGTTGGCTGCATGAATGTCTTCTTTTGAGAAGTGTCTGTTCATATCCTTTGCCCACTTTTTGATGAGGTTGTTTGATTTTTTTCTTGTAAATTTGATTAAGTTCTCCGTAGATTCTGGATATCAGCCCTTTGTCAGATAAGTAGTTTGCAAAAATTTTCTCCCATTCTGTAGGTTGCCTGTTCACTCTGATGGTAGTTTATTTTGCTGTGCAGAAGCTCTTTAATTTAATTAGATCTAATTTGTCAATTTTGGCTTTTTTTGCCATTGCTTTTGGTGTTTTAGTCATGAAGTCCTTGCCCATGCCTGTGGCCTGAATGGTATTGCCTAGGTTTTCTTCTAGGGTTTTTATGGTTTTAGATCTAACATTTAAGTCTTTAATCCATCTTGAATTAATTTTTGTAGAAGATGTAAGGAAGGGATCCAGTTTCAGCTTTCTACATATGGCTAGCCAGTTTTCCCAGCACCATTTGTTAAATAGGGAATTCTTTCCCCATTTCTTGTTTTTGTCAGGTTTGTCAAAGATCAGATGGTTGTAGATGTGTGGTATTATTTCCGGGGGCTCTATTCTGTTCCATTGGTCTATATCTCTGTTTTGGTACCAGTACCATGCTGTTTTGCTTACTGTAGCCTTGTAGTATAGTTTGAAGTCAGGTAGCATGATGCCTCCAGCTTTGTTCTTTTGGCTTAGGAATGACTTGGCAATGTGGGCTCTTTTTTGGTTCCATATGAACTTTAAAGTAGCTTTTTCCAATTCCGTGAAGAAAGTCATTGGTAGCTTGATGGGGATGGCATTGAATCTACAAATTACCTTGAGCAGTATGGCCATTTTCACGATATTGATTCTTCCTACCCATGAGCATGGAATGTTCTTCCATTTGTTTGTGTCCTCTTTTATTTCATTGAGCAGTGGTTTGTAGTTCTCCTTGAAGAGGTCCTTCACATGCCTTGTAAGTTGGATTCCTAGGTATTTTATTCTCTTTGAAGCAATTGTGAATGTGAGTTCACTCATGATTTGGCTCTCTGTTTGTCTGTTGTTGGTGTATAAGAATGCTTGTGATTTTTGTACATTGATTTTGTATCCTGAGACTTTGCTGAAGTTGCTTATCAGCTTAAGGAGATTTTGGGCTGAGACAATGGGGTTTTCTAAATATACAATCATGTCATCTGCAAACAGGGACAATTTGACTTCCTCTTTTCCTAACTGAATACCCTTTATTTCTTTCTCTTGCCTGATTGCCCCGGCCAGAACTTCCAACACTATGTTGAATAGGAGTGGTGAGAGAGGGCATCCCTGTCTTGTGCCAGTTTTCAAAGGGAATGCTTCCAGTTTTTGCCCATTCAGTATGATATTGGCTGTGGGTTTGTCATAAATAGGTCTTATTATTTTGAGATACATCCCATCAATACCTAATTTATTGAGAGTTTTTAGCATGAAGGGCTGTTGAATTTTGTCAAAGGCCTTTTCCGCATCTATTGAGATAATCAAGTGGTTTTTGTCTTTGGTTCTGTTTATAAGCTGGATTATATTTATTGATTTGTGTATGTTGAACCAGCATTGCATCCCAGGGATGAAGCCAACTTGATCATGATGGATAAGCTTTTTGATGTGCTGCTGGATTTGATTTGCCAGGATTTTATTGAGGATTTTTGCATCGATGTTCATCAGGGACATTAGTCTAAAATCCTTTTTTCGTTGTGTCTCTGCCAGGCTTTGGTATCAGGATCATGTTGGCCTCATAAAATGAATTAGGGAGGATTCCCTCTTTTTCCATTGATTGGAATAGTTTCAGAAGGAATGGTACCAGCTCCAGTAGAATTCGGCTGTGAATCTATCTGGTCCTGGACTTTTTTTGGTTGGTAGGCTATTAACTATTGCCTCAATTTCAGAACCTGTTATTGGTCTATCAGAGATTCAACTTCTTCCTGGGTTAGTCTTGGGAGGGTGTATGTGTCCAGGAATTTATCCGTTTCTTCTAGATTTTCTAGTTTATTTGTGTCGAGGTGTTTATAGTATTCTCTGATGGTAGTTTTTATTTCTGTGGGATCGGTGGTGATATCCCCTTTATCATTTTTTATTGCATCTATTTGATTCTTCTCTCTTTTCTTCTTTATTAGTCTTGCTAGCAGTCTATCAATTTTGTTGATCTTTTCAAAAAACCAGCTCCTGGATTCATTGATTTTTTGAAGGGTTTTTTGTGTCTCTCTCTCCTTCAGTTCTGCTCTGATCTTAGTTATTTCTTGCCTTCTGCTAGCTTTTGAATGTGTTTGCTCTTGCTTCTCTAGTTCTTTTAATTGTGATGTTAGGGTGTCAATTTTAGATCTTTCCTGCTTTCTCTTGTGGGCATTTAGTGCTATAAATTTCCCCCTACACACTGCTTTAAATGTGTCCCAGAGATTCTGGTATGTTGTGTCTTTGTTCTCATTGGTTTCAAAGAACATCTTTATTTCTGCCTTCATTTCGTTATGTACCCAGTAGTCATTCAGCAGCAGGTTGTTCAGTTTCCATGTAGTTGAGCAGTTTTGAGTGAGTTTCTTAATCCTGAGTTCTAGTTTGATTGCACTGTGGTCTGAGAGACAGTTTGTTATAATTTCTATTCTTTTACATTTGCTGAGGAGTGCTTTACTTCCAACTATGTGGTCAACTTTGGAATAAGTGTGATGTGGTGCTGAGAAGAAGGTATATTCTGTTGATTTGGGGTGGAGAGTTCTGTAGATATCTATTAGGTCTGCTTGGTGCAGAGCTGAGTTCAATTCCTGGATATCCTTGTTAACTTTCTGTCTCATTGATCTGTCTAATGTTGACAGTGGTGTGTTAAAGTCTCCCATTATTATTGTGTGGGAGTCTAAGTCTCTTTGTAGGTCTCTAAGGACTTGCTTTATGAATCTGGATGCTCTTGTATTGGGTGCATGTATATTTAGGATAGTTAGCTCTTCTTGTTGCACTGATCCCTTTACCACTATGTAATGGCTTTCTTTGTCTCTTTTGATCTTTGTTGGTTTAAAGTCTCTTTTATCAGAGACTAGGATTGCAACCCCTGCTTTTTTGTTTTCCATTTGCTTGGTAAATATTCCTCCATCCCTTTATTTTGAGCCTATGTGTGTCTCTGCACATGAGTTGGGTCTCCTGAATACGGCACACTGGTGGGTCTTGACTCTTTATCCAATTCACCAGTCTGTGTCTTTTAATCGGAGCATTTAGCCCATTTACATTTAAGATTAATATTGTTATGTGTGAATTTGATCCTGTCATTATGATGTTAGCTGGTTATTTTGCTCGTTAGTTGATGCAGTTTCTTCCTAGCCTCAAAGATCTTTACAATTTGACATGTTTTTGCAGTGGCTGGTACTGGTTGTTCCTTTCCATGTTTAGTGCTTCCTTCAGGAACACCAAAGTTCTTTTGAATATCTGGAAAGCCTTCCCAAACGGGCAGGCACAAACAAGGCCAGACAGTGACAACTGCAATAAATACCTAACTCTTCAATGCCCAGACATAGACAAACTTCTACAAGTATGAAGATGATCCAGGAAAACATGACCTCATAAAATGAACTAAATAATGCACCAGGGATAAATCCTGGAGAAACAGAGATGTATGACTGTATCAGTCCATTTCCACACTGCTATAAAGAACTACCTGATACTGGATTATTTATAAAGGACAGAGGCTTAATTGACCCACTTTTGCATGGCTGGGTAGGCCTCCGGAAACTTAAAATCATGGCAGAAGGTGAAAGAGAAGCAAAACACATCTTACATGGCAGTGGGGGCTGGGGTAATGACAAACACATTTAAACCATCAGATCTCATGGGAACTCACTCACTATCATGAGAACAGCATGGGTGAAACCACAACCCATGATCCAATCACCTCCCACCAGGTACTTATCTCAACACAGGGGGATTATAATTTAAGATGAGATTTGGGTGGGGACACAGAGCCAAACCATATCATTATGCCCCTGGCCCCTCCCAAATTTTATATTCTTCTCACATTTCAAAGCCAACCATGCCTTCCCAACAATCCCTCAATGTCTTAATTCATTCCAGCATTAACTCAAATGTCCAAGTCCAAAGTCTCATCTGAGACAAGGCAAGTTCCTTCCACCTATAAGCCTGTAAAATAAAAAACAAGTTAGTTACTTCCAAGATACACTGGGGATACAGGTATTGTGTAAGTGTTCCCATTCTAAATGGAAAAAATTGGCCAAAACAAAGGTACCACAGGACCCCTGCAAGTTTGACACCCATCAGGGCAGCCACTAAATTTTAAAGATCCAAAATAATCTCCTTTGACTCCATATCTCACATCCAGGATACAATGACACAAGAGGTGGGCTCCCAAGGCCCTGGACAGCTCAGCCTCTTTGGCTTTGCAGGGTGCAGCCCCTGCAGATGCTTTCATCGGCTGGCATTGGTGCCTGTGGCTTTTCCAGGTGCACAGTGCAAGCTATGGGTGGATCTACTATTCTGGGGTTTGGAGGACAGAGAAGAGCTCACAGGTTCACTAGGCAGTGCCCCAGTAGGGACTCTGTGTGGGGGCTCCAACCCCACATTTCCCCTCTGCATGGCCCTAGTAAAAGTTCTTCATGAGGGCTCTACCCCTGCAACAGACTTAGGAAACTTACAATTATGGTAGGAGGTGAAAGGGAAGCAAGGCGTCTTACATGGCAGCAAGAGTTGGTGGGACTGCAAAACACTTTTAAACCATCAGATCTCATGAGAACTCACTCACTATCACAAGAACAGCATGAGGGAAACTGCCCCCATGATCCAACCAACTCCCACTAGGTCCCACCCTCAACACATGGGGATTACAATTTGAAATGAAATCTGGGTGGGGACACAGAGCCAAACCACATCAGTGACCTTTCAGACAGAGAATCCAAAATAGCTGTTTTGAGGAAACGCAAAGAAATTCAAGGTAATACAGAGAAAGAATTCAGAATTCTATCAGATAAATTTAACAAAGAGATTGAAATAGTTAAAAAGAATCAAACAGAAATTCTGGAGTTGAAAAATGTGGGGGAAGGTTCCAAGATGGCCAAATAAGAACAGCTCCAGTCTGCAGCTCCCAGCATGAGCAACACAGAAGATGGGTGATTTCTGCATTTCCAACTGAGGTACCAGGCTCATCTCACTGAGGCTTGTCAGACAGTGGATGCAGCCCATGGAGCAGGGTGGGGCATCTCCTCACCCGGGAAGTGCAAGAGGTCGGGGAATTCCCTTTCCTAGCAAAGGGAAGCCGTGACAGATTGTACCTGGAAAATTGGGATGCTCCCACCCTAATACTGTGCTTTTCCAACAGCCTTAGCAAACGGCATACCAGGAGATTATATCCTGTGCATGGCTCAGAAGGTCTCACTCCCACAGAGCCTTGCTCACTGCTAGCACAGCCATCTGAGATTGAACTGCAAGGTGGCAGTGAGGCTGGGGGAGGGGTGTCCACAATTGCTGAGGCATGAGTAGGTAAACAAAGCAGCTGGGAAGCTTGAACTAGGTGGAGCCCACCACAGCTCAAGGAGTCCTGCCTTTCTCTGTAGACTCCACCTCTGGGGGCAGGGCATAGCTGAACAAAAGGCAGCAGAAACTTCTGCAGACTTAAATGTCCCTGTCTGACAGCTTTGAAGAGAGTAGTGCTTCTCCCAGCACAGAGTTTGAAATCTGAGAATGGACAGACTGCTTCCTCAAGTGGGTCCCTGACCCCCGAGTAGCGTAACTGGGAGACACCTCCCAGTAGGGGCCGACTGACACCTCGTACAGCCGGGTGCCCCTCAGAGATGAAGTCTCCAGAAAAAGGATCAGATAGCAACATTTGCCGTTCTGCAATATTTGTTGTTCTGCAGCCTCTGCTGCTGATACCCAGGCAAACAAGGTCTGGAGTGGACCTCCCACAAACTCCAACAAACCTGCAGCTGAGGGTCCTGACTGTTGGAAGGAAAACTAACGCATAGAAAGGACATCCACACCAAAAACCCATTTGTATGTCACTGTCATCAAAGACCAAAGGTAGATGAAACCACAAAGATGGGGAGAAACCAGAGCAGAACAGCTGAAAATTCTAAAAATTGGAGTGCCTCTTCCCCTCCAAAGGAACGCAGCTCCTCGCCAGCCAAGGAGCAAAGCTAGAAGGAGAATGACTTTGTCAAGTTGAGAGAAGAAGGCTTCAGACGATCAGTAATAACAAACTTCTCTAAGCTAAAAGAGGATGTTCGAACCCATCACAAAGAAGCTAAAAACCTTGAAAAAAGATTAGTTGAATGGCTAACTAGAATAAACAGTGCAGAGAAGACCTTAACTGACGTGATGGAACTGAAAACCATGGCACAAGAACTACATGATGCATGCACAAGCTTTAGTAGCTGATTTGATCAAGTGGAAGAAAGGGTATCAGTGATTAAAGATTAAATGAATGAAATGAAATGAGAAGAGAAGTTTACAGAAAAAAAGAATAAAAAGAAACAAACAAAGCCTCCAAGAAATATGGGACTATGTGAAAAGACCAATCTACATCTGATTGGTGTACCTGAAAGTGACGGGGAGAATGGAACCAAGTTGGAAAACACTCTGCAGGATATTATCCAGGAGAACCTACCGAACCTAGCAAGGCAGGCCAACATTCAAATTCAGGAAATACAGAGAATGCCACAAAGATACTCCTCAAGAAGAGCAACTCCAACACCCATAATTGTCAGATTCACCAAAGTTGAAATGAAGGAAAAACTGTTAAGGGCAGTCAGAGACAAAGGTCGGGTTACCCACAAAGGGAAGCCCATCAGACTAACAGCTGATCTCTCGGCAGAAACTCTACAAGCCAGAAAAGAGTGGGGGCCAATATTCAACATTCTTAAAGAAAAGAATTTTCAACCCAGAATTTCATATCCAGACAAATTAAGCTTCATAAGGGAAGGAGAAATAAAATCCTTTACAGACAAGCAAATGCTGAGACATTTTGTCACCACCAGGCCTGCCCTAAAAGAGCTCCTGAAGGAAGCACTAAACATGGAAAGGAACAACCAGTACCAGCCACTGCAAAAACATGTCAAATTGTAAAGATCTTTGAGGCTAGGAAGAAACTGCATCAACTAACGAGCAAAATAACCAGCTAACATCATAATGACAGGATCAAATTCACACATAACAATATTAATCTTAAATGTAAATGGGCTAAATGCTCCGATTAAAAGACACAGACTGGTGAATTGGATAAAGAGTCAAGACCCACCAGTGTGCCGTATTCAGGAGACCCAACTCATGTGCAGAGACACACATAGGCTCAAAATAAAGGGATGGAGGAATATTTACCAAGCAAATGGAAAACAAAAAAGCAGGGGTTGCAATCCTAGTCTCTGATAAAAGAGACTTTAAACCAACAAAGATCAAAAGAGACAAAGAAAGCCATTACATAGTGGTAAAGGGATCAGTGCAACAAGAAGAGCTAACTATCCTAAATATACATGCACCCAATACAAGAGCATCCAGATTCATAAAGCAAGTCCTTAGAGACCTACAAAGAGACTTAGACTCCCACACAATAATAATGGGAGACTTTAACACACCACTGTCAACATTAGACAGATCAATGAGACAGAAAGTTAACAAGGATATCCAGGAATTGAACTCAGCTCTGCACCAAGCAGACCTAATAGATATCTACAGAACTCTCCACCCCAAATCAACAGAATATACCTTCTTCTCAGCACCACATCACACTTATTCCAAAGTTGACCACATAGTTGGAAGTAAAGCACTCCTCAGCAAATGTAAAAGAATAGAAATTATAACAAACTGTCTCTCAGACCACAGTGCAATCAAACTAGAACTCAGGATTAAGAAACTCACTCAAAACTGCTCAACTACATGGAAACTGAACAACCTGCTGCTGAATGACTACTGGGTACATAACGAAATGAAGGCAGAAATAAAGATGTTCTTTGAAACCAATGAGAACAAAGACACAACATACCAGAATCTCTGGGACACATTTAAAGCAGTGTGTAGGGGGAAATTTATAGCACTAAATGCCCACAAGAGAAAGCAGGAAAGATCTAAAATTGACACCCTAACATCACAATTAAAAGAACTAGAGAAGCAAGAGCAAACACATTCAAAAGCTAGCAGAAGGCAAGAAATAACTAAGATCAGAGCAGAACTGAAGGAGAGAGAGACACAAAAAACCCTTCAAAAAATCAATGAATCCAGGAGCTGGTTTTTTGAAAAGATCAACAAAATTGATAGACTGCTAGCAAGACTAATAAAGAAGAAAAGAGAGAAGAATCAAATAGATGCAATAAAAAATGATAAAGGGGATATCACCACCGATCCCACAGAAATAAAAACTACCATCAGAGAATACTATAAACACCTCGACACAAATAAACTAGAAAATCTAGAAGAAACGGATAAATTCCTGGACACATACACCCTCCCAAGACTAACCCAGGAAGAAGTTGAATCTCTGATAGACCAATAACAGGTTCTGAAATTGAGGCAATAGTTAATAGCCTACCAACCAAAAAAAGTCCAGGACCAGATAGATTCACAGCCGAATTCTACTGGAGCTGGTACCATTCCTTCTGAAACTATTCCAATCAATGGAAAAAGAGGGAATCCTCCCTAATTCATTTTATGAGGCCAACGTGATCCTGATACCAAAGCCTGGCAGAGACACAACGAAAAAAGGATTTTAGACTAATGTCCCTGATGAACATCGATGCAAAAATCCTCAATAAAATCCTGGCAAATCAAATCCAGCAGCACATCAAAAAGCTTATTCACCATGATCAAGTTGGCTTCATCCCTGGGATGCAAGGCTGGTTCAACATACACAAATCAATAAACGTAATCCAGCTTATAAACAGAACCAAAGACAAAAACCACATGATTATCTCAATAGATGCGGAAAAGGCCTTTGACAAAATTCAACAGCCCTTCATGCTAAAAACTCTCAATAAATTAGGTATTGATGGGATGTATCTCAAAATAATAAGAGCTATTTATGACAAACCCACAGCCAATATCATATTGAATGGGCAAAAACTGGAAACATTCCCTTTGAAAACTGGCACAAGACAGGGATGCCCTCTCTCACCACTCTTATTCAACAGAGTGTTGGAAGTTCTGGCCAGGGCAATCAGGCAAGAGAAAGAAATAAAGATTATTCAGTTAGGAAAAGAGGAAGTCAAATTGTCCCTGTTTGCAGATGACATGATTGTATATTTAGAAAAAACCATTGTCTCAGCCCAAAATCTCCTTAAGCTGATAAGCAACTTCACCAAAGTCCCAGGATACAAAATCAATGTACAAAAATCACAAGCATTCTTATACACCAATAACAGATAAACAGAGAGCCAAATCATGAGTGAACTCCCATTCACAACCGCTTCAAAGAGAATAAAATACCTAGGAATCCAACTTACAAGGGATGTGAAGGACCTCTTCAAGGAGAACTGCAAGCTACTGCTCAATGAAATAAAAGAGGACACAAACAAATGGAAGAACACTCCATGCTCATGGGTAGGAAGAATCAATATCGTGAAAATGACCATACTGCTCAAGGTAATTTATAGGTTCAATGCCATCCCCATCAAGCTACCAATGACTTCTTCACAGAATTGGGAAAAAGTACTTTAAAGTTTATATGAAACCAAAAAAGAGCCCACATTGTCAAGTCAATCCTAAGCCAAAAGAACAGAGCTGGAGGCATCACGCTACCTGACTTCAAACTATACTACAAGGCTACAGTAAGCAAAACAGCATGGTACTGGTACCAAAACAGAGATATAGACCAATGGAACAGAATAGAACCCCTGGAAATAATACCACACATCTACAACCATCTGATCTTTGACAAAACTGACAAATACAAGAAATGGGGAAAGGATTCCCTATTTAACAAATGGTGCTGGGAAAACTGGCTAGCCATATGCAGAAAGCTGAAACTGGATCCCTTCCTTACACCTTACACAAAAATTAATTCAAGATGGATTAAAGACTTAAATGTTAGATCTAAAACCATAAAAACCCTAGAAGAAAACCTAGGCAATACCATTCAGGACATAGGCGGGACTTCATGTCTAAAACACCAAAAGCAATGGTAACAAAAACCAAAATTGACAAATGAGATCTAATTAAACTAAAGAGCTTCTGCACAGCAAAATAAACTACCATCAGAGTGAACAGGCAACCTACAGAATGGGAGAAAATTTTTCAATCTACTGGTGTGTCAAAGGGCTAATATCCAGAATGTACAAAGAGCTCAAACAAATTTACAAGAAAAAACAAACAACCCCATCAACAAGTGGGTGAAGGATATGAACAGACACTTCTCAAAAGAAGACATTCATGCAGCCAACAGACACATGAAAATTAAATGCTCATCATCACTGGCCATCAGAGAAATACAAATCAAAACCACAATGAGATACTATCTCACACCAGTTAGAATGGTGATCATTAAAAAGTCAGGAAACAATAGGTGCTGGAGAGGATGTGGAGAAATAGGAACGCTTTTACACTGTTGGTGGGACTGTAAACTAGTTCAACCATTTTGGAAGACAGTGTGGCGATTCCTCAGGGATCTAGAACTAGAAATACCATTTGACCCAGCCATTCCATTACTGGGTATATACCCAAAGGATTATAAGTCATGCTACTATAAAGACACATGCACACGTATGTTTATTGGGGCACTATTCACAATAGTAAAGACTTGGAACCAACCTAAATGTCCAACAATGATAGACTGGATTAAGAAAATGTGGCACATATACACCATGAAATATTATGTAGCCATAAAAAAGGATGAGTTCATGTCCTTTGTAGGGACATGGATGAAGCTGGAAACCATGATTCTCAGCAAACTATCGCAAGGACAAAAAACCAAACACCGCATGTTCTCACTCATAGGTGGGGATTGAACAATGAGAACACTTGGACACAGGAAGGGGAACATCACACACTAGGGCCTGTTGTGGGATCGGGGGAGGGGGGAGGGATAGCATTAGGAGATATATCTCATGTAAATGACGAGTTAATGGGTGCAGCACACCAATATGGCACATGTATACATATGTAACAAACCTGCACATTGTGCACATGTACCCTAGAACGTAAAGTATAATTTAAAAAAAAAAAGAACTTGGGAGTTGTGATCTATGCTGTATCTGTTTTAGGGGGGGACACCAAGCCCAGTAATACTGTGGTTATTGCAGACTTGTAGAGATACTGCTTTGATCATCTTAGACAAGATCCAGAAGTATTCTCTAGATAAGCAGGCAGAGACTCTTGTTGTCTTCCCTTACTTTCTCCCAAACAAACAGAGACTCTGTCTGTTCTGAGCCACTGGGAGCTGGGGGTGGAATGACACAGTCACTCCTGTGGCCACCACCATCAGGACTGTGCTGAGTCAGACCTGAAGCCAGCACAGCACTGGGTCTCACCCAAGGCCTGCTATAACTACTCCCTGGCTACCACCTATTTCACTAAAAACCCTGGGGCTCTACAGTCCACAAGTGGCAAAGCCAGCCAGGCCTATGTCTTTCCCTTCAGGAAATTTCCTGATTTCCTCTAGCCCCAGGGTGGGTCCAGAGATGCTGCCTGGGAGCCAGTGGCTACAGTCAAAAACTTTGGAAGTCTACTTTGTGTTCTATTGTACTGTGGTTTAACTGGCACTCAAACCACAAGATGCAGTGCTTCTCACTCATTCCCAAAGGCAGAGGAGTCTTACCCTGTGGACACTCGCACCTCAGGCCCATGGGGAGTACTGCCAGACTACTGCCAATATTCCCTTAAGACCTGAAGTATCTTCAGTCAGCCTGGCCTGAGACTCACTCTTCAGGGGAATGGGCTCCCCTCTGGCCCAGGGCAGGTCCAGAAATGCCATCCAAGAGCCAAGTCCTAGAACTGGGGACCCCAAGAACCCACTTGGTTCTCCACCTTCTTGTGGCTGAGCTGGTACCTAAGATGTGAGACAGTCTTTTTTACTTTTCCCTTCACTTTTCTCAAGCAGAAGTTTTGCCCCATAGCCACCACAGCTGTAAAGTGCTGAGTTTCACCTAAAGCTAGCAAGTCTCAGTGTCTCATTCAAGGCCCTTGACATAGTACCTGGGTATTGCTGCTGGTTATTCAGGGTCTAAGGGCTCTTCAGTTAGCAGGTCATGAATCCTACCAGGACTGGGCCCTTCCCTTTAAGGTGGTGGATTCTTTCCTGGCCCAGGGTATATCTAGAAATGTCTGGGATCTAGGGCCTGGAAAGGGGGCCTCACAGCTCTTACTGCTCTCCTATCCTGCTGTGGGTGATCTGGTATCCAAGATGCAAGACAAAGTCCTCCCCACTCTTCCCTCTCCTCTACTTAAGTGAAAGGAAGATGTCTCTTTCGGAGCTGCAAGCTAAGCAGCCTGGGTTTAGAGGAGGGGCAGTGCCAGCACTCCCTTGGCTGCCCTGGCTGGTGTCTCACTAGGTCGCATGTCCCCCCAGTCCACTGTCTCAGGGCCCAGTTCAGCACTAAGATTCTCCTAAGTGTTGCAGTCCTTGTGGCCTAGACTGCCTTTCACATTGGTCTGGGGTGCCAGAGCACTTTAGCCGGCAGTAGTGAGGCTTGCAGAAACGCAAGTTACAACCACTGGAATCGGTGATTCTCCTCTGGCAAGGGCTGGTTTAAATACTCCCACTGTGGGTGGGTGTCAGCTGAGTTTGGTTCGGTTTTGCTTTCTGCTATAACAAGGGCAGCACTGAGTTCAATGCCTCACAATTGCTGGCTCTCCCTCTCCCCATGGCACAGAAGTGCTTTGCACCATGCAATCACTGCTAGGGGATGGGAGAGGAGTGGCACCAGCAATTCCAGACTGTTTTTCCTACTTCTTGAGTGCCTCTTTCAGTAAAATGAAGTTAATTAAAACCAGGTACTATGAGTGCTCACCTGATTTCTGGTTCTTATGAAGGTGTTCTTTCTGTGTAGATAGTTGTTAAATTGATATCCTTGCACAGGGTATAATTGGTGGAGACTTCTTTTCTGCCATCTTGTCCTGTCCTTCTCCATATGACCCGTTTTCTGTGTATGTGTGAAGAGATACAGCTCTGGCGTGTCTTCTTTTCTTACAAGGACACCAGTCCTATTGAATTAGGGCCCCACCCCCATGACCTCATTTAACCTTAATCACCTCCATAAAGGCCCTGTCTCCACATAGAGTCAGTCACTTTGGGGGTTAGGACTTCAATATATGAAATTAGTGTTTTAAAATAATAAACACTTATCTCATAGTTTCTGTGGGTTAAGGATTCAGAAGAGGTTTAACTAGGTGGTTCTGGCCCAGGGCATTTCATGAGGTTGCAGTTAAGATGTAGGTTGTGGCTGTAGGCATCTGGAAGCTTGATTGGGGCTGAAAGCTTCCAAGATGGCTTACGCACGCACCTGGGAAGATGGTGTTGGCCGTTGGCAAGAAGCCCCAGTTCTTTCCAGGTAGGATATGCCCAGAATGAGCAAGGAGTCAGCAAGGTGGAAACTGCTGTTGGTTTTATGACCTAGCCTTGGAAGTCATGCATTGTCATTTCTGCAAGACTGTATTCTATTGGTTACCCAGGCTGTTCAATGTGGTAGGCACTGTACAAGGGCATGAATACCAGTGGTTAGCATTAATGGAGGCCATCTTGGAGGCTGGCCACCACAGGATACCAGAATGTATCCTGGATTCCATGGGCAGGAGGTGCGTCTGGTTTCATACGAAGTCCTGGACCTGAAAGGAAGGAGGACAAGAAGCCTGCCTTTCTTTGTGCCTTCTTTTCTCTCTGTGTCCTTCTCTCTCTCTCTTTGTCTATCTCTCCCCCTTTGATTTTTTTGGTACCTTGTTTATGCTTCCTTCCACTTTGCTCTATGAACTCTATATCTGTGAACATCTATCTGTGAACCACCTTTTGCTGTCTTAGCTAGACCTCAGCAAACATGGCTGCTGCACAATGGCAGCCACATCTCCTGGGTTTTCATATCTATTGAAGTGAAGAGCATAGAATGACTAGGATCAGTGAGTCCCAATTCCAGATTCTCAAGAGATAGAGTCTGTTGTCTATCCTGGTTTGATTAACTGAGGAAAGGGGGTCAAGAGGCGTGTAGTAAAAATGTGACCACAGCAGCCCAGAGAATGGGGAGTGGACTGTGAACTGGAAAACATCTTTAAGTGTCTGTTATTTTGATGATAAACCACAATGACATCTTCTCAAGAGCATAAAGCTGAATTGCATTAAAAAGTTATTTAAAGATTCAGCTCTTAGAAGGGTTAATTTACTGTACATTCTCTTATACATCTTCCACACAAACATTTTATTTTTTCTTTATTTTTTTAACTTATCTTTTTTTCTTTCTATTTTTTTGTGGAGGTGCTGGGGATCAAATCTGGGGCCTCATACATCCACACAAGCATTTTAAAACTTCACAAAAACTTTAAGTTTTACTCATTTCTCACTTATGTTTCACATACACTTTATTCTTCAAACCAAGTTCTATAAAATTTGTTTTAAACTTATCTCTAAAATTTCACAAGATATTAGTCATATAGCTCATGCTTTGAGAACATTCTGAAAGAACTGACCTTTGAAACTTCAACCCAGCCAGCTAGAAGTGATTTTAGAGAAAGATGACTAAGTCATCTCCTGGGACTTTCTCTTATTAGAATGCTTGCCTACAGTAGTTTGGGGGCACTTATCCTTGTTGTAATACTGCAAGTAATTTGTAAGCAGTTTTAAATATTTTAGTTAATGGATCAATAGGTGGAAACATAGAATATGGCCTCATTCAAAATGCAGGTAAAATAGATTGCTTCCACTTCACTGAAGTCCATTTCCTTTGACAGTGTGTTCTGCTGATGGATATGCTGAAATGGACATGAACCTTGAGAAGGATTTCTTCTGCATGGTATAAAATTTGTTAGTACATTTGGAGCAGAATAAAATGATGATTAAGCCTTGGGCAAGTCACTCTTTAAGCTTCAGTTTCTTTATTTGCAAAATGGGGTGTTCTTGGTACAGTTGTTATGTAGCAAATCACCATAAACTTACTGGTGTTGATATGGTTTGGATGTTTCGTGTGTTCCAAATCTCATGTTGAAATGTAATCCCCAGTGCTGGAGGTGGTGCCTGGCAGGAGTTGTTTGGGTCATGGGGCAGATCCCTAATGGATGGCTTGGTGCCGTCCTTGCAGTAATAAGTGAGTTCTCACTCTGAGTTTACATGAGATCTTGTTGTTTAAAAGAGTGTGGCACCTCCTCCCTTTCTCTCTCTTGCTCCTGTTCTTGTGGGACACACGTCATGCTGGTCCCCTGTCATCTGCCACCATGACTGTAAGCTTCCTGAGGCCCTCACCAGGAGCAGCTTGCTGGCATCATGCTTCCTGTACAGCCTGTAGAACTGTGAGCCAATTAAACCTCTTTTCTTCATAAATTATCCAGTCTCTGATATTTCCCTATAGCAACACAAGAATGGACTAACACAGAAAATTGGTACTGAGGAGTAAAGCATTGCTACAAAGATACCTGAAAATGTGGAAGTGGCTTTGGAACTGGGTAACAGACAGAGTTTGGATGAGTTTGAAGGGGTCAAAAGAAGACAGAAAGGTAAAGGAAAGTTTGGAACTTCTTAAGATTGGCTAAATGGCTATGACCAAAATGCTGATAGAAATATGAACAGTGTAGACCAGGCTGAGGAAGTCTCAGATGGAAATGTTGAAGTTATTAGGAACTGGAGTGAAGGTCACCTGTGTTATGCCCCAGCAAAGAACTTGGCTCCATTGTGTTCATGCCCTAGGGATCTGTGGAAGTTTGAATTTAAGAGTGATGACTGACAGGGCATAATGGTTCACGTCTGTAATACTAGCACTTTGGGAGGCCAAGGACGAAGGACTGCTTGATCCCAGGAGTTTGAGACCAGCCTAGGCAACAAAGTGAGACCCCAGTACTGGTCCATGACCTGTTAGAAACTGGGCTCCACAGTAGGAGGTGAGTGGTGAGCAAGTAAGCATTACCACCTGAGCGCCGCCTCTTGGGTGGTATTAGATTCTCATAGGAACATGACCCCTACTGTGAACTGCACATGCGAGGGATCTAGGTTGCATACTCCTTATTAGAATCTAATGCTTGATGATCTGAGGTGGAACAGTTTCATCCTGAAACCATCCCCCCTCCCTACTATGTGGAAAAATTGTCTTCCACAAAACTGGTCCCTGTTGCCAAAAAGGTAGGGACTGCTGACCTAGGGTATTTGGTGGGAGAAATGTCTAAGCAGCAAAACCTTCAAGAGGTGGCCTGTTTCTAAAAATCTACGATCAGATACAGGAGCAAAGAAATGACTTAAAGTTGGAACTTACATTTAGAAGGGAAGCAGAGCATAAAAATTTGGAAAATGTGCAGCCTATCCCGGTGATAGAAAAAGCAGGCTGTGGAGCAACCACTTGCTGGAGAGATTAGTATGACTGAAAGGCAGCCAAGTGCTAATATCCAACACAATGGAAAAAGGGCCTTGAAGGCATTTCAGAGACCTTGGAGACAGTTCCTTCCATCACAGGCCCAGAAGCCTAGGAATAAAGAACAGTTTCAGGGGCCGGGCCCAGGGCTTCATTGCCCTGCTCAGCCTCGGAACACTAATCCCTGTATCCCAGATGTTCCAGCTACAGCTGTGGCTCAAAGGGCCTCAAGTACAGCCTGAGCCACCACTCTGGAGGGCATAAGCTGTAAGCTTTGGAAGCTTCCACCTGATGCTAAGTCTGCAGGTGCACAGAATGCAAGAGTAAAGGAGGCTTGGCAGCTTCCCTCCTAGATTCCAAAGGATGTATCATAAAGCCTGGGTGCTCAGGCAGAAGCCTGCCATGGGGCCAGATCCCTGACAGAGAGACTCTACAAGGGCAGTGCCAAGGGGAAATGTGAAGTTGCAGCATCCCCACCCTACCATAGTCCCCACTGGGGCACTACCTAGCGGAGCTGTGGGAAGGGGGCCACTGTCTTCCAGACTCCAGAATGGTAGAGCCCCCAGCAGCTTGCACTCTCAGCCTGGAGAAGCTGCAGGCACCAGACTTCAACTTGTGAGCAGTCACAGGGGCTGAACCCTGCAAAGCCACAGCAGAAGGCCTTGGAAGCCCACCGCTTGCACCAGTGTGCCTTGGATGCAGGACATGGAGTCAAAAAAGATAATTTTGGAGAGTTAAGGTTTAATTACTGCCCTGCTAGGTTTCAGACTTGTGTGGGGACCTGTAGCCCCTTTCTTTTGTCCAGTTTCTCCCTTTCATAATGGTAATGTTTGCCCAATGCCTGTATCACGATTGTATCTTGGAAGTAAATAACTTGTTTTTAATTTTACAGGTTCATAGGTGGAAAATCTCAAATGAGCTTTTGGACTTTTGACTGAGTTGACTCTAGAATGAGTTAAGACTTTGTAGGACTATTGGGAAGGGATGATTAGTGTTGCAATGTGAGAAGAACATGAGAATTTTGTGAGGGGTGAGCAAGGGCAGAATGATATGGTTTGGATGCTTCATCTCCTCCAAATCTCATGTTAAAATGTAATCCCCAGTGTTGGAGGTAGAGCTTGGCGGGAAGCGTTTGGGTCATGGGAGCAGATCCCTCATGAATGTCTTGGTGCCCTCTTCACAGTAATGAGTGAGTTCTCACTCTGAGTTCATGCAAGATATGGTTGTTTAAAAGAGTATGGCACCTCCTCCCTCTCTCTCTCTTGCTCCCATTCTCATGGGACATGTGTCATGCTGGTTCCCCATCACCTTCCATCATATCGTAAGCTCCTTGAAGCCTCAGCAGAAGCAGATGCCAGCACTATGCTTCTTGTACAGCCTGCAACACTGTGAGCCAATCAAACCTCTTTTCTTTTCTTTTTTTTCTTTTTTTTGACAGAGTCTTGCTCTGTTGCCCAGGCTGGCATGCCGTCACATGATCTTGGTTCACTGCAACCTCCATCTCCTGGGTTCAAGCGATTATCTTGCTTCAGCGTCCCGAGTAGCTGGGACTGCAGGCACCCACCACCATGCCTGGCTTATTTTTGTATTTTTAGTAGATGCGGGGTTTCACCATGTTAGCCAGGCTGGTCTTGAACTCCTGACCTCAAATGATCCACCCACCTTGGCCTCCCAAAATGCTTGGATTACAGGTGTGAGCCACAGTGCCCAGCCACCTCTTTTCTTTATAAATTACCCAGCCTCAGGTTTTCTTTATAGCAATGTAAGAACGGACTCGAACAAGCATAAAACATGGGTCAGGACTTCAGAAAGGACTTAGGTGGGAAATTCTTGCAACTCGCCCATGCAGTTGCATTCAGATGCCAACTGGGATACAGGCATCTGAAGGCTTGACTGGCCTGGGAATCCAAGATGGATGTTCCGTGGTTTGCAGTGGAGGCTGGCTGTTGGCTGGTGACTAGGCTGACACCATTGGTTGGAAACACCTACATGTGGCCTCTCCAGCGTGTGGCCTAATGGTAGTAGAACTTCGTTTTAAAAAATTTATTTATTTATTTTAGAGACACAGTCTCACTCTATTGCCCAGGCTAGAGTTCAGTGGCATGATCGTAGCTCACTGCAGCCTTGAACTCCTGGCCTCAAGCGATCCTCCTGCCTTGGCTTCCAAAAGTGCTGGGATTACAGGTGTGAGCCACCACATCCTGGTAGTAGAGCTTCTTAAGTGGCGTGGTGTCTGGTTTCTCCCTGAACAAACATCACAAGAGGGCCTCGTAGAAGTTGCATGACATTTTCTGAGCTAGCCTTGAAAGTTAATGACCTCATTCTGCTATACTCAAGTGGTTAAAGCCTACTGGGATTAAAAGGGCGGAGACCAAAGGTCCAGCTTGTTGATGGGAGGAGTGGCAAGATCACATTGTGGGAAAGTATTTGGGATGAGAGACACTGTTGCGGCCATATTTAGAAAATACAATCTTCTGCATATAGATAATATTACTGACTATTTCATGAGGTTTTGTGAGGATCTGTGAAAAGTATGTGTGGAATACTTAATACAGTGTCTGGCACACTGGAAAAGTTCAATAAATGTTACCATTCTTCTTATTATTTCAACACTTCCCTTTGCAGAATTTTTCAGTTTGGAGTAAACACTATTTTGAGTTTCTAAATTGCTTCCAGTTCTCAGAAATATCTGATTAAGTTTAGGCAGATCAAGGCTAAAAAATATAAGTGAAATTGGATGGAAGTGTATTGTGGTTACCTGTAAAGTGTCTTTTTGAATTCTGAAATACACAGCAGCCTTTTGTGTGAAGGCAAAATGTTCTAAATGAGAGGAAAATTCTCTGTGGCCCTCTTGCTACATGCTTTGGTAATGATAATGAACATGCTTTGGATTGGAACTTCCACTAGAGGGTTAGTACCTATCGTTTGCCTTTGTTTTCTCACCTTTAAATCTGTTGTAATGATGAAGTCGATGCAAACTTTCTTATCAAGGTTTGCAGGACTGTTCTTTATGGTTGTAAAAGTCACAGATTTTCAGATGTTACAAAATTTAGCAGCAGTAACTTTGCCTTCCCAGAGGAATTTGAAATGAGCATCCCAGACAATGAAAATGCCTCTGACAAACTCAGCTTGTGCTTTGTTGTCAAGCTGTGATGATTTAGATCCTCCTCTCCTTGACTTCAGAAATCTATGTCACTGCTGCCCCAGGTAGCTGGCAAATGATGTTCTCTTTATCTGTCTTTTGCTGTGAAATCATGTTCTTATCACTGTGCGTTGAAGGACGTCTTTGCACCTGACCACTTTGATTTGAGGGTGATGTCAAACAGATTTTCACTCAAATAAATATTCAGTTGTGGCAAGCATGACAAATAGAATCTTTGTGGCCTTGTTTCAATTGGGAGCAATGAGGAATGCATTAGTATGGAAAAATATATTAAAATAACTTTTTTTTCTTTTTGATGCAAAATAATTTATGTTCTGCATAGAAAATTTTAGAAAGTCTAGACAAGCGGCTGGGCATGGTGGTTCATGGTTGTAATCCTAGCATTTTGGGAGGCCAAGGCTGGTGGATCACCTGAGGTCAAGAGTCCGAGACCGGCCTGGCCAACATGGTGAAACCTAGTCTCTACTAAAAATACAAAAAACAGTAGCTGGGCGTGGTGGCGTGTAGTCCCAGCTACTCAGGGAGGCTGAGGCAGGAGAATTGCTTAAACCCAGGAGGCGGAGGTTGCAGTGAGCCAAGATCATGCTACTGTACTCCAGCCTGGGCGACAGAGGGAGACTCCATCTCAAAAAAAAGAAAAGAAAGAAAGTCTAGACAAGTGAAAAGGAAAAAAAATAAGGCTGGGCATGGTGGCTCATACCTGTGATCCCAGCACTTTGGGAGGCCAAGGCAGGAGGATCTCTTGAGATCAGGAGTTTGAAACCAGACTGGGTAACACACCAAGACCCTGTCTTTACAAAAAAAGAAAAAGCGAAAACTTAGCCAGGCATCACGGTGGCGAGTGCCAGTAGTCCCAGCTACTTGGGAGGTTGAGGTGGGAGGATCACTTGAGCCCAGGAGTCTGAGGTAACACTAAGCTGTGATCATGCCACTGCACTCCAGCCTGGGGACAGCAGGAGACCCTGTCTCTAAAAAACCAGAAAGGAAAAAAAAAAAATCACCCTCATGCTTATCACCTGGATATCATAATTAACATTTTAGAATATGTATTTTTGGCAAGTACACATATATACACAACACAGATTTTTTAAGAATGGATCATGCCGAATGCAGTGGCTCACGCCTATAATCCCAGCACTTTCGGAGGCTGAGGTGAGAGGACTGCTTGAGCCCAGGAGTTCAAGACCAGCCTGGGCAACAAAGTGAAACCCTGTCTCTACAAAAAAATTTTAAAAATTAGGTGGAAGTGGTGGCCATATAATCCTTGAAAACAACAGGTTAAATAGAAAATAATATAACCATATCAATAGATGCTAAAAAGTATTTGATAAAATTTGGCAGCTATTCTTAATTTAAAATAGAGAGAATTTTTTAATTAATTATTTTTAACTAATTTTAATTAATTTTTAAACCAATTTTAATTTTTTAACTAATTACCAAATATGCTAATAAGACTAATTGAAATATGGTTTAATTAAAATTAGGAACCAGATAAGGACGCTTGCTATCAACACTGTTATTTGACATTATCTTCTAGACTTTCTAGCAAATTATAACATCACAAAATTAAATAGGTGGTTGAATCATTGAAAAAGAAGACAAACATATTCCTTCAAGCTGGCAATATAAATGTAGAAAATTTGAGAGATTTAGTAAGATACCTCTAGAATTAATAAGGAAATAAGCAAATGGGGAAAATAATGTATTCAGAATGGAATGATAGCAATAAGAACTGTAAAATGCTTATGTATAAGTTTAACAAGAAAGATAACATCCTTACAAATAGCAGATTTATTTATTTATTTATTTATTTGAGACAAGGTCTTGCTCTGTCACCCAGGCTGGAGTGCAGTGGGACAATTATGGCTTACTACAGCCTCAACCTCCTAGGCTCAGTTGATACTCCTACCTCAGCCTCCCAAAGTGCTGGGATTATAGGCATGAGCCACCATGCCCAGCCTAAGAACAGAATTTGACACAAAAACTGAACAAAAAAGACATACCTCTTCTTGGGAAGTCTTCATATTAAAAAACTGATTCCTTCAAAATTAAATCTAATGCAATTACAATTAGAATAGTAACCTGTGTGTGTGTGTATGTGTGTGTATGTGTGTGTATGTATAGAACAAACACAGTTTAAATAAAAGATAAGTGCTTCAAAGTAGTCAAGGATTTTGTGTGTGTGTGTGCATGTGTGTGTGTGTGTGTGGGGAAAAATTAACAAATAGCAATGACATGCTTGCCACATATCAAAAACTACATAGCAAATCAGGATGGTATTGACATGAAAATAGCAAGTAAATTGGTAGAGTAGAATGGAGGATCCACAATGGATCCCATTATGGGCCACGTGCGGTGGCTCACACCTGTAATCTCAGCACTTTGGAGTTCGAGATCAGCCTAGCCAACATGGTGAAACCTCGTCTCTACTAAAAATACAAAAATTAGCCAGGCGTGGTGGCAGGTGCCTGTAATCCCAGTTACTCGGGAGGCTGAGGCAGGAGAATCACTTGAACCCGGGAGGTGGAGGTTGCAGTGAGCCGAGATCGCGTCACTGTACTCCAGCCTGGGCGACAAAGAGCAAGACTCCATCTCAAAAAAAAAAAAAAAAAAAAGAAAAAAAATTAAACAATATGCCTTGAAAGAAAGGGGACTGACATAGATGCTTTTAGAAAGGAAAGTCCTAAACCAATCATTTCATATTATTAGGTAGATAAGGACAGTCAGCAAAAACATTTACATGTCAGTTACTCAAAAATTTAAATCTATGTTTTATTTTGTATACTGTGCTTAAAGAATTGAGCATTTGTCTAAATCAGCCAACTAAAAGGTCAAAGAGCTTTCCTACAATATTAAAATATTTTTTAATAGTCCCAAGGATAGTTGTAACCCTGTGCTATGGTTTGAATATTTGTGTCCCCTCCAAAATTCAAGCTGAAACTCAATCCCCAGTGCTACAGTATTAAGAGGTAAGGCCTTTAGGAGGTGATTAAATAATGAGAACAGAGCCCTCATGAATGGAATTAGCAACCTTATAAAAGGGCTGGAGGGAACTAGCTAGTCCCTTTTTGCTCTTTCATCCCTTCCGCCATGTGAGAACACAGCCTTTTAAGATGCCATCTTGGAAGCAGAGACTGGGCCCTCACCAGACACGAACGCTGCTAGCACCTTGATCTTGGACTTCCCAACCTAATAAACTAATATTGAGTCTCATACATAATGGGATCTATTTTTTGTTTTTGTTTTTGTTTTTTGAGATGGAGTCTTGCTCTTGTCATCCAGGCTGGAGCACAGTGGCCCAATGTCAGCTCACTGCAACCTCCACCTCCAGGGTTCAAGCCATTCTCCTGCTTCAGCCTCCCGTGTAGCTGGGAATTACAGACACCTGCCACCACGCCCGGCTAATTTTGGTATTTTTAGTAGAGACGGGGTTTCACCATGTTGGCTAGGCTGGTCTCGAACTCCTGATCTCAGGTGATCCACCCGCCTCGGCCTCCCAAAGTGCTGGGATTACAGATGTGAGCCACTGCACAGGCCAAATGTTGTTTGTTAACTAAGGCTTATAGCTTTTCTCTTCAATTACAGTTTCTAACCAAGATGAAATGAAAAAATATGGAGCTTATATTTTTCTGATTTTGTAGTTAGAATTATTTTAATATTTCAACATTGAATATAATTATTAATTAGGCTTCTTATGAATGTTTGAAATTTCCTCCTATCCTTAGCTTACTAATAGTTTTATTTATTTATTTTTGAGACAGAGTCTCTGTTGCCCAGGCTGGAATGCAGTGGCATGATCATGGCTCTCTGCACCTTGATCTCCCTGGCTCAAGCAGATCCTCCTACCCCCACCTCAGCCTCCTTAGTAGCTGGGACTATAGGCATGAGCTAATTCTTGTATTTTTTTGTAGAGACAAGGTCTCATTATATTGTCCAAGCTGGTCTCGAACTCCTAGGCTTGAGAGATCCTCCTGCTTCAGCCTCCCAAAATGCCGGGACTACAGGTGTGAGCCACTGTGCCCCATCCTTAGCTTACTTAAAGTTTTAAAATGAAATTAGGTGATGGGTCTTCGTTGTTCCTTGTACTATTTTTAAAGATTTTCTGTACATCTGAATATTTTGCAATTAAAAGCTGGAAAAAATTAGATTTCTATAATTACAAAGGACATCAAGAAATGCTACAAAAATGCAATTTGATTTTTTGGTGCTGTCAGGAGTCTAGAGCCTCACAATTTGTTTTGGTTACAGTTTGTCACTGTAGGATAAATGATCCATTTAACTATTAAAAAAAGAAGAAAAAATGTTACAAAAATGTTAAGAGAAGGCAGAGGGTCTGCCATGACTGATTGGGTTATAAGCAAACAGTCATTGCCCTCTGTTGTTTTTCCTTAGGGAGAGCAGAGATGCTGGAGGGGTTGGAGGTGGCAGGAAATACTTAGCTTAGATGTAATAAGGAATGTCCTTCCGTAGGAGACCATGCATCTTCTTGTCCTTGATTGTGCTTAAGAGCTCCATAGGTGCTCTCTGTCTAGGATGGTGGAGGCCACCTATGGAGGGTGGCTATTCCTTTGATTGGAGAGAGGAGGCAGCAGAATGGTTCCTCAGATAGACCCAGGGCAGCTGCAACTCACAAGACCCTATAGAGTTAGCTGGACAGTGTCCAGCTGCCCTGAAAACAACAGACAGTACCATGTGGGGATGTAGATTAAGTTCTGTTTGCAGTGGACCTGTTGGCCTCCACAGGTTCTCTCTGTGAATTAGTCTTTGCCTTGCATCTCACCCAGAGCCATTCCATCGGACTCTGAGCACAAGGCAGGGAGGGACTCTGGAGTTTACAGAGCCCAGCTCTTTATTCTTCTGGGAACAGAGTTCGCACCAATCTGGCACTTATAAAAGCATGGGCTTGGCTGGGCGTGGTGGCTCACGCCTGTAATCCCAGCACTTTTGGAGGCTGAGGCGGGCGGATCACCTGAGGTCGGGAGTTTGAGACCAGCCTGACCAACATGGAGAAACCCCGTCTCTACTAAAAATACAAAAAATTAGCCGTGGTGGTGCATGACTGTAATCCCAGCTACTCGGGAGACTGAGGCAGGAGAATCTCTTGAACCCGGGAGGTAAAGGTTGCGGTGAGCCGAGATTGTGTCATTGACCTCCAGCGTGGGCAACAAGAGTGAAACTCTATCTCAAAATAAATAAATAAATAAATAAAAGCATGGGCTTTTCCAAGAGATGCAGTCTTCAAGACATGGGGCAGGCACATTTCCATTGAAAAATAATTTGTGCAAAAGATTAGTTGTTGCTGACTATATCCAGGATATTTAGGCAATGGGATAGTTTCCAGAGTGCCACACGCACAGCACCTATGGATACCACTTCTGGATTCTGACCTTAATCTAAATCCTGACTCTCCCATTAATTAGTTGTGTAAGTTTGGAAGCAAGTACCTTAATGTCTCTGTGCCTCAGCTTCCTTCTTGGTGGACTGGGTATTACAATAGCACCACCTAGCTCCTAGAGTTTGCTTGGAGGTTGAAATAACATGTAAAATGCTTGGAATGGTACACAGTAAGTGTTCAGTAAGTGTTGACTATTATTATTTTTCTTTTTGGTTTTTGTTTTTATTTTTAGAGATGGAGTCTTTCTTTGTTGCCCAGGCTGGCCTCAAACTCCTGTGCTCAGGTGATCTGCCTGCTTCAGCCTCCTAAGTAGCTGAGATTACAAGTGTGAGCCACCATTCCAAGGTATTATTATTTATTAGCATGATTATATTGTATCCTCTTTGATATGCCCCACACGCTCCTTATTTTCCAATAGCTCAGCTACCTTAAACAGGCCCCAACTTACCTCAGGGCTGAGAAGCAGTTACTTACTCTTGGATTTTCCTGGTCACCCAGCTGGAGGGGGTTTCCAGGCTCCCAGGAGCTTCCTGCTTCTCTAGCCCCAGAAAATATTAAATTCTTAGATGAGAGGACTCTGACCCTTGCTTTTGGGTTGTGTTGGTGAGGTAGCAGCTAGTGAATCATCCCATGTCCTTTCCTCTTGAGGTAAAAGTGTAACTGTGGATAATGAGATTCATCAAGCGCAGCCACAGGCAGCCCCAGGGAGCCTGCTGGATTATTAGAGCAACATCCCCGACAAAGCCTTGGTACAAGCCATTCTGGGGAGACTTTGTGACTCTGTGCATCTAGTGCAGGCCTGGTGTATTTGGATTGCTTCCCAGTTTCTACGGAATTTTGAAACTTGGAATCCCGAGTATGGATCTGCTGAGGGAAGCTCCCCCTCTCTGGAGCGAAGTTGTGGGTATTCTCACGAGGCTCATTACAACCTTAAGATAACAAGGCCCCAGCCACTTCCAAATCCCTTGGCTGTTGATTGCTCTAACTTAAGGAGTGGAAGTTTGCCCTTTTCCCCCAGCTGCAGAACACAGTAACTTTAGATAAAGTTTAATGAGTCTTGTTGAAGGCCTGAGGAAAATATGGCAGGCAAGGGCTGGGGCCACTGGGGTTATGGCTATGGGCAGGAGCCGTGTGCACCGTGTGGCCATGCTGGGCCAGGAGCTGCAGGGTAATTCCTCCTCTGCCCCTCCACCTCTTTATCCCCCATGCTCATTGAGCTTGATCCAGCCATAGAGGCCTTCTTGTTCTTCAAGCACATCACTAGCGCCCATCTCAGAGCCTGGGGCCCCAGCCCTGTGGCCTTTGCTCAGTGTCACCTCCATAGATGAACTTTTCCTGTCTTCTGTTAAAAAGACCCCCCTCCTTGTTATTCTCTCTTCCCTTACCTTGCTCTACTTTTGTTCATAGCACTACCTGATGTTTTATTTACATATTTGTATTTGTCTTCCCTACTAGAAAGAAAACTCCTTGAGGGCAGAGACTTTGACCTATTTATTGCTGTGCCCTTGTGCCCAGAAGAGTGCTTGACATAAAGTAGGTGCTGAATGAATGTTTTTTGATCAGTTTAAAAAGGCAACATGCCTCTTGCCCAGTGGAGTCTGTCACAAATCAAGTAGCCTGTGGGGTAGGGCTGATAAAGACATGGGCACTTTTTGCAGCACTTTGCAGGGGGTTGGGGCATTCTAAACAGGAGAGCCTTCTAAGAAGGGAGGCATGAGAAAACCAAGGGTGAATTCTAGGCCACTTCCTGTCCTTCTGGGATGGCTGGCCTCTCTCTGAGTGCTAGCACTGGCTAACTTAAGATGTTGTCAACAACTTTGATTGTTCTGTGAAGACTAGCTTAATATGTTTCCATCCCTGGGCCTCAAGAATGGGCCCTAAATGCCTGGCGTGGTGGCTCACGTCTGTAATCCCAGCACATTGGGAGGCCAAGGTGGGTGGGTCACCTGATGTCAGGAGTTTAAGACCAGCTTGGCCAACATGGCCACTGGTCTTTATTAAAAATGCAAAAATTAGCCGGGCGTGGTCGCAGGTGCCTGTAATCCCAGCTACTCAGGAGGCTGAGACAGGAGAATGGTTTGAACCTGGGAGGCAGAGTTTGCAGTGAGCTGAGATCCCGCCACTGCACTCTAGCCTGAGTGACAAGAGCGAGACTCTGTCTCAAAAAAAAAAAGAAAGAAAGAAAAAGAAAAAGAACAGGCCGGGTGTGGTGGCTCATGCTTATAATCCTAGCACTTTGGGAGGCCGAGGCCAGTGGATTACCTGAGGTCAGGAGTTCAAGACAAGCCTGGCCAACATGGTAAAACCACGTCTCTACTAAAAATACAAAAATTAGCCAGGCATGATGCAGGTGCCTGTAATCCCAGCTACTTGGGAGACTGAGACGGGAGAATCGCTTGAACATGGGAGACAGTGATTGCAGTGAGCGGAGATTGCACCAATGCACTCCAGCTTGGGTGGCTGAAAGAGACTCTGTCTCAAAAAAAAAAAAAAATGGGTCCTAAAGTGAGTTTGTTACCAGAAAGGAGTCCAGATCCAGACCCTAAAGAGAGGGTTTTTGGATCTCACGCAAGAAAGAATTCAGGGTAAGTCTATAAAGTGAAGGCAAGTTTATTAGGAAAGTAAAGGAATAAAAGAATGGCTACTCCATAGACAGAGCGAAGGGCTGCTGGTTGCCCATTTTTATGGTTATTTCTTGATTATATGCTAAACAAGAGGAGGATCTCATGCCTCCCCATTTTAGGTCACTTAGGGTAACTTCCTGACGTTGCCATCTCATTTGTAAACCGTCATGGCACTGGTAGGAGTGTAGTAGTGAGGATGATCAGAGTGAGGATGATCAGAGGTCACTCTCATTGCCATCTTGGTTTTGGTGGGTTTTGACCAGCGTCTTTACTGCAACCTATTTTATCAGCAAGGTCTTTATGACTGGTATCTTGTGCTGACCTCCTCTCATCCTGTGACTAAGAAGGCCTTAACCTCCTGGGAATGCAGCCCAGCAGATCTCAGCCTTATTTTATCCAGCCCTTACTCAAGGTGGAGTGTCTCTGGTTCAAACGCCTCTGACAAAATGAAGTATGAAGGATGGATGCTCAAGAATATAGATTTGACTTCAGTCAGACAGGGCCATTCCCTGCTTAAAGCACACCTTCCACTTGGGCATCTTCATGCTTTAGCTCTTTCCATTTCTCCTACAAGGAGTCCTCTTCTCCTCCTCCCCCTTTCTAAGATCCCCCTTTTCAAGATCTAGTTCGAATTCTTCTTTTGTGAAGCCTTCCCAGCCATCATGGGGAAGAACTCCTTTAAGTCTCCCTCCTTCTTCTAAACTCCTTTGCATCTTACTGTTCATAACATTCACAACATTTGGCCATGAATTGTTTTGATACAATTTAAGAAACTAACTCCAAAGTCTGATTTCTTTGGTCTACAAAAGCCACCCTTTCCTTTAGTGCTTACAATTACTAGTCTAAGCCCTTGTCGTGATCAGCCACTGCAACTTTAGCAGTTTTCTGGTTCCCCTCACATGTAACCATCAGCGAAGGCTTACATTTCCTGCAGATCCCTGCTGCTTCTGGGGATCTGCTGGTCACTTCTGGCTACCTTGTGATGAGTTTCTCCAACTGCTCCTGTTTTCCCCGCCCCTCCTCATACCAAGTGCGGACCCACCAAAACCAAGATGGCAATGAGAGTGACCTCTGATCATCCTGACTACTACACTCTTACCAATGCCATGACATTATCTGCCGAGTATGTCAGGCCCATTGTAACCCCTGTTTCATTGAAAGCTTTGGAATAACAGGAGGGGATTGTGTAGGAAAGAGGGAAAAAATCCAATGAGATATAGGAGATTATTGTTCTTAAAGTCCACCAGCCATTCATCTGGATAGGGTATTTTGTTTTTTCTCTCCCACTGCTCATCTCTCTTTCTGCTGCCACATTATCATGAGACTTATCTTCTGTCGTGGAGTGTCTTTGCTCATGTCTGTCACTGGTCCATTTGCTATGACTCCCCTGCCAGGTGCTGGACCCTGATCAGGAGGCCCAGTGAGAAGGGAAAACCCCATGGTGGCCCCAGACTCACCTCTCAAGACACATCCTAACCTGTAGAGAGGGATCTCTTCCCACAGTGCAGGCCATCTCAGCGTCATGAAGGTGAGCTGTGTAGCTCAGCACGGTCTTAAGCTACTGAGAATATGATTTTGGCTTTACTGCCATAAAGCCATTGAAGTGTTTTTCAAAAACAAACAAACAAATAAACAAACAAAGTCTCCTCCAAAAGTGGAATCAGAAAATTCCTGGTAATTTAAAAAACAACTTTCCCTGGCTTCTTGACATTACATTTTCAAAAATATAGATGCTCAAGCTCATTAAAACAGTCTAGTACATTTTTTCTCCCTTAAATATATTTTATTACATCTTACAAAAATTAGCAGGCTCGTAAAACATCTGGGAAGAGAACGGTAGGGCCATCCAAGGGAAGGCCGGGGACCTGTCTTTGTCTTTGAAGGCTCACAGTCTGGGGCTGGGTGGGTTGTGTTTTGAGGCGTCATTAACAAAAATGTTCTCAAGAGTGACATGTTATTAATTTGGATGAGAAATAAGACCATTAGACCAAAATGCTCTTCCCAGTGTATTCACAAATCAGCCCTCTTTTCCTTAGTCTGAACCTTGCTGAAATCCCTTTGACCCTTTGGAAAAGAAAAGTGTAATATTTCATCTCAGTCAATGGATGTTTAGTCTGGAGAAGTCTTGGGAAGCAAGCAGTACTTTGGCAGGGAAAAAATGTCCCCGAGTCAGTCTGCCTGTCAGGGAATAGGCAGTGGTTTGTCCGCTGGATAAGCCCAAAGTTATCCAAAAGAGAGGGACAGCCACTCCCTGGTTAAATTCCTTCCTGGAATGGAGCTCCCCGGGAACTAGGAGGCAATGTCAACAATGAGGTGTGCTTCCCTCCTCTTCCACCAGGAGTCTGCCACGAGCTGGTGAGGAAGGCACTGTGAACACTGCAAAAGGTTAGAGATGCCCAAGAGGTGCTGTCAGTAAGTGCTGGGGTAGTTGCTAAGAATTTAGAAATGAGGGATATGGATGGTCCCAACTAGGAGGCTCTTAACCTTTTCTGGGTCAAAAAGCCATTTGAGAATTTGACTGTTCTCATCTCCCTCTCAATCTACATAAACACACAATTTTTTGTATAATTTTATTTATTCATTTACTTATTTATTTTGATGGAGTTTTGCTCTTCTTGCCCAGGCTGGAGTGCAATGGTGCGACCTCAGCTCACTGCAACCTCCACCTCCCTGGTTCAAGCGATTCTCCTGCCTCAGCCTCCCGAGTAGCCGGGATTACAGGCGTGTGCCACCAAGCTGGGCTAATTTTGTATTTTTAGTAGACACGCGGTTTCTCCATGTCGGTCAGGCTGGTCTCAAACTCCCGACCTCAGGTGATCCACCCGCCTCGGCCTCCCATTACAGGCATGAGCCACCGTGCCTGGCCTTTTTTGTATAATTGAAGAACAATTCTGAAGCTAGAACACTCTGAAGCTTCTGCTCTAGACTAAAAATGCCTGGAGGGGAAGGACTGGATTTGTTCTCTAATGTGTTCCAGCATGTACCAAAAGTGCCTAAGATATAGGAGGTGTCAATGAATGTTTATTAAGTGATAAGATGCAGACGTGCCTGTCAGCCGCTGCAGAGTCCAGGCTGAGGTGTGCAAATGCCAGCGGCATCAGTGCCTCGAGGTGCTTTGAGGCTGGCAGTACTTGCATCCCTGGCACTATTTTTCTTTTTCTTTTCAATTTTTCAATTTTTTTTTTTTTGAGATGACGTTTCGCTGTTGTTGCCCAGGCTGGAGAACAATGGCACGATCTTGGCTCACTGCAACCTCCGCCTCCCGGGTTCAAGCGATTCTCCTGCATCAGCCTCCTGAGTAGCTGGGATTACAGGCACCCACCACCATGCCTGGCTAATTTTTGTGTTTTTAGTAGAGACGGAGTTTCACCTTGTTGGCCAGGCTGGTCTTGAACTTCTGACCTCAAGTGATCCACCCTCCTTGGCCTCCCAAAGTGCTGGGATTACAGGCATGAGCCACTGCGCCCAGCCCGGCACTATTCTTCTTGACATTTAGTGCCAGGGCTGATGGAATGTGAAACCTTCACTCTCCTAACCCACTGGTCCTGACCTAATCTAGTGAACTGAGATCCAGGACACAGGTGTCGACCTAAAGGACAAAAACTGAGACAAAATTAATAAAAGTAGGGAGTTTACTTGGGCCAGATTTGAGGACTACAATTTGGGTGCATAGATTCAGGTTGCCCTGACTATGTGCTGAGATTAGTTAGCAGCAGTTACATGTGAGTTTTTAAAGAGGCAGTTCCTAAGTTGTTTGCCAAGAAGTTGCATCAAAATAACATAAGCTATTAATTAGCTATGCATTGTGCTTTGTATCACAAATGCCAGGAACATGAAGATAATAGGCAAGGCAGCTAGTCAAGACCAAAACACCTTTAAACACTTGCCCCTGGTCATGGGGATGGTGGGGGACAGTGGGCGTGACTGAGGTCCCACACTCATGTGTCCCTGGACCTGATAAATTTTGCATGCCTCACAGAGCTCAGGCTGCTTTCAGCTATTTTTCTTTTCTCACAGGGAAGAGATGAGGAATGACACTTGGAAGGTTCTTGCATTGCTACTCAATATTTGCAGTGACTTTGATACCAATTGCTCCTAAATGCCTCTCTGAATTCAGTCATTCAGCTGTGCTGCTTTTATTGAGCATCTTTGGTCTACCGTGTTCCAGGAGGGTGCTTGATGGGTGTTGTGGGCTGAGTCACCACAACAGCTGGTTTTGGTCACCTCATGGGTCTCTGCCACCACCACTGAAGGAGCCAGGGGCCACTGTTGCCATTGCCTCTTCTAGAAACCACAGGCCTGCTGTTAACTATGCTGTGAGTTCTGACAGGTATGGGACCTTAGAGTGAAATGAACTGTGTCTCAAAGTATTAGAGGCATTCATGGAAGAGGTCCACCAGTATCACATGCCCACATGCTCACTGATTCTCTACACTGCCAGGATCGCAGACATACAGTGTACTTAAGGAGCTGTGCCTGAACACAGCTCACCAGTTCAGAGTCCTTCTTCCCTTGTGGTGAGTTCCTTCTTAGAGGCTCCATAATCCTTTTCTGTAACCTAACCTCAGACTACGGGCACTTGCATACATCAGACCTATTTTTATGTTCTTGAATCTAAATGAGGATCAACGTTCCAGTCCTTTTTTTTTTTTTCCAGTCCGTTTTTACCCCTGGGAGAATCCTGATTTTTAACATAATTTGGTATATGCAAATAGATATAAAGGGACTCTTCTTATCTCTATTTGCTGTGGAAATAGAGGCACTAATGTAAGCAGATATTCTGAGGGGTGGGTTCAGGAAGCATGCCAGTGGTGCGAGGCTGGGGATGGATGTTTTCTGCTCTTCTCAGCCACACTGGAACCCCAGTTCTTGCCTAGCCAAAATATGCTGCTAGTCTTGCTTAGCAATAGACACTTAGCCTTAAAAATTTTTTATCCAATGACTTTTCCTTCGCTCTCATGTTTCATAACCTTTTCCTAGTTTCTGGCACTGCTGACATACCTACGTCTTGGATTTCTCCTCCCCTGCTTGCTAATCCTGTACCACTGGCTTTCTGTTGGTTTGCTTTCTCACTACTCTTTCTCTTGTTCCCAGTGGTGACTCCTTCTCCTGCCTTTTAACTGAAGGCTTTCACCGAGGCTCTATTCCCATTTTCTGAGATGAGGGCTCACTATGTTGCCCAGGCTGGTCTCAAACTCCTGGGCTCAAGGGATCCTCCGGGCACAGTCTCCTCAGTAGCTGGGATAACAGGCATGAACCACAGCACCCGGCCCTTTTTTTCCTTTTCTACATAGACTTCTCCAGAGTATTAGGTTTCCTATCTATTTGCTTACTTACTCACCCACTCCTTATTCACTTTTTTATTGAGTTTCTCTCATGTCTTTGTTATGATATTGGGCGTAGGGAATACCACGAAGAATAAAACCTAGTTTCTACCTTCAGGGAGTCATATAAATGGATAAGGCATAGCCTGAGCCAGTACCTGGCTCTTTCTACTCATAGTCTGGTGGTACTCATTGCCCTGTATTGAAAGGCTAAGTCTTGATTTTAATCTCACATCTTCCATGAATCCTGTGCCTGTACCACTAGCTTTCATTGATTTTCTTCTCTATACTGCTCTGGTCAAGAAAGCTGGAGTTTTTGCCTTCAAAGTTTTGTTACCTTGGGTGATTCATTTGACCTGTGTTAGACTTAACACCCTTCTGTGACATGAGGAGGTTATAGAACTAGGGTCCTTCCATCTTCAAAATTCTATTCCTATGATCATATACAATTGTGGGGAGGGGGAGATGGCTAATATAAAACATCAATTATATAGTGGAACTAGTACTTAAAAAAAAACCAACTTATGAATGACATCCTCATGAGAGTTGCTAGTACATCATAAAATTGTTGGTTGGGCCTAAAACATATTCATCCTTGTCGCCTATTATAATTAGCCAGTTGCCAGACCCATTACCATGCTCAAGTAAGGGAAGGCAGACATGAGAGTGGCTGGAGTTAAAGCAGAATAAGGTTGACAGCCTTAAACTTTCTGGAAGTATTGTCCTTGTACAGAAATTGTCCAAAGGTCATTGACCTTTAAAGTGAATTTTTGCCTTAATCTATAAATTTATAAATGTCATTTATGTTAAATAAATTTCTGTAGAGCAAAAGTTTGTTTGGATCTTAAAAATAACTTTCTGATTAGAAATGTGATGTATGAACACTATTTTCTTACTCATTGATACTTTGAATTTAAAAAACAGAGGCTTACTCAAGCTAGTTGACTAAAGTCTTGTGTGTATGTGAGTGTGTGTGTGTATGTGTAAGATTGTAGAAAGAATACATCAGGCAGTCTCTCATGGGCATCCAAGAGTAGGAACAAGGCACACAGGGATTGGAACAAGAAAGTCAGCAGCTCAGGCTGCCACCATCCTTTCCGGTGGGCCCGTGTTCCCTCAGTCATTACTTGTCTCTGAGTCTAAGCTACTGTTACACTTCTCTTTGAAACAAGGTCTCTACTATCACTGATGGTTTATTTGCTCCCCTATGACTTCAGCTTAGGAATCACTTTGGTTTGCTATGGCACCTACTCCAGCCCCAACTCTACACAACTTTTCAGAAAAGTACCCACCAGCGTCTTACTAATTAGTCTCTGTGTTTGTTAGAGCTCTTATGACTGCAGAAGACCATAATTCAAATGAACTTAAGAAAAACGGAGGATTTTTTGGCTTGTACAATCAGAAAGGATATTGTTGGCAGGCCTCAGGCATGACTGATCCAGTCATACACAACAGTGTCCAAATTCTATCTCTGTCTCTTAGCTGCATTTCCATTGGTGTGTTGTCCTCATGAATCCAGACAGCAGAAAGGCTCTCTCCGTGCAACAGTGGAAGGGTGAGGCTGGGTGTAGATCTACTGGCAGCTCAGGGTTACATCATCACAGCTTTTGAGCCCAGAGGAGAGAGCTTTTCCTAACTCTGCTCCAACATATGGATTCTAAAGGAGGGATTCCTGGCCTGCCTTGGGTTGGATGGTCACTCTTTGGATCAGTCACTGTGGTTGGGTGATGGATATTATAATAGATCGTGTTCCCTTTCATGAACTTTGGCTTTATATTGTGATATTATATAGTCCCATTAGAATCACATGGTTTGTGTAATGGAGAAGGAGCTGCTTCCCAAAAGGGAATGAGGTAGTGGTTAATAGAAGAAAATAAGAAAGAATGTTTAAAACAACAGGTGTCTATCATAGTTTCTGTGCCTCTTGGTTCAATTTCTTGAGGAAATCTGCTGCATTTATCCCCACCTTTGGCTTAGTTTCTCCTGGGTTGTTTGCCTACCTGTGACCCAATCGGATGGGTGGCCAACTCATATGTAGGAACACTGCAGTTAGGGCTCTGGGTGGGGAACACAATGATTGACCTATCTACCACAATAATATAAAAATAAGAAAGAATAGGCCAGGCGCGGTGGCTCACGCCTATAATCCCAGCACTTTGGGAGGCTGAGGTGGGCAGATCACGAGGTCAGGAGATCAAGACCATCCTGGCTAACACGGTGAAACCCCGTCTCTACTAAAAATACAAAAAATTAGCTGGGGGTGGTGGCGGGCGCCTGTAGTCCCAGCTACTCGGGAGGCTGAGGCAGAAGAATGGCGTGAACCCGGGAGGCGGAGCTTGCAGTGAGCCGAGATCGCGCCACTGCACTCCAGCCTGGGCGAAAGAGCAAGACTCTGTCTCAAAAAAAAAAAAAAAAAAAAAAAAAAGAAAGAATAGATCCCGGCATGCAGAAATAACCACAATTAATATTTTAGTTAATATACTTATATTCTTTTATCTATGCATTAATATATGTCTTTAAAAAATGGAATCAGCTGGGTATGGTGGCTCACACCTGTAATCCCAGCACTTTGGGAGGCAGAGGCGGGTGGATCACTTGAGGTCAGGAGTTTGAGACCAGCCTGGCCAAATGGCTAAACCTCCTCTCTACTAAAAATACAAAAGTTAGCTGGGCATGGTGGTGCATGCCTGTGCTCCCAGCAACTCAAGAGTCTGATGCATGAGAATCACTTGACCCTGGGAGGCAGAGGTTGCAGTGAGCTGAGATGGCACCACTGCACTCCAGCCTGGGTGACAGAACGACACTTGGTCTCAAAAAAAAGAGAGGCTGGGCGCGGTGGCTCACACCTGTAATCCCAGCACTTTGGGAGGCCAAGGTGGGTGCATTATCTGAGGTTGGGAGTTCGAGACCAGTTCTCCAGAGATGGAGAACCCTGTCTCTACTAAAAATACAAAATTAGTCAGGCATGGTGGCACATGCCCGTAATTCCACTACTCGGGAGGCTGAGGCAGAAGAATCACTTGAACCCAGGTGGCAGAGCCTGCGGTGAGCCGTGATCATGCCATTGCACTCCAGCCTGGGCAACAAGAATTAAACTCTGTCTCAAAAAAAAAAAAAAAAAGGATGATGTCATTTATACTATTTTGCAACACTCTTTTTACTTCATTATCTATTCTTCTACAATGTTTGTGACTTGAACTAGGGTAATGGGGATGGTGATAAGTGGTTGGATTTGACATATATATAAAGGTAGAGCCAGTGGGATTTGCTAATGAATTGGGTATGAGATGTGAGAAAAAGAAATTGCTGAAATTGTTAGATACTATTGCCTGTTCATGGGGGTATATGATGTGAGATTGAAATTAGAAGCTTTTTGGACTAAAATTCATATATACTGAGCAACTTTTGCTTTTCCAGTTAGGCATTATGGGGATTCAAAAATAATTTTATGAAAAAAATCCCTGTTCCCAAGGAACTTAAAAATCTGCCCAGAGGCTAAATAACCACAAATGAAATGATGAAATATATGGCAATAAAAATGAGTCACACACCACAACATGATTGAATTTCAAAACTATAAGGTTGAGAAAAAGATGTCAGACACAAAACAAGACCTATTAGATGATTTCATTTATATGAATTTCCAAAACAGGCAAAACTAATCCATGGTGTTAGAAATCAAGATAATGGTTACAGCTGGGATGTGGGGAGGGAGCTTGAGAAGGATTTCTGGGGTGCTAGTACCATTCTGTTTCTTCACCAGGGTGGTGGTTACATGAATGTGTTCACTTTATTGATAATTCATTGAGCTTATGATTTGTATACTTTTCTGTACATGTGTTATATTTAAATTAAAAAAGGTTAAAAACACTCCAGTTCTACACTGTGGATTCCTGATTCCAAGTGCAAGAAAAGGATATCTAAAGAGGGAGAACCTAGCTTAGGCTAGGAAAAGGGACAAGAGTAGGGCCTAGAGACTAGGCGGTGGAGAAGATGGTCCCAATGGTAGGACACTTGGGGCCCGAGTGTGCAGTAAGAAAGTGAGGGCCAGCGTGGGGCACAGTGAATAGAGTGGCTCAACCGAAGTAAAAGATGCGCAAGGTGATGTGTAAGACAGGAGCTGAGTCTGGGCGGTAATTCAAGGGAGACTGGGATTAGGGGGTCTTGAGTGCCAGGCTATGCAGTGTGGGACCTTTTGTTTCACATAGTGCAAGGTTACTGAAGCTTTGGCATATTGATCACAGTGTATTAGGATGTTGAAGAGGAGGGTCCTGGGTAAATGGAGTGGTAGGGATGGATGGAACTGTCACAGTGGGGCTGGAGAGGGGGTGGATGGAGGACTGTATGCTGTGAGGCTCTCTGAGATAGGCCTGGGGGTGTTGATCTTGGCTAGTGTTCTGTTCCCAGTTCTTGTTAGTGTAGATGTTTAGGTTTGCATCCTTTCCTAAGTGGGCCTCAGGGGCATCAGACTCAGGCTTGGTGTTCAGGGACAGCTTCGTAATGTGCCCCTGAGGAGTGCCCCATGTTTGGAGGTTTCTCAGAAAGTGCATGCTCTCACCTGAGCCAATCCCACCCCAACCCTCCCAAGTGGGGTCCAAACATGGGACCCTTCTAGAGTATGCCCCCTTCAGCCCTGACAGTGCAGAGTCTGTTTGCAGCAACGCAAGCCTCAGCGCCCAGCACGGAAGCCTGGGGCAGCTGTGTGGGCAGGATATGCTGGGGGCCAGCCCCCTCTACCTTATTTAGGCAAATGTGAGTATTTCTGAGTCCTCCCGCTGAATCCCTTCCAGCTTACTGACTCCTCTGTAGAGTGCAGATGGTGGAGGACAGGAAGTAGTTTCTTCATTTCCAGGAATCCTGGGCAACCGAAATTCCCATGTAGAGAAGCATCTTCCCTTTGTCTTCACACTTTGTAGCCAACCAGATATGCTGTCCAAGGGGAGAATAGTTGATTAAGGCAGAAGCATGGGCCTGATGAGATGTATTCCAGAGCCAGAAGGGACAGTATTCTTCCCTCTAGGGTGGGATGATCAATATCTCAGTAGGGACAAGGAAGATAAGGTTTGTTCTTTTCCAGTATTGCAGAATAGGAGGGGTTCTAGAAAATAAAGCAATATGGTGTTTTATGATTTCACACATCATATGAATTATCATACATTTGTTCTTCACGATCCTTGGCAATGATCGATTATCATATGAGTTATCTTATTTTCCGTTTTGTGCTTCTCAACCTCATGAGGAAGAGGAGGAAAAGAGCATTACCGCTGTTTGTCACATGAGGATTCATTTGCAGATAGTATGAAAATGGAGGCAATTTTTCCAGTCTCAAGAATGGTAAAAGGCACAGGTGGGACTTGAACCCAGACTCTTGGCTTCAAGTCCAGAGTTTTCTCATGCACCAGCTACCCCTCAACAGGATTTGACTATCCTGCAGTAACCCTAGAGGAAGTTTAGTCCTTGGGACGCTTGGCCTGCCAGTCTCTGAAAAAAATATGATGGGGATGGTGGTGGTGGTAGTGCACGTTGGGTTGAGGGGACAGAGGAAGAAGCAGGTTGATGGCTGTTGTCCATCAGGTAACACAGTGTTTCTTTTCCCATTTTCTCTGGAATCAAGAAGCACCCAGAAGACTGGGCTGAGCAGAAGACTGGAGAGGGTGCAGGAAAGATGGTAGCAGGAGAGGAGAATAAAGCACCATCCAGGAGCTTAGTGGAGAGTGCCCCTTTTCTCTCCCCAACTGGATCAGATTGTGTAGACAGTGTGGGAGGTGCAGCTGGTCAATGCTTAACCGAAGGTGATTTCCTCACACACTCAGGATTAGGGCAAGAGGATTTGTAGACCTCTCTATGCTGGAATGGATGTCATACCTTGTAACTTCCTCAGCAGTGTAAAAATCCAACATGTACCTTCCAGCTGTCTACAACACAAGTGCATGCTCGTCGGACAAGAGGTCACAGCTAAGGCAACAATCCACATGAGTTGGGAAGGGCTCATTTCACCTGTCAAACACTGCTGCTCTCATGTGGAATGCACTGTGGCTTTTTGGTCAAGATAATTACCGTGGAAGATCCTAGGTGGCAGCAAATCCCAGGTGAACAGACTGAGCCGTGGAGGTGGCATAAGGCAACCCTAGCCGAGGTGAGTGCAGACCAATCGTTTGGCATTTGGGGGCTGGCTGGGAGCAGCTGTTCCTGTTATAATCTCAGGTGTGTATCTTTGCCTTCATTAAGCTTCTTAATATTTCTGATGTGAGGAAATGATTTTCCAGTGGGTGCAGTTGCACCTTATGCAAAGATGTATTTTGAGAGTTAAATGAATTAAGTCTTGATCCCTCATCCTACCATTTCCAGATTTGGTGACCAAGTCCAAATTCATCCTCCATACTATTCTTCTAGATTTTACAGACTGTGCATATATCTACATTTAGTAACTGCTGTCTCTCTCTCTCTCTCTCTCTCTCTCTCTCTCTCTGTGTGTGTGTGTGTGTGTGTGTGTGTGTGTGTGTGTGTGTGTGTGTGTGTTTCTGCCATGCCAGGGGTCAGGGCTTCTTCTTGGGGCTGTGGCCTTTTCTCCTGCTACATTGGTTCTTTAAGATCCTTGGCAATGATCCATGCTATAACATAGATGAACCTTTACAAATATTATAGTAAGTGGCCTGCACCTGTAATCTCAGCACTTTGGGATGCTAAGACAGGAAGATCGCTTGAGCCCAGGAGTTCGAGACCAGCCTGGGCAATATGGCAAAACCCCTATCACTACAAAAAATACAAAAATTGGCCGGGCATGGTGGTGTGTGCCTGTAGTCCCAGTTACTTGGGAGTCTGAGGTGGGAGGATCACTTGAGCCTGGGAGGTCGAGGATGTAGTGAGTTATGATTGCACCACTGCACTCCAGCCTGGGTGACAGAGTGAGACCCTGTCTCAAAAAATAAAAAAAGTAAAATTATTTTCTAATTAAAAAAAAAATTAGGCTAGGCACGGTGGCTCACGCCTGTAATCCCAGCACTTTGGGAGGCCGAGGTGGATGGATCACTTGAAGTCAGGAGTTCGAGACCAGCCTGGCCAACATGGGGAAACCCTGTCTCTACTAAAAATACAAAAATCTGCTGGGCGTGGTGGCAGACGCCTGTAATCCCAGCTACTTGGGAGGCTGAGGCTGGAGAATCGCTTGAACCGGGGAGGCGGAGGTTGCAGTGACCAGAGATTGCACCATTGCACTCCAGCCTGGGTGACAAGAGTAAAACTCCATCTCAAAAAAAAAAAAAAATTATCCAGGTGTGATGGTGTGCACCTGTAGTCCTAGCTACTTGGGAGGCTGAGGCAGGAGGATCACTTGAGCCCAGGAGTTTGGGGCTGCAGTGAGCTATCTTCATGCCACTGCACTACAGCCTCACTGACAGAGCAGGACCCTGTCTCTAAAAAAAATTTAAAAATAAAAATAAAGAAAATATTATAGTAAGTGAAAGAAGCTAGATACAAAGGACCACATATGGTATGATTCATTTATATGAAATGTCCAGAATAGGCAAATCCATAGTCAGAAAGTAGAAAAATAGTTTCCAGGGAATGGAGGAGGGATCATTAAAATATCCTTAAATCTGCCAGGCATGGTGGCTTGTCCCTGTAATCCCAGCACTTTGGGAGGTCAAGGCGGGAAGATCATGAGGTCAGGAGTTGGAGACCAGCCTGACCAACACGGTGAAACCTCATCTCTACTACAAATACAAAAATTAGCTGGGCATGGTGGCACACGCCTGTAATCCCAGCTTACTCAGGAGGCTGAGGCAGGAGAATCGCTTGAACCCTGGAGGTGGAGGTTGCAGTGAGCTGAGCTCGTGCCACTGCACTCCAGCCTGGGTGACAGAGCGAGACTCCATCTCAAATATATATATATATATATATATATATATATATATATATATATTCTTAAGTTGATTGTGGTGATGGACACACAGTTTTGTGAATACACTAAAAGCTATTGAATTGTATATTTTAAATGGGTGGAATGTATGGTACTTGAGTTATATATCAATAAAGCTGTTAAGAAAGAAAAGATCCTTGGCAATGCAAATGTGGTGAGTTGTCTGGAGAGACTGTCCATGTGCCAAGGCTATAGGAAGGTAGGGCAGGTCGTGAGGACAGGTTCTGTGCAGGAGTGGCTGATGTTCTGACTCAGCTTAGATGGGCAGAGGTCAACTCAGTCCTCGGGATTTCTGCAGTCCTCTTCCTTTACTAGATTATTCTTGTTTTTCCTAGTCCAATCCATATTCTTCTTAGTCACTGGTAATTACGTGGCCTCTGCTATCCAGAGTCCTTCCTAGGTATAGAAGCCCTATTTGACCTTGTCCCTGGAATCTATCAGTTTTCCTGGTAGTTGGTTTGCTTTCCAGACTAATGGCCCAGGACAAATATCCATGAAAAAACTTTGCCGTCCCTTAATTTTTCCTCTGTTTCTGTGATTTTTCTGAAATCAGGTTTCTTCACATCTCTTTTAGACTGAAAGCTGTGCGAGGGCATGCAATTTTTTTTACCATCTCTGCAACCTTTCATCAATCGCAGGCCCCACAACATAGTTGGCACTCAATATGTGTTTGCTAATATACATTTTCAATCCAACTATGTATATATATATATATCCTTTTAGAATAATTTTCTTTCCTTCTTTCTTTTTTCTTTTTCTTTATTTCTTCCTTCCTTCTTTCTTTCCTTCTTTCTTCCCTCCCTCCTTTCTTTCCTCCCTCCCTCCTTCCTTCCTTCCTTTCTTTCTTTTTCTTTCTTTCTTTCTTTCTCTCTCTTTCATTCTTTCTTTCTTTCTCTTCCTTCCTTCCATCCTTCCTTTCTCTCTCTCTCTCTTTCTTTCTTCTCTCCCCCCTTTCTTTCTTTCTTCCCTCCCTCCCTCCTTTCTTCCTTCCTTCCTCTCTCTCTCTTTCCTCTCTGTCTCTCTTTCTTCTCTTTCTTCCTTCCTTCCTTTCTTTCTTTCTTTCTTTCTTTCTTTCTTTCTTTCTTTCTTTCTTTCTTTCTTTCTTATCTTTCTCTCCCTCTCTGTCTCTCTTTCTCTCTCTCTCTCTTTCTTTCTTCAGAGTCTCACTCTGTCACCTAGGCTGGAGTGCAGTGCTGTGTGATCATGGCTCACTGAAGCTCCTGGGCTCAGGTGATTCTCCCACCTTTGCTTCACAAGTAGCTGGGACAACAGCTGCATGGCACCATGCCTGGCTAATTTTTGTATTTTTCATAGAGGCAGAGTTTCACCATGTTGCCCAGGCTAGTCTCAAACTCCTGACCTTAAGTCATCCTCCCACCTCGGCCTTCCATAGTGCTGGGATTACACGCGTTAGCCACCATGCCCAGCTTAACTTCTTTTATATAAAAGGAATATTTGTTCATTGTAAAAAAAAATACTGAAAATATCAAGAAGAGGCTGGGTGTGGTGGCTCATGCCTATGATCCCAACACTTTGGGAAGTAGAGGCAGGAGAATCGCTTGAGCCCAGGAGTTTGAGACCAGCCTGGGCAACATAGTGAGATCCCATAGCTACGAAAAGTAATGGCAAAACCGCAATTACTTTTGCAACAACCTAATAGCTGGGCATGGTGGCATGCACCTGTGATCCCAGATTCTTGGGAGGCTGAGGTGGGAGGATCACTTGATCCAGGGAGGCTGAGTCTGAAGTGGGCTGTATGCTACCACTACTGCACTCCAGCCTGGGTGACAGAGTAAGACTTTGTCTCCAAAAAAAAAAAAAAAAAAAAAATACATTCTCACTGTTGGTTGAGCTGAAGTTTATTCATTTCTTTATTGTATATTCAACTCTGTGAGCATATCATGATTTATTCTCCTGTCTTTGGACACTGTTCCCTCCTTCTCTTTTTTCCCCCTTCCTTCCTCCTTTCCTCCCATCCCCTCTACCCTCCTCTCCTCTCCTCCCCTCTCCTCCCCTCCCTTCCCCCTTTCCTTCCTTCCTTCCTTCCTTCCTTCCTTGCTTCCTTCCTTCCTTCCATCCTTCCTTCCCTCCCTCCCTCCCTCCCTCCCTCTCTCTTTTCCCTCCCTCCCCCTCTCCCCCTTCCCTATACATATTCTTGTTTGTCTCCTGGGGCATATGTGCAAGTTTCTCTACCTAGGAGTAGAATTATTGGGTCACAGAGTATGTGAATGTTCATCTTTACAAGGTAATGACAAATTATTTTCCAAAGCAATTATATAAATTTATGCTCCCACTAGCAGTGTAAATTTTTTTTTTTTTTAAATTTATTTTTTTATTGATAATTCTTGGGTGTTTCTCACAGAGGAGGATTTGGCAGGGTCATGGGACAATAGTGGAGGGAAGGTCAGCAGATAAACAAGTGAACAAAGGTCTCTGGTTTTCCTAGGCAGAGGACCCTGCGGCCTTCCGCAGTGTTTGTGTCCCTGATTACTTGAGATTAGGGAGTGGTGATGACTCTTAAGGAGCATGCTGCCTTCAAGCATCTGTTTAACAAAGCACATCTTGCACCGCCCTTAATCCATTTAACCCTGAGTGGACACAGCACATGTTTCAGAGAGCACCGGGTTGGGGGTAAGGTCACAGATCAACAGGATCCCAAGGCAGAGGAATTTTTCTTAGTACAGAACAAAATGAAAAGTCTCCCATGTCTACTTCCTTCTACACAGACACGGCAACCATCCGATTTCTCAATCTTTTCCCCACCTTTCCCGCCTTTCTATTCCACAAAGCCGCCATTGTCATCCTGACCCGTTCTCAATGAGCTGTTGGGCACACCTCCCAGACGGGGTGGTGGCCGGGCAGAGGGGCTCCTCACTTCCCAGTAGGGGCGGCCGGGCAGAGGCGCCCCTCACCTCCCGGACGGGGCGGCTGGCCGGGCGGGGGGCTGACCCCCCCATCTCCCTCCCGGACGGGGTGGCTGGCCGGGCAGAGGGGCTCCTCACTTCCCAGTAGGGGCGGCCGGGCAGAGGCGCCCCTCACCTCCCGGACGGGGCGGCTGGCCTGGCGGGGGGCTGACCCCCCACCACCTCCCTCCCGGACGGGGTGGCTGCCGGGCGGAGACGCTCCTCACTTCCCAGATGGGGTGGCTGCCGGGCGGAGAGGCTCCTCACTTCTCAGACGGGGCAGCTGCCGGGCGGAGGGGCTCCTCACTTCTCAGATGGGGTGGTTGCCAGGCAGAGGGTCTCCTCACTTCTCAGACGGGGCGGCCGGGCAGAGACGCTCCTCACCTCCCAGACGGGGTCTCGGCCGGGCAGAGGCGCTCCTCACATCCCAGATGGGGCGGCGGGGCAGAGGCGCTCCCCACATCTCAGACGATGGGCGGCCGGGCAGAGACGCTCCTCACTTCCTAGATGTGATGGCGGCTGGGAAGAGGCGCTCCTCACTTCCTAGATGGGATGGCGGCCGGGCGGAGACGCTCCTCACTTTCCAGACTGGGCAGCCAGGCAGAGGGGCTCCTCACCTAGCAGTGTAAATTTTTTAAGTCTCCACATCCTCGTCAACACTTGTTATTGTCATATTTTTGCTTCTTGACAATATAGTGGGTATAAAATGGTATCTTGCTAGTGTCTTAATTTTTTTTATTTTTTTTTTATTTTTATTTTTTTTATTGATCATTCTTGGGTGTTTCTCGCAGAGGGGGATTTGGCAGGGTCATAGGACAATAGTGGAGGGAAGGTCAGCAGATAAACAAGTGAACAAAGGTCTCTGGTTTTCCTAGGCAGAGGACCCTGCGGCCTTCCGCAGTGTTTGTGTCCCTGGGTACTTAAGATTAGGGAGTGGTGATGACTCTTAACGAGCATGCTGCCTTCAAGCATCTGTTTAACAAAGCACATCTTGCACCGCCCTTAATCCATTTAACCCTGAGTGGACACAGCACATGTTTCAGAGAGCACAGGGTTGGGGATAAGGTCACAGATCAACAGGATCCCAAGGCAGAGGAATTTTTCTTAGTACAGAACAAAATGAAAAGTCTCCCATGTCTACTTCTATCCACACAGACCCGGCAACCATCTGATTTCTCAATTTTTTCCCCACCCTTCCCGCCTTTCTATTCCACAAAACCGCCATTGTCATCATGGCCCATCCCCAATGAGCCGCTGGGCACACCTCCCAGACGGGGTCGTGGCCGGGCAGAGGGGCTCCTCACTTCCCAGTAGGGGCGGCCGGGCAGAAGCGCCCCTCACCTCCCGGATGGGGCGGCTGGCCAGGCGGGGGGCTGACCCCCCCACCATCCTCCCGGACGGGGCGGCTGGCCAGGCAGAGGGGCTCCTCACTTCCCAGTAGGGGCGGCCGGGCAGAGGCCTCCCTCACCTCCCGGACGGGGCGGCCGGCCGGGCGGGGGCTGACCCCCCCACCTCCCTCCCGGACAGGGCGGCTGGCCGACCCCACCCCCCCCGCCTCCCTCCCGGACGGGGCGGCTGGCCGGGCAGAGGGGCTCCTCACTTCCCAGTAGGGGCGGCCGGGCAGAGGCGCCCCTCACCTCCCGAACGGGGCGGCTGGCCAGGCGGGGGGCTGATCCCCCCACCTCCCTCCCGGACGGGGCGGCTGGTCGGGCGGGGGGCTGACCCCCCCCACCTCCCTCCCGGACGGGGCAGCTGGCCGGGCGGGGGGCTGACCCCCCCACCTCCCTCCCGGATGGGGCGGCTGGCCAGGCGGGGGGCTGACCCCCCCACCTCCCTCCCGGACGGGGCGGCTGGCCGGGCAGGGGGCTGACCCCCCCTCCCCCCTCCCGGACGGGGCGGCTGGCCGGGCAGAGGGGCTCCTCACTTCCCAGTAGGGGCGGCCGGGCAGAGGCGCCCCTCACCTCCCGGACTGGGCGGCTGGCCGGGCGGGGGGCTGACCCCCCCACCTCCCTCCTGGACGGGGCGACTGGCCAGGCAGAGGGGCTCCTCACTTCCCAGTAGGGGCGGCCGGGCAGAGGAGCCCCTCACCTCCCGGATGGGGCAGCTGGCCGGGCGGGGGGCTGACCCCCCCCACCTCCCTCCCGGACGGGGTGGCTGCCGGGCGGAGACGCTCCTCACTTCCCAGACGGGGTGGCTGCCGGACGGAGGGGCTCCTCACTTCTCAGACGGGGCGGTTGCCAGGCAGAGGGTTTCCTCACTTCTCAGACAGGGCGGCCGGGCAGAGACGCTCCTCACCTCTCAGACAGGGTTGCGGCCAGCAGAGGCGCTCCTCACATCCCAGACAGGGCGGCGGGGCAGAGGTGCTCCCCACATCTCAGACATGGGCGGCCGGGCAGAGACGCTCCTCACTTCCTAGATGGGAAGGCGGCCGGGAAGAGGCGCTCCTCGCTTCCTAGATGGGATGGCGGCCGGGCAGAGACGCTCCTCACTTTCCAGACTGGGCAGCCAGGCAGAGAGGCTCCTCATATCCCAGACGATGGGTGGCCAAGCAGAGACGCTCCTCACTTCCCAGACGGGGTGGCGGCTGGGCAGAGGCTGCAATCTCGGCACTTTGGGGGGCCAAGGCAGGCGGCTGGGAGGTGGAGGCTGTAGCGAGCCGAGATCACGCCACTGCACTCCAGCCTGGGCACCACTGAGCACTGAGTGAACGAGACTCCGTCCGCAATCCCGGCACCCCGGGAGGCTGAGGCTGGCGGATCACTCGTGGCTAGGAGCTGGAGACCAGCCCGGCCAACACAGCAAAACCCCGTCTCCACCAAAAAAAAAAAACGAAAACCAGTGAGGCGTGGCGGCGTGCGCCTGCAATCGCAGGCACTCAGCAGGCTGAGGCAGGAGAATCAGGCAGGGAGGCTGCAGTGAGCCGAGATGGCAGCAGCACCGTCCAGCCTTGGCTCGGCATCAGAGGGAGACCCTGGAGGGAGAGGGAGAGGGAGAGGGAGAGGGAGAGGGAGGGAGAGGGAGAGGGAGAGGGAGAGGGAGAGGGAGAGGGAGAGGGAGAGGGAGAGGGAGAGGGAGAGGGAGAGGGAGAGGGAGAGGGAGAGGGAGAGGGAGAGGGAGAGGGAGAGGGAGAGGGAGAGGGAGAGGGAGAGGGAGAGGGAGAGGGAGAGGGAGAGGGAGAGGGAGAGGGCGCTAGTGTCTTAATTTATATTTCCTTAATTACTAATGAGATCAAGCATCTTTTTGTACATTTATTTTTCCTCTTTAATGGAGTTCAGGTAGCATGTTTGGCCCATCTTTCTATTGGATTGCTTATCTATTTCTTACTGCTTTGTATGAATCAAAATGTTAATTACATGAGTACTAAAGTTTGTCCATTATCTGTGGCATAAATATGTTCTTCCTGTTTGTGATTTGCCTTTAACTTTATTTGAAGGCTCTTTTAATAAATAGAAATTCTTCATTTTAATGTAGCTTAATTTATTAATATTTTCTTTTCTGTTTAGCACTTTTTTGGGTCTTATTTAGTAGGTTCTTTTCTACTCTGAGGCCAAAAACAACATTCTTCTATCTTTTCTTCTAAAAGTTTTGATCTTTACACAAAAGTTTTTTGTCCATCTGGAGTGGATGTTAGTGTCTGATATGAGATTGGGAATCAATTTTACTTTTTCCCCTATGGACAAGCAGCAGTACCAGCTTCTTTCACTTCTGACACATATCACTGTTCCACATCTGTGTGGGTCTGTGTCTTGGCTCTGTATTTTGTTCCATTGGTCATTTTTATGTATATTTGTGCCAATGCCATCTTGCCTTAATCATTCCAATTTTATAAGTCTCAATATCTGCCAATGCAAGCTCCTTCCCTGACTTTCTTCTTCAGCAATGTCTTCTTGGCTACTCTAGGACCTTTGCTAATTTACATCTCTCCCCCAAAATGGCATCACAATGTCATTACAAGTTTGTAACTTGCTTTAAAAACACTTTTAAAACCTAATAATAATAAATACTTAAATAATGCTTAAAATAATGCTTTAAAACTTAATAATACATTTTGAATGTTTTGTCATTTATATGTTACTGTAAAATATAATTTTTAATGGCTACATAATGTGTTATTTCTTAAAGGTACCATAATTTGTTTATTTCATCTCCCATTTCTGGATATTAAAGTTGTTGCCAAATTTTCATTATTGTAAAAAATTCTGTGGTGAATATTCTTGTGGCAAAATCTTTTTAACATATCCATGACTACTTCCTCAGGATGGAAGTACAATTTCCAAATCTAAGAATTTGCTTAATTTTAAGGTTTTTGACACACATTGCTAAATTATCTTTTAGAAAGTTCATATGACCTATATGACAGCATAGGTCTCAGGACACCCTTGCTGACAGTGTACATTATTATTTTCAAAAACCTTGTCCATTTTGATAGGCAAATAATTGAAAGCCAAGCTAAACTTGCATTACACGTCTAGCTGGCAGTCATCATGTTCTATGTTCATATTTTTCTAGTGAGCAGCCATGGGGTTTCATCCACTGAACACTCTCTTAAGTGTTATCTCCCTTTGTTCTGTTAGGAGAATTGAGCCAGGCCCACCAGGCCCATGGGTAACTGGACTGCAGCGGTGACTGAGTTTGTTCTGCTGGGGTTTTCCCTGAGCAGGGAGGTGGAGCTGCTGCTCCTGGTGCTCCTGCTGCCCACGTTCCTGCTGACTCTTCTGGGGAACCTGCTCATCATCTCCACTGTGCTGTCCTGCTCCCGCCTCCACACCCCCATGTACTTCTTCTTGTGCAACCTCTCTATCCTGGACATCCTCTTCACCTCAGTCATCTCTCCAAAAGTGTTGGCCAACTTAGGATCTAGGGATAAAACCATCTCCTTTGCCGGATGTATCACCCAGTGCTATTTCTACTTTTTCTTGGGCACAGTTGAGTTCCTCCTGCTGACGGTCATGTCCTATGACCGTTATGCCACCATCTGCTGCCCCCTGCGGTACACCACCATCATGAGACCTTCTGTCTGCATTGGGACCGTTGTATTCTCTTGGGTGGGAGGCTTCCTGTCTGTGCTCTTTCCAACCATCCTCATCTCCCAGCTGCCCTTCTGTGGCTCCAATATCATTAACCACTTCTTCTGTGACAGTGGACCCTTGCTGGCCCTGGCCTGTGCAGACACCACTGCCATCGAGCTGATGGATTTTATGCTTTCTTCCATGGTCATCCTCTGCTGCATAGTCCTCGTGGCCTATTCCTATACGTACATCATCTTGACCATAGTGCGCATTCCTTCTGCAAGTGGAAGGAAGAAGGCCTTTAATACCTGTGCTTCCCACCTGACCATAGTCATCATTTCTAGTGGCATCACTGTGTTTATCTATGTGACTCCCTCCCAGAAAGAATATCTGGAGATCAACAAGATCCCTTTGGTTCTGAGCAGTGTGGTGACTCCATTCCTCAACCCCTTTATATATACTCTGAGGAATGACACAGTGCAGGGAGTCCTCAGGGATGTGTGGGTCAGGGTTCGAGGAGTTTTTGAAAAGAGGATGAGGGCAGTGCTGAGAAGCAGATTATCCTCCAACAAAGACCACCAAGGAAGGGCTTGCTCTTCTCCACCATGTGTCTATTCTGTAAAGCTCCAGTGTTAGAAAGAGAGGAGCTGCCTTAGTGAAAGAGTGAGCTAGCTAAGGAATTCTGAATAGTCTATAGTGGAAAGACTGACTGCGGAGACAGAGACTTGAACGCTGGCCTTGGTTTTCACTTTAATCTGTGACCGCAGCTGTGTCACCAGCCATTCTGACTCTCAGTACTCTCAGCTGAAGTGCAACAGGGCTGGACTTGATGATCTCTAAGCCCCATCCACACTGAATATTGTAAGAATGGAAGGGCCATGCAGCCTATTTCCTCCTAAAGTCCTAACATGTTTGGCCCCATTTCTTTATGGATCCCGAACACAACTGTTCTATCGGCTTGACACGAAGTCCTTCCTGAACTTCTCTGCACGGACCCTCTTTCTTTCCATCCTCTGCAGGATCTTTTTAGAAATAACCTTCATTATTCTCTAATCCACTATCATATCCATTTTTTTTTCGGGCATTTGCAATGATTGTGTTGGGTGCATGTCATCTGTGTTATTTAATAATATTGCTTTCTGTAATAGAACATGTTCATAATATCCAATATGCTCATGTCGTTATGTAAGACATGGCCCTGTTCCCCTAGCCACTAATGATTGATCCATGGATGGATAATCTGACTGAAGGCATAACCCATCACCTGCAGGGACACTTGCACACCTAAGAGACTGGCCAGTGACCTATGACCTGTGTGGCTTGGCTGGACCAGAGGAGCTGTGTAAACAGATACGACTTTTTTGAGAAATTGAAGCAAAAAACACAGAGATTATTCCACACAAGTGTGATGCTTCCCCTGGAAGCAGAAATAGGCTTGGTGGCTGGAGTGGCCACTTTGGGTGCCAGGTGCAAGCTGATGAATAATTAGAGGAAACCAGTCTGCCCCTCAGAGAGAATGCAGTTGATGTATAGAGAAAAACAGAGAAGAGAGAGATGACAGCCCACTCACAACACAAAGGCACAACACAAAGAGCCCTCTTCTCTCATGACTTCCTAGGGCTGGAGCTGGTAGAATTTTGATTCCTATTCCTGGATTTGATGTGTTTTGCCTGTACCTGTAAATGAAATCCCTTTTTATTGAGCTATCTTGAGAAGGTCTTAGATTCTTGTGACCAAAAAGCAGCTTGACTACAAAGTTCATTATCTCTCCACAAGGCATAGCTTCTCCCCTTTTCTGGCTCCATACACCTGGAAAGAATCTGTTTTGTTTTTGTTTTGAGACGGAGTCTCACTCTGTCGCCCAGGATGGAGTGCAGTGGTGCAATCTCAGCTCACTGCAACCTCCGCCTCCTGGGTTCAAGTGATTCTTCTGCCTCAGCCTCCTGAGTAGCTGGGACCACAGGCGCGTGCCACCATGCCTGGCTAATTTTTGTATTTTTAGTAGAGATGGGGCTTCACTGTGTTAGCCAGGATGGTCTCGATCTCCTGAACTCGTGATCTGCCCACATCGGCCTCCCAAAGTGCTGGGATTAGAGGCATGAGCCACTGCGCCCAGCCAAGAATCTGTTTTTAACTGCATTCCTAGTCTGAATTCTTGGTGCCCAAACACTGTCTGGGATGCTTACTTGGACCCACTCTGGGCCTGTGGTTCAGCTCAGTGCAAACCAGCTTTTCAATATCATCAGAATCTCTGAGGTTTAATTTCTTGTCTTGCTTGGCCGCCAGTGCTGCAGCATCCACTTTGCTAAATTAACCCCTATGCTCTGCGTGGAACTGGTCAGAAGGACACATGCATACCTAAGGAACTGCTGCAGAGTTCTGTGGACATAAATGAAGACTACTTAAATGAGCACAGATGCCACTTATTCAGAGCTAGCTATATCAGGGGAGTCAGCCACCATCACTTGCATTTGGCAGAGAGTCAAAGGCAGGCAGGGGAGTGGAAAGCTTCATAGTAGAAAAAAAGGGAAAGGCCCGAGTATTCCCTGACTGGAGGATTTTGGCATGGGGAAGCTGGAGGTGAGCTAACTAGTGTTGCGGGAAGTCAGGCACCCCAAACGGAGGGACCGGCTGAAGCCATGGCAGAAGAATGTGGATAGTGAAGATTTCATGGACACTTATCACTTCCCCAATGAATACCCTTGTGATTTCCTATGCCTGTCTTTAATCTCTTAATCCTGTCAGCTGAGGAAGATGTATGTCACCTCAGGACCATGTGATAATTGTGTTAACTGCACAAATTGTAGAGCATGTGTGTTTGAACAAATACGAAATCTGGGCACCTTGGAAAAAGAACAGGATAACAGCAATTGTTCAGGGAATAAGAGAGACAACCTTAAACTCTGACCGCTGGTGAGCCGGGGGGAACAGAGCCATATTTCTCTTCTTTCAAAAGCAAATGGGAGGAATATCACTGAATTCTTTTTCTCAGCAAGGAACATCCCTGGGAAAGAGAGTACGCGCCTGGGAGTGTAGTCCTATAGACGGCCCCCCTGGGCGTGCCCGTCTTTTATGGTCTGTAGACTGTAGGGGTCAAATAGACCCCAGTCTCCCATAGCGCTCCCAGGCTTATTAGGAAGAGGAAATTTCCACCTAATAAATTTTGGTCAGACTGGTTGCTCTCAAAACCCTGTCTCCTGATAAGATGTTATCAATGACAATGGTGCCCGAAACTTCATTAGCAATTTTAATTTCACCCTGGTCCTGTGGTCCTGTGATCTCGCCATGCCTCCCTTTGCCTTGTGATATTCTATTACTTTGTAAAGTACGTGACCTCTGTGACCCACACCTATTCGTACACTCCCTCCCCTTTTGAAAGTCCCTAATAAAAACTTGCTGGTTTTTGTGGCTTGGGGGGCATCATGGAACCTAGTGACATGTGATGTCTCCCCCGGCTGCCCAGCTTTAAAATTTCTCTCTTTTGTACTCTGTCCCTTTATTTCTCAAACCAGCCGATGCTTAGGGAAAATAGAAAAGAACCTAAGTGACTAATGGGGCAGGTTCTCTGATAAACTAGAAGCAGGACATCTTAGGGGATTGGTTTGGGAAGCATATTTGACTTTATGTGATTGGTCTTGAGTTTGAAAGAAGTGTGGAAGGGGAGGGGAGCTTCAGAAAACAGGAAAGTGAGCAGTCACGAACAAGTCTTGGCCATTCTGGGCCAAGTGCTTCAGAGGTTTGGTTGTGGTTTGGCTTCCCTTGAGGGTCCCTTCGGAGTTTCTGAGTCAGTGTTCTGTTGTTATATATGGTCTGGCTGTTGTCCACTTTTATATTCAGTCTCTCAGTTCTTACAACCTTGAAATTTCATGTAACATTTTTAAGTCTAAGCAGAAGGACAATCCTCCCAAAGTGGAAAACTAGATCCCATGAGAACAGATGATGAAAGGTGAGCTCAGGTAAACGGAGCGTTGTTGGGGATTTGCAGGCCAGGAATGGGAGCTGTAGAAACTGAGGATGTCTTGCATGTGCCAAAGACTCTGCTTCTTTGAGTGGACCCGAAGCCCCAAGATTTAGACTCTTTGGCTAGTAGGGCTTGTGAGGACACCTTGTGCCTCTAGAGGAAGCCCACTGTTACTGTACATCTGGCAAAGCAGTTAGACTGTGAGGCTCAGTCTTCTATGGAGATTTCTGTGAGTCTCTAGGATCAGATTAGTGGAGAGGAAGAAGCTAGACCTCTGTGATTCCCTGTGTAAGACTCTGAGATGGCCTCAGAACCCATGCTCTTTCTACCAGAAGTGTTTCACTTAAAATATTTGAGAACTCATAGACTGTCTCAGAAGTCTTTCAAACCACTGACCAAAAGCTTCTAAGCTTGGATTTAAAACCAGCAACATACGTCCAAGTTTCCACTGGTGAACCCTTAGCCTAGCAGTTCCATTCTCAGCCCACAGCAAACACTTCCTTCTTATAGACCTTTTCATGCTTTGTGGGGTTGATGTGTTTGTTTGTCTGTCTTTGTTAGGGGTGGCAAATATTTGAGTCTCACAGCACCAAATATGTTAGCAGTGGAAGGCATCCAGGCTACCAGAGGCGAATCCATACGGGTCTGCAGCAACCTCAATCCTTGTCTCCTCAGAAGAAAGAATTTGACTGAGGGGCATAAGATGGAAAAAGAGACCATGGGAAGTTTCAGAGCAGGGGTGGAAGTTTATTTAAAAAGGCTTTAGAACAGCAAAGAAAGGAAAGTATGCTTGGAAGAGATCCAAGTGGGCACCGAGGTAAAGTGCAGTGTTTAACCTTGATCCTAGGACTCTATAGGCTGGCCCCTTTCCCATGATTCTTCCCTTAGGGTGTGCTGCCTGCACGTGCAGTGCCCCCCTTACCCTTGGGAAGTGAGCACACACATTGTGTTTAGGAAGTTGTACCCACGCCCAACTGAGGCTTTCTTCCCTTTTCCGGTGGAGTGCCCCTGGAAGGTCATACTCCGCCATTTTGTCTCTTAATATGCATGCCCAAAAAGATGCTTCTTCCTGGCATCTGTATTCAATTAACACTTCAGTGCAACAGGTGTGGACCCTCAGGATAATGGCGTCTCCCTGGCTGCCAATTTATCACTTTTAGAGAGGCAATGTGACAAATCCTGAACCATCACCTGACATTCCTAGTTGGTGGAGGATAGCCCTCTCCTGCCCCACTCATGCCTGACTACCTGTAACATCTTCCCCAAGAAATAGCAAATCCCCTTCAGTGCAGAAGATTGGTTGATATTAATTTGGGGGTCTCCTACCCTTTCTCCCAGAAACCTACATCAGTGTTTCACATACCAGATATGCTCAGTAAGTATTTACTAAATAAAGTGAAAATATGTGCAGTTATCAAAAGTCCTTTTTGAAAATGTAAATTTTAGCTTGGATTTGGGTTGGAGTATTCCCACTAAATAAAGCAGTCCAGCCCCTTAGAAAGGAGGAAGAAGCCTGCAGGCACTAGGAGGACCCCCTGAGGGGCAGTGAGCATCAGGAAAGGGTAATGGGTTCAGATACAGGGAAAGGGGCATGAGGGAAAAGTTCATCTGCTTGCACACTTTGCCTTAGCTGTCTGTACTTGCTCCCAATTCTACACTCATTCTAGTTCCAAGACCAAGTGGGAGGTAGCTTCTGCTGTAAACTCCTTAGAAAACAGAGCCTTAGAGATGGCCAGTGGTCCAGTCCCAGAAAGTCTGGGGATTGGGGGAGCATGTCAAAGTGTCACAGACCTCTCTAGTCTATGACATGATTTTTATTCTTTAATATATCTGTGGCATCCACAGCCTGCATCTGCCTGTGGCCTCCATTTACTCTCCCAGTAGCTCCAGAGAGTTTCTCCAGGATGCAGCTGGCAGAACCTAGGGGGCCGGGGGTGGCCTTGGCTTCTGAAGGTGTACAAGGGGGTCTGACACTCTGTAGCTGTTGGGAAATAGAATTAAAAACAAAATCTATTCCCAGCCCAGAAAACTGCCCCACAAAGGTTGTGCACATGTACCCTAAAACTTAAAGTATAATAATAATAAAAAAAGAAAACAAATAAAACAGTTTTATTATTGAATAAGCATTAAACCAGAATATAATGCTCATCACAGGCAATTTTCTAAAAAGATTGCAAAGACGGAAAGAAATTTCACCCTTTTATAAAGACATATTAATAAAATTAATTCCATACATTTTCTCTAGATAAACAACAACTAGTCCTCAAGTAAAAGGACTTGACAACCCCACTTGTCACACACAGTTTGTCCTCAGTTCACTTGGTAATTGGGGTGAATCATCTGTTCTATCTAATTGGCTTTATGACAAGGAAAAATAAACTTTACATATCTTTATAACAGGAGGTAGTTTAGGAGCAAGAGGTTCCTCCCCTCCCACCAGGACTGGGACATACAGGTGCTATCTTCCTTGATGATTTCAAAGAGATATTTCCCAGGTCCTTAAGAAAGACATTCCTGGGTTGTAATGCTGTTCAGAGGATTAGTTAACATTTAAAAAGTTTTATTTATAGTTCAAAGAGACAGAGAAAGAACTCATATATTTTTTGAGGTAAATGTGTAAGGAAAGGGAAGAGGGAGAAGTTTCTTCCTTTATTTTCAGCAGAGAAAAACAAGCCACTTATTTTGAATTTGCACTTGCCATTACGCAGCCCTGAGGCTTGGAGGAGGGGCGGGAGACATTCTGCCAATGCTCTTTGCGTCCGCCTGCTTTGCCAATTTTGGCGTATGTTTGTTCAGGATCCCTACAAAACAAGGTGAGCAGACCTGATTCCTGTCTGAGGGGCCTCATTCCCGAAACTGACATCACAGGTGTAAACCAAAGTTAGAATCAATTTTGGAAAACTTTTTTGTTTTTAATATTTTTAATTATGAAAATCCACATTCACTGTAAAATTTTAGCCAGTACAGAAGTGTATAAAGTAAAACATGAAAAGTCCTGCCAGCCAATTCCATTCTGTAGCAGTCAACATTGTTAGTTAAACATATATATATATATATATATATATATTTTTTTTTTTTTTTTTTTTTTTGAGACGGAGTCTCGCTCGGTCGCCCAGGCTGGAGTGCAGTGGCATGATCTTGGCTCACTGCAATCTCCGCCTCCTGGGTTCAAGTAATTCTCCTGTCTCAGCCTCCTGAGTAGCTGGGATTATAGGTGTGAGCCACCTTGCCCAGCCTAGGATGCTTATACTATATATGTATATATTCATTCATATTCACACATATAACTTTTGTTTTACAAAAAAGAAAGCGTTATATGAATTGTCTGCAACTTGATTTTTAAAATCTTCCCATGTCAATACTGTCAACAGAAAGAGTCAAACTGTAGAATAATTGAAGAGATTTATTCTGAGCCAAATGTGAGTGACCACGGCCTGTGACACAGCCCCAGGAGATCCTGATGACATATGCCCAAGGTGGTCAGGCTACAGCTTGTTTTTATACATTTTAGGGAGACATAAGACATCAACCAGTACATGTAAGATGTGCCTTGGTTTGATCTGGAAAGGCGGGACAACTCAAAGCAGGGAGGCGGTTGAGGGTGGAGGCATTGAGGAGGGTGGGGACGAAGAAGGGCTTCCGTGTCAAAGGTGAATTCAAAGATTTTCTGATTAGCAATTGGCCGAGAGTTTATCTAAAGCCCCGGAATTAATAAAAGGGAGTGTCTGGGTTCAGATGGGTTGTGGAGACTGAGGTTCTTATTATGCAGATGAAGTCTTCAGGTAGCAGGCTTCAGAGAGAACATCAGACTTAAAGAGACAGCTTTGCAGGGCCATTTCAAAATATGTCAAAGCAATATATTTTGGAGCAAAATACTCGGTTTCTTTCAGGGCCTGCTATCTTGGTCTGCATATTGTTATCTTATTGCTACCAAGAATCTGTGCTGCCTGTCTTAAGGTATAAGACTGTTTTAATGTTAATGCTGGTCAGCTGTGCCTGAATTCCAAAGGGAGGAAGGTTTAAGGAGGCATGTCTGACCACCCATTCTCATCATGGCCTGAACTAGTGTTTCAAGTTTACTTTAGAATGCCCTTGGTCGAGAGGAGGGGCCCATTTAGTTGGTTCGGGGTGCTTAGAATTTTATTTTTGGCTTACAGTACCCATAAAATTCCATAATTCATTTTTAGATGTCACATTTATAACCAATGAACACACATTTCTTCTATTTTGTTACTGGTGCTAAATTTTTTTGGCATAAATTCCTGCTATTAGGACTTATGGCTAATAGTGTAGGACCATTTTAAATTTCAGTAATTATTTTGATAAATTCTGCCAAGTTGCCTCCAAAAATGTGGAAACAATTTCCTCTCCCACCAACATTGTATAAAAAATCCAACTTCTTCACTTTTTGCCATTACTAGCTATTGTCAATCTTTAAAATTTTTGTCAACCTGCATGTAAAAAATAGTATCTTATTGTTATGTATTTCTTCTATTGCTAGTGAGGTTGAGTATCTTCTCATATGTTCATTGGTGTTTTTTTTTTTTTTTTGAGACAGAGTTTTGCTCTTGTCACCCAGGCTGGAGTACAATGGCAGGATCTCGGCTCACTGCAACCTCTGCCTCCCTGGTTCTAGCAATTATTCTGCCTTAGCCACCCGAGTAGCTGGGATTACAGGTATGAACCACCATGCTCGGCTAATTTTTGTATTTTTAGTAGAGACAGGGTTTCTCCATGTTGGCCAGGCTGGTCATGAACTCCTGACCTCAGGTGATCCACCCCTTGGCCTCTCAAAGTGCTGGGATTACAGGCATGAGCCAACACATCTGGCCTCTTTTTTTTTTTTTTTTTTTTGAGATGGAGTTTTGCTGTTGTCATCCAGGCTGGAATGCAATGGCATGATCTCGGCTCACTGCAACCTCTGCATCCCGGGTTCAAGCGATTCTTCTACCTCAGTTTCCCAAGTAGCTGGGATTACAGGAACCTGCTACCACACCCGGCTAATTTTTGTATTTTTAGTAGAGACGAGGTTTCACCATGTTGGCCAGGCTGGTCTCGAACTCCTGACCTCAGGTGATCCACCCACCTTGGCCTCCCAAAGTGCTGGGATTACAGGCATGAGCCACTGGTTCCGGCTTCATTGGTCATTTGTACACTTTATCAGAGCCAAAAGGCCGAGAAGCGATCATTCATTGGTCATTTGCATATCTTCTTCTGTAAATTACTTATTCATATTTCTTGCCATGTACACAAAAATAAAACATTTATTTTTCTCTGGGTTGCTTTTCTTTTTCTGATCACTTGTTATAAACTATTCTCATTGCTTATCAAAAAGCTTTATTTTGCCGGGCGTGGTGGCTCATGCCTGTAATCCCAGCACTTTGGGAGGCCGAGGAGGGTGGATTGCCTGAGGTCAGGAGTTCGAGACCAGCGCCAACATGGCAAAACCCTGTCTCTACTAAAAATACAAAAAGATTAGCCATGCAGGGTCATGTGTGCCTGTAATCCCAGCTACTCAAGAGGCTGAGGCAAGATAATTGCGTGAACCTAGGAGGTGGAGATTGCACTGAGCCGAGAGCGCGCCACTGCACTCCAGCCTGGGTGACAGAGTGAGGCTCTGTCTCAAAATAAAAAAAAAAAGCTTCATTTTGCAAACCCTTCAATCCTGCAATCTTACCTCAAGGAAGGAAATAATTGGTCAAATATGCAAATATGTACGTACAAGGGACTTAGCGCACATTGTTTATAACATACAAATATTTGGAAGCAATTTAAAGTCCAAGAACAGAGAAGCAGGTAAATGAACTATAGTAAATCCAGACAGTGGAAGAAGATGCAACAGTTAAAAATGATGATATATTTCTATGGATTCTATATTTATTGGTATAGAAAGAGATTTATAACAATAAGGTTAAAAATTTTTATAAAGCACTTTGTTAGTATGCTCTCATTCTAGTAAATATACATTTATGTATATAATAACATATATATCATCTGAAAGAATATATTCCAATGTATTTAACATGGTTATTTGTGGGTAGTATAATTATAGATTTTTTAAAAAGTGTTTTTAATTTTGTCTTATTTTTGTACAATTAAAAATTTTTGTTTACATTTAAAAAAAGGAAAAATGTTCTCAGAATTGAACCCAACACTCAAATCAGGTTACAGTGAAACCATTGAGTCCCCCAATCAATGCAGGGAATGAGACCTAGCTTTCCATTAGCTTTTGGGGCAGCTTCATTCCTTTACTGCCATAAACAGAGCTTCTAGCCCACTAAAACCTTCACATCGGTTTAATCTTTTCACATCAACTGCCATTGCTTTACTAGTTTGGTTCATTTTTTTCTATCTTTTTTTTTTTTTTTTTTGGAGACATGGTCTGACTGTGTTGCCCAGGCTGTGGTGCAGTGGCACTCCATAGCTTCATAGCTCACTGCAGCCTTGAACTTCTGGGCTCAAGCAATCCTTCTGCCTCAGCCTCCCGAGTAGCTAGGACTACAGTCACATGCCACCATGCCCAGCTAATTAAATTTTTTATTTTTATTTTTACTTTTAGCTATGGAGTCTTGCCATATTGCCCAGGCTGGTCTTGAACTCCTGGGCTCAAGCGATCCTCCTGCCTCAGTCCCCTAAAGTGCTGGGATTACAGGCGTGAGCCACCACACTCGGCCGAGGTTCATTTTTCTCATGTGAAAGACTTGACATTCATCTCTGCCCACACTTTGATCATATCAGAAAACAACCTGTGCAGCCGCTTTCTGATTGCTGAAGCCGCTTCATTCTTCCTCAGCAGGACCCTTTGAGATACAATTGAAACTTCATGTTTGAGAATGCCCTGTCCCTTTTAAGCACTATAGATAATTTTCCTTGGAACATTCTGAAATCTGACTTCCTGAAATCTATAAAAATTACATCTGACAATCTTTTTTCAATATTCTAGTAAACGCAATTGTGAGTAGAGCAAGAATTTACTAGGTGCTCTGCTTCTGGCAGAAAGAGACTCATGTTAGTGTCCTGATTCTTGGAGACCTCTGGCACTACTGTAACTTGCTTTTGATGTTTGGCAGTCTGAACTAAGAAAGCAGCATCTGTGTCCTCCAATTATCTTAGTATCTATTTCTGTTTGTTTCTCCTTTTATCCCCATCCAAACATTTCCACCTTCAGTTCTGTGGTTTCCTTTTTGGCATACATGCTATTGTTGAGTCCCTTCAATTAGATTCACTTCCTCTGAACAGCGTTATCTTTCCACGGTCCCCTCCAGTCATGGGATCCACATGATTGACTTATCTATCTTCTTGTCATAAAATTCAAGTTCCTCTCCCACTCTGGTCTTCTGTAATATAGCCAGCACTCCCCAGACTTTAGGATTTTAATAATATTAATTACAAATACAGGAAAAAATTCTAAAATTGATATGTTTGGAAACAAAAAATGACATTCCCTCTCACCCCCAAACAATCGTAGAATATCAGCATCTTTTTATAAAATAACAATAGTTTAATCCTGAAAGGGTTAGAAAGGATATAATTTCAGAATTTAAAAATACTAAAAAAAAAAAGGCACTATTTTGTTATGAACCAGAAATACTTTATCATGGACCAGCTCCAGTCTGTGGATCTATGTAGGAAGCCACTGCTATAATATATGGTTTTGCAGTTACATTTGGACACTTTCCTTGAACATTTTAGAAAGTACATGATGCCCAGTTTTTGTGTTAGTTACCTCATAATTTATCAGAGGCCCATAAATCTATCATAAGTTGTGAGCCCTCTCAAAAATTCTTTTCCCAGACACAACACATGGTGTCAGCTGGTCAAACTGAGAAGATGAAAATATCACCTCTAACGCCATATCCTTCAGGATCCTTTTCAGCCACTAGCATGTCTCAGGATTCTTCTGGTTGTGTGTGATTTGTTCTCATATTGTTATAGTTTGGATATCTGACTCTTCAAATCTCATGTTGAAATTTGATCCCCAATGTTGAGATGGGGCCTAATGGGAGGTGTCTGGGTCATGGGGCAGATTCCTCATGAATGGCTTGGTGCTGTCTGTGTGGTTATGAGTGAGTTCTTGTTCTAGCAGTGCCTGGGAGAGATTGTTAAAACAAGCCTGGCACCTCACTTGTTTCTCTCTGGCCTGCGCTGCCTTGTCATGTGATCTCTGCACACTCCAGCTCCCCTTACCCTTCCAGCATGAGTGGAAGCTTCCTGAGGCCCTCACCAGAAGCAGATGCTGATGCCATGCTTCTTGTACAGCCTGCAGAACTGACAGGTTTTCTTTTCTTTATAAATTACCTGGCCTCAGGTATTCCTTTATAGCAGAAGAAACAGACTAAGACACATATATACCAACTAAAATATGTGGTTGCTGAATTATCACAAACTCTCCATTAGGCCTCAGAATATTCCAGGAAGAAGGAGCATCAGCCATCAGTAAGGTGAAGTCTACAGATCTCCTAGGCCTTTAGCAGAGTCACCAACCAAGATAATGGGGTCCTTGTGGGTTGGGGAACAGACTCTGTGCACCTGCTGACATCTGTTAATCCTCCTTAGTATTCTCTCCAGGAATGAGGAAGGTCTTTCCTCCTTAACCCTAGTGAAGAGTGATATTTAGCAGGATGATGACAAAGATCTGTCTAGCATAACAATGCTGAACTTATACTATGAAAAACACTTGGGGTGGAGCCAAGATGGCCGAATATGAACAGCTCCAGTCTACAGCTCCCAGCGTGAGAGACGCAGAAGACGGGTGATTTCCGCATTTCCAACTGAGGTACCAGGTTCATCTCACTGGGGAGTGTTGGATAGTGGGTGCAGGAGAGTGGGTGCAGCGTACCGAGCGTGAGCCGAAGCAGGGCAAGCCATCGCTTCACTTGGGAAGTGCAAGGGGTCAGGGAATTCCCTTTCCTAGTCAAAGAAAGAGGTGACAGACGGCACCTGGAAAATTGGGTCACTCCCACCCTAAAACTGTGCTTTTCCAATGGTCTTAGCAAACTGCACCCCAGGAGATTATATCCCGTGCCTGGCTTGGAGGGTCCTATGCCCACGGAGCCTCACTCATTGCTAGCACAGCAGTCTGAGATCAAACTGCAAGGTGGCAGTGAGGCTGGGGAAGGGGCGCCCGCCATTGCCAAGGCTTGAGTAGGTAAACAAAGTGGCCGGGAAGCTCGATCTGGGTGGAGCCCACCGCAGCTCAAGGAGGCCTGCCTGCCTCTGTAGACTCCACCTCTGAGGGCAAGGCATAGCCAAACAAAAGGCAGCAGAAATCTCTGCAGACTTAAATGTCCCTGTCTGACAGCTTTGAAGAGAGTAGTGGTTCTCCCAGCACGCAGCTAGAGATCTGAGAACAGACAGACTGCCTCTTCAAGTGGGTCCCTGACCCCTGAGTAGCCTAACTGGGAGGCACCCCCCAGTAGGGGCAGACTGACACCTCACACGGCCGGTTAATCCTCTGAGACAAAACTTCCAGAGGAACGATCAGGCAGCAACATTTGCTGTTCACCAATATGTTCTGCAGCCTCCTCTGCTGATACCCAGGCAAACAGGGTCTGGAGTGGACCTCCAGCATACTCCAACAGACATGCAGCTGAGGGTCCTGACTGTTAGAAGGAAAACTAACAAACAGAAAGGACATCCACACCAAAACCCCATCTGTACATCACCATCATCAAAGACCAAAGGTAGATAAAACCACAAAGATGGGAGAAAAACTGGAAACTTTAAAAATCAGAGTGCCTCTCCTCCTCCAAAGGAATGGAGCTCCTCACCAGCAACGGAACAAAGCTGGATGGAGAATGACTTTGACAATTTGAGAGAAGAAGGCTTCAGATGATCAAACTACTCCAAGCTAAAGGAGGAAGTTCAAATCCATCACAAAGAAGTTAAAAACCATGAAAAAAAATTAGACGAATTGCTAACTAGAATGACCAATGCAGAGAATTCCTTAAAGGACCTGATGGAGCTGAAAACCACAGCACGAGAACTACGTGACGAATGCACAAGCCTCAGTAGCCGATTCGATCAACTGGAAGAAAGGGTATCAGTGATGGAAGATGAAACGAATGAAATGATGCAAGAAGAGAAGTTTAGAGAAAAAAGAATAATAAAAAAAAAAAACGAACAAAGCCTCCAAGAAATATGGGACTATGTGAAAAGACCAAATCTACGTCTGATTGGTGTACCTGAAAGTGACGGAGAGAATGGAACCAAGTTGGAAAACACTCTGCAGGATATTATCCAGGAGAACTTCCCCAATCTAGCAAGGCAGGCCAACATTCAAATTCAGGAAATACAGAGAATGCCACAAAGATACTCCTTGAGAAGAGCAACTCCAAGACACATAATTGTCAGATTCACCAAAGTTGAAATGAAGGAAAAAATGTTAAGGGCAGCCAGCGACAAAGGTCGGATTACCTACAAAGGAAAGCCCATCAGACTAACAGCTGATCTCTTGGCAGAAACTCTACAAGCCAGAAGAGAGTGGGGGCCAATATTCAACATTCTTAAAGAAAAGAATTTTCAATCCAGAATTTCATATCCGGCCAAACTAAGCTTCATAAGTGAAGGAGAAATAAAATCCTTTACAGACAAGCAAATGTTGAGAGATTTTGTCACCACCAGGCCTGCCTTAAAAGAGCTCCTGAAGGAAGCACTAAACATGGAAAGGAACAACCGGTACCAGCCACTGCAAAAACATGACAAATTGTAAAGATCATTGAGGCTAGGAAGATACTGCATCAACTAATGAGCAAAATAACCAGCTAACATCATAATGACAAGATCAAATTCACACATAACAATATTAACCTTAAATGTAAATGGGCTAAATGCTACAACTAAAAGACACAGACTGGCAAATTGGATAAAGAGTCAAGACCCATCAGTGTGCTGTATTCAGGAAACCCATCTCATGTGCAGAGACATACATAGGCTCGAAATAAAGGGATGGAGGAAGATCTACCAAGCAAACGGAAAACAAAAAAAGGCAGGGGTTGCAATCCTAGTTTCTGATAAAACAGACTTTAAACCAACAAAGATCAAAAGAGACAAAGAAAGCCATTACATAGTGGTAAAGGGATCAATTCAACAAGAAGAGCTAACTATCCTAAATATATATGCACCCAATACAAGAGCACCCAGATTCATAAAGCAAGTCCTTAGAGACCTACAAAGAGACTTAGACTCCCATACAATAATAATGGGAGACTTTAACACCCCACTGTCAACATTAGACAGATCAATGAGACAGAAAATTAACAAGGATATCCAGGAATTGAACTCAGCTCTGCACCAAGTGGACCTAATAGATATCTACAGAACTCTCCACCCCAAATCAACAGAAAATACATTCTTTTCAGCACCACATCACACCTATTCCAAAACTGACCACATAGTTGGAAGTAAAGCACTCCTCAGCAAATGTAAAAGAACAGAAATTATAACAAACTGTCTCTCAGACCACAGTGCAATCAAACTAGAACTCAGGATTAAGAAACTCACTCAAAACTGCTCAACTACATGGAAACTGAACAACCTGCTCCTGAATGACTACTGGGTTCATAATGAAATGAAGGCAGAAATAAAGATGTTCTTTGAAACCAACGAGAACAAAGACACAACATACCAGAATCTCTGGGACACATTCAAAGCAGTGTGTAGAGGGAAATTTATAGCACTAAATGCCCACAAGAGAAAGCAGGAAAGATCTAAAATTGACACTCTAACATCACAATTAAAAGAACTAGAGAAGCAAGAGCAAACACATTCAAAAGCTAGCAGAAGGCAAGAAATAACTAAGATCAGAGCAGAACTGAAGGAAATAGAGACACAAAAAACCCTTCAAAAAATCAATGAATCCAGGAGCTGGTTTTTTGAAAAGATCAATAAAATTGATAGACCGCTAGCAAGACTAATAAAGAAGAAAAGAGAGAAGAATTAAATAGACACAATAAAAAATGATAAAGGGGATATCACCAGCGATCCCACAGAAATACAAACTACCATCAGAGAATACTATAAACACCTCTATGCAAATAAACTAGAAAATCTAGAAGAGATGGATAAATTCCTGGACACATACACCCTCCCAAGACTAACCCAGGAAGAAGTTGAATCTCTGATAGACCAATAACAGGGTCTGAAATTGAGGCAATAATAGCTTACCAACCAAAAAAAGTCCAGGACCAGATGGATTCACAGCTGAATTCTACCAGAGGTACAAGGAGGAGCTGGTACCATTCCTTCTGAAACTATTCCAATCAATAGAAAAAGAGGGAATCCTCCCTAACTCATTTTATGAGGCCAGCATCATCCTGATACCAAAGCCTGCCAGAGACACAACAAAAAAAGAGAATTTTAGACCAACATCCCTGATGAACATCGATGCAAAAATCCTCAATAAAATCCTGGCAAACCGAATCCAGCAGCACATCAAAAAATTTATCCACCATGATCAAGGGGGCTTCATCCCTGGGATGCAAGGTTGGTTCAACATACACATATCAATAAATGTAATCCAGCATATAAAGAGAACCAACGACAAAAACCACTTGATTATCTCAATAGATGCAGAAAAGGCCTTTGACAAAATTCAACAACACTTCATGCTAAAAACTCTCAATAAATTAGGTATTGATGGGACGTGTCTCAAAATAATAAGAGCTATCTATGACGAACCCACAGCCAGTATCATAATGAATGGGCAAAAACTGGAAGCATTCCCTTTGAAAACTGGCACAAGACAGGGATGCCCTCTCTCACCACTCCTATTCAACATAGTGTTGGAAGTTCTGGCCAGGGCAATCAGGCAGGAGAAGGAAATAAAGGGTATTCAATTAGGAAAAGAGGAAGTCAAATTGTCCGTGTTTGCAGATTACGTGATTGTATATCTAGAAAACCCCATCGTCTCAGCCCAAAATCTCCTTAAGCTGATAGGCAACTTCAGCAAAGTCTCAGGATACAAAATCAATGTGCAAAAATCACAAGCATTCCTATACACCAATAACAGACAGAAAGCCAAATCATGAGTGAACTCCCATTCACAATTGCTTAAAAGAGAATAAAATACCTAGGAATCCAGCTTACAAGGGACGTGAAGGACTTCTTCAAGGAGAACTATAAACCATTGCTCAATGAAATAAAAGAGGATACAAACAAATGTAAGAACATTCCATGCTCATGGGTAGGAAGAATCAATATCGTGAAAATGGCCATACTGCCCAAGGTAATTTATAGATTCAATGCCATCCCCATCAAGCTACCAATGACTTTCTTCACAGAATTGGAAAAAATTACCTTAAAGTTCATATGGAAGCAAAAAAGAGCCCTCATTGTCAAGTCAATCCTAAGCCAAAAGAACAAAGCTGGAGGCATCATGCTACCTGACTTCAAACTATACTACAAGGCTACAGTAACCAAAACAGCACGGTACTGGTACCAAAATAGAGACATAGACCAATGTAACAGAATAGAGCCCTCAGAAATAATGCCGCATATCTACAACCATCTGATCTTTGACAAACCTGACAAAAACAAGAAATGGGGAAAGGATTCCCTATTTAATAAATGGTGCTGGGAAAACTGGCTAGCCGTATGTAGAAAGCTGAAACCGGATCCCTTCCTTACACCTTATACAAAAATTAATTCAAGATGGATTAAAGACTTAAATGTTAGACCTAAAACCATAAAAACCTGAGAAGAAAACCTAGGCAACACCATTCAGGACATAGGCCTGGGCAAGGACTTCATGTCTAAAACACCAAAAGCAATGGCAACAAAAGCCAAAATTGACAAATGGGATCTAATTAAACTAAAGAGCTTCTGCACAGCAAAAGAAACTATCATCAGAGTGAACAGGCAACCTACAGAATTGGAGAAAATTTTTGCAATCTACTCATCTGACAAAGGGCTAATATCCAGAATCTACAATGAACTCAAACAAATTTACAAGAAAAAAAACAAACAACCCCATCAAAAAGTGGGTGAAGGATATGAACTTCTGAAAAGAAGACAATTTATGCAGCCAAAAGACACGTGAAAAAATGCTCATCATCACTGGCCATCAGAGAAATGCAAATCAAAACCACAGTGAGATACCATCTCACACCAGTTAGAATGGCGATCATTAAAAAGTCAGGAAACAACAGGTGCTGGAGAGGATGTGGAGAAATAGGAACACTTTTACAGTGTTGGTGGGACTGTAAACTAGTTCAAGCATTGTGGAAGTCGGTGTGGCGATTCCTCAGGGATCTAGAACTAGAAATACCATTCGACCCAGCCATCCCATTACTGGGTATATACCCAAAGGATTATAAAACATGCTGCTATAAAGACACATGCACACGTATGTTTATTGTGGCACTATCACAATAGCAAAGACTTGGAACCAACCCAAATGTCCAACAATGACAGACTGGATTAAGAAAATGTGGCGCATATACACAATGGAGTACTATGCAGCCATGAAAAATGATGAGTTCATGTTGTTTGCAGGGACATGGATGAAGCTGGAAACCATCATTCTCAGCAAACTATCACAAGGACAAAAAACCAAACACTACATGTTCTCAGTCATAGGTAGGCATTGAACAATGAGAACACATGGACACAGGAAGGGGAACATCACACACCAGGGACTGTTGTGGGGTGGGGGGAGGGGGGAGGGATAGCATTAGGAGATATACCTAATGTTAAATGACAAGTTAATGGGTGCAGCACACCAACATGGCACACGTATACATATGTAACAAACCTGCACGTTGTGCACATGTACCCTAAAACTTAAAGTATAAAAAAGAAAAGTCAATATTATTATTATTATTATTTTGAGACAGAGTCTCGCTCTGTCGCCCAGGCTGGAGTGCAGTGGTGTGACCTCGGCTCACTGCAGCCTCGGCCTCCCGGGTTCAAGCGATTCTCCTGCCTCAGCCTCCCGAGTAGCTGGGACTACAGGTGCCTGCCACCACGCCCAGCTAATTTTTGTATTTTTATTAGTGATGGGGTTTCACCATGTTGGCTGGGCCGGTCTTGAACTCCTGACTTAGTGACCTGCCCGCCTTGGCCTCCCAAAGTGTTGGGATTACAGGCGTGAGCCACCGCGCCCAGCAAAAAACCGTCAATATTATAATAGCGAGAGGAGAATGTTTATCTTGAGATATTTCACCAGGATGGGGTTGAGACAGACCCTCAGAATCTCAAGTGGCTTTCTTGCTTCTGCCAGATAGACCAGGACCCTGAGGAAGGACAGAAAAGGAAGGGAGACTGAGAGAAAGGACCCTCCAGACCTCATCCGAGGACTCTGTATGAATTGAAAAGTCACAAAATGAGAAAAAATCTTGTGCACCATTCATTGGACATTGTGTTTGTTATCAGTTAAGAGTAGGAGTCTTAGGCTGGGCGCGGTGGCTCACATCTGTAATCCTAGCACTTTGGGAGGCCAAGGTGGGTGGACCACCTGAGGTCAGGAGTTCGAGACCAGCCTGACCAATATGGTGAAACCCCATCTCTACTAAAAATACAAAAATTAGCTGGGCATGGTGGCGGGTGCCTGTGGTCCCAGTTACTCAGGAGGCTGAGGCAGGAGAATTGCTTGAACCTGGGAGGCAGAGGTTGCAGCGAGCCGAGACTGCACCATTGCATTCCAGCCTGGGCAACAGAGTGAAAAAAAAAAAAAAAAAAAAAAGAGTAGGAGTCTTTTCTATCTGGCCATGAACTGTACCTGCAGGGTCATGGATCAGAATGGAAAGAGGTACTCATCAAGATTTCACCACCGTTTTGGCAATGAAACCAGACTACATTTTTAGCACACATACTTTGGTGTCTATACCGAGGAGGAAGTTAAATTTAGCACATTTTCTGCTAGTCGCTGAATACTGCAGTACCACCTGGGTCTTAAGTTGAGTCACAGTCCTTTTAATGTCTGTCTGTGGAATCTCTCCTTTTAAACTGCTAGGCATTTGAGGAGCCTGGATTTATGGTTCAAACTGTCACCATAAATCCTTAGTGCCCACCCAGAAACTGTGCTGATTGGGTAGAATGTTCATAGTAATTTCTTAGTCCCACCTAGTGGAATGTTAGGAATGTTCCTGTCAGATGGGGTGTGTGTCTGCGTGCTGGCTTGTGCCCATGCGTGCAGACCATGTAGTATAAACAGGGGACTCTGGGTGACCTTTCTCAGACTCTTCTTGCGTCTGCTCCTGAAGAATGTGTTTGCCTCGTGTTGAGTTGGAAAAAGCAGATCAGCATGTTGTGCTACCTCCAAAAAAAAAAAGTGATTCTGGAGCAAGCAGAATGAACTCTCAGGGGCACAGGCCCTACTCTACCCAGCCTTCTGGGTCAAATGTCAGAGACAGAGTCCCTTAGACCAGTTCCTGCAGACACAGGGCACCAGAATCTCCTAGGAATGTGTTTAAATGTAGATTTCACGGTCAGACTCCATTCAGGTTAACCAGATCAAACTCTAGGGAATACAGCTCAGGAATCTATATTTAAAAAAAAATACCCCCAGGTTGTTTTGTTATGTGACTGGGTTTGGTAACCACTGCCTCACTTGGCCCGTTCTTCAAGAGGGTGGTAGGGTCATGCAGTGTTGATATTAAGTCTTTTAGATTTTACCATCTAAGCATCTTTTGCATTTTTCCCCTCTCTGTGTCCATTAGCCCCTAGCCAAGTCCAAACTACCATCAGCTCTGGCCTGGACCACTGCAGCAGCCTCAAAGTTCTCATCCCCCTCTCATCTGAACTCCACAGAGCAGCCAGAATGGCTCTTTCAATCTCAGGCTGATTTTGTCACACTCCCTACCCCACCCTGACCCCCATTCATTTCCTTCCATTGCTTTTTAGAATGAACACAACATTCTTCATGTGGCCAGAGGATCTGCTGAGCTGGTCCCTACTGATCTCACCAGACTTCTCTCCCAGCCACCTGCCTTTGCAGTCGCCCCTCTCTCCAGACAGTCCTTCCCCTTTCCCTGGTCCTGCCTTCAGGCACAGCTGCCATCACTTCTGCAGGAGGTTTTCTCAATTCTCACGGGTAGCACTTTAGCAATTTTACATTGATTTACATAATATTTTGACTAGGTGCATCTCTTTGAGTGAACTGGAATTTCTCACAAAGGCAGACACTCTCTGTTTCTTCACTATTGCAGCCCTAGTGGTTGGCATGTAGTAAGCTCTATATACCTGCCTTCTCCTCCCTATAAAAATCCTCAGAGAAGACACAGGGTCCTGAGATGGATCAGAACTTTGTAATTATATTCAGGAGGAGTTCTGTCTATTCATTCATCATGACATGTGTAGTATCATGTGCTTTTTTTTTAAAATTTAGGTTTAATACATTTTCAATCAGCCTATGCACATGGAATATGCGCCATTTAGAACCGTGGAATTCTGGGCCCAGCTGGACTCAGCCAGCACAGAGCAAGCACTGTTAGTAATGATTTGAACACTTTTTTGAATACTTGGTATATCTCACTTCCCGTGGCATGATGAAAACAAACATTTATTGAACACGAACTATGTGCTAGATGTACCCTTTGTCTTTATGTTGCTTATGGTCTGGGGAGGAAAGAGACGCTAAACAAGTAACCACAAGTTTATAAGTTTTACAAAAGGGGCAGATGATATGCCACAGAGATGCAGAACAGAGGGGTCCGAGTCTAGTTTAGGGAATCAGGGGAAGGCATCTCTGCATAAGGAATATTTGAGCTGAGATCCAGAGGATGAGAGGAAGTTAGAGCAGGATGCAGGGAGCAGTACATGTGTGGGCTTCCCTTGAACTTAGGAAGAAAGGGTGTCTAATGGGCAGCAGGAAGTACTAAGTTCCACCTCTCTACTGTGAACTGGGGCTTGCCCCATCCACACTGTGGATCTCGACTCCTCATTTGTCATGAGTGGTTGGCTGAGAGGGCCTGTGCTGACCTGGACTCTGGGCTGGGTCTAGCGGGCAAACGCCACACTAAAAGGAGAAGGAGTCGTGGGTAGGCAGGCAACCCTCAGGACTCCCTTCTCTCAGGCATCACACAGGCTGTTGCGAATTCAGCACCACCAGTGATCAGAGCAATTTTAAACATCATCCCCACCGGTAATTTTTACTCGTTTCTTTATTAATATAGAAAAGGAGCCCAGGGCAGCTGGACCAGTAGTACAAAGCACCAGGAGTTAATACCATTCTGGTGAAGGGGATGGTTTTACAAAAGTGAAGGAGCAGGCAGGAGCCACCAGGTTCTGAGGCCAGGCCCAGCCTACTGCCCAGAACCCCTGAAACGGCTCCCTGGGAAAAAGCTGACAGATGGGTCAGGGGTGGATTGAGCTGGAAACCATGGGGACAGATGGCAGGGATAGAGGGTCATGCAGTGGGAACCACCCAGTGGCTGATAAGGACAGGGAACTTGTGGCTGGAGGCTCCCCATTGGGCCATGGGCAGGGGCTTGCAGATGGCCTCAGCTCTGGGGGCAGGTAGAGAAACTGCAGAGACTGATGGGCATGGAGAACCCAGACATGGCCCTGGGGCTGAAGGGCCTTTCCACCCTCTCTTCACCAGGAGCCACCTTTGCTCTATACTACATATGGGGCTTCAGGGCCCAAGGCACAGGGGAGGCTCAGAGGCCTCCAGTTGGGAGGAAGATGGGGCAAGGAAGGAAGCACTTGAGTGTCCCTAGCTTAGGCAGCCGGGGATGAGACACAGGCAGGACAACAGCACCCCCGCATAGTGGGGCTAGAATGTGGGACAGGGACGGGCTTATCCTCGGCCAGTGACTAGGACCAGCCCCATGGCAATGGTGCCTGTCTCCAGCCTTAGCAAATCAAGTGTGCAACAAGCACAGGGTGTCGGCAGACCTGGGCTCTAGCCTTACAAGCTCTGCCAGAACTTGAATCACACAGAGCTGTATCACCATGGTCCAGCCATGTCCTGCCTTGGCCTGTTTCCTCCTCTGTCAATGAGGGCTTTGAATAAGACCTCCTAGGTCATGAAAAGGACTCTGCAGGTGAAGGGAACTCCAGGACCTGCTCTTGGCAGTTAAGCAGACCCTGGATGGAACTGGTATGGGATGGGGTGAAGTGGGGGATGGAGGAGGAAGGTGTTCTTGCATGGAACCTATCCCCACAAACACTACAGAGTGAGGAAAGGCCACTGGAAGCCCTTCTTTGCCCAGAGGAAGAAAGGCCACAGAGAGAGTGAATGTGGCTTGGTGCAATCCCTTCACATCCTCCACCATCTGGGTAACACTTGGCAAGGAGTGGATGGGTGGCATTGTGCAACCCTTTATGTTCTTCCCTGGGGGTGGCACTCAAGGCCTCTTGTGGCTTCTGCCTTCAGCCTTCAGTGTAGGGTCAAGAGTGTTCTTTTCACTGTCGTCCTGTTCTGGGAACAGCACAAGACTCTGCCTGGCTGGCACATGTTAGTTGGTGAGGAAAGGACAGAGTGGGTGAGTAAGCAGACAGGGAGGTAAGAGTGACTCTCTGGCTTTCTCCTCTTCCTCTTCAGAGAGCAGCTCAATCAACTGAGTCGCAGATCTCCTCCACCACAGCATTGAAGATGTGTGGCTGGTCAGCATAGACATGGTGGGAGGCACCCTTAATCTCCTGTGGAGAGAGAACCCGCAGGGGTGGGATGGCCTTTTATTCCTGGTGCTGGGAAGCCTTCACGCTATTTCTTTTCCCCTTAGACTTGCTTGCCTGCCACCCACGAGCTCTTATCAGAGATAATGCTCCACCTTTCTCGCTTGGATCTTGGTATTTTCCTTTGACAGCCAATGCTTTCCCATTCTACTTACTTGATAAACATTCACTGTGTCTTTCCTTCTGTGTTAGCCCCACCACTGATCTGCTCATTTAATCCAAAGGTCCAGTAAACCTGGGCCCATGGTTGGCACCCAGCCTCATTAAGCACACTCATTGGCACATGGCGGAGAGGGGTAAGAAAAAAGGGGAGGAGGTGTGGTGGGGAAGCTTCATGGCAGCCTCTACTATTCACTCTACTGCCCATGGCTCTGGTTTTGGGGTAGAAACTACATGGGGGCTGGAGTAGCAGCAGGTGCCTGGCTGCTAGACAAGAACCAGCCTTTTAGCTGAACTGGGCTAAAAGCAGGAAGCCCCTAATGAAGGTAGTACAATACGAGCACTTTGGGAGGCCAAGGTGGGCGGATCACGTGAGGTCAGGAGTTCGAGACCAGCCTGACCAACATGGAGAAACCTCGTCTCTACTAAAAATACAAAATTAGCTGGGCGTGGTGGCGCATGCTAATAATCCCAGCTACTCGGGAGGCTGAGGCAGAAGAATCGCTTGAACCCGGGAGGCGGAGGTTGCAGTGAGCCGAGATTGTACCATTGCCCTCCAGCCTGGGCAACAATAGCGAGACTCCATCACGAAAAAAAAAAGATATTCCAAAGAGAGTTTCCAAACTTCTCAAATCTACTGCTCTATCTCAGTCTGTCCATTCCTCTTTCTCCTTGATCACCCTTCTCTACCCCAAGGCTGAGAGGTGATTGACTCTCAGTCATCATTTCCACTCCTTGGGTGGTGCAACATACCATGTCTCGGACATAGGAATCCGGCCGCTGCATCTTCACCTTTTTTCCCGTACTGGTATCTATCCAGGTGTCGGACCCGTAGATCATAGTGATAGGCACATCTTTTCGAATCAAGTGAATTCGCTCCAGCATAGGGCGCCGGGCCCAGCCAAAGGACTCCATCATGGCTTTGAATGCTGTCTCACCACTGTCAAAAGCAAAACAGCAATAAACTTCACAGCAGAATATGTCAACTTGTTGGTCTCTTCAGAGACTGAGGCAGAATCTTAGTCACCTTTGTATTCCTGTCAAAGCCCCACACTGGGCTCATTAAATATTGGTAAGATTAGGGGAAGACCAAAATTCCAGAGGCCTCCCATCACAGAAGAGTTCGGAGGAACACTTGTGAAAAACCCCATGGCAGTACGAACTGTCCAAGAATCTGAGAATGAAATGGGTTATTATTGACTCAACAAATATTCTGTCATGCCCTGGACTGGGAAAGGGGACATATGAACAAGAAAGGCAGGATGCTGTCCCTCCTGGAGCTCACACACTTTAGCTCATGTGTTAGGGAGGTAGGCATTAAGTAACTAATCATATGATTAATTGTTATTTAATTTAAAATTTCTTGGGCTGGGCACGGTGGCTCACACCTGTAATCCCAGCACTTTGGGAGGCCGAGGCGGGCGGATCATTTGAGGTCAGGGGTTTAAGACCAGCCTGGCCAACATGGTGAGACCCTGTCTCTACTAAAAATACAAAAATTAGCGGGGCGTGGTGGTGCGCTTCTGTAATCCCAGCTACTCAGGAGGCTGAGGTAGGAGAATTGCTTGAGCCTGGGAGACAGAGGTTGCAGTGAGCCAAGATCACGCCACTGCACTCTAGCCTGGGTGACAGAGCGAGACTCTGTCTCAAAAAAACAAACGAACAGCCAGGCATGGAGGCTCATGCCTATAATCCCAGCACTTTGGGAGGCTGATGCGGGCAGATCACCTGAGGTCGGGAGTTCGAGACCAGCCTGGCCAACATGGTGAAACCCATCTCTACTAAAAATACAAAATTAGCCAGGCATGGTGGTGCATGCCAGCAATCCCAGCTACTTGGGAGGCTGAGGCAGGAGAATCGCTTGAACCTGGGAGGCAGAGGTTGCAGTGAGCCGAGATCGTGCCATTGCACTCCAGCCTGGGCAATGAGCAAACCTCCATCTCAAAAACAAACAAACAAACAAACAAAAAACAACTTAAAATTTCCCAAGAAGGATGAAAAGGTGGTCGAGTGCTATGAAAACACAGACTGGGGATTTAGCCTGTTGGGGGTCTAGAGACATGGTCAGAAGTTCATCTGAGGTGAACGCTTAAAAGTGAGTACTATAGTAGTAAAAAGGGCTTCCTGAGAAGACTCTGGAATTAAAAATCAGTCTTCCAAGGGCTGGGGGAGCAGCAGTTTCTGTTAAGCAAGAAACAACAAATGCCAATGTAATCTATTTCACTCCCCGGTCATTTGCTCAGGTAGAATGAATTGAGGCCGTATCATGAGGTGTCCACAAGGCTGGGGCAGAGCCAGCTTTCTGGGGCTGGTCTGCAGCTTCTGCTAGAGATAGGGCAGGTTGGGGACACTGCTGCCTCCTAGGCTTGGCCTGTTTAGTACCATCAGATCTCCATTCTCTTTTACATGTACAGATGAAAGGGAACCTGAGTTCTGCCCAGGCCATCAGAAATAAATTTTTCCTTAAGATACTGCAGCACGGCAGAAAAAGCATGGAATTTGGAGTCAAATGAATTCAAATCCTCAGCTGTGTTTTCTTAGCAAGTCATGTAACCAGAATATACTTTAGTTTCCTCATCTATAAATGTAGAGTATTATACCTACTTCACTAGGACATCATTAGGAAAATAAAAATATATACAAAGCCCCTAAGTTTAGGTGAGATGAAGTAGATACCCTCAAACATGTTGGTCAAATTTCATGTTTTCCAAGGAAATGATAAGAGTTACCATGAGCTTGTCAGGGTTACAAAGTCAAAAAACTCAGGGAGTTACAAAATTGAGTGACGGTGTTTGGGGGTGAGGGAGCTGGTTGTCACTGATGTCACCTTTGCTTCCTCTGGGATGTGAATGAATTATAAACTTATATACTCTGTGGCTTAGGTTGGGAGGACATTGTACAGAACTAGGTCTGGGATGGGGAAAGTTCTGGGGAAAGGGCTAGGGCTGGGCCTGTGGGGCCTCAGGTGGGTATGAGACAGGCACTGAGCCCATGGGGGCTGAGAGAAGGGCCAACGGCAGGAAGACAGGGGAACCTGATTTGACTGCTGAGCTGGGAGTTTCTATACTACTGTTTGATCAGGGTTCTTCAATTAGCTGAGCTCATGTGGAATGCTGGACAGACAGCTCACACACTGCCCAACAGCTGTTGGGGTTTGAGGTTAATGTTCAGACAGTATTGCTGGAATGCAAATCTCTGCCTTTCTCATGGCTTTGGGCTCCCAACAAGTGACTTGGACAGCCCTAGAAAGGAGTAGGGCAGTAAGCTTGCCTTTGCTGAGATACCTCCCAGCAGCTCGGGGTGTCACCAACATGGCCTCGTGGTATCAGCCAGTCACAGGGCACTTCCACATAAGAGGATTACCTCCCTGACTGCCCTGCCATCCACGGTGCCCAAACTGCAGGTAGGTAGGCTTGTGGGGCCTGCTGTGTAAATAAGCAGCCCCAGATAGGAACTTTTCAAAGTTCTCGAGACACCCCCAAATCTCCCAAAGATGCAAAAAAATTTCTGTCTCAATGATAAGGCATTTCAAATGCACATAATTAAATTTTAAAATGCATGCTCTTTCATTGAGAAATTCTATTGGTAGTAATGTGTTCAACAGATACAGTCACATGTGTGTACAAAGGAATATGTACATGGAGGCCCTCTGAAGAAATGGTACATGTGCTATGTTAGACTGGAAATAATAAGGAAATGTAGGGACTACAGGCCCGGGACAGGAGAAGACTTCCTTTCCTTTTGAAAAATATCATGTTTTTGCTAATTATTTTTGACCTAAAAAAAGAAAAAAAATACCATGTTTGTATCAATTTTTCAGTTAAAAAAATCTTTTAAAATATTAATATTTTCCAGACTCTTGTTCATCAGGCCAATTGCATACCTGTAGGGAACAGGGAGGGCCTTCCTCTAGAGATGGGCAGCATGTTTAATTAATCTATTATCTTCTGTATTCCTTTGTGTCTGTCCCTGGGGAACTCTCTGGAAATGATCAGGCTTGCTAGTGCCTGTGTTTACCTAACTGAGTCAGAGCTTTGTTGAAGAAGAAATAAAGCCCAGAACTCCAGCAGCTAAGAGTTTTATCTCCTAACAACTGTCTGCCCCAAGCTGGCCTGGGGAGCGGCCCTCACCTGGGATTCTGTGCGTTGCAGTGGTAAATATACTCTGATATGGTATCATCTTCAAAGAAGTCTGCAAACTTGCGTTTGAAGTCCGGCCGGAATCGCTGCACCAGACCAGGCCCTGGGAGGGGATAGAAAAACACAGACAGGCCAATTTGGGAGGTGGGGCAGGGAAGACTCCTGCCTGTGTATGTTTTGAGAACTTTAACTAAACCTTATTTCTCCTAAGGGTTTGTTTGCTTTATTCATTTAACACTACAGCGGCAGAAAGAGTGCAGGAATCTACTGGGAAGGTCCAGGTGACTTCAAATCACAAAGTCAGCTCATTACCAGAGAATTTAGAGACAATCTAACAACACTGAGGAGCCAGGTTGTTTTCAGCTCAATGAAGCCCCGAGATCTTTCCCTGCAAGAATCACAAGCCCTCCCCATCAGAATCCATGGCTGAGATGCTCTTCTCTTATAGCCTGAGCTATGTTCTCCTTCTCCCAGACACCCTTATGGCCTTTTAATCTTCTGATGGTAGCGGATGGAACTAGACCACCTCCCGACAGCGCTCTCATTTTCAGGCCTGTATTAGAATATGTGGAGAGGTGAACTAAACACAATCGTGTCTCAGACTCAGGGCACTGTTTTACAACAATCTGTTCGTTTCACCTCATTATGGTATACATACATGCAACAACAGACTGTAAAAATGAGGTCTACTGGTCAACTTCTGATCCCTGATCTCTCTCTTTCTCTCTGGTCTTCTCTCTGTTTATGAGAAGCAAGAGGGAGGTAAGAAGGGGCTGGGTTGGGGGTGCCATGAGGATCTGCATGGGCCTGGCCCTCCCTCCTGCATAGTCCCTCATGGCTGCTGGCCAACTTCCCCAACTATGATAGCTCTGATGCTCCTGCATGAGCCTGGCCAGAGGTGAGAATAGGGGAGAGTAGCTCGAGCAGACCTTCTTTTTGGCAAAGGACTATAGACTCTGTTGGAGACCACGGTGCTGGGAGCCTCTGCCCACTTACTGTCCTTTGGCACCCGTGTCTTGGTATCCTTCCTCTCTCTCAGAACTCCTAAACTCCTATCTTCTAATCAAATGCTTTTTTTCTTTATCTGGAATCATTCTGTTTTTCTTGAAGGACCTAGAGAGATAACTCTTACTTAGCCATCAGCAATTAACTCATAATAATTGGCTATTGAATATTACTCTGTAAGCACAATCATCAGTACAAGACAGGCATCACCAATCTTTTCCATTGGAAAAGATTGCACTTTTCTGCTTTGCACTTCATCAGAGTAAAAAGCTCCCCAGCGGAGAAGGGTGCTGGCAGTGTGAGGTCAGAAGGCTGGAGATATTGATACTATTCATTATGGCTAGCTCCCCATGGTCCTCCACCTCCTTTTCTCCCTTTTACCCACAGAATTTGCTGACAGCTACCAAGTGCTAGGTGACACAGAGCAGGTGAAGATGTGGTGCTTGCCTGGACAAGTGCATGGTTCAGAGGGGCTTGCCTGCCACTGTGGGTTATGTTGGAGGCTTTGGTTCTGACCTCTCCCTGCTGCAGGTGTTGGGTGAACCACAGGGATGGGATCCAGTGGTTACTGGGCATGAATCACCAGCAGGTTTTCATAAAATTTCACACAGATTGGGTGTGGTGGCTCATGCCTGTAATCCCAGCACTTTGGGAGGCTGATGCGGATGGATCACTAGAGGCTAGGAGTTCAAGACCAGCCTAGCCAACATGGTGAAACCCCGTCTCTACTGAAAACACAAAAATTAGCCAGGTGTGGTGGGGTACACCTGCAGTCCCAGCTACTCAGGAGGCTCAGGCAGGGGAATGGCTTGAACCCAGGAGGCGGAGGTTGCAGTGAGCTGAGATCACACCACTGCACATCAGCCTGGGAGATAGAGTGAGACTCTGGTAGCTATTCTGCTCCACCTGTTCCTGGCATAGGAAAAGCTTTTCCCATGCCGATGAAGAGAAAAAATACAAAAAACAAAAAACAGGCCAGGCGCGGTGGCTCACGCCTGTAATCCCAGCACTTCGGGAGGCCGAGGCAGGCGGATCACGAGGTCAGATCGAGACCAGCCTGGTTAACACGATGAAACCCCGTCTCTACTAAAAACACAAAAAATTAGCCGGGCATGGTGGCAGGTGCCTGTAGTCCCAGTTACTTGGGAGGCTGAGGCAGGAGAATGGCATGAACCTGGGAGGCGGAGCTTGCAGTGAGCCGAGATCGCACCACTGCACTCCAGCCTGGGTGACAGAGCGAGACTTTGTCTCAAAAAAACAAAACAAAACAAAAAAACAAAAAACCTTCTCAAACCTTGAACAAAGTGATCTGGTTCAGATTAACAGCTTTAAATAACAAGGCTAGGCCAATTTCCACTTTTTAGGAATAAGTGGGAAAGACACTGTGGGCCTTCTAGAACGTTATAGCCTTCCTTTAAGGAGATACTACAGGCTACTCACCCCAGGGCCCAGCTACTCGAAGAACAGCCAATGGATTGGAACGTCCTAGGACAGATGCCACGGCTTTGACCCAGGCTGGGGGTGCACGGATCTCACTGGGGTTAGTTGGTCGGAGGGGAAAGCCCCATGGGTCCACCAGGATGAGGTGTTTAACTCTATGTTAAAGGCGGAAAGAGGAGAAGACACATTATATTCTCTGGTAGTTGCCATAGCCCCTTAAATCGCCTGGGAATGAGAGAAGTTTGGAAATGAATACTGGAAAGTTCCCAGTAAGGCCAGGAATTAGGTCACGAGGGATGGAGCCATCTCCTTATTACCTATCAGGGTACTTGATTGAGTAAGAAGTGGCCAGGAATCCTCCCAAACTGTGCCCCAGGAGGATCATGCTGGGGATCCCCATGGTCTCCCGCCATGTCTCTATCGATGTCACAAACTCATCCTCAGCCCCCTCCGGGTCCCTTGGGAATGCTGGCCTTGAGCTTCGCCCGAAGCCAAGCAGATCGAAGGTGTGCAGTGTGCGGCGGGCACTCAGTGAGTCCATGTTGAGGATCCAGAGACCCACGCCGCCCCCAAAACCATGCACCATCACCAAGGGGGTGCGGTCGTTTTGCTCGGGGCTCACAGTCACCGTCCAGATCTTATTCTGGTTTGGGAGGGATACATATCTGGCCAGGAACTTATTCTGGAGACCTGGGGAGGAAAGAATCCCATGGTAAGTCAATAAGTGTTTCCTGACGGCATCATCATTTTGCCTGGACTACCACTCTTCACATTCTCTCCATTCCCGAACCCTCCCCAACTTCCCTCAGCTCCTTCCTCTCACAACCCTCTGACCACTGAAAACAACTCTCTCCTTAACCAAACTTTAGGCAAGCCCTTCTGAGCCCTCTTCTTGACTAGGCTTTGACCTTGGCCCCTGGCCTGTCTTCCAAATGTCTAGCTCAGTCTTAGCAAGAATCCTGCAAAGTCAGGATGAGTAAGTCATACATCAGTTAGTAAGAATTCCTTCATATTTGATCAAGTTCCTCATCCCTCACCTTTGACCTTCCTTCAGCAATGATCCTGTTAAACTGGTTTGAAAAGAACTCCCTTTATCTTTGATATCTCCCTTTATCTTTGATATCTCCTCAGCAATTTTCTATCCACTGACCCCCCTCACCATGCTGCTTGGTTATAAATCCCCACTAGTCCTTAATGTATTCAAGAGTTGAGCCTGATCTCTCTCCCCTATTGCAGTAGTTTTGAATGATCTTTACCGATTTAATCTGTCAGAATCACTTTTTCTTTAACACTACACACTCTAAAGAATTCAACTCCAATCACATTTACAGACCATGTAGTCTGTACATAATAAGCGGGACCGTCTTATCCCTTGAAACAGCGTGCCCAGCTCCCTTTAGCCCCAGGTGGTAGTGACACCACCAACCCCACAGAGCTCTTGCATCTATTGCTCTTGAACCTGTGTGTGCTTGGGGCTTGATGGATGGACAGAACTGTGGTCCAGCCAGTTGGAGGGAGTGATGGGTGTGGACTGAGCCTCGGGTGAGAGACTGAGGTGGGGCAGTGCTTGTTCTGCTGGTGTGACAGCAGTCTCCCGGGAAGAGCTGCCTGGGTGAAGCAGCCTGGATCCTGGACAGAGGCCTGAGAGCTCTGGCTGCTGTTTGTCTGCACTTACTCGGGCCCAGAAGAGAAAGGGTAGCTATGGCTGGGGCAGTAGGGGTGTGGTGAAGATCATAAGGGAAATATGGGAAGAAGTGGCTTAAGGGGCTTGTTTGAGCGAGTGGCTGCTGCCGCTAGTGGGATGCCCTGCTGCAATGTAACAGTGCCGATGACAGCTGGTCTGCAAACCACAAACTACTGTGGTAACCAGATAGGTGGGGGGCCAAAACCAGGTAGAACACAGGAATAGTAACATCAGAGAATGCAAGATTGCTGGCCAAGGATCTGCAGGTGGTAAATCTAAGAAGTACTTGTGTGGTGAGAAGAGAGGAGGGGAGGAAGAGAGAAATGGGGGAGAAGGAAGGAGGAAGGGGAGAATGTACGTGTTTGTGTGTGTTAGCCGGCACTGGCATAGGGTTTGAGGTGAAGTTGCAGGAAGTGGCAGGAACTATCCACATGGCTAGGGAGATGGTGAGGAAGCACTATTATCAGATATGGTGCCGTCTGTATGCACCTCTTCCCTCACACAACTGACATCCTTTCCTCCCACCCCATACACACTGTTAATTAGGAATCAGTGGGCTCAATGTAGCAGGCTCTGGGAAGATCCTGAATCCTTCTTGGGCTCCATGAGGGAGGTGGGACAAGCTGTCCATTCTACTTACACTGGAGGATCCTGGCTTCCACATTCTTCAGCTGAGACATGGAAGTGGGGCGCCACGTGGGCAGCCAGCTACTCAGCCAGCCTTGAGACCTGGGAGGAGGAGACAGAGACACTCATTGGCAACATTGGAAAGAAACATTGATGCTCTTAGCCTTGCTGAGAGTTACAAAAGAGTTCTCAGGAAGCAGGGTGTTTCCTAGCCTTGAGAGACCTGCCCCCCATGGCAGGCAGCAGTTCCCTAGCTACCTGATAGATTGTTTCTTTTTGGTAAATGGGTATTAACAACATGCCCCTTGTTTCAATAGATATTCAGAACATCCTGTATATAATACTTTAGAGTTTACAAAGCTCTGTCACATTTATTATCTCAGCTTTCTAATTTCTCCTTGTTACTGATTATCATAATTTATGTTCAAGGAGATTAAAGGGAGAGGCATCTTTTAACTAATGTTTCAGTTATCCTTTGCTGTCCCCAGTACTAGCTGTTCCTTAACAGTAGGACAAATTCCCATGCCATCTGCCCTACTGGCAGGGCACTGGTTGGTGTTTATGTATGCCCTCTTCCAAGCCCCTAGAAGTGTGGAATACTGTGTTGTGCCCAACTGATCTCTCAGGTAATCAATCAGTCCAACCCATGGAGATGGGGTAGGCAGGGAGGAGGAGGTGAGAGACCTGGATTCAAGTTCTGTTATGGTTCACTGACAGGACACAGGTTCCCTCTGGTCTTGTTTTCTAGATTGTAAAATGAGTAGAAAGCTCACCTATGTCCTCACCTCTAATGACATGCGGTAACACAGATAACTCATCCCGTTTTCTCCTTCATACCCAGGGACCTTAAGTCATTGCAAGGTAGAGGTTAAAAGCACCAGCTTTGGAATTACACACACACACACACACACACACACACACACACACACACACACACCCCCCTGCTGGACGTGAATCATAGTGTTATCATTGATGAGCAGAATGGTTTTGGCCCATTAAATAACCTGTCTTTGAGCATCTGTATATGTAAGGACACTTGTAAGATGCCCAGTACAAATGAGATGCTCAATGAATGACAGTTTGTATTATTCCTTGTTAACCCCATATGATATTTCTCTTTTCTTGAACTCTGCCTGAGTTACAGGACAGATATCTACAGCTATAGGAAGGGCCTGTGAACACTGGCATATTCAAGGTAGGGCACTCTAAGGGGGAGTGAGGGGAACCATGACCAAATCCCCTTGGCCCACACTGGGCATCCTGATACATCATTTGAAGCACAGAATTTTAAATTAGGATGTTTCCTTAGGAATCAACTAGTCTAGCCTCTGTATTTTACAGATGAGCAAACTGATGCCCAAAGAGGTCATACAAGTTAGAAAAAAAGAACCAGAACTAGAGCCCCTTATCTCAAATCCAGGTTTCTCTCCCTGAACCTTCCAGCCTCAGCTTTTCAAGGTCATGTACAAATATTCACAGAACATAACCACATTTTTACATTTATGTCTGTTTTCTCAAGGGAGGTGTGATCTAAACTCTGAAGGCCAGAGTTCCAATTTTAGCACTGTCACTTACCAGCAATGTGACTGTGGGCACATTATTTAGCTTTTCTGTGTCAGAGCTTCCTCATCTTTAAAAGGGAGGTAATAATATCTACCTCATAGGGTTGCTATAAAGATTAAAAGTGTTAATGCATCTAAAGCACATAGAATATTGCCTAGCACAAACTCCCAATCAACTTTCTTTCCCCCCAGCTAAATCATAAGTTGTCTACATTCCCAGTGTTTTGCAAGTAGCAACTCTCAGTGGATGTTTGAAGTTTGAAAGAAAAACTGGGGTTGCAGCTGGGAGTGATACATCAATGGTTTTAGCCAGATGAGAGTTGTCAATATCAATCGATCTAATCCTAGGGAGACTCAGAATCCTTTTAATATTCTACTGGAATTCCTTGTAGGCTTGAAGCACGGGGACCAAGACCACAGGATTTTGTCAGCCTTAAGAGACAAATTTTCTCTCTAAATCACAGACTGTGACAAGTCAGATCATAACACCTGGATCCCACATTGTCCTGTTACTGTACAAAGCAGAGTTCAGGAGAAACGCTACCCAAGGAACAGCATCATAGACTGCTCAGCAGAGAGTCCTTGGTGGGAGAATTACTTTGCTTTCCTTCTTCACCAAAAATGTTACAAGTAAACACTGGAAATGGTGCCTGGCACACTGTATGTGCTCAAAACTATGCGGGAGGTAAGGGCTGGAGTGGGAAATTGAGGCAAGGAGCAGAAAAGACATTCAGCCATGAACTTAACCTGGCTAGGACGGTCTCTGTCAACTTGATGGGGGTGAAGCACAAGGGGTTCTGTGCTGGGAGAGAATCCTGTTCTAGACCTCTGTGATCTTGGGCAAGTCTCCTAATTTCTATGGACACCAGCTTCTTCATTTTTAAAAAGGAGCTGAACTACCTGCATGTCCTCCAGCTCTAATATTCTGCCTCCCTAAGTCCTTTAAAGCATTGCAAATTTCCTCTTGGAAAAGTCATCTTAGAAAGTAAAACATTCCCCTGGACATTTCTTTCAAGCCCAGCAAGCTATTAATTATGGTCATAAAGTTAATTAGTTCCCCGGACTTCCAGTTCTACAGGTCTGAAAAACAGGATTACTGGGTCCAGGAAAGGCCCAGTTCTGGTGAAACCAAGGCTCGGCTGGGAGCTGAGTCATTCTTCTCGTAGCAACTTTTTCTTACTCCTATCAGATTGCGAACTGCTAGTCACACCACCTACAGGTGGTATCCCAAACCTGATGCCCTTGAAAGAGTGGTAGCAAATCCCAATAGCTCTAAATCTGAAACCATTGCATTAAAGATGTTGTTACGATTATTAAAAGCATTATCAACTAGGATCACATGCGGCTACGTGTCTCGGTGGGCGACAGCTAAAGAAACTTGCAAGCCCGTTGTTCCACACCAATTTCAGCGCGATGGAGACCTCTCCAGTCTCTCCACATCTTCTCTTTGCCGGGCGGAGGGAGGAGGCTCTCTCCATCCCCACGACTGCCGTTCTGGGGGGCAAGTCGAGACGAGCACGCCTGGCTGCTACCTCCGCACCCGCGTCCCACAAGCTTGCTTTCGGGGATCTCACACATCAACATGGAATCTCTCCAGAGGCCAGAGGAGAATGAGGGGCACTCGCGAGGACTAAGGTAGAAAGCCAGGATCCCCGGGCTGCGGGCGAGCGCGTCTCCCATGGCTCCCCAGGCTCAGCCGCTGCCTCTTCTGGGCAAATGCAAAGCAAGCAACGCACCCACCCCCCGCCCTCCCCGGAGGCCGACCTGGAAAAGGAAGAGCGGGAAGGTGTCTACAACTGTTCCTCAGCCACAGACAGTCCCAGGATCATGGCCCAGAGAGAGAGAGAGAAAGAGAGAAAGGGACAGGATTAACTCACTGCTGCTCCAGATCATCGGCCATAGTAAACAAGCCTTGCCAGGTCCTGGCGAGCCCGCCCAGCGCCTGACGCCAGCACCAGCTGACCCGGGAGGCCGCGGGGAGCAAGGGGGCGTGGCCGCGCAGGGGGCAGGGCTCGCGGCGGGCCGGCGGTCGGCGGTGGGACCCTCAAAACTCTGCAACTTGGTTTCAGCTAGTGGGGCCCTTGCTGTGTTTTCAATCACTGGCATGTGTCCCGGCAGAGATGTCTCTGACGGTCTCAGAATGGGACAGTAATCCTGGTCACACATTTGGGGGAGTCCTTGCAGGAGCTCCGACAGCCCTCCCTTCTCTCATAACTAAAAAGTGGTAGAACTACGCCTGCACGCTCGCACCCACTCTTTGGGCTTCCCATTGTAACTGTGTCCTCCTGAAATCGACCCTTGTTAATGTTCCTTCTAGTAAGAGGCTTAAATGTTTGTGGAGACAACGCCATTGGTTGAATGCTCCTACAAAGGGCCTGGATGCCAGATTTCGAAACTAAAATACAGGACACCTAGTTAAATGTAAATTCCAGATTTAAATAAAGCAAATACTTTTTTAGAATAAGTATGGGCCATGCAGTATTTGGGACATAAGTAGGCATCCTGTATTTTCTCTGGCAAACCTAAACCTATATGACATCTGCCAAAATGGGCATATCTCTGCTCTGATGTTGACTCTGACCCCAACCTATTTTCCAGGGAAAATATAGCTCAACTCCAGGTCACCCTCAGTTTGGAGGATAACAGTTGAAGGACTCACCAATAAGGCTAGGTCTCCTTTCGGTATGTAAATGCGGGGACAGGGAGATAAGGCTGGCTTGGCCCAGAGGTCCTGAGTGCACTTCAGTTTGCTCAGCAGAGGAGCTAAATCTTGAGGCTGGCTGCTGAATTTGCTTGTACCGGTAAACAGGGCCTGACCTCCCTGGAACTGTCAGATTTCAGATCATCCCCTTAGTTAAAACCAGACTAGGGGTGGGGCGCGGTGGCTCACGCCTGTAATCCCTGCACCTTGGGAGGCCAAAGTGGGTGGATCACTTGCAGTCAGTAGTTCGAGACCAGTCTGGCCAACATGGTGAAACCCCATCTCTTACTAAAAATACAAAAAATTAGCCAGGTGTGGTAGCAGGCACCTGTAATCCTAGCTACTGGGGAGGCTGCGGCAGGGAGAATTGCTTGAACCCAGGAGGCGGAGGTTGCAGTGAGCCAAAATTGTGACACTGCACTCCAGCCTGAGAGACAGAGTGAGACTCCATCTCAAAAACCAAAAACAAACAAGCAAACAAACAAAAAAAACCAGACTGGGGAGTGGTGGAGGATGGGTGAGAGAATGCTGGTGCACAGGGGTTTATCAAAGCATTTTTCTTTAGCCTTCCTGCAGGACCCAGATGATTCTGAGATTTCTTCTTTGTAGCAACACAGTGTTAAGCTGATCATTATAAAGACTTAACGTTTAGGAGAACCAGCATTTATAGAGTTTAGGGGCTTAGGAATTTGCCAGATGTGGTACAAAGTAGTTCAACTAGCAGAGGACTTGTCTCTTTCATGCAACCTTTTTTTTTTTGAGACTGATTCTCACTGTCACCTAAGCTGGAATGCAGTGTCATGATCATGGCTCACTGCAGCCTTGAACTCCTGGGCTCAAGGGGTCCTCTTGCCTCAGTCTTCTAAGTAGCTAGGACTACATGTGCCCAGCTAATTTTTTTTTTAGTTTTTGTAAAGATGGGGTCTTGTTATTTTGCCCAGGCTGGTCTCAAACTCCTTGGCTCAAGCTATCTTTCTGCCTTGGGGTCTCAAAGTGCTGGGATTACAGGGGTGAGCCAACAAACTTGGCTTCGTTCAATCTTTCAACAAAGCACAGTGGTTCTAAACTTCAGTATGCATAGAATCATCTGGTGGATTTATTAGAAATTCAGATTTCTGGGCTGGGCATGGTGGCTCACGCCTGTAATCCCATCACTTTGGGAGGCCGAGGCAGATGGATCACGAGGTCAAGAGTTTGAGACCAGCCTGGCCAACATGGTGAAACCCCATCTCTACTAAGAATACAAAAATTAGCCAGGTGTGGTGGCGCGTGCCTGTAATCCCAGCTACTCAGGAGGCTGAGGCAGGAGAATTGCTTGAACACGGGAGGAGGAGGTTGCAGTGAGTTGAGATCGTGCCATTGCACTCCAGCCTGGGGGACAAAGCAAGACTCCATCTTGGAAAAAAAAATTCAGATTTCTAGCACCTACCCTCTGAGATTCAGATTCAGCTGGTTTGGCTTGATGCTAGAAAGCCGCATTTTTAGGAAGCACCGCAGATACTGGTGCTCCACGAGACTCACTGGTTGGTTAGAAGTATAGATTCTGGAGTCATGAAGCCTGGTTAAGTTCAGTATTTGCTTTGCCACTTATCCACTGTAAATCCTTGGCCAAGTTATTTAGCATCTCTTAATTTCTTCCTCTGGCTTGTATCTTGTGAGAACTAACCAAGATAATTCAAATAAACATGTGGTACACTTATTTGTGATACGAATATTACTTATTTTTGTTGTTGCTGTTATTCAATGCCAAGAATTATGTTGAGCACTAAAAATACAATTATCCAGCCTGGGCATCATAGCAAGACTCTATCTCTACAAAAATGAAAAAAATTAGCTGGGCATGGCAATGCACACCAAAAGTAACAGCTACTCCGAAGGGTGAGGCAGGAGGATCACTTGAGTCTAGGAGTCAGAGGTTAGAGTGAGCTATAATCCCACCACTGCACTCCAGCCTAGGTGAGAGTCAGACTCTGTCTCTAAAAAAAGAAAAAATAAATAAAAGCAATTATCAAAAGGAAATAAACAACCTGCTCTAGTGGTAAACACAGACTTTCTATCTGTTGCTACCCTAGGCTGTTCTTGGCTTTGCAGAGCTGATAACTTTGTATTCAGAGCTCAGCTCAAACTTCCCCTCATCTGAGGCATTTCTTGACCACAGGATCTAAAGAGAGCCCCCCATCACTCTGTCACATTACCCTATTTTTATTTTCTTCATAACACATAACATTATCTGAAATTATCTTGCATTGTTTTTACTCATTTATTATCAGTTTCCTTCCACTAGAGAATAAATTTCCTGGGGGACCCTCTCTGTCTTGTTATCTGCTGTGCTCCCAACACCTAGAACAAAGTGTGGCAGAGTAGGCACTCAATATTTGTTGGGTAAATGAAGAAAAGTCTAGTGAAGAGGCAGAAGCATAAACAATTACCTATGAAACAATATACTAAGTGTCAAAGGCTTTGGGAGCTACATTCTAAATTGTACCAAATAGAAAATTCCATACTGTATCACTCCCAGACAGGACAATAAAATCTCCCACTTTTCTGAAAACCTGTAAGTTGTGAGATTTTTTTAGGCAAGGACGACTACACATGAACTGGTATTAGATCTCTCTAGACCATTTCTCAGGAGTGCAGAGAAGTGTTTGTATTTTGTTTTCATGTGCGAAATCAGCTTTAAAGTAGAGGTTTCTTGGAAGTAGGAAACTTGAATGGATGGAAAATGCCTTTAATAACCAAAGTTACCACAGTTTTTAAGGTATCCCCAGTGCTGATGTATCTCAGGATCAGGACGGATCTGCTAGAATTACACAGAGTAAAGAGGACTCTCGGAGCCTACTCTAAGGCAGGCCTCTGGGGAGAAAATGTAAGTTATTTTTTTTCTCCTTATCATCAGGACAAAGCACACCATGAGCAAGTATGAGACTCCAACAAGTGTGGATGGAAATTAATTTGACAAATCTGAAACCATCTTTGCAAAATTATGACTGAGACAGTGAAAGAGATCTAACTTAACTGACTCCATCTCGCTTCTAACCAGGTTGTCCTTGTTCATTCCTGGGCATAGGCTGAACTAACTTTGGGAGAAACTTAGTTTATAGTTTGTGGTTTGTGACAGATAACAGCCCTTTCCCGGGGCTGACTTCCTTGTTGCCTGGAGACTAGATTGCCTTTGTAACACTAACATTAGCCATAAGATTGGAAATTATGGTTTGGGAGTCATGCAGCTGGAGGCTACAAGATTCTGACCCTCCCTAGACTGCTCCTAAGATCAGTGCTTGAGATATTTGGTGACCCCTGCACTTGATGGATCAGCTGGTACCACTCAGATTGATGAACTGGCTCATCTGATCTTGCAGCGCCCCCCACCCAGGAACTCAGGGCAAGAAGACAGCTTGGACTCCTTATTATTTCTTCCCCGACCATCAGGACTCGTGGCTCACTGGCTTCCCCAACCAAGTTGTCCTTAAAAACTCTGATCCCCGAATGCTTGGGGAGACTGATTTGAGTAATAATAAAATTCCGTTCTCCTGCACAGCTGGCTGTGTATGAATTACTCTTTCTCCATTCTAATTGCCCAGTCTTGATGAACCAGCTCTGTCTAGGCAGCGGGCAAGGTGAACTCCTTGGGAGGTTACAAACCCTCTTTCTATGACTGTAAGTCATCACTGAGTATTCCAAAAGTAGGTGGAGCTGATAAACTGATAGCTCAGGCCTGGCAGCTATAGATTATTCTTGTTTCAAATGGGTATCACTGCCATTTGAATAAACTGTGAACAAGGTATATCTCTTTGACTGAACATAGAAATGAGTGGAATAGCTCATAAGTTGTTCTGTCCAATGACAGCCACTAGCCACAAGTGGCTACTTAGATTTAAATAAAAGCCAAATAAAATTTCCTTAGTCACACTGTAACCAAGTATCCCCATTTTTCTAAGAGATAGTTTAATGATTTTTAAAAAATCTCTCTTCTTTTCCCCCTTCTCCTCACTTCCTCCTTAGCTCTTTAGAAATGCAATTGTAGCCTTTTACCTCCTCTTTATCAGACACTCCCTATGGGGCAGGTTCATCTAACTATGTGCTTAGAAGCTCCAGAGAGGAACTCTCACCCACCGGGAGGTTGCCTTGAGAGACAACAGCCTATCTACAACCCAAAGTATGCCTGCTACAAAGCTTTCTCTTACCTGGAGAGTTTTGGCCACTTTTACAACCCAGTCCTGCCCACAAAAGGCACCAGCAGTCACTGTCCAGTAGATAAGGCACTGAAGGTAGTATGCAGACCCCCCAACCACTCGCTTCCTCCCCTCGTGCCATTCATGCCAGCATTCCATGCCCCATTTCAAAAGCACCCTCTTTCTGCTCCAAAAGTGAAATGGTACCCTTAAGGCAGAAAACCTGTACTTCCTCCCCTAAGGTAGCTTTGGAATAAAATATCATTTTCTTTATACCAGATCTCACTCTTGTTAAGTGGACTCTGCAAGCAGCGAGAGAGTGAACCTGCATTTGGGTTACAACACTAACTAGTTTAAGTGCTCAATAGCCACATATGTCTAGCAGTTACTATACTGGGCAGTGCAGAGACATTATCACAGAAAATTCTATTGCACACTGTTGCTCAGGCACTGATGATTTCAGCCCCATGTTGTGGTGAGTGATCTGCTCTTGGAAAGGACAATATAGTGGACTCACTTTCGGGTGCCAGCAAGGGGGCAAAACTGAGGCTTTTTTGAGACTCCCAAACAGCTAGGAGGGAGGGAAACCAGACAAAGGAGCTGAAAAGTTGTTCCACTTCATCAGAAACTGAAAGGATGAAGGGATATGGGTTCACTGAAGATATTTACTGCTTTACTAGGACTTGATCAGAAACTTGATACTTTAAAAATTTGACTTTGTGCTGTTTGCAACTTGATTCTCCTTAAATTTTTATTTCTGAAAATAATAACCTATTTTATCTGTTCTATTAGGAAACAAGGAGAGGGGGTTTTGGTCACACTGGGGCCAAAGTTTAGAAGGTAGAGATTATATATGCAATAGCAGTTAACAGAAGCAAAGAGGGGAATCTTAAGGCAAACGTGACAATGCAAGGGAAAGGAAATGGAAAAGACATTCTTTTCCATGCGGAGATTTCCTTTAGAAGAGTTATTGTCTACTCAAACTTTGGAGGATTTGTGTTTCTTTTGGTAAATAATGTGATTTCTTTTTGTAGAGGATGTATGATGTAAAATCATGGACTTTGCCCTTAAGGGAACCCTCTTGCTCCTCCACTCTTCCATTGTTTTATGTAATGAAACCCCTAAAGTATACTCTGACTTCAGTTTCAGCTTATAAATTAGATCTGCCCTTTAAGAGCCATTTGAGTTGCAGTCCCTCCAGTGCTATCTTTTGCATACCCAAATTATTGGGGGCGCTGTAGTTTGGCTAACTTTTAATCATTCAGAGAACTAGGAGAAGCAGACATGGTTAATTACTAGGATTAATGATAGTTAATAAGAGCAAACATTTACTGAACATTTACTGTCTGCCAAACACTATGCTAACAGCTTAATGCTTAACATTATCTCATTTAATCCTCACATAATTTCAATGAGCCAGGTATTGTTATTTCTGTTTTATAGAAAAGGAAAATGAGACTGTCAGACTGAGTAACTTGTTCCAGATTAGACAACTAGTAAACAGCAGAATCAAGGTTCAAACCTAGGACTGTCTGATTCTAGAGCTTGCACTCTTATCCACTACTCTGGACAAGAATTTTAAACTATATTAATATTCTGATTTAAACTAATTGAAATCAACACTAGTGTTAGCAATTTCCTATTGACAGATCAGTTAAAAATGTTTCAATGATTATAGAATCATAAACCGAATAGAGAAGTAGGCCTTTTCTTGCTGTTTTAAGTAGTTCAGAAAAGCCCTAGTGTAGTATATTGGTGTGACTAGCAGGTCTCAGAAACAAATGCATTCAATAAGTCCATTTGGTGTTTTTCATCTCTTCTTCTCTCCTGTGAGAGTTCCTGGGGAGATCTTAATGATGATAGTTGACATGGATCAAAGGCAGACAAAACATAAGGGAGAAAACACTGGAAGGAGCCTGGCTGATGGAACAGAAACTCCCTGAAGAATCCACACCTGAATGATTAAAAAGCATCAGCCTAGCCTGTAAAGTTTGAAGTTGAATATTCGTGAGGAAGCTACCCTCCTACTTGTTGATGAGGCAGAGAGAAAGGTTCAACTTGTCAGAGAAATTGATGCTTCCTGCCATATTATATTGAAATAAGAACCAGCTTGTTATCCACTCTTTTTTTTTCTTTCTCAGCAACATAGGTTTAGGCTGAACTTATGTTCATATAGCTGCACAAATCTCCACGGGTATGAATATAAATCTATCTATTCAAATAGACTCTAAAGGTTTCTTAGGTTATTTCTCTTCTTTCTAGAACTTAAGTAAGGCTTTGATCACCACTGATAATACATCCGTTAGTTAATGCGTGTAGAGTTTCCAGTCTAAAGGCAAATAAAAAGTGAAAAGGGGCCGGCGCAGTGGCTCACTCCTATAATCCCAGCACTTTGGGAGGCTGAAGCAGGCAGATCACCTGAGGTCAGGAGTTCAAGATCAGCTTGGCCAACATGGCGAAACCCCGTTTCTACTAAAAATACAAAAATTAGCCGGGCGTGGTGGCAGGTGCCTCTAATCCCAGCTACTCGGGAGGCTGAGGCAGGAGAATGGCTTGAACCCAGGAGGTGGAGGTTGCAGTGAGCCGAGATCGCACCATTCACTGCACTCCAGCCTGGGTGACAAGAGCAAAACTTCATCTCAAAAAAAAAAAAAAAAAAAAGTGAAAAGGCAGGAACGCTGTTGTTCACCTGCTGTTTTAGGAATTTTGCTCACGTACAGTTCAAAATATTAAGAAGCTGAAAATAAAGTACCTGGTCATGTGTGGAAAAACTTACAGCTAAAAGGTGAGATGAACTGGGTCTAGAAGGTCGGATTCACGTGAAATTAAAAGGGCAACGAAAGCCAGAACTTAATTTCTTAAAAAAAGTTAAAACAGGCCGGGTGCAGTGGCTCATGCCTGTAATCCCAGCACTTTGGGAGGCCGAGGCTGGCGGATCACAAGGTCAGGAGTTCGGGACCAGCCTGGCTAACAATGGTGAAACTCCGTCTCTACTGAAAATACAAAAATTAGCCGGGCGTGGTGGCGCGTGCCTGTAGTCCCAGCTACTAGGGAGGCGGAGGTTGCAGTGGGCCGAGATCGCGACACTGCACTCCAGCCTGGCCGACAGAGCAAGGCTCCGTCTCAAAAAAAAAAAAAAAAACAGTTAAAACCCTCAAAATAATCCCACTTGTTAAAATACAAAACCTGAAACCATTTCAGTTTCTTCTGCAAAATGAGTTGGAGAGAGTAGGGTTGAACCAGGCATGCTCTTTCGGGCCTTTCGACGCTGACATCCCGGGATATTACACCAGGTTCAAGATACCAGCTTGCGGAAAGAGAGCTGCTAAACTTGACCATATGCTTTTTGCACGACATTCGACAGCTGTCCCTCCCTTCACCAGCTCTTTTAAGGCTGCAAATATATCTGATTCACGTGAGAGTCCCTACAAGTTAGTACAACGTCAGGCCCCAAGGAGGCGCCCAATAAATGTTGGCATTGCAGGGCCAGATCCCGAGTTCCAGTTCAGAACCCTGCTGAGGTCAGGCTTCCTCCCTGCCTCCCGCCCCTCACCACACCCACTCACTCCCCCAAGTAATTAAGTCTAAACTGGGGCCTGTGCAGTGATTGGCCGCGCCGGGTCTCACTGCGGATGAACTTGACTTGTTCCAATGATCTGTGACAGACATCTGCAGACAGCGCCCTTAACAGAATTAGGGTCAGGCTGGTATCAAACCCCAGGAACGCCAGGCATTGCCTCAAAGTAGATGCAAACCGTTAAATCTTCCAGGACTCAGAAGGACCAGAGAGAGCCGGATACCTCTGGTTAGCTACGCGGTCCCCAGTAAAGCTTATTCCCCTCTTCCTCCCAGTGTGTCTTGTTGCCAGAGCAACTGTGGGCGTCACCGAGCTGACGGGCGGAAACAGAACAGAAAGAGTACACGTCCCCAGCTCATTGATAGGGCCATTGCGCAGACGCATTAACTTTTCTGAGTTGTAGTTGAGTCTGTTGATGCAGTCCGCGTCTGCGCATTAGTTGTTACGCGCCCTGGCCGGCCTCAGCGCCTGCGCAAATTGGCACACCGGGGAGGGCGGAGTTAGGTCACGAGGGTGCGCATGCGCAAACAGCACATCCGGTGTGGTCGACGGGTCCTCCAAGAGTTTGGGGCGCGGACCGGAGTACCTTGCGTGCAGTTATGTCGGCGTCGGTAGTGTCTGTCATTTCGCGGTTCTTAGAAGAGTACTTGAGCTCCACTCCGCAGCGTCTGAAGTTGCTGGACGCGTACCTGCTGTATATACTGCTGACCGGGGCGCTGCAGTTCGGTTACTGTCTCCTCGTGGGGACCTTCCCCTTCAACTCTTTTCTCTCGGGCTTCATCTCTTGTGTGGGGAGTTTCATCCTAGCGGGTAATGGTTCTATAAGTGATCATAATAATAATGTGTTACTTTGGTGTGCTGCTTTTGTTTTCATAGTACTCTATATCAGACCACCGCCCCTTGAAGTTATGAGAAGAGCCTGCATTGCCCTTTTGTTGTGAATGGGGAAATTGAGGCTCAGAAAGCTTAGATTATATGCCTAATACCAAACGGCTCCGTAGGAGTTGGACTTAAAAGTCTAAAGAAACCACCTTCGTGCCGCTACTCCACTTGGTGATCCACTTCACTTAATATTGGTCCGGGGAAAACCCTATTCCAACTTTAACTTAGGTTTAACACAACTCTAAAATTAGTAGACTTTTCAAATGAAAAACCCAACCTTGAATCATCTCTGTCATCTTGGCCTAATCATTACCAATCTCCGGTGAAACGTTTCAATGAAAGTGCAAAGAATATAAATACTGGTGCTTTTCTTGTTGAATCATCCTTTACTTGATTTTGCCTTTTAGCTGCTACTACTTTTTTTCTTGTTGAGGAAGCTGTTATTTCACTGTCCTGAACCCAATTTTTGTTCACATAACTCTATTTTAGCCTTATTTTTCCTTTTGATTCCAGGATTTGGTAACCTTGTAGACTGCTATATTTAGCGAGAACAGTCTCCATCAATTTTTGTTAAAATCTGACTTTTCTTGCCCAACGGGGATTCAGTGAATACTGAAAACAGGCGTGGCCTCTATCACTGGTATCACCTGCTACTTTGACTTTGAAAACATGCCAGCATTCATGGTTTCTTTTCAGTGTGATCATCAGTCAGGTCATCAGTTGTATTTTCAGTCCAATATGAGGCATTATGGTAAAAGCTTTGGCACATGTTCTTTATCCGTAAAGAGTTTATGGTCTAGTTGGGGTACAGACAAAATACAGCATTGGAATTGTCTGGAGGCCTGGCACAGTGGCTCATGCCTGTAATCCCAGTACTTTGGGAGGCCGAGGTAGGCAGATCACTTGAGGTCAGGAGTTCAAGACCAGCCTGGCCAACATGGTGAAACCCCATCTCTACTGAAAATACATAAATTAGCCAGGCATGGTGGCACACACCTGTAATCCCAGCTACTCGGGAGGCTGAGGCAGAATCGCTTGAACCCGGGAGGTGGAGGTTGTAGTGAGCCGAGATCGTGCCATTGCACTTCAGCTTGGGTGAGAGTGAGGCTCAGCCTCAAAAAAAAAAAAAAAAAGTCTGGTGACAGTGGTGCTGTGCTTAAAGTTACAGACCTATAGAATGCTTATTGTACATTTACATTGTTCTGACACACCAGAGATATTTCTTAGAATTTAAAACAGGTCTGAGGATCTAATGACTTGTGTACTGAAGTTGCAGATTAGCCTTTTGATTGGATATTTAGTTACCATCTTTGACTTTTGTCCTAGATGACCAAGACCTAGTTGTCTGTGGTGGCGTCCTTGCCTTCAGGATGTGTTAACCATCATCCGACCAGATACACTACCCCTTTGCTCTAAGTATTCTCCACCACCCACCCACCGCCCTCTGCCACGGTACTATATGTTTTTATTAGCCAGCCCGGAGAAGGAACCTTGATGAGAACTTTTGATTTAATTTTGTTTGATGTTTTTGTTTCCAGGTCTGGAAGAGTAGGAGCAAGGCAGGGTCTGAAAGCTGATTTTAAAAAAGATGCCTTCTCCATGTAGAAGTCACCCTGCCTTCATAAGCCTCTAGGGTCTAGAATGATTTTTCATGGATGCTTTGAAGAATGTGGTTTGCTGAAGAGTGGGCATGGACTAGAGTTATAGATTATCAGTGTAATAAAGCCAGAAGGTTTTTTTGAGCAAATGACTTTCACTTATGCCAAGACCTGTTTTTGAGCCCGTTGTGGCTGAAATTGAATTGGCAGACTGGACTGCCTTTCTCCTCTCCAGTGGGAACTAGGTGGCTTGTCATTGAAGAAAAACCTAGTAAAAGGGCATATTAGTAATGGGGCCAATAAGGGGGATTAGGATTTCCAGATCTGTTAGATAACAGATAATAGAGCTATAGAAATGAAAGCAACTTCAAGAAAAGAAGGGATTCATGATAATTCTTAGTTGCCACAGAAGGGTATGATTTACCCTTCTTTTGACAGCATTGACTTTCCTAAATCCTGCCTCTTCTGCCATTTGTTAGCCTAGATCATCAACTGGAGACTGGTTTTAATGGGAAATTTGGACGCTTATCCTTTGTTTTGATTGTTGGCAAAGGTAGCCTTGTTCCTTTTTATGGTGCTGGGGTTTCTAACTTTCCTGTGGAATTTCCTGTTGCAAGAGAATGGAGGAGTCCAGTGAGCTGGGAGAGGGAAATGTAGGCGATACTGTTGAAGGATTAGGTAGTGCTGGGTGCTAGATGTTTGAATGCCAGGCCAAGGAATTTGGACTTTTTTTGAGATGGAGTTTTGCTCTTTTTTCTCAGGCTGGAGTGCAATGGCGATCTCGGTTCACTGCAACCTCTGTCTCCCAGGTTTAAGCAATTCTCCTGCCTCAGCCTCCGAAGTAGCTGGGATTACAGGCATGTGCCACCACGCCCGGCGAATTTTGTATTTTTAGTGGAGACGGAGTTTCTCCATGTTGGTCAGGCTGGTCTCAAACTCCTGACCTCAGGTGATCCGCCTGCCTCTGCCTCCCAAAGTGCTGGGATTACAGGTGTGAGTCACTGTGCCCGGCCAGGAATTTGGACTTTATCCTGTAGGTAATAGTAAAGCTTCTGAAGATGCTTTTTTTTTTTTTTTGAGACGGAGTCTCACTCTGTCCCCCAGGCTGGAGTGCGCCATCTCGGCTCACTGCAAGCTCCGCCTCCTGCGTTCACGCCATTCTCCTGCCTCAGCCTCCTGAGTAGCTGGGACTGCAGGCGCCTGCCACCACGTCCAGCTAAGTTTTTGTATTTTTAGTGGAGACAGGGTTTCATCGTGTTAGCCAGGATGGTCTTGATCTCCTGACCTCGTGATTCGCCCGCCTCGGCCTCCTAAAGTGTTGGGATTACAGGCGTGAGCCACCACACCCGGCACTGAGGGTGCTTTTTTAAAGAAAGGAAAAGATTTAAAATTGGTGTTAGCATGTAGGATGAATTGGAGGGAAATGTTCTTTAATCTTCTCTATTTTTTTTTGGCAGTCTATTCTCTTCTATTCCCTCTGCATGTGTTAGTTTAGCATATGCTCTTTGGAAATTGACCAGTACATTTTAAACCAATTCAGAACGCTACCAAACCTTTAAAAAACCTGTTGTTATTGGGCCTGATGGTATGAAAATAGTCTGTTTTCTTCTATTCCCTCATAGCTGAGAGACTTAACCATGGTTTCAAGAAGGAACCAGAGGTAGAAAGTTGTCATTGAGAGATCTTTTTTTGTGTGTGTTTTGGATCATCAGAGTATAATATATTGGCTTTAAAAGGACCTCAGAGGTAGAATATTTTTCTATTTGAGACAGATTTCAAACATCCAGTAGCTGACTGTTTATCTTGTAGTTAGATATCTCTAGAAGAGGACATCTGTCCCTTTTTTAGAGTTATATTCCAGTGTTGGCAACCCTTTAGTTTCCTTTTTTGCCCAACTGAAAGCTGTGCTCATTTAAAGTGCTATTTAGGAGGGATAAGTAGAAAACATTAAGACTGTCCTCAAAATAAGTCTTTGGTCTTGAAACAAGTTTTAATTCATTTCCCAACTTTCATCTGTTCTGTTCTCTAATCTATATGAGGTAATTTTGTCTTAAAAAATAGTTTTGTTTTTCCTAGTTTACAAATTCAAAACCAGTTTGAATCTGTAAGGCAAGGAGGCCTAGTCCAGAGTTTTCTGTCTCACGGGAGCTATTAGGCTGTTGTGGACTGGGGTCCAGCATTTCTTTTGGAATTATCCATCAGATCTGTGGATCCTAATATTATCTCTCATAACTGTTATCCGAGAGATTAGAAGTTTGCCACCCATGTGCCTGATAGTCTTGTTTCTAAATATCTTTCATATCATTGCTACTTTTTCATCCTCTGTTTTAGCCTCTCAATATCTCTTATGAAGACTACTGTAATCCTCCTTACTGGCCTTCCGGCCTCTGGTTTCCAGTCCATCTTCTATTGTGTTTGCAGGCTTGATTTGACTTGCAAATCTGATTGTGTCACTCCCATGTACAATTTGTGTTTCCCAAAGTAAAATTAAAACTTTTTTTTTGACATACAGGCTCTTTCATGATCTGGCTTCCTCGCTGTCTGCAGCTTCATCTCTTGCCTCTGCCTCCTCTATACTCTGCTCCAACAGTATTGAGCTACTTGTCATTCTCTGAACACTCTCATGTGTCAAACTATTTGCCTTTGCTTGACTGCCTTCAAAATTCCTTCACTTTTTAGACTTCTCAGCTCAAGTGCAATTTCCTTTTTTTTTTGTTACTGTTTTTAAAGAGAACAAGGTCTTGCTATGTTGCCCAGGCTGGCCTCAAACTCCTTGGCTCAAGCAGTCCTGCCTCAGCCTCCTGAGTAGCTAGGACTATAGGCACACAGCACTATGCCTGGCTTATTGCCCTTTGGAACCCTTCCCTGACTCTCCAGCAGATTGAGGTCTTTCCTCTGTATTCCTTTTTCACCTTGTATGTGTGTGTGTGAGAGAGATATGGCATTGTGCTGTATTTGGGTGTCTGCCTTCTCTCTGGAAGGTGAGCCCTTGAGGGCAGGGGCTGTCTTCTCATCTCTCCATCCTCAGTGCTGAACACTGTATATGTTAAATGGTGAGCAGGCCTATAGTCATGTCAGGAATAGTGAGCAATGATGTGCTAGGTTCTCTGCCAAGGTGCTGGGAATTCAACTGTGAAGCACACAGACGTGGCTTCTACTCTCACAGAGTTTGTAATTAGTGGGAAATACAGACAAGTAAATATGGATATGGTGCTGATGGAGAATTATTGGTGAGAATGGGAACACAATGTGCATCCAACCCTGCCTAGTGGTCCTGCAATAATATTTCTCTTATACATTCGCCTTCCTAAAGTAGGCTTCATAAATCACTCTATTTTTCCTCTTTTCCTTTATTCTTAGTTGGTGATCTTGCTTTTATTTTTTCACTAAAAAAAAGAAGTAGATAAGAATTCCTTCATCTTTTCACCACTGAATCATAACAGATCACCTACTTTTATACCCATACTCTCTGACTTCTCATGGTGGATGATGTGTCTCTTTCCTGTGAAAGCTCTGCTTGTGCAGAGGATCCAGTCTTCCCTTGCTCACTCAGGGACTCCGCTTCTGCAATTATTCCTCTGTTCCGTGTCATTAATTTCTGTTTCTCTCCTGGATCATTCCCATCATACAAACATGTTCTAATATTGTCTATTTAAAAAAAATCCGTTTGACCACAGATAATCTTCTAGCTACCATCCCATTTCCTTTCCATCATTACAGAATTTCTTGAAAGAATAATTAATGTTCCTACTTCCTCCCTTAACTATTCATTCCTTAACCCACTCTTGGTATTGGTCTGTCCTCACTACTTCACTGAATTACTTCACTGAAACTACTCTTGCCATGTTGCAACGTTTAGCATTTAATGTAGGTATTGGCTTCTGTGTAAAAGGAAAGTTTTTTCTTGAATACAACACTCTCCTGCTTGTTCTGTCTCACCTCACTGCTTTTTCCTTTCTGCTGTTTTGTGCTGGGCGCTTCTCTGACTGAGAGCATGGTTGTAGATACCTTCACTTTGTATTTTTTTTTAAATAGATAAACTTAAATAACACCTGTATACCTACAACTACTCCTTTATATTTTTAGTTTTGAACTGTCCCCCGAATTCCAAATTAGTAAATCCAGTTGCCAACTTGATGTCTTCACTTGATGTCTGATATGTACCTTGAACTTAACATGTCCAAGATCAAACCTGCTCATCCAGCCATCTGCCTCTTCACCAGTTAGTACGTGGTGTCAATGTTGGTTGTGGTTTTTTTTTTTTTTTTTTTGAGACATAGTCTCACTCTGTCACCCAGGCTGGAGTGCAGTGGCACAATCTCGGCTCACTGCAACCTCCATCTCCCGGGTTTAAGCAATTCTCCTGCCTCAGCCTCCTGAGTAGCTGGGATTACAGGCACGCTCCCCCATGCCCGGCTAATTTTTGTATTTTTAGTAGAGACGAGGTTTCGCCATGTTGGCCAGGCTGGTCACGAACTCCTGACCTCAGGTGATTCACCCACCTCGGCCTCCCAAAGTGCTGGGATTACAGGTGTGAGCCGCCATGCCCGGCCGGTTGTGTTTTTAAATGAAGAAATTTAAGTTTCCGGGGTCCCTTGATTTCTCTTATCTCCTGCATCTGTTTCATCAGCAAGCTCTGTCTTCTCCAAAATATAGCCTGTATGTCTTTATTTCTGTCCATTTTTACTACCATTCCCCTGAGCTCTTTGGGTCCTAAGTAATTCTTCTGCTTCTTTTTATTTTTTATATTTTTGAGACGGAGTCTCGCTCTGTTGCCCAGGCTGGAGTGCAGTGGCGCGATTTCGGCTCACTGCAAGCTCCGCCTCCCGGGTTCACGCCATTCTCCTGCCTCAGCCTCCCGAGTAGCTGGGACTACAGGCACCCGCCACAATGACCGGCTAATTTTTTTTTTTTTTTTGTATTTTTTAGTGGAGATGGGTCTCACCATGTTAGCCAGGATGGTCTCGATCTCCTGACCTTGTGATCCGCCCGCCTTGGCTTCCCAAAGTGCTGGGATTACAGGTGTGAGCCACTGCGCCTGGCCTATTTTTATTTTTATTTTTATTTTTTTGAGACGCAGTCTCACTGTGTCGCCAGGCTGGAGTGCAGTGGCGCGATCTCAGCTCACTGCAACCTCCGCCCTTGGAGTTCAAGCGATTCTTCTGCCTCAGCCTCCCTAGTAGCTGGGATTCCAGGAGCCTGCCACTGCACCCGGCTAATTTTTTGTATTTTATTTTTAGTAGAGATGGGGTTTCACCTTCTTGACCAGGCTGGTCTTGAATTCCTGACCTTGTGATCCACCCACCTCGGCCTCCCAAAGTGCTGGGATTACAGGCGTGAGCCACTGCGCCCGGCCTTCTGCCTCTTTTTAACCTTGCGAACCATTATACTGTTCCACCGCTCTTATAACTGAATCCGTACTGTTTTCTGAGGCTTACCATGCCCCTCAGGATTTGGCCCTTGTGTCCTTCCCCTTGATCACTATAGTCTTGTTGGTCTGTCCTTGATTTTTTTTTTTTTTTTTTTTTTTTTTGAGATGGAGTTTTGCTCTTGTTGCCCAGGCTGGAGTGCAATGGCACGATCTCGGCTTACTGCAACTTCCGCCTCCCGGGTTCAAGCGGTTCTTCTGCCTCAGCCTCCTGAGTAGCTGGGATTGCAGGCATGCACCACCAAGCCTGGCTAATTTTTTGTATTTTTAGTAGAGACGGGGTTTCTCCATGTTGGTCAGGCTGGTCTCGAACTCCCGACCTCAGGTTATCCACCCGCCTCGACCTCCCAAAGTGCTGGGATTACGGGTGTGAGCCACCATGCCTGGCGTCTGTCCTTGTGTTTATAACATGTCAAGATTGTTCTTACTGTCTAGAATGCTCTGCCCCCAGATTTTTACATGGTTGGTTCCTTATCTTTCAAATATTGGTCTTAAATAGCAAGCTCTTAAAGAGACCTTCTGTTATGATTGAATTTAAGAAAAGCTTCCCAGTCACTCTTTATTATCCTGTTTTATTTTCTTCATAGTACATATCTCTACCTAGTAGTTCCTGGTTTATTTGTTAACTTATTGATTATATGTTTCTCTCCATAGGAGTGTAAGTTCCTTGAGAGCCAGACTGTTTTGTTCTGTGCCATATTCCTAGCACCTGAAATGATGCTTGTCATGTAGTAGATGTTTAGTAAATATTTTATGGAATAAATGGACATTTAAGGGGATAGAGTAAATCAGAATTGCTAAAATGGAACAGACTGCTTGAAGAGGTAGTAAATTTCCATCTTTGGAAGTGCCCAGGGAGAGACTGAAGGATCATTGGTAGTGGAGCATTTTGAACAGGCTTTTTTTTTTGCCTTTTTTGTTTCCAATGCATCTGAGAGATGTGATATCCTTATCAGTAACACAGGCTCTGGAAAGTTGATAATTCTCCATCTGGAGGTGGCTTACCAGATTCTGTAAGTGGTGAGTATACTTTGGAAAGCTTCCCACGTGATTAGTACGCCTCCCCAAGCATGGCCACCCCCTACCACCTCTTGGGCATTGTATACATCAAATGGGGTGTTGGTGTTTATGACCTCTGAGGTCCTTTCCAACTTTGTGGGACTCTGATTCATATGTTTTCATTGAAATAATCTGGTTACCATGATCACAATAATAATAACATCAATTTATTACCTTATCCACCTTCATGGATAATTTTTCTTTTTTTCCCTCATATTTCCTCAAAACTCAACACCGTGTTCTTTACTCCAATGACCACTATTAATAGTTTTCTATTTCTTCAGATTTTTTTCTAGATTCTAACTGAAATGACAAGATAATTATGTATATCATTATATGTAAATAAAATATTTTACTTTTTTTTTGAGACGGTCTTGATTTGTCTCCCAGGCCAGAGTGCGGTGGCATGACTGTGGCTCACTGCAGCCTGCAACCTCTACCTCCTGGGCTCAAGCAATCTTCCCATCTCAGCCTCCCGAGTAGCTGGGGCCATAGGTGTGTGCTACCACACCTGGCTAATTAAAACATTTTTTTTGTAGAGACAGGGTCTCCCTATCTTTCCCAGGCTGGTCTCAAGCTCTTGGGCTCAAGCGATCCTCCCACCTTGGTTTCACAACATGCTGGGGTTACAGTTGTGAGCCACCATGCCCTGGCCAAGTGAAATTAGGAATGGGCTGGGTGTGGGGGCTCATGTCTGTAATCCCTACCCTTAGGCAAGCAGAGGCGGGAGGATTGCTGGGCAACATAGGGAGACCTTGTCTTTACCAAAAACAAACAAAAAAATTAGCTAGGCATGGTGGTGCATGACTGTTGTCTCAGCTACTCAGGGGGCTGAGGTGGGAGGATTGTTTGAGCCCAGGAGGTCGAGGCTGCAGGGAGCCATGATTGCACCACTGCACTCCAGCCTGGGTGATGGAGTGAGACCCTGTCTCAAAAAAAAAAAAAAAAAGGATTGGCTTTTTTTCACTTAATAAGTCTTAGATATGTTTGCTGTCAATGTACAGAGAATTTACCTTATTCTTTTGAATAATTGCATGGGATTTCATTGCATGTCAGTTGTATAGTTTAATCCCCTTGATGTTTAGACTGTTTTAATTTTTTTTTCAACTTTACAAACATACTTTCAGAATGTCTTTGTTCTGTAAGATAAATTCCTTTGTCAAAAGGTAAAATCATTTTAAATATTAATGGATATTGCTAGTTGCTCTCCCAAGTGGATGAATGAATCTGTACTTTCTACAGCAGGGGTTTACACTGGTTACCCTTGCTTCAGTCATTGTCTTTAATATTTTTAAGGGTCTGGATACCTGAAAGGATCAATGGTGCTTCCATGGTGTTTACATGTTTAAGCATAATGAAAACTGTTGCCATGGTGACAGGCTCTGGAGAACTAGTCTGATAGTTTTCTGGCCTTTGGATTAGATTTGTTTGTTGCTTTTTCTTAGTTAATGATGGGATGATGCTAGCCTGAAGCGAGTTTAGGTTTTCTTAAGCAATGTAATAATTTATCACAGGCATAAAGATACTTCGGAAGAGTGTATTCCTGGAACTGCCTGTTTTTTTTTTTTTGTCAATGGTGACTGTTAGAATCTTCAAGGGGATGGAGTGTGGCAGTGGAGAGTTCTCATGAGTTATCTCTCTTAGGTCTTCTGCCTTTTTTGAGACAAATAAGCAGCTGCTAGAACTTCGAGATCAAAGATAGTTTATCGAGAACTGTGAGGTTCTCAAGAATGAGCGTGCTATCTTTATAAACTCTGCTACCCATTAAATGAATATTCTATTAGAAAATAATTCACATTTTTATAACTTTTTATCATTCAGCCCGGACCCTTTGTTGTTGCCTCAAGTGCATCCCCATCTAGGTATAATTAGAAACCTTTAAATCAGCAGATAAGAGAGCTTTGTGGGTTTTTTGGTTATATATTTTTTTCTTTGAGAAAGCCTCTAGGTTTCAGTGTAACTCTGAGAAGTAATATTTTTTTTCCTTTAACAGAGTGCGAAATTTAATTGTACAACTTGATAAATTTTTAAATGTACCTGTCTAACCACTATCCAGATCAAGATGCAGGACATTACCAGCACCATAGATGCCTCCTTGCATCTTCCCAGTTATCCTCTCCCTGTGAAAGATAAAAACCACTATCTTGCCATAGATTGGTTTTACCAAGTTTTAAGCTTTTTGTACATGGAATCATATAGCATATACTTTTTTGTTTTGTTTTGTTTTGAGACGGAGTCTCTCTTGCCCAGGCTGGAGTGCAGTGGCGCAATCTCGGCTCACTGCAACCTCCACCTCCTGAGTTTAAGCAAATTCTCCTGCCTCAGCCTCCTGAGTAGCTGGGATTACAGGTGCGTGCCACCATGCCCAGCTAATTTCTGTAGTTTTTATTAGAGATGGGGTTTCCCCATGTTGGCCAGGCTGGTCTTGAACTCCTGACCTTAGGTGATCCACCCACCTTGGCCTCCCAAAGTGCGGGGATTACAGGAGTGAGCCACCGTGCCTGGCCCTTGTTTTATTTTTTAATTTTTTTTTTTTTAGATGGAGTTTCGCTCTTGTTGCCCATGCTAGAGTGCAATGGCACGATCTTGGCTCACCTCCACCTCCACCTCCACCAATTCTCCTGCCTCATTGCCTCAGCCTGCCAAGCAACTGGGATCACAGGCATGCGCCACCATGCCCGGCTAATTTTGTATTTTTAGTAGACAAGGGGTTTCTCCATGTTGGTCAGGCTGGTCTTGAACTCCCGACCTCAGGTGATCCGCCTGCCTCGGCCTCCCAAAGTGCTGGGATTACAGGCGTGAGCCACCGTGCCCGGCCTTTTTTTTGTTTGTTTTTGGTCAAGATAAAACATGACAAAATTTACCATTTTAACCATTTTTAAGTGTATAGTTCTGTGGCATTAAGTACATGTACATTGTTGTAAAATCATCATCACTATCCATATCCAGAACTTTTTTGTCTTCCGCAACTGAAATTCAGTTCCCATTAAACAGTAACTCCTCATCCTCCTCTCTGTCAGTCCCTGGCATCTACCATTCCACTTTCTGTTTCTAGGAGTTTGACTACTCTTGATGTCATATAAGTGAAACCACATGGTATTTGTCCCTTTGTCATGGCTTATGTCACTTAAAATAATGTCCTCAAGATTCAGCCGTGTTGTAGCAGGTATCAGAATTTCCTTCCTTTTAAGGCTGAGTATTCCATTGTATGTATACATCACACTTTGCTTATCCGTTCTTCTGCTGACACTTGGGCTGCTCTCACCTTTTGGCTATTGTGACTAATGCTGCTATGAACATGGGTATGCAAATATTGCTTGAGAGCCTGGTTCCATCCCCCACCCTCCCAACCTCCCAGATGGAGTTTCTCTCTTGTCACCTAGGCTGGAGTGGGACGGAGTGATGTCGGCTCACTGCAGCCTCCACCTCCTGGGTTCAAGCGATTCTTCTGCCTCAGCTTCCCTAGTAGCTGGGATTACAGGCGCCTACCACCACGCCCAGCTAATTTTTGTATTTTTAGTAGAGACGGGGTTTCACCATGTTGGCCAGGCTGGTCTCGAACTCCTGACCTCGGGTGATCCGCCTGGTTCAGCCTCCCAAAGTGCTGGGATTGCAGGTGTGAACCACTGTGCCTGGCCGAGATCCTGCTTTCACTTCTTTTGGATATGTACCCAGAAGTGGAATTGCTGGATTATATGATATGGCAATTCTGTTTTTAATTTTTTTGAGGAAACGCAGTACTGTTTTTCACACTGGCTACCCTATTTGATTTTCCCACTTGTTAGTGCACAAGGGTTTCAGTTTCTCTGCATTCTTGCCAACTCTTGTTTTTTTGATACTAGACATCCTAATAGATGTGAGGTGATATCTCGTTGTAATTTTGATTTGTATTGCCCTAGTGATTAATGATGTTGAGCATCTTTTCATATGCTTGTTGGCCATTCCTATATCTTCTTTGGGGAAATGTCTATTCAAGTCCTTTGCCCATTTTAAAATCTGGTTATTATTTTGTTGTTAATTGCATTGTAGGGGTACTTTAATATATTCTGATATTAACCCTTTATCAGATAAGTGATTTGCAAATATTTTTCCCCATTCCGTAGGTGCCTTTTCACTGTTGTGCCCTTTATTGTACCTTTATCACAGAAGTTTTAAACTTTGATATAGTCCAATTTATCTATTTTTACTTTGTTGACTGTACTTTTGGTGTCATATCCAATAAATCATTGCTAAATCCAATGCCATAAAACTTTTGCTCTGTTTTCTTCTAAGAGTTTTTTAGTTTTTGGTCTTTATCCATTTCGGATTTAGGTCTTTGATCCGTTTCGAGTTAATTTTTGTAGTATATGGTATAAGGTAAGGGTCCAGCTTCATTCTTTTGCCTATGGATATCCAGTTTTCCCAGCATCGTTGGTTGAGAAGACTGTTTCCCCATTGAGTGGTTTTGTCAGTTTGGTTGAAAATCATTTGATTTTGTATACGAGGGTTTTTGTGTGTTTCTTAAAAAACAAAGCAATTAAATTGATTCATTTTTTAACTGTAGTAAATGTATTTTTAAAATAAACTTATAATGGAAAACCTGAATCATTATCCCTAAATAGAAGGTCACACTAAAAATACCATGGAGCTAGGCAGATGTGTTCACCCGTGCCTGTGGTCCCAGCTGCTCAGGAGGCTGAGGTGGGAGGATCGCTTGGGTTCCAGTCCGGCCTGGGCAGCACCACCAGACCCTGTCTCCTGCCGAGTTCTCAGTGGCTCTGTGTGGCTGCATCCCAGAATATTCCTCATCTAATTGAGGGGGTACATTTGTTCCCCCAGCATATACACTTAGGCTCTGCCCTGTGGTCTCTGTGTGGGAGCTGGGCTTTTTTGTCTTTGGCTTCCTCTGGGTACCTGCCAGGTTCCAGCTGGTTTGGCCAGCCAGTGTGTATTTTTTAAGTTTTGTCCGGGCACGGTGGCTCATGCCTGTAATCCCAGCACTTTGGGAAGCCGAGGCAGGTGGATCACAAGGTCAGGAGTTCGAGACCAGCCTGGTCAGCATGGTGAAACCCCGTCTCTACTAAAAATACAAAAAATTAGCCGGGCATGGTGGCGCATGCCTGTAGTCCCGGCTACTTGGGAGGCTGAGGCAGGAGAATTGCTTGAACCCAGCAGGTGGAGATTGCAGTGAGCCGAGATCATGCCACTGCATTCCAGCCTGGGTGACGGAGCGAGACTCTGTCCCCGACTCCCCAAAAAATAAAGTTTTTGATTGTGTTGCCCAACTTACTTGTGCAATTCATCCATTTTTGTGTATAGCAGAAGTTCTTTTTCATTGCAGTATAATATTCTATTGTTTGTATATGCTATAATTTATCCATTTTACTGTTGATAGACATTAGATTGTTTCCAGTTTGGGGCTATCTGGGTATCATTTCTGTGTATGCCCTTTGATGTATATATGCATTCATTTCTGTTAGAGTAGAATTGTTGGGTCCTCGGGTATGTCTGTGTTCATTAGCATATTTATTTTATACTTCTATATAATCATTTTTTTGTGTTTTGCTTCTTGTGCAGTTTGCCTGAGAATACAGATCAACCCACAGAACAAAGCGGATTTCCAAGGCATCTCCCCAGAGCGAGCCTTTGCTGATTTTCTCTTTGCCAGCACCATCCTGCACCTTGTTGTCATGAACTTTGTTGGCTGAATCATTCTCATTTACTTAATTGAGGAGTAGGAGACTAAAAGAATGTAAGTGATGATCATAGTCCTTGTCCTATAATGTTGATTTTAGGAAGAGAAATTGGATGGGACTGGTTTTGATCATGGTTGGCCAGGCTCCCATACTGCTATTGACATTTGCAGAATTTTCCATTGGTCTGCAAAGTATGCATTAATATCATCATAATTCATCAGTGCTACTGCTCTTGGTCATTGCCTTGTCTTTCTGTTCTTCAAATCATTAAGGTAATAGAAAATTAATGTTTGTAGCTAGTACAATAATTTCTGTACCAATAACTCCACGAAAATAACTCGGAGATTTTGGAAGAGACATAAATGGTAGGTTTTGCCTTTAGATTTGTTAGTTAATTTTTTTCTGATTTTGATCTCAGATGACTTTTAATGCTGGACCATTGTTTTCATAGCACTTAAATTTGATAGCATCCAGTGTATGTTGGATGAATGACTGTGGGCATTTGCTAATATGTGCCTTAAAGTAGAAATAAATGGGGAAATTGGGTTAACTTGGGAGAAGACTTTAAAATATAAGATGGGATGCTGCTTGGTTCATTTGCCATTTTCACTTTTTTAGCAGTAGAGTTCTTTCTCCCTTCTCCCAAACAAACTCTTACAAAAAGAATCTTGGTATATAAAGCAGAAGTAGAATTGGAGTTTTTTTTGATGGACAGAAATTGAAAAGCCCTCTCTGCTTGGCCTTCATCACATATGGTACGCCCTCCCCTAAATCGCTCCCTCCCAAGCAGAGTTCTAAAGCTTTAATAAATATATGGCTGTTTTCCATACCGTATGTCAACACTGTTACTTTATATATGAGACAACAGAGGCCTAGAACAATCCATTGGCCTTCCCTGGCCACATAGTTAAGTGTTTGCAGTGAAGTGCCCTAGTCTAGCGGTGTTCTTGGCCCCGTACTCCTTCCGGTATCCCATGTAGCTTACTGATGAATGCATGCAATCTTTGCCTTTGCATTGCAAAATGTAATGTTCTGGGTGGTAGAGAAAAGAGAACCTTAGGAGATCTCATCCTATTTGGGGGAAGGATATCCTAGGACCAACCTCTTCCTGTCACCACTTGGAAAGCTGTCATTTTTATACTAACCAGCAGAAATCTAGTATAAGAGTTAGAGCATCTATGTGCAAAGTGGATGCAATAATGTGGAAGTGACTATACTTCCTTTTCTGACATGAATTAGTCATTTACTTATAATATGTTACCTAAATCCTTTCCTTTGATACTGCCTCAAAAACAGTTCTGTTAGTTCAGGTAAGGTATCATTTTGGTAGTGGTAAGTTGACAGTGAGGTTTATTTCAGTGAAAAACTTTTTTTTTTTCTTTTCTGTTTTTTTTTTTTTTTTTTTGAGATGGAGTCTCGCTCTGTTACCCAGGCTGGAGTGCAGTGGTGCGATCTCGGCTCACTGCAGACTCCGCCTCCCGAGTTCATGCCATTCTCCTGCCTCAGCCTCCCGAGTAGCTGGGACTACAGGCGCCCGCCACCACGCCCGGCTAATTTTTTGTATTTTTAGTAGAGACGGAGTTTCACCGTGTTAGGATGATCTCGATCTCCTGACCTGGTGATCCGCCCGCCTTGGCCTCCCAACAGTGAAAAACTTTTAAGAACCACTTTGTTCTGTTATTTTAATACAATTTAACTCATTAGACACCTGATTAAGACTTGAGTTATCCTCTTCCTCCCTTCCTCCCTCCCCTTCTATGTGCCAGCCAATGTCTTGTTGTTGGGAATATAAACAATATTGTTGGCTGGGCGTGGTGGTTCATGCCTATAATCCCAGCACTTTCGGAAGGCGAGGTGGGCGATTGCTTGAGCTCAAGAATTTGAGACCAGCATGGGCAACATAGCAAGACCCTATCTCAATTAAAAAAAAAAACCCAAAAGTGTGGCTTCTGCCTTCAAGACATGTACAGTCTAGTAGGGGAGAATACGTAAACATAACAGTTAAAATACAGCCCATTTAGGGCCTCGCTATAGGTTTGAACAAAGTGCTGCAAAAATCCAGAGAAGAGAGCAGCTGTACCATCTGGGAGCAGGGACAGCAGATGAGTTATCTGAGCAATGGATAACAGCTATTGCTAGTTAAAATGAACTGTTACCAGTGGATAACCTTGAATGCAGGTAGAAAACTGACCCACCAACATTGACCTTCTCACGCTTGCAAATATGAGTAACCCTTGGGCTTCCTGATAGAGCCTTCTGGAAAGGTCATGTCTTCTGATTGCTTACTCTAGATTTCTGAAGTTCTTTTTTTCTAGATGAGTCATGGTGTGTACTTAGGAAGGGGACACAGCAAACATTTCAAGGATGTTTTCTAGGCTCAGGGAGATACCAAATCATGGAAAATTATTTCTTAGGGCTGTCATGATTGGAGGAAGACTCTACTGCAGAGAGCTTAGTATTTCAAAATTATGACAAAAGCAAAGACAAAAAAGCAGTCTCAGCAGAAACTGTGTACTGCAGACCATATTAACAACCTAGGACCACCTGCTCAGCTGGGAATTATGGGCCCAAAGCATAGCAAAATCCTCAATCCCAGATTGCAGTGTTAAATCTTTCTATGGAGAGTATGTTCATAGAAAAATCTTTCTCTCTGGGGGATTGCCCAGATTGTTTTTCATAGAGATCCTTCATTTGAATTATACTATACTGTCCTGCTCTCAGTTTTTAAAAATATACATTTATTTGCTCCTTTTATGTGCTTCTAACTCAGCTATATGTGCACTGTGCCACAGCACTTTAAAAATAGTTCCAAGTAAATTCTCAATATTTATACCAGCTCAGAAGGTAGAACAAAACAGATTGAATGTCTTTATATTTTCCAACTAAGTTGAGAGTTTGATATTAAAAAAAAAATTCTGTAATATAGCTGATCTTACATGAATTTGGGGGTGACAAACTCTAACCTACTCTGAAAGAGGCAGGTCAAAAGAAAATGGCATTGGGTTAAAAAAATAAACAATTCAAGGGGAAGTAAGGAAGTTAACAGATAATGAGTGCTCAGTGTGTGCTATGCTTTAAGTACTTCTTGTTCTATATCATTTTATTTTCAGAATAATTTCACGAGGATAGGCTTGCTGTTCTCATTTACAGATGAGGAACTGAAGTTGAGAGAGCCTGGCTAGGATGGCTGAGCACGGTGGCTGATGCCTGTAATCCCAGCATTTTGGGAGGCCGAGGTGGGTGGATCACCTGAGGTCAGGAGTTTGAGACCAGCCTGGCCAACATGGTGAAACCTCGTCTCTACTAAAAAGACAAAAATTAGCTGGGCGTGGTGGCCGGTGCCTGTAATCCCAGCTACTCGGGAGGCTAAGGCAGGAGAATCGTTTGAACCCATGAGGCGGAGGTTGCAGTGAGCCCGAATTGCACCATTGCACTCCAGCCTGGCAAGAGTAAGACTCTGTTTTCTAAAAAAAAAAAAAAAAAAAAAAAGAGCCCCTTGCTAGAAATCTTACAACTAATGTATCTATCCAGGTGATCAAGAAAGACTCAATATTTTTTATTTTTTAGACTATACAAATGAAAATACAAAAGCAAAAATTCTCCCAGTGAGCTTCTGACCCCCAGAAATCCATGCACACCTGAAATGATCAGTTTTTGTTGTGTAGGTGGCGGCATATTTTTGAATGAATCCATGACAGAAAGAAGCTCAGTGGATTTCAGTATTTAAAAATGTATATACTTTAGTTTTTTCCATGTTTGTTCTTCTGTGTTTCTTTGTGAAATTCTTTTTTTTTTTTTTTTGAGACAGAGTCTTACTGTCTTGCCCAGGCTAGAGTGCAGTGGTGCAGTCTTGGCTCACTGCAACCCTGCCTCCCGGGTTCAAGCAATTCTCCTGCCGCAGCCTCCCCGAGTAGCTGGGACTACAGGCACTTGCCCGGCTAGTTTTTGTATTTTTAGTAGAGATGGGGTTTCACTCTGTTGGCTAGGCTGGTGTTGAACTCCTGTCCTCGTGATCCACTCGCCTTGGCCTCCCAAAGTGCTGGGATTACAGGCGTGAGCCACTGCACCTGGCCTGTGAAACTCTTTTTTAAAAAAAAAAAAAAAAATCTCAGTCCATCTCAGGTGTTCTGAAGGGTAATGAGGAAAAGAAGGACAGAACTGTATTGGATCACAGTTTGAGAATTAAAGTTCCTGATGAATTGGGCCCTGGGTCAGAAGGAAGGGTGAACTGGGCCCAAAGGGACAAAACCTTGCTTGAAAATGTGCTCAGCTCCCAGGGAGATAGTTGCCAAATGCCTGTGCCTTGTTAGCATTGTTTTGTTTTTATAATGGAGACCATTCTCTCACAAGTCTTAAAAAATTCAGTGTTTGATCCTAGCTGGAACAAGGGGGCTACAGGGTTGGGCAGAACATTTTAAACTCTGACTGGCAGCACTGTTTACAAACATGAAATTATGTTGGCTTTTCGAATTCAGTTAAAGTATAGTAATCTAGAAAATTACCTCGGGAAGGGGAACTTGATGTTATTCTGTGGGCTTTGCTGCCACCTAGTGGATGGTATGTTTCATGTGTTGAGCGGCTACTACAAAACATGAGGAGTTGAGTTTGGGGGAAGAAGCTACTGATACCTGTGTTAAAAAACCTAGTTTCTTTCCAGTCATTGGGGGGCAGCAGAGGTCCAGGAGGGTTTAGATGCTGGGTTGGGGGTTGCTTTACATTCTGGCCAGAAGTGGGCAATGTCGAGTTAGGAACAAAAGGGCATAGAACCCTAAAGTGGCCCTAGATTTTGTTGTGTGGGGGAAGACCAAGACTGTGCACATAGACCCGCAGGTTTCCCGTTTGATTTCTTTTTTTCACCTCCTTAGTTTGAGAGCTTCTTTTTTTGGTTTGTTCTACGTCTTTTATTCTCAATGGTGACCTCCCACGCAATAATCTTTAATTTTTTGTTGGTGGAGGGGCCCATTTAGTTTTTATTTCATTTTCTCTTTGATATTTCCACCTTATATTGAATTAGGTCCTGCCGCCAAATAAGCTCTCTCAGAGGGAACTGTCCTACATTTGTAGGAAATCTGAGGTAGTCACATCATAACTTTTTTCAACTCATTTTTCTCTGTTTAGAAGGTGAGATTAATTATATATTTTTTTATGTGCTGGGGTCTCGCTACGTTGCCCAAGCTGGGAACTCCCTGGGGTCAAGTGATCCTCCTGCCTGAGGCTTCTGTGTAGCTGGACCTACAGGTGTGTCACAGTGCCTGGCTCTGAGATTAGTTCTTTACCTTTCATTCTTAAAACTTTGAATCTACTTATTTTATTTGCTAAAAAGTGCTAATTGATGACTTTACTTGTTTATTGAACTCTATTTTATATTTGGTGTATTTAAGGCTACCAAAGAAAAAAGAATATCGAAATAGATTTATATTTATGAATTTCATTGCTGCCCTAACTTACTGCCTTATTTTCTCCATCCTCCCAGCTTGGATGACTCCTATTCCAAGTCATTCCCACCCCTCAGGTTGCATAGGAGCCCTTAGTCTACTGCATTCCTCCAGTGCTGCACTTATCACATTGTTATGAAACTATTCATTCACTTTCTTCTCTCTCCCACTGGACTCAATTGTGAACAGTAACAGTGTGTGTTTGTTGAATGAGTGTATGAATGAATAAACCTTTTTTTTTTTTTTTGAGACGGAGTCTCGCTTTGTTGTCCAGGCTGTAGTGCAGTGGCATGATCTTGGCTCACTATAACCTCCGCCTCCTGGGTTTAAGCAGTTCTCCTGCCTCAGCCTCTTGAGTAGCTGGGACTACAAGTGTGTGCTCCCACGCCTGGCTAATTTTTGTATTTTTAGGAGAGACATGGTTTCACCATGTTGGCCAGTATGGTCTCTATCTTTTGACTTTGTGATCTGCCTACCTTAGCCTCCCAAAGTGCTGGAATTACAGGCATGAGCCACTGTGCCCGGCCAAATAAACACTTTTTAACTGCAAGAAAAAGTTATGTTATTAAGTTACTTGGATGCTAAAACATGGAAAGTGGTACGAAAGAAAAAAAGCCAAGGCAAAGATTCATAGGAGAGGCTGTGGGGTGGGGAAGAGCATGAGACAAGAAGTCAGAGGAGGGGCTGGTGCGGTGGCTTAGGCCTGTAATCCCAGCACTTGGGGAGGCCAAGGTGGGAGGATCGCTTGAGCCCAGGAGTTTGAGACCAGCATGGGTGATATAGCAAGACCTTGTCTCTACCAAAAATCAAAAGAATTAGAGGGGCGTGGTGGCGTGTGCCTGTGGTCCCAGCTACTCAGAAGGCTGAGGTGGAAGGATTGCTTGAGCGTGGGAGGTCACGGCTGCAGTGAACTGTGATCATGCCACTTGCACTCCAGCCTGAGTGACAGAGTGAGAACCTGTCTCAAAAAAAAAAAAAAAAAAATCAGAAGACTTGTATTGTAGGCTTTGCTCTGTTAACTAGTTGAATGGACAAATAAACTTACCTCTGAGCCTCAGTTTCTCTGTCTGTGTTGTGAGAGGATTGGTCTGGATGTTCATCAAAGTCTCTTGCCACTGTTAATGCCTCTCAGCATGATTCTTGATGGTTCTTTTGTGTTTGAGGAGGATTGTACTGTTTTTGTTGATCCTCATTTGGGCTTTGCTTTCTGTTTTCTCCTTAATCGTTGCTTTTTATTCATATTTTCAGATTCCCATTATCCATTTATAGGAGGCAGAAAGTTAAATGATTATAACAAGATGCACATATTTGTATGAAGCCTTTTACAAAAAGTAAACATTTGTAAAATGTCTTCTAGTTCCCACGTTAACAGGCTTGTAGGATTCACATACATTCCACATATACTTTTACATACATCAGCTCATGTGATCCTTCCTTCCTACCCAGTGATGTGGAGACAGACAAATAGTAGTATTCCTATTTTACACTTGAGGTAATTACACCTTGGTGAAACTTTAGTTGATGTATCCAGGCCCTGGAACTAATAAGTGACTGAGGGGGAACTGGATAACAGACATTTGGACTCTAAACCTTTATATTCCTTCCTGTTATGTTTAGGACTCTCAGATGATGGCTTTATATATATGTCATGTTAGAGGGTTTTCATTAAAAATATTAAACTTTTCTTTTTAAGAAATTTTTATTTATTTTAAATTTTCATCAGAGCCATCAGACTGGATTCTTTTCTTTTTTAAATGGGAAAAATTTGGCAGAGATTGATAGGAAAGGATGAAGGCCGGCTATCTCAAATGTTTCTGCATAGTTGGCCATACTTAATATGGTCCAGGAGAAATGGAGGAGAATGCAGGTCAGGAGACCTGACTTTGGCTAGGGAGGGTGATCCTGGACCAGCACTGTCCAACAGAGCTTTTTGCAGTGGGGAAACATTCAGGGTCTGCACCGCCCATTATGGTAACCACTAGCCACATGTGGTTATTGAACATTTGAAATGTGGCTAACAGACTGAAGAACTGAATTTTTAATTTAACTTTGACTAAGTTTAAATAGTCACCTGTGTCTAGTGGCTGTGGTGTTGGACAGCACAGCTCTGGACAGATTTGTCAACACTATCAGGTTACAGTTTTCTCATCTCTGTAATGAAAGGATTAAAGAAGCTGATCTCTAAAGCTCCTTTCATTTTTTAGAAATACACAGTCTGTGCCTTCTAAAACTGGTGATTCAAATTGAGCTGTAAACCTAGAATTTCTGCAGAATGGTCTTTGATTCACATTATTTCTAATTTCAGTTTTAATTGGGTGACTAGAATCCAGGATGAGATGAATTTGAAGGAAAATCAGTATTTGAACATATCTGCCCAGTGCTAGTGTCTGAATAGAGATATTGCTGGAGAAGAATACAGATTCCAAATAGAAATGACCCTGGCTGGCATTATCTTTTCTATCTCTACAGCGTCATTTTTAACAGTTCTTTGTGTTATGCCTTGCTTTCTTTTTAGATGATTAGAACAAACTGATTAAATGGCACTGTCTTCTGCCCAGGTGAAATAGACTGAAGTCACGCTAACTTTTCTCAGTAGGTGTCTTCATTTTGCATGTCTTGATATCAGGGGAGGAGATTTTATTAGTCAGTTTCCTGAAACCTTTATGCCCTGGTTAATAGTTGAAACCATTCTTCTTAGCTGTTGAGTAGTCAATTGTGTGAGCTAATATTTCAAAGAATCCTAGAACCTCTGCTTTTAGAATAGTGTCTGGTAAATAGATCTGCTTTAAAAGAGGGGAAGCAGATCTTTGTAAACAGAATTTTCTGAAAACCACTATCAAAGAGACTTACTCTCATGAGTCAATTTTTGCCTTTCACGTGGACTGGCCTCAGCATCTTAGATTTAAATGTTTTAATATAATAAAATCTTTAAACTTTGATTTTGTACTAAACTAGGATTTCTTTTATATTTCTAAAAGTGTCAAGGCTTTGTTCACTGAAAATGGCATTATGATCTAGTCCTCTCTCACCTTGGCCATTAGAAATGTAATGTAGCCAGGCATGGTGGCCTGTGATCCCAGCACTTTGGGAGGCTGGGGCGGGTGGATCACCTGAGGTCAGGAGTTCGAGACCAGCCTGACCAACATGGTGAAACCCCATCTCTACTAAAAATGCAAAAATTAGCTGGGTGTGGTGGCACACGCCTGTAATCCCAGCTACTCAGCAGGTTGAAGCAGAGAATCGCCTGAACCCGGGAGGCGGAGGTTGCGGTGACCCGAGATCACGCCATTGCACTCCAGCCTGGACAACAAGCACAAAACTCTGTCTTGAAAAAAAAAAAAGCTGTAATGTTATATTGGCTGATAGTCTATTGCCAGAGAGTTTGCTTTAAGAAATTTGATGGAATGAATAGGTGAGTTTGAATAGGTCTGTTTGGTTTTGTTTGGCACTGTGAACACCTTTTGCTTCCTGTTATTGCTCTTTCTTTTATACATTTCTTATAATACCACTGATTCAGGAATGTTCTGCAATTATGTAGCATTTCTGTAAATACCAGTGTTAGTGAAATAAAAGCATTCTGGCTGAAAGTCCAAAATCTCTCCTTTAAGTTCTGATGCCAGAATCTCCAGGTTACTTACTTGACCCAATATACCAAATAAGGTAGTGCCCTTTTTCCTCCTGGGGCAGCCCGGTTCTTCTGAAAGGTAGTATTTCCCAGCCTCTTTTGAGTCATGGTACACGTAGGAGATTGCAGTATTTTTATGGCACACTGGGAAAATCAGTTGCTTATAGCTGGAGACATTGGAGCCCCTAAGGCTGGAGGTCACTTTCCAACCAGAGCTGTGCTGGAGTCCAGTAGGTGGGAGGCTGTGCTTTGAGGGACTAAAGGAAGCCTGTATCTTGTGGTGAGGGTTCCACCTCACAAGTTACAGATCTCAGTTCCATTTGGCTCTAGCAGCAATGTGGCCACTTCTGTTGCGGTTACTCTTTCTTCACCTTTTTCTTGCCAAAAATAAACTTATCTTTAAATGAAAACTAAATTATTTCTTATATTTTGGTCCTTTGTTATAGCTGAGATTGGGAATTTTTCTTTCTTTCTTGAATCCTTACTTCCCTACCCTGCCTCCCCACCAATGGAAATCTGTGCTTCATAAGCATTTTAGATTCCAGAAAGCTCTTTAGGTTAAACTACAACCCTCTCACCTCAAAGAATTTGTGGGCCAGGGAAGTCAGTGACTTATGTGAAGTCTTGCGGCTAATTAATGGTAGAGCTGGAGTTAGGACACATGTCTCACAGTTCCTAGTTCGTTTTGCTTTGATGTGCTTGAAATTCAGTTTTGACATTAATTTTTCTGGATACTACTCCCATAAAATGTTCTTTGAAAAATACTTGCTTCTTTCTAGTTTTTCTCGCCTGGTTTAAATATTGTCCTGAGTGTGGGAACCCCATAACTGTCTTGTGGGTTAGAATTTAGATGGAAGGATTTGGGGCCCTGTCTCTAGTATCATAAGACATTTAACCTTGCTGCTTTTTTCTTCTAGGTTCACTCTTTGAATTTCCTGGATAAGAGTTCTGGAGATGGCAGCTTATTGGACACATGGATTTTCTTCAGATTTGCACTTACTGCTAGCTCTGCTTTTTATGCAGGAGAAAAGCCCAGAGTTCACTGTGTGTCAGAACAACTTTCTAACAAACATTTATTAATCCAGCCTCTGCCTTTCATTAAATGTAACCTTTTGCCTTCCAAATTAAAGAACTCCATGCCACTCCTCCATATGCCTCTGGCTCTGTTTTTATTCTTTGCTGGTATCAGAATCCTTTTTTTCTCTTCAGTCCTCTGTGCTGAACTCTTTATGAGTTGGTAACTTACAGCTGTGAACCTGCCTCCTTGTTTTCATTAAGTATATTTGAAGTTAATGGCAAAAGGCAGTGCTGACAACCCTGGGAAATGGCAGTCCTTTGTCTTCTTCCTGGAGCAGGTAATCCTTTACTAATCCTTCGATTGTTACAGGTGCTTCCACTCTTATGACAGTGCATTCCTGGAACTGCATCATTATGCACTCTGCTAGAAATTGAACTAAGTATGTGCTACCACATTTACATCTGTTTCAACATGTTTTAGTGGTAAAAGTGAAATATATTTCTCTTAGGCAATGTAGACAGAGTGAAAAATGGGGGTTATGTATGTGTTGACTTATAAGATACAATATTTTCCAAAGCACCTTCACAAATATTCTCTCATTTTATTCTTGCAATTATCTTAGGGGTTCCTGTCCTCATTAGTTAGGTGAAGAAATTGAAACTCAGATTTGTGACTTGCTTAAGATCAGAGTTCATGACAAAGCTTGGATGGAATGTAGGTCTGCTGGCTGAAGTCTGTCATGTTCGCAGCCCTGTTTTCATCTTGGGTGCTGTTGGGTTGCTATATATGGGGCGGAAGCTATGTTGAGAATGCCACTACTTAAATTTAGCCAACTACCGAGAATGATGAGTTTCAAGCTTCTCCAACTTGGCTGCACGTTAGCATGACTTGGGTAATGTAAAAAGAAAATCCCAACGTCCAGGCCACAACCCACACCAATTAAGTAAAAATCTCTTGGGGTGGCTTCTGTAGTTTGTAAAGCTACCCAGGTGATTCCAGAGCACAGCAAATTGGAGAAACACTGCTCTGGATTCTTGCTACTCAAAATGTAGTCATTGACTACCAGTATTGGCATCGCCTGGGAGCACAGGCCTCACCCCAAACCTACAGAAGCAACATCTTCATTTTAACAAGGTCCTCCGGTGATTTATGTGCACAATAAGATTTGAGAATCTCTCATCTACAGCAGTGGTTCTCAAAGTTTGGCATGTCTCAAGATTACCTAGGAACTTGGTGAAAAGCTTGGGCCTGTATGTTTCTTATTAGCTCTCTGCCTAACTGGTAACACACTGAGTCAGGAGTCCGCAAGCTTTTCCTTAAACAAATGGGCATGGCTATATTCCACTATCACTTTATTTATAAAAATTGGTTGTGGCTATGTGGGTCATGGTTTGCCATTCTTAAGTGATACTAGTTCATTGAGATTATAACTGAGCAGTTTAATCTGCACTTTTTTTTTTCTTTTTTGTTTTTGTGAGATGGAGTTTTGCTCTCGTTACCCAGGCTGGAGTGCAATGGTGTGATCTCGGCTCACTGCAACCTCCGCCTCCTGGGTTCAAGCAATTCTCCCACCCCAGCCTCCCGAGTAGCTGGGATTATAGGTGCACACCAACATGCCCGGCTAATTTTTGTATTTTTAGTAGAGACAGGGTTTCTCCATGTTGGTCAGGCTGGTCTCAAACTCCTGACCTCAGGTGATCTGCCCGCCTCAGCCTCCCAAAGTGCTGGGATTATAGGCGTGAGCCACTGTGCCTGGCCTAATCTGTTCTAAAACTTATATACAGATGTCACAGACCCTATCAGGAGGCTTCTGGATAATTTTTAGTCTAGAGAAATTGGAATTTTGAATAAGAAAAGCATCTGGACTTTGAGACACGGGTTGAAAACTGGGAATAATAGTAATTTTATGAAGGAAGACATTGTAATTGCAGTCTTTAATACATAGGTTTTGTTTAATTTTTCATAATGATCTTGAGATACATGGGACAGGTATTAAATTCCCATTTACCAGGTCAGCTATTGTCTCAGAGGTTGTGATTTACCCAAGCCAGTTACCATCAACAGGAAACATTCTTCTTTGGTGTGTCTTTTCAATATTTGCTTCGGGGCTAAAACCTACAGACTGCTTTTGGAGTGTTGGGATTAGATTTAGTTAAAGGCTCATTATAGGTAACTCTTGTTTTTATGCTTCTGTTGATTTGCTTTATGGTTCTCAATTTGACATGTACTGAAGAATTAGCTGTGGACCTGTGAGTAGCCGCTGCACTCCAGCCTGGGCAACAATGTAAGACCCTGTTCTTAAAAGAGGCCAGGCATGGTGGTTCATGCCTGTAAATCCCAGCACTTTGGGAGGCCGAGGTGGGTGGATCACCTGAGGTCAGGAGACCAGCCTGACCAATATGATGAAACCCTGTCTCTACTAAAAATACAAAAATTAGCCAGGCGTGGTGGCATGAGCCTGTAATCCCAGCTACTCAGGAGTCTGAGACAGGAGAATTGCTAGAACCTGGTAGGCGGAGGTTGCAGTGAGCCGAGATTGTGCCATTGCACTCCACCCTGGGCAACAGAAGCGAAACTTCATCACAAAAAGAAAAAAAAAAAAGACAACACTGAAAAAGCGCCAGGTGCTCAGTGGCTTACACCTGTAATCCCAGAACTTTGGGAGGCCAAGGTGGAAGAATGGCTTGAACCCAGGAGTTCAAGACCAGCCTGGGCAACACAGTGAGTCCCTGTCTCTACAAAAATTAAAAAAATTAGCTGGGCGTGGCAGTGCACCTCTGTAGTCCCAGCTACTCGGGAGGCTGAGTTTGGAGAGTCACTTGATCCCAGGAGGTAGAGACTGCATGATTGCACCACTGCGCTTCAGTCTGGGCAACAGAACAAGACCCTGTCTTGAACTTAAAGACACACCCCCAAGCCCCATTGCGTTTCTGATTCTTAGGTGTTTTTTCAGCTGAAGTATGTTGAAGGAGTTGATTTTGAGTACTACTGCATGGAGAGTGAGGTAGACCCTAGCATTTCCTGCTCCCCCTTGCTCAACACCTCTATGGGGTGGTTTATTTTTATTTTCTGTGCTCTTTTATGGGGCCGGAAGCCATTCACCACAAACACTGTGGAAAGTCTATTCCCTGCCATTCTTTGCAGTGGTGGGAAGCCCAGCCCTGAGCACCTCCTGCCCACACATTTCCTGGCCCCTATCACATGGAAACCATCTCTCTTGTTTTCTTCTCTTAGCAGCCTATACCTTCGGCCTCTTGTGATCACATCATTTCATCTTGGGCTTCAAAACACTTTTGTTGTGATGGCTAGAAAATACTTGGGGAGGTCACAGAGGCGTGCTCCCTGGTGTTGGAGGTTATAGAGGCCAGGGAGCTTGTTTGCAAACTTAGCGGGAGACTCTGCTGCTCTCCTATCTTGTTGGGTTGCAGCTCAGCTCTGGGCGTCTGTAATAAAAGTTTGTGTGTGAAATGACTTAATAACTACGGTTAATTTAAAAGTTTTTAACAAATATAAAAAATAGATTTCTCCTGTGGGAGAAAACACTTTCTAGAACAAGGATCTTAGAGGAGAGAGTAGGAAAAAAGTGGGAGGAAGCTTATGAAGAAGGACTAAACAAAGTATTTTATTTGCTTACATTGATTTTATAGGTAGGTCCAAGTTCTGTCAATGGGATTTTTAAAAAGTATTTTCAAACCACCAGAGAGGCAGCCTGGTGTTGCGGAAAACACTTTGATCTGAAAGTGTTGATTCAAGGACTTGTTCTGCCACTTACTGTCTGTTGACCTTTTGTCGCTAAAATTTAGCAAATAATTACACACTTAGGCTCTGTGCTAGGTAGTGCATGGCATTAGAAAAGATAAGACACAGCCCTATCCTGTCCAGGAGTGAGCGAGCGTGGGCCACATGTCTGGCAAACTGTTAAGCGCCCTCCTGTTACTTGCGTTTCCCTATCATTGCATGAAGGAGGTGGGTGGCATTCTTATCTTCCTGATGAGGAAATGGAGACTCAGCAAGTGTTAGGCTTGAATCTTATTTCTGTCTAGCTGAAAGCGTTTGGGTTACGCTTTGAATGAGATAAGTCATAAACTCAGCATGGGGATAATAATACTTCATACTGCGGTTATCCCAACAAAACGTTAAGTGAAAATATCTGAATGTAATTGCTCTACAAATGTATCATTCCTTTCAGTGCTCACCAGAAGCTCTGAGGGTTCCATGACATACTGCTTTTCTCCCTCAGCTGCACATCCGTTTCACTGACTCTCAGCTAAAGCACTGTGGTGACCAATGGCAGGCCTGGCTCTTCCTGGGAGAAGCGGAGAGACCTCCCTAGGAGCCCCGTTTGAGACCTGCTATTCAGGCCTGTTAAATCCCAGGGATAAACAACTTTGTTTTTAACTTTTAATTGAAATTTTCCCTCATGCGTGCGTATACATGCACGTCAAGAGGCCAGCAAGCTCCCATATGTCTAACAGCTTCAATGATTGTCAACATTTAACCCCAATCTAGTGTCAGGGTATAAATAAGGGGCATCTGATGGCAGAGCTCATTCTTTCTGTTATTACTCCTTCCTTTAAATTTTTGCTTACCATGAGTTAAGTGCTACAGAAATGAACAGAACGGACAAGACGCCTCACTTTCTGAGCCTTAAATTCCAGTAGGGAAGAGAGCCAAATTATTACATAAATGAAATAATTTTGTTGTGAGTGGAGTGAAGGAAAGAAACAGTAAACAATATAATGTGACAGTAAATGGGGCTGGGGAGGGAGCTGCTTAGGGTGGTTAGGAAGGACCTCTCTGACCAGGTGACCTTTAGGCTGAGATCTGACAGCTAAGAAAGAGTCAGCGAAGGGACCAGCCATGGGGAGTGTGTCTGGATATTAGTTATCCCCATTGGCATATGCTTGAGTAGTGGATAAGTATTGCCTTGAGGCCACAAACATCAATTTTTTTTTTTTTTAGATGGAGTCTTGCTCTGTTGCCCAGGCTGGAGTGCAATGGCGCGATCTCGGCTCACTGCAATCTCCACTTCCTGGGTTCAAGCAATTCTCCTGCCTCAGCCTCCCTAGTAGCTGGGATTACAGGCGCCCGCCACCATGCCCAGCTAATTTTTTGTATTTTTACTAGAGATGGGGTTTCACCATGTTTGCCAGGCTAGTCTTGAACTCCTGACCTCAAGTGATCTGCCCGCCTTGGCTTCCCAAAGTGCTGGGATTACAGGCGTGAGCCACCGTGCCCGGCAACATCAAATATTTATTGAGGGAGTGCCTCCTAAAGGTACAGAGCTCTGCCTTGCCATTCTGATCTCATCCTGAAGGGGGATCAAATCCATGCAGGCAGAGTCAGGAAGAGGGAAGGGCCACGGAGGCAGGAAACAAGACACTTAGTCTTAGGGGGCCTGGGAATGCCAGTCAATTCATGCTCCTTCCTCTGATGGCTGAATCTGGAACCACTTGGTATTTCTGAGTCCACAGAGCTTGGTGGAAAGCCTGGGATCCGAGTCTGGTGGGGATCAGGGCCTAGTTCACCGTGATCCTGTGCAAGCCGCTCCATGTGCCTTCTGATTTGTAAAAGAGGAGAGAATACTCTGTCTACCACTGGGGTTTATCATTTTGATCAAAAGAGTTGATGTTTGCTTTGGTGTTGTACAGATGTAGGATATTGTTAATAAGGAGTCCAGATAAGGATGTCGTTCCACCCATTTCCCTTGGTAAATCACTGGAATAACTTGGGTCAGCAAGGATAAGGTGGACACCTTAGAGGTTGGTAAAAATAGAATCTTGCAGCCTCCACTGGAAAGAAGTCCCTTTTAAGGTTTACCTACTTTCCTCCCATCAAGGCTGGAAGCATGAAATGGAGACCAGGTGCTCCCCATTATGTAAACCATATTCCTTCATCTACCTAGACTCTCTTAGGTCCTGCCAGCCTTGTCTTCTTACACTTATATGATCTTCCTCTAATATTTTCCTTTTTTGTTGTTGTTGTTGCTAAATTTCATGTGGGTGGTTCGGGGAAAGGGTAGACTTGCACTCCTCCCCACTAATCAGTGGGATTTTAGGAAGGCTTTGAAAATGGGAAGGATCCTCCCCTCAGATCCTATCACCTTTGGAATGGGAACATGCCCACATTTCCAGAGCGAACAGACACTGGAGTCCTCTCTTCTCAAAGGTGGCGAACCGTCCTGGAGTGACGTGGGGTGTTCTGGCCTGCGAGGAGATGGCTGCCCGCAGAACCTGCCCGCTGGAGGGCGCTGCAGAGGTCTGGCTCCGTGCTTTCAGATGTGTTCGGCCAGGGGCTCCAGGGGCTCCTTCTGAAAGCAGAGAAGCCCCCAGAGGTTGAGAGGGGAGATAAGACGTGAGCCTTTTCAGCTGTGATGTGGTGAGGAGTCAGGGAGGCCGTGAGCACTGTGGGGCCAGAAGTGTTGGCTTCTGTCAGAAACTCGGCCCAGCCTGACCGCTGCCTCCTGGCCCTGTCATTTCCCCTCCATCACGCGCTTCCTTCTGGAAGCCGGAAGCAGGAGGTGGGAAGCTGCGGAGGTAGTGACAAAATCATGGTGTAACAAGAAGCTCCTAGGGCCGAAGTGACTGGAGAGGTGGCCACATACTATGAGAAACACCAGCGCACCGGCAGGGCCTGGGGAGTTCTGAGCTCTCCCGGGCTGTGTGAAGCCGCAGCCAGCCCACTTTTTTCTCAGTATGGCAGTGCCATCTGACCTGGCCCAGCCCATCTTGTTCGGGTCATGGTTCGTCTTCCTGGGCATTCTGATGCATTCCCACTTCATATTTGCACTGGGATTTCAGTTTACTAAGCATTCCACACCCATTACTGCTTTCAATCCCTTCAACAACACTGAGAATAGGTGGGCAGGTATTTTTATCTCTATGTGAATAATAACACATGGGGACTCAGAAAAATTAAAGGCCCCAGGAGAGAAGGCTAGTGAGGGGCAGTGACGCTTAGGGACAAACAACTGGTTCTCCTGCCTCCTGCCTGAGGACTCCTGCCTGAGGAGAATATAGTAACAAAAGCCTCTGTCTTGCAATTGCAGCCATTAACACATCTCTTTCATACCCACTACTCACTGGACTGTTAACTCCTTGAAGACAGAAACTCTGTGTGTGTGTGTGTGTGTGTGTGTGTGTGTATTTAATGGGAGCAGTACTTTCTTGAGGCATAATTACATGAAAATACACTAATGATGCATTTGATATATATATAGCCATCACCCAAGATAAAGATATGGAACATTTCCACCACCCCTGAAGGTTTCCTCGTGCCCCTTTTCAATCCATCCTTCTACCCCAGAGGCAAACAGTGCCCTAATTTCTATCACCTGTGATGCGTTTTGCCTGTTCTTGGACTTCATCTGTATGGAGTCATAGTTTGCACAGAGACTGAATCCCCAGAGCACGACACAGCCTGGCACATGGCAGGTATACAATGCCAAAGAAAGCCTGGTTCTTAAACTACCTGTGAGAGAGAGTTCGTCCCACCGGGAAACTGAGGCGGTGGGCGGTTAGTGACCTGCCAAAGGCACGAGTGTATGATGTGGTGGATCCCGGACTCCAGCCAGCCTAATTCCGAACCCAAGGCCTCCTCCGGGCCCCCAGCCCTCCCTGGGCACTTCCTCCAGGGCTCCGGGTGGAGCGGGTCTGACGATCCCGGACGAACAGCGCCCCCTGCTGCCGGCCCAGGCCCCAGGCCCTCCTCTCCTTTGGGGGGGGATGTGACAGGATGACACAGGCCTTGCGCCCAGCGCAGTGACGGGCACAGGGCAGGGACTTGTGGGATAAAAGTCACCTGCCCTTTTATTTTCCTCGGAAAAGAGCTTTTCCTAAACTTTGGGGGCTTTCTATCTCCAGAATTAACAGACAAAGGGAGAAGAGGTCTTTTTGGTGGAGCGCTGCTGCCCCCATGCGGGTGGATGGCGACACTACCGAAGAGCAGGCGATCAAGCCTGGTATTTTTGGGTTTCAGGTTCTGCGGCTCCCTGAGACCAGCAGATTCCTGGTCTCCGGGTCCCTGGGTCCCGGACGTGTCCATCAAGGCGTCCATTAGGGCCATCACCTAATGGACAAGCATCAGGGTAAGGGGGGAGGTGCTATTGGGGGGGGGTCCCTCAGAGAATCAGCCCTAGCTCTGTGTGGGGGCAAATACGGCCTCCCCACCTCCTTCCCTCCCAGGAGACACTGGCCTGAGCATAAGTCTCGAGGGTCTGCCCTGTACTAAGCAAGCGCTTAATCAGGTGAGATCAAGGTCTGATCTTGGCTGGTTTGGAGGGGCAGCAGAGGTGCGGTGAGGGAGGCGGCTCAGCGGTGGGGCCAGCAGCACCTCCCCAGCCTGCTTGCGGGCCCGGTGCAAGTCACCGAGGGGCCGGCAGCCCCTCCCAGCCTGGCATGTTGGCCTTGCTGCACCTGCGGTTGGGGGGTGGTGTAACGGCCCAGCCTGCTCCCCTCGGCACGTGGCCTGGGGCGATGCTATCTCTAACTCAGTATTTTAAACTCTTCTTTCCAGAGGATGTGGCTTCTGCGGGAGAGCTTCAAAGGGTGCCCTACTTGCCCCTCTTGGTAACCATGACGTCATGGAAATGGGAGGGGACCGCCCCAGCCCCCAAACACCTGGAGGGAAGTGGGAGACTTTTTCCACTTCCTGTTCTACTTGTGGCTACTGACTCAATGTCTGACCTGTTTATTAATTGCAAAATATAGCTCTATGTGTGCTACCCAGAGAGGCCTCAGGCCTGTGTGTCTCTGTGTGAAAGGAGGCCTGCACTCCCCACCCCTCGCCGCGTTGCCCAGGTGGCCTTGACACAGACGCAGGGCGCTGGTGGTCCTGCAGCCTTCCGGCAGCCAGAATGACAGCACTGGGTCTCCATGTGCTTGCTCCCCCAGACTCATCCCAGTCAGAAGCTCGTCTTCCCACACATGGCTCACGGAGGTAGATGGGTTTTAGAGTAGGACTCATGGAGAAACTGAGGCGAACCCACATAAAGTGACTGTTGGCTCTGGACCTCAGTGTGGTCACACAGTGAGGTCAGACTCCCAGGTACCCTGCGTGATTTACCACAGTCCCTGTCCTCCAGGCTTTGTTGGATAGATGTGTGCCTGCCTGGGGGCTGCCCTGAGCAAGGGGCCACCACTCAGGCTTTCCTTGTTCTGAAGTTCTTGACAAGTTACTTTAGCTCTTGGCAAAACTGTGAAGCATTGACTCACCTGACCACTTCCTCTACTAATCCCCACTTTCCTTTCTCCTGTACTCCCCACTCCTCACACTCAGCTCCCCCCACCCAGAGCCTAACTGCAGGAGTCATTCACTTATTCATTTAACGGCATCTGTTGTGTGCCAGGCACTGTTCTAGTTCCTGGGGACACATTGATGACAAGGGACATTCCCATCCCACAGAGCACACAGGCCAGGGGACTTCCACACTAGGATGGTACCTGATAATAAGGTGCTATAGGCCTGTCTGTATACGTGATCCCAGGGGAGTTGAATTTTATGTTTGGACCTAAAAAATAAGCAACTCCTTAAGACTCAGATGGCTGCCCCCAGTGAGGGTAGCAGCAGAGGGGTTGCTCTGTCAGAGCTGAAGACCTCACCAGGATGCTCCTGAAGCACGTGCTTGCATAGCCTGCCCTTTCTCCTGAGTGGCTGTGACTCCAGTTGCACTCAGAGGTCAAGTCTTCAAGTGAAGTTTCAGAGAGTCCTCTAGAATCTTAGGGCTGGGGCCACAAGAGCTCATTTAGTCCATTCTTCTGCCTTTGGGACTGGCCTGTGCTTAAGTCTTTTGGGAGAGTAGGGCATGTGTCCAGAGAAGTCCCTTCTACAACTGGCCTTAGTAACATGTTCCCTGCTGGGATGTCGGCCTGAGGTTGGGTCCAGGCTGGTAGAGCTGCAGCTGCAGCTGCAGCCCAAGGCCTTGGCTCGCAGGGTCTGTGGGTCTTCATGGCCAGTCTCTTCATGACTGTGTTTTCCAGGTCTCCTCAGCTGCCTATTCCCTCCAGGCTAAGCAATGCCCAGTTCCGTATAGCTGGGCCCTCTGCACTGAGGGGCTTTGCTGTGGTGGCGTTAGGCCCAGTGCTGACTTGGCCGGTGGGCACAGGAGCCCTTCTCCTGAGCCTCCTCACAAGGCCGTTCTAATTCCCTCTGACATACCAGGTGGGCCCTGGAGCCAGATATGCGAGCAGAGCAGTCGGAGATGGATGGAGTTTCTATCCCCACTCCCAACACTTGCTCACCCTCGACCCACTTGCTCCTGGTCCACCCCTCTGACCTCTGCCCTAACTGGCTTTAGGTTTAACAGCCTCGGACATGAGGGAAGGTTCTTGCTGAATCAAGGATCTCCTGGATTTAGACGGAAATTTCTCAGGGGTGGAGCTGAGCCTGCTTTCCGGATGTCCCCCTACCTGCCCGGGCCTTGTCATCGTGCCTCCCTGCTTGGGTGTGGGTGGGTCCATAGCCCCTGCTGCATCACCTTGCATAGATCTGTGGGCGGCCTTGGGGGACCAGTGACTGCTGGGCTTTGCTGCCTGAGGGCACTGGGCTGGCAGGCCTCCACAGGCCTCCACAGGCTCCCGCAGACCTCCACAGGCCTCCACAGGCCTCCACAGGCTCCCGCAGACCTCCACAGGCCTCCACAGGCCTCCACAGGCTCCCGCAGACCTCCACAGGCTCCCGCAGGCCTCCACAGGCCTCCACAGGCCTCCACAGGCTCCCGCAGACCTCCACAGGCTCCCGCAGACCTCCACAGGCCTCCACAGGCCTCCACAGGCTCCCGCAGGCCTCCACAGGCCTCCACAGGCTCCCGCAGACCTCCACAGGCCTCCACAGGCCTCCACAGGCTCCCGCGGGCCTCCACAGGCCTCCACAGGCTCCCGCGGGCCTCCACAGGCCTCCACAGGCTCCCACGGGCCTCCTGCAGGTCTCCTGCAGTCCGGGTCTCCTCTGAGGTTCTTGGAGGGGTCTGTCTTTGACCCCTTCACTGCTGTCCAGGCTCTTGTCTCCTTCCCTCAGCCCTGTGACTTCCATGTCACTGCAGCCAACTCAAAGGAGCAGACCTGCCTCCCCAGCCACCCACACTTCCCTTGCCTGAATCTTTTTTCTATAAAACAAAATGAAGTACCACTTCAGGGGGAAAAGAAAGAGAAACTAACTGGCCCTCAGTTTTTAATGGTTGATAAAGGCTTGCTCTATTAACTCTCCCAGGGGCATTTTCATTTAATACAGGGAAGAGAATGCTTTAATTATAAGAAATTCCCAGTGGTGGAATCTCTGGCATTGTGTCAGACTGGTGAGGAGGTAGAGGCCCCCCAGAGCTCCCCAAAGGTGGCAAACCCCGCCTTTGTGAAGGTGGTATGGTCCTACCACGTGCGAGAGTGACCCTGCTGTGATGGAGGTCTGAGCCCTTTCCCTTTGGTGTTATTTAAGGGGATTGTATTTAGGTGAGAGATGGGGCAGCTTAGAAAGAACTGGGGATTCTGTGACTCCCGTCAGTAGGGCTGACCAGGAGAAGGGACACTGGTTCTTAATTCTGCAGGGGTCACAGAATCAGAGGTGCAGGGAGTGGGAGGTAGCCTCCAGTCCTACCCGACATTTCGTAAGTGGCAACACATAAGCCTGTAGAGGGGAGGGATGTGCTCTAGGTCACCTATTAAAGCTGGTACAGGTTAAGCATCCCTAATTCAAAAATCTGAAATTGGAAATGCTCCAAAATCTGAAACTTTTTAAATGCCAACATGATGCTCAAAGGAAATGCTCACTCACTGGGGCATCTTGGATTTCAGATTTTTAGATTAGGGATGCCGAATTGGTAAGTATAATGCTAATATTCCACCCCCAGCCTCAAAAAAAAAAAAAAAAAATCCAAAACCTGAACACTTCTAGTACCAAGCATTTCAGATAAGGGATACTCAACCTGTAGCTTCATCCCTATGAAAAGAAGCAGGCCTGAATTGTAGCTGAGATGATTTATGTATTTCTGGCTGGGATGGTCAGACGCATAGGGGAACCATGGAGTTATTCAGGGATGGAACCCCCTCCCACCCTGGGCATTGGTAAGCCTCAGCTTTGGGTCTTGGTAGCTGTGCTTGCTGGGTGGATGGTGGAGTGGTCTCTAAGTTGTGTTTCCCTCAGCATCCATGACCCTGGGGAAAGGTGCTCTGGCAGCAGGAGTCTCAGGAGGGAGAGCGCAGTGAGCTGTGGACCCCAGGAAGCCCCATGTCTTTTCTCTTAGGTGAGAGCTCGAGGCCTCTACTCTCCTCGGTCAAATCTCTGGGCTTGTGGGGAGACAGCTCATCTCCTTTTTTCCTCATTCTCACATCCGGGATGGTGGGAACATAAAGTCCTGCTGGGGTCACAGCTTCCTCTCAACCTTGCTCCTGGTGTCAGCTTGGGCACCTCAAAGGGCTGGCGTGGGGCTGGATCAGGCAGCAGAGTGGTGGGTGGTCCCCAGCCACGAATTTGTGAGACAATGCACAGTTTCAGTGGAAACCCAGTCTGAGAGGAGAGGCAAAGGAAATGCTCCTGGAGGGCAGGAGACAGTGGGTGGCATTTTGGGGACACTTGCTGTGTGGTCCCTGTCTGCCGCAGGTCACTGCCACCCATGTGTGTGGGCTCCTGTTATGGGTGGTCCCGTGGCGTGGCATGAGAGTGGGAGAGGAGGGGTCCAAGCTGGTAGGTGGGTTTTCCTGGCCCTCAGCATAGCCTGCTAAGCGGAAGCTTTTAGAGGTTATTCCAAGAAGAGGTTGACTTAGGCAGCTTGTTGAATGAGGCTTCCTGGACAGCATCATAGACAAATGCCTTGGTTTTTCTCTGCCCAGCTAGTGATCACCAGCAAGCAGAAAATGACTCCTACCAAACCCAGTCAAACAGAGGCACAGTCTCTGCTCTTCCAAATCATTTTAATGAAGGCATCGGCAGCAGGACATACAACACGCCCAGATACACAGCATAGCAGGGCCTCGATAATGAGATAATTTCCCCCCACGTCTTGAGAAGAAGAATACTATGTATTTCTTTATGAACACTATTAAAAAAAAATAAACCCCTCACAACATTCTGCAGGACCTAGAGCCCAAGAGAACCCACTGAAGATCCATCATCTGTGGGATGGCGGAGGCAGTCTCTGGGGAGCAGGAGGGAATGTGCACAGCCAGGGGAGGCTGCAGCAGCCTTGCCTCTGCCGTGAATGTCAGGCAGTGACAAGCAGCAATAAGGGAACAGAGGGGGTGGCAGCAGTGTTTGGCAGCTCTTCAGCAATCTTAATCATAAATTCGGGTAGGATCCAGTTGGTGGCATTGCCGGGGGGGCACAGAGGTGGTAGCAGCTTTCACCTCCTTGGGGGTAGGAGAGTTCCCTCTGTTTGGAGAGGGAGAAGAGGGGCAATGCAGAGGAAGGAGCGAGGGAGCACAGGCTGTCTTACAATCTTGCAGATCTGGAATGAGGAAGAACAGAAGTCAGGCTGGACACTGAGGAAGACCCAGGACTGTTAGGGATGTGATGGTGATGGCTCTGTTTGGGGCTATGTGGTAGAGTTCTAGGAGCAAATGTACCCTGGAGTTCTTATTTTTTTTATTATTTGAGACAGGATCTTGCTTTGTCTTCCAGGCTGGAGTGCAGTGACGCAATCACAGCTCATTGTAGCCTCAACATTCCAGGGCTCAAGCGATCCTCCCATCTCAGCCTCTTAAGTAGCTGGGACTACAGGTGTGCAGCACCACACCTGGTTAATTTTTTCACTTTTTGTAGAGGCGGGGTCTCCCTGTGTTGCCCAGGCTGGTCTCCAGCTCCTGTGCTCCTCCTGCCTCTGCCTCCCAAAGTGCTGGGATTACAGGTGTGAGCCCCCGCACCCAGCCTGGAGTTTTTTTTTGATGGTGATGGAACAGGATGCAGTTGTCAGCAAGACGACTGGGGACCCTGGGGGAGGAGGGTGCGGAGACTCTAGCCAGGATTGGGGTGTAATATGAGTGTAATGTCTTCTTTCTACTGAGCTAAGAGAGCCGTACTGGGGAGAGAGGACATGAGGAGGTTACACGGTGAGAGAAGTACAACACAAGGCATGTGGTGTACACAAGTGTCTCTCTTCCTCCACTCATTAGCTGTGGGGCCTCAGTTTCTTCGTTTCTAAACAACTGTTCTTCCTACCTCATAGGGGAGAAGTGCAACTGAGGCGGCTGAAATGAGGATATTTTACAGCGTTTCAGGCCATTATTATTGCACAAGAGGAATTTGTAACAGGAAGAAGTAGGAGAGTTTGGTGGGCTCAGGCTTTGGACTTAAAAGCAAGACCCTGCAGGGAGGTTTGCTCTCAGAGCTTAGGATGCACCCAGAGACCCGCGTCCCTAAACCCCACTCCCAGCTTCAAGGCCCCTCACCTCAGCTGGACCACAGCCGCAGCGTCATGAGCAGATTAAACCCGGCCACTTTCAGGAGGAGGATTCGGAACCCAATCACTGACAGGTTTTGAAAGTTTAGGTTCGTATCTGTAAAACCAAGAGGCCACAGCGGTTATGGGCTTGCATGTCCCAGGCCTGCATGGCCTGCAGGACACACCCACGGTTTTCCCCAAGGCAGAGCAGGCTGGGTGGGGGAGGCCTGCAGCTCCTGCACCTCCTGTCCCTTGCAGCTTCTGTGCATATCCCCTTACAAACAGATTCTGTGCATTCTTCCAGGGCCAACAGTATTGTGTTTCAAGACAGGAAACACCGACTAGACTTGGCTCTTATTTTATTTCTGAGCCCTTCTGGGGATGGGGTAGGTGCTCAGAATTTATCATCACAATACCTCGGGTCCAGATGGGCCCCTTAGTGAGTTCCGCTACCACAGGAAGGATGACTCAATAAGAACAACTCAAATGGAAATGAATATGGGCCCAGGGTGGGTGTGAGGAGTGGCAGGGGATTCTTGAGAGACAGGACCATTGCCCACAGCCTATGTGAGTACTGTTGCTTGTCTTGAAAGAAGGCAAAACCTCTTGGCTGTCCTCAGGATGATCTGGTTCGTTTAGGGCTATCCCTAAGGGACTCAGAAATTTCACAGCTGGGCCACCCAGAAGCTCTCTCTGGCTCTCTTGACAGTGGAGCTGTTGAAAGGAATACAGAGGCCTAGGAGAGAGTCCTTGGTCTATTGAAGCTAGAAACTCATCCTCAAAGTGCTTAGAATGGAAAGTCAGAGATGGTGAGAGGGATTCAGGAGAGACCCCACCCAGCTCTGGGCAGGTCTTGAACCGCTGTTTCCATTCCTCATCATTCATTCCCACATCTACTAATTTCTTCCCACTCCCTCATCCAGGCAGGGTTATTGCGGGTTCATCACTTCCGCAATCCTGTGCAAACCCAGGCTAGACCCCTGTCTTACCTGTTTCAAAGCTTTTCTCGACCAGCTTGACATCACAGGAACTTTCTAAAAGGAAAAACAGACATTCTTTCAGCATCCAGAGCAGGCTGACTCTCCCACCCCAGACCTCCTAGTTCTTGGGCAGGTGAACAACTACAGCCTTTCCATGCCTCCTTGTGGAGAGATCTGGAGGGAACTTACAGCATATGAGCACCTGCTAGGGAGAGCCCCTGGCCCTGGCAGGACCGATACCTCGGCTCCTGGACACCATTTCTATTTACTCAATATACACTGTTTGTACAAAGTACATGTTGCATGACCCTGGCCACATGTGCCATCACACATAGACCCTGCTCTTGCCTGGCTTCATTCTAGAGTCCAATGGAGGCAGCGAGGCATACATAGTGACAAGGGCCATAAAGAGTATAAACACGTACTTTCATATGTTCCAAAAAGTTTTGATCCCTGCACCCCAAATTTTTTCCTTGGTTTCTTCTTAGTAAACGGCACTATCATTGACTCAGCTGCTCAGGCCAAAATCCAGCTGCCTTCCTTGATCCCCTCTTTGCTTTCTCATCCCTGCATGGTTCTACCTTTGAAACCTGAATGGTGTTGGTTACCTCCCTGCCACCACCCTGCCCAGGCCTCCATCATCTCTCTGCTGCAACTGCTCCCTTTCTGCTTCTACTCTTGGCTTACAACCCACTCTCCGTACAGCACTCAGATTGATCTTTAAGAAAAGCAGGCCGGGTGTGGTGGCTCACGCCTGTAATCCCAGCACTTTGGGAGGCTGAAGCGGGTGGATCACCTGAGGTCAGGAGTTCGAGACCAGCCTGGCCAACATAGTGAAACCCTGTCTCTACTAAAAATACAAAAAATTAGCCAGGCATGGTGGCGGGTGCCTGTAATCTCAGCTACTCGGGAGGCTGAGGCAGGAGAATCACTTGAACCTGGGAGGCGGAGGTTGCAGTGAGCCAAGATGCACCATTGCACTCCAGCCTGGGCAACAAGAGCAAAACTCCATCTCAAAAAAAAAAAAAAAAAAAAAAAAAAAAAAGAAAAGCAAATTAGGTGTCCCTCCCCTGCTTGAAGCCGATCAACAGCTTTCTGGCGTCCTTAGAATACTGTCTACCCTCTCATGGCCTAGAAGGCCCTGTGACCCGGCCCTGCCTCCTTCATTCAACTCATGCCTGCTGCTCTTCTCCTTTCTCATTGAGCTCCTGTCCCAGGCCTCTATAGGGTCCTCTCCCTGCCCTTGGTAGGGCTGGTATCTTCAAGTAGCATTTCTTCAGAGAGCCCTTCCCTGACTTTTGTCCTGAAGGTAGCTGTTTTCTCAACCCTGAGTTAAAACACATTCCAATCTGAAGTTATTTGGACTTTTCCCAGCTGACAGATGGGCTCCCCCAACTAGAATGGTGCTTCCTCTGGGCACACCCCTCATCTGACTTTTTAATTCCTCCACTTCAACACCTGGTGCATTCATGTGCCGGCACAATCAGTGATTGGTGGGTTAATGAGTGACTGCGTGAGACTGACTTAGTGAGCTGGGAAAGATTTTTTGGCAGACAGGGAGAAATAAGGAGAGGCAACTTGGAGAAGGGGCTTAGAATGAGGCCTAGAAGAGCAGTAAGGGGCAAACAGTCTGAGCAAAGGCAGGCAGGCAGGAACTCAGTTGGAGAGACTGAGGCTGGGCCACGTGCCCTCTCCTGCCACCTTCTCTTCATCTGCTTTTTTCCCGTGTCATTCTCTGGACTGCCAGAACAAGGCTCACTGTTTCTTAGTAAAAAGAGGGTTTTGGTGGCAATGGATAAGGCCGAGACCACCAATCAGAGGAGTTTTAGACATCATTGACCAGAGCTCTGGGCAGAACCTGGCCATTCCTGAAGCAAGGAAACAGCCTGCGAAGGCACCAAAGCTGCCCTTACCTGGGCTGGGGAAGAAGGTGTCTTCTGGAATAATGCTGTTGTTGAAGGCGTTTGCACATGCAAAGTCAGATTTGTTGCTCCAGGCCACAGCACTGTTGCTCTTGAAGTCCATAGACCTCATGTCTAGCACAGTTTTGTCTGTGATATACACATCAGAATCCTTACTTTGTGACACATTTGTTTGAGAATCAAAATCGGTGAATAGGCAGACAGACTTGTCACTGGATTTAGAGTCTCTCAGCTGGTACACGGCAGGGTCAGGGTTCTGGATATCTGTGGGACAAGAGGATCAGGGTTAGGACATGATCTCATTTCCCTCTTTGCCCCAACCCAGGCTGGAGTCCAGATGCCAGTGATGGACAAGGGCGGGGCTCTGTGGGGCTGGCAAGTCACGGTCTCATGCTTTATACGGGAAATAGCATCTTAGAAACCAGCTGCTCGTGATGGACTGGGACTCAGGGACAGGCACAAGCTATCAATCTTGGCCAAGAGGCCATGATTTCAGTGAACGTTCACGGCCAGGCCTGGCCTGCCACTCAAGGAAACCTGAAATGCAGGGCTACTTAATAATACTGCTTATTCTTTTATTTAATAGGATCTTCTTCAAAACCCCAGCAATATAACTCTGGCAGAGTAAAGGCAGGCATGGGAAAAAGGCCCAGCAAAGCAAACTGTACATCTTGGAATCTGGAGTGGTCTCCCCAACTTAGGCTGGGCATTAGCAGAATGGGAGGTTTATGGTATGTTGGCATTAAGTTGGGAAATCTATCACATTACCAGGAGATTGCTCTCTCATTGATAGAGGTTTTGAACTATAAATCAGAACACCTGCGTCTAAGCCCCAGCACTACCGTTTACTCGATATAAGGCCTTGAGCAAGTCACAGCAGCTCCTTACATCTCAGGAATTTCACCTGCAAAATGAATATGGTGCCTCATCCACCTTCCTAGCCAGGCTCTTCTGAGAAAGAAATGAGAGCTTCTCCATATAAACATCTATTTAATAAACTGTAAAGTACCAAACAAATGTTAGTTGGAGCCACTGACCCTGCCAGAATATGGCCGTGATAGAGTGCTAGTGAGTCATGCAGAGCCACAGCGTCTATCCTTCACCCTCAGAAAGCAGGAGCTGCTGGAGGCTTTTCCTTAGTGCTGAGACTCATTCTTCAGTATTTCCGTAGGATTTTGTGTTTTTAATGTGACTCTCATTGTTTATTCTTTCCGACCTCCTGCCTTTTGAGGAGGAAACAGAGGTTTGCCGGAGGATTAGCATGTTGGGGCCACCCAGAGAGTTTCCAGCAGGGTGGGGATTAGAATTTCCCACCCAGTGGTTCTCTGCTCCCACAGCCCCTCACATGCGCACAAGATTTCTCAGACCCTGGTGATTCCCCGACAGTTGCTGAGCCAGCCCTGGTGGCCTCGGCAATGCAGACATCCAGCTGGATCCAAAACCAAAGAAATCAGCCCCTGGGATGCTGAGTGGGGGCAGAGCTGCCTGCAGCATAGGGCTGTCCCTGGAGCAGTGGAGCAGGGGTGGGCTCCATGGTCAGAGGGGAGAGACATCCAGAGCTTTGGCTCCAGAGGATTCTGCCTACTTCCCTCCTCATGCTTGGGCAGCCTGACATCACTCTGGGTGAAGGCCCTAAGGCATAGTTCCTTTGCTGGGAAGGGACAGACAGAAAGCCATTAGCTCTACCAACACATCCCCCTGATTGTTAGTCATCAGTGGGGGTACTGGACAGCACTGCAGAGGGGGAGAGGAGTCTGGAAGTGCCGATCCTCAAGGCAGGGGATCAGGGGCCACCAGATGCAGGTTGGCTTTAAAGAGGAAAGGGGGTGGCCTTGTGGGGCAGAAACCCAACTTTGAGTCCTGGTTAAACACTCACTCAAGTCCTGGGGCTGGTGGGTGTCAGACTGGAGAAGATCTAGGCTGCTCTGTCTGGTATAATAGTCTCTAGCTACATGTGGCTGTTGAAATAAAAATTAGTCAATGTGAAATAAAATGTTTTCAATTAAAAATGGAAACTTCATTTCAAGAGCTCAATAGCCACATGTAGCTGGTGGCTATTGTATGGGACAGTGCAGATTGACAGGACATTTCCATTGCCACAGAAAGTTCTATTGGACACTGTTGGTCTAGAAAGCGCAATGCCACAGAACACAAGACTCTGAGAAATGGCAACAGGGGCTGAGTTAGAGGTACTTAATTTTTTTAGCCTTTTTATCCTTTCATTCCCATGTACCTTTTATACTTTTTATCCCCATGTACGTCTAGTTCAACCTTATCTCTTTGCCGCTTTTAATTTGGAGGTGTTTAGGGGTCTGTCTGCCAGAGTCCTTTGGGGAGAGACATCCTATTCTACCCTAGTAAGAAAAACACATCCCATCACTGATGATATCAGAAGGTAGGCTTGGCAAGACGGAACCAATGTTTTGAGGTGGAAATTCAGCTATTCTAGATCCTAAGCTGTCCTTTAAATTCAAAATGAACTGCAGAAGCACATGTGCTCTAGTGCTTTAGATCCCTAGGGACACAGCAGTGATTGAAAGCTTCCTTACCATTAAATCTGTCCCCCGTGTTTGGGCACTAGGGACCCAGAAATCAGAATTAGTGACAGTCACTCTGGGTCCCACCGAGGCTTTAGTGAGCATCAGGAAACTGTGGGCATGGGCAGACGTACGGGGAGAAGTGGAAACTCTGGTTCCTTTGCCAAATTGCAACTGGGAGGTAATACTTTCATACCATGCCCCGTGTCTCTATTACAGAATCCCTTAGGTTTCTCCTCCTCTAAGGTGTGGGATGACCCCTCTCAGAGCCCACTGAGGAAGGAGAGGGGAGGTCTGCGGCACCATAGCTGGCTGCTCTCACCTTCACTTCTAGTCTGCATCTCTAAATCGGATTCTCAGTTTCCCAATGGCTGGCCCTGGCCCTAATTTCTGTATTCTGTTGAATGCTCTAGTATTTCCTTTTTCCATGCCTAAAAAGACATCTTCTCTGACTACTTTTCAACCAATTTTATTATCAGATGTATACTTAGGCTACTTTGCATGTGCCTTGATTATTCCCAAGATCATGCCTTCTTTCTTGTCGTTCCCTACGCCCAGAACTTCCCTTCTCTCCTTTCTCTGCCCATACAGATCTTATCCATCCTTCAGGGCTCAATGAATCCTTTGTACCACAGGAAACTTCTCAGTCTAGGCCAACTTCTCAGCCAGCACCCTATCCCCTCTGAATCTCTATTGTGTCCATTGACATCATCAACTGGTCAATACTAAAATAGTTTTCTGGCTGCTTAATTTACAATAGTTCAGTACCTTTGTCTAGTTTTTATACCACTTGAGGACAGGACAGGAATCTATCTCACACTTCATACTCAGTCTAACATTTTATAGAGTGATAGTCACATAGAAGGCATTTTACAATACCCATTGAATGATTAAAGTCAAATTTTAATGTGTTTGACCTAGAGAAACATGAATATTCAAGATAGATAGTAATGCTTTTCCCTTCCCAGACCTCTGTAAGAAAATTAGTTACAACATCTACAGCAAGCCTCACCATAGTAATAAGTGATATCTCCAGAGAAAGGATTAGTGACACTGGCCCATGGGGTTGCACGTGGTGCCACCTGGGATGACTCACCAGATATAATGAATACATGGGTCCCTTTCCCAAATGTGAGTTTATCAATTGTTCCTCCAGTATTCATACCGTAGGTGACACCATTGCACAAACTCACAGGACCTACCTATTACTTAAATAAGAGAAACACTGATCTCCCCCACAAGGCAGGAGAACAGGATAATCACACTCCTAAGGGTTAGACCTTCTTTTTTTTTTTTTTTTTTGTTTTTTTGAGAAGGAGTCTTGCTCTGTTGCCCAGGCTGGAGTGCAATGATGCGATCTCAGCTCACTGCAATCTCTGCCTCCCGGGTTCAACAATTCTCCTGCCTCAGTCTCCCGAGTAGCTGAGACTACAGGCGCGTGCCATCACGCCCGGCTAATTTTTGTATTTTTAGTAGAGATAGGGTTTCACTGTGTTAGCCAGGATGGTCTTGATCTCCTGACCTTGTGATCTCCCTGCCTCGGCCTCCCAAAGTGCTAGGATTACAGGCGTGAGCCACCACGCCAGGCCTAAACCTTCTGCTCTTTTGCACTGAAATTTCGCTTCTGATACAAAAGTTCTCCTCCTGTTCCATTCTGCTGTGATTCCCTGGGCTGAGGTTGTGACTTCATATGATTTCAATAAACCAATAATTCCCTAGAACAAAAACCTCAATTCCAGGCAGCAGTATCTTGGATATGTTTGTGGAAGGTTCAGGAGTACTCGCTCATTGCCTGCCTCATGGTTCCTAAGGTCCCAGCCTAAGGATGATGTCTGCAGAGCACCGAGAGCTGGATGGGAGGATTTTCTGGGGATGGGTGGAAGAAACCATTTTGGAGCCCACAGAGGAAAATACCTGGGTTCAAGTTGGCATTTTGGACAAAGAAGAAATAGTTGTCCGTCCTCCCTTGCTCTCCTGCTTCATTCTACTTACTTGGCCGGATGCTGAGTCTGGTCCCTGATCCAAAGATTATCTTGGAAGCACTGCTGTACCCCCACTGTGGGTAAGGTCTTTGAGATAACCTTCTTGATGCTAATCTGCTGGAAGCCACTGGGGTCCCAGAGCAACATTCTAAAAGGCTCCTTGGGTCTTTGTTGCTTACATCTTTTATTTCCCAAGGAAGCGATTCTCCTTTCCCTTTATGATAGTGTAAACCTTAGTATAAGCAAAGCCTCAATAATAATAATTATAATAATATTTTAGAAAAGCTACTACTTATTGATCACTTTTTACATTCTGGCCATTATCTCATATTATTATGATGTAGTTATAGTCATTTTGCTGCTGAGAAAGTGGAGGCTTTATTGAAAACAGCCAGTGAGAGTAGAGCCCAGATTTTCCCCAGGTCTGTGGGCCTCCCTCTACATTGCTGCCTCTATACCTTGTAATTGCATGTGGTATACTTGCCGTTCAGTTAGGGGTCTGGGCCACTTTTACCCTTAGGAGGAAGCTGAAAACTCTCCTAACTCCAGAGAGGAAGATTCTATGAGTAGGGATCCCCATACCATGTTTATTAGCCAATCCAGGGAATTTAGCTACATGCTGCAATAAAAGAGAATTTGTGTTTGCCATTAACTCATCTCTTTCCCCCAAGGGCACTTAGCTAATTTCCTGAATGTTCAGATTATCTGGTGCCGATATTATCAGCTTCACTTGAAAGCACTCATTATTTGGAACTCTTTTTATGTTTCTATAAATTATTCTGCTCAGATTTTCATTTACGCAATTGGCTCTTGGCACTTCTGTGTTTCATATGAGAAATGGGAACATTTTAAGTCACCAAGAGAGCTTGTAGGAATGGAAAATGAGTGCTTCTCAATATATCCCCAAGTTTGCTATAGATCATCACCTGTTTTCTCATAGACAAGTGGTCAGTTCTTTTTGCACTGGTCACTTGCAGGGTCATACTCACATGGGTGTACAGCCAGCCTGGTCCCTGCTCCAAAAATCAGCTTATTGTAGCCACCAGAAAACACACAATCAGATGGTGCTTTACAAGAACTCTGACCTGGGCAGGGCATGCCTGGCTGGGGCACTCCATCTCCTGTCCCTGTTTTCCAGGCTCCCCCAAGTCAAACTTTCTCTGACAAGAGAGAAAAGTCTCACCTACCAGGTCTTCATTCCACCTACTCACTCCTGAAGATGCATCAGAGGCCTCATTGATGCTGATTATTTCTTTCTAATCATCACGAAATAGCTTCATTTTATTTTGGCAATTGTTGAACACCTATGCAACTGTGCAGCAAATGCTCCAGCCACTGTCGGAACAGCTCCGGGGCAGATTAGTTGCAGGCGTCAACATGCAGGATCTACGATGCCCCAACACTTTGCAGGGTTTCCCTACTAGAAACAATGGCAACTTTAATGCCTTATTCCAAATGTGAATTTTTGGTCTTCTTTGTACACACCTTTCTAACACAACTTGGAGCTGTATATTTCCAAGATGATTCTGCTCCTAATGGAGAAAAGTTTCCTTAGAACAAATCTTTTCTAGGAGGTCTCTCAAGTGGAGACAGGCTTCATATATTTATCATTAGACCTCTTTCTTTTTTACTGCTAGAACTCATTTGTACTGCTTACTTATCGAGATATTGTAAACCTTCCACCTCTGATCTCTGATTCTTGAGAAATACGATAGGTTTCAAGCTTTATAAATTCAGCCTGAACCATGGCTGAGAAGAGGCTTTGATGAAGCACACATATGAACAGATAAATACAGAGGTGCTCTTCCCTGAGAGATGGGCCTTCTCCCACCACAGACATCTGGATGGATTCTGCAATCTCCTGGTTTTGAGGTCTAACAACTCTCTCTGTTAGAGAATATTTGTTAATGTATAAATCATAACTCATCTAGCCAGAAGGCATTTTTTTCCCCACAATCATTTGTTTGGTGACACCTATGTGCCAGGCATTGTGCTGAGCTGTAGAGCTGTGAGGATGAAAAAGGGTCCTGCCCTCATGGAGCTTAAGGTATAGTGGAGGATGTGTGTATGTACCAGGCAATGAGAATTGGAGGCTAGTCATGTCTTCTGTTGTGCTTCCATTGCAACTTGCATGTACCTCCACTATGACGTGGTGACAATAGGCTATAGTTGTCTGTTTGCACTCTGAGCTCCCGGATGGCAGAGACTCTCCCTCCTTCCCTGGATGAAAGAGAACCTCCCTCCTTCCCTCCTTTCCTCCTTTTCTTCCTTCTTCCCTCCCTCCCGGTCCTTCCTCTACTTCCTCTCCTTTCTTTCCTTTCCTTCCCTTCCCTTCCCTCCCATTCCCTTCCTCACACTTAACATAGTGCTTGGAATAAAATAATTGTCCAATAAATATTTGTTGAATACATAAACCCTCTAAATATTTCCATTCGTTTCTAATGCAGTTCTGTTATCTTCTTTCATTAAGACTATTTCATTTCTTCTTTAATTTCTATATGGTTCCTTTTTACAAACTTTTTATTATTTTTATGGCATTATTTAGGCTCTAAGTTCTTCCTATATCTCTCAATTGGATGTGCAGTTTTGAGAAAGTGTGTCCAATGCCCAGAGTCTTTGGGAAGCATAATTCATCACCTTTCATGAAAACTAAATGGAACAAAAATAAATCTTTTGGCATAATCAGTCACAGTTTCTTTTCTGATAAAGATCTTTTGTCTCAAAGGAATCTGTCTCTGCAATGATGAAATGGCCAATTCCCATTGGCAAATACTACCGTTAGAAAACAGACTATTAAGCTAGTGGCTAGGAATTAAAATTTCAAGATATTCAAGCCTCATAAAGAAACATGAAAAATTAGTTCAGGAAGTACAGATTCATCATCTAAGAAAGCAGAGTAGGGGCTTTCTGTGTCTTTGGCCAGAGCCTAAGTTTGGGTACTTACTTGGTTGCACTTGGAGTCTTGTTCCACTCCCAAAAGTAAGTGCTCTCCTGCCCGTGTCCACACCCTGGTACATCACAGTACAAAATCCTGCCCTCTGCCAGCTGGGGGCAGCTGCCCATGACCCTCATACACTCACAGTTTCTTGGGAGAAAAACTTTTAAGCAGCCTATTCTATGGTTTGTTGATACATTTTTCTTTCTCTCTAACTGTATGCGCAATAAACAGTCCCCCTAAGTTTCTCCTTCCCTCCCTGCCATACCTGTATTCTGCCACCCAACCCAATGACTCTGCTGATCTCTTCAGAAGTGCTGAGTCACCATGCCATGGTCGCTATGGTAAGAAGGCTCAGGATGGGCAAACCAAAGGCCAAACAGATGGCCTTTGAGGTGTGAAGTCTTCCTTCACAGAATGCAGGAGGCATGGTGGTGGCACGGTTAATAACAAGGCCCTAGAGTCAAACAGATTTGAGTTAAACTCTAGCTCTGTCATTCGTGGCTATATAATCTTGGATAAGTTACTTATCCCAAGCCTCTGTTTCCTCACCTGTAAAATGGGCAAAATATCGGCTACCTATTATTAGGATGTGTGTAATCACTGAATGAGGATTACATAAAAGACAAGAGAATGGCCACTGGTACGTGTCAGGCATTCAGTAAATAGTAGCTCATAATGGGATGATTCCCAGCAATGCTTTACACTGGGGGAAAGGATGAGGCTTCTTGCAGCCAGAAGCCCAGAAACGCATCCCTGTACCATCCATTCCAGTACCACAGAGTGCCTCAGCACCCTGGCTGGTATGCTCTAATTCAGGGGAAGGTATCTCACGGATTCTAGGGGAGGTGGTGACAGAGTCTCAGGTGGAAGAGACATAGGAGTGAGGGGGCAGAGTAGACCCCTTGGTTGCCAAGAAGAAAGTTCTGTTTTAGAAACCTAACCAAGAGTGAAGTCTTTTTTCACAACTTGGGGATTTGTCCTCTGAAATCATTGTGCAAAACCCTTGTCCGGCACAGCCTCAATCATCTCATCAGACCTGACACTGATAGTTACTCCCAGGCAACAAAGGACTCCTTTAATGATGGAATAGATCACAACACAAACTCTCACTACTACAGTATCCTTCCATAATATAATCTGTCTGCAAAATTTCCCTTGATCATTTCTATAATACTTACACGGATGAACAATAAGGCTGGTTCCTCTTCCAAATGTAGGTATGTAGCTTCCTCCTGATGCACACAGTGAGGACAGCCTTTGATAAAACCTGTTTCATGTGACCTCCCTCTACCAATTGCCCCATGGTATTGGGCAACATCCTGGGAAACCCTCCTGAATACTCTCTGAGTTGTAGAAAGTCTCCTACTGCTGTCCTTAGAGCCCCCGAGTGCTGGAGCCCAGGGGCGGGAGCCAGGGGCTGGGGACTGGAGAGCTCTTTGGCCCCCGTGTACCCAGGGGAAAATACCACCTTCCCATCAGCAGAGAAGCAGGGCAGCAACTCCCCATGTCTGCTCCCAGCACCCCAATACAAACACCACACTCTGCTTGCTTGGGGCAGACATTCTGAGGGTCTGGCTCTGCTACTCTTTAGTCAGATGCAAGGAGCTTCTGAAAGTGCTGCGAGGACAGAGAGCAAAGGAAATTTTATGTGACGTTTTTCCTGAAGCTGTTCTGACCTCCTTTTCTCAGAGTGCTCCTTGTTCTCTTTTCCTTTCCAGAGCTCTTTGGCACTTCCCACTCCTAGTCTTCTTCCTATGGGAGACCCTGGGGTTGGATTTCTGCATATCCCTGTTTGAGGCAACACTAAATCCAAGCAGGATTTAGGCACTTCCTGTGATTTGTGCTTTCATCCTTCCCTCTTTACCACCTAGAATTAGGCCAAGGCATCCAAAGCCCTTGGATTCCTTTATTTCTAATGACCTTGACTCAGACAAGGCCCTGCCTCTGTGAAACCCTACAATTACAGAGAAAAAAGTCACAATAATTTCCATAGAATTTTTGAAAGATGGGAGGAAACAGAGACCATGCTGTCTACTTCAGAGATATGAAAACTGAGGCTCAGGGAGGTCATGGCCTGCGCCACAGTCCTGAGCTGGGGCAGGAACTCAGTACTTGGTTCCCTAGCAGGTGGGCACTGTCAACACTCAGCTTATCTCACACTGGGTTTGAGGGTCACTTAGCAAAGAGCTGTGTGGCTCCACCAAACTCAGGGTGGGAGTAAAGGGCTGGGGCCCCTCCACTGCTGTGCACTGACCATCAGCACGGTCTTGGACAGATGCTAGACCCTGGCATCAGGTCCCTCTGCAACATGAGCAAGATGTCCCCACGGTCCCCTCCAGCTCTCACTTTTGTGGTCCTTTGTTCAATCTGAAATCCAGCCTCAGGGAAGATCAGGGGCAGCTTACATGAGAATGGGAGTGTGGTCAGTGGAGATGCAGAGAAGGGGAGAGTGAAAGAAACCAGGGACAGGCAAAGATTTGGGACAGTGGCCGCCTAAGGTTCTTCGATATAGCACTGATGAATGGCATGTCCTTCCCCCGCTCCCATGGAAATATGATAAGAGGCTCTCCAGCACAGGGTAGGGATGGGGGTGGCTGTGGCCATTTGTGCAGGAGGATCCCAGCTCACTTACTTGGTATGACCACCACTTGGTTCCCCTTCCCAAAAGCGAGTCTGTTGTTCCCATAGTCACACTGTGTAAGTGTATTACAAAAACCTCCTGGTTTTGCCCACCCCTTCTCTGAAGACACATCCCCTTCACAGTAGCTCTAAGATCTGGAAACCCTGAAAGGCGGATGCTAAAGTTTTCCTTGTAATGGGTGGTATGAAGACTTGAAGGAACCTCCCTAAAGGGTATAAACAGCACCAGACCCCACTGCTACCTGTTGGCCTTCATTTTCCTCATCACAGCTATCAATAAACACAGCTTTGGCTATTTCTCCTTTGGGAAAAACAGAATCTTCATAAAACTTCATGAAAAACATTGTATCCTACATAGGCTGGATGGGTGTGAGTATTTCTAAAGATACCAGAGAGCAGGCGGGCATTTTCCTACTTCATCTGCCATGCCTGAGAAGAAGGTACCATTTTCCTAGTGACATGTGCAAAAATGTATTTTTCACCTTGCCATAAATGCACACTGTGCTGGAGCACATGCTAAAGACATGCCTCGGCATGACTCAGAGTCACTCCATCCTCTTGGGGCTGAGTGAGAGTCTTGGGTGACTCACGCCTGACTCATTCCTGTTTCTGTCCTCACCCCCGCTCAAGGATGCTAACTGCCAAGGGGGCTTTTGTCCTCAAGAAAGTCAAAGATCTCAGCACAGAACAGACTCAATTCCGTTTCCAGAAACATATTTGGGGGAATCATGTGTGTTCTCTGCCAAAGAATGCGGCTGTGCATGGTCATACCTGTCCTGTCTCCAGCCCTCAGGAAACCCACCCCCCTATCTTGGCACATACACATATAAATTGTTGTTAGACTTTTTATTATGAGTGCTTAGTTTCTCTGATAAGACTGGAAGTTCTTGAGATCAGAAGCCTAAGATAGCTTAGGGTTTTAAAAATTCTTTTCTTTGTTTCTTTCTTTTAAAACCAATGATGATTCCCTGGTTTGTTGATGATACTCAATAATCATTTACTGAATTGAACTGACTTTTACTGTGCATAATTATTGGGACAGGGAGGCCAGTTTTGGGAGAGGTTAAAAGCTAAGTATACTCTGGGTAAATGTGAGCTGCAAAATCTAAGTGCTTAGGCAAGGAAAAACCAAGGAAGCATTTCTAAGAGAGATAATAAGAAGGCGGTATAAAAACCAAAACATCGTGAGGTTCATATGACCCTCAGCAGAGAGGTGGGAACTGACGAACAAATAAGAAACTTGACTCAAAGGAAATTCAAATATTTCCCTCCTGATATCTTGACAATAATTCTCCTTAAAGGTAAAAATAATAATATGGCAGAAAATGTATATTTGAAATTAGCAGCATTGTTATGATTAATAAGAACAAAATAGTAGTAATAATAATCTATTATAGACCAGAATAATTATATCCATATATGCCCAATATTGAGGATAGGGCTACACATTTCTGCAGATTTGACTTACTTGGACTGACCAGAAGTCAGGTGCCAGTTCCAAATACAAGTTTCTGAAAGCCTGTGTTCACACTCTGACATAACTCTGTACAAAATGGGACCCTGTCACTGGGCCATAGCCTAGGATTGCCAAGTCACATGCAAGTTAGTTACTAAGGGTGTTTCTATGTCTGCATGCATGTACCAAAGTGGTAGGAGGCATCTAATCTTACTATTTAACCTTAATTTTCCTAAGACCATTGGAAGATGACAACAAATCAGATAGAACCCAACTGAAGATTCTGCTTTGTATACCTTGGGTTATATAAAAATGTCACTAATATTCAAGTTAAAAAAGTTATTAATATAATTACAGAGTTTCAGTTCTAGATAGGACCTAGGGAAGTTTTATCCATCCACACTTAACTGTTTGTTATTATACATGTTTCTTGCAAGAGTGATGCCCATGGATACTGTACAGTGCAACATTATTATTGCCAATGTATCTTCTAATTTAACTGGCAGACAAAACTATGTCCCCTTCCCCCTAAAAAGAAAAAAATCAATGAAAACAGATGTTCTTCAACTGTAATATAAATCAGGTTATTTCATGGAACTTACTTGCTTTAACAAATAGTCTTGTTCCTGCTCCAAAGATAGTTTTGAAGCCTCCAGTATTTCCCACAGTGATTTGCACTGCGACAAAATGGGCCATTTCCTTCTCCTTCCATTTTTACACCACAGCTGGGGAGCAGGTCTAGGGAGCCTATACTAAGGTGCTAGTAATAAGGAGGACATTTTTATACTCCCCTTGTAAAACCTATTTGTTTTTCCTGTTTATGAGCATAACTCACACTTCCTACCTATCAGAAGTTTAGTTCACCAAACAGCAGTCACAGAATATGGCCCCAGGACCAGGATCTCCAGGTTCTAGTCCCAGCCCTAGTTCGCACTGACCTTAGACAATTCAGCCAACCTCTCTGGGTCTTAATTTCCTTATTGGGAAAATAAAGAGGGGTGAACTAGATATTTTGAGGCTGTCTCTCAGAGCTAAAGTTCTATGTGCAAAGTGCCTTCACCCTGCATTTCTCTATAACTCACAAAGGAGTCAGGCTCTTGTAGATCAGTTATATTGGTGGCTGGTCTGCCTGGGGAAAATACAAGAAACAGCGAAGGAAAGGGACAGTCAGAACAAGGGAGTGGCTGCAGCCAGCTCCCCTCTCTTTTCTCCCTATTGGGGTAAATGCTCCCAGCAACTCTGTACTTTGTTTTGTCATTGAAAGGGGAGGAGAACTCTTTAGACACTTGGGGCATCCATGTCAAGATTTCCCGAAGCACCCTCTCTAACTCACAGCAATATCTAAAGTAGAAAAGATAAATTCCAAGCATTTCACCAGTCACTGTGATTGGCATCACCTCTCATTTCTAAGTAAACTAGAGCACAAGCTCTACGACATCATGCAGTAGAAAGAGCAGGGCTTTCAGGTGTGGTGGCGCATGCCTGTAACCCCAGCTACTTGGGAGGCTGAGGCAGGAGAATCGAATCGCTTGAACCTGGGAGGCAGAGGCTGCAGTGAGCTGAGACTGCACTGCACTCCAGCCTGGGTGACAGAGCAAGACTCTGTCTCAGAAATAAATAAATAAATAAATAAAATAAAATAAAATAAAAGAAAGAGCAGGGCTTTTTAGTCAGGCAGGCAGACCCAAGTTTAAATTTAGGCCCTTTACTTACTAGCTTTGGGATCTTGGGCACTTCCTTCTCTGAGCCTCAGTTTCTTCTTTTGTAAAATAAGATACTTCCCCTTACCTCACAGAGTTATTTCAGATGAACAATTCTACATGTCATGCATCTAGCATCGTATCTAAACATGGTAGGGACTGAGATGGTGGTTATTATTTCTATGTTAAGTTAGGTTGTTGATTAACAGGGCTATTTCCTGAGGGTCATAGAATTTGTTTATGAAATACTCACAAGATTCCATACTCTCGAGTCCTATAAACTCTCGGGTGGTATAATAGCGAAATCCCAGAACAACAGATTTTGAGGGCTTTGACCCCCTCATCCACTGGAGGAGTCTGAGGTGCAGAGAGGGGCAATGACTCGTTCCAATATCACACATCCAGTTGGGACCAAATCAAACCTAGAACTCTGGACCGAAACAAGAAGCCCTGGGTTCCTTTCTCTGTACTTCACTGACTCTTCTTGGATGATGTTTAGCATAAGGGGGCACAATCTCTGGAATGAATTGGGAGTGGTTTTTTTGGGGCATGGCTAAAATGACCTTGAATACCCTCTTCTAAATGCACCACTGAGTCCATGGCAGTGGAAGTAGAAAGGATCTATTTGATCATGACGGTGCAATTTTCTGCTCTTCTAGCTCTTTTCTTCCATTGAGCATCGTTTAGCTTAATACTAGTATTAAAAACTCTCACGTTGAAGAGAGCTGAAAATCTCATATCTTGGAAAAAGTCTTAGTGGTTAGCTAAATTCCACCCTAACGAAAGCATGCTTATATAGCCTTTGAATACTTTCACTAATTTATCTGGATGTCACAATTCTTAATGCTTCAGTAATAGATTAAAAATAAGATACAATGACAAAAATTACATCACCTTTTCTTCCACTTATTGTCACCAGAATACATTTTGTAATTACCATAGAATCTCATACTTACTGAGTTCCACTTTTAGCTGAGTGCCTGTCCCAAAGGTGAGTTTGTTTCCTCCTCCCGTGAGTATCACAGTGTTTGATGCCTCACAATAAACTCCCTTTTGTCACTTCACCCCTCTTCTTGATGTGCTCTAATGAGTTAGAAAACACTCAAGCTTTAAAATAGCTATTGAGTTACTCCTAGGAGAAAAAAGTGCCCCAAATGGGATACATTCATAGACTTTTTGTACTAAGAGGCCAGAGAGGCCATTGGACCCACTTCCCCATTTACAGATAAAGAAACTGAGGCTTAGAGGCAAGAGATCTGGTCTAAGTTACATTGCTAGTTGGCAGCAGAGACCAAAACATGGCTCTATTTGAATCCCAATCTAGCATTTCTTCCTCCCCACTACACGCTCAAATGTACTGTGTCATTTGCTTAATTTTCTTCTTCCCTTTGGCCTGGAAACCTGATTTCTTTGGGTGTTTAACTTCAATTAAGCAAGAATTTATCAAGTATTTACTTTTGTAAAAGGACCATATCAGACACTTCATGGAATATTAGAGACTGTCTATTCTCAAGGATCTTTTGGTTCAAATAGGCAGATATTCTCAGTAAGAAAAGATTTCTGTAGCTGCATAGGTCACAGATTGTCTAAGATTCCACAGCTAAATTTGGGATATGGAGGGTTAGAGGAATGTGAAGGGTGCCCGGGGAGAGACCACAGTCTAGGCTTTAAACAGGAAGTGAGTCTATTTCTGGAAAAACCACGTTTGTCCTAATTGTCTAGGGTATTACTCCCTTCTCCATCCTGACCTAGTGAATTAGTTCTACTGTTATTTCCAACTCTTCTATTAGCTATTTTCATTTTTAAATGAAGAGTCCATGGAGGCTCAATCTTAAATTCACAGAACATTGATAATAAAACAAGGATGATGAAATCCATGAGGATAACACGCAATACATATGGAAGCCTTAAACCAGATAGGGGGAAAACATGGGTGGGATGGGGTCAACATGTACCTGGAGAGACTAGAAGCATAGTCCCCTTCCCAAAGGTGAGGGTGCTGTATCCTGAATTCACACTATAGCAAATCCCCATACAAAAATGATTTGCAGTGTTAGGTATTTCAACCCATGATCTACTTAGGGAAAAGGAAAGAAAACCTTCATTTATGAGCCAAATGGATTAATAATCTGCATATATTCCACTACCTCATTTGGGCTTCAACTGTGCCATGAGCTTAAATATTATCCTCATTTTACAAATGAGGGATAGGTGATCTGAGGCTGAGCAGGTTGGGCCAGCACTGCTAACAAAGATGTAAGTATCCTGGATCCACAAGACACTTTGGCAGAGGATGGATAAATCTTAGGAGGAGCTTTCAGAGAAGAATCCTCTTCCTTGTTCCTTCTAGAGAGGGATTACAGCTATATTAGGGTTCTTTTGCTAGAACCAGACATCAGAACTCTAGTAACAGTGCTCCTAAAAAACTCCAGCTCATTTTGCATTATACAATCATTTCCTGAGACATGAAGACATTTTACCCTCAATCTTTCTGTTGCCTCTCTGACACCTTACTTACCAGGCCTGACCAGCAGTCTGGTCCCACTCCCGAAGATCAATTTATAGCTGCTATCCATCCCACAGTGTTTCTTAGTCAGTCAAAAACACCCAGAAGCCCACACATCCTTTTCATACCTAAGACCTAGAGATATGGCCTTTTCACCTACAAGGAGATACGGGTTACATTTTCACTTCCTTTTTACACAGGCCATTTGACTCAAATTTGGGGTATTTACTGCATATCACTTGAAATGAAGTTTCTACCTGCCCAACTCTCTGGGTCTGTCGCCATCAAATTCATGATTTTCAACTCCATTTATCCAACAGATGTAGCTAGCCCTTCTTTCATTTCCATTACAGTTATCAATTTTTAGATTCCTGACATAGTGTCACCCCTAATTTTAACTTCAATCAATCTGAAACTTCACGGAATAGCATTCAGATCATCATGAGTGGCAGCTTCCTGCTCCCCCGAGTCAACTCATTTTAGAAGCTCAGTGACTCAGTGGTAGCCTTGTTACTTACCTGAGTCCTATCCAGCCCCCAGAACCAAGCATCCCTCTGATTAAAGGACACCCACTCTGCTTTAAGCTTGGTAAAAAGTACCACTTGTCTTCTCTTTAGTTCTTTTCTTTGCAAATCTACTGTTTTCCATTGGCTTCACAGGCAATGTCTTAGTTTTTTTTGATATTAAGAAGAAACACACACTGGACAAAACAATACTAAGAACATGCTAAAGGATGTTCTTATACAATCCTTTTCAGTCTCCTGAAACAGCCAGAAAAGAGCAGGCCCATAATATCTCTTTATGTGCTCCAAATGTTACGGTCTGAGAGAAGACAACACAAGGAAGAGGAAAGCATAGGAAATTGGACTCACTTGGGATGACTTGGAGCTTTGTTCCAGTTCCAAAGGTAACTTTCTGGTAACCCCCAGAATTCACACTGTAATGCCTGCCTTTACAAAATGACTTCCCTTCCCCTGCCCTTTTCATTTGGGTAGCATTTGAGCCACTATATTTCAGTAGAAGAGAAAGTGCTTTTTACCAATGCCTAGGGCTACAGATCACATGTAAATGGCTATTTCACTAAGAACCTACAAATTCTCATGTTAAAAGAATTCTAAATCTGACATAGTTTTTTTTTGTTCTATAAACAAATAATATTTTACATGTGGATAGCATTTAAGAATTTACAAAATACTTTCACATATATTAGCTTATCTTTAAAATAAATATATACACCTATTATGTACCCACAAAATTAAAACAAAAAATCTGAGGTGATATTAAATGTTTTCATTTTATAGATAAAGATACTGTGGCCCAGATTCACTAATCAAGCCAGGTCAGCAGAACTGGAAGTGCTCAGCCAGACTTTCTGCCTTTTTCTTTAGGATCAACTCTCTAGGCTCTTTCAGTCTGTTGCGTTTGGTTCATCCACATGGCTATTTTTTTTCACAGCTAGCTCTTCTATCCTCTGTGCCATTACTTTAACATTTCTTCCTTCATTGGAATCCACTTAAGTCTGCATAAACCATTAATTTCTTGACACTTGGGCCTTCCAAATACTGCAGTAAGTTTAGTGGGTCTCAGTAGCCACATTAAGCCTCCTACTTTAGTGACATATTGCCTACTTACCAGGTTTTACTGATAATCTTGTCCCACTCCCAAAGATGAATGTGCTATAAATCACAGCACTGTGCTGCCTGACAAAAATGACCGAGTTACCTTGATAATAGATTAATGTGGTTAGCATGCAGCTATCCTCCCTCATGGGAGCTCTGGCTGGGATTCCCCCTTTTTGATACTGGAATAAAGACTAAGCCATGGAATTAAGCCTGAGAAAGCCTCTTTTCAGGGCACCATAGTGGTACAATAGATGTAGTGGAAAGCCTGAGAACAGTCCAAGTGATATTCTCTAGACAACTCTGAAACTTATTTCTTTCGAGGAGATTTACATAATTTCACCAAGTAATCTTGTTTTACTAGCCAAAGGATAGCAGCTCTGACCCCCATTTTTACCTAGGAATCAACACCTGTACATAATCTCGTTTTACCACTGTTTAGCAAATTGCTCATATCCTTGTAGATAATCTTTCTTTCTTCTATCAATTAAAATTTTTTTAAGAGCATGGAATAGGACAGGGGCTATGGTTGGAGTATTAGGGGTGAGAGACAACATCCAATTTTCCCATGTGTTTAAATGGCTTTCCTCATCAAATGTCAATATTCCTTAACTCAAAGAAATAGGAGGCATTTGGTCACCTGTGCAATATATGACTACAGGATAAGTACAAGCACTATGATCAATAATTATCAGGTACTTACTGGAACTCACTGATAAGGTGGTTCCCTTCCCAAAGATCAGAGCAGTTCCTGCCTGGTTGGCACAGTGAAATGAGGCCCTGCAAATACCTCATGTACCTGCTCACTCAAATCCACCTTGGATATAACTATAAATGATGGAAATTTGCAAAAATCTCAGTAGGTTTTAGTATTTGGGTATGAAATAGCAAAGCTCTGTAATTTCATGAAAAAGAGCGGCAGTTGGTGCTAAGTCCTTTATTCACTCAGTAACTGTTCACTGAACACCTCCGATGTGTAAAGACATTGTGCCGGCACTAGGGATACGGTGAGAGCCACTTAGACACTGTCCCCGTCCTCCTGGTGTCTACGGTCTAGAAGAAGGCAAACAATAAATACACAGATAGTATAATGTTAAGTGATGAAAGTGTGTGAATTAAAATCAGGCTAAATAACAGGGTAGAGAGCAGCCAGGCAGTGGCTGTGTTTGATGGCTTGTTAGATTGGCTGGGTAAGACAGGCCTCTCTGAGGTGATGTCTAAAGTGAAGTCTAGGCATGGAGGAATTAATCATCATCCCTTTTGCGATAAATGGAGGGGCTGAAAGAGCAGATCCTGGATCCGAGTCACACAGAGTGTCCACATGGACACTTAGATCATGTCTTCTCCCTGCTGAAGTGTTAGATGTAAAACTAACCATGTAAATTCCTGGTTAGAAAAGGTAAAGTAAGACCGATTTTCTCTCTTCTCTCAGAGTGACTTTGGGATGTTATCTGGGCACCTGGAAGCTTTGGCCCTGGCCATGGAGGGCACTGAGGTTGCAGGGGGCTGCCAGCTGCAAGAGAAAGTGTTCGCATTTCAGAGCAGACTTCTCTGATGCAACTGACCACTGGGCTAAGGAGACGTCTTCCATACTGCTTCTCTGTTAAGCTTCCATTCTGCTTCCCTGTTAACAATGCAAACTGCTACCTGGCAGAAGTGAGGATGGAGAAGGCATGAAGAATGCTCTGCTCCCCATGCAATATGGATAAATCGAGAACATTTGGCAGTCCACTTAGATTTCCAAAAAAGCTTATTACTTGTCTCAAAAACTAATCAATTAAGAATTCATTAGTAATAATACTTACTAAGATCCACCTTTAACATGGTCCCCCTTGCAAAGAGCAGCTTCTGGCCATCTGAAAACCCACAGTGATCTATTGTACCACAAAAACCAAAGGATGCTTCATTTCCAAGCAGAGTACTTCTCCCAGGGTTCTTTTGCTTGGTTGAAACCTAATCTAACACTAAGCACATATTTAGCTAAACTCACGAAAAATTTTAAGCTCACGCACTCTTTGGAATGGTGGGAAACTTCAGAGACCATTTACTGTAAGCTCTCAACTTCACACATTTCTCTCCTGAGTGACCTCAGGTTTCTGAAGATCTCCAGGGAAGGTCTTGTTCACCAATTCTCATGTTCCTTTTTTTTCTTATAATTAGAGAGGTCCACCTTATATCCAAACCTAACCATTTCTCTGCCATGGCCAAAGTCCATTAAACTTGTTCACCTTTAAGTTTACCCTCAAATGAAATTTTGCATAAAATCTAACTATTAAAAATCATGAGGCCGGGCGCGGTGGCTCACGCCTGTAATCCCAGCACTTTGGGAGGCCGAGGCGGGCGGATCACGAGGTCAGGAGATCGAGACCATCCCGGCTAAAACGGTGAAACCTCGTCTCTACTAAAAATACAAAAAATTAGCCGGGCGTAGTGGCGGGCGCCTGTGGTCCCAGCTACTTGGGAGGCTGAGGCAGGAGAATGGCGTGAACCCGGGAGGCGGAGCTTGCAGTGAGCCGAGATCCCGCCACTGCACTCCAGCCTGGGCGACAGAGCGAGACTCCGTCTCAAAAAAAAAAAAAAAAAAAAAAAAAAATCATGAATCATTTGACCACCCATCTTTTTCAAGGAGATTTCACATATATTATCTCATCTGAATTTCATAGCATCCTTTGAAGTAGTCAAGGCTGGAATAATAATCTCCACATTTTAGGTTAACTGAGGCTGGGAGAGCTTGGTGATCTTCTCATGGCTGCCTAGTGAGTGAGTGGCTGAGCCGGGGTCCATACTGTTTTTTGGCTTCTAGTTGAATGCCTTAATGATTTATTTTGCACACGTTCATGTATTGATCATATTACCTTGCCTTTCAAGTATGCCTCCTTTCTTATTCTCTCCCTCAATGAAAGAGACAATACCATCAACAAAACAATAATCCCCCAAAAGAAAACCCTCCAGCTCAATTCCTTTTCAGAGCAGCGACTTTTTAATCCTCACACACTTTCTGTGAACCGGAAGATAATGGTTACCAATATTTCAGTTACATTAATTGGGAAAAATGAGGGCCAGAGGAAATAAATCAGAATAATGGTTATAGAGGCTGCAGGCTGGTACAGACAGCAATATTTTGAACCTTAGAAATTGTAAGTCCTTGCTCTGCTATTGTAACCATATTCAAATCAACTACTCTGAATAGACAGAAACGCCACGTCCAAGTTCCTCTGCCTCTTGGGAAAATCAGTTAAGAAATGTGAAGAAATAAGAAAAGTACCTTTTACTATGTGCCTTCTCTTAAGAAAATAGATTCTAGAAAATGTCAAGATGACAATATCCTTTATCCATGCTGAATTTGTACATAAGTGCATGTTTATGCATAAGAGCAACATGAAACATTTTAAAGACAAGTTTGAGACATTAATTTGGGCCAATACGGCACATTGAATTGCAAATTGATGACAAGGCTCAATTGTGGGTCAAGCCCCAGTACTCACTTGGTTTAACTAGCACCCTGGTTCCTCCTCCAAAAGTTAGCTTGTTGCCTGCAGCTTTGATCACACAATGATTTAAGGCCCAGCAAAAACCACAGGGACCAAGAAAATAACACTCAGTTGGTGCTCAACAAAGGACATTTTCTATGGTCTTGGAAAAGTGGAGGGTTTGCAATGTGCAGGGTAATCCTATCTCCTAGCACTGTATCCTCTTCATAGAGCTGGAATGCTTGCAAGTGGGCACATATTTGGGTCTAAGCCCTTCACATAGTTATTGTCTACTCTGCTTTGGGAATTCGGATCTTGCTCTGTGAATAAGGATAATATTAATAGCTCTCAACCATAACCTCATTCAGGGGCCCACTTGGCCATTTTTGTCTCACAAAGGCAATTTTCTCTGAAAACAGAAAGCCCTGTAAGCTCCAGGGAGTCTTCAGAGTAAGGCTATTCATACATTCAGAATGGAAATGCTGAATGAACACACTCATATACATGCATGCACTTGCTAACAGGGTTTCTGTATTCAATCGAGTGCCCAGGAAAGGCCCCAAAGAGAGGACGAGTACTTCAGTCCTAGGTCCTCCCAGCTGCCATATCCACTGGATACTGCGGATCAACTTTACTTTCTCAGTGAAAGTTTCAGACCCAGACTCCCTCCAGCTACTCTAGAGCCCATCCATCGGTGAGGCTAAGTGCTGAGGAAGCATGGAAACAGGCTTCTTGGGGAAAGTTTACAGAGAACCACGGAGAGGCCATTCTCAATAAGAAAGAGTGCAGCGACAGATGGAGCCTCTGACAGGGAGACGGCCAAGAGTCACAGGACCCAAGAAAAACACACCTTAGAAAGCTGGTCTAGTTTGCTTGCCCATTCTGGGTGGAGGGCCATGTCCTTCACCAAATATTGTGGGTGGACCAGAGCAGGTGTTTTAGGATGCTCACATGTTTTAGTGGGACCTCCCTTCTTTGCCTTTGGTGGGGACCATCAAGTTCTCTCTGATTCCTGGGTTCCTAAAAGGGACTTTCCATCGCCTTTGTCTCCCTCTGCTTCCTCGTCCTAATCTACCTAGGGACTGGGGTCCTCCAGGAGGGGAAGTACACATATCTCTTTAGTTTCAAGACTAAAGGAGTTAATTCATCTCCCCTTTTAATTTCTCCACAGTAATATTTTCCTGGAATAGAAAGCGACTCACTCACCAGGCCAGACAGTCAACTGAGTTCCTCTTCCAAAGTATAGCCTCCCCAGGGTTGAGCCTCTGTCGGCACAATGCTGGTCCCCTTTACATGAACCCAGCCCTAATGTTTCCCATCCCCTCTCCCCTCAGCTTTGGAGTACAGGGTTGAAAATTTGCCTCCATCCTCCTTAAGCATCTGTAAGTCTTCTTCTTGTGCAGACAGCAGTCTAAGCTAGACAGTCAGTCCTCAGATGCTATATCTCCAGGGACAAGTGATCTGTGGTAACAATAGTCTTTCTACCTTCAGAGTTCCCTCCCATCAGAAAGCAATTACACATCCTTTTGAGTGTGTTTAAATTGGAAGAAACTTTGCTCCCCTGGCCCTATTTTCGAGTACAAAAGGCTGCTCACTTACTTGGAGTGACATTATGTTTGGATCCCTTTCCAAAGGTGAAATTGTAAAATCTTTGATAGCCACATCTGTCCTCTGCAAAATCACCTCATTTCCTTCATTCAACCTCTGAGCCTCCCTTAAGACATTCCCTTTATCTCTTCCTTCTTTTTTTCCTCCTTGATGTCTCCTATTGTTTTCTCATTTACTGCACTGGGAAATCATACCCCACCATCTTCTAGGTGTAAAAATCCCAAGTAGGCTTTAGCTTATGAATAATTTGATGAATTATTTCTTTGGCTATCAAAATAGTAAAAATAGAAGAAACAAGTCTGAGCTCACCTATTAATCCTCCAGGCTTGAGTCATGGGATCTTAGCATTTAGATTTGAAAGGGAGCCCAGAGGTGATTCAATCTAATAGCTAAAATGGCATAGAAGTGCCTTCTGCAACATCTCATGGTTAACCTTAGGGGTCTGGCATGAAGATATCTAAGGAAGAAAAGTTCCATACTTCACAAAGCAGCCTTTCCACTGCAGGGCAGTTCCACTTGTTCAACAATGTTTGAGGGGAGGTTGGGGCACATCTTGCACCTGCTCGTTTTGATTTGGCCTCCACACTCACCCCTTACCTGGTCTACATCGTAGTTCTTCAAATATTTGAAAGGAGTTAACTCTCTCACTTAGAGACCTGAGATAATTTCAGATAATTAGCTCAGTTTTTATCTGACCACAAAGACTGCGCCACCAACAAATGTACCATTGTGAAGTCATGCCTTAGGAGGAGCTGTTCTGAGGTGACAGAGAAGGCGAGGGAGACGTGTGAGGTAGAAAAATTATGGTTCTAACACAAACTGGGAAAGCTCTTAGAATTTAGTTCTTGACATTGCACTTCCTAGGTGAAATTGCTGAAAAACCTACCCACCATTTTGCTTAAAATTATTCTGGACTTTTCTTTCTTACTTACTTGCTCTTACAGTTACTGTGGTTCCGGCTCCAAAGCTGAGCTTGTAGTCGTTAGAACCACAGTGCGAGGTCGCCCTACACAAACCTCACCAAGACCATGGTTAAGAGAGTGGGCTAGGGGACAGGCAGGCCAGGCTCTTAATCTAGCTCTGCCCCTCATCTGCGGTGAGCCCTTGGGTAACTATTTCAACCTCTTTGCTTTAGTTTTACCTTTCACACTGTTTCCTCATCTGTGGAAGCGGAGATAGGTAATATCTATCCCAGAGGGTTGTTAGGAGGGTCAGATGAGTCAAGGTATGAAAGGTGCTTTGCATATTGCGAATGTTGAAGAAATGTTAGTTATTAGAGTATTTTCAAGAGGATCTAATTCTTTTCATCTTTAAATAATACATATAATTTTAATTTGTCATGTCTCCTCTCTGAAATCCTGGACATTCAGGGGTGCTTTAAATTATATCCAAATGCTCTTTTGTTCAGTAGCAACAGTTAAAATTTGGGCATTTTCCTTATAAAGAATAGCACCTTGAGAACATTGGCAGTTTCAGCATGTCTACTCGATCATGAGATTTGTTTACTACATATCTGTTCAAGTGACATATGAATAAGGACTAATAAAATATCATGGGTGGGGACCCAAAATGCAAAATAAAAGAACTGAAATACAGACTGAAAAGAAGAATTTAGCATAATGTGTTGGTAACTTTTTCTTCTAGGCAACTATAACTTACTTGGTTTTACATTGAGTTTGGTCCCAGATCCAAAGTAAAATTTGTTGAAGTTGTACACCATGTTTATTGGCATTACAAAAAATCCCCTGGCACTTCCTAAAAAGGAGACTTGTTATCCAGAGATGACTAACCAAATTAGACCAAGACTAACCCAACCCTACCAGTTCTTTGCTAATTCCCTGGAAAATTTGAGAACCAAAGTGAGGAATGAGCAGGGAAGGCACATTCATTATCAGAGACAGGCAAGATAAGGGCAACTGGTTTTCTTCAGTGGTTTTATTGATTTCTTTTCTTTAGTTTTCTGCTTGGGTTCATTCTTGTGTCCTCTGTGCTCAATGCACACAATATTTGAAACAGGACACTGCAAGTAAATGTTCTTTACCTTTCTCTTTTCCTAATTATAAATGAAAATTCCCCTCAGGTAGACTTAACTAAGGGGAAAATTCATATTCTGCATTTAGCTCCAGGGTGATCTGGAAGCTTCTCTCTGAGACTCTGTATCTGAATCTGGGTTGCACTTGACAACTAGACCTGAGCTTTTCTTAAGGACACCCCGAGCAACGCCAGCTGACCAGTGGTGCTCTGTATGTATGATCTAATAAGATCACTATAGCCTCTCTGTGACAGTACCTACATTATACAACCATGTATATTTTAGCATCCACATTGACACTCTCCTCCCAGACCCCACAGTCAAACTGTACATTTTGGCTTTTTTTTTTTTTTTGCTTCCTGCTTGCATATTCCCTTCAGAAAAAAAGAAACAAAGCAAAAGAAAAAAAAAGAGCCTGCAGTGTTAGTTGTCATTTGCAAGTCTAGATGAAACATTATTTATGGGTAAAATATTTTGCTGGCAATTTCAAGAGAAAAGAAACCTTAGTGCCAACAGTTAGACGCCCACACAGTTTGGAGTTAAACAGATCTCAACAAATGAACACAGTTATGAGAAGTAACACAGAAGTGACTTCAATCTAAGCCAAGTAATTATAATACTCATGCAATTTTGGAGGGCCAGGGGCTTACTTGTTCTCACTTGTAGAAATGATAAGCAATGTGTTACAGCAATGCTTTGCTGGAAGGGCACCAGAGAGCTATAGAAATAGAGCCTCATTTAAATATCTTAAATATAGGCACCTCTATGTTTAAAGACTTATTTAGAAATAGCTACTAGAATAGGCTAAAAATGTAAGTGACCAACTAGACTTGGTGTGAGACAGTTTTTGTAGCACGTAGGCTGGTCCTAGTGCAAATATTTTCAGAAGCAGAGGTTCCCCTTATGGAATCTGTTCCCATTATTCAGCAATTCTTCTAAGTTAAAATGAAATTTTTTTCTATTCATTTTCATTAACTCCTATTACTAAAAGCCTTAGCAAAAAGCTTCTCTTTCTCTTCTTGGTCTCTGATAAATAATTCTCTGCTCGCATTACCCTTTCTAGTATGCATTGTTGCTGTCTCTCCCCATCTTCAACCTCAGGCCCATTAAGTTACATGTACAGAATACATTTGTAGATTAGTAAATCAGTGCAAATAGTATTTAATTGAGGCAGCCTACCAGGTAAAACAGTCAATTGTGTCCCAGATCCAAAGGTCAGTTGCCTTGCAGAACCAGAAGAAACACTATGATTTGCTCAACAACAAAAACCAGATCAAACAGGCCAGGTTGGCAAAGCACTGAATAAAGAGCTGGCAGTGCTTCCTTTATGAATTAGGCCTGCATCACTGTTAATCTAGGTTTGGTCTGGAGTAGCCAAACTGACTTTCTACAAATCCTAAACTAACCCTCCTTCGTCTTTACAATCCCATTTTCTTTTAGGGGACCTTTGCTTTCCACTTTCCACTACAAAGTTCTAAACATTAACTGTGTATTTTCGATATATGTATAGAGCAAATACTCTCTGATTTTAGGTGTCAAAACAGCACTTGAATCTTTTCATCCAAGGAGACTCACAAAGTCCAGAATAGAGAATACGCCTCCTCTGTTGTGGGCATCACTGGATTATGTCATCAGAGAACTGTCTGAATTCTTGAATCCTCCTGAGACTGAGTCTATAGAATCAAAGTGAGGTAGGTACAGAGCTGGCATTGTCCAGTTAATTTGGCCACTCATTTCACACTGATAAAATAACTTTATAATAATCAATTATCAGACAAATTCCTAGTTTTCTACTTCACTTTTGGGCATTTCCCTTCTCCTGACTAAAGTGGTATGTGTGTTAGTTATCTGCTCAAGGACTTTAAACTGCAGCAAAAATTAGTTTTAGTATTTCCTAAGGAAGTGATGATAGTATAAGAGAGCCATGCCCAAGAGAAATCAGGGTAAGCATTGTCATATCTGGGAAGAAACATGGAATCCACCTCCAGAATGTAAGTTTCATGAAGGCAATATCACACTGAGTTTGCTTCCTGTTGGATCCCTGGTTTCAGCAACGAGCCTGGCAGAGGGCAAGTACATGAAAATATTTGTCAGATGAATCTTGCGGACTCTTCAAACTTCAAGTTTGAGCCAACTGACAGGTTTGGCAAATTAGAGACCTAAAATCTAGTTCTAGCTCAGCCATAGACTGGCTGTGGGGCCGGGATCTGTCTCTTCCCTGAGCCTCAGTTTTCTCATCCATGGAGAAAGTCAAAAAGGAATGTTGTCAAGGTTCTCTCTGCTCCGTGAGGCTACGCTGTACGAATTTTTGGCTGAAAGTCTCAGAAACAGGAAGTGTCCCTCAGTAGTCATGAGTAAACTTTTTAAAAAAAAGTGGTTTTTCAGACTTTGAGAGAGACTAATCACATTACTTTTGGTTAATGATCATTATTTACAAGGTTCTTTCCTTCTATAAATTGACATAATCTTAGCCAAATAGAATAGTGCCTTAGAAGGTTTGTTAAGGAATTAGAAATCTTGTCACCAATTACTGCACAAATCCAGGGATATGATCCCAGCCAATACAACAAGTAGCCAGTCATACATTTTAGTCCCAACACATATATTCAGGAGCAATTCCCAGAGGCACACTTACATAGCCCATTTTGCACTGAGATGCTAGATCCTAGCCAGGACGACGATTGGCTTCCTATTTGATGCTCATCCCCCTCTCTAAACATTCTTCATATGGTGTATAATTGGGTCTAAATCAGCCCTTAATCCACAGACATTGCTTAATCCAGGGATACAATTTTATACTTACTGGGTTTCACAGATAACTCCGTTCCCTGTCCGAAGATAAGCTTTCCTCCCTGGTTATAAATCACACTGTGTTACATATCCTGTCAAAAACACATCCAGTCTGCCTGAACACATTTCTAATCCTCCACCCCCAAATCCACAGCAGATTGCTCCCACACCACAGCATGAATCATGGCTATCCTGCTTATTGTAACTTTTTTCCTTATAAGGGAAATAAGGGTATTCACACAGGAGACTGATAGAGAATAATGAGAATTACTATTTATCCAAAAACGTTTCTATTTAACACCAGTCTGATCTCTCATTTTTGCTTAATGGCTTTGGGTACTGCTGTTCAGGGAAATGGCTTCCTTTCAGATGTGTTTCTCATAGTCTCGGCTAGAAATATTTGGCATGCAGGGCATGCCAAATACTAAGGGCAGGTGAGGCTCCAGGGAATGGGGCTTACCTGGGGTGACCACAACCTGGGTCCCTGCTCCAAACTGGAATTTCCCCCAGCTGTCAGTTGTCACACTGTGACAAACACCTCTACAAAATGGCTTCCCCAGAGAAGACAGCTGCTGAATGAAGACAAACTGCTCATGGGGAAACAATCTTGCTACAAAATGAGGCAACTGCATGATATGAGATATAAGCTTTTCCCCCTTTCTCTTTTAATTTCTCTTCTTTCAAGACACTAAGGATGGTGTGTGCCAAGAGCTGCACCTCCTGGGCGGCAAGGGCAGAAAGCCAGACTGCTGGGGTCAGTGAAGCCTGGGCGTCCGCTTTAGATGCTGCAGGGATAGAAACCCACCAGCCTAGGCGTTTACTCAAGGTCAGACCCAGTCCTCAGCACTACTCAAATGACAGCTGATCACAACGGTTGCCCTGTCATTTAAATAACTTGGTGTTTTGAGTTCACGAGCCTACTGGAAAAACTACTGCAGGTTGCTTGGGATCTGTTCCTATTGGAAGAGTGTTAATCACTGGCCTCTACTTGCCTGAGCTTGTTTGTTTGTTTGAGATGAAGTTTCGCTTTTGTTGCCCAGGCTGGAGTGCAATGGCATGATCTTGGCTCACTGCAACCTCCGCCTCCCGGGTTCAAGCGATTCTCCTGCCTCAGCCTTCTGAGTAGCTGGGATTACAGGTGCGTGCCACCACACCCAGCTAATTTTTTTTATTTTTAGTAGAGACGGGCTTTCACCATGTTGGCCAGGCAGGTCTCGAACTCCTGACCTTCAAGTGATCCACCTGCCTCAGCTTCCCAAAGTGCTGGGATTACAGGCATGAGCCACTCTGCCCCGCCCTGAGTTTCAAAATCTATCAAATGGGGATGACTATGCTGGAGTCCCCTTCTGAGGAAGACCTTGTTCTCAGATGGTTCTTATTCAAGTCTGACAGAGTGGAGGGGTCTCAAGGCTGGGCTTATTGGTGGGGTCCTGGTGGGTTTCTTCCCCTCCACACCTCTTAAAGCTCCTTCAAGGATGAAGAAGGTGACGAGGTACTGGGCCTTGGTCTGCTCAACACCTTTAATGTCCTCCTGACCCAAGGAGGCACCCGTGGAAAAGAGGGCAAGTTTTCCTCTTGGAGATAATCATATTCAGCACATATAAATTATATGTCACTTACTTGGCTTGACAAGCAGCCTTGTCCCCTTCCCAAAGATAAAGGAGAAGCCTTGTCCTTCTGCATAGTGATTATCTCAGCATCAAAAACCTAACAGCTCAGCTTTCCCCGACACAAAGCCCTCCTGAGAAGGGACCCTCCAAAGGAGTGCATTTCCTCCAGCGTTAATCACACGGCCTTGTGATTTTCCTTCCCGAAAATGAACCCTTCCTCTGTATTGTCCTTATGGTTCTGTTTCTCATTCCTTTTTTAACCTTCTTCTCCATCACCACTCCTGAGGTCACGGTGGACTCCTGGCCTCAAGACCCTGCAGCTTCTCCCCACATCAAGCACTGGACTCATTTTCTATCTCCACTTAACTGTACTTACAGGGCAGCACGGACAATCTGGTTCCGGGACCAAAGACAAAATTCTGACCATAGTTATCCCCACAGTGTTTCTGGGCTCAGCAAAAACCCCCTAGAGCTTCCTCCCTCCAGCCTGGGCATCTCAACACCACAAACAACACAGCACTCAGAACCTGTGTTTTTGGCTTTAAAGGGATAAAGCCAGCCCATTTATCAAGTCAAGTCTTGAGAACAAAGGGAGTTTGGTAACCACTAAGCCGGCAAAGGTTCCAAACTTAACAACCCAGCAACCCCCTGTGTCCTGGAGGATGCAGCTCTGCATTAATGAGCCTGGGCCTTTTTCATGGAGACAGGCTCTGGGGGCTGGAAAGAGGCTTTAAGAGGTTCTCTCATTTCTCCTCCTGCCTCGAGGCAGGGCTGCACTCCAATCACCTCTGATAGCAGGGTGTCTATCTCCTTTCAAAAACTCTCTAGAGAAAGTGCCCTGGCAACTACTCCTGACAGCTCATTTTCACTGTTCAAAAACCTATTAGAAAGGTTTTACCACTAACCTAACTCCCTTCTTGCAGTATTAGCCATGTCCTGTGGTCTGAATCCTGGTGGAGGTGGAGAGCCGAGCCCCTCCGTCTTCTGTTTAATGCTTCCTTTCCCAGATTTAGATGTGTGACTTAACTCCCACCTTGCCCTCAACCTCTTTTCTTTGAAATAAACTGCCTCATTTTGCCTCTGCAGACTTTACTGATCCTCTACCTCCAGGTTGGAGAGTTTCATTTAGTGGCTATTTTCAGGAGCCATATTTCTCATGAGCTTCACTACCCTGAAGAGGAGAAGGACAACCTTGGGATAGATCGCCCTTCCCATAAAGTTTCCATCTTCCCTCTGTCATTGCCCCTCCACATGGGGAGCCTGTCTTTTGGGAAGGGGCTCGGGACACCTTAAAGGAAATCATGCTGGGGTCATTTTGGTGATGGGGAAGTACAAGGTTTCAGTTCTGCAACCTTTGCCCTGCCATCCTGTGAACCGCATCCCTGCTCCAAGCGTGTGTGTGTAGCCTTGAGGATCCCAGCTATGCAGCTCTCTGCAGAAACCTCTCCCCTGCCTCTGACACTTGGATGATTTTGTATTTAAATTAGTCAGGATTCTTTGTATTTCCACTTTCAAATCCCAGGTGAAGAATTTCATAGAACAGGCTGACATTCTCCACCCTCCCCCCAATTCCAGCTCTGCTGCTGATGCACAACAGAACCTTGACAGAAGAGCCCCAGGGGCCAAACAAAGGCTCTGCTGTGGGTTAGAGATGATGTTTATCATTATTATTAATAGCGAGGGTTTAATGAGCTTTTTCTATGTTCTGAGCACTATGCTAACTACTTTAGCTGTATTATTTCATCTTTACGATGACTCAACGAGGTAGGAATATTTTTATCTTCATTTTGTGGATGGGGAAACTGAGGCTCAGAGAGATTAAGTAACTTGTTCAAGGTCACACAGCTAGGTAAGTAGTGGAGCAAGGACTTGAATTCAGGTTTTTCTGTTTCCAAAGCTTGTGCTATCCTGCTTAATCCATTATTACTTGAGCTCAAAATGTCCAGAGGGGACCCATGACACGTCAGAGGTGCTGCAGAGGTGGGCTTAGTGCTCAGCCTCATATTCTATGGCAGTTACTTGATTCTCAATCCAGATGTACAGAGTTCTAGTGGTTCTTTTCAAGTAGATATTTAAATCGCAGCAGGGAGATCAAACTTAGATATGAGAAGTACTTTCTGGCAATAAGGGTTGCCAAATTTTGGAATTAATTACAGAGAGATATTTCCCATCCTAGACCATCCGATATAGTGCAAGCACATCCTATATGGCCAGAGATCCTGCTGGGAAGCCTGGTCAGGGGTGGTGGAGAACCTTCCTGACAGCTCCATTGGCTCATTATTGTTTGTTTCTCTATTTCTTTCAAAATGTTGTATATGCTCCTGAGAAGCCCTTACCATGAGCTAGAGCAAGAGTCTGCATGTGGGCATGCGTGTGTGCATACATGCACTCATATCTCATTTTAAAGCAGGGAAGAGAACCAACTCTCTTTGGCCTGGGGAAAGAACATTAATAAAGAGCCCAACCAGATGCATAGGATTAAAGTCTTTTTCAAACTAATGGTTTGATTGATTGCCCCTGAAGGCCTAGGCAAAGAAGAACACAACTTACTTGGCTTCACAGTGAGCGTAGTCCCATCCCCAAAGGTTGATTTGCCTGCATTGGTGTTACACAGTCTTTAGTGCTATTGCAATAACCTTGACTCAGGCCTCTAGGAAGACAGGTGGAGGTTAGGGAGGAAAGCAGGAAAACAAAACCTGAGATGACTGCCCATGGCCAAAACAACCTCCTTATAATTAGGTTAGAACGTGGGAGGAATACTAATAAGTAGCAACTCCCCAGCCCAATTCTATTTGCCTTAATTTTCCTTGAAGGTATGGGCCTTGGCAGGAGCACCTCCTGGGAAATTCACTCAAAGTGGCTACTGCTCTGTCTCCTGGGATCCTGCCTTGTTTATATTCCTGCAGGCTCTTTGGCTATTTTCATCCAATTCCTGCCTTTTCCCTGCTACTTTCCTTGGACCTTTCTTTTCGTGGAGGTTCACATATTTTCACAGGGAGAGACTACATGGATATTAAATGTCCGAATACAATGCCCCAGGGAATATGTGCATTAATAACCTTGTTTTCCAACTGATATTACTAACCACCCAACACAAACCAAGCAAAGAAAACACCACCTGTGTTTTGACAGCTTCTGCATGATGGAAGACAGGCTTCTCGGGAAGAATAATTAGCCAGAAAGAAGAACTTACTTGGTATGACCGAGAGTTTGGTCCCCTTCCCGAAAGTGAGTTGGTAACTCCCAGCCCCAGAGTATGCACAGAGTTTCCTTGCTTTGCAAAAACCCCAGAGATGCTGAGAAAATCAGACCACTCACAGCATAGGAGCAGCTCTGACAAAAGCTCAGACTGTAACAACAACCAGACAATAGGCAAGAGAGAAGGGCATTACAGAGGCAGGCTATGGAACAGACCATTCCTCAGAGTCCTCCAGAGTCCTGGCTGGACTTTCAGAGGTCATCGAATCCATCCTCCTGTCCTCAGTCAGTGTGTTGTCTGACCAAAGACCTGTCTAGTTATTAAGAGCTCCTAGTTTTTATAAGGTTTTCCTTTGCTAACAGCTCTTACATCTAATCAACTGTTCCTTATATCTAATTGAAATCCTGCAAACTGCAGTCTGAGCCCTTTCCCTCTCAAGCTTTCCTGGTTGAAGATGGGATTTCACATAAACATATTCCACAGAGAAACTCATCACAACACACCAAGCTGGTTTCAGTGGTCACTTTTGGGGAGGAGGAAACTGATACTGAAGGAAGTGGCCAAGGTGAATGCTGGTTTTATCTGTAATTTTTTTTTTTTTTTTGAGATGGAGTCTCACTCTGTCACCCAGGCTGGAGTGCAGTGGCACGATCTCGGCTCATGGCAACCTCAACCTCCCGGGTTCAAGTGATTATCCTGCCTCAGCCTCCTGAGTAGCTGGGATTATAGGTGCCTGCCACCACGATTGACTACTTTTCGTATTTTTAGTAGAGATGGGATTTCATCATGTTGGCCAGACTGGTCTCAAACTCCTGACCTCAGGTGATTTGCCCACCTCAGCCTTCTAAAGTGCTGGGATTACAGGTGTGAGCCACCGTGCCTGGACTTTATCTGTAATTTGAATGGTTTACAATGAGAAATTTTAATGTATTACTTGGGCAAATCAAAATGAATAACAACATTAAATAGAAACCTGCAATGTATTTAAAAATGGCTTTTGGGGCTGGGCACGGTGGCTCACGCCTGTAATCCCAGCACTTTGGGAGGCTGAGGCGGGTGGATCACGAGGTCGGGAGATCGAGATCATCCTGGCCAACGCGGTGAAACCCTGTCTCTACTAAAAAAAAATACAAAAAATTAGCCGGACGTGGTGGTGAGCACCTGTAGTCCCAGCTACTAGGGAGGCTGAGGCAGGAGAATGGTGTGAACCCGGGAGGCGGAGCTTGCAGTGAGCCGAGATCGCACCACTGCACTCCAGCCTGGGCGACAGAGCGAGACTCTGTCTCAAAAAAAAAAAAAAAAAAAAAAGAAAAAGAAAAAAAAAAAAGGCTTATGGATCTCAGACAAGCCTTTTTGTGCTTCCCCCAGGCTAAGTAGTCTGGTTCTCTGCCCAGGGCTTTTGTCTCCTGGGATCAGAGGAGGAAACTGGGCCAGGATTACGGTCAGAACAAGCTGGAGGCAACTAGGCCAGGGTGCAATGCAGGGCCCAGATCTGTGTGCATTCATGACTGTCCAGTTGGCTTTCGAATTATAACAGAATAACCTGTAATTTTCCTGCGCAATGCTAATGACCCAGCTCCTTCCAAACCTTTCTTGGGGGCAAAAGCATTCTAGGTACACTGAAAAATAATTCAAGGGAAGAAGCCATTGCTGATCAAAATCAAGGATGGCTAGAAACACTTACTTGCAATCACAGAAAGTCTTGTGCCCTTTCCAAAGACAAGAGGTGTGTTTCCTGAATTCCCACAGTGATTTCCTCCATAACAAAAACCCTGAATGCCTGGCCTTGGTGGTTTTCCTGGAAGTTTCCTCTTGTTGGTCTTCTTCCCTGTTAGAACCATCTAGAAATCTCCCCACTTAACCATAGTTTTTGTTTTTCCTTAGCACGCATTTGCCCACTTCTCCCCCAATCTCTACAAAGTATGGTATAATTAAAATGTTTCTGCTTTGCCTGTCTACCCTGCTGATGAGCTTCCATACATGGAGTTGTAGCTCAGGGATGCATTTCTGAATTGCTTGCAGACTTCTAGCTTATTGTTAGCCTGTGAAAAACATTCCAAAGGAAATCCCTGTTTCTGACATCATGATGTACTCTTTGCTGTACTAGAAATAAAAAGGAGTGGTCACTTATCCTAAATAAAGAAAAAGATTTGGAAAATGGCATAGAGTGAGAAGGCTCAATGCAAGATGTTGCTCTTGCTGGCATACTCTCTTTGTTGTCTCTAAGATGAAAGTAGCTCTTTAAAAAGTCATCTCTCACTTATCCCTGGAACAAGGGAAATGAGAGATCCTGGGGCATCAAAGCCAGGAATCTCAGCAGAGGCCAAATAAAGAAAAATAAATCTTTTATGGAGGGTGGAAGGAGAGGGGTCATAGGTATGCTGGAGTCATTTCCAAAATCAATTTAGTTGGAGCCAAAAATCACGCTGGGCTTAACAATGAGTCCAAACAGAGGTTACCAGGGACAAGCCTGGGGGAAAAGACTGGAAAATAGGTTCTGGACAAAGTGTCACGATTCTTTTACTCTTCTTAATAAACAATAAAAAAATAATTTATATTTGGGTAGCAGAGGACTGGTAGCAACTTTTCCAGCCCTGGAGGGGAGAATTTGGTATTTGGCTCAGCTGTGGAAAGGCTGAGGACTGGACCTCTGCAAGAGAAGAGCCCAGGACCTACAGGCCACCCACATGTCTTAGAAACTTTCCTACTGAACACTCTCAGCAGTTTGAACTCAGTGGGAGTTAATGTCAGAAAATCACATAAACAGCACTTACTGGGGAGAATATGAAGTCGTGTCCCTTTTCCAAAGATGATCTTGTCATCTCTGTTCACACTGTGATTGGGACCATAACAAAAACTCCTAGTGACTTTTTTTTGGGGGACAGCTGCATATTTTTTGGTGGATATTTCAACCTCATGGGACTTAACAGATTCCTATATTGTCTCTTCTCCTGTAATAAACAGGCCTCATTATCAGCTCAGCCATCTTTCTCTGTGTCTTCTAGTTGTTCTGCTTGAATTTCATGCTGCTTATTGCAAATGTGCGAGAGGAAGTTGAATGACCTCATTTGACACTGAGAGTGAATTATAAAGCCAACAATACAACAAACTCCTTTCCAATATCAAACATAATTCTGTTACTGAAGGCAAAAGATACCTGGCAGACAGCCACTGAGCTAGGAATCCACTTTTCAGAGCCCAAACAAAAATGGGGCAGGAATAGGTCACTTAGGGCACATATCTGGATTTCCACCTGAGAAGGAACTGCATTACAGAGTCTTCCCTTCACCCTGGCTCTAAGCCTTAAGTTCTAGAATTTGCCCTGTCACCAAATTCTGAGGATACCTTGCCTTATGTTTGCTGTACTCATTATAGCCCTGCCCTAGCTGGGGGTCATGAGCATCATTCATTTTAGCCCAAGGGATCCCCGTCTTTTAGAAAATGTTCTCCTTCCACAGTCCATGGATGTGGTCTCTCACCACCAAGAGAGGGAAGCCTTATGCCATTGCCCTCAACCCTGGCTGGATCCTTGTTTGACACTTAAAGAACCAAGTCCCATTTTCTCTTCCTCCTTTGGGTTCTACCTGACCCCAAAGAAGCTCTTTATCATAGTCGTTAAAAAAAATTAACATGGGATGGATATGTTCACCAGACGTAAAACAAACCTATGGAGTCATCTATCTCATTTCCTTGTCTTCCAGCATTTCCCAAGGCTGAACCGTTTAAAACTAGGCTATCCTATTTTAAAGCTCCTTGGGTTAGTCATTCCATAATCTTAATTATAACCTGTTATAGGGTTTAATAACAGACAGTCAATGTGGTGACTCCAGCCTCTTAATATTAGTTTTTTGGTTGGACATTTGGATGGGTCCTATTGTCTCCAAAATGGCAATGTGGAGAAACAGACACCCCAGGAGCACACCTGGGAATGCCAGGCTCCTGAACTCCTATTTCCCTCCTTTTCAAGGAGGTAAGTTTAAAAACTTTTATTCCCCATGGAGGAATTGATCATTAAAAAAAAATCGTGTTATCATACCTGCCATTTTATTTCACTCTGGATTTCCTTTTAGGTGTTTATAAAGCCACCTGGGAGTGTCAATCCATTTCTGAATTGTTTTTTTCTTCCACTGCATTTGCATAGTCAGGCTGTGTTTTTAGTGAAATTTGACATTACGGGACTAGATGTGGACATTTGTCAAAATGCGACAATGTTTGGGTTTCTTATGAGATCTTTTTGAAATGAATATATATGCAGGTACAAGAGACAAAGAAGGTACCTTATAAATATTAGTAGCATTTAAAATGAGATAGATTCTCATTTTTAATAGAATGGAAAACAAATTCTGTGGCTAAAATCAGAGTAAACACACAAGTCATTGCAGAACATAGTTTAAGAGATACTGCGGCTGTAAATAGCTCATGGCCCCATATCTCTCTAGAAGAAAGAGGGCTAAGCCACAATGTTAAAGGTGATTTGGGGTGGTCTCATTTTGCCTTTATTTATCATTATTGCTCTAGTCTCAATAATCACGAGTGTTTCATGTATTCACAAAAGTCATTTTTCAAGAAGTAGATTTGTTTACATATTAAATTAAATCTCCACTAACTTCACGGGATTTATTTGTTTGGTCAAATATCAATAAAACATGGCCACTTACTGGGCTTCACCACCAGCTGAGTTCCATCTCCAAACATGAGTCTGGCATTGTTATTCCCACAGCACTTCCTGCCTTTACTGAAACCCATAGTAAAACCCTACCAAACACATAGCACTGTGGTGAGGGGGCAGTTAGACTCTCCTTGTGTTTTTTTTTTTTTTCCTTTTTTTTTTTTGCTTTCTCTGTGTTTCTGGCCTTTTATGATAGGAAGAAAAATTGGCTCTGCAACATAAAGCAAACAATGTCTCCTTTAAAAATGCCAAACTTATGAGCTTTTAAAATTCTTTTGCATTTCTAGGCATAAAACTGCCAAAGCTGAATCTAATTTGTTAACAACTCTTGCTGTCGTATGTGTGAGCTCAGCCCTAAACACACAAGTTTGAAGGGACGGTACATTCCTACACCCACAGGGATATTTTCCAGCTACAGAGCCATCCCAGCTCACCTCCAGACTCAGTGATCAAGTTTTTTCAAAGCCTTCTCAATGTGTAATAATGCTTATTTGATAGCCTAAAAAACATTTCATGAGGGAAGAGTGGCAAAAGTCAAACAGTTCTATTTTTTTTTTTTCCCAAAGAAGTTCCACCATGGACCCATATGCTGTTTCAGCCAGGAAGGGGTAGAGAGTCCAGCCATGAAATAAATGGGAGAAGTGAACACTTTCTGTTATAAAAAAGACTGTATCCTAAAGGCAGAGATAAAGACACACAACAGCTCCTTTATCACAAAGCTGAGCATTGGCTGAGCTTTAGTATACACGGAGTATCTGGAGAAAAGAGAGAGGGGTGAGCATCCCAGACAGTGATACCATGTCACTAACTTTCTTGGTTAAAAGTAAGGCTTACGTAATAGAAATTTAAGCTTGGAGAGAGAAGAAGTCCCCAACATGACTGTAACTTGTTGATTCTTTATATTTCAAGAGGAAGTGTTCAAAACTGATCTCATTTCTCTCCTTTCATCCTGGGAGCAGTGGGTGTCCAGAGCAAACAAAAAGAACTTATTCTAGAGAAAACAAAAGGGAAGCAAACGTAGGAAATAGAGTGACAGATACGTGGATCACAGTTCTAGTACTGAGCTAAGTTACCCTTAGCCTTCTCTTTCCCCTCCCTGACCCCTGGGAGTTAGGCCTGCCTGACTTCTCAGCACTCTTCCCAAGGATGGCTCTGGAGTCTCTTTTGGAAGAGAAATAAAAACATGGCCTATAGAAGAAGGCATTTGGACCGGCAGACACATAATTGTATAAATAGGTTAGGAGAGATTGTATTTGCACAGGTAAACGTATGTTCAGGGTCAATGAATAACTGGGAAACTGGGTTCACAGAAGCATAAAGCCTGCAGCATTTAGTTGAGAACAATTTGATTTTCTCAACTAAATTTTCCCACAGTAGTCTTTTTCTCCCCTGGGGTTTATCATAAAATTAGCATGTTTCCCCTCCCCTGACTGTGGTGTGCCATCCAGGAGAATGGGAATTTTGACAGCCTGCTATATCACGGCAGATAAGAGATGACAGCAGTGAACAAAGTCAACCTTCAGCCATCCTTTCCACCTAAGGGTGGCTGTCGCTTCCTACTTGCCATGGACACAGAATCCACCTGACACATGCCACTACTTACGTACTTGGCTGGACAGCAAGCAGAGTGCCAGTTCCAAAGATGAGCTTGTTTGTAGCACCACCATAATTCACACAGTCCTTCAGAGCCTTACACTAACCCTCAAGGAGGGGCACGGCAGGTTGGGATGAGGACAGCTTTGTGTCTTTCCAGGCTTAGAACACCTCAGTCCCAGTGTAGCAAAAGCTGACTTGCAGGCATCGCTGCAGCCTTCATATTCCTCTGACAGTGCCCTGACACTGTCATTTAAGTTACATCCCAAGGCCCAGAACCCTGAGTGACTCCAGCAAGTGACCGAGAGCTTTGCAGGCATCTGCTCTCCACGTGGGACAGCAGCCTGAGGCAAGGATGTCAGGAGAGCTGCAGACTTGGCTATTTTTCACCTTTGAACATTTTACCGTCTTTGGCTGTGTGACCCTTTCCTTTTTCTCTGAATTTGCTCTTCCAATGGAATGAGGCTGGTTCTGCCCTTGGCAAAGAGTTTTAACCATATCAGAGGGAATTAGATATTCCCTAACAACCTGGCTCTGCTCTCTTAGAGGGCTACTTAAGCATTATTCATTCCGGAAGCTACTAGACCAAACAAAAGAGTTAGCGGCTGACATGCTTCTCACTGGGAGTGGAGACCCCATTTGGGTTGAGTGCATTGTCTCCAGCAGGCTGACTTGTTCTTAAAAATATAATCTGCATGCTACACTTTGTGCATTATTCAACTAGTGTCTCCTCTCCCGTGCAGTCACATCTCTGAGACTTACCTGGCTTTATAATTAGCTTGGTCCCAGCGCCCCAGATTAACTGATAGTTGCTATCCACACAGACACAAAAACCTTAACAAAAACCTTCACTGTCCTTCCGGGGATCCTATTAGAGACAAAGCCCAGACAAAAAGTCTAGAGCAAAGCACATAAAACAATGAAACAACATAGGAATATTGGCTATTGGAGATTATTTGCTCATTTAATTACATTTGATTAAATCGAATGACTAAACATCCAAAGTCAATCTAGGTCTCTCTGCATACAAGGGAAGCATAATTCAGAAACAGTTTTCAAATTGGAGAAGTTGAACTTGCTTCACCTTCCCTGATATTTTAAATAAAAATGCAAAAGAGGGAAACAGATCATTTGTTTAGAGTCATAATGCATCTGACGCTCTAGTGCCTTCTTTTCACTGCTGGTAAGATTTTACTCAGTACCATGGTGTTCACATATAGGTTAAATTGTTCACATATAGATTAATTGGTTTATAGAAGGTTCTGCAGCTATAGGTGCTAAAGGCCCCTACAGAGCTCGGAGTTGGTAAGGGTGGCCTGCAGTGCTGTGAGAACGTTCCTGTTTATAGAAAACACCTTTTAAGGCTGGGCGCAGTGGCCTGTAATCTTTGGCAGGCCGAGGCAGGCAGATCACTTGAGGTCAGGAGTTCAAGACCAGCCTGGCCAACATGGTGAAACACTGTTTCTACTAAAAATACAAAAATTAGCCAGGCGTGGTGGTAGGTGCCTGTAATCCCAGCTACTCGGGAGGCTGAGACAGGAGAATCGCTTGAACCCGGGAGGTGGAGGTTGTAGTGAGCCGAGATCATGCCACTGCACTCCAGCCTGCGCAACAAAGAGCAAAACTTCATTTAAAAAAAAAAGAAAAAGAAAAAGAAAACACCTTTTCAAAATGGCTCCTTGGTTTCTAGTACTTACTTGGAAAGACTTGTAATCTGGTCCCAGTCCCAAAGATGAGCTTGTCGGTGTTATAAGACACAGTGATACTGAGATCTACAAAAACCTCCTAAGCCCCTCTGCTCTTCCCTGTCACTGGCACCAAATGACTATCAATAGCAAAGGAGATTTGGGGATACATTTAAAACACCAAAGCAATCAAACAGTCAGTTTTTGTTTCAGTCAAGTTTCATGTTCTGAAAATGCCTATGGCCTGTGCTTATTATGTTTTCAATGCATTAAGTGACAGCTCAAGACAGTTCACTGTAAGAAAATAGGGAATCTCAAGCTCTAATCCCAGTTATGATTTTTTTTTGGTTTGACTTAAATTATTTAACTTGTCTGTGTGTCAGCTTTTCTGTCTGTGACATATGTTTGATGATGTATGATCCTGTTTACCTTATTAGAGAACGTTGTGAAGATAAAAGGGCTGGGGATGGTGCAGTGGGTTACAGCATTGAAATGCATTGTGAATGATGTGGGGAAAATATGATGGTTCAAGTCAAGATATTATTAACATGAATAGTAGGGACTATGCTAGCTGAAGTTTATTGTCAAAATGATAACCACAAAACTTTCTTAGTAAAAACTGAAGGAGAATATATCTGTCTTGTGTGTTTTTCCACAAGAAAGTTAGTGGAAATAACCACTTAATCTGCCAGAAGAGACAGGCATGGAAAAGGTCAGCTGGATTCTGAAGTCTGACTGCCAGGGGAGAAGAAGAAATGACTGTCCTCCCACAGCAGTGAGTGAACATAGATTAGGTTCCCACGACATGCTAATGCCCTTGGCTGTTGGCAGCATTAAATGGAACCAGTTAAAATTATCTTGAAAAATGAATTTGACCATCTTAATGGTCAAACTGGCTGTGTAGGTAGACCCAGAGACTGTTTCTCCTCAGTGACTGGAAAATGGGTGTGTGTGTGTGTGTGTGCATAAGAAGAACTGTTCTATATGATTTACGGACATAACAGCCCACAGAAATGAGAAAAGATATACTTACGTGGTAAAACAATCACTTGAGTGCCGGACCCGCAATGCAGCACATTCCCAAAGCCTATCCACAATGGCTCATTCTTTTACAAAAACCTTGTCATCTCTTCATAACCACATGTTTTGTGTCTCAAGGTGGAAGCTAAAGCTTCTCAGGCAAGAGAGAGGATTCAGACGCACATCTCATGAATGCCATGGTATTCCTTATTTCGTGTCAGCCCCTCCTTCCTGAGGCTTTTCCTCATCCTGGGCCCAGCTCCAGCCTTCATGCAGGCAGTCTGTGTCCCTTGGTGGCCACCTCTACCTCTGCAGCGGCTCTGCTGGGGCCAACCCTCAGCAAAGATTCCCTCAGGGCCCTGAGCCATTTGAGGATCACTCAAGGAGCTAGGAAAGTCCTCAGAAATACAGCTGATGGTTACAGAGGCAGGCAGCAGTGTGCGTGGGGGTGCCGGTGCTGGGCATGGGCATAGCAGTCAGGAATTCAAAGGAGAGAGCAGGGATTTACATACAGGAGTTGGAGATGGAAGGAAAAGGATCTAGAGAGGAAGGGTCTGAAAACAAAGGCAAGAAGGGTAGACACACACTAACAATGGATGTCAAAATTAGTCACGCTTTGCTTGGTGAGCACACACAAGTTCTAGGGGAAAGAAATTTTCCTGGCTGTGTCAGTTGCCCTGACCTATTTAGTACTCCTGTGACAACCTCTTAGGTGCAGCTGAGACGTCCCACACTACAAGCAGAGACCACGTCCCTGTCTTATTTCTGTCTCAAAGAGCCATCTGACCAAATGTTCTACACGAGGGGGTAGGAACAGCAGCCACAAAAAGATACTCAGAATCTGTTTCTCTCTTCCTAATTAGGCTGTCAATCTGTTTAGCTAATAAGTCGTATAAAGTGTCTTCATCCCTTCTAAGGAAAGGAGTCATATAAATGCAAACTAGCAGCAGCAATAAGTCAAATGGCTTGCTGGGCATCTTTTCTTCGTGTGAAGAGATGCTGTTTAGTAGAAAGGGAAACTTTCTGTGTGGAGAGGAGACAGACTGGGAAAAAGCACAACAGCATTTGTTTTTATTAGGCTGAGTCTATACAGCACAAAGTGAAACAGATTTGGCAATTATTTAGGTAATGTGCCATTCAATTCATGCAATTTTGAGCACAAAGAAGTTTTCTCAAGGAAGTCCCTAAATATCTGCATCAGCTACCAACATTAATCAAAGTAACTGGACAATTGGGCTGTATAGACACAAACTAATAAATGCACCCTGAGATGGTTCTTTGGAAAGGCTTATATTTTATAAATCTAACATTAAAACTAGCCCAATATTTGTAATCACTGTCTTCATTTTGGCACTGCAATTAACAGTTCCCAATTTTTCTTACAACATGTCTTACATTTAGAGCCGCAAAGGTAAGGGTGACCTTCTCCCTAGAGAGTTTTATCAGTTTAACACATGGAAGCTCATTTAGAAATTCATTAGGTGTCTGGGATGTGAGAACTTGTCATTACAGACTAAGAGCTTTTTTGTCAAGAGGTAAGGACTTACAGGGAATAACGGTGAGTCTCGTTCCAGTCCCAAAGAAGAGGTTGTTTGCCCCAGTTTGACACAGTGTTTCTGCCCAGTACAAAAACGCTTTCCTACTAAGCCAAATTTTCTTCATCTCCTTCCTCCTTCTTTAACTTATTTATTTTATATTTTTAAATATATATTTTTAGAGACAGGATCTTACTTTGTTGTCCAGGCTGGAGTGCAGTGGTGTGTTCTTGGCTCACTGTAACCTTGACCTCCTGGGCACAAGTGATCCTCCTGCCTCAACCTCTTCAGTAGCTAGGATGACAGGTGCATGCTACCATGCCTGGCTATTTTTAAAAAAATTTTATTTATTTATTTTTTGTAGAGATGGGGGTCTCACTGTGTTGCCCAGGGTGGTCTTGAACTCCTGGCCTCAAGTGATCCTCCTGCCTCAGCCTTCCAAAATGCTGAGATTACAGGTGAGAGACACTGCTCCCAGCTTCCTTCTTCTTTTTTTGAGATGGAGTCTCACTCTGTCGCGCACGCTGGAGTGCAGTGGCGCGATCTCAGCAGTGGCACAAACTCCACCTCCCAGGTTCACGCCATTCTCCTGCCTCAGCCTCTGTAGTAGTTGGGACTACAGGCGCCCGCCACGCCTGGCTAATTTTTTGTATTTTTTTTTAGTAGAGACGGGGTTTCACTGTGTTAGCCAGGATGGTCTCGAACTCCTGACCTCGTGATCCACCCGCCTCGGCCTCCCAAAGTGCTGGGATTACAGGCGTGAGCCACCGTGCCCGGCCCCAGCTTCCTTCTTCTATAACGTTTGCCAGGGGTATGTTACACACATTTGGACTTCTACTTGGTGATAACCTTTGCCAAACCTTACAACAAGAAGTGCTGTCTTCCATGTTTCCTAACAATCCAGACAACTAATAGTCCCCTTTCTCTCTCTCTCCCCATGTTTTTTCCCCCCAAAAAAACATATCATTTCCATGCTACCCATTTTGTCCTTGGAAGACTGTACTTGAATAATTCTGGTGGTCACAAGGGTGGATTCTACTTTAGTATATTATTATGAAAAATCACCTTCTTTTGTGTGAACCACCCACATTTGATGTTTTTATTTCTTCCAAGTCAGCCAAACTCACATTCTCTCAGCCTTAACCTAAGAATTCCAGATCCAATACACCCTTCTTTTTGCCACTAGCTGAAACCAAGTGAGTTAGAAAGGATCATATCAACCAGACTTTACACACATTCTACTTACTTTTATAAAAGGAAAATATAACCTAAGAGTAAGAGTTTTTGGTTAGAAGTTGAGACAGAGAAGATTAAACAAAAAACGAACAGAGTGGATAACTGCACTTCACTTAGAAACATCCAGACCTACCTGGTTTTACTTGTAAAGTTGTCCCTTGCCCAAAGATTAGTTTGCCTGTGTTGCTAGAGCCACACTCTAATGCTGTACTTTACAAAAACTATAAATGGGGATCATTTCCATTTTTCTTCCTTCCCTCCAGCAACCTGACATAGTAGCAATAAAAACATATTAACTGAAAACTTTCAATCGGGCTGCCATTATGCAAAGTCCATTATAGGTATTAGCTCTTTAAATCTCGTAACATCTCAGTGAGCTAGGTACTATTACCATCCCCATTTTACAGATGAGAAAAAAGAGGCATAAAGAGATTAAGTAACCTTCTGAATTAGGATTTACCCAAACAGTTTTATTCCAAAATTCATATTCTTAACTACTATGCCATACCTTTCATTAGCCACCCTCCCCTGCCTGCCATTTTGGGTTCTCCTTTGAAGTGTGTATACCAGTCACATGGATAAAATATTTCATTGACCTAATAAATATATCCTGAGATAGTTCTTCTGAAAGACTTACATTTCATAAACTTAATATTAAGACAAATCTAATATTTATACTGATTATCTTCATTTTGGCACTGTAACAGACATTTCCCATTCTTTTTTTTTTTCTGCATGTGTCTTATATTTAGAGCTGCAAAGGAAAGCATGACCTTCTCCCCAGAGAGTCTTATCAGGTTAGCATATAGAAGCCCATTTAGAAATTCATTAATGTCTATATCAAAGATGTCTTTCCTGAAGCCCTTTGGTTCTGCTGTACAACTCCCCTTGCCCTTATCCAGCTTTGCCAAGCCTGGAGCTCCAGAACTGACTCAGGACCTGGCCCCAGCCAAAGCCACAGCAAACACTGCTGGGAACACAATGTGGTGTGCGGAACAAAATTCTGAATAGTGTAGGTGGTCTGTAAGATGCTCCTGAAGACTCTTGCAGAGAATAACTTCTCAGAAGAGGCTAGAATTAGGATGAAATCAGTTCCTTTCCTGTTACCTCTAGCAAATCCACAATAAGGCTCTAAGCCAAAGAGAACTGAGAGATGCAGGAGTTATATCGCAAGTTTGAGTCATTCTGGATAATCCACAGTGGGGAGATGTGCTCTAGCACGGTCACTAGCGTGACTGTGAGTCCCGAGAGTTCCCAGCACTTGACCTGTCTTTGGCCAGAAAGCAACAGTATTTACCAATGGCCCACGGTGAGGTTGGCATAGTGCAGACTAAAGCGGCCATGAAATGTGCTACACACTCACCTTCTGTAATATTCAGTGCTCCCACACAGGCCTTTTTGGAATGCACGAATGTATTTGCTCTCTAAGAAAACAGCTGAACACTCCAATGGCCTTCCTACCCTGCTCATATGGATCCCTCTATCTAGTTATTTTGATTGAGGGGTAGGCAAGGGTTCAGCTTTGGTGGACAGGAAGAAAACACTAGCCATAACTAGATATCTTAAACCTCAGGGCTAAAAAAGAAGGAGGCAGTTTCTGAGATATTTCAAACTGCACAGACAGGTTTGACAGAGTTAACACGAAGACTCACTCGGATTTACTGCCAGGCTTGTTCCCAATCCCCAAATCAGCTTACGGTTGTTGCCAGCATTACACAGTCATAGAAAGCTTTACCAAAACCGACCAGGCCAATGTGTATCAGGAAATCCCTTTCAATCCCCAAATCTGGCCGGCGTGCTCCTCCAGCTGGGACGTTGGCTAAAGAGGCAGCGGAAAAGACTGTTTATTATGGCGGTCTATTCCCAGCATGGTCGGAGTGGAAAGGCTCTTCTGAGGTTAACTAGTTCATCCTTCCACCTCCTGACAAAGCTGCCTTCTGACCAGGCCAGCAAAGAGCATAATTCTGACAAAGCTGCTGGAGAAGGATTCCCCCACTGCAGTGCTCACCCAGCCCATGTTCTACTCAGTCAGACCTTCTGACCCAAATGGTTAAGACAAAAAGGACAAGAAATCTGTTTTTCTCCAGCACATTTGTTCCCACGCCAGACAGTTACATGTATGTCCATTTTCATATATACATATGCCATGTATCGATAACATGTAACCATTAGAATTAATATAAAAGATAAAATTAAGTAGAGAAAACAGAAAACAGAGCTCAGTGCTACGGCTTCCTTTTGAAATTAGAGCATTCATTATGGATTCAGCAGAGATACTCACGGGGTTTGACCATTAACCTTGTTCCCCCTCCAAAGGTGAGCATGTTGCCTGCATTATTATTCACACAGTGATCTTCGGCTGAGCAAAAACCTCCTAGAAACTGAACTAAGTTTTCCCTAAAGATCTTCTGGAAGGAGTGATATCGTGAGCACAGAGAATATTAAGTAATTGTCACAGTAATAACCTGGCACAGGATCGCAGTATCAGTTTGGATTTCAGGACTGTTTCCACACTGGATAACTAAAGGATAGTCTTTCTACATGTTCTAAAGAAAGAGTTTTCCTGCACAAGCCCAGAATACTGAATGCCAAAATTGTAGCGTATCCACTGGTGTTTTAGATAATAATTCTCCAGCGTTCTGAAAATTATATACCTCACTTGGACAAAGTAGGAACAGTTTATGTCCAGAGCACCAAAGCAAAAGCAATCAGAGAGACTGTTGTCAGAGTGGGAGGGATTGAGGGAAGCTGTCACGGCCCACCTGGGAGGAGGGGTTGGTGTGCTGGTCACACCTTCTGGGTGCTGGAGCCACGCACCTCTGACTGAGGTCAGCTCAGGAACATCTGAAGGGATGCCCAACCTTTTCAATCCACAGAACTCGAGACAGTCCTATGCAGTTGTCTGCCCTGGAATCCACCCTGGACTCCAACTCCAGATCTTTTCATCCCCTGCTTTGCTAGTCACCAGGAAAAGGACTTTTCACCACTTCCTATCCTTGTCCTAGGAGAGACTTTTCTACTCTTACTGTCCCTTCCCCAGGACATAACACAGCTCAAGGACTAATCAGAAATAATCCTCTTATGACTAAGAAGGTGACTTCTCCCATTTTTGCTGCATGATCCTTTTGAGCTTCTCTCAATTTTGAGGTATCTCACAGAAAGTCTGAGCCCGAAACTCCATGGGCACCACCACTGAGTGGCCAGCATGGTCTCCTCCCACTTCCTCACCCCCGGCCACATTCAGGACCAGGGGCTTAACAACTGGTGTTAGGAATGGAGCACTCCAAAGGGAAACCAAGAAACATGCAGCCTGTAAATCTCCTACTTGGATTATATTAGTGCTATTTCAGGGACAGAGCTCTCCTTTGCAAACCCATTACAGAAGCCATCTCTCTCCTTCCTACTTTGCTTCTTTGTCTGATGGATCTCTTACCTTGGCCTGCTTAATTAAAAAATGATATGATTTTTCATGCTCTTCCTATGAAACTAAATCTGGTGATGCCTGTGCTGGGTCTCAAGGCTGAGAGATGATGAGGCCAAATTTTGTCACCTGTGCAAGCCTGTTTTAGGTGGTGGGTCCAGGATGTCTGATGTATGGACACAGGGTACAGGTGTGGGCATGTGTAAATATTCAAGGGAGGGAGATACCTAGTTTTCCTGGAGCAGAGCATTCATGAAAGGGAATCAGTGGGAATAAATTTGGAGAATAGAAAGGGCCCAGATTTCAGAGAGCTTTGAGTGACATGCTAGGATCTGGACATGATTTCCTCTTGAGATGATTTCTCAAAATATGAATGCCCAGATGAAGCATTGAGTTGCACAGAGGAGAGACGCATAAAAAAAGGCAGAAAAATGAGTGAAAAATGTAAAGTGAGAATATAGTTTTAAAAGAATAAAGAACACAGAACTCCTGTTGTGTTAACAGGAGTTTCTTGAGGCCTTCAAGTCATAAACATTTTGCTAATGATGGATACAATTCTTATGAAATCGGCAGTAAGTCCATCATGGTAAGCCTCAGAGCTCTCCTTCGCCCCTCCTGTCCAGAGTAGAGGGACCCAGAATTGCCGCTTCAGATAGCAGTGATTTTAGCTTGCACAGTTTACATGGGTATTTCCCTTGTCCTACCTTCCCTTGTCCCTCAAACATGAACACCAACAACCTTTAAAATACAGCCTGTCTTGTCTGTAATACTCACTTGCTAAAACCTTCAGCCTGGTGCCTGTTCCAAAGATGTATTTGTAGGTTCCTGAGGTAGTCACAGTGTTATGTGTCTCTACATAAACCAACATAATGTTACCATTTATGGAAGCAGCTTTACTCTCCATGAATAAAAGGGGCATTACATGCACTTTCCCCATTGAAAGGCCTTGACCTCGTATTTTTCTACAAGTAATTTATTTCGGATTATATCTTAATTCATACAGAAAGTCTTCACTGCTTCTATTGGGTCCGAGTTTGCAAAAGTTCTTCAATCTCATGCTATCTTTATGCATGTTTATTAATTAAAGAGTCTGATTTAGTGAACATATGAGGACTTAAGCATCTAAATGACTGTTGAACCCTCTGAAATATTCCATCTAGGATTCCCCCCGAGAGCCAGTTTATGAGCCACATAAACAAACCCATGACATTATTTTATAGTTACATCTATTTTTGGATCCAAAACAGTATCAGTAACTAGTCGATTCTCTCCTCTATTTAATAGCCTTGGTTCTGAAAGGATTTTGATTATCAAGAGTAAAATCCACCTTTAAAAGATAAAGCCATCATGGATGCTACAAAAAGAAAGTGTTTTGGCCTTTGAGGGTGGTTTCAGGGAGGGGGAAAGCAATGGACAGTGTTGGATGCTTCAAGCTGAGTGTTTTGACTAGGCCACTCATTGAAATGTATAAACTCGATTTGTTAACAAATCAGCCCCATTACCTTATTGTCACAGCTGGTTCGTGTGCAGAAGATTGTTGATGAAATACTACTGAAATGTGAGATGGCAGACATTTTTGCAAACAGGGTGCCTGCAGGAAAGCACCCCTGTTTCTGTAATTCTAACAGAAAAAAACCCAATAACAACAAAAAACACACTGAATTCTGCAAGTGTGGAGACAGCTTGTATAATTTTCAATATTGCTTTTTATAATCTATCACGATTACCCTCTCCCTCACAGCTTCACAACTTGGATAAATATTCTGTTTTATTACAGATAATCTAGTGGACATGGGGAGGCCCTCTGCAGTCCTGGGATTCTCTGCCTCTCCCATAGGGTTGGCTTGGCCAGCCTAGTTAAGGGGGTGAAGTCCATGTGGGGGCCTGCTTTGTCCCTACGGTGAGGAAGGGGGCTACCTAAACAGAAGCATTGATGTGATAAATCAAGGGCTCTGTTCTCTCTCTAGAGAAAGTTACATTGTTCTGCTATTCTCGTAGAGGAAGAAAGCCATGCCAAGCTTGGAACTCCTGCTGCCCTCCCTTCACTGGAGTCCTCAGTCCACTCGCCTTATTTTTCTGTTTTTCTTTCTTTTTGTTTTTGAGACGGAGTCTCGCTCTATCACCCAGGCTGGAATGCAGTGCCACGATCTAGGCTCACTGCAATCTCTGCCTCCCGGGTTCAAGAGATTCTCTTGCCTTAGCTTCCCAAGTAGCTGGAATTACAGGTGCCCGCCACCACGCCCGGCTAATTTTTGTATTTTTAGTAGAGATGGGGTTTCATTATGTTGATCAGGCTGGTCTTGAACTCTTGACCTCAAGCTATCCACCTGCCTCAGCCTCCCAAAGTGATAGAATTACAGGCATGAGCCACTGTGCCCAGCCCACTCATCTTATTTTTTAATTCTACCAGACAACACAAGCATCAACTCAACAGGGTCCTTGCCACTTATCTGTTGAGGACACACTTCCTTGGCTATGCCATTGCTTTGGTAGCTTCCCTTTTCATGGCCTTGTTTCTGTCTCTATCACAAAGCTTTGCTTCTTATCTCTGCCTTTCCCAAAGCCACAACGTGCTTTGTGGACCTTTGAAAAACAGTGATTGCAGCATTAGTACAATTTATCAAACTGCCCCGAGACCTGATAACCAAATCCAGCCTCCAGGGAAACATGTATTCATATCTTGCTCACACATCAGACATAGTTAACAACTGCATGCTAAGCATAGCAATTAAATTCAGCTGTGTTTCAACAGGTCCCATTGGATTTCTTTCCAGAGAGGACAATTAGTAAACCACAAAAACTCACGGGGTGTGACCAACAGCGAGGTGCCTTTGCCGAAGTTGAGTGCATACCCGGAATTTGAGTTCCACAGTGCGTTCTCCCTAAACAAAAAACCCCTTGCAGTAGCCACCATGTCCCTTCTCCTATGATTCCTATTAAAGCTAATGTCTGAAAACCAATCACACAGCAGTCACACAGACTGTGGGTCATCCATGGGCCCTTGATGGTGTAAATAAAGCTTCCCTCTTCCATGAGACCATTGCTGACAAGGTCACCACTCCCCACAGTGATGTGGGTGATCAATATTGAGATCTGCCATCTGAGGGAGGGGGCCCTGTGACATGTTATGAAGTCTGGAGTTTTCCTATGTCCAGCAGAACGACGTGCTGGTCTGGACTGGGAACAGCCAGGGGCATGGACAGAAACAATTCTGTGGGGTTCAAGGGTGAAGGTGGGGGGAAGATATCACAGAGAAAGGAGTTGGTAAGTCTCTTCTCACTCACTCTGCATTGCACTTTAGTTGCACTTACTGCTTTTGTTTTCACTTCACCAATGTTCTAACAAGTTAAGGGTATAGGATGTTAAGCAAGTTTCCTTAGTGTGTCTCCAAAACAGTCATTGGAAGGTCATTCTAGCCCACTTCATCCCATTACACATAACACATATCACTCTGGAAAAGTTATCTGAGTATTCAGGACTCTCTGTTCTCTATTTGAGAGCCCTTTCATTCTGTTGCCCAGAGTGACAAAGTACTGATGATAAATCAGGACTTTGAATCCCCAACACTTACTTGGTTTAACAGAGAGTTTAGTGCCTTTTCCAAAGATGAGATTTCCTTGGCTTCCTCCATAATTCACACAGTCCTATGGGGCTTTACAATAATCAACAGGTGGGAAGGATGGAGGGGAAGGCTGAGCAAGTGAGATCACCTTCCCCTCTAGTGGAAGTCTCCCCACCTTGCAGCCTCTGTTTCCAGTTCCTTTGCAAGGTCAGGACAGTTCTCTAAAATTAACAGCTGGCTGTGCAGATAGATCTGAACTTGATCGTAAATCCCCTGTTTTGTTCCTAGGACACTGGGTTCTGACAGAATGCTTGTGCCAGAGGCACAATAGCAAGGTTGGGCAGAAACATCCCACCCAGCACAGGAGGTCAACATTGAGGTCCCAGGGGCTACTTTAGGGACCAGGAGCACCATGCCACTTTCTCAGCCATATTTCTTTTTCTTTCTTTTTTTGAGATGTAGTCTCGCTCTGTCGCCAGGCTGGAGTGCAGTGGCACGATCTCGGCCCACGGCAACCTCCGCCTTCCGGGTTCAAGCGATTCTCCTGCCTCAGCCTCCTGAGTAGCTGGGACTACCGGCGCATGCCACCATGCCCAGCTAATTTTTTGTATTTTTAGTAGAGATGGGGTTTCACCATGTTGGCCAGGATGGTCTGCATCTCTTGACCTCATGATCTTCCCGCCTCGGCCTCCCAAAGTGCTGGGATTACAGGAGTGAGCTACCGCACCCGGCTTATATTTAGCATTTTTATATATCCAGAGCCAAGCCAATGAAGAAACCAGTGAAATTTTCTACTTCTTCTTGACCTAATCCTTAAGATTGCCAGAATTCATCAACTAACAGACTTCCAACCAGCTCAGGGTCTCAGGCACAAAGAAACCAGGTACTTAGATCCTCTTGGGAGTGGCAGTGTCTTAACCCCACAGAAACTGCCCAGAACAGCACCATTGCTCACTCAGGTCAGCTTTTAAGATTGACCCATTCCCCCAACTTACTTGGTTTTACTGTCAGTCTGGTCCCTGCTCCAAAGCGCATGTCATTGTTATTGTCACAGTAATACATGCTCTAACAAAAACCTCCTGGGGAAAACTTGCAGCCACCTCCCAGCATGGCAGGGACAAGGGGGAGCAGCACTGACAAGTACCACGCCACACACAGTTCCATTCTCCTTTTCCTACAGAAATGGGGTCATTTTGTCATGCTTCTAGACTGTAAATATGGGCACTTATCAGTGCACTGAGCACAGTTAATTGAGACCCCAAATTGGCACACTGGGACATAATCAGCTTTCAAACAGGTCCCCAAATGGTGCATAAACCAACACTGCAAACAAATTATGCCCAGGTACACTATTTGTCTTCAGGGACAACTTTTTATGAAGAACTACCTGAGAACTTCTACAATTTGCATCTTACTCATGGGTCAAAATACTCAAACTACTCATCTATGTAATTTCATATAAATTATCATGTATTTGTTTCATAATTGCACATAATGAAACATGGCAGTGCTTTGGGGGAGAGGAGTTGGCATTTGTTTATGTTCTTAGAGGGTCAAGATTTTGCTTTACTTCACCAATGTTCTAACAAGTTAAGGATATAGGATGTTAAGCAAGTTTCCTTAGTGTGTCTCCAAAATAGTCATTGGAAGGTCATTCTAGCCCACTTCATCCCATTACGCATAACACATATCACTCTGGAAAAGTTATCCGAGTATTCAGGACTCTCTGTTCTCTATTTGAGAGCCCTTTCATTTTGTTGCCCAGAGTGATATCATCAGAGACAAAGTCCTGATGATAAATTAATTCCCAAACCACTGTTCTAAAGGAAATACATAGGGTAATAAAGACTGAAGAAGCTTGGAGCAGAGAGGTTCTGTTTTCACAGGTGGAAAGGAAAGCCTCCGTAACAGGTATAAAAATAGCACAAGAACTGACTGAATGCAGGTATGTGTCCTCAGTGAGATCACCTCCCACTGGAAGGAAGGAAGGACTACATCCAGCCAGGATATCCCCTCTGCAGTATCCCCTGTTTTAAAGGAACACACAGTTAAGTTACCTCACGGTTTCTGTTACCTACCGAGCGTGACCTGAAGTCTTGTTCCAGTCCCAAAGGTGAGTTTACTGGCAGTGCCGGTATTTACACTGTGAGATGCTTCATAACAGAAACCTGTTGCTTGACTTTCCATCTGGTGTTCACTCCCTCACTCAGAACTCTCCCCATGATCTCTCCCAGATGGGCAGCCTGGGTGAGCCCTCACAGATGCATTTCCCTTTCCCAAACTCCACAGTATTAATTCCTATGAGGGCAGCTGGGCTCTGGCCAGATACTCACTTGACTAACATTACCTGCTGGTTGCCCTCTTTGACCTCAGTTGGTCATGGGGTGCTGACTAGATGGTTAAGGCTGAGGAGTTGTCAAGTTCAACTCTGAAGACATTGAGAATTGAATTCTTTGTCCTTTCTGTTTCTGGGTTTTATCTTAATGAATCCCTCTTGTCATACTTGATGAGTGATGGGGCCGAGAAATCAAATGATTAATAACTGCTCTAATTTAAGGTCCCTAAGTCAGGCAGAGAAGAGGGTATAAAGACAGAAAAGGAGAAATGGCCAAATCTCTATCTACACAGCCATTTCCACATTTCCTATGAAAGCAATTTTCGTTGCAAAGGTGCTGCTGGCAAAGTGGCCTCCATTTGTTTGTGACCCATCCTAAGCTCATATCTTTTGTCTGCTGGCATCCAGATTTTCCAATGAGGGACTCCTACTCAAACACAGTTGCCAAAGGGCAGATCTCAGGAGTCCTCCAAAGCACAAACTGCATCACCTCCTTGTCTACATGGCTCAAAACCTCCCATGTAAGTAGGATAGTGCCAAAAATGGTAGTGGCACCAGAAGCACATGAGCCAAGGTTTAGAAATGTCCCCATGAGGACTGCATTTTGAACCCCACCTCCCAGGCAAAAGCACTTACAGGGCTGGATGATTAGATGAGTCCCTTTGCCAAAGGTGAGTCCGTCAGCACCTCCTCCTGAATACACACTCTGGGCCAACCCTTTACATAAACTCCTCTGCCAGAAAAACTCATGCCCTGAACCTCCCGTAACCTCCACAGCTGCTCTGAAACCCACAGACACCAGGTACAGCTAATAGCCCTGGTCATTGCTACTGGTCACTTCTCCCTCTCCTCTGTTGCTGGCATAAAAGCTTGAAACACACATAACCAGAGTAAGGGCCCTGGAGATGATGACTGCAGTTTCTTGACACACTGCCAACCAACTGCATCACTGTTGGCTTCTTTATGAATGTGGACCTGGCCACAGGACCCTCATGTAGGACAGATGGGAAGAACGGAGGGCCCTTAGCCACAAATATTAAAAGGAGTATGAAAAGACACTATGGTTTGTTGATCTGGAATCCAAAGGAGGACAACTCAAATGTCAGGCTAGAACAAATAATAGGAAAAGGCATAAATATCTTACTTTCTGCTCAGACTTACTGGGCCTAACTGCTAAACGAGTCCCGGTCCCAAAAGTCAGCTTGTCTCCGCTGCTTTTCTTCTCACGGCTGTCAGCAGCTTTACAGAAACAGGGCAGACACCTGTCACCAGTGTCTCCTCACCAACCTGTCTACCCAGGCTATTTCATGACACTGATCCCACAAATGCCCTACAAGGCCCAGCAGTGTGCAGCTTTTCTTACACATCTCTAAGTCACGGGCTCGGGATAAATCTCCAAGCTCGAAACTACAGATTGAGGTTCCATTTTGGAAGTCTAGACACCCAAACAGCAAGCACTGTGGTCTACAGAGATGGTGACAATTTTTTTTTCAAATTTAACTCAATTTTCAAACTGTGGGTCTCACCAGTGAATGGATGTGATTAACGCTCTCGAAGGCAACCCATGGAAATTCTTAATGAATCACACTAATGAAATGCTTGCGTTGCGCTTGGAATTTCACTTTTCCTTTCTTTAGAATCAAATACTTCCCAGCCAGAAAAAGTTTATTTAATATGCAATGAAACCCAGGTTGGGACTTGAGTGTGTTTTATACTCACAGGACTTGACTCTCAGAATGGTTCCTGCGCCAAAGACCAGTTTGTTTCCATATTCCACACAGCGTCAAACTCCTCTACAAAAACAGTGGTTGAGCATGGGTGGTGTGTGGGGCGGGGCTAAGCTACTCGGTTCTGGAAACAGAGGACTGTTCCACTTTGCATTTAGGACCTGTTGATATTTGCCCAAGAAGCTGAAGACATTGTGATAATTGCAGAAACTTGTAAAAGTAAAAAGGCCAATTGTTTATTGGAATTTGGCTTCTGTCTGCTCTTTGCTGCTTGGACTAGGATAAATGCTACAACTCCCCCAAGGTTTACTGTATCTTTTCTTTCCGGATTTTTCTAGTCTTCTAGCCAGAATTTTCTTTCATCTCATTAATTCTAATCATAGCCCCTTGTGCCAAATAATTCCACTCTGCTATGATGTCCTCCAGTTTCAAAACCCTTAGCAACTACCAACCACTAACAGCTTCTGGAAGCACGGCTTGGAAAACGAACTTGTTATAGCTGGCTTCCACATAAAGTTTTCAAATATTTGGGGCTCTGGTTTAGAGCCCCTCTGACTGTCCCTTGCTGGGTAATGCATTCTTATGCTGAGTTGCTCTTAGTAGCAGTGGGATTTTCCCTGCGTGTGTTACGTTCTCACCTGGGGACGGTTTCCTGAACGGTTGTGGCTACTATAGCACCCGTGGGAGGGAGCAGACTAACCGTCACTGGGTCCCTCCAGGTCCCATGGCTCAGCTCTGCTGCAGTCTCACTTTGTAAGTCTGGAACTCTCTGAGCCCCCTGTCCTTAGATACAGAGTGAGGAGAGACCATTTTTCTATCTCATCCAGAAAGAAGAAAAAGACTTTGATGTTTAAAGGTGCTTTATCCAACCTAGCTAAGAGGTGCTTTGTAATGTGATTGTCACTATAAAAGTCTGACCTACCCAAATCCTCAATACTCATGCCTTTAATTTCTAATGCAGCAAAATAGAAAAAAGATTCTTCTAGGCAACTGAGTGGTTAAGACAGAAAGGTTCCATACTTCCAGTTCTCGCTGTTGCAAGCATGCTTTCCGTTCCATTTTGTGTGGTTGTCTTTGGTTACAAAGTGAACATATTCAAATTTTCCACAGCTTTTAATTGTAGGTGCAAAAGAATATATTTGCCCATGTTTCTCTCTACATTCTTCTACCCTGTGTATATATATCCAGTATCTCTCTCTTTCTCTCTATCTCAGAAATAGTTGTTTTTAACAGTTAATTCCGTGCCTCACCCAAATTGTCATTAACTGTGTATATATATCCAGTATCTCCCTCTCTCTATCATTTATCTATCTCAGAAATAGTTGTTTTTTTTTATTATTATACTTTAAGTTTTAGGGTACTTATGCACATTGTGCAGGTTAGTTACATATGTATACATGTGCCATGCTGGTGTGCTGCACCCACTAACTCGTCATTTAGCATTAGGTATATCTCCCAATGCTATCCCTCCCCACTCCCCCCACCCCGCAACAGTCCCCAGAGTGTGATGTTCCCCTTCCTGTGTCCATGTGATCTCATTGTTCAATTCCCACCTATGAGTGAGAATATGCGGTGTTTGGTTTTTTGTTCTTGCGATAGTTTACTGAGAATGATGATTTCTAGTTTCATCCATGTCCCTACAAAGGACATGAACTCATCATTTTTTATGGCTGCATAGAAATAGTTGTTTTTAACAGTTAATTCTGTGCCTCACCCAAATTGTCATTAATTAAATGCAGATGTGCTGCCACACTGATAAACTTCATTGGAAAAAAACAAAAAACCAAACCCAGAGATTTCCAAGTTTAAACTTTCCCCCTGAGATCAGTGCTTAGTTTTCTATTTAGATAATCCTGCCCCACCCGGAGCACTAGCTCTTAGCACCTTTCCCGATACCTTGCCATTTGCAGAGAGAGACACAACACTGAATTAGTTTTGTAAAATTATACTGCCTGACGTTCCGTCTGCCTGCCTCTCTGGGTCTCTTGGTTTGCTTGTCTCTTTGATATTCTATGTTTCTACCATTTCTCCCAAACACTTGCAGTACTCAAAGCTAAAATTATCACACAAGATGAAAGTGAAGATGCAGTCATTCTGCCTGAATTCTCTTCACATGCCACATTAGCACTTGACGGCAGCAGCAAAAACAGAATTGTGAATCATATTTTCTAGTTTTGAATTAAATAGTCAGGACTGGAGTTCCCCCGGAAAACTCAGATATTTGGCTGCCACCTGTCTCTACCAGTTATGAACAAGGACAGATGAAAATTCTCTAAGCCTGCATCTCTACTATGATCCCCAGAATCTTATGCAGGCTGATTTCCTGACCAAGGATGAAGAACTTACTGGGTATGATGGTGAGTCTTGTTCCAGTCCCAAAGGTTAATTTCTCATTTCCAAAGTTAGATACACAGTGTTCTAAGTCATTGCAAAAACCATCATTCTAAACTCTCCAGACTCTACTGCAAGCCCCTGCCCCGTTTCTTGCAAATCTCCTTCCTGCAATGCTTCCACAACATCAAAGGCACCAATGACCCTTTCCTACCATTTCCTGCTGGAACAGCTGAGAGAAACCAGAATGAAAGGCTGTAATTAGGAGAGGCTTGACATGTGCGATCTGTTTTGATTTTTCTGCCACATTTTTCTTCAGAGGGAAACAGAAATCCTCTTTCTCTCTCCAGGTGGTATCTATCAGTGCATCCCCCAGGTCTAAATACAAGAGCGATCGTGGACCCCCTGCCATCTTTCTCATCCTTTTATACCATCCCATATTCGATTTTCTGTAGAGTCACCTCATTTCCCATCTAGCCTCCTAGTCCCTCTCCTCTCAGTTGAGAATGTCCCTCCATTCTCTGCTCCTGAGGCTTGTGCTACAAAGGGCCCAGCTTCTCTGGTTGGCACAGATGTGGGGGTGAGCTAGAGAGGCCAGCTGTCACTGCAAGTGACATCGCCTGCCCCCCCACTTCAGGAATGTTCAAGGAACATTCTCTGGGTTTGGTTTTTTCTTTTTTTCCAATGAAGTTTATCAGTGTGGCAGCACATCTGCATTTAGTTAATGACAATTTGGGTGAGGCACAGAATCAACTGTTAAAAACAACTATTTCTGAGATAGATGATAGATAGATAGATACATAGATAGCTGGATAGATAGATAGACAGATAGATAGTTCAAGGAATGAAATAAAGACCTGTCCAAGCATAAATCATTCTCGGGGTGGGTCGGGGGCCTCTTTACTCTGGTCCAGATAAAGTTATACCTAGAAGCAGAGAAATAGAGTAGCAGACTTTGACAGCTCTTTCTGCAGTTTAAAGGGTTTGCTCAACACAATGGTGATGGAAAATTTTCTTTGACTTACTTGGAATGACCGTCAAACTTGTCCCTGTCCCAAAATAGAACTGGTTACCGGTGTTCCACTGTGATAGGAAGCTCAACAAAAACCAGGCAGAAGAGACAGCCAGAGGTTACACCTGGGGCCCCACCAAGCGGCGGACCAAAAGGCAGACCGGTAGGCAGGCAGGCAGGCAGGCAGGCAGGCATCTCCTTTCCCTGTGCAGGCACAGGAGCAAGGGTATTACTGGGAAGGAGCTCCAGGGCTTAGAGCAGCTGTGACCATGTGCAGCTGGAGGGACTGATTCCTCCTGAGAGGGGATTAAAAGGAAGGCTAACGTGCATCTTGTGCTGCTTGCTGTCTAATTAAAGGTGTAGGTCCATTTGTTTTATGGACCTACATTTAAAAACTTCTTTTTCTTTTAAGACTTAATTTCTCTCCTGATGATCATATGATTCTGAAGTGGATTTTAATCAGGACTTCTTATTATATCTTTGGACTTTATTTCTTTGTGAAACTTATGGAACAATTCATCTTCTCTAGATTAACTCCGTATGAGGCTCTGATCACCTTCCTTCTTCCTGACCTGCCTCATTTCCCTAGCACCCCTATCATGCAATGTCCATTGCTTATTCCCCCACCCCTGTTTATCCCCCGTGTGCAGTGAGAACGTGCTGATAGACCACAGGTTGTTTTTCAAATTGCCACGTTCAAGTCCCATGTTATCTATGCTACCTTTTAAGGACTAAACCTATGTTTGCTATTCCGTGACCTTTTTTTCTGATCAGAGTCAATGTATCTCGATTCTCTCAGTTTTGTGTCCTCAACCACGATGCCATCTGCACAGTCATTTAAGCCCTAATGTATGAGACTGTTAGCCCCAGCGCACTCCACAGGCAGCACCCCAGGGACACTTACTTGGAATGACTGATAAGCTTGTCCCTGGCCCAAATATCACCTTGTCGTAGGAGGTTTTCACACAGCCATCCAAACCTTTACAATAACTGACAGGTGACTCTTAAAGATTTTAGAGCCCAGTCTTGATGCCACTTCAAAAGGCATCTCAGGTAAGATTCAGCATTACCTATAGGATCTGTGAGTTGGAGCCACAGTGAGGCTAGATTCTGTTGGGAATGGTAGGAAACTTGCTAGGATTATATGCAATACATACTTCTTCACCTTTGTGTCATTACAATTTCTCACATGCTGCTGGTTTTAAAAAGCATCATTGAACTCCCTGTCTCCTCCTCACTTCTCTATTATTCCCCAATTCACACAACATCCCCATCTGCATCTCATTTCTGTCTCTAAGCCCTAGCTTGGTGACACCAGGTCCTCAGGCACCATTGATCTGCTTTCTCTGAGATAGCATATGCTCACTGGCTCACGTGATTAAAGAACTGGAAATGCCAGGCTCTCAGAGGCTGAGATCTGGGCTCCCAACTCCTTATCTCTGGTCAATATGTTGTTCTCATTTGTCTGCCTAATGAAGAGCTGAGCTTTCTAAGTGGATGCATTTTGCTGAAATGACAACTGCCAGAGAGATAACAACAAAGGCTGAGCTCTGAAGGCAGTTTTGACCTTTCAGATCCCTTTGGCATATTTCAGTCAATAGGATCCCTAGCTCAAATGTCAGTCTCTCAATGTTGGCTCCCACACTACTGGGCTTGGAGAAACTCAACAGAAAATGGGCAATATTGGTCCAACCTGCACCCTGCTCATTAGAACCAGACTTCACTTGGAGGCATCTCACACATTCAAGATGATCACAACAACTCAACATTCAGCCTTGTAGTGGCACTGGCATATTCCAAATCCACACCCACCTGGTATGGATTTATGCTGCCACTGAATGGAGCAGATACAGCTGGCAATGTCAGGTGGCCTCCTCCATACACACTGAGCTGGGATTGTGCTGTCTGCCTGACCAACTATGCCTGCACAAGGGCAGCTACTCCAGAAATATAGGGACTTGACTCATCCCTTTGGCATAAGAGGACACTGCCCTTGATAGAGATCCTAGGAAAACAGAGTGTTCTGCAATAGCAGCTGGAGCGATCATGCCCTTCTCTGACACCCACCTCACATCTCAGTCTTATCAAGCTGCAGTGAAAGACATATTCCTGCTTTTCAACTTTGTTTCCCTTTCTGTCTCTTATTCCTTTCATTTATCATTTCTGAGCACCCACGGGGCTTCAGACTCTCTTCAATCCATTTCCATTTGACTCTCTTAGAATCCCTACAGGAAACAGCCAAAAGGCCTGAAACGGGGAAGGGAGCAAAAGTACATAAGGAACACTGTGAGTTTAGGTCTTTCCAGCTTGCTTGGCTTCACAGTTAGTCATGTCTCCTTTCCAAATATCAGCTTCTCATAGCTGTCACGCATCTCCCTGCTTCAGGGAGTTTTACAACGACTGACAGAAGGAACTTTATGAATCTTAAAAAACAGTCAAGTTTCTGTCTCTTCCCAGCGGGGTGCAGCGGCAAACACACCAAAGCCAAATCTTTCTATCTGCTCTAATTATCAGCCAGGATACAAGTCACCACAAGGAGAAAGGTATTAAGCCGTGTATCTGAAACTCTTTGGAATTAATTGTAATCCCTTGCCTGGTGGTTTCAGTGACAGGGAATGGACACAGTGGATGTTTATTTCTGTCTATCCTTTCTCTCCCCGCCTCTCTCTCTGTAGTTTTGCATCTATAGAAGCAAAAGGAGATGACAGACAGGAAACAGAGAGGGATTTGAAATAAGACCTCAGATTCCCATTCAGGTTTCATTTTTTCCCTCTCCACTTTCATTTAAAACCCATTCTGAACCAAATACCACATACCTATTCAAACTCCGCTCTCAATTTTCCTCTTTATTGTGGATGATGCTGGTGGAAACGGCCTCGGCTATACCAAGAATAATTTAAGATTGAGGTAAGGAAGGACTTCTGACAGGGAATGCTACTAAACATTAGAACAGGTTACTCAGGGGAGTCATTTGGAAAGGATGACCTCCCCCTCAAAAAAGTTAGGGCATCACCTCCAGAGAAGACACTGAAAGCAGGAAAGATTCTGACTTTCCAGGGTCAAGGTCAGCTGTACACGCAGCAGGGAGACAGACCTAACAACTCAGGGTCCAAAAGAAAATCTGTGAATATTGAGGTTAAAGAAGAGAAAGGACCTCAGAGGACACCACTTAACTTTAAGCAATATCTGGTTCTTTAAAACCTGACACTGGGGTGACATTCCAGAATTTCCAGTATACTGCTGTGTCTTGTTACACTTACTTGGATGGACAGTCAAGATGGTCCCTTGTCCAAATGTCAGCTTTCCATAGCTAGTACCACCAGCATTAGCACTGCACTGGAGGCCTTTACAAGAACCCTAGGGGGACTTCTGAAGCTCGCAGACTTCCTCCTCTTTTAATTCTGGGGAGAATAAACTCACCCAAAGGGGCCTGGGTCTGTGAGGCTCAGTTTCATCCCACCAAAGGCTGGAAGACCATTTCCACCTCTGGTCCTGGGACACTGACCTGCTGCGTCCCCCGAGGTCCGGCTTCCTGCCTCCCATCTCTCTCCATTTCCTCTGGTTTTTGTCTTGAGGCTTACTGATTTCTCATGTTCAGCATCTCTCTTTCTAAAGGTCTCATTTCCATTTTACAGCATCATTTTCAGGACAATTTCTCTGATCAGTTTTCAAGACACGTCCTCCCCTCCCCTCGAGGTGTCACACATTTCTGATGACAATGAATTGATTACAAGGAGACAAGAGGAGAGTGTTCAGCTTTTTGGAGAATGACTAGAATTAGATGAGATTTAGACTGTAGCCTCATGAAACAGGATCTCCTGAGCTTCCCTTCATGCCCTAGCATAAGAAATAAAAATGATGGGCACATGTAACTGAGCTTTCACACAACGTAGTTTTTTTGTCAGTCTTGAATTTGGTGAAATGTAAGTAGTAGCTCACAGAAAAAAGTTTTTATCTGTGCCTTCTTACGGTGATTAACTATCCTGGGGATCATTCTGGGCTTAGCAAAGAATGACCTTTGTCCTGGAAAACCCCTGAAACCCAGGAAAACCAGGACATCTGGTTACTCCACAGTCTCACCTGAGGTGTTCTGACCTCACAGAGCAGCCCGGTGACCACAGTGGTAGGGTTAAGTGAGGTCTCTATTAGGGGCAGGCTTTTGCACATTTACTTGGGGTTCCTGTAAATTTCATCCCTTGACCAAATAATGCTTCTGTTGCCAACAGACACAACCACAGGAATCCTGGGAGTCACCCTGGCTGTGTCTGGATGTCACAAAAAATGTGAAGAGCAAAATCCAGGCAGTTTCATGATGTGGTGATGATCAAACCCTGTCCCCCAGGGGTGTGAAAAACAGACACCTCTTTAATAGAATTTAGTTTTCTTAACTCAGACTTTTTTTGGGCTGAATTTATGCTAGCCTGTTTAGTCATGTCTTCAAGCAACCACTTGTTACAAAGGGTTAAAGTTTTAGCTTGCTTACTATCATGAAAAGGGTGAGAGAAAAAGGCTATTATTTAGCTAAGAAGACGTATCCATTTTTTTTAAGGACAGCAGTCAGGGATTCAAACGACCCTTCCCATCTCTTCACTATTTCACAGTATTCACTGTCTAAAGGGCTTCCCACCCTCTCTTCAGCCTCCGCAGGACATAAGCAAAACCAGATGCCTGCCCTCAGCTGAGGTCCTCAAACAGACAGGCACCCAAAGTGTTGCTGTGGCAATAATCTCTGTGTTCCACTTACTGCAGGAAAACAGAATTTAATCATGGGTTCCTTGGACTCCAGCCTTGCCATATAGTTCCTGCAGCTAGAATCCACTGCATGGAAAATCTGGCATACGATTACTGTCCAGAGCTCTGGAAGAATGCTAGCCTTGCACAGATATTTTCTTTGCCTGGTTAGGCTGTCAAACACCCTGACCTCGTCAATGTTTTAAAAGGTAGGAGTTGTTACAGTTCTCAGTCCCCTAAGAGGCTGACCAAGTGCTGAGAGGGGCTCCCAGCTTCTCTGCATTCTGGAAAACCCACCGCAGAGCCCCGCCCTAGTGTGCTTCCGGTAAGAAACCAAAGAAAAAAGCCTACTGTCTGGTCCCTAGCATTGGCTGCCCACCCTCTGAAAAGCGACTGAGTCCTTGAGTCTCCTGGGATGTTCATATGAATCCCCTTGAAGCTTTAATTTGATAAGACCTCAGTGGAGACTGCTGAACCCCTGGGATTTAACATCATATATTATTCATTGTTGCTGTTGCCACAGACGTGCTGATTTTGCCCCTGCTGAGCAAGGCACTTCTGCACATGGGAACTTGATGGCTAACCACACTGCATGTTCTTCAGGCAGGGCCTATCCCAGAACGTTCCAAGCTGTCTGCTAGCAAGTCTGCATTAACTCCCTCAATGCTGCATGCACGGTGTCCCTGAGTCCTTCACCACCCGCCCCGCCACCAGAGCCAGTCTTTTTAAGAATTTTGCCTGGGCTGTGTTTTTCAAAGTGCCTCTCTCTAGTGTGCATCTCTTCTTAATCACAGAAAGCAGATCTGAGTAAGTAAAACTGGGGCATTTGGCCTTTACTCAACATCAGGGCACTTAGGAGACCGGGGCCCTTTGATAAGTTTTTCCCATTTTCATTTTATCTGAATTTTACAAGTCAGTCTTCTCCAGCCTTAGTTTATAAGCACCACTTTCAGAAGTCCACCAGCAGCGCAGATTTTCAAGAAGTGCCATTAGCAACCACTGTGCCTTACTTTTATATCTAACATTTAAAAACTTTTCTAAGTACTCACACATTACCATTAGGGAAGGGTGGGTGTATATTTGAAGGAGAGAATGTACTGCTCTATTCTCACGACTCAGAGGACAGATGAATTTTCCCCTTCTCAGGTGAACTAAGTAAAGTGGAGGCTGAATCCACTATTTTGGTAACCAAAGAAAAAGTGGGGTTAAATGCTCTGCCTGAGTTAACCAGACAGTTAACTGACTGGACCTCAGTTACCAGACTGGGGATTGAGAACAGTTCTTTTCAGAGAGGTAAAGTGAAGGTAAAAGAAGAAAAGGAGCCTGCTTATAGAATTTTCAGCATTAGTTAATGAAGTTGCAGGGTTCCATTATTTCAGGCGATAAATTTAAGAGGAGTGTTAGTATCTAAGTCAGGACAATTTATATTTGGTCTACTGCATTTGCGTAGTCACGATATGCCAATTTCCTCTTTATCTTTTCGGCAAACATTTCCTGACCCTTAGCTGGATCCCTCAGGATTCTGTATTCAGTTTTTCTCCTTGCACCAATAATCTTGTTTAAGATGAATGATAGGAATGTTTTGGGCTGAAAGTAATTTAGTCTTTGTACAGTGGAGTTCTAATCCCTCTGATGGGCACCATATCCCCCCAGCACAAACATTAGATTTGGAACCTAAGCTGGAATGTTTTGGAGGGGCAAGTAATTAAATCAGAAGTGTTTGAATTCCCCCTTCCCCCACTCCCTTCAAACTTACTTGGATTCACGGTTAAGAGAGTTCCTTTTCCAAATGTCAGTTTATAGTTGCTACCTCCACTATTCTCACAGCCACAGAAGGCTTTACAGAAACAGGAACAGAAGCTGCTCTTTGCAGAAGGGTCCTGGGGGTCAATATAGTCACGATTGCTCAACTCTTCATTAAGCTACAGGTTTATAGGTTATTTGATAATAAGTCCAGAATGCAGCTGCTGTAGGTGAGTGCTGGAGTTCCAGAGGACAATATATCATATATATATAGATATATATATATGTATATATCTTTAAAGTTTTTGAAATTTAATTTTAATTTTTTTTTATCATTTTCTTTGTGACTAAGCTGCCATCATGGTTCCAGTAATCCATTTCTTTCTTTTTTTTTCTTTCCTAATTATCTTCCCTTGGCTGGTACTCAGATAGTTTCTACTTTTTGCACTTGTTGGGGTAACTATTTCTCTGCTTTTTTTTTCGTTGAAATTGCATATCAATTCACCGGATTCTGATTTACTAGAAACTGATTGTAGAAGGGGAGGGAAGCGAGACAGTTTTTACAGGGAGGTGTTTAAAAGTGGAAATTTGAGGGCTTTCCTGTCTTTCCTGGTCTGCTTCTCTACAAAGGACAATGCAAAATGAGTATACGTCCCTCAAGGAGAGCTTGCAGGACACGGTCTAGAAAGGAAAAGACTGTACTCAGCTGCATGTAGCTTCACCCTGTCATACTTACTTGGGTTGATAGTCAGCCTGGTTCCTTGGCCAAATACCAGCTTCTGGGCTCCCTGAATTACACCACAGCACGAGGCTTTACAGAAACTGCCAGCGAGGGCCCACCTCTCCCCACTGAGGAAGACATATGATCTGCCCTCCTAGCAGTCCAGGGCTGTGGCAGAGAATGGCCCGAATTTCACTGGCCAGAGAAGTTTAGGACAGGATCTCCTTGGGCTGCTCATTTTCTCTTTCACAAAGCCTCCTTTAGCAGTTGTAGACATGGTCCAGATTTTCCAGTTGCCTTGCCAATCAAATATTTAACATCTTTGTTTTCACCCCACAGAATTTTAATTTTTTTTTAAAACATTTCTTTCATCTTTTACAGAGCTCTCCCTAAAAACAGCTGGATTAAAAGAATCTTTAAAGTCAGAGTCTACTAGGTCTCCCGAGTAAAGTTAATCTGGCTTCCTCCTTAAAATTTCCGGTTTGAATGCGAGGGCCTGCTCATCTGGGACCTAATTTGTCGTGCTAAGACAGGAAAGGTGAAAAGGCAATGCAGAAAATCCAGGGGAAATCCTGCACTGTGAGATCTTCTTGTCCCTCCACACTTACTTGGATTTATTTTTGTACTCATCCCCTTTCCCCAACAGGAGCATTACCAGCACTTGTCACTAACAGGGATCCATCCTCCAAATCAACTCTAGAGACTCCCACCCACAGGAATTTTAGTGTGGAAACAGACATGGTTTCTTCCTCTGCTCAGGGAAATTTAATTGAAAAACCATTTCTAATTTTGCCAAATGGAAAGGATTAGGAGAAAATCTGTTTGCCTCTGTTCTCCTTCCTCCTCCCCCTTCGTCTTCAACAGTTTTAAACTATTTATAGAAACATCCCTTTAGGGTTAGAGAAATGTGGCAAATTTCTAATCTCTTCATCCTTTTTCTTGCTATCTATTTACCGCAGTCATGTATTTACAATCTAAATTTACATTTCATTTCCATTTGCAGGAGCTTCTAATGCACTTCTCTATTACTTCAAGAACACTGTGTATAATAATAAACTCTACAGAAATAAACCAAATCACAAGAAGCTTTCAGGTCTGGAGGCTGACATTTCTCAAGACAGGTATGGGGCAAACAACTTATTTCTCTTCCAGGCAAGACTAAGATAGGGGCAGCCCAGTCAACTGAGCAACTAGGCTTGCAGGGTGGACATGTTATGTCTAAATAACTATCTATTGAGCCTTGCTCCTTGGGATTAATTTGGATTTTCTTTTTAATCTAGTTCCCAAATACCAGCTTCCCATCTTTTAGCTCTTAGAATCTCTCTGACAGGGAAAGCTTAAGTTAAATCTCATGGGGTTTTTGAATCTCAACAAATATTTCACCTCAGTACACATCACAAATAGAGGCAACAAAAGAAGGATGAATATAACACCTTTGGGAGAGAATTTATAACAGTTCTTTGGGAAAGATGGGAATTATAAGAAAAAGTAGAATTGTGTGTGCTTTTCCTGATTATCATTTTTAGTATCTGCAGGACTGTAAATGTCCAGTCCAGTTTGGAAATGGAGCAGCTGACTCACCTGCTCTTTAGACCTTTGTTAACCAGTGAACACACAGGTTAGCGTGGAAATGCTTTTCTCTCTTATGCTGTTTTAGGCATAAGAAACTTTAGGAAGGTCGCATGGGGTTCACATAATACATACTAGGACATTCTGATTCTAGCCATTCTAATGGGGATAATAATTTGGTCATAAAAGTAGTTTTATTTTAAGATACTCATTGAATAGTTGGTATCTTTTGGGAATTATGAGCAAAAGTTAAATCCCAAACAATTGTTTGAAATGAGCTTGCATTATCATAGAAAGCAGAGATTCCCTCATGGAACAAAATTTCAGCTACATTCAAGTTAACTGAAATTAGGTTTGTTTTGAGAATGGTGGAGCAATACTCAAAATATTCCCCCAAGTATTGCATTTGGATTAGGGAATCCTTCTCTAAGCTTAGTTGCCACCTTTTCAATGAGGGACTCAGAAGTGAGTGGGTATCAAAAGGGGCTTCTCTGGTGCAGAAAGCTCAGACAAGGCAGAGATGAAAATGTTCCATGAGGACCCAATTAGAAATGCAGCAGTTAACAGCACCCTGGGGCTTGTTTTCAGAAGTTCGTGGTCTTTCTGACTAATTTGAATATTTGCTTTCAATCTTAACTTTTCCCTAAATATCAGCTTGTAGTCAGTGTCAGTACCAGAAAATCTTACACGGCTTTACCCAATTTAGCTTGGCTCCAAGATTTTGAGTTATGGGGATTAGACAATTCTTTTCCTAATTGCACCAACATGGAAGCTTTGGGAAGACAAGTCAGCTGACACGGAGTGCTGGCTCAGTTGTTTAATCAGCAGGCTACATCTCACTGTTTCCTTTTGGATTGGGTTGCATTGCATACTCCCAGCCATTGGTATGTATTTTAGTCTAATCTGTCCTTCTTTTGTCCTTTCTAAATGCTTTCTGCCCCTACACACTAAAACTTCAATTCAGATTCCATTTGTCAGACACATATCTCCAACATTAACAAAAACACACTGAACATTCCCAAGTACTTAAAGGTGTTAAAGAAACAGTCCCAAAGGGGCTGCAGTCAGGGGCTGCCCACATTGTCATTTTCTCCAGAAAGACCCATGGTGAAAGATGCTAATAACTGGGCAGGAGATTCGGTTATCTTTCACTGAATTTCTAAGGATGGTGGCTTATGTTTGGAAACAAATAACATTCATTAAAACATACCTGGTCTAACACTCAGAGTTATTCCTTTTCCAAATGTCAGCTTACTATTGGCTCCAGTATAACACAATGACACGAGGATCTACAAAAACTCAGTTGCCCAGACTCCCCTTGATATTTACTTAAGTGCTTACTTGTCATCCAAGAATCCCCCTGATAAAACCAGCTGTTTATAGTGTGGGACTGGTGGAAGAGTTTACGGACCACCTGGGGCCTTCCTTTCTCTTCACACTCATTGTCCCCTTATTGGAAATGTACCAACATCCCCTCACAGCACGCCGGCTGTGGTAAAATGGGAACAGGAACTGCCTCCCCCATTCTACAGAGGAGGAAAATAGAGGCTCAGAGAGTTAATCAATTTTCTCTTAGTCCCATGGAAAATCTCACCAATTATAACGAAGAATGAAGCCTTCGAACAGTCTGACTCCTTAACTCAGTGCTCCATTGGTACTGTCATTCTCAGCTATTAGATAAAATAGCACATGAGGGCAAACAACAGAGACCTGCGTGTAGTAGGAATACACCAGCAGTTGTTTTGCACTGGAATCCATTAATGGGACTGCTGTGGTTTGGACCTGGGTTATAAAACAGAATGGAAAATTTGGAAATCAGGGTTCCAGGGAGAAATTTGGAAGCATTATTCAGACTTACATGGGTTTACTGTCAGTTTCGTTCCCTTTCCAAAGACCAGCTTTTCAGATCCGCCCTGAGTTACACCCCCACAGACTGCTTTACAAATACTGCCAAGACCCTTCCATCATGGGCTGGGAGCCAGGGCTCCACCCACTCTCCCAGGGGAAGCATAAAATTATACAATTGTATAGCTATTCCCGAAAAGGGAGGGGACCTATAGAACAAATCTGATTACTTTTTTACCTTACAGCCTGTTAGGTTGTTATCTTATTAATTAAGTAATTAGTTAATCTAACTGGTCAGCAGTTGCAGTTAATTTAAAAGAGCTCAGGCTTTGGGGCAGGTAGGCTTGAGTTTAAAACTCAGGACAAGTTTCCTAACTTGCTACACCTCAGTTTCCTCACTTGTAAAGTGGGGAAAACAGCAACTGCTTGATGATGTTGTAAGGATTAAGAATATGTAACTGGGTCACCGTGGTCCTGTTGACCAACCCCTGGCTTTACTTGCTGAGAGCGCAGTTCTTTAGCGATTATCTTAGCAACCTTAGAGACTAGAGCATCAGGGACATTCCCTCTAGACATAATCCCCTCACTGAAAAGCTTTTAGCTCTGGAATCTGAGTGCCAAGAATTAAACTCCAGGTTCTCTTTCTTACTTCATCGGCTTGAACAAGTTATTCAACATCTCTGTGCTTCTATAGAAATATAAAATATAAATATATCTCTTCTATAAAATGAGGATAATAATAGCACCTAACTCACAGACCTGGTATAAGGATTAAATGTGATAAGAGAAAGAATGCAGCACATCAACTAGCATATAGAAACCAATGAGTAAATCATCATTATTATTTTCCTCCCAAGCAGGCAAACATATCACCAACGTTCCTCTTTCCACAATGACCTAAAAATGAGAAAGCCCTTGGGCACTTGTCTTCCTCTAACTGCTAAACTAGAAGGGCTGTGAGGGCACAGAAGAGCCACCAAGCAGTTTGGTGAAGGGGTTGCGTGATTTTGTGAGAGGTTAGAAAAAGCTGCATCCCACTGCACACGTGCACATCCGTGAGCATTGTTTAGCCAAGCAGGACTTGAATGTGGCAGAGATGGGGCAAGAAGCCATATCTCAATTCATTGGCATAAAATGGATACATTCAGGCAGAGGATTCAATGCTCCCCTCCACTTACCAGGATTCACTGTGAGCTGTGTTCCTTCCCCAAAGGTCAACCTAGAGCCACTGGTTTCTTAAACACTGTGCTGAGGGGCTTTGCAAAAACCTGTGGCATCAGCTTAACGAACCCTGCTTTGCAGAGCTTCCCAAGAACTAGAATTTTTCTCCAACTTCTAAGCTTTAGAGGAAGGATAAGTCATGGTATCTTTCTTTCCAGTAGCCTAGGGCTTCAGGCCTGACAGATATGTCCAGAGATATGATTTTCACTTCAAGACACCAGAAGGCTCAACAAGCCAATTCTGTATACGTATTCTATGGTCCAAAACAATCACACCGCTGATGCAATCTATCATAGAATATCAACCCCACTGGGAAAGAAATTAGCTCTACAGAACTTATAGGTAGTGTTCTATGGTCATAATCATTGTCTGAACACAAGACTAGCATTTTCATTTTGTTTTTTTCACCCTTCTCTCAGTCTGCAGATGGCTGCACCTTTCCCCTAATATCAAGTTCAATTATTGTTCCACTTTAGCTTGCTTTTTTTTTCAACAGACGCAGAATGATTTTATTTCCCTTTGGAACTCAGGATTTCTTTTTGAGTTCATTAAGTCTTGGGTAAAGAATGTTTGGGATGCAAATGATGCTGCCGTGGCCAAGGACTATGATGTTTTTTTCTCCCTTGGGTCTGGGCTGGTGAGAACTATGAGCTGTCTTGGCTTTGCCCTGGACCTTGATATCAGGATCAGTTGTGTGACCTTGAGCAAGTTCATAACCTCTCTGAGTTTCACTGTCTTCATTTGCAAAATTAAAGAGGTGGGTGAGGAGATCTTTAATTACTTTCTGAGCTGAGAGTCTTTGATTTGATTATTTGGATCTAATTTATCCAGAAATGCTGTGCAAATGTCCCTGCCCTCCCCACTCACCACCAGGGTATCTAATCCTCTTATTTCCTAAACAAAATAAAATGATCAAACAAAAGAAAAGTAGTTCTCTACTTTTTACATAGAGAAATAGAGTTTTCCAAGCCTACTATCTGATTTAACATTTGATCTTTTTAGAAGTTTGAAGTCAGAATTTTGCAATCAAATCCTCAGGGAGAAGTGTTCTTTCTTTGGAACTTCCAGATAATTCAAAAACCAAACCAAATAACCTGACACCTTTGGTTTAAAGATAGCTTCACTCTCACTTGCGTCCCCATTCCAAATGTAAATTTCCTGTTTCCTTCCTTCCCACAGGAGCTGCTGCCTTTACATAAACTACAGACTCTTGCTTACCCATAGGAAAGGTGGTTTGATCTTTACAGCCTTTTCCCACCGGATAAGAGAATTCATTATCTGGCCAAGTGTTTCAGCCCTCTGATTGCCAGGTGTTAGGTATAGAGGGGTTCCGCTAAAGCTACCTCTGGAGTTGAGGTACTCACCCAGGCTCACAATTAACTCAGTCCCCTTCCCAAAGTTGAGCATCTAGGTGATCTTCACATAGTGCCCAGGCCCTTTACCAAAAGCCCCTGTTGGTGCTGTGCTGTAACTTCCTCCTCTCAGACCCTGGTCATGTCTCTAGCATGATTAGGGATGCAAGGGGGACCAGCATCGTGAACAGTCATCTGGACTTGAACCTCTCCTATTCATACAGCCTGGGATTCAGGCTGTGAGGACAGCAGGACCAGCCACGTCAGGATGGTCCCAGGTTCTCTGGCTACACAAGGAACTCATGTTCTGAAAACCTAGCAGGCTGCCTTTTGTTGTCCACCCTGCTCTACAGATTTATAAGAAGATAACGGCCTGCTGATTTACGGCTTGTTCTGACCTAGGCCAGGGAAGGAGACGCTGGTGGGCCACCAGGGATGCCAGGTTCCCTTTTTCATCACTGGAAAGACAAAAAGTACCACTTCTTTGTTGACTGCTGGGAGCCTAATTGCAGAAACATATAATTCTTAAAATACTTTTCCCCTGTAGATTTTACAGGTCAGTTAAGAAAATATATAATTGGTGAGATAAACCTGCCCTACAAAAGAATAAAATACATGCTAAAGCCAATCATAAAAGAATATTTGGATTGCCCGGTGTTTTAGGTTACCCATGCTGTTGGGCACATTTTCTTCTGAAGCTAAGCTACTTACCCAGGGCCGCTGTGGTTAACCATGTCCCGGTCCCAGAGGTAAATCTGTTGTCATTTTTCATCCCACCTCTGGCCCGTTGACAACCCCCCAGCTCCCTTAAGGCAACGATAATGTTTCCTCGGAAACTGACTCAGATGATCCATGGGAATAACTGTAGGCTCTTAATAAATATTTGTTAAATTGAATTGTATTAAACACTCATCTTTTGTTCCTGTTTGTTAAGGCACATTAGAATCTCTCACTGATAATTTTCAGATAGAAAAAAAAATTCTGCCAAATATTACTTGCTGAGTTTCATGATTCCTCTAGTGTTGGCTCCAAATGTCAGTTTCCTATTAACCCGGTACCCACAGGAGTGGGCACCTTTACAAAAACCAGAGGTGTCAGCATGGTTGAAAGGGATGTGGCATCACCTTTGTTGACAGAGGCACCCCTCTGTTCCCCACAGGAGCCCCATTTTGCCTTGGAGAGGGCTGCCCTCTTTCTGCCTTTCAGAGCAGAGATAGGAGAGAGCAGAGTGTATTTCAGGGATGAAGACAATGAATAAGATAACAAAATGTTATCACACTAGACAGAGCCTTCTTCTTCTTCTTCTTTTTTTTTTGGCCAAATCGATAGTGTCCCAAAGGCTGTTTTCAGCACTTTTCTCTCTCCCAGATGTAATAATAACCGGATTTCAAATGGCATATGGGCTTGGACCGCCAGGCTCTGATGAGTCACACATAGTCAACCAGGAAATTATGCTACCCCCCAATGAAGAAACATGTTTTCCCTTTTCCTCCTGCTGGGCAATGAGGAGTTCAAGCAACATGCACAGGGGGATATGAACTAATAACTCTTGGGTCAGTTCTATAATTTTACACATTAGCATCCTAGAATGTGAGACTTGGAAGGAAATTTAACAGCTGCCTGGGCCAATGCCCTCATTTTAGAGATGAAAATGCTGAAGCTCTGCGGGATAAATTTGCTCAAGGTCATGTAGATAGGTAGAAGCAGAGCTGGGACTAGAACTCCGGACACCTGAGTTCCACTCCCGCCTTGTGTGACTCCCTTTATGTGACTCAGGAGAACAAGGACCTTCTTTGGGTGGTCTCTGTCCCCAGGGGCTCTGCCAGCTGGCTCAGGGTGTGATTATTCCTGCTAATTATACAAGGATGAGTCCACATAGGAATAAATCACACCAGGGAAGTGTTTGGCCTTGACACATTGTTTATGATTTTAGAGAGAATTATAGAACGTTCTCATTTATTTAAAAATTTTATTTCTTAGGCTGCAGGCAACAGCAATTGATAGCAGGGGAAATGGTCCATGGAAAAGACAGAAATGGAAAAATTTGCCCTTTACCAAAAGGACAATCCAATGGAGAATTGGCTCTGATTATTCTTTCTCTGCAGGACTCATTTCAGGGAATGACATCGAGAGCAGGAATGGGAAATACAAAATGGTGTGGGGTTGCCTCCTGCTTCTGCTCCCTTGGTAAATATTGCTAATAAACACATCACTCTCTTCCTCTGAGTATAGATGTGGCCTCAGAATCTTTCTTACCAGCATGCTCCGCATAGTCTCTACCAATTGTTAGCTCTTGATAATGGAGATATAATCTGTTTGCCCTCCCTGCCCTGGGGAATAATAGGAGAAAAGACCCTGCAGATGGCTTTAGAAATCTGGTTAGCAAGAGTCAGGTCAGGTCCCACACAGCCCCATCATAAAAAGTATCACTGACCTGGTTGGACCAAGACTGTTCTTGCTACAGGCTGCTCCAGCGGTGGCAACAACAACACCATGGAGTGTCCCTTCTTCCTCACAGTTTTCCTTCAAACGCTGGCTTTGTGGAGGGCATTGGGCAAAAAACCATAGTAGGGTTCTTCACACTTGTTCTTGCCCATGGGGCCCTCAGCAAGGTCTTTCCCCAAAGCAGAGGCCCTGGGTCCCCATGGCGCTGTCCCAGCCTGGTGGTGAAGGTTGTCTGCAGGACCTTGTCCCTCCCTGGTGTGCTTCCTGCTATTCATCAGGCCAGGTCTGTCCCAGGGATCTCGGATGGAATTGCTACAGGAAGAAAGTGATGCAGAAATCCTTTCTCTAGCCCACTCACCCCCATTTCCACACGTTCAGATGTTTCTAGGCTTTTCCTTTTTAATCACATTTCTATTCTTTCGTAAGAAAGAGATGCACTTGTCTCTATCCATCCAAAGAAATTTCCCTATGTCCTCTACTGTTGCATTAGGCTTTTTGTAGACAAGAAAATGTCCATTTATCCTCTTAGGGTGCTATCTCATATCCTTAAAGACAGTCCTCTTTGGGTGACTGGTGGAGGATAGTCCCTTTGGGCCAACAGAGAAGCAGCTGCCAGTCTCAGAGTTGAAAAGGGAATGGAGACAGAAGCAGCAGCTTTGACTTGAATTGTGAACAAAGAATGTTTTCCTTCCCTGATCTATTTTCTATCAACCTCCAGTATGACCTATTTATGGAGATGCGATAATTAGTAGCAGCAGAGGGCGCTACAATGTCAAAAACAAAGCCGCCCACCTCAAAGGAAACAAGAGAGAAAAGTCCCTCTTCTGAGTGATATGAGTGATCAAGATCCAAGCTGTGGGACAAGGGTGACGTTCGCCAAATCTCTTGGCTCCCACCTTGTCTGAGGACCCCTCTTGAGTGGCAGTTTTGGGCTAATGAAAGGCAGCCCTTCTTCGCTGGTGGGCGGGTGGGGCCTGCAGGGCAAGTGGGGTCTGCAGCACCCTCAGCACCTTGGGAAGAGGCATAGTCTCCAGATGCCAATAGGAAGATGGGTTGGAGAAACTTAGGGCAATACGTCCTTAGTGGGCCACTGAATCTTGAGGCTTTCTCCTATTCCTCAGTGGTGGGGTCACTTGATCATGCATTGTGGCCTCTCATGAACAAGCCTGTTACAATGTTTGGAAGACATAAGAACAAGGGGCTGGAATGCTCACTTCTCATGCTCCTAATGCTCTTAGGGACTTGGGGAGAGCACAGCTGGCTCATGTCTCAGAGGATCACAGGTCTCAGGGGATCACGGAGCTCTAGGACATGCTTGCAGCACTGAAAGCAAATTAAAGATGTCAGTCTTTTTTTTTTAACCATTGATTGATACAACATATCAACAATCTTTTGCTAGATTTTGCAACTTTAAAATTTAGATTTACTCAGCATCTTTTCCCTGAGCAGCATTGATGAGAGTAACACTCTTAGGAACTCTATTCATATGTCTATTTAATAAAAATGGCAACATTTAAATTAAATATGCAACAGCAATACCTGACATTCATAGATCATTTATCTGCTGGGTGTATTGCATGTGTGACCTCACTAAATTTTCCAATAGTCCTGTGAGAAAAGCTATTACTATCTCCATTTTGCAGATGGAGCAATTGAGACTTGGAGAGTTAGGGCATGCTTAAGGTCACACAACTGGTAAAAGCCGGAGCTGATGTGAACCCAAGCAGGCTGGCTCCGGGATCCCACTCTTAGCCATTATACTGCATTGCTGTGCTCAGTGCCTGCCCTTCCTTGGGGGAGGGATGCCTTTCAAGGAATATTGCAAGGACACCAGGGCAAGAGAGTCATGATGATGCTACCCCAAGCAGGACTCAGGTTATGTCTGAACCTTCCATGTAAAGCATTATAGGAGAGGATGTGTCCTTCTGTGTGAAGGTCCATTAAACCCACTTCTCTGTGCTTGGGTATGGTCAGACGTGGGTGAGGTTGGGCAGTTAGAAGAGGAGGAGCAATTTAACTTGAAGATGGTTATGGTCTAGATCAGGAAGGGAACAGTCAGCTCTCATATTAATATCAAGCCCAGACAACATCTTTAGAGCAGGGACAGACACTAAGAGACTGTGGGTGGGGAGTGAGCATAATCCTTGGACTTGGGAGAACCGGAAGCTCTGAAATGGACTTCCGCCAGCAGGGAGCTGGGTCTCGTGGACTGGACCCCTGCCGGCAGGCGGCAGTGCAGGCCTGGGCAGCCAATGCACCGGCAAGGCAGCCCCTGGGCCCTCAACATCCCTCTTCCACATCCAGGGGCCCTGAAGATGCTCATGGTGGGACTCTGGCCTGCCTGGTGCTTACTTTTGGTATTCTGCATGCCTAGCATTGCCAGATAAAACACAGGATGCCCAGTGGAATTTGAATTTCAGATAAACAATGAATACTTTTTTAGTATAAATGTGTTCCAAATATGGCATGTCCCAGCTACCCGTATTACTGAAATTTTTGTTGTTTATTTGAAATGCACATTTAACTGGGTGTCTTGTATTTTTATTTCCTAAATCTAGGTGAATGGTGAGTTTTTAAGTGAAGAAATTGCATTCCTTTTTTTTACACAGATATTTACTGATTGTCTGTGATGCGGTCAACACAAGCCCAGGGGCTGGAGACATATCAGTGAAAAGATAAGCTCCCTGCCCTCATATAGTTTATATTATCGTGTGTGTGTGTGTGTGTGTGTGTGTGTGTGTGTGTGTGTGTGTGTGTGTGTGTAGGGGAGAGGTGAGATGGGAGAGACATAAAATAAACATGTATGAATCTGATGATTTCAGATAGTGATGTGAGGGAAAATAAGAACAGAGATGTAATTGAGGTTGGTTATGGGTGGCATGGGTGACTAATTTAGTTGGAGCTGAGAACTGTGAAAAATTGGAGACAGAGTTTCAGGTAGCTAGAAAAGAGAGACATAGAAAGGACGAGAAGGAAGGCCACTGCAGCTGAAGGGAAGAAAGAGAAGGAGCAGATGTGAGGTGAGGCTGGGGAGGAAGCAAGGGCCAGATCGTTTGCAGATGTTACAGGCCTGGGAAGGAGGTCCAGCTGTCATCATCTGATGTACATTTTATGAAGAACTGGAGAATGGATTGTCCAGGGACAAGAGCAGAAGCAAGGGGGCCAGTTAGTGGGTTATTGAAGCAGTCCCTGTAAGAGATGATGGTGTTTATAGAAGGTGGTTGCAGTGGAGATGGAAGAAGTAGATGGATTGGAGATATATTTTCATGGTAGAACTGACAGGTCTTACTGATGAAGTGGATGTAGGGAAAAAGGGAAATGAAGGACCTTCTAGAAATACTCCTAGGAACACTCCTGCATTTTGGGGAGTGAGTTAGTCAGTGTTCTGTTTTTCACAGCAGTGCCTCCCAACTGTTGTCATATTGATGGCTTACATGGAAAACTGTATTTGTAGTGCTCCTGACTGGGAGGGGCTGGCTCAGGGGCTCCAGCCACCCCAGGTACATGGGCACTCTGAACACTATCTCAGCAAGCTTATAACCCACTTATGGCAGTTCACCTGCCGGGAAGCTCTGTTCAGGATTTTCCAGCTGGAGCCAAGTGTGTGCTGCAGTGGGCCCAGTGAGAGATGGAAAGTCAAGCTGGTGAAGTGCAAGAAGCACTTAGGATCAGGACACTCCCTCAAGCATCTGAAATCAAAGATTTCTGGAATTCAGGTCTAGGACAGATTTTAGAAAGAATCTGGTCCAACCCCCTTTCCTTCCTCTTTACACAGAGGAGTAAGGGAGTTGTCCAAGGTACTCTTTCACTTATTCCATTTATTGAATAGAACAAAGTGTGTGGAGCCGTGCTAGATGCTATGAGACAGTGTCACTCAAAGTACGACATGTGATTAATGGACTAGTACACCAGTCTGTGACCAGAGGATACAGAAATGGAGAGTGAACTACTTTTGTAGCAGTTGGATATCCAAGAACGCCATCATTAGTCTTGCAGTTTTCTTTCCTCCCTCACTTCCTCTCTCTCTCCCTTCCTTTGTTTTTCTTTTCTTTTCTTTTTTAAAAGTAATCCATTTTTCATTGTCATATGTGTTAGTTCAAGATGGATTGGGGCCAAAATCATAATAGCAATAGCAGTTTCCTTGGCTGAGCGCATTTGCCTCTAGAAGTCACAGCTGAATCAGTCACATGACCGTCAGCGCTGCCAGTCTCCTCTTGTTTTCCTCCCGTCTTCTTTCATTAGAACCGTCAGATAGTCTCTGAGATCTTAGGAACCCTGTTTTGTTGTATATCCTCTGCCCTGATATGAAGAAAAGATGATTCTTACTGTGGGCTTTAGCTTTTTGTTTTTCTGTAAGTAGTTTCATTTGTTTACATTCCACTTGCTCTATAACCCCATTTCTCCTTCTCTGACTCTTGAAGGCTTTTTCTCTTGCACTCTTGGTTTTTGGTTATTTGCTGCCTTTGGCTTTATTTCTGTGTCCTTCTCTTGCCTCTGCTCATTGAGTTCTTCTGGGCTAGGCATGTGCTGTACTCACTGTCTGGGGGGTGCAGAATTCACTATTTCCTCATTGTCTTTTTCCCAGACAGGGGCACGCTGTGTGACAAAGTAACCCAGAGTTCCCCGGACCAGACGGTGGCGAGTGGCAGTGAGGTGGTACTGCTCTGCACTTACGACACTGTATATTCAAATCCAGATTTATTCTGGTACCGGATAAGGCCAGATTATTCCTTTCAGTTTGTCTTTTATGGGGATAACAGCAGATCAGAAGGTGCAGATTTTACTCAAGGACGGTTTTCTGTGAAACACATTCTGACCCAGAAAGCCTTTCACTTGGTGATCTCTCCAGTAAGGACTGAAGACAGTGCCACTTACTACTGTGCCTTTAGCACTATGATGCAGGTGCCCAGGAAGTCATAACACAAACTCCTGGGGCACAGCTCAGCAGAGCTGCCTCTTAGGGCAGGTCATGTCTGGGACTTGGCATCCTTCTCTTAGCCATTTTGGGTTCCAGCCTGGCCTTTAGAAGTGACCTAAAGTGTCTTCTGAGAAATAAATGGCCTGGTCAGATCCAGGGGAGCACCCTGGCTTCAGAGAAGCAGAGTATCTCCCCACTTCTGACTCACGGGGCCCTTGCCACCTGAATGACTCCTGGTAGGCAAAGGAGAACTGCATGTTTACAGAGCGCTGTCTTCGTGCCCCTGGTGCCCTGGTCGTCCCGATACAGAAAGGGGCTTGACAAGCCTGTGCTGCATTTTCTGTGAGTGTTTCAGGATGCAGGTTCAGGTGCAGGTAAAGGGCCCATCTAAGGCGAGGCCGTCAGCCGTGTCTTTATTTTAGTCACCACCACCATTTATCCATTATTATGAATTGATCTGTTTTCATTGCAGAATTAAATTAGGGCCAGATGTGGTGGCTCATGCCAATAATTGCAACACTTTGGGAGGCTGAGGCGGGCAGATCACTTGAGGCCAGGAGTTCAAGACCAGCTTGGCCAACATGGCGAAGACCCGTCTCTACTAAAAATACAAGAATTAGCCGGGCGTGGTGGCTCGCGCCCGTAGTCCCGGCTACTCGGGAGGCTGAGGCACAAGAATCGCTTGAACCCAGGAGGCAGAGGTTGCAGTGAGCCGAGGTGGTGCCACTGCATTCCAGCCTGGGTGACAGAGCGAGATTCTGTCTCAAAAAAAAAAAAAAAATTAAGTTAGACACAAAGTTATTTACTTAAAAGACTTTTCACCAATTTACTTTTTTTTTCCCGCATCTTTTTATATCCAGCCACCTTCTCCTTGATGTTCTTTGACACCTCCATTTTACTTATTTTATTTGGAGAACATTTTCTTTTTTTTCACTGCAGAGCACTGAGGCACTCCTGGAAAGTTGTGACTTCCAGAATTCCAGCTGCCAAGTCCCTGAGTTTGAAGCTCAGTGGTGTCTCCGGCAGAGAAAATTTCCTCTGGGGCAAACTGACTATGTGATGTTGAAATAGATACACACCCTCAGTCCCTGGGAATCAGTCCCTCCTTCCTCTTCTCTTGAATTATCTGCCTTAATAGAACTATTAGAGTTATTAGATATAATCTTAGAAATAGAAGAGGCCTTACATGTTATTTTATAGAAACTACACTGCAGTCCAGAGACATGGTGGACATTCTCAAAGTCGTATACCTGGATAATGACAGGCCCAGAGATGCAGCGTTACACTTCCAGGGCTCTCTTCTGCAGCTGTACCCTAGGTGGCTCTATCAGTGAGTGGTTTGGGCAGCAGTTTATGTGCTCTTCAGAAACAGTGGACAAGAGTAGCCACTGTATAGAACAATGGAAAGAACAGGGGATGAGGGAGCCAAAGACCTTGGGCATGTGGCTTGGCTTTCTGGGGCTTCTGTTCTAATGCCTACTGAGTGTGACACATGTCCATCTCACAGTTCACATATCATGGCCCCAGATCAGAAGGCAGCCATAATCCCTCCTGGCTCTTGCCTTAAATCTTCCCTGGAGGCTCCTTTTGGTGTGGGAAATTCATGGTCCTGTGATATGCCAGGATTTTTTTTGTTTCTGGCATAGTGGGCTAGAGGGTGGCTCATTTATATGCTAAATATGGGACAATCCTGAAGTTCATTCTAGCTGATACTCACTTTGACATCTTGTCCTCATTTGGGGATGCAGTATGTTCTTATAGCAGGAACTTTGGGCTGAAAATCTTGAGACCTTGGTTCTGCTCCCAGCAATATCCCTGCCTCACTGAATGACTCTGGACATGATACATACTTTTTTGAGGAGAGGGCATTTTTGTTTTATCTGAAAAATGAGAATATGATCTTTTTGTTCCTAACAACTTCAGAGGAAACACCCTAATATTACACAAGGTAACTCGTGAATGTTTTGGAAATCAGCATTCCTTACACATACAAGGTGTAGTAGACATGATGGGGGAGTTTGCTGTCGGGGATGGCAAGTGGAGTTGTTGGCGACAGTCACTCTTTCACTTGTAACCTCATAACCCCCGACTTGATGCTCCACATAGGTGCTGAGAGAACCACAATAATGGGTTGCTAGGGCTCTGCACCTGAGCAGTGCTCCTGGAAAAGGCTGTGGCCTTCCTGGGTGGCAGTAGCAGAGGTCACTGGCCACGCTGCAGGTGCTGCTGTTGCTCTTGCTGTAACAGCGGCATCAGCAGAGGCAGCAGGAAACCCGAGGCTGGGTCTCCAAGGCAGGGCCTCTGTAGGCTTGGGGCTCAGGAAAGTGCAGTGTGACCCATAAGTTCAATTTGGCTTTTGGCTGACTAATAGTGAGCTCACAGAGCTGAGTTTCCCCCTGTGGTGATCTGCAAAGAGTAAAGCCAGAGGCGAGGTGCACACAATGCAGTTTAATAAATGCAATAGAGGCAGAGGCTGAGAAGAAAGGCAGAAAACCATCAATGCCAAAGTCCCAGGCCAGAGAATCAGTGTCCAATGGTTTCAAATACAGATTGGCAGGCAAAAGACAGTAAAAATGTTGTTTTTATAGGGAAAGATAGGGGTCTCATTTCTGTTCCTCCCTTCAAAAACACTTTCACAGTGAGTTGCTTGAAAGCAGACTTGTGTCTTCTTTGTACTCTCAGCATAGTGCCTGGAACTCAGAGGGAGCTAATTCATGCATGTTAAATCAATTAACAGAAAGCAGTGCCTTTCCTCTGTATTTTACTCTGATTTTTGCTAATAGATTGGAGAGTATTTAGATGAGATTTTGGAAACCTCATTGCCTGCTCATAAAGTATTAGCAAATTCAAATGTAATCTCATTTGTAAAGTATTAGGAGAGGCAGAAAGTGCTGAAACTTTGTCCTCCTCCACGCCATGCAGAATCTCTAGTGTGGCTCCTGAAGTGAACATAGAGGGTGGGACAAGCCGTGAGGACAGGAGGAAGAAGATGATGCTGGTTTGTAGCAAATCTAGTGCTCAGTTGAGCAGAGCCTTCCATGTTTAGATAAAAGGGCACCCGCTCTTCTTCTCCCAAGGCCTATTTGCCTCATGAGGAATGAAGCTGTGAACCTGTTGGTTCCCACTTTCTACTTCAAAAGGTAAAGAAAGTCAAAAGGAACAAAACATCATTTTCAAAGTGTATCACTTGTAGGAGTAAAAAAAGAGTCCTATATCTTTTTATATCCTTCTATCCCTTTATAAAACAGCATACAAAGCAGTTAGGACATAAACCCCCCTTCCCCAGGACTTTTGTCTTCCCATCAAGCTGGAGGATGAGCTGGGTTTGTTGTCTTTGAAGAAAAAGTGGTTTGGCTAGCAGCCATTTTAACAAGGCTATGACAGGTCAACTTGAATCACAAAGAAGTCAGAAGCCAAGGAGATGCATTTTTGTAAGCCTTTGGTTTCTTCAGGAGTGTAGCTTCCTCATGCCAGTCAGCCTGCAGTGAAGAAAGTTGTTATAGAATAGACTGCCAGTGCTAGAAGGAATCGTAGGGGTCATGTAGTCTGGGGTTGGCCGGTACTTGCTATACTGTACCATTGCAGACATCACTAATCTATTGTGGCTCACTTTCCATGTACACATGGCAATAGCTCAGCTAGTTCAGCTATCAGTGTTGGCACAAGTCATGAGACTCTTTTGTTCTCCTTTGGTTATTATTTTTTTTAACTCATTTGTTTTGCAGATGCAAAAACCCAGGCCCAGAGAGATGAAGAAACCTGGCTAAGGTAACATGTAAGTTAGTGTCAAAATCAGGATAAAACCCAGATCTTCTGACTCTTAGTATAGCTCTCTTTTTACCCAGCCACACTGCCTGTGTCCCTGGGACTGTTAGTAAAATAACAGGTGAGCTGGACCCCCTTTTTGAGATGACTGGGTATGTTTACTGTCTGGGTCAGATCAGTCAAGTACTCTGAGTCTAGGGTTGTTCCTAGAACAGAAGCTGGGGTTGATGAGCATTTGTGAGTATTGGAGAAGGAGTGAGGGGGAGAAGCCTCACACGCAAACCCAGGCCCTGGTTTCAATTTCGTGTATGAGATTACCTGAGAACGGAATGCAAGTAACAGGCAAATAATTGACATCTCAAACCTAACTGTGTATGCATCCTGAGTAGCTAATAGTGAGCTGTTCACTACTAATGCTGTGTGTAGGTTCATCCCAAAGACAGGCTGATCCACACATAGACAGGCTGGTCCTATGATTAAGGAGTGTGAGCTGGCATTCCCTTTATCAGGACAAAGATAGGTTCTGCTTCCTCTGGATAGTCTTCAGGCAAAGCTTTACTTATGGCCTTGCAAATAACCCATGGTCTCTTGGTCGATGAACAAAATAGCAGTAAAGAAGATGAATTCTCCTTATTTATCTTCAGTTTTCTCCCTGGAGTGAAAGTGAGGGTTATTCTCTGGTATATTAGAAAAATAGTACATTATACTACCTAATGGGTTTCAGTCTGACTCAAAATGAAAGGATAACAGGAAATGGGGTGCTGTTTTGCTGAGTAGCTGAGATAGCCTACCTTATTAATTCTAAGTATGTCTCTATTTTCCCTTTCCAATGCTTCTTGGTTTCTTAGCCATTTCTAAATCCCCTTTCCCCATGTGCAGCATGGTGTGGGTAGAGATAGGAATAAGAAGCGGCTAATTCTTACCTTACAAGAAAAATAACTTGGCAGTCAAGAGAAAATTGACGGCAACAGTCTTTGCAAACAGCATTCGTAGCCCAAGCACTGTGAGGGACATCATGTTCACCTTCTCGGTATGAACTATGGCTGAAAAAGAGTGAAGAGGGTGGCTTCAGGGAGAGATTAAATTCCCTTCCAGAAATTGGGCCTGCAACACTGATATTAGCCTGCCCCAAGTCTGCCTAGTTCTTTCTGGCCTGCAAGTCCAGCATGGTGCCAGATAGCCGTCAGAGACCTTAGGCTGCTGCTGACACCCAGCCAGGCAAGCTTGGGAAACCGATGCCGACAGCCAGGTAAGCCTTGCTGGGAGAGTCAGAGGCTCTGCAGAACCAACTGGGCTCAGCATGGTTTGTGTTTTCTTTTGAAATCTGATACATTTTGGCCCCAGTGGACAATTACAGAGTTTGCTTTAACCCTTGATTCTGAAGTTGGCCCTTTGATTTGAACTAACCTTTGGGTTTATGGCAGCTCTTTGAAGGTTGCTTTGTGTTTTCAGTTTCCTTTGGTTTTACGTGATCTGGAACAAACAGCAGTGGTCAGGGTTACATTGGGAATGAAGAGGCTCACAGGATTGTAGGCTTTTAAAACTGGAGGAGACTTTGGGTGAGTGAACTGAGGACCAGAGGATGTGACTTGGTGAAGGTCACATAGCTAATTATACAACATGCTTCCCATTCTAGCCTTTTTCATTGTACCATGAGGTCAACATCCAGGCACACCAATATGCGGGAAGAACTAGGATTCTTAGCCCCACAATAGGCCGCATTGCCCTTTGTTGGAATTTAGCACTGGATTAGAATGCACGAGGACTTTCAATCCCAGAGTCTAGTATGAAGGGGACAGTGGTAGGTAAAGAGGAGAGATGAGGAAGAAATAAGATGGGCTTTATTTTAGATTCCATCTTAGGGATGACAAGCATTTCCCTCCCCTGCCAATGGCAGGCTATAGTTGGGCCTAAGTCTTATTTCCAGCATGATGCTATACTGAGAATGATTTGTCCACAGTTACATCTCTAACTTCCCTTTCACCCAATTCTTGTTCCCCATAATCTCCAGCTCCTTGAAGCTAGAAATGGCCTACCTGTAGAATCTGTCTTCACTTCAAAGTCAGTGGAGTGCACAGTTTTATTGTCGTGTTGAACTGAACATGTCACTGAATTTGAATCTTCATATTTACCAAGCTTGACAGCATTGTACTTCCCACTGGGAGAGATGACAATAGCAGGATCAAACTCTGTTATCTTCTTGGATGACACGAGATTTATTCTTATATCCTTGGGGTAGAATTCCTTCACCAGACAAGCGACATTTGTTCCATTTTTCATGACAAAAACGGATGGTTTGGTATGAGGCTGACTTCCTGCAAATATAATCAACTTATTAGGTGAGATGATTATTCACAACTTTGTGGGGGTTAAACAGTGGTGATTACCTCGATTACCCTGGAGCCAAACACTACAATCCAGACCTCCATGCATCCTGTTAGTGACCTGGGCTTATTACCACCTCTGTGAAAGGACAGGCAAGGGGAGCAGAAATGAAAGGCAGTAAGTTTGACTTCCAGTTAGGAGCTGCTAGGAGATAGGGCTGGAAGCACAGATGGAAAATGACAACTACAAAGAAGTTTCTGGATCATCTGGGTTTCGATTATCTGTGGCTTTTTTCTTTTTCTTTCTTTTTTTTCTTTTTCTTTTTTTTTGAGATAGAGTTTCACTCTTGTTGCCCAGGCTGGAGTGCAATGGTGCAATCTCGGCTCACTGCAACCTCCGCCTCCCGGGTTCAAGTGATTCTCCTGCCTCAGCCTCCCGAGTAGCTGGGATTACAGGCATGCATCACCATGCCCAGCTAATTTTTTTTATTTTTAGTAGAGATGGGGTTTCTCCATGTTGGTCAGGCTGGTCTCGAACTCCCGACCTCAGGTGATCCGCCCACCTTGGCCTCCCAAAGTGCTGGAATTACAGGTGTGAACCACTGCATCCAGCCGATTATCTGTGTTTTATTAATCAATCCTCTGGACAATCTAGGTCAGGCTGAATATCTCTCTGCACCAGTTGGTTTTTTGTAAATGCATGGGCCCTTGGATGGTAGATCAGGGCAGGTGCTCATGCTATGCATTCTGTCACTTAAAGAATCGAGGGTCTGAGAAGGACTGCATAACTGGCTCAGAGGTTCTGAGGATGGCAGTGTTGGGGTCCCGGAAGGGTGCCATCCCTTCCAGATCTGCTGGAAAGGGTGGAAAGGGATCTGCTGAAGGTAGGTGGTACATGTTTCTGCCTTTAGGTGAATACTCATTCTTCTGTAGGGGACTGACTACTGTATAGTTTCCTTTGAGTCTTTAATCAGAGGATAACAATGATCATTTTCAGGAAGTCCTTAAAGAAATAAAACCAATTGAAGCCCGTTCATTCTTGTTTTAATCTAAGAGGAACTGTGGAATGTTGGTCCCAGGATTGGCTTCCCTCCTGGCCTTCTCTTCTTTTGTGCCTCACTTTGGACTACCACCCTGTACATGCATACTTTTCTTTCCTTAAGACCACAAGTCTTGAAGCTTTGAGAGAGGTAGTGATGATTCTTTCACACAGTGCCTCACTGAAGTTTTTGAATTGTGATAAATGTTGTGTCCATGGGGACTTAAATTCTTAGGCTATCTTCAAATAACTGTTAAAGAAAGAGCCCTGTTAATACCTGAAACCAAGAAACACAACCAACCTGTGAATGATGATCAAGATACATTTTTCAATCCTAAATTTAATGCTGACTTTTAATATTAATTGCTCCTGTAAATTTGGCCCTTAGTATTTGAAACTTAGGTGAATTTTGCTTCTTGATATCAAATGAAAAATACATTGAATTCCAGTGTACTTTTACCTACTATGGTCTATAATCAAGACATTAGGTGTTGCTGAACAGAAAGTTGGTAATGAATGTGTAAATGGAAAATAAGTAATTTTCCTTTTCCTTTTTTTTTTTTTTTTTTGAGACAGGGTCTTTTCCACCCAGGTTGGAGTGAAGTGGCCCAATATCAACTCATTGCAACCTCTGCCTCCTGGCTCAGACTCTCCTCCAGCCTCAGTCTTCCGAGTAGCTGGGACCACAGGTGCACACCACCACACCTGGCTAATTTTCTGTATAAAAATAAATAATTTTTCTAATGCTTTATCCTGAATCTGAATTTGGGCTTCAGCTGTGAGGTTCACAGCAGCAGAGCTACTGCCAGATCAACTGGTTATATCTGGTTGAGAGGGGGCGATTGCTAGTCAGGAAGTTTCTGCTGATCACGGCTTTGTAAATGGACCAAAGTTGATCATGGTTTTCCTAGAAAATCAACTATTCAGAGAAACCCCCCATCACTACCATCATCATTCTCCCCGTTTCCTCTGCTGAGAAGCTCAACTAAAAGACTGATTCTGTTTCAGTCACTCAGGGCAGGAAACTTATTCCTAAGAATCTGGTTCCTTATGTTTTTGGCTTTAGTTCTAGACAATTGAAAGGATTAGACATTTTTCAAAGGGCTTTCTTGGAACCTGCTTTCAACCTGCTTGAGAAAACTTCCCCTGTTTGGTTTCCTTGCATAGCTGAAGCCACTTGATAACAGAAAGTGATAACTCTAGCATTAACGGTTGGAAACCACATGCATTGCTCACTCACCTCCCTTCATAAGTGCAACACTTCTTGCTCACTATCTTGACTTTGGTTTGAGACATACTCTGGCTGACTTTCAAGGGAGTTACAAGTTACAAAAGAAACTTGTCCATAAAATAAACACCCTATCTCCTTGTTTATTTAAGAGTATCTCTTAATCCTGGTCTGATTTAGTTGGATAATTAAGGCTTGCTAGAATTTTAAAAGCTAAATTCATCAGGCAGTTGTCAAATCATCACTTTGGGCTGGGGAGATTGGGTTTGAGTAATTTGAATAATACAATATAACTGAAAAGACAGATGTCTGAAGAAGGTCATGCACTTATGATATTGTGCTCTGACTCTGTTAGTCAGCATTTCAGATAGAGCATAATACATTGATTTGATAAAACATTTTTCTGAATCCCTCTTTCTACATTAATGTTTATATTTTCAAAACGATTGTTTGAAAGAAAGTGTCTTATAGAATCCATTGTTTGGCATCTTGGTAACCAAAGAAATGGGTGTCTGACTGAATTAAACCTTTTTAAAAACTGGAGTGCACTCAATATAGTTGCCATATGCATCCTAGTCTATTTTGTATTTGACTTAAACCCAGACGTGAAGCTGTATGAAATTGTAGTCCAGAATTTAGATTAAAGATTTAATCGTTTATCTTTGAAGAACTTGTAGTCTTTTTTTCTTAGTCCACAAATATAATTACATTGCAACATGTGTTTCAAGTGTTATTTCTTTGGAAAATTGCTTTATTGTCAGACTTTCTCTTTTTATGAACACCAATACATTGCTAAGTTTATGTGCTGGTAAACAATACCAAAAAAGTGTGTACCATTCCTGAACAGTCTTTCTTAATTTATAAACTTAGAAGTCACCTATGTTTTAGATTCTCATAGCTAGTCCTACTGATCCCCTAAGAATTGCAACAACTGTAATAAATGTCACTCAGAATTTCAAGACTTTCTGCCAATATGGGATTTAACTTAAACCCTGAAATAAAAGTTTGTTCTACCTAATTACTCTGACCATGCTAACTACCTTTCTCCAGAATCTTCCAAGCTGTAGGACACTTGTTTTCAGTTTGCAAGGAGGCACGCATACTAGTTAGCTTAGCCAAAGGGATGTGCAGAGATGAAGCAGCTTCCTGAGGAATTGGGGCTGAAGTATCCCTCCCACTGTCTCCCTTGCACCTGAATGCTCCAACTCTTAGTGTAGTTCTTCTAGATTTCTTTGTGTTTTTTGGGCTGCTCTGAAGATTTCAGAAATAAATGGGAGCTATTGTTTTAATATAGAGTATATATATTAAAATAAATAGAGTTACAGAGCTACTTAAGTGACTCAGTCTAGTGTGTTCACTCTGGCCTATTTCACATCTGTAATACTCTGTCTCCTTGTTATAATTTCATTTACTAGTTATAATTTATAATGCAAACTGGATTGCAGCCCCAGTGCCAGGACTCAAATTATCCCAGAAATATAGGAAAAAGATCAACTCACGGGGCTCCACGAAGAGTTTGATGCCAGTTCCGAAAAACATCTGTCGGGTGTCCCAGGAGCACATTATGACAGTGCCTCACAGGTAACTAGCCTGGAGCTGGCCCTGGGGCCTGAGCTGTAACATCTGTGCCCTGCCTCCCCAGCCTCAGTTCTCAGCCTAGAGACCCCACAGCTCAGAGAACTACAAAGCTGCTCTTGATGAGACCAAGGGGCTGAGTACACAGAGTCTCAGTTCCCTTTGAAGCTAATAATAGTTGAACTGCTTGATAGAGATGTGAGGGTGATATCCCCATCCAAGAGATACTAGGGCAGGGCTGAGACAGAGCAAGAGAAGAGGGTGGCAGGTGACAAATAGCTGCCTTCATGATGGAAAATCTAACTTCCAGTTTATTGAGAGGGGCATCCAAGAAGAACACAATAGCTTGAGGGTAGGGATGGGGCACTTAACTTGACCTTTCTTACAACAAATGTTAGGTTGAGGAGAGGAGGGTTATAGAAAGAGTTTCCATTCTTATTATACTCTGGTTCCATTCTCTTGGGTCACAAGTACAGAATTTTGATTAGAAACCTAATTTCCCCCATCACTCAGACTGAGTCTCACAATAATAACGAACCTGCTTTCTAATTCCCTGAGCTTGGCGAAAGGCTTTCTAAGGACCTGAGGGTTGAACAAGAAATTGGTCACTGCTCAGGGAGCCCACTGGTGCTGTGTGTCATGGACACAGGTCAGAGAAGCCAGTGCTTGCTTTGCATTGCTTATTTTTGTTTTATAATTTCTCCTGACTCTGGATCCAGATATAAGTTTCAGGAGTATATAGTCATCATGTGCAATGTAACATAAAGACCATGTGAATTACTCTGCCTCATCACCAAAAATCAAGATCGTTGGGCTAGAGCCAGGCAAAAGAGAATGACAGTTGTGTAGGGCCATTATTCACTGTCAAAGCTTTAAGGACTTGGGGTTTGATTTGAAAATTTTCACATCCCCTACCTGAGCTTCACATCATCATATTACATTTCACCACTGCAGGAGAAGAAAACCAGAGAAGCGAATGGAGTGTCATCGGGGAGCATGGTCAGCATCCTGGCAGAGGGGCTAAGCATCAGTTTCATCAATTTCCTTCTTCCCTAAGACTCCCAAAGGCACAGCCTCAAAGATTTGATTCTAACACTGCAGATAATTCCAAATTTCAAGTGGAAATGATTTTAGGGGAAAATGAAACACAGTAGTTTTTGCTCAGATGCAATTTGCTAAACATCAATCAGACTACAATCAGCTACGACATGATTCTGTTTCCCTCCTTTTCAGTGCTCTAGTCTCTCTCCCCTCAAAGATAAGAAAACTCACCAAATTCTACCATTTCCCTGGAGGCAACAGGCAGTGGAGAATCCCTATAAGTTTATATTATTCTCTGAGAGGCAGAGACCATGTTGACAGCACCAGTCACTTTTTGGACTTTTGGTCAGATAGCCTAGCCACATTCATGTACCATTCCCTACTTATTTATTTCCTCTGAATAAACAAAATCAATACCTAATCATGTAAGAGGTAATGGCTCTCCCAATGGACTTGGCATTTTGGAAGGTGTCTGAAGGCTATTCTCTGGACTGGTCTTAGTGATTGACTGTTGGCAGCTACCCAAACTACCAGAATATAGCCCCTGGATTTCCAAACATTGGAGTAGGCTACCAGTAGACAATGTCTCCAGTAGGGGACCACGACTTCTCTATTGTCCTGGAGTTGGTGGCTGTGTTTCTACATTGGATACAGGCTCCTGAACCATTGTGCAAAGTTCCCAGTTTCAGGGCTAACAGGAGAGGTGAGCTCATAACTGCTCTCAGCAGACCCAGGCCAGGATGGGACCTTGAGAACCATTTAATCTGAACCATTTATGTTGGTTTAATGCAAGTTCAGAAAAAAGTGACAAGGGCAAGATTGGCTTCTTATCCAGAGAGAGAGAGAGAGAGAGAGAGAGAGAGAGGAGAGAAAGATCCTCTTTTTAAAACTCCTTCTTTCGTAATACTTTTTTCTTTCTAACCTTCCCTCTTCCTACACTGTGACCATGACTTTTATCCCTCATAAATACTGGAGAGACCCTCCTCAACCACAGCTTGCCTTTTTCCTGGTTCTAGGGAGCCCAAAACTAAAAGCCTGACCTAGGGCTTTTTTTCAGTAGTTGTAAAAAACTTATGAATACCAAGCCTCAGAATGGAGTTTCCAAGCATATACAGAATATTTTCTTAAGAGAAATCTAATGCATTTGCTCCCAAATTTTACCCCTACTGTTTGCAACAAACAATGGGTTTCTAATTTGGAACTCTTTACTTCCCAAGAAGCCCCATTCATTCAGGACTACGCTACAACAACCCTAAAGAAATATACACACTGAGCTGTAGTAAAATGCATAACTTACCTGGTTCCACGATGAGTTGTGTTCCCTTTCCAAAGAAGAGTTGTGCTGTCAAAGCACTACCACAGGCATCATTACGAAAAACCTTGCTACCTATTTGCTCCCTGTCAGTCTAATTCATCTGTTTGGAAGTGGGTGGGTGGAGCAGAATGGGTGTAGCTGGAGACAGAGCTTTGCAAGGGTTTCTGAGATCTGAGCATTATATTTTGGCAGCTTTTTTGATGTCTGCTATCTTCTGAGTTTTGACACTTAGGCAAGTCCTTAGATTTTCTGCTATTATCTCCTCAACCTGCCATCTCTTACTCCCAGATCTTGCTTCAGGATAACATTTTCACATATTTTGCTGAGAATTGCCAAATGGCCGTTGTAGGCAGAAACGTAACAACAAGCCTCAACTAAATCAATCACAACAGGACTGTGCCTCAGCGAGAGGTGGAAGGACACAATGGTTGGAGCAAGAGCCATTGATGCAAAAGACTTGGGGTCTATCCAAAGGACTATAATAATCACAGATGACTATGATTTGTATAAATACTTTCCTACTTAAACAGCTGGTGTTTATACTACTTCAACAAAGTTATTGAAATAAACTCTATGAGGTGATATTTTTAGATCCATCTCACAGACAAAGGCACTGTAAAGGTGGTTAAGTGAGTGGCTGAGTTGGGCTTCACTCAATTTCCAGTTTCCAGCCCCTGAACCAGAGTAATAGATGGTAGGACTGAAAGGAGCCTCAAGGCATCATTTTTCCAAACCTCTGTGATCACACAAGGGCTAATTAAGGGATGCATAGGGAGAGTTTTCACTCCCTTTCCAGTGCCTTTTTTTTTTTTTCCATTAAATCACAGAATTCCTACTGGGTAATAGGACAGTCACACCATTGGGCTTCCTTGCTTTTCCTCCCAATTGTTCATAAGAATTGGTCTGGGGATAATCAGGATCATAGTGGGCAAGGGCTGGAAGACAGCTTGGAAATCCTTCATCTAACTATAGGGAAACTATAGTTCAGTGCAGTTAAGTCACAGAGTTTGTCAGCTAATGCATTGTCAGTTAATGCATTGGACAGATTGGAACTTGGCCTCTGATTTACTGGTTCAGCGTGCTCCTCATTTCACCTTGTGTCCACCCCCCGAAGTGCTGTCATGTGAGTCTGATCACAGTGGTGGCCTAGATCTGTACATGGTGGATGCATAGATGTTGAGGAGGGTAGCTTTCTGGAGCCAGGTAGAGGGAATAGAAACTCTCTAGGAAGGACAATGGATCAAGACGGCTCACTGAAGCACAGACGCCATCCTGGATTTTATCGGAAACTCAGTTCCTGTTCCTCAAGCCATCCCTTGCTATATTACCTACTGGAGCACTGCTTCCTAACCTGGTGACTTAGAAAAATATTTAACAAATGTAATTGCCAAACATAGTGGTCATAAGAAGGAAAAGTAGGTTACTTACGTTGTTGTACCTCCAGATAGGTTCCTTTGCCAAAGATCAGGGGTCTGGCACAGCTGACATACCTAATCCAAAAACTACCTTGCTTTTCCCTTTACGGCAACCCTAGCCCCAGTTGCCAAGTCACATGATATTCATCCCATGTGATTTTCTGTCCCATCTGGCCTAGCCTCTTCTCCTCCGTCTTAGAGGTTGTCCTTCAGGATGGAACAAGAGGTGACTCTAGCATCAAATAGAAATCCAAGCTTTTGCCCATATTACAATCTGACAGAATTTGTGCTCAAATAAGAGAGAATGAATATAGACTGGAAAGATGTTTTTTGGTTTGATCAAGAGGAAAGAAGGGTGGAACGTTGGTCATAGAGCAGTGGTTCTCCACCTTCGGGCTACACTTAGGTGAGGCAGGGACCTAGCAGGTTATATATACCATGCATTCCAACCTTTTAGGGGAAATTTATTTCATATCTGAGAGTTTTGCATCATTGCCAAGTATTGTGCAGCAGCCAAACTGCTTAGTACAAAATAGAATTAAGTTTTTCCATCCATTTTAATAACACATTCATGCATATCAAATTTTAGCAAGCTTCAATGACACTCTCACACTTAGAAGTGACAGTTAAATTAATTTCTGTTATACGTGAACATCAGAATCTATGAGATTGCCTGTATGTCACTCATAAAAACCAAGGAGGGAATATGGATTTTTCGGATCAGTTTACAATCCTTAAAAGACTGTAGATGATAGTTGGAGAATCACTAACATGAAGGGTGGTTCCTAGTCGTTGTAAAGTAGAAGGATGTCAGAAGATCCAAAACCTAGTTTTGACTCTGTCCCTTTCCAAGTGTGTAATCTTGGCCAAGTTCCTTAAACTCACTGAGCTTTATCTGGTTTCTCTACGAAGTGAGGATAACATCTTCCGTATTATAGGTTATAAGATTAGATACAGCATCTGTGAACTAGAGAGACTCGATGTAATTATTAGAATGTTTATTAGGGCTAAACTCAGAGAAGATACATTTTACTAGAAGCGTGGGGAATGTAATTGCACTAAGAACAGAGCTCCCAAGCAGGAAGGATTGTTGGGACAGGTTGCTGAAAAAGAACAGAAGCTATTTTTTGGTGTTATGTGATATGAAGAGGGTGCCCACTTCTTAGGGCCGTGGGTTAGGACTGGTATTCAGGTTTCTGTCTCTCTAGATCTTTTCTCTAGGTTACGTGTGACTTCCATTCTACTCCCCAATCTTCCCTTTCGAATCCAAAAGCAGTAGTCCTTACAGTGGCCTACAAGCCACCCTCTCCCCAACCCATCACCAATCTGACCTCATTTTCACATTCTCTCCCCATCACTCCCTCCCCTCCTCCAGCCACACACCCCAGGCAGCCCTGTGTCCCCTCTGCCTGGAAGTGCTCTCTCTCCAGAGGTCTGCATGCCTCACTTTACCACCTCCTCGGGTCTCTGCTCCACTGTCACCTTTCCAGTGAGACCTTCTGTGACTCTTCTGTTTAAAACTGCATGCTGGTCCCTCCCACTAGTCCTCTTTATTCTCCTTCCCGGCTTTATTTTTCTTCTCAGGGCTTATTACCACCCTAACGCACTGTATATATTTTTTATTTATTTATTTAGTTTACCATCTGTCTTTTGCCATTAGAAAATAAGCTCCAATATGGCAGAAGTTCATGCCTGCTTTGTTCATGTCGATTCCCTGGCACCCAGAACAGTGCCTGGCACTTCGTGGCAGAGACCTGTGATGGGTTGCAGAGCCAGGACTCAGGCTCGGCTCTGTAGGTTACCAGCTTCCCTTCATTTTTCTTTTCTTTTGCTTTATACCATAGCTGACTTTTTCTCTGATTCATTCATTCCTTTATTTATTCATTCACTCATTCAACAAATGTTTGTTTAGTGCTTTCAGTGTACTTATAGGTGCAGTAAGAAACAACTCAAAGTCCTTTCTCTCACAGAGCAAGGGAAACAGACAGTAAACGAGCATATAAAGATTCAAGTAGACATGAGGGCTATAAATAAAGCAGGGAAAGGGGTCTTCAGAGTGACATGAGGTGGTAGGGAAAGGATTCACTGGAAATGACATTTGAGTGGAGACCTGGAGGAGGGGAGGGAGAAAACTGTGTGAGTCCCTGGGAGAAAATGGCTCCAGGTGGAAGGACTTGCAGGTGCAAAGGCTCTGTTCTGGGAGATGCTGACTGGGAGTGAGAGGGAGTGCCAGATGCCAGGCCAAGGGCTAGTGGGCCTGGAGGAATGGGAAGGTCATCTTTTGGAATCTGAGAAACATTTTGATGAGGCCAGAATTATGTGGACTCCTTTTCTTGAGGGAAAGAGTGATGCTCTGATCATCGTCTGGACCTTTCTGTATTTAGGGACCCTGGGTCTCCAGGGGTGTAATGTGAGAGATGGGCCTCACCTGGCTCCTCCTGGGGAAGGGGAATGCTGCTTTGGGTAACTGGTTTTGGCGGGGGTTCAGAAGTTCTTCCTTGGTGAGAGAAGTGATGGGGATGGCACTGGAAGGGAAGTGGCATAACTGTTGTTTCTGATTCAGCTTGAAAAGGAGCTCATTAGAGACCTGAGGCAGAGGCTGGGCCAGGCAGGAAAAACCTCCACACATGCCCTAGTCTAGCTGCAGCCCTGATGGAAGAGCAGACTTCTTAAGAGCACAGATGCTGGCATCAAGCAGGTGATTCAAATGATGACTTTACTAAGCTGTGTGATCTTGAGGAACCCCTTTAAGATTCAGTTTCCTGATCCATAAAACGCAAGTCATGGTACCTCAATTCCACATGATCGTAGTGAGGACTGAGTGAAGTGATAATCATTAAAGGACTTAGCCCAGTGGCCTAATAAATGGTAGGCACTCAAAAAGTGGTAGTTACATAATTGTGACATACAATAATAGATTGCATTCAAAGTCCATCACATGGCCCACTTCCACGCAGATGTTCCCAACGACCATGCCTCTTTTCCCCACTGCCGCTGTTGTTACCATAGAAGTACACGTTTCCATTACTTTATTCCATGCTGTTTTGTCCTGTTTCTCTGTTCTGTTTTACGAAGCTAAGTGGTCTCTCCAGGTTTACTGTATCCAGAGGACTAAAGTGTGGGATCTACAGCTGTGGGTTTGTATAGACCTGTTCTGTTAGTTTTGTGCTACCCAGGAGCTCCGTAAGTAAGAACTTGAAAGAAGCTCCCAAGGAAAAAAAAAGCATCAAAAGGCTTCTGAGAAGATAAAGGCCCTGGGTTTGCAGTGCAGTCTCTTTAATCCAATGTTGGTAGCTTAAAAATAGAAGCTGCCATTCAAAGATATTCTAGGTTGTGCCCCCTCTGGATACCCCTTACTTTTTCACTTCAAAGGCTGATGAAATGCACCAATATGAAGTTCAGCACTTCCCAAACTTCAATTAAGCACATCTCCCCCGCTTTTTTGGTCATAGTCATCTGTCATAATTTGCTTAATAATTTAAAAAAATTTATTCACTTTTTAACTTAAAATATAATTAAAAGGAAACTTGAAATCACATGGGTTTGATAGCCTAGTTGTACTATTCTGATAGCCATTAAAAGATAGATCCATGCAAATAAAAAGAACGTCTCTCCATCTGAAAATATGTGCTGTGCACTCCGCAGTTAGGGAAATATGGACCAAGTAAATGGGTAAACAGAGGAACTTAATTCATCCCTTACTTGGCAAACAAAGGGAAATTAGGATAATCAGTCTTTAGCTTTGTTGGAATTGTGGATAAACTTATTTTAGTGAAAATTTTAAGGATAATAAGGTCTAAAGGCAAAGGCCCAAATTAGTTAAAATTTCAAAATCTTACTAAGATGTTGATTTTTTAAAAAAGTCTGAACATCTCTGCACTGACTCCACTAGCACAACTTTGGGTGTCTTTCTCCCTGACGGCAGGGCCCCTGCCCCTTTTCTCCCTGCAGTGTGTGAGGTCTTGGGTTGCTCATGCCTGTCCTTCCCCTTCCTCAGCCTCCTTGCCTGCATATGCCTGGAACTGCTTTGTCCCCATTTGGTCTCTGAGAAGAGCCCACCATCACCACCCTATCTCTCTAGAGCCTTCTTTTACCTTGAAAAACCTGAGCTGAGTGCCAAAGTCCCAGCCAGGGCAGGGCATGCTGTTTCTTTTCCAACAGCTGGTTGGGCAGATTTGGGACCACTGACCCCTATTGCTAGACTTCCCTAGGACCTTCGAAATGGGTTTTTGTATTGGTTTATTACATTTTCTTACTTAAGATTAATATGTACTATCTAACTGGAATCTGCTGCCAGGTGGAGACCACTGTCTTATTTTATTTTATTTTTTAGCAAGACACGGTCGAATTCAAATGTCATTGAAAGGACACCAAAGATGCCTTCTGTGTTGAGCACAATCCTTCAACAACCTTAGCATTGATTCTTGCATAACTGTTAATAAGTGACTGGCACCATATACTCTTTGCAAAAACGATGAACACTGGTGAGTGGTAGGGAACTCTCCTGGCTGTGTCCTGGAGACTTCAAAGCATTTCTTAGTTGGAAGCACTACACATTCACTTTGTCCTGCTTGGAATCTGGTCTCAGTGGGAACCAGAATGTCCCATATTTCTCACTAGTAACCTAGTTTTCATTTGCAGCTCAAACAATTAGAAACAAATGTCTGAAACAGGTTATTTTCTTCTAAAGAGAAATATCGCAACACCAGGGACTACTTGCGCTCGCCCCACCCTCCATGCCCAGGAGACGGATTCAGTTCTGAGCTCTTCCAGGAGGATGTGTTTGGCATAAGGGAGGTCAGAACGTTTGGAATCACGTTGGTAAAACCACCTGGACTCAAGTCAGCTTCATTCTGTGTCCATTCTGACTCTGCTCAGGGAGTTGGGCCAATGACTCTGTGGTTTCTACAGCCTGACCCAAATTCGATGGACTGGGCAGAGTTCTCTGTTTCCTCTGAGCCAGAAGGGTCCCTTCATATGCCCCAAACTCTTTTTTTACAGACACCTTCTGCTCCTCTCCTATGGAAAGGATTAACCATATTTCACCTCTTCCCAGGAGTCCTCCTAAATGCTAGCTATTTCACCCATTTCCCATTTCAGGATTATTTCTGCCTCCTTAGATGGAGGATGCCTTAACCTTAAACTTCAGATAAATAAATGAGTTACTTACTTGGTTCCACAGTCACACGGGTTCCTTTTCCAAAGATGAGTTTATCGGTGTCACAGCACTTGAGGACGTTCCAAAAACCTCAGCGCTGCTCCCACCTACCTTCTTCCCGTCAGCTTTAGGACTGGAGGATCTTTAAGGCTCAGCTCCATGAAAGATGGCACTTGTTGCTTACCCAGCCGGTTCATAGATGGTTAATCATCTGCAGGTAGGGACAGGTTTGCTTTCGGAAGGCTGTTGTCTGAGGAGTATGGAGGACCATATTTCCTATGGCGGACCTTTCCAGCACAGTACACTTGATGCAGTGCTCTGAACTGTTGCTTTCTATTGTTTTACATTGCTCTCACTTCCTAGACCCATACTCAGCTCTCTGTGTTGGAAAGCTGGCACTGTCAAAGGGGTGGGTCTTGGCTCCATGACTACTCCAGGGTTAAGGCCTTTACAGACACCAGTGCTGCTGCTTTAAAGGCAGATAACGTGTGGCACAGCAAGAGGAGAAAGGGTGGCATGAAGCACTGGGTGATTTACAGAGCAGTCAGCTTTAGAATGAGCAACTGTGGCCGGTGATTGCCTACAAAAAAATCAATCTCTCTTCAAATCCATCCTCCCAAACTGCAAAGCAAAGCACTTGGGTAAATCTCTCTAGAGGTTTGAATTTAGAAATTCCGTATGAGGTGGCTCATATAACTCTCTTTTGCAATAGAATCAACATGAAAACAAGACAAGAATAGTTTTTAAGAAAGGCCTTTTTGTATTCCCCAAATGTGCTGTAAGAAAATGTAGAAATGCCAGTTTCACCCAAGGAAGAACAGCAGTGAGTGAGAGGTCAGCAGCTGTGGTCATCTCCCTGGTCCAGTCAACTTCCTGCTATCCCTTCCAGGCCCCAAAGCAGGGAGGGAAGCTGCTTGCTGTGTTTGTCTCCTGAGGCATGGGACCCAGGGTGAGGATATCCCAGGGAAATGGCACTTTTGCCCCTGCAGTTTTTGTACAGGTCTCTGTAGGTTTTGTAGCACTGTGCGTATCCCCCAGTCACAGTGCTACAGAGCTTTACAAAAACTTCCCCTCGGTTTCACACTATATGGCCCCTGAGAATCCCCAGAACCAGATGTTTTCTCCAAGTCAAGCTCCAGCAAGATCAAAGGGTCCTGACAGTTAGGTCAGGCCAAGCTGGCTCAGGTGCTTCTGTCTGGGGCTCTTCTGCCCCACTGGCTAGATCTGCCTTGGGGTTTGTGACTAGAATGGACTTTTAGAAATAATCACATCCATTCCCATCTGTGCTTTCTGGCCAGTCTGCCCTCAAATGGTTTCCCACTGAGGAGTTTGTCGGGTACTTAAACGTCTCATGGAGATTCTACATGCTGTGGGTTAGGCAGAAAAGGCTTGTGGTCAGTGTAATTTCTCCTGTCACCTGCTAAGCTTCTGAATCACCTCTTCCTGCTTTACACTTGAATAGTGTTATACAGTTTACAAAGGGTTTTCATGTAAATTTAAAATTGTGTCCCCTCCATTGACCTCCTCCCAGTTGCTAAATTCAGGCCAGTAGCCCATATGGTGCTTTGTGCGATTTAGAAAAGGCAGCCCTGCTGGGTGAATGTAGAGATAGCCCCTTGGGTTCAAGCTTGGCGAACAGATTGCACTTTTGTGTGGTTTATAAAAGGCCTTCCCTTTCCGGAAGATGCAACGCCACATCAGGGCCTTGGCTGGCGGCAGAGCACGCATTGAATTTTAGCCCCACTTCTCCTCTCTGCCAGATGCCCTTGTGAAGGCACAACCTGAGCAATCAGAGGCAGCAGCTCTGGCCAAATTCAACGGATGATTTTCAGTTTTAATCTTGTTTGACCTCAGAGTTTTGACCCAGTCATTGCCTTCTCAAAACCTCTCCTCAGGGCTCACAAGACACTGGTCTTGTTTGCCTTTGATCTCTGTTCTAGTGCTGTCAAAACAAAGCAATATGATAGGTGATAGGCTCATCGAAAGTGACCTTATTAAACTTTAACCATGAAAGAAGAGTAGGAATTTTGTTGTTGTTGCTATTTATCAACAGGGAGCAGGAATTTAAAAAGGTTACTCTTCACACTTTCCCTGGAGTCTTATCCAAATCCATGGTTTGATTTAATTATGACTATTTTACCTATGACCTTTGTAATGACTTTCCACCCTACATACAGCTGCATGCCTGCCCCATAAACTCCAAGGAACGTTATCTCTCTATATAAAGTCTAACATTCTTTTGCTGATTAAAAAAAAGCAAATAGGAAAAGAGAAAAATAAGAAATGTTATGGCTTCAATAACAGACGATGTAATGGGATGGCATACAGCAAAAGGCCTCATGGGGAGAACCAGGTGAGAATAAAGAACTGTCACTTGGACTCTTGAGTGTAGCTGGCCTTAGGTACTAGTCTTTGAAATGGCAAGAGGTAGCTGATTGATGAAATAAGCTTCTGACTCACCCATATGAGACTCATTGAGCTCCTTCTAGTGCTGGTGACTTTCCCAAGAAGCAGCCATCAGAAACTGGTGTGAATAGGATTAGTTAGAGGAAACAGAAGTTGGGAATCCTGATGAGAATGCAGCTTCCCAACTCTTCACTTCCTCCCTGTAATAGAAGTGTACCTCCAGGTTCTTTGCCATGGGACTTTGCAGGGCTTCCTACTACAGGCTCTATTGACATTGGGGCTTCATTATGTTTTGATTCATAGAATATGAGTGGAAGTGACGGTGTGCCAGTTCTAAGCTGAGGCTTCAAGACACGTCACATAATGGGTTTCCACCAGCACTCTCTCTTTTTTTTTTTTTTTTTTTTTTGAGACGGAGTCTTTCCCTGTTGCCCAGGCTGGAATGCAGTGGTGCGATCTCATCTCACTGCAACCTTTGTCTCCCAGGTTCAAATGATTCTCCTGCCTCAGCCTCCTAAGCTAAGTTGTTGCTAATTATAAAATCTTTTTTTTTTTTTTTTGACAGAGTCTCACTCTGTCGCTCAGACTGGAGTGCAGTGGTGCGATCTCAGATCACTGCGACCTCTACCTCCTGGGTTCAAGTGATTCTACTGCTTCAGCCTCACAAGTAGCTGGGATTATAGCCACTCCCACCACACCCAGATAATTTTTGTATTTTTAGTAGAGACGGGGTTTCACCATGTTGGTCAGGCTGGTCTCGAACGCCCGACCTCAAGTGATCTGCCCACCTTGGCCTCCCAAAGTGCTGGGATTACAGGTATGTGCCACCGTGCCCAGCCTGCTAATTAGAAAATCTAAGCTTCCAGGAAAAATTAGAGTTTTAGGAAATTTATGTTTGTCACTGTGAAGTAGATAGCTCACCAATATTTAAAAATTTTTCCTGACTTAAAGAGACCAGTGATGATGTTAGCTACTGTAATATTTTGGTATTGAATAATAAAATGTGTGCTAACAGGTGGAAGCTGCTTAACAGCGAACCAATTTTCTCAAGTGACTAATGGATGGGTTAAGAAGCATGCATGGGTGAACGTTCTATCCAAATTTCAGGATAAACCAATGTTTTAATGTAACAGAATATGATAAGTTCACTAAGATGGTATCAGATTTCACATTGCAACTAACCTTCAAAGAAACTACCTCTTGTCAAATAATTATGGTGCAATATAAAGAATATCATGTCCACAATATTTTGAACAAGCTATTAAAATACTCCTTTGTTTTCATACTACATATCTATGTGAGGCCAGATTTTTCTCATATATTTCAACCAAACCAACATACTGCAATAGGTAGAGTGCATAAGCAGACATGAGAATCCAACTGTCTTCTGATATGCCAGCTCTTCTCTGACAGATATCTGAAGACTGTGATCACTATGATACCTCCCTTCCTTTGGTCTACAGTCTCCCATATGTTTTAGCTATTCCTCCCAGGACATGGTTTGAAGTCTGTTAAACAACCTGGTATCCTTTTTAAAACACGCCGTAGTCTGTCTACAACTCTCAAACCGTGTGTGTTAATACCAGAAGCAGGGGGTAGAGATAAATAACACTAGCTCAAAGTTCACAATCCCAAATATTCTAAGCCTGGAGGATGCCCCTGTTTAATCCCTGTTTCATTTCTTGGCTTAATATCCCATATATTTGCTCCCAAGCATGAGACCTCAACCCAGCCAGGACTGAACTGTACCACAGTCAACTCAGCCTCCAACACTGTCCCTTTCCTCTGAAAATGAGTTTGCCTGGAAAAAAGAACATGACACAGTCTCCTTCCAGGAATAGTTGAACTTCAGGATTCATCCACCTTGTGCCTGCTCTTCCCCATTCCTGCAGAAGAGCATCTCACATAACGATTAAAATCTACACAGAGAAAGAAAGGACCAGGTTGCCCAGACTATCCTAGGGCCACTCCAGGGAAGGGTATCCACTGACAGGCTGAAACAGTCTCAAACCATAAATGCCAGAATGAAAGACCAAAGAAGACATTCGCCTAGTGTACCAAAAAGATCACTGCACTGGGATAGAGATACCCAATTTCTTGTAAGTTCTTTTGAAATTGGGTGACTTGGCCAAGTTGTGAAACCTCTCTGGATCTTTCTAGACTCTCTCATCTGAAAACCTAGGAGAGTGAATACATGATCTTTGAAACATCTCCCAGCTGTGGCATTCGAGGATTCCTCTCCAGAGATGCAATTGATCTTAGTGGAAGAGAACATGACTTGAATACTCCAAATATGTAGACAATGTGAAACTCATTTCTATACAGCTTTAGAATATAGTATATGGTATGGAGTAAATCACAACAAATTAAACTTACCAACCATGTTTAACTCAGGCTAATATTAAAAACCAATGTGTTTTAATACCACTAAACAAATGTTAAGGCAGTATTCCATAAGGCAGCCTAGTACCAGGCACTGAGCCAGAACCTGGGAGTTGGGAAGATCTGGCCATGGCTCTGTCACTTACTAGCTTATCTTCCCTGAACCTGAGATACCTCATCCTTAAAATGGGTTCAGAAGGCACTTTCTGAGCACTCACTGGGTTAGGCTCTGTGCTGGTACATGGTATACAGGGATGAACAAGACAGATCACTTCTCTCAAGGGTCTCAACCTAATGAAGAAGAAAGAAAAAGGGTTTTGAGTGCGAAAATAGAGATAAGTACTGGATGCTATGAAAATTCCGAAAAGGGTGAGCACTTAACCCAGATCACTGGGGTAGTCATTTAGGAATTCGCAGGGAAGCAAACAACTGAGCTAAGACCCTGAAAATACAGAGGGACTACGGACCAATTGGGGGATAGAAGAAGGAAAGGGCATCTCAAGCAAAGAAATATGAAAGAACACAGAGCATTCAGGAAGTAAGTAGTTCAATGCAACTGCATTTAAGGGAGCAAGTAAGCTATACTGTTTTGTCCTGAGGATAATAGGAAACCACCAAAAATTTTAGGTATGCCATTTCATAATTGCTAGAGACATAGAGTTAAAAGCATATGAAGGTAGAATCCTCTCAAGACCCACCATCTGTATTAATCAGCTATTTTTGTTGTAATTGTGATCTATAACAACCCCAAAATTTCAATTGCTTACAGCAACAAACATGTATCACTTTTGCTCACTGGTCTGCAGGCCACCTGGACTTGGCTTCAAGATGTGAGTTGGATTTAGGTCTGTTTTATGTGTCTTCATTCTAGAGGTCAGGGTGAAGTGGCAATGACTCCCTGGATATACGCCTTTCATCTCAAAGGACAGAGGCTAAAGAGTACTGGTGGAGGCCAGGCGCAGTGCCTCATGCCTGTAATCTCAGTACTTTGGGAGGCCAAGGTGGGCAGATCACAAGGTCAGGAGTTCGAGACCAGCCTGACCAACATGGTGAAACCCTGTCTCTACTAAAAGTACAAAAATTAGCTGGGCGTGGTGGCGAGCACCTGTAATCCCAGCTACTTGAGAGGCTGAAGCAGTAGAATCACTTGAACCCGGGAGGTGGAGGTTGCAGTGATCTGAGATTGCACCACTGCACTCCCCCCTGGGTGACAGAGTGAGACTCTGTCAAAAAAAAAAAAAAGATTTTATAATTAGCAACAACTATAAGTTGTTTATTTTAATATGACAGGCTCTGTTCATTTGTTTTTAAGAAAATGCCTGGCAAATCTACAAGTCTGAATAACCATAGTTGCCTGTCAATTGTTCTTTCAAGCAAAAATGTGTGTTTCATGGAAAAAGTAGCTAGTTCAGCTTGCAACTCAAACAACCACACAAGTGTTTCCTCTTAGATAACAATCATAATTTGGAATGTAACAGAAGTGCTTTATGTGTACTTATCATTTTGTCACATAGAATACTAAAAAGACATGTACTCGAAAGTTGAGATTTAATAAAATTAATAATTGTTATTGCTTTGTCAGTATTATGGGTTGAATTGTTTTCCACCAAATTCATGTTGAAACCCTAAATCCCATAACCTCAGAATGTGACTATATTTGCAGAAAGGGCCTTTTGAGAAGTTATTAAGTTAAAATGAGGTCATTAAAGTTGGCCCTAATTCAATCTGACTGATGTCCTTATAAGAGGAGGAAATTTGGACACACTGTGAGAAGAGACACCAGTGTTCCCCACACAAAGAGGAAAGACCATCCTTTCTGGAGGGCACAGCGGCAAGCCTGCTGTCTGCCTGGAGATGGAGGAGGGGTCCTTAGAAGAAACCAACTCTGCCAGCCCTTTGATCTTGGACTTCTATCCTGTAGAACTATGAGAAAATAAATTTCTGTTGTTTAAGTTGCCTAGTCTGTGGTATTTTGTTATGGCAGCCCTAGCAAGGTAATACAGTCAGTATCATTTTTAAGTGAAACTAACTTTTTTCCCCTGAAAATATGTGGCAGTGAAGAATATCATGATTATTAATACAGATTTGATGCCCCCGCCTTGATTCATGCTAAGGCACCAGCAGTTTTATCCATCATTGTTTTTCCACCATCAGTGTAAATATCAACACAACGAAAAAGGCAAGTAATGTTTTGCTGTTATTATGAAAAAAATTCTGACCTCATGGACTCCCTGAAAAGATCTTGAGGTGCTCAGAAGTCCGTGGGCAATACTTTGAAAATCCCTGTCCTAATTCCATGTTGTTTGTGCTACCAAAGTTGCAATAGCAGCTGTAAATACCAAGCTCTCTCCACTGCTTCACCACTCTCTACCTGCCTACTAATGACTGGTAAATCAATTGTATCATATGCTTTGAGTGATGGATGAGTGAGTGGTTAGAAGTCATTTGGAGCAATAGCCTCCCATTTCTGTAGAAATGATTAAATGGACCCACACATTTTGGCTGGACTCTCTAGAGTCAAGGACCATGGATATGTATGTCATCTGCCTCTGATTTCTTCTTGGTGGTACTCTGGAAGTCAGATGCTGGATCTATGATGATGGTGGGAAGGCTCAGTGATGACCTGAGAGTCTGTGTATATTTTCTTCAGTACCCATACTATATTTCTGTGGCAATATGTTAGCCCTCCCATTAAAAATAATAAATGCTTACTTGTTTAAGTGACAGATACTTGAAACTGTAACCTGATGTATTTTGCAAAACCGTAAAGAAGAAGAATGGACCAACATGACTTGCAGAGTTAATGGGTCAAATAATACACTTAGCAACTGGACAAGAATTAAAAGAGACCAGGATTTTTAACTGAGATCCATATTAGGCCCTAAGAATGTATTAAACTTGGTCAGGTTACCTTATTTGAGGGGTCTGGACACACTTTGGATTTTGTCAAAACCTTCTCTTAGCTTCTCTCTGATGCCCACCCACCTGAAGGAGAAGTAACTTGAAAATCATCTGATTGGGGTTCATTGGTACAACTGTGGAAGTCTGGAACTGTCCCACCCCCACTTCTAACACAAGGGGAAGACTTGATCTTGAGTTATTATCATTATCTCAAATCTTGAAAGTCAGTGATTTTAAGATATCTCAGTTATGTCTGTGTCTTGAAAAAGAATAAAAGGAATCTAAAATGTGCACCATCATTATTAGTGGTTTTCTTGTTCATTTTACTCATATAGTTAGTGACAGAATTCATTGTTGTCTTAGAAATATGTTATATAAACACAAGATTTTAATTTGTTCGAACGCTTACAGAACTAGGGAATTCTTCGAGCAGAGCAGTATTCCTTAAGAAAATATGCTAATTTTTAAGGAAGATATTGTATCTCATATTTTCATTGTTTAAATTTGCTGTAGACTTGTTGGCCATTTAAAAATGAAAACTTTATTATTTATTTTTTTGAGACAGGTTCTCACTCCATTATCCAGGCTGGAGTGCAGAGGCATGCTCATGGCTCACTGGGAGCCTTGATCTCCCAGGTTCAAGTGATCCTCCCACCTCAGCCTCTCTAGTAGCTGGGACTGCAGGCATGCACCACTTCGCCTGGTGACATTTTCGTATTCTTTTGTAGAGACAGAGTTTTGCTATGTTGCCCAGGCTGGTTTAGAACTCTTGGGCTCAAGCAATCACCTGCCCTGGCTCCCCAAAGTGCTGGGATTACAGGAGTGAACCACCATGCCCACCCACAAAATGAAGACTTTAAAAAAGGATTTTATTATAAAATTTTTGAAACAATCCAAAAAGAAGAGATTAATAAAATAAGTATCTATAGAATGATCACTTAGATTTAACAGTTGTTAACATTTGTCACATTTTCTATTTGTTTTGCTCGAGTATTTAAAAAAAATACAGATAAAATGACAATTCACTTCAGTATATATTACAAAAAAGGATATTTTTCTACTCAACCACAATACCATTTTCCACCTAACAAAGTTAACAGAAATTCCCGAAAATAACTTAATAGCCAACCCATAGTCAAGTTTTCCTAGTTTTCCTCCAAATGCTCCAAATGTCTTTTATAGATTATTTTTTCCTTTTTCTTTCTTTCTTTCTTTTTTTTTTTTTTTCAGACACAGGGTCTTAAACTCCTGGGCTCAAGTGGTCCTCCAGTCTCTGCCTCCCAAAGTGCTGGGATTACAGGAGTGAGCCACCATGCCTGGCCTCTGTTACAGATTTTTTTTTTTTTTAAAACAAGGATCCATTCAAAGACTGTGCATTTCATTGTTGTTAAATCTTTAAAATCTCTTTAATCTTTAATAGTTCTCCTTCCACTGCTTCCCCTCTACTGCACTTTTTTCCTGCCTTTTCATGACATTGATTATTGGTGGGACTGAACCTGTTGTCCAGTGGAATGTCTCACCTGCTGGATTTGTCTAGATGTTTCTTTGTAGAATCCTTTAATTTGCTTTTCTAGCTTCCTGTCTCCTGTTAGAACTAAAAGTTTGATTAGTTTTAGTTTATTTATTTATGTCAGAAATACTGTGTAGGTAATGTTATGCCCTGTGTATTGCATCATGTCAAGATGGACATAATGGCTTGATAAAGATAAGTGATCATTAGAATAAGATGGCTACAGACATCTTCACAAAGTTACACATTCCCATTACAGCCAGCAAGTAATATGAGACTTTAAAATGTTTTAAAACTTTTTTTTTCTTTTGGCTTGAAATTTTTTTTTTGCATGATTTCTTTGTGTGAAGCAGGAAGCTAGTCATATTTTTTCTTTCTGTAACTGTGAATGCCTACACAGTTTTGTCTGCTATGCAAAAAGAAATGTTGTAAACTCATCAATGTTGAAAAAGTAATACCTAAAGAATATTCACTTTTAGAAAGCAAGTAATCTAAGAATGTTATGTTCCATTTCTGCACTAAAAATGAGAATTTCATTCAAGGTGTTATTTCTGTGAATTGTTTCTATTCCCTGAAAATGGGCTTCTTTGATTTTATTTGATTTATTCTGTCCTTGAAGCCATAAATTCAGTTACTTTGTACAACCTAGGGATGAGGCCTAGGCATAGTTTCCTTCACCTGTGCATTGTTTTTGCTCTCCTAGACTTAAAAAGAGCAACTGGATGTGGTGTGCTGATTGGTGATTGTAATTCAAGAGAAGGGACTAATCCCCATGCTCTTGAATCAAACTCACATAGGGTCAAGAGAAGAGTGAAGGAGAACACAGGCCTTCTAAGCTGTCAGATCTATGATATTAACACTGGTTGATTTGAAGTGAACAGAAAAATGGTTTAGTTCCAAGGAGATATATTTCAAGAATACATAGTTCACTTGGGTGAAGATAGGTTATGCCTTTGCTCTGGGGTGAAGGGACTGCTTGGTGGCATTAGTTAGAGAGGGAGATTCTTTTATTCTCCATAATATTCCTAGTCGCACTAAGTCTGTCACTATCTGTAGACACCAGCTCAGGATTCATCTCCTCCAAAAGCCTTTCTCTGCTGACTTTATCCAACAAAAACTGTCCCTCCCGGCATCTGTTTACCTACTTGTGACTTTCTAGTAACTAGGGTCTTATTTGGAGGAGTGCACTTTTCATCACATCACTGGGCCATTTGGCCTATGCTACCTACTAACAACCTTCATGCCACTGCTACTCCCTTATTCGACAGTTTTCTCATCAGAACAAGGCACATGACCTGTTAGATTTGGGAATTCAACGTCAGAATTTCACCTTGGGGATCTGCTTCCAGATGGTCCTTAGACCAATGGTCTAAGGTCTTTGGTCATTGGTCTTTCTAAAGACCAGTGGTCTTTAGAAACACATTATTTTAAAAAGTTGGGACTTTGCAAGCATGCTGTATTCCAATGAAATGAATTCAATTCACAACAAACACTTTTTTGAACACTTGCTTTGCACTGGACATTAAGTTCTTTAAAGGAAGGGATTATGTAAGTTAGTTAGATTTGGGTTCAACTTCTTGGTTCATCATATAGCTAGTGTGTAGCCTACTATACAGGTTCTCAGTCACGATCAGTCCCAATTCCTTTACTCTTCCATTATATTCTTTTTTACAGTGCCACGGGTATATTTAGTAAACATTGAAATGTGTGGTTGGAATTGTTCATCACTGATGTTTTTGGTGATATTTGTTTATGTTCTGAAGCTATTGCTGTAGACCAACATGGAGTAAACAGAAAATAATTGGGACACAGGGGCAATAAAACTCATATATTATTTTCCCATGACACTCAGAGGACTCTTCCCAATGCTGAGACATACATAGCGGGTCACGGCTGGGTGTTTTTGGACAAAGGCTTAATGCACTCCAACCTGTGTGGTAGGAAGGCACAATGAAACACATCAGTATAAAAACCCTCTTCTTCCTTTTTCCCTTTCCTTGGCACTTTGCCATCACCACCCGCTGCCATCCACAATACCCCTGAAACTCCTTTCACCAATGCTGTTTTTGTGGTTAAATGCTGTAAAACTCAGACACAAAATTATTATAATTACACAAATCAATAAGTAAAACACCATCAACCTAAAAAACAAATGGGTGAAGGACAAATGAAGAAAGTTAATCATTGATTATCAGACTTGAAAAAGGATTTTAACCCTCTAGTAATAAAACTGTAAAGTATTAACAAACCATTTTTTGCATGGATATTTAATTAAAGCTTTTGCTCAAAATGTTGACACTCCCAATGTGGGCAAGATGTTGGTAAAAATATAAATTGTTTGATTTTTATTGGAAGCCATTTGGTTAATGTCAAAAGAGTAAAAGTATTCGTTTGAGTGACTATTTCCACTTTGGGGAATTTACTGTGAAAAAATACTATATCTATTTGAACATGGAGTAAGGTTCATGATCCTCAGAGAAGAAGAAATCCCTTATATTTGATTCCTTACAATAATTATGAAAAACAGTATTACCATACTTTCACTTAATTATTTGGCTTTGAACAGTTAAGTACAGTTTAGTGAGGACACATTGGAATGATCTCAATCAATGCTAGCTCATGGATGCTTATGGCAGTCAGCTGATAGAATTAGTTAAAAAGATGACTAAGTAGTTTAACAGAAACGTAGTAACTATTTTTTGGGTCTTCCAGTGCCTTCAAGACTGCAAGTGTTTGATATTGTTTAAACAAATCTATCAAAGTAAATGTTTTGTTGTGGAGATCATGAATATTCACTTACAGGATAAATGGCAAAACAATGATTCTAATATTATGTGAGTATGTATTGTGTCTCAAAGTAGGTATTAATAATGTGCCATCATTGAAACAATTTAAAATTATGTTTCTAAATCTAATGTGCCTCTTAATTTTCAATTTAGCAAAGTGAGTTTCATATACTCTGGAAAAATATTTGAGGATAAAAAAGTGGCTCTAGTGGCAACAAATACATTGATTTGAAATGCCTGTGAAGAATTTAAAGTTATTTTATGAATTATTAAAAGGAAATAGCAGTATTCAAAATTGATATATTATTTTATATAATATGTAATTTTAAAATATGTGTGTTTAACTGTATTAATACATTAAAACATCTAAAGTAGAATTGGCTAATTTCTCTATAACCCTAAAGTTTCATATATTCAAGTTGGACAAAATTCTTAACTTTGAATCTTCTAATTAAGAAAATAGGAGCTTACTTTATTATATGTTTATATATATTTATACAAATATAATTGTATATTTGTATATATACCATTTGTATATCTGCTGTGGTTGCTGCAGTGTTTAGCTTATGGCTATTATTGCTATTAAAATACAATGCTCACCTGTGACCCTCCCTGCCAACCTCAGAAAAGCTAAAGTCTTCCTCCGTTTTCATTACTTAAACTTTAGAATGCATTGATTTCAGGTCACATACTGAAATATTCTTGAGATTGAGTTGTGATGGAAATAGAATGAGGGCATATAAGGAATGGGATGTGGAAGTGGATCCAAATCATCATATACATATATGATGACTTTAAATAATGAAAAAGTTGTAAGTACAGGTGTGTTCATCATAATAATTTTCATAGTAGGAAAAATTTAGAAGTTGCCTAAATGCTCAACCATGAAGAGAACTGATTGAGTAAACTATAATGTAGCTCTAGATACAATATTAACATAGCTTATTAAAATTATTGAATAGGAAAAATATCCAATAGCATGGAAAATTGAATATGTAATGGATACAAATGTGTATATGGAGTATGATTACATATACAGAGTATATGTAATATATGTATATGTAATATACATATATGGAGTATATGTAATACACGATTACATACACAGAGTATATATAATCATATACATACAGTATATAATGAATTCTAGGAGGGAAAGAGCTCACTGAGTTTAGCTCCCAACCAATGTAGACAACCTTCCCAGTGTAGTCATCCACCGAACTCATCCACTGACAAGGATGCTTGTTTCACTGTTGAATGGCTATCAGCTCTTACAAAGCTATTCCTGCTATTGAAATGAAATTTCTTTCCAGGCATCTTTTTTCCTCTATTGGGCCTAATTCTGCTGCAATGCCTTTCCCCATGGTCAGGCTAATGTTCTCTCTGGTTGTCTGCTCCAGCTGGACTTCTCCCTGGACAGAGGAAAAGAAGTGTCCACTGTGGGAGGCTCCAGACTCTCTGTGTATGATCCACACTGAACCTCCAAACAAAGAGAGAACAAACCTCTGTCTTTCATTTTGGGCAGTGTTCCTCAGGCTTGGAAAATTCTGCTGTGGTTGCTGCAGTGTTTAGCTTATGGCTATTATCTTTATGAAAATACAATGCTCACTAGCGACCCTCCCTGCCAATCTCAGAGAAGCTAAAGCCTTCCTCTGTTTTCATGACTCAAACATTAGTACGAATTGATTTCAGGTCATTTCTTGAGATTGAGGTTTGATGGAAATAGAATGAGAACATATGAGGAATGGGATGTGGAGGAGGGCCCAAGAAAATGGCCCAGACAGATGAGGATGGGGAGCCACAGATGACCTACTTCACTGTTTACAATGGGCGGACAGCTAGCAGCTTCCCGAACTATTGCCAAGACTCTGCATCATTCCAGCCACAGTGAAGCACAGTGTGTGTGTGTGTGTGTGTGTGTGTGTGTGTGTGTGTATTCTGCACTAGCACCCCTTGAATTCTCATATTTTCTTTCAGAGCTCCGAAGGAAATACACATTCTAATACTAACGGTGACATTTTCTGAGGAAGTCAGGTTAATATGAATTCACATGATAAATATTCTGCATCCACATCATTATTTTTCTCCTTGCAAAAATGTTTCTCTCCTTGCACTTTGTCCTCTTCCTTCCTATCTTTCTTAGCCTTACTCAGTAGGCAGTGCACATCAGGGACCACTTTCTTGGGGGAAAAAGTTAAAAAGTCTGCACACTTAGGGGTGGCCAGGGTACCATCTGGTACAAATAGTTGCAGTACAAGGACATTCTTGCAAGGCCTGGCACAGACTAGTGATGATATCCTGATAAGCAGAATCCCCATTCACATTGCTCTACATGCAGAGAGGGGCCTATCCAGGGTATGACCATGATGTGGGAGTCACAGTTGGGCAAGGACAGGGTATAGGAAGGCATTATGTCAAAGCTACAGGTAGAGCTGCAGATTTTCCTAGTGTACACGTAAAGTTGTAATGCCAACCTTCCAATAATTCTTTTAACTCTGTCTTAGCCTTCTTATGGCTTAGTAGTAATCTCTTAATTTCCAACATAGTGAATTAAATCCCTGGAGATGCTCGGGAGAAAGTCTCCTAGTCTTTCTCTTTGACAGTTGTTAAATGATTGATGGGATCACACGTATGGGAATATCTAAGAAGCTGATTCTCACGCTGCGTTCTGGTGGAGGCTTCCTGGGTAGTTGGTTGTTGTGACCCACATCTGTTGTAAATTGGCTCAAAGCCTGCAGGTTTTGTTTTCTGAATTGGAAAGGAACTCAAATGTGGGGTGTTAAGGGTACAGGGGACCACAGGATGTGGACATTCTGGTTCTCTGGTGCCTCATAAGGAAGATGCATCTGTTAGATCAAGCAGCTGGTGAGAAGACCAAGTCAGCAGTGGGCACGGGCAGTTTCCCAGCACTCAGGCCCCATCTGTCCCACCACTCTCCACTTTTTTCTTAGAATATGAGCTTCTCCAGGTTTATTAGCCAAGCTGTATAGTTAGATCTGACTGCGGGTGTCAGGGTGATGGTGTAAATACTGCTGAACAAGGAGATCCTTCCTCCATATGTGATGGAGACCAAATGTCTTTGGGTGTGGAAGACAAAGAGTCATGGCAGAATTATCCTAACGCTTCCTGGCAAGCAATTTATCCAGAGAGAGTCATAGTAGGAAGAAAGCTTTTCCATTGTTTTTCCATTAAAATAGAGGTTAGTAAATCTTGGTACAAAATTGTCTCCCCTCTACACAGTCAATTGGCATTGATAGCTGAGTTAATTACTGTATCTAGGAGACAGTCTCAATTTTTATCATTGAATTCTGTGTATGCAGAAGCAATGCACAGGAACTGGGGAAATATATTCAAATGGAAATATAGAGTGATTTAAGACTTGCTTTATACATAGTCTTTGGCATCTTTGTGTTGGAGAGGGGAAGGTTTTCATCTGGAGTCACATTCACTTATGCCACTTTGGGCCTCCACACTAACACAAGAGTGTGTTGGCTTGTACTTGGTTACTTCTGAGTAGATGAGGCTTGCCATAAACCCACTGGAGAATGAGGTATGATATTAGGAAGACAAAAGTAGACTACAGAGTTGGAGTCGTCTAAGGTGACAGTGCTTTTTCTTCCATTGAAGGTGTATGATCTGGATATCTCCCATTTATAGTCCACAGAACTGCTACATTGGAGTCTTTACCCAGGAGCCTCAGAGGACTCAAATATCCTGAAGAATCTAAGATTCAGTTCTGAGCCTTTACAGGAGCAATATGTTGATAGCTCAACCTTTTCCAATAACAAGTCACAGTGATGAAGTAGCTGGACCTGGATTTACGCAGGAACTCCTTAGTCTTTTGGAGCCAGACACTTTTAAGGGTCATAACATCAGTGGAGTTCAGGCTCAGTCTCAAAATGCTGCTCTGAGAAAAATGCTCACAAACGTCGCAAGGTGGTGCTAAATTTCAGACACACATGAGTTTGGGGTGGGACAGAGAAGCAAGCAACAGCAACAACAAAAAAACCCTCCAAAACAGAGTAAGGAGACCCGTTTTACATCACTTTCCTATTGAGATATAAATGGTCTTAGAATGATCATTGTTGGAGGTGTAAGGCTCAGGGTGGGAGAGAGTGGGAGGAGAACTAAGAGGTGGGAAATTTGAAGAGAATCAATACTCTGAGTAGATATCAAAGTATGATTTTAAAAAATATAGGCTCAAGGATTAAGAACAGACTGAGATATTTATAAATAAATGCTGCAGAAAACACCAAGTGAATGACTGGGTATGGAACAATAATATTGAGATCTTTTTTTTTTTTTTTTGAGACTGAGCCTCACTTAGTTGTCCAGGCTGGTCTTGAACCCCTGGCTCAAGCAATCCTCCCACCTCAGCCTTCTGAGTAGATTGAGAGTGTCTTTTGCTGATGTCCTGTTCCAAGGCAGTGCAGGCTTGAGCTCTTTGCTCCTGACAGCTGCCTGGGATAACAGAGAAATGAAGGAGGAAATCTCTTTATAAAGGTTTCTAAAGAAATTAAAAAAATTAACTTGTACATTGACTTTGTAATGGAAGTGAGAACATACAGGAAAGCCCTTTGGGGAGTTAGCTTTAGAAGGGAAATACCGGGAAATACAAGTAAGACAAGGCACTTACAGAAAAAGTAGAAATTTCATGTTTAATAAATGGTCAAATTTAACATAGCTCTGAATATATAATTTTCCATTAGAATATTGGTAACAACATTGCAGTAAACTTGAGTCTGGGTACCCCGCACTGAGTAAAAATGGTAGATTCTATTTTGTGTGAGTTCAGTCAAAGAGACATGGGGGACAATTAGTCCGGTCTCTGCTTCTGTTGTTTAGCAGAGCCTCCAGCCCGGAAGCACACTGAGATGTCTTGTGTTTTTCAGATCTTTAATTTTTGAATGCTGTACTGTACCCAAGGACCTCGCTTTTTTTCACTGTGCATATGCATGATGTGGGACATCCCATATTGGAGACACAGATGACTTATTGAAAGCCCTGCCTAAGACTTAATTAATATCAGCATTTCAAGTAGCTTGCAAGATTGGATTCTGTGGCTATATACTATAGGAATATAGACTTCCTGGTCTTTTTCTTACTGCCTCCAAATATAACCAGATAATCCTCTGTCTGGTTTCTTGGGAGCCACTTGTATCTTACTTTCTTGCAGGAACATTCTAAAGGGTTCCTTCAGAAAACTTGGGAAAGTGTAAGACTAAAGACAAACCACAGCCTGAAGCCTAGGCTGCTGACTTGAGCACAGATGGGAGAATGTTAACAGCCAAGAAATATGAGGTCTTTGGCTCTTTTCCCAGAACTGCCAGGCTAAGACCTTGGCAGAGACTCAACAGGAAACTGAACTCTATTTGCATATCCTTTTATACATGGGAGATTAAAAGCTTCAACCTTGAGTGATCACAGTTTTTGAGAATCATGATGAGGCATTAAAGAAGAGGAGGAGTGTCTCAAGGGAGGTGAGCTGGAGGTGATGCAAGGTAGGTGTGAGGTTAGCCACGACTTTCAATCCCCTTTGATTAATCAAGAGTGTATTTCGTTTAGTTCCTTTTTTCGATTTTATCCTTACTGGGTCACATAAAGGAATCAGCTGCAGGAATCCATACTCCTGTATCTCAGGAATCTTTCAAATTTGTTCTCCTATGTCCCACGGCTTGTTAGTGCTGAAGGAAACTTAGAGACAATCTAATGTGAACTCTTTACTGTACAGATGAGAATCTGAGGTGCAAAGAGGTTAACTGACTTGTCTACAGTCACACACAAAGTGAAGAGTAAGAGTTCTGACACCTGAATGAATTTTTTTCTTTCCAGCAGACTGCTAGCTCTTTTTAGCAGGTGGAAGTTTCCTCAGATCTCAGAAAGCTTCTTTCCAATGTGTGATTTGGCGCAGATATCCTGAACTATCTTTCCTCATCAGAACATGCATTTCTGGCAAGACAGTGGCTCTCATTCCCTGGCTTTTCCCCCCAGTTTCCCTAGATCAGGTCCCTATAATTCTTTAGTGGAAGAAGCCAAAGAACAGGAATTAGGCTATTTATCCTTGGAATTCATTTAGAAAAACTTGGTTTTTCTTGGCCAAGCACTACAGTGAAAACTAACTTCATGTAGACAGCATGGGCCAAATGAGGATGGACAGCTGACTCATCACAGGTCAGTAATTAATATTATAGTTTCCCTTTTAAGGATGGGAGAAGATCTCTGTTCCTAAATGGATGCAAGAATTAAATGTGTCCTAGAGCATCCATAAAGCTGGGTAAGGATGAACTTTCTGAAGACTGAGACTCCTTTGTGCAACTCTTGTCTCAGACATCTGAACCAAGTTTGTTGGAGAAGGTTTGATGTAAAAAATTCATTCATGCAGGGCGTGAGGTCTCATGCCTGTAATCCTGGCACTCTGGGGGGCCGAGGCAGGGGCATCACTTGAGCTCAAGAATTTAAGACCAGCCTGAGTAATATAGGAAGACCTTGTCTCTACAAAAAATTAAAAAATGACCCAGGCATGGTGCTGCACACCTGTAGTCCCAGCTACTTAGGAGGCTGAGGCGAGAGGATCACTTCAGCCCGGGAGGTTGAGGCTGCAATGAGCCATGGTCATGCCTCTGCACTCCGACCTGGGCAATAGAGCGAGACCCGGTCTCAAAAAAAAAAAATTACTCTCCCTGTTACTATTGGTGAAGCTGACATTGACCTGTGTCACCTTCATCTCTGCAAATGAAGGGCAATGAGGGCATCATCTCTTGTTGGGGAGCTAGACCCTCCCAGTGATGGTCTTGCCTTTGGGACCTTCACTATCATTAGTGCAGGGAAAGGATTTAGAGAGGTTGTGTGGGAAGAACATTCCTGAGGAGGTATTTTTATAAAAAATGTGCTGATAGGCACTTTAGATTTCTTGGTTTGGAAAAATGCTGGTGGTCATTGGCCATGTTCTCTCCCATTCTAGCTTTTCTGTCTTTTCTGTCTCCTTCTGTCTGGAGTAGAGGGTGAAACCGCTCTACTGCAGACCATCGGGTGCTGAAAGGAATGGAGTTAGTATTATTGAGCACCTCTGCTTTGTAGTCACTCAGGTACTTACTTGCAATTATTTAATTTGATCATTATGATAACTCTATGCAATTATTATCCTTATTTTGTGGATGAGGGAATAGAGGGTTAGAAAAGTTAAAGCAACATTTTTCAAGGTCACAGAACTATGAAGTGAGGGGTTGTGATTCTATTTTTCTCTGATTCCAGAGCCTATGCTTTTTTCACTACTAAAAGAACTTACTTATAAAAACTCATATGTGTCCGGGCATGGTGGCTCACATCTGTAATCGTAGCACTTTGGAAGGCCAAGGCAGGTGGATCACCTGAGGTCAGGAGTTCGAGACCAGCCTGGCCAACGTGGTGAAACCTCGTCTCTACTAAAAATACAAAAAATAGCTGAGCGTGGTTGTGCCTGCCTGTAATCCCAGCTACTCGGGAGGCTGAGGCAGGAGAATCACTTGAACCTGGGAGGCAGAGGTTGCAGTGAGCTGAGATTGTGCCATTGCACTCCAGCCTGGGCAACAAGAGTGATACTCCGTCTCAAGGAAGAAAAAAAACCAACAAAAACTTATATGCAGTTTATAGCCCAAATTTGTAAACTTGTCCATTTTAAGGTAGGTGAAAGGATCTTGCCAAAGTTAGGGGCAATTTGCAATTCATTGTTTTTAAATTTGACACACATTAATATTTTTGTGAATGATTAAGGCTATTTATTTTTGTATATCGCTTTACCTACCTGGACTGCATTGCCACCTAGAAGGTGGCAGGAGGTAGTTGTCTGGAATGTGGAGAACACTCCGCTGCCATTTTTCTTTCACTTTGGCATGATCACATGGTTTACCCTTTCTGTCTTTTCTTAGCCCTTGACTTCTAGGATATTGGAGGAAAGAGACAGAAGTACAGTATATCACTTTACCTGTCTGCACTATATGTGTGATGTTGGAAAAGTCACTTAATTTCTTCATTCATCAGTTTCTATGTCTTCAACCAAAGAGGTGGAGCCTGATGGTAATTGGTTTCTCATTGCTCTGACACTCTGAGTGTGCATATGTGGGGGTGGACGTCCTCCATACAGAAAGCAAAATGATGGTTTTGATGCTGAGAAATGGACTAGCTATGAACTCAAAGATTTTACATTGATTCTTACTACAGAGGTGGGTTATTGTTATTGTACCAGTTCTCTAATTTCAACGTACAGAGGCAGCTACACTGGCCTTCGTGGTTTTTTTCTGTGTCCTTATTTATGAACTTGGTGCATAAAACCCTTCTTCATTTCCTTAGATGACTGAGGCAGTTAATCCTTTATTGATCACTCACGATTATAACACAGGTGTTATGCAAACACAGTGAGGTCTTTATGCCCGAGGAGGCCTTCGCTGTGACAGAGCTTCTGACAACACACACTCAGGCTGTGTCTCCTTTGTACTGTCCCTGGGGCTGCTGACTTCCCTTCTCACTGCCTCTAAGTAAAACTTCTCACTCCTGTCAGGTGGCAGGTAAAGACAGAAACTGACTCTAGGGCCTACCTTAGGCCGTGTGATCCCAGCACACTCAGAGGTCCTGGAGGGTGAATCCCTAAAGCTGAGCTAGGGATGGTAAAGGCACTCCAGCCTTCTCCATAGTGGCTCCACAGTCCTCAGGTTTCTCTATGATTGGCTTTTTGGAGAAGCCAGAAAAGAAAAACCAAGAACCCCACTGAGGTGAACACATGATTGATTTCAGCTCCACAACTGAGTGAGACAGTTTTTGGGAGGCACATCAACCTGCAGGTATAGATGAGGCTGCAGGTTCTTTTCCGGGGCTGCTAGAGTGGAGTCATCTGGGGACCAGTGAGAGAAATGCATCACTCACTTTGTATTCTTATCCCTGTGGTTGGGGAAGAAACACTCACCAGTCCACAGAATGTGGTCACGTGACTAGGGAGAGACTCAAGGCAAAGGGCTCAAAATGCCATGCCCCATTTTCCGTTTGTCAATAATCAGTGCTGTCATCTTCCTGTTCATGTTGTAAGTTTTGATCTTTTCAGGACTGCTTCCTTGCCAAACCCTCGCGTCCACTCCCCAACACACTTTGTGCTAATTAATGGCATTTCATCGCTTGATTTTGAAAAATGAAAGTGTGAACTACTTGTGAAAGAGCTCTTAGCAAGATAAGAAAGAAAAAATGACTCCTTATCTCCCTAACCTACAGAAAAGCTGGTATGATTATGTCTTAAGAATGTGCATGAAAATGTTATTTCTAACAGAGGGAGTCCAGCAAACATCCACACTCCAAATACTGGGCTCCCTGCCTACACGCAGGCCTTTGCTGAAATGTCACCTTCTTATTGTATCCCTTCTTGACAACCTGATTTAAAATTGTAATTTCTGCAAGCCTGCTGACAACACTCTCTCTCTCCCCGCCTGTTTTACTCCTCTCCATGGCAATTATCTCCATCTGACATATATTTTACTTATTTTATTTTGTGTTTATTTCCACTGAAATATAAGCTCCTGAGATTCTGAGAGCTGTGCTTCCATTGTGTCTAGAAAAGCGTCTGGCACATATGAGGTACTTAATGAATTGTTACTGAGTGAATGCTGCTATATTCTATGAAAGCAACTTTAATTTCCAAAAGACTGTACTTTGGGTTTTTTTTCTTAATAATTTGTTGCCCTAGTAATATATTTAGACTGACATTTCTTTTCTGAAAGTTATAAATACTCATGCAATTTTGTCCTTAAGCCAGAAAGATAATTTAAACTTTCCCTATTCTCCCATATGCATGCAGGTAAAAAGAAAACTTATGACTGTTAGATTTCTTATTTAAACATGGAGTTTGAGAACCTGGCTTTATTTAAATTAATACAAGCAATTGCATGTTGGCTTGACTTCCTTTGCCCTGTCACTGGGTCTTTTTTCTATCAAGTCGAGCATGCTGGGTGGCACACTGTTCCACTGGCTGACTGTTGCCTTGGAGCCTTGCAGCATCCAGGGCACGCCTTCAGAGAATCCCTGCAGTGTTTCATGCACTGGAATGTACGCTGTTACCGCTCATAAACCTATGTGTTTGTGGATGTGTAAATTGCTAAAAAGCCCAAAAAGACCCAGTGGATTCTGTATTCTTGAAGAATACCAAAATCATTTGGTGGCAGTGGTGATAAAGTGAGAGGGAGTTAGGAATCGCCCCTTTGTTTAGGAAACTGTGTTATCGTGGCTTTTCATTGTGAAATAGCATGCCCCAGCCAGTCTGTTTGGAGAGAAGCGTTGCGAAATTCCTTTGTGAAATAAAACAGAAGTGTTTCGCTTTTTCTTTGACAGCCTCAGACTCAGGGCTGGGACCCTTGGGACTCAAAAGAGAGAAAAGGTGGAGAAAAGAGAAAGCTACTATTTTCTTCATTTTGCCCCTGCTAACATCCAATGCACTTAGGAGCCTCGATGTCTGCTCTCCAAGAGTAAGTTATTTGGTGTTCCAGAGTACTCTATAATCAACTCTTCAGAAAATCTTGTTACGGTCAGTAGCATTTTTTTAGTGGGTAGATGAGGCTTGGGGAGAACATCTCAGAAGGCAGAGTCCGCACCAGCCTTGTGCACCACTGTGTCCCTGGCATCCAGCTCAGTGCAGGGTACGTAGCACTCACTCATATGTATTTCATTCCCTCATTCATTTAATACATTTATTGAGTGTCTGTTATGGGCCAAAGTTATTCTAAGTGCTGGAGTTAAAGCAGTGAACAAAACAGACAAAAACTCATCTCTGCCATCAAGGACCTTGTATTCCAGTGGAGAGCCAGACAACAAAATATAAACAAGTAAAATATGTAGCATGCCAAATAGTGATAAATGCTGTGGAGAAAAATTAAGCAGATATGAGAGATGGTATTTACTGAAAGAATGAATAAAGTGCTCTGACAAAAAAAAAAGCTGTATAATCCTATCATTTCAATTAATATTTTAGGGTAATGTGTTGAATTGAAGAGTAGGAAAGGAGCTTTGATTCTGAGTTTGTTCACCTTGTCATTATGGAAAATTTATCATTGAATATGTATTGTTTAAGATACTGCAGTGGACTAAGACCCTAACTAAAGCAGAGACATTTAGTTAGAAATTAATTTCTATTCTTTACACGGTGGCTCCTGCACCTTCATCCACCGCAGTGTTTTCTGGTACCCGTGTGCTCACTTTTGAATGCAGAGAATTGTGGTTGTCAGATCTCAAGCCCCATTGCTGCCTCTGTATAAGTGATAAGTCGATGACAACGGAAGAGACAAACTTGCACACTTTGCTTGACAGCAAAGATATATGTGGGTGGTAAAGTCACCAACTCTATGGACCTGACAGAAACCCAGGGAATTTTTCTAGCTCTCATTATGCCGGCCTTGGACCCCTATGGTTTTCGCTCCAGGCAAGCCCCTGAAAAGGAGAGGAAAAGGCAGTGAATCCATGAGCACCCCGAGGATCTAAGGGAGTCCAACAAGAGACTACCTTTGACAAGCATCAGAAGGAGGGAATATGTGGGCCAGTCTCTCATGTTTCTCATGGTGTACCCTGGGAGAAAAGCTGCTGACCTAGGGGTGGTGCTCAGGAGTGTGAGTGGCAGTGGGCTGGGGAGTAGCTGTCTTCCTTCAGTCAGGGGAGTGAGCCATCTCGGGAGAACAACCTGGAAGCTGAAATTACAATTGGTGTTTTAAAGCAGGGGAGAGGAGGCAGGGGGAAGGAGTTGAAGACCTCCTACTATCCCTTCTTCTGGAAACTGGCCAAGGAGTCAAGAGCAATCTTTGCATGAGCAAAGATGACCAGACTTCACATACCTGTTCCCAGCCATCCTTTACATGAGATGTTGCTATAGGTAAGGTATTTCTTTAGGACATTCCGCAGCTCCCAGCCCAGTATCCCAGCCAGGACAATCAGGCTTCAAGTCAGATCCGGATCCTGGCTCTGCTTCTGTAAGCAAGCTGTCCAGCCTGTCTGAGTCTCAGTATCCTCACTTGCAAAACAGAAAGGATGATAATGACCTCACTGAGTTGTCATAGGATAAGTGAGTCCATACCTGTAAAGTGGCTGCATTTCGTTGGTGCTCAGTAATTTAGTTCACTTTCTTCTCAATTATTCTTCCTTGCAGTTTGCTTTTTCTTATAATAGGTAACATTTATTAAATAGCTACTATAAGCTATGCAATTTATTTACTTTCTATAATTATATATTTTATAACACAGTGAAGGTAGAACTCTTATTATCCCCATTTCACAGATGAAGAGATGCAGATGATTTTAGAAGACAGTGTGAAGCTTGTGTCAGGATCACAAAATCTCAGTTAGAAAACACTTGAGAGGTCATTTGGGACCATTGTTCTGTTGTCCCAGTTTTTTGACAGATGGTCACGGGAGTATCAATTGGAACAGGTTTGGTGGTGAGGGCACAGCCCCTGTTGTCCCTTGGTTCTGACACATCCTGAAGGTGGCTTTCTCTATGGGTCCCCCATCTCCCCAAATTACATGCTGTGTCCTCTGGTGCAGCATCAAGAGTCTGAAATCTGTCACCCTCCCTTACTAGCTATGCTACTTTGGGCAAGTATTTTAGGTTTTCTGTGCCTTGGGGTTCTCATTTGTAAAATGAGGACAAGAATAGAAAGTAAATACTAAGGTTGTTGTGAAGATTAATCATATAACACACGTTAAGTGCTTAGAATGCTGCCTGGCACATAGTAAGCACTCAACAGATATTAGTTATTAATACGGAAGACATACAGTCTTATGGATTTGTCCAGATATTTTTTCCCCTCCTTCTCCTTAGAGACACTCTTCCCAGTCTCTGTTAGAGGGAGTCACTTGGGGTCTTACTAGGAATCCATCTTGCAGGCGTTATAAAACCATGGCTCCACAACTTTGACATCTGCATAACCAGTTTTCCAGATGTCATTCTTTTTCCAAATCATGATTTCAAACTAGGAGAATAATTGTATCCTCTCCATGTTGGAGATGCACTCCACCTTCTTGCCTATCATTTGTTCAAAGAAGGAGAATTAGATCTGAGTGGCAGGCAGTGGGCTTGATGAATCATGACAGGCCCTCTGTTTAAATACATCTGGGGAAGGCTGGGTCCAAACCCCTTCCAAGATCGTGGAGCTCAGAGTGCTGTATCTGGATGGGGATTTGGGAACCCGATTTTGTCCAAGGGCAGAGCCAGTATCCAGGGCCTTGCAGACCGTTCAACCAAAGAAGTTGCCCAATGGGGTGGGGCAGAAAGGTAGAAGGCAGGTTCCAGGCCTATGTTGGGATCATGCATCAGGTCAAAGTGAGTGAGTTTGGGATGAAGAGTAGAGAAGAGAGATTTTCTGAAGGTTTAGAATATAGCTATTTGGGGAGATAAATGATAAGAGCTCATGGGGGCAGTCATGACTAAAATGCATGGAACAACGACACATTATAACATATATATATAACATGTATTATATATATGAAAGGTCAGGCAGAATCATGAGAGGAGAGAGGATTGGGAAGACACTTGGCAAAACAGTGAAAAGCCCTGACTGAAACCAAATAAGGTGTGGCAAGCCCTGTCAGCCTCTTTGTACTTCTGTGGAAGATATTTGACTAGAGGATATTTGACTAGAGGGGTTTGTTGAAGAACATTTTGTGTAGACGTTGCCTGAAGTAGTCCAAAGAAGCCTAAAAAATCCATTTTGGGTTTAAACAAATATTTTTACAAGTGTATTGAGGTATACTTGATGTGAAATAAACTGTACACATTTAGAGTGTCTAATCTGATGAGTTTGATATGCCTGTACATCTGTGAAACTATCACCGCAATCAAGTCACTGACCATGTCTATCACCACAAGTTCTTATGAGGTTATTTAACAAGGTAAGTGGTAGATTTTCTAGATGAGGACAGAAGGAAGGCTGATTTCTGCCACAGGTTCAGCCTTGGAGTAGAGAGCCCCGTCAATCATCTAAATCTGGAAAAACACATTGTTCAAGATAAAAGTGCAGTGTTAAATTGAGCTGTCCAAAGAAGGATAAGGAAGTGCCAGTGGAAGCAATTTTTCAACGTTTTGTTTCTAGCACATGTGGAAGTAAAGAGATAGAGAAGAAAGGGAGAGCAAAACACCATATCCAGCTTGGGCCCAGGAGTGTGAGGCTGCAGTGAGCTATGATCACGCCACTGCACTCTAGCCTGGGGGACACAGCAAGACCCCGTCTCATGAAGAAAACAAAACAAAGCAAAACAAAATATCCAGTCAGTAATCATCAAAACAACAGAGCATGCTAGAGATGCTAGAGATGTAGCCTTTCCTTCCATGTTGGGCAAAATGACAGGTAGTGTACATATTTGATCTGAAGGAGGGAGAGGAGCCTCCCCCCACTGCCAGTCCTTTTCCTCTAGAACATGTAAATTCAGAGGCATGTGGCTGGGGAAAAACTGGATGTCACCCATAGTTGTAAATTGTAAGGTGCCTCCTTAATCTATGCTATACTCTAAGCACTGTGGCTCTGTGGTCATACCTTTTATGAGCCTCCAAGAAAACTGTCACAGTAGATGCTACAGTTCATTCCTTTGGCTCCATCTCTCCTCTCTTCTGTCCCACTGGGGGCTGCCTATCTGAGCACCATGGGAGGGCACGGGCAAGCTGAGTGGCTGAGCCTGAAAGAAAGGTAGAAACACTAGCTTTCTCTGGTCCCTATTTCCTAAATTATTTATTCAAGAGAAAATCACGATCTTGTTGGAATTGCTGCTCTACATGGATGGCAATGTTCTTTTTTTTTTTTTTTTGAGATGGACTCTTGCTCTGTCTCCCAGGCTGGAGTGCAGTGGCATGACCTCGGCTCACTGCAAGCTCCGCCTCCCATGTTCACGCTATTCTCCTGCCTCAGCCTCCTGAGTAGCTCGGACTGCAGGTGCCCGCCACCACGACCAGCTAATTTTTTTTTTTTGTATTTTTAGTAGGGACGGGGTTTCACCGTATTAGCCAGGATGGTCTCGATCTCCTGACCTCGTGATCCACCCACCTCGGCCTCCCAAAGTGCTGGGATTACAGGTGTGAGCCACCGCGCCTGGTCAGTGGTTTTTGAGCTGCTCAGAAGTAGAGCTGCAGCAGGGTGGGTGTCACAGGCACAGTAGTAAGACCCTTCATCTCTCTCTGATGGTGCAAGTATCTTAAGTACAGCCAGGTTCTTTGCAATATCAATGTCACCTTGGAAATTGTCTTTGAAACCAGGGCCATAGATGTCCTTTTCTCGGTATATGAAAGTCATTGTGTTACCTTGGGTCTTCCTGTACCAGTTGATATAGTAGTTACCGATCGCTTCTCCTTTCATGGAGCACCTGAGGGTGGCAGGGACCCCTATTGACACAGGCACTGTTTGGTGTTCAGGCACCAACTCAATGGCTGACATGACTCCTGAGAGAAAAGACACAAGAGAGGGGCTCAGTGAGGGCTGGGGGCTGAGGTCATTGAGTAAGGAGCACAGTCCATGAGTACAAGGTCCTGTGAGCCTTGATGTTTCTTTGCTGCTGAGTCTTGCTTGGCCCAAGTTCTGGGGTCTGCCTTACCTGCCCAGAAGAGAGAGAGATGGATGAGGGAGGAGATCCTCTGCATGGCTCACTCAGGGGCAGCTCTGCCTCTCAACCACCTTCTGCCTGGTCCCTCCTCTGAACCAACACACTTGTGAAACACTTGTGACTGAGGAAGTCAGTCCCTATCAGCAGCTGTTTCATTCCCCAGAGAAATCTAGCTGATCACAGGAGGCTCGCAGGGCCTGCTGCCTGCTAATGGGATGACAGTGCCACCTTCAAGACCAATAGTACGGTTCAGGTAAGTTAGGCCAACTGAGAGGAGATTAAGGCAGCTTATTTAATTGGTGACAGGGTTTCTGCTTCCTTCCCTAGACGTTAAATTTGATATTGTTGTTCCAGTTTCAGGTTAGATGTACATGTTAGACACTATGTGGTGATGTTCATAGTTCATACCAAGAAGAATTATTGGCATTTACAGCTGTAATCAAAAGAACCACCAAATGAGGAGATCAACAGCATGTGCACAAAGACTGAAGATGTTGTAATGATTGTTGTGTTCACTGCAAACTCCCTCTAGGCAAAGTTGGATAAGGGTGATTTACCCATGTGTTAAAGAGCAATCCAATGAAACATGGTCTTCCAAATGTGAGCCAGAGTTTCCTGATCTTTATTGAGCTCATCTAGCTTCTTTTCTGAAGGGTTCTTAGGTTACCTGTGTTAAATTACACAAAGCCAAACATTGTAAAAAACTTAGAAACCACCACTACATCTCAACTTATGACGGGCTAAATTTACATGGACTTCAAAAGAGGGGAGGTTAGGATTTTTGGGACCTCCACTTTTGAGTTTAAAGGTCAATCTTTGAAATTTTGAAATCAAACAGGTAAATTAATAATGAGAACTAGAGAGTGCAGCAGAAGCTGGGAAGAGAGTCACCTGGTAAGCAAAAAGGCAAGAGCAAAGGTGGCTTCCATATTGGAGGGTGGATGCAGGACTTACATTCCCAGGTTAGTGGAGGAAAGACTCATCTAAGCTTTCTTAAGTTCCCCAGTGTGACTGGGAACAGACTGCCCTGAAAAAAATTCAGATAGGAGCAGATGAAGTTTCTTGACCCCATAGTAGTTGCTCTCCCCACCCACCTCTGCCTCGCCTCACTTTGCACAACTGCCCATCCTGCCTACTGCTCTTGGAGGACTATTAGCAAGTATTCAAGGTGGTCACATTCTTTGATGTTACACATTATATCATCAGCAACCCTGTCCCCCAGCAGAACATAATGCTGTCTGCTGTCTATAGCTCTTTGAAAGTTGCCAAGGTCAATCTGTTTGGACTTAAATACTTGACCTTTTTCTATCAGGCTGCTTAGTTCTTGGCACATCCTATAAAACCTAGTCATTCTTACTATATGCCAGGCCCTGAGGATTCAGGGTCTGCCATTGATGAATGGCAGACACAGTGTTTTCTTTCATGGAGCTTATGTTCTAGCATGAGAGCCAGTCATCACTTAATAATTTGCATAATTTATCCCTCCATTGCAGCTATAAATATTCTGCAGAAGCAGAAGGACTATGGGAGCATGTTACAGAGGCCAGGTTTGGTCAGGAGGTCAGGGAAGGCTTCCCTGAAGAGGAAGTGGCATTGCAGTTGAGACTGAGTCTGTTTGCCTCTGCACATCCACTCTACTTCTTACTCTGAGCCTGACCTTAATTGGCAGCATCCACCGGCTCTCCATCCCATTTGGTTTGGCCAATGGAGACACCTTCAGGAGACTGGAGGGAAGGAGGAGAGTGCCTTCCTTCACTGGAAGCTATAACTCCTCTTCCACAGCTGCAGGTTTCAGTAAAGGCTCCTCCCCTACACGCTTCAGGCCTGGCATGGCAGCGGTTCTTTGTTGCCAGCCCTGGGTGTTTCACCACCTTCTTTTTGGTTTCCCATAACCCTTCTGTATTAATTTCCTGTAGCTGCCTTAACAAAGTACCACAAACTGGGTAGTTAAAACAATATAAACGTATTGTTTCACAGTTCTGGAAGCTGAAAGTTTGAAATCAAGGTGTCAGCAGGGCCATGCACCCTCTGAAACCTGTAGGGGAATCCTTCCTCACCTCTTCCTAGATTTTGGTGGTTTGCTGGAAACTCTGATGGTCTTTGGCTTGGCTCGCACCTGTATCACTCCAGTCTCCGCCTGCACTGTCTCATGGTTTTCTCTCCCTGCGTGTCTTTGTCTTCACTTGGCTGTCATATAGAATGCCAGTCATATTGCATTAGGGGCCCACCATACTCCAGTATGAACTCATTTAAGGTAACTACATCTGCAGTGACCCTATTTCCAAATAAGATCACATTCTAAGGTACTGAGAGTTAATGTGTCCCTTGGGGGACACATTTCAATCCATAACACCTGTCCACAGCTTTGTAAAAGTCCCTTTCATTAAACTCTCTCTAATCACTCCGAGAGTGCCCTGTCTCCTGCTTGGACCCTGCCTGAAACAGGTATGGGGCATGGGTGGGGAAATAACATTCTATGTAACAAATGAGGACATGTATTAAAAAAGCCTTGAGGCAGAAAGAAGTATAGAGGGTTTAAAGCTGTATTAATATCAAAAGAGTAGTTAGCAGGGCTCAAATAAGCCTGTCTTTCTAGAAAATTATTGTTGAACTATCTCAAATTATTCAGGAAGTCATTTTGAAAAGTCCCAAGAATGTGTATTATGTTTATGACTGTGATTTATATCTTCCACCGGTTAGAGGGAATTTTAAGAATTTATTGCTAATGGCCAAAAACAACCTTCCTCTAGGCCTGACTAAGAGAGAAAGCTGGTATGAACAATAAATCAAAGCCAGAGGTAGAAGACAGTACAGGAGAGGACAGGTGATGATGCGGCGGGAGCTTGGGGCAGAGTGTGGCTAGTGCTTCACCAGGTCAGGAGCAGTCAGCTTGGCCTGGGCCTGTGGCAGGACAAGATGGAACTTCAACAAAAACACAGCCTGTCTCAGGGTGCCCAGGTGGAAGGCAGAAACATCCACCAGGGCTCTGCCCTCAGACCCAACCCTCCTCCGGCCCTGTGTAGGCTGTGTTCTTTGTGCTCAGTCATTCCTTCGTGTCAAGGCCAGCAATTAGGCCACAGCTTCCTTGGTCCTGCCAAGGGGATGTCTGTCCCTTCATGTGATTTCTAGAAAAAACTAATTTTTTTATACTCCGTAAAATGGGAGAAGATAACTCATAGGATTTCTGTGAGAAATAAATGAAATTATACTTGTAAACACTTGGCTCATTGCTTAACGATGTTAATTTTCTCTTTGTCATACAAATAATGATACCTGAGACTTGAACAGTTAGTAGGAGAGGCAAGAGTGTTTTTGGGGGCTTTATCCATTCTCCCCCATAATCTCCATCTCTCCAGAATGGAAGGTTTCCCATTCTTTGATGTCTTTCCCAATCTTATGTGCTATGAAAATACAGCCTCAAGGCAAGTTCCTGAGGCATCTTCCAACCAGGTTGCTGTCCTTAGCCTTTCCTCTGCAGAAACTCAGAAGCTGCTATTGCATATTGTGTTGTATGATTTGTAAATGCTGCCTCACGCGTGTGATTTAGTCTGTTCTTATCTCTGGTGTAATCTCCCAAAAGCACCCGTTGAACCCATACTGGTCTTCAAAAATTCTTATTGAAGTGAAATAATTTCTTCTGCCCACAGGATGTCTGATCTGAAAGCATGTTGTGGTCCGCTACACACAAGAGCAAAAGAAGAGCAGGAAGGAGCTCAGTGCCAAGACCATAGCCACAGGAAGAAAACCAGCTCTTAGGGCTGCAGCTCTAAAGACAGGCCAGGTCATTACAGGAACGTCTGCTCCCTTAGCCTTGCCAGACAGAGGAGGGTTAAGAAAGGAACTGCTGACCCTGATATGCAAACTGCCACGAGTGCTTCCTGCCTTTCTATCAGCATCAGATGGCTAGCGATGGATGGCTGTAAGATTGATGTAATTAACATTTTATTTTCAGGGCCACAGTGCTGGTTGGGTGCACCAGACAAATCAACCAACAGATTAAAGAGTGATGGAGAAAGCTGTGTTTTGGGCCTCATTTGGGAACAGAATGGAAGAGCTGAGGGTGGAAGGGACCTCAGCAAGTCTTCTGATCCATGTTTCAACCTTCATTTCCCCGATAACCTCAAGGAGAGAGTTGCTTTTCCTGTTCTTCAAATGAGTTCCTTGAATTCACACTCTATTTCTTTGAATTTGCACAGACTGTTGAGGAACAGGCGGCAGGGTCACTCTACCTCTGCTCAGACAAGCCTGGAAAAGAAAAATTTTACATAGAAGACTGAGCTGGAAGAGGCCTGGGAACTTGGGAATTCCCACTTCCACACTGCCCACTCTAGTTCTCAAGAGGCGGCAGCTATGCTGCAGTACAGACCACTGAATTTAGATTCAGGAATCTGGGTTTATATCTCACTCCTCCTCTTACTTGCAAGTCACTTACCACACCAGGCCTCGGTTTCCTGGACAATAAAATGGGGATAACGTTGCCCCATGTGGTTGTTGGTGGTCATGAAATTATGCACACGAGCACGCCTTGTAATCTAGGTTAGACCTGCACTAACCTAGATTAGCTGACCAGGGTGGAAGGTGGGAGGGGCAGGCTTCAGTGTGTGACTTACCTAGAGGCCAAGGGGAGTCACCATGGATAGGGCAGCACTTGTAAGTCCTCTGCTCTCTCAATGTGGCTCTGAGAATCTCCAGGAAGAACTGGCTGGTTGAATTCTCAACTCTACCAAGAAAGGTGTGCTGGAGACCAGGGTCATAGACGTCTCCTTGTTGATGTACGAAAATCAGGAAGCCGTCTCGGGTCCTCTTTACCAGGACATAGTGTAATTATTCATCTTCTTCCCTGTCAGTTGGCACTGGAAAATTTTGCTTCTTCTAAAAGGAACAAATATCTCTAGCTCTTGTTGCTCCAACAAGGTGTCTGGCTTGATTCCTAAAGTAAATAAATAAATAAACAAATAGATTGATAGAGAATAAATACATCAAGGTAAAAGGAAGACAGAGAAATTAAAAAGCCACATCAGAGTATCAAGGACTGGGGTACCAGCTTGGGGACCACCCTCCTTTTCAGTATTCCCACAAACTCTCCCTGGGACAACTTCATCAGAGGAGTCATTCATTCATTCATTCGTTCGTTCATGCATCTATTTGGCAAGCATCCTCTGGCTTGTATGGTGTTCTCAGTGCTGGGCTGGCTCTGTGGGGAGGACAGTGATTTGTTCTCCCAGGGGTTTGCCAGACCCAGGGAACTACAGGGCCTGTGGTTCTGAGGCTCCAGGGCTGCTCTCAGCTGAGCTGTAGGAGGACACGAGGGCAGATCTCCCCCAAAGCTTCCCTGGAGGACTGAAGCATTCTGCTTCTGGGACAGTCTGTTGGCCCTTTCTTCCACATCTCAACTTTCAGTGTCTCAGCGACTGGCCTATGTACTCTTGGGCTTGCTTGAGGACCTTGAGGAAATGAGTCTAAATCAGCAAATGCCCTTTCCTCAGGGAACAGCCTCGTTAGTTGTGCATGCAGCCTGGGCCCTTTCTCTTTTTGTTGCACATGGCAGCGTCTTCCACCTACAATGAGGCCAAGAGCTTGGCAGGGGTGATGTTGATATTTAGCTTCAGACTGCTGTTAATGCTTCTTTCCCTCATATTTGTGGATGCTTCTTTTATTTTTTATTGTAATATACTTATTTTGGATCTTAAATTTATACAGCAATGCAGCTACTTCCAAGGAAGAAGCCAAAGTGCCAATCTTCCATAAGACAAGAGCCTGTAGCCACGGCACAGGATCTAACACAAAATATTACTGCGTTAAATATAATTTTTAGCAGCAGTTAAATGCCTGCTGCCGTACTCTGTCCATATCAAGTGCCCTGCAAATGTTGATGCTGAATTAAAGAAAACACAAAACAAAACAAACATAATGGGAAGAGGGAGTAAGTAGAGTGGGCGATGAAAATTAAATGAGAAAAAACAAAGTTAAAGCATGAAAAAAGGTTTAATGGAGTATTATAGAATTATCTACTGAAAGGACAAAGTAGAACAAACTAAAAATAAAAAGGCAATATAACAGCTTAGATAAGAGGAATGTAGAGGCAGAGAAAAGCTGGAGAGGTAATTAGGACAATTACCTCCATGCAATGGTTTTCAATCTTGGCCCCACACTGGGACCACCGGGGGAGTTTTAAGAACTACTGAAGCCTAGGTGCCACCCCCACGGAGTCTGATTTCATTAGTCTGGGGTGGGTTTTGGGCAACAGGATTTTAATAACTTCCTTAGATAATTCTGATGTGCAGCCAGGGTTGAAAGCCACTGTGTAACAAAAAGAAGAATTGTAGGACAGTAAAGGCTTATACACTGTTGTACTGAGGGGACAAGGAAGAGGTGTCACCTGTGACCATAGGGCCTGCTGTGGCATTGGGATCGGCCAGTCTTCTGCTCCTTGTCCTTTCTCTATGACCAGCGCGGACCCCCAACACCTTTGCTGCCTGGTGATTGCTCACTTCTTACAAACTTACGTCAGCACCAACCATCTCCCTGTTCCCTTGATCTCTTTCAACAGTGCTGGGCACTTAGTGGGTGCTTAGTAAATATTTGTTAGGTGCTATCATACCTGGCATTCTGGGTCCTTCTGTGCTAGTTGAAATGGGCTAAGTCTGTGTTCTTGGTTTCTCCTCCTAATCCTGCTCTGACCTTTCAGATAGAAATTTTGTCCTATCCAGCTCCCTTCTGAGAGGTAGAATTCAGTTGGGGAGCCCACTAGCTGGGATTCCTTACATTGGGACATCACTGTGTGTGTGTGTGAGATGGAACCCAGCCTGTAGCGCACTGGACTCATAGAGTAATGGGTTCTTGCTATATTTCAACTTTGCATTCTTTTTCCCTCCCTCCCTCCCTCCCTCCCTCCCTCCCTCCCTCCCTCCCTCCCTCCCTCCCTTCCTTCCTTCCTTCCTTCCTTCCTTCCTTCCTCTGTTTTTGTCTTACAATTCCCAGGCTCATGGCAGACCATAGTAATCCAAGGAGACCTACCATTAGGAGTGAAAATGTGTCCAGTTCCCTGAAATGGCAACTTGTTTTTGGAGGGAGATAGATTGCTTTCTGCTCTCCTGGAATTGCAGATTTCACAGTGAAGATTTGCTGCCCCAGGGAGAGCAGTGGGTGGAATGTAAAGTTATTGCTGTCTCTGGAAATCCTCTTTGATTTGTTCTGCTCGCTGGAAGACAGTGGGGGTGTGCTGGTCCCCAGGTAGAACTCAGAGAAGCCACGGCACAGGTTTTCATGCTAATAATAGACTAATCCTGTGTTTTTGTTTGTAGAAGCCCATTTATAAAAAATAAAATAATGGTAATTATGTGCTTCCATTCAACAATATCCCAATAAAGAGGTAAAACTGGAAAAACCTGGATTGGGAGCAGATGGAAAATTAGTTTAAATGGGCCCGAACAGGAGCCCCTCCCTCTTTGTAGTAGTCTCTGCACACAGGAAAAAACATTTCCCACTTTCCTCCTCTGAAGTGGAGCAAAGAATTTTGCTCAAGATTCTTGGTTGGGAGTAGGCTGAGGGGATAGCGCAGTGTTAGAGAGAATATAAATGCTCTTTTCTCCTCCTTTGGTGGTGGGACTTATGGAAATGTAGAGTGTTTAGTGTCTACAGAGAGCTTAAATTTTGTGGCTGGAATCATACTTCTGTGGAATTAAGATTTTATTATATAGATCTTACATTCCTTCAGTTGGCCGATTACCCCTGGGGCACCACAGGGTGGTGACAAGGGTGGGCCCTCCCAGAACCCTAGGGAAACTCCCTGCTTCATCCCCTATGGGGAAGCAAATAACTACCTTTCATCCTTCAATCCAAGGGAGAGGAGAAAGCTGTAGGAGCATTTCTGGGAGTGAGACCCTCCCCCACTCCACCTCCAATGGGAGACAGTGAGATGACCCTATCTACTGGGGTGGGTCTATGATGCCAGAGGAGGGGAGAAGACAGATGGATGGGGACTTGTCCTCTTTCCCTTGGGAGAGGGGTGGTGGGCCCGGCCCTCCGTGCCAGGGGCTCCCATAGTCATTGACAAAAACTTGCATCACGCAACAGTTCCACAGGTACATCCCAATTCTTGAGCTAATATACCTACTACCTTTTGCTTAGTTTTATTACAGACTGGGAGGAAAAAGGAATGAGGCTGAAAGATTGCCAGAACATGGAGTCAGAGCTAACGAGGAAACAATGGAGGAGGAACATGGAATTACTGCAGGATACTTTTGGGAAGGCAGCTGTGTAGGTTTAAAAAAAAAGTGGCTCAGAATGTAGCTTTGGGGGCTAGAAAAGAGTTCCTAAACCATCAAGTGGGAAAGTGAGTACAGTATTTGAGTGGGATCTTAGACTTACAGCAGCTTGGGCCACTATAAACCAGTGTCCTGGTCATGTCCCAGGAACCTCACCCACTGTGCGTCTGCTGCTGTCCCATTGCCATAACCTGCACACCTCAGATATTCTTGCTGGTTATGTGGGGTTTATATTGAGTTTGGTAGTGTGTGGGGACTGGTAAAAGGGCAAGGACTAGAGTAAATACACTTTCTTTATAACATTCACCACAGCTAGAGAAGCCGCAGTTCAGAGTGGCTGTTCTATAATCACCACTGTAGCGCTGTGTTAAAGCCTAGCTTAGAATGCGAGTGCTGTTATAGTCATCATGTATATGACAAGTTAAAGGGCTCTTAACATTGAGCTATGGAATGAATGTTTAGTATGAGTGAATGAAAAGATTATTGAATAGAAATACAAGCTATCCAATTGGCAGGGCTCTAATCGCAAAGTAGTCTGAGCCTGAGTTAGCACACGTGCATAACTGAGTAGTGACTGTGGGAACTTGCGAAGTTACCAAAGGAGGGCAAAGAAAATACTACGTGCAGCACGATTCCTCTTGCATGGTGAACCATCTCAGCATCTATCCCACTGGAATAACATTGTGAGTGGGATCACGGTGCATGACAAAGCATATGGTAGCAATCTAGCCCATCAGCAGTGTCCAGGCTGTGGTGAGAAACCAGAGATGTAGTCTAACAAAAGATGCATAGGGAATGGCACATGCCAAGGAGATGGACTAGAAGAACCCAGGGAAAGAGAATTTTTGGAAGAGTCCACTGACAGCCATCTCTCTGTCAGAATACCTTTTTTAACGAGGTGCCAGCTCACGTCCCAGATTGGTGACCCAGAGGCTGAGCTGAGAGTCACGGCTGCAGCCTGCTTAGATAACTGTTGCCTTTATTGAAACCTGCTGTGTTCGCATTGACTCACAACATGGCTGGGGACTCAGCTGGACAGCATACCAAATGCTGCAATCCAGGGGGCCTTCCTCTTCTGACCTCCCCTTTGGCCCTGAATCTAATCTTCTAAATGCTGAGGAGGCAGCATTATGTGGTTGAATTGTACTCTTGTTGGGTGGGAGCACTTTAGGCAAGCCCTTTGGCACCTTCTTTTTGTCTTTTTATTTTAAAGTAGGGAATAGATCCAAGTGAAGGCTATTGTGAAGAGTAAGTCATCCATGGCTGTAACACACCAGCATCGCCAGATGGGGTGCGGGAATGTAGGCAATTTATAAAACCTTTGCAGCAGCAGCTGCTGTGACCACAAGGGATGATACTGGCTTGATTTAGCATTTTTAAACTTAAGTATTCACCTCATGCTAATGTCTGTAGCTGTGTTCTCTCATTTGAGGTTGTTCATTTGGAAATACAGAAGGATGAGGCATTATTTCTTTAAATAAAATATTCCCTTTCATTACATCTGTGTCTCAGTGATCCCTAAAGCAGAAATTCAGTTCAAACATTAAATTCAATAATCATATATTAAACAGTTACTCTGCAATGCACTACGGAAACTGAAGATGAAACAGACCAAGGATCCCCGCCTCGAGGGGTTTATAAGTCAGGAAGAGGATGAAGGAAGTATGAAAACAATCATGGCAAAAGAGAAAACACATGAAATAACTCAAGAGTGGGAAGTGCTAAGGCGGTTCAATTGGGGGAAGATTATATCCTCAGAGGAGAGTTTTGCACTGGAGATATAAATTTGGGAGTCATGGGCACATATGTGAAATTAATGCTATGAGGGTGAATGAGATCATCTAGGGAGAGATAGAGGAGAGAAGATAGACCCTGGCTGCTTTAGTATTTAGAAGCTGTGTAGTGGAGGAGGAGCCAGCAAGGGGGACTGAGAAGGAGAAGCCAGTGATGAAGAGGAAAATCAGCCAAGAGTGGCATCTCAGAAGCTAAGTGTGGAAAGCATTTCAAGGAGGAATGGGTGGCCAACGGTGTAGCTAACCACTGGGAGGTTGTATGATCACTGGCTATTTACTCATATCCCTGTCTTCTGTCTGTCTCTCTTATTTTAAACTGGCAAGTCCACAGGGCAGGGTGCATGTCTGTTTTGCTCATACCGTGTACTCAATGCCTGGCATAGTACTTGGCACCTAGTAGGACTCAAGATACGTTTGTTGCAGAAAGAAAGGAAGGAGCAAAAGACAGTCTGAAGTGTTTATACTTAATTCAGTAGACAAAGAGTAGTATCTGAATAACATTTTCAGGTTTCTGACATTGAGTTTGGTCTTAGCAAAAAATGCAAGCCTTCTTTTTGAGGCCTGTACAGACCCATTGGCCTTATGCATAGCTCCTCTCAACGTCATTAGGTATCCTTCAGTCTGGATGCACAGAAATGAGGAAACAGCAGGAATCTATCTGACTGAATCCTGCGTAATCCTTTGGGACGGTATTTGCCTATAGAATTTCGTGAGTCTTAATGGCTGTGCCATTACAAAAAGAATTCTGTGATTCCAATCCCACGTTAAATAGGTATCTTTACAGCAGGGGTTCTCAGAGCATTTAATATGGTAATAAGAATTGTAAATATTAAGAGGAGGCTATTAATATGTAGCATTTGCCAAAATTATCTGATGGTGGAATTCTTTTAAATTGTGCAACCACTGTTAACATCTTGAGGGATGGTGACATTCTGAAGAATAATTGGGCAAATGTTGCCCCAGAAGAATTCCAAGAAGAAAAAAAATCATTTTAAATTCCTTTTAAGTTGACAGCAGGAGAAACTCCCCAGGATGGAGACAAATTACATGGGTGGAGTTAAAGGGTATGGTAGGTTATAATTATTATTCTGAAGTATTTGATCCTTCTTTCCATGAAAAAGGGTTATTGCTTCCTACCCATTGCTATGTGTCTTGCAGTGCCTTCTGCAGGAAAGGTGTGAGTCCCTGACTAGTTGATCTTGTGCTTGACCATGGAAGGGCTTTGGCTGATGAATGTGAGTGGACATAATGTCTGCTGTGTCTGAGCAGAAGTTTTAAGAAGTATCTGGAGTTTCTGCTAGCATTTCTCTTGTTCTTTTTCTTCTGTCATAAAAACAGTGTGGAGGGGCATGGTGGCTCATGCCTATAATCTCAGCACTTTGGGTGGTTAAGGCAGGTGGACTGCTTGAGCCCAGTAGTTCGAGACTGGCCTGGGCAACATGGAAAAACCCCATCTCTACAAAATAAAATAAAATAAAATAAAAAATTAGCTAGGTATGGTGGCATGCACACCTGTAGTCCCAGCTACTTGGGAGGCTGAGGTGGGAGAATCGCTTGAGCCCAGGAGGTTGAGGCTGCAGTGAGCTGAGATCGCACCATTGCACTTCAGCCTCTCGGCAACAGAGTGAGATCCTGTCAGAAAAAAAAAGTGTGTCCCAAATAGTGGCTTATCTTTCATCTTGGGCTCTGGAATGGGAAGACAGAGGGAGCAGAGCTCAGCAGCCAATTGGTAGTAAAAGTGGGAACAAAAAGTAAATGTTCATTGCTGTAAGCCACTGAGGTCCTGGCACTGTTAGTTACCATAGCAGAGCTGACTAATACAAAGAGGAAAATATGGAAGGGTGAGATGACTATGGCAGCTGTTTTATTCCAGAGCTCTCAGAAGAGACACAACTTCAGAGGAGAAGCTGAAAGCTGAAGCAGAATGGCTCAGTTTACAGCTGACTCTTTTGTACAGGGCAAAAGTTTTACTCTTGCTCTGATTAAAAACAACTCCATAAATGAAAATGGTTCAATCTAGCCCAGATAAAGATTTATAGATCCAGTGCAGCTACAAGGCGCTGGGATATCTGAGGAGAAATCTCAATATTTCACACCAAATGAAATCAAAGAACACACCAAAGTGAAAGTTCACAGCCAGCCCCACTGGCGTGGTTGCTGCTCTGCAGGGCATTTGACTAGTCTCTCTGGGTTTCCTCACATTGGCAGGATGAGGATAGGTCAGTGCACCAGTGGTACCAAATTCTGGGAAAGCCCAGAGGTTTGGGACATCTCTTTAATAAGAACAGAAAGTTATTAATAAAAGGAGTGATCATCATTCAAGGAAATAATATTCTCCTTTTCCTCTCCCCTTCCTCTTTACTTTTCTTAATTCTTTATCTTCCCAACCCATACCACTACCATTTTGGCTGCTCTGTTTTGCGGTGTGTACAATAGCAGCATTTTGGAAGTATCTAAGTTTTACTTGGCAGGGAACTAACTACATTCTGTGGTTATAGAACCCCTATGAAAGCTTTGATATAAATTCATTTTCCCACAAAAAGAAGCTGATTGTGTCTAGTCTGGGGTTTTGTATTTTTCCATAAAATTTCAGTTTATTTAGTTTCATTTTTTTAATTTAAAAATTTTTTATTTTACTTTAAGTTCCAGGATACAAGTGCAGAGTGTGCAGGTTTGTTACATAGGTATACATGTGCCATGGTGGTTTTCAGCATATTTTTGGCTGTTTTTCAATATTTTATGTTTTCTTTTTATTTTAATAGAGATGGGGTCTTGCTTTGTCGCCCAGGCTGGTCTTGAACTCCTGGGCCCAAGCAATCCTCCCATATTGGCATCTCAAAGTGTTGGGATTAAAAACAAACAAACAAACAAACAAACAAACAAACAAAGAAAAAAAGTGTTGGGATTACAGGCATGAGACAGCACGTTGGGCCTATTTTCAGTTATTTATTTTCACTGCAAGCATCAGAGATGAAGGTGAGTGTGTTTGTGTGTAACTGTTGAGGATGCTCATCTTCCCTCCTGGGTCATCTTAAGGAACCTGCAAGCACACCTTACCTCGGGGAAACAAGTGCTTTTTCTGTTATGAGCCCGTGTCACCTCCTCTGAGACACCCTCCCCATCTCTAGGCCATCACTTCCTTCTCTGTGTTTTGTTTGCTCCTTTCTCTGTTAGTAAGTTTCTATTTTCATGTCTGTTTCTTCCACTAGGAAGAGCACCTTGAGGACAGGAATTGAGCTTTGGCTGCCTTTGTAACCGAGCGTGTGGCACAGGACCAGGAATATTGTGCGTGCTCAGTACATATTTGAGGGATGAGGATATGCATCCCCATAATTATAGACTTGTGTATTTTAATGATACAGCTACTGAAAATAGCCATGCAAAATGAAAAACACCAAGAGGGATCATCATAAGCCCAGCCAGTAGTCACTGAGAAAATAATAATCATTTTGGGCCCCTCTGATTTCTTCATGTCTAGCTAGACTCTCTGGGCAGGTTTTACTTACCTGTTCAGGGTCCCTATGTGGGAGCTGGCTCAGACCTATGAAGGACCCTCCAATCCTGTTCAGTTGTCCTGTGTGCCCAAGAATGGGCTCTTGAGTATGCCAGACAGAATGAGTAGAAATCAGTGGTTTCTAAGAAGCCTTGGACTCCAGCTCAGGATGACACTGGAGTCTCCGAGACCCCTAAAAAGTGAGAATATGGCAAGGCTTGAGGCCCCACTGCAGCCCAGAGTCTGTGATGATGATCAAATTCTGGGAAGTCCCAGAATGTGGGAAATTCATTCATTTATTCACACAGCTATGTTTATGCGATTTGTCAGGTTGAATAAGCAAATGCAGATATAGTCCTTGATCTCCAGAGCTTACAGACTCATGAGAAAATAGGCATAATCAAATTAATAAAATATTACAAACTGATATATGAAAGCATTAAAGAATAAACAACCTGAAATTGTTAGGAGATCTCAAGATGCCTCTGAAAAGCGGATGTGTAGGCTTTGATCTTTTTTGTTTAACTCCTTTCAATAGGAGTTAAACAGGGGATGAGGAGTGGGAGAAGTGTTGCAAAGACCCTGGGGTGGGAAGGCACCCGGTACATTCAAGTATTTAATAGATGGAAGAAGGCATGTTTGGAAAATGAGGGAGAGAAGAGTGAGAGGTATGGCAGAAGAGGTGAGGAGTCAGACTGTGCAAGGTCTTAGAGGACTTTTAGGGATTTTGGTCATTTGCCTATCTGCAATGGGAAGTTACTCAAGGATTTTTAATCAGGGGCATGACATGATCATATTTGTATTTTGGAGAGATCACTCTGGCTGCTGTGGGGAGGAGATACTGAATAGTACCAGAGGCCGGCTAACTTACTCAAAAGGCTATAGAAACAATCCAAAGAAGAAAATGGTAGTTTTGACCTGGCTGGTGGCAGTGGATGGAGAGCAGTGGATGGGTTTGAAATGATGGTGTTATTCCTTCAGATAGGGAATCTTAGGCTAGGGCCATATTTGCAAGGAAGATCTTGATTTAAGTCTTGGAGTTGAGCTGAAGTGCCTTTGAGACACCCGAGTAGAACTGTTGGTCAGGTGGACACATAGATATTAATTCATGTATTCAACTCACATTTGCTGACTACCCGCTACAGATGAGTCACTCTATTAAGAATTGCATTGGTACAGGAAAATATATTGAACTTGGATGCTTCTCTCAAGGAGTTTAAAATTTATTAGACAGTCATGAGGAATGGTTATACAGGATAGCTATCTTTAAATATTTGAATATGCGAAGGTGAACTTAGTCTGCGTTGCTCTGGAAGGCATAACAAATATAAAGATATGAAGTTATGGGAGGCAAATTTTGATTTGGTATAGGACAGATTTTTTGAAACAAGAATTGTCATTGAAAATATTTGAATTGAGGCTGGGTGATCACTTACTCATTCAATATTTAGTGAACATTTAAACTGAATGAGGGGATTCCTACTTTGTTTTTAAGATCCTTTCTGGATTTCAAATTCAACGATTCTAATTTTCTGTTTAAAATTTTAATTGTTCAAAGTGAAGGTCACAATTTGGATTTCCTTGAGTCCATTTTCTTATTTGGACCCTACCTATATCATCCCTGAGAGCTTTCAAGATGGTGTAATGAGGACTTTCTCAAGGCTGTGGCACCTTCCGAATCGAGAATGTGTTATATGATAGAAGTAACATTCTCTTCGTTGCCCGTCTCTGGTGTCCCGTGATGCAGAGGAAGTGGCATATTCACATGGTTTCAGATTCCCTTATTTTCTCTTGCCTTTCACTCATAGTCATGGTTTCACAATGTTGGATGACCTCTTTGTGAGGGCAGCCAGGTGATGGCACTGTTCCTGAAGCCAGGATGCCTTCTAGCTGCCTTTGGGCATCAGACAGGTATCTTCTTTTTCTAGCCATCCAGCCTGCCCAATGACTCTTCTTGGGAGGCTGGTGAGAGTGGCAAGCCTATTCCTATTCTGACGTCAAATTCAAAGTCTTTTTGAGTGTTGGCAGACACTCTCTGGGATTTCTCTTCACTGCTCTGAACTCTTCCAAGTCAGCCCTTCTCATGATGGATAAGAATCACAGAAAGCAGAACAGTGGAGGCAACAATAATAAGAATTTAGTCAACTCTCAATTGTCCTTACCAGTGGAGGGGGAAGAAAATTAACAATACAGGCTGGTCACGGTGGCTCACGCCTGTTATCCCAGCACTTTGGGAGGCTGAGGCAGGCGATTCGCCTGAGGTCAGGAGTTCGAGACCAGACTGGCCAACATGGCGAAACCCCGTCTCTACTAAAAATACAAAAATTAGCCAGGCGTGGTAGTGGGTGCCTGTAATTCCAGCTATTCGGGAGGCTGAGTCAGAAGAATTGCTTGAACCTGGAAGGAGGAGGGTATGGTAGGCTGAGAACACGCCACTGCACTCCAGCCTGGGTGACAGAATGAGACTCCGTTTCAAAAAAAAAAAAGAAAGAAAGAAAAAAAGAAAATGAATAATACAAAAATAATAGTGGGTGTTCATATCGCTCATTTGGCTTCGGGATTTCTGCAGAGAAACTTGGTCCATGCCCTTACTATGCTAGGGCCTTCAGTGGCCCTGTCTCCCCCTAAATCTGAGGCTTCAGATGTTACATAAAATGCTTCCTTAATTACCTGCTAGTAAGCACAGGAATTATTTAAATTTCTCCAGGTTTTTTACTTTAATTTTTGTCTGGTTTCTTTTTTCATTGTGCGCAGACCCTCAGATTGTTGGGCAGTCCAGGTATTTTCTCCCAGGATTTCCTCCTCCTTGTCTCTAGGCTATTTTTCATGCTAACCCCAGGCCAACCTCTGGTTCTACATTACCCCAATCCATCACGGGCCAGAACTTCATGTCCTCATTCATCCTGCAGGATTGGACCACTGGACGCACACATTCTTGTGTCTCTTGTTCCTCTTCTTCCCAATCAGACTTAATCAGACACCAATAATTTGTGGATCTTTTTTTTTGGCTTGATCTTGAATTGAAGGTATGTGGCACAAGATTCTGGGTTTCCATGGATAATCCATCGTGGTGTGGTAAAAAGTATATTGACTCAGTAAATATTAATCCACTTCCTTATTTGCTTGTGGATGAATGAGAAATGATAAAACCTAGAATTTATGTAATACCTTCCTCTAAGAAGCATACAAGGACTCACTATCACCCCAATAAGAATATTTATTATATTGGTAGTAACACAAATAATCTGTAAACTGAACTGGGGATGACTGACTGCCTATCAGTGAGCCCTGGCGGCACATCAGTATCCCTTCAGGAGATTTTTTACAAGTATGGATTCTTGGGTGACATTTGGGAAAGAGTGATTTATTTTTTTTTTTACCTCCATGAACGTTTTCAATAATGACGAATGCCTAGACCAGTGCTTCTCAAACATTAATATGCATATAATTTACCTGGGGAGTCTTGTTTAAAATGCAGATTCTGATTCAGTGGATCTGGGATGGTGCACGAGATTCTGCATTCTCAAAACCTTCCAGGTGATGCTGATTGTGTTTGTCTAGACTACACTTGGAATAGCAAGGTCTTAAGCCAGTTGCTTTCAACCCCAGGGGGAGGGAAGAGCAAGAGGAGGGGAAGGAGGTTGAGTCATCTGGTAAGCCAGAGCTTCAAGCCCACACCAAATCAATCAAAATCTCTGGAGATGTATCCCAGACACTAGTATTTTCAAAGGATATCCCCAGGTGATTCAAATATGTGGATAGAGTTGAGAACCATTGCTCTAGAGATGCCTTGACCACATCTAATGTCCATTTCTCTGTAGTCAGGGCAGGAGAGCCTGGGCACATGTCACATGGTGAGAGAGGGAGCAAGAGAGAGAGAGGAGGAGGTACCAGGCTCATTTTAAATGATCAGCTCGCTCATGAACTAATAGAGCGAGAACTCATTCATCACCAAGGGGATGGAGCTAAACCATTCATAAGGGATCTTCTCCCATGAACCAGTGCCTTCAACTAGGTCCCACCTCCAACACTGGGAATTACATTTAAACATGAGATCTGGATGGAACACACACCCAAACCATATCAGCCTGTCAACATCCACATGAGTGAACTCGAAGTGTATCTTATTCCGGTTGAGCCTTTAGCTGACTACAGCCCTAGGTAACACTTTGATGGCAGCCTGATGAGAGACCTTGAGCCAGAGGATGCAGCTAAGCCACACTTGGATTTTTTGACCCACGGAAACTGAGATAATAAATGTTGTTCTGAGCCTCTAAGTTCTGAAGTGATTTGTATGTGACAATAGATAACTAGTATACCCACCCTGAAATACCCTTCCTTTTCCTTCCTGCTTATCCAACTCCTGCCTCTTTTAAGCTTCAGCTATTCTAAGACAATTTTCTTAATGTGGTATATATACTAAACAGTTATGAAAAAGAATGAAATAATATATTTTGCAGCAACATGGATGGAACTGAAGGTCATTATCCTAAGTAAAATTTCCTAGAAATAGAAAGTTAAATACTGTGTGTTCTCACTTATAAGTGGGGGCTAAACGATGTGTACACATGGACATGCAGAGTAGAATAATAGACACTGAAAACTCCAATAGGTCGGGAGGTGGGAGGGGAGTGAGGGTTGAAAAATTACCTATTGGGTACAATGGTTACTATTTGGGTGATGGGTACACTAAAAGCCCAAGCTTCACCTCTACGCAACATATGCAAGTAAGAAATTTGCGCTTGCACTAAGTATATACAAATAAATTTTTTTTTACAAAAGCAAAAAAGGTTTTAAAAAACATTTCTCTTCTTTTTTTTGAGTCAGGGTCTCACTCTTTCACCCAGGCTAGAGTGCAGTGATGTGACGATAGCTCACTGCAGTCTCGAACCTAAGAAATTTTCTTATAGCAATTGGTCCTTTCATAAACTCCTAGAGCACTGCACATGAAATCACTAACCCTCATTATCATATGTGCCGTTATATTTTTGTATTCTTTGTAATCTTTAATTGTACTTTCTAATGCCCTGTCTTTTAAAAATAAATGGAAAACACATTGGTGAGAATAGAACTTTGAATAGAACTTGCCTTAGAACTTTGCTATTCCCATGACCCATTCCAATACCACGAACAGTAAGTACCCTATAAAAAATATGTGATGAAGATAATAGTGCACTGGAAGAAATGTTGAATAGAAGATATCAGGAGGGTTGACTTTTAGTTGTAATTTTTACGTTATGTCCTAATGCCCGAATTTTAACCTTAGGTGGAGAGAGGATGCCAGACAGATATTTGAGCAGAACAAAGAGAGCCAACAGGATGAAGGCATTCCCTGGGTGAGTGTTTAATGTTTGTATCTTTAAGCGCCTCTGCCTACTTGTCTCCTTAGTGGATTCCTCCAGGAGTTTTCTCCCTGCGGTCTCAGACCTTCTTGGCTTACCCATTTCAACTTGAGACTTGGGAATAAAAATTTTTATTTTAATTTAGTTGACCCATGCTCAACTCAGAAATTCCACATTACCACAGGTATTTGTCTCTAAGCTCTCTCTCAGCAACTGGCATGAAGGAAGCCTGTGCATTTCCCCTTCCTGCTCACCCCTACGGATCCCCAGGACTCTTCGGCAGCTAAGGGAAGATATAAAACACTCAATACCTGAAATAGTTGTGGAAACATTTCAGAAAATGACTCTATTCATCCTTCTTCACAGAGTAAGAATTAAAGCTATCTCTAAAAGCTTTGGAAATTTTGATTAGGATGGTAATGGAAAACCATCCTTGCTTTATCTGACTTATGCACATGAACACTTTCACAATAAAGACTGCAATGAGCTACAGCACTCATGATAGTAAAAGTTCTGTTTATCTCAGCCTGCCTCCACAATGAGAGGGCCTATTCAGTATTAAAAGCTGTTATTTTCAACCTTTCTTCAGGAGCCTGTGAGAGACAGGTGCAGCACCCCACCCCCCACCCCCAACATCTCTCCACAAAAATCCTAACAGCCTTTCCTGCCCTCTTCAACTGATAAAGAAGGCCCCTCTAAGCCAACTGCAAAGATAAGCCCCTTGCCCCCACTTCAACTCCTGGCCTCTTTTATCAGATGTTACTGTTGGAATGATCGGGCAGCCTCATCTCAGGTGTGGTGCACATTTTAGATGTAGGAAAGTGTTGTGTTCAACACTTTAGCCACATAAAATACTTGCAGGTTCAAAGATGTGTCATAGACTTCCAGATGCTCAGTTTTTACACTGGCTTCTCCTTCTTCCTGGAAAAGCCATACCATCCTTCTTCTCCCTTCTTTAACTCCACCTGAGGGAGGCGTTCCCCTGGCCCCCTGCCATGTTGGGCCATGACACTTATCACCTCTATTCTCTGATAATCTGTTTGTTTCCTGCATTGAACTTTAAGAGTACTTAGAACATAAACAGTACCTTATTTATATTTGCATTCCTAATGTCCAGTGCAGAGCTGGTCAATATTAGGAACTCACAGATATTTGCTAGTCCAGGCAGGATTTCTAGACGCCCCAACTCTCAAGGAACCAAGAGGGTTGGTTGCTTATCTAGTGAAGACTGAGATTAGGAAAGAATTTGCCAGCAACTCAGGATAAAACATGGGAAATCCAGGTCTTTTATCCACTGTTTTAGGTGCAGGGAGAAGTGGGGCACTCTGCAGCAGGTGGTACCTCCCACTTGGATAGAACCTGCTAGGTACCTAGAGCAAGGTGCCTCCCACTTGGATAGAACCTGCTTGTAATAGCTTGTGGCTCACTGCCTAGGTGGTATCAGTGCCCATATTACCTACATGTAAATGGAGCACTGACTTTGCAGGTCTACTAGCCCATGGTTTTGAATCTTGCTTTGTGACTTACCAGTAGCGGGACAAATTACAACTCTGAGTCTTGATTTCCTTATTTGCAAATGGGGTAATTATAGTTACCTTGCAGGGATGCTGTGAGGTTGAAATGAGAGAACACTTGTGAAGGGCTTATTCCTGTGCCAGGTACTCATTTGTAAGCCCTCCACAGATATTGGCTTCTTTGCCTTGTCTTTTCTTCTTTGCCATGGTGGGGTTAGTGACCTGGTCATAGCCCCCTGCCTGAGCCATAGTTACCAGGAGAGACACAGAACTTGTTATTTCAAGGCTGGCACAGAACATTCCTCTGAGGGAAACAGCAGTCTGTTGAGCCATGTTAGGCTGCCGTAGGACTTGGGTAGATAAATGAATGAGCTGAGTGGAGCCGTGTCAGAGACATATGGGCAGTATCAATCTACTGTGCCCTTTGGCAAAGGACTGTCTCTGGCAGCTTAGGATGGAAGACACATAAAAGTTAGACCCCAGTCTTCTTTGTCTATACAGGATAAAGAAAGGATGGGAGGACTTTAAGAAGAGAAAAGATGCCAAGGTCAAATCAAATTAACCCCATATCGGCTACTATGCGTGCCCAGTTTAATGCCATTCTCTGATGGTCTCTGCCACTCTGGGGTCTTTGATATAAAATATTTACCCATAGTATTACTTCAATATAAATGGGAGTCAGTGCCAGAACTTCTGATTTTCTCACTCATTGGAAGTTTTAGAACTATTTTTCCTTTGATTTGAGAATACATTCATTCTTTCCCTATCCTCTTTGAGTTTTATGGGTGAAAAAAAGATAAATTTGGCAAAGAAAAGCCCTTTCCTTGCTTTATCTCTTATTCGTAACCCTCAAACTCCTCACCTAAAGCCTTAGTAATGGCAAAGTCTTTCCCTGATGGGTGCCCAGGATTCACCTCTACCTAGGCAGAGTGCTTATCAGCTGTTTCTCCTGTTCCTAATTGCTTTCTTTGCTTTATGGTTTCTCTGCTGTGTCTCCAGCTGGTTGGACAAGCAACTGAAGAACAGGAACAGAAGTGAATGAAAAGAGAAGATGCTGTGTTTGTGTTTTCTCTTGGTTAGAATGCTGTGAGTCAGGACCTTAGCTGCTGGGTGTCCTGGGACTGCCTTCGGTAAGTAAACGATTCTTCTTCTCAGTCTAGCTGATTTGGGCTCAGAATGCTCAGATGGCTGGAATTAACTTTGTTTCTCTGATTTGTTCTACTGAAATGTCTGGGCCTCACTGGATGTTTTAAAACAACATAAGATATTTTTGGAAATTAGTGAGGAATTTCAATGGGTGTCAGGAAAAATCACAGTGTCATTTGTCTCTAAAAAAATTTTGGCTGCCAATAGTCCATCTGTGACTCACTTTCCCAGCTGTGTGCCACCAAAGGAAGCAGCTGCTGAGCAAAACAGCATAGAAGCAAGTGGGGCCTTTCTCGAGTTGTAATTCTGCTTCTGTTACTGACTTGGGAACTTGGGATGTAAATAAACAAACTTTTTCATATCTAGTCTCAGCTCAGGATTTAATTCCTTTAGCATGTCTTCTTGGCTCCCATCACCTAACTCATCCTGAAATTGAAATATTCTAATTTCAATCTGTACTTTCCTCCTGGAACACCCCCATAATTATTACAACCAAGTATTTCTCTTGTTTCCACAAGCATCTGATTTGGGTCCTCTATTAGACTGTAAGCCCTGCTACGGTATGAGTTACACAGTGGAAGAAGGCTTGGATCTTGGCATGGGATACAGCACATAGCAAACACTAATATATACATGATTGAATACAAAAATGCCACTTCTGTACCCTGAGATTTATGGATACTTGATGAACACTTGTTAGCTAGTTAAACCTTCTTGCTCACTTTTTCTTCTATGACTGTCCTCCAAGGCTTGCATGGGGAGATTGGAGGGCTCCCAGTTCGATTATGAGATGGTTGGGGCAGAGACTCTCAAATATTCCATCGACTCCACCATAATTTTTGCTTTGCTTCTTATGGATCATTACCACAAAACCTGCCCCTGGGCAGTGCTCACCAATCAATGCATGGTTCTGTAATGACTTTGTTCTTCTACCCCTAAACTTTTCTTTACCTTCAGTAGAAGCTGGTTTTGAAAAAGAAGAAAGACAATTTCTCCCACTGGGACTTTTAGCATGGAGTAATGAATGACAGAATCAGAGATGTGAATGACAGATAGAGCTGCATTTCCCTATTGCATGTGACGTGGCATTAGTCTTTGAATGTTGGCTCTCGGAGGAATTACTAAGTAGTTCCTTACTGGCAGAGTATACAGCAGGGTTACCAGAGTTGTAAGTGTCCTGTAGGAAACCTGAGTGCCCCATGTTAACATTCAGCAGTTCTGGCTCTGAGGTGCCCTGGGGAAGGGCAAGCTCAGGAGGAATAGGGACTCAGTCACTCACCAAATATCCCCGAGTCTCTGCCTGTCCCATGAGGGTTAAGACTTTGAAATCTGACCCCAAAACCAAATTTTACAAAGGATCCTTCCCCAACTCTTTATTCCAAGAAGAATTTCCCATTTTGTGTTATCCCATGTCCCTGAAGGGCTGTTCTTGGGGGGCTAACCGTGCTGATAAACCCATATGTTGGCTGCAAATGAGAAAGCTAGCAAGATAGCAGGGGATTTGTGTTCCCACTAATGAATAAAACACAGAATCCGAATTAGCAGGAGACCCTGCGTCTTCAGAAAAGAAAACAGAGAAGACAGTCCTCACTTACCCCCAGTTCTCAGCTCAGCAGTTCACACCATCGAGTTTCCATGGCTGGGGCCTTGAATAAGCAGAGGCTGAAGTGGAGGTGTCTTTTAGAGCCTCCTCACTTCTGGAGTCTTGGACTGATCCTGACTTCCCAGTTTTTGAGGATGACACAACGTCAGGCATACTGTGACTTTGACTTGATTTGTTATCTTCTTGGAGGTGGAAACTTTTTCAGGTCATCTACTATGCCTTTTATGTTGATAGAACAAATATTTTACTTCAAAAATATGTGCATAAACAACTTTAATTTTACTTTTGGCTTTAAATTTATACATTATTCCACTATTCTATTCATTTAATGAGTGGGGTTACTGTTGTATTTTAATATCTCGCAAAGCCTATATTTGCTTATTTTATGATGGTCAAGCAGAAATTACTTTCCTCTGTTTTTTTTTTTTCTACATAGGAAGCCCTCAATAATTTATTGCCATCCAGGAAAAAGGTCCTGAAGGCCTTTTGAATTGTATTTCTCTGAATTTCCATTGATATTTACTTCTTACTAGATAGGATACTAATGTAGAAAATAATGTTTAATTGTTCAAGAGACTGACATTTCTTATCAACAACTTCCTAAAGGCTCAACCCAGCCCAACACAGGGGAAATTTAGTAATCATCCTCAGGATATTATCACACTCAAAAGCAAAAGTAGTTAATACTCACTGAGTGCTTTTCATGTTCCAAGCTTTGCTCTGAATACAGTAACATGTGCTATAGGTCACTTAATTCCTGCAACAATCCCCTGAGGTAGGTGTTATTGTAATCATTATTTTATAGATGAGGAAAGCAAGGCAAAAAGTAAATTGCCCAAGGTCACATAGCTATTGAGTCAGTAAATGGAAGGTCTGGAATTCAAAACTCAAGAAGTCTGGCTTTAAAGTCTGAACTTGAGCTCAGTCCTTTTATGATGCTTCTTACAGCTTGCCTGTCTATGTATCCATTCATCTATCATCTATCTATAAATTTACTGTACATATCATGTATACATAGATATTTAATATTTTTTCAGGCTTTTAGAAATGTTGGTAAGTTAAGGGTATGTCATTAAGATGTTAATTGCTGGCCTTAATTTTGTATGTGTGTGCAATTCATTTGTCCTTCTGTGTATCAAAGACTACTTTTATTTGTCAGCTGGAAGATTCAAGTAATTATACAGGATTTAATTTTAATTTCTCATGGTTTAGCAACATAAAAGTGAGGAGATTGTACCTGCTGAATACATTTTATTATTTGAGAAGTGTTTGTTATATATGTTGGTATCCTTCACAATACTCAGTACATCAATTTGAAAGCCTTAAGGGACTTTTAGTTTGGAATGAATGAATCGATGATGCATTCAAGATGCAAGTTTAAGATGACACTAAACACCCTGTGTGTTGTTGGTGGATCTTTTGAATTTTCTGTGTTGAGGCTGCTTGAGGCTTACAGTGTTTGTTCAGTGTGATATCCAGCATGCATCATGGTGCCCACAGTGCACAGCAGTAAATGGCTCAGTCTCTTGGCTGCACATGCTTAAGGATTCGGGTTCTGGAGAACAATTTTCTGTCCACAGACAACTAGCAGTGCTCTGATTCCAGGGTGCCTTGAAAGGATAGCAGATATAGGTAAACCTTTGGTTAGCTCTTTGCAGATGCCAGCACAAAGAATCATAATTCCCATCAGGAATGTTATATTAGCGTTGGAACTTGACATCTGTCCCAATCATTGTGGCCATGTTGGAAGGCTGTGTGATTTCAGTCTTGCAGGAGCCATCTGGCAAAGAAAAAAATGATAGAAAATGAGAAATGAGAAGTGGTGGGGAATCACACCCGTTTACCTGGGGGCCACTTACAGAGGAAGGGCAACGCAGTGTAGAGAAGCTGGTACACGGCGTGTCTGCGATTCTCAGTGCTGTGCACCAGCAGCCTACATTGCATGCACAATGCACTTGGGCCACCTTATCTACAACAGCCATGTGGCTGCTTCATTGCTGAAGCAATAAAAGAAAGAGGTCCTTGGGGGTGGTTGATGCTGATGCTATCAAAAGACACACTCAGATTTGTTGAAAGGCTGCAATCCAACAGGCTCCTCAGAGGAGGCTCTGGTGCCCTCTGCCACTCAGGGCCTGTGTTTTCAGCATATGGTGCCATTCGCTTATCAGCCCCAGGAGGCTTATTCTCTGAAAGGAAACAGCCAGGAAAATAGTCTTTTGTTGAAAGACACTTGGTGGGTCATGATCTCTTGGGTCCTTGTTCCTGAATTTCAGGAATCTAAGATGCCCAGAAGGATGAGCAAAGGTAGAAACAGTCATTTTTCCAAGTGGACTGTGGCTTCTATTGCCTATCTGACAGTTTCTAGTACTCAGACTCACTCTTCAGAAGCCAGACAGGGAGAAAGTATTTTGCTCATTTTAAATTAATCAATTAATTGATTAATCAATCAACCGTTCATTCAGCAAGTGTTTATTGAGTGCCAAGTATATACAAACCTTCTGCTGAATGCTGAGGATACAATGGAAAAAAAAATCAGCTGAAATTTCTGCCATCATGGAGCTGGAAATCTGGTAATGATGCATAACTTTAGGCAAGAGAAGCAGGTACAGCCTGTTAGATTCTGTATATGATTCTGGGCAAGGGTAAGGTGAGGGCCTTCTGGAGTCTGTGCATATTCAGGCAGGACTTTTCCCCAGTCAGCAGAGCTGGTTGTGAGCTCACTATGGAGGGACCAAGGCTGGAATTTTCCCTGGCAACCCATGCCAAGTTCAAGAGTCAGAAGGTTGCTTTCCTGCCCACCTTCTTTCATAGCCATTTTCCCACCAAGAAATTATTCTATTTGTTGACAAAGTTTTGGAGTTCCTGACTTAGCACTGTTATTCTATTCTTGGAGCAGAATCAGCTTGGCTGCTATTGTTCCCACTGTGAGGATAACTGCATCTTTTGTGTGATGGTTTTCTTTTCACTGTGTACACAATGATTGCAGAGCCATAAAATTTTAATTTGGGATAAATAATAAGCTATCTTTAGGGCCAGTCTTATTTTGGGAGTTGGGACTGATGGAGGTCAAGGATCCTTTCTTTTTTCTTGCCTTTCTCAAAATCTGTACCCCCACCCCTGCCACTCTCCTACTTCATCTCTTTCCTTCTCTGTCTTTCAAGATCACATATCTTTCTGCAAAATACACTCATGAACAATTTTAAAGGGAGAGCAGGACAATGGACAAAGGAATAAGGAGACATTCACCCCAAGATGCCTGGACTTAGGGTTACACAGAATTGAGCTGGTGACAACTGTGACTGCACAGATACACCATAGACATGTGCACGAGGAGTGTTGGTGGCATGGCTGTAGGTGTGCCCACACCAGAGCAGGTGGGGTGGCATTGGTGGCCAGAGGCTTGCCCATGGCAGTGTGGATGGTGTTTGTGACAGTGGAGCTGGTTGGGAAGATGTATGTGTGCTGCACGGTGGCCCTGGACAGGCCTACCCAAGACTCCCAGGAAGGCTGTCTTTGCTGTTGGGGGAATGTTGTACTTGAAGCCATTTTACTGGGCTGGGGTGCCAACTGGATAGGGAGGTCAAGGATTTAGAATATTTTCCCTGGATCTGGGTTTCCTTGTTCCAAATCTGAAGACAGGGGAAAAGATTATTCAGAGAAGAAAAAGAATATAGATGTTTGGCTTTTATTTCTTATTCAATCAGTGATCAAATGGGCACAGACAAAGTAGTTGGGTGCTTATTCACACGAACAGCTTTATAAATAAGAGGAGTGGGCAACTATGTAATGATTTTTGAGGGTCCCGAGAAGACCACTGCCCCCAAATCTCCTCTATTGGTACCTGGCATTCTGCCACTGGAGATTAAGCCTTTGGACCATAGAAACATAAAAGCATTCCTGGAAGGATTGACACCTTAAGCCTTAATGGACAAATGAGTAAGGACTGATTTCTAATGGTAAGACCTTGGGGCTTGGGAACTAGGGAATCTTCCAGTACATAGCCAGGATGTCGGGAAGAGACAATCTCTCCCTTTTCTTTCATTCCCACATATCATTTATCTATTTTTGAGGTGTTTCTTAAATCTGTTTTCTCTTTCCAAGTCCTTCTGATCCTTCTCAATGTCTACCTCAGTTTCATATTAACTTTACATCTGATCTCATTGTTTCCGGTCTTGGAACCAGTCTTCCCACCCATAGTAATCTTTCCAAGCACTCTTTGAAGCACATTTCCTCTTATATGCCTGTGATTTCTGCCCATTTCCCATATAACAGAATCTAGTCCCTTAATGTGATTCACAAAAGCTTTCTCAGTCAAGCCACAGCCCACCACTCCCACCACTCCACTGCCCCAACTCAGGCAGACTCAACTCTCACCAAGTGATCACTGTTCCCCAAGCACAGTTCTATATCCCTCCTGGACATTGCTCAAGCTGTACTCCCTCTGCCCGCCATGTCCTTCTCCAATCCCTCATTTGTCAAAATCATTCATCCTTTAAGTCACTTTAACTAAAACTTCCATGGGGAGGATTTCCTAGTCCTCCTGAACCAAGCTAATTTCCCCTCCTTTGGGCAACTGTGCATTGTACTCTGACCAACATTTGTCACGGTCTGACTTCAGAAATTCATGACATAAAAGTCTATATATGTCTCCCATTGGAAACCACATACTCCTCCCATTCTCTCACTGGCTTTGTGAAGGTCCATTTCTAAAAGATAGGTTTCTTAGGGAATTGATTTTCAAGAGGCTGCCAGGGTGCTCTATCCAAGACACAGATGATTCTTAGAAGTCTCATCTGAATCCTGTAGGCAAACTGCTGGACTTTGAACAGAACTTGAAAGAAAGTTTTCTGGTTGGATAATTTCTGGTGAATGACCTGAAAGCCCTGGCTCCCACACCAGAAATAGTTGGGATTCACAGTCCTTATTGGAGTCCTCAGTGTTCAACAAAGTAGCGTAATGTGATCATTTCCCCAGGGATAACCCAATGGGTGCAGTTTGGAAGGACTAACCAAGATTCCATGCTCTGCCACAGCAGCATAAACAGGGCTGCTTAGTTTTGGAATTATAAGAAAGGACTATGGTCTCAAGGGAAGCAATCTCAGACACTTCTTGCCCGGGCAAAAGTTAGTGTCAGTAGGAACTGGGAAAGATTCTGGGCTTTTTGGAATCCCAAGACAGGAGGGTCTGTGGCCTGCCATCAGTGTTAAACCTGGACATCAGGCCTGGCATCAGGCCTTAGGTATTATCCACTCACCGAGCCTTGGACCTGGAAATCACAGCCCTGATGCAGGTCTGTATTTGAATGCAGGGAGCTGACCCTGGACACTTCCTGCCTATGGAGTCTTATGTATTGACTGCCAATCTCCTCTCTTAGGGAAATTTCTGTACATTGTTTTTTGCGGGTATAGAACAGAGATTTTGCCCTAGAAACCCATCCCTTACTCACACCAAAGGCATCCTGAGCAAGACATACTAATAGGACATGCTTCACCTATGATCAACTCACCTCCCATTGGGCAGTGACAGAAAAATGTTATTTTAGAATGATTTTTTTCAATCTCTGTTTGCACTCAGGAAAGGTGTCAAAGGACACCTTTTTTTTTTAACAGCATTTTTATGAGAAGGATGAGGCCCATATACTCTGGGGACCTAGGTTTGAACTGTAGGGAGAGATTTGTTAGAAATTTTAATAATAGGGATAACTTATAAAAGCAGGATTTCCTTTTTTCTTTCTTTCTTTTTCCTTTGGCAGAGCTGCTCCTTGAAGATTGCTGACAGCATTGAATTTCTGTAGGTAAAGACCCTAGATGAACTTTGAGCACTCTTCTTCTGTTGAGAAAACTAGTTGAGAATGAGGTTATTCTCATTTCAAATAAACACTCACTCATTGTATTGGAGATTATGAAGTTATCATAAAACTGAAAACAGGTGTCGTGCATCAAAATAGTAAGTGTTCTGTTAGGAAAATTAAATGGTGTCTGTTTAGTTAGAATGAGGGGCATATTTTTCCCAAGTGTGAATTTAGTTAGGGCTGTTGATGTCACACACATAGTGTTAGAAGATCTAATAAGACAGTTGAGCACCAGGTTTGCTTTGTCGGGGTCATGAAGGTCGGGCCCCGTCTGAGAAGGTGGAGGGGCAGGTAGAGCGCTTCCCTGGAGGAAATGTTTTTTCTCACTGTCAATCATCCCAGGGCAGGAAAAGAACTAGTCTTGGACTGAGAAGAAAAAATCTCCTCTGCTCTCTGCACTTGGAGATATGGAGATGCCTGCAGACTTCTACCGGGCGCCTTGAGCTGGTCTTTGCTATGCGTAAGCCTGCCTGGAGGTAGAAAGAGTCTCAAGTTGGGTTTTGGGTCTCAAAATGTGCTCTTCTTTCTTCCTCAAACATTTAGCAGTGCTTTGAATGATTAAGAGAGTAGACCATGTCCACCTGACATGGGATCCATTGTGGTGAAGGTAGAGGGGAGAGCAGCCTGGAGAAAAGTCTCACAAGATGATGAAAGATGGCCTGAAGAAGAGCTCTGGCTCCATGGAACTGTCAAGCCCCGTGGGGACCCACTGTGGCACATGAAATGCCCACAAATCACTTGGGGACATCACGGATACTCAATATTCCACATGATGAGCCCGCAGGTTCTTGTAAATTGAATATTAATGAAATAGTGTCTGTATTTTGTAATCCACAGGCTGGTGAGGTCTGAGGACACATGGATGACACAATGAAGGACTTCCTAAAAATAAGAGACCTGAAACTCTTGAAGTGGTGTTTGAAATAACATTTGTACAATGACAACCACTGATTTAATTAACCACCTGACCATCCTTAGTTGTCTTTAAGACTAAGAATGCTCAGCAACTGATTAATGATTTAAACTTTGGGTGTCATAAGAGCTAGAAAACAACAACAAATCTGAAAATGGCCAGTTCCATTTTATACATATGTATCCATACACGCATTCATCCATTTATTCATCCAGCAAGTATTTGTTGCCAAACACTGTGCTTGCTACAGGAATGCAGACCTTACTAAGACATTACCCTCCAGGGGCTTACATCTGAGTGAGTGAAGACAGGTAGGAATCTGCATCCCCTAGTCAGAGACACAGATTGTTTCTGGTTAATGACACAGTTAGGCAAGCACCCCGCTCAGTTTCTTTCCCAGGGGATTGTGTCACCCATGAAACCAGATGTGCTTTTCCGTGAGCTACCTTTTATTCCTATGATCCCGTGTGGGGGAGATGCTGTAATAGACCTAGCTGTTCTGCTAGCCTATGGGCGCTCCACTGGTCCTTGGTTTTGGCTTCCAACCAGAGGCTGCTTCCTGAAATGACAGGCAAGGTTGAGACAAAGATGGAGCGGAGCACCTAGAGTGCTTTGGCTGGTCCAGCATTGCCCTCCAGTGTTCAAATGCAGGAAAGTGGGAAACAATGAATTCTTAGCATGAAGTCCTGAGATGGCTGTCTGTGGATTAATGAGGGGGTTCCGGGTGGCTCCCCCAGATGAGGGGTGGGAAAACAGAAATTGGGAGCCAGAGTTGAGAAATAAAAGTGAGGATTAAGATTCATTAATGACAGGGCACCTTGAGAGATAGGCATAGAGAGAAATAGAAACAAAGACCCTGTCAGTTTCCTAACTTGGATTTTGTCAGGAGAAACAGCAATTGTCCAGCAAGATGACCAGGCTCCCCTGGAGATTAGAAAGCATGGTGGTGGCAGTGGAGGACTGGTTGCCTAGAGCTGTATATCCAGTCTTCTCAGTCCACCCTTTTCAAGGTTCTAGGGAGACTTTGATCTAGAATTATTACCTCCAGGTTCAGGGGCAGTCCAGGAAAGAGCACAAATCTCCTGAAATAAAATTGGAGGGAAACATTTGTGCATAACAAACCTTTTTCATTAGATTTGCAAAGAGATCTAGGTCATAAGAAGGTAAGTCTGCATTTTTCCTGGGACTTAAATGTTTTCAGTCTCCTGTCTTACATCTAGGTAGTTCATTAACTCAGCCTTGGAGGGAGGTTTTCTTAACCTCAGGGAGTTCCCCCAGTTGGGTCAATGTCACTGAGATGTCCAGCACAGCAGGACGCTGTCTTGCCTCCCAGATCATGGATCTATATGAGTCAAGGCTGAAGTAGCCTTGGCAGCCAATCTGCTCTTGGCAAAACCTGAAACTAGTACAATGTTTGCGTCTTTCGTTTTGTTTCACCTTTGCACACCTAGATCACCTAGATCACCACTTATCTTATGGTGTCATGGAAACAATGGAGCTTCAGCCCCACCCCAAATCTTCCCCTGCTTTATTTCTTCTAGTTGACCTATGACTTGACTTACTGAACCTTCATCAAGCTTGAAATCCTCTCTGTTCCTGCCCCTGTTGCTCTCCTACCTTGTTCCTCTGCAAAGATAGAGAAATGAGTCAGAGAAACTTCCTGATCACGTTAAAAAACAAATAAAATACCTGATGACTAGTTCAGGAGCTGGGTAACTACAGCATAATGTATAAAAGGTTGAATTGCTCACATAATTGTCTGTAAAGTTCAAGCAGCTTAGGCCTTTCTGTAGAAGACCTCAGTCTTTACCCTATGCACAATTCAAACTGTGGTTCAAGTGCAGGAGGACTGAGAGTACGACACTGAGGATACCTTAGTGACAGGGCTCTTGGAAGACACCACAGTTATAGTAACTCTGCATGTGTGTGTGTAGCACTGTGTGCATGAGTGTGCGGTAAAAATGAAGCTTTGCGAAGTGAATAACTATGTCTTTCCTGCACTATCTCATAACCCCAGTGCCTCCAACAGAGTAAGCACTTGCTTATAAGCATATTGCCCCATAGTACAGTGGTTAAGAGATGATGCTTTGGAATCCAACCATCTAGAATTGTAGCTCTTCTACCATAGTTGTTCAATCTTAAGAAAGTTTCTTAGCCTTTCTGACCTTAGGTTCCTCATCCATAAAACAGGGATGCCTTCACTCCCACACCCAGAACGTCGATGAGGATTAGAGATGATGCATGTGAAGCCCGAGGCATTGTGCCTGACACGTGGTCACTGCTCAGTAAAGAGTAGCTGTTTATGCTATTTCCATGTGTGGGTATGTGCAGATCTCTGTGAGTGTATGAGAGCTTTTCATTTCAGAAAATGAAATGTGCAGGCATGGGGTGGAACTGATTCTCTCCTACATGTCCTTTGCCACTCCCTTCTATAACCGTGAAGACTTTGCTCAAGTTTCCAGGGACCAATGTGCTCTTGAACCCTGTCTGGAAGGGGAACACCTCTTGCATATAAATAAGCTTTCTGTTGAAATGGGCATGAAGGGACAGTGGCTGACCCTCCCCTTCTGCTGTGTGCCCTGATGCTCATTTGACCGTCAGCACCGCTGTCTTCTGCTGTGGACGATTGTGATCGACCCAGTCTTGGGAGCTGCCAATGCAACAGAGAATTAGAGCCTTTGTATTCAATCATCATTGAGAGCCTATTAGGAGGACAAGGTACCATGTGGCTACTCAAAAGGCTGAGAGTCTGGAAATGGCCATGACAGAGGAAAATCCTTTCACTTGGCTGATGGAGGCCAGGTCTATAGCTTTAAGGCAATTGGCACAGATGCTGAGCGAGGGGGGTGCATTCATTTTGTGCTCAATAAAACAACTTTTATTCAGGGATGTGAATTGTTATCTCCTCGGGAAAGGTGAAGGTACAGAAACAGGTTGTAATTCCTTGGAGAATCTAATTCCCTTGTAGCTGGAGACAGAAAGACAGTGAGAGGGAGGGAGAGAGATAGATGAAAGAAGCTCTGTTATCCTAGGAAGTCCTAGGTAATTACCCAGCCTGAATTTCTCCTGGAGCTTCAGGATGGTACCAGATGTGTCCAGGCCCTCTGTGCGCCACCCCACAGAGCTAGCAACCAGAGTCCGTCTCCTCCTCCCGTGGCTGTTCTTCATGTCTGGGAACACATCAAAGGAGGTTTGATGTTCATAACTGCTGTGAGTCATTTTCACATGGAGCTGCGGGGAGCTGCCTGTACTGCTGCATGCTGTATAGCCCTTTGTGAGCGCAGCTGAGCTGAACCAATCCCCTATTATGGGTGAGAGTAGATTCCTCCTGGGAGACCTGGATTGGGTCCACACCCCTGTGCAGAATAAAATAGGACTTCTTATTGAGAAGTAGTTATTAAAACATCCCTCAGTCTTGGCTATGCACCTACACTGCCCACAGGGACAGCTCTGCATGGTCCTTCCACAAGAGTGTGGCCACCTCCAGGCCCTGCTGTTAGTGCCAATAACATCTGAAGCCTCACTGTTTGCCTCACTCCGAGGACAAAGGACATCAACAAGACTCCAACCACCACCCCATTGCTTCTCAATTGGAGAAGGAAATTCTGCTTGCTCCTGTTGAGTTTGGCTGTTGCTGGAAAAAGTGTCCCATACAACTCTCTTTGAGGGCTGGCAGAGGACTGGGAAATTAGCCACAAGACTGTGAGCTGGAATGGGCCTTAGTCATCATCTGGTTCTAGTCCCTCAAATTACAGATGATAAGTGAGGCACAGAGAGGTTAAGCAAGTTGTCTAAAGTCACACAGACAAGTGAGGATTTCTAGCGCAGGAAGTAATTTTCTAAGAGGGGGAGAGAAATCCTGGTAGGGTGAATCTTGCTACTACATTTTCACTGGAGGATGCTTCAGAGGGTTGAATCTGTGGGAAAGCAATGGGGACCAGGAGAGCTGCAGCTGATCTCAGTTTTATACCTCAGTTTCTCTGTACGAAAAATGGCTGTATTATTTATCTTCATTTCAGGACTGTTAAGGGGCTTCATGAGTGACTCTGAGAAGTCCTGAGAGTTCTGGGCTTTCAGGTTAATAAGATAACAGTTTCTTGTTGGGCCTGAGACAAGGACTAGTTGCCTGGACTGAATAATCTGTTCTCTGTTCCTCAGCTACCCTGAAGGCCTTATGAAGCCCCTGGGTTTGGGAGTGTGGAAGAATTAAATAAAGGAATAGTCAGACTGAGTGGTGGGGTTGGAGAAAAGTGTGAGAAGTGGGGAAGTGGGCGCAATCCCTGCCTGCTCTGGACCTGGGAACACTCTCCCAAGAAAAAGTGTGTCTTCCGAGTGAGGCTGTTTCCTGCAGTCGGCAGGACTGGACTCCCTCCTTTTGTTTGGGGCAGCATGGAAACCGTGTTTCCCTATCTATGTGCACCTGAATGCACTCTAGTTATGCTGTATCTTTTCAATTTTGCTGGAGAAGCAAGTGTGGTTTGCTCTTTAAAATTCCCAGAGCTCCCTTTCCCATTTGGGATTTGTGGTGAAAGGTCAGACCGCAGAATTGTCTCGCGGTAATGGGGCTTCTGAATAAATGAGCCCCCGAGGGCTGCCAGGGGGACCAGAGAGCAGCAGACGCCTGCTGGGACTAAGCCCGGCAGCAGAAGCCACAGTGTCCCCCTGGCCACGGAAAAGTGGCCCCAGTGGGCTGCTCCTCATTTTCTGGCAATGTGCCCCATCCCCTGGCATGGTGAAGTCCCACGAGCCCAGAGGCCCACGTCCCGACATCAGTCTTCTCAACTGCTTTCTTCTGTTATTACCTTGTCAACAACAGTATCCGGAGACCTAAAGGATAACTCTGCATGATGATGCAGTGAATGACTGGTTAGGTGCCTCCTGTTTAATAACCAGAGAAATATTGCTGTGCGGCATCTCTCCATATGCTGTGGCATCTGCGTCTGGCATGTAAGGGACTAATTTTCTTCACATATCTCATTAAAGATGTAAAGCAAAATGGAGGGGCTTCCAGCCTAACTCTTGCCCAGCCCGCCTGCAACTCACGTTTCTTACCATCTGCTGCCATCTAGTGGCCACTTGTCTCTTTTCTGCATCTGTTGATTTTATAACGGGGCTGAAGTTTTGGCCCTTGTGAAACAGAGGTAAGACAGTTACATAAAAACCGTAATCCTGGATCTCCTCAGATTCCTCGTGGCAACTGAGGGTTGATTCTCACCCCGTGACATCCACCTAGGCCACCGTGATATTGCCTTCTGGGGCTCGAGAGCCTTCTCCGCTGTGGAGAGATATGCTCTGTGGACTTTCTTACAAATCTGTCCGCATTCCCAACTCTAAAACTGACTCATAAAAACCTGATACACTGGGCAGTTCTTTCCAAAAGGCAAGGTGAATCCTCTGATCTTGGGGCAGACAGAGTCCCACACTCCGTGCTGAAATCCCCCCGATTCTTGAGGAATCCCCAGAGGTTGGGACAGAAAAGGCACCCAGAGGAAGGGAATTCCATGGGTCTTTTCCAACAGCCCACCTGCGCATCTCCACACAAAGTCCTTGTGAGAGGAAGCCCACTTCCATCGCAATTCAGGACTCACTTTTCCGAGGCTGATCTTGTCTGACATTTGCTCCGTGGTCTGTGCTGGCATCAGAGTGTGTTTTCGGCCGTGATTCGTCAGCGTGGGGCTTGGGATAGCTGTGAAACACTCCCCAGGATGGAAAACACAGTGTGACATGGAGGGCTGAACTTATTGCAACTCGTGAGAACGGTGAATGAAGAGCAGACAGGGCCCGTGCCAGCTGCAGGGTTTAGGCACGGGGTGCAGGTGCCTATGCATCACCGTGGGCTCCTCACACGAGAGGATGGGGCCCGCACCTCTGGGCTACGTGCTAGACACAGAGTGATGTTGCTTTTTGTCATCAAACCAAGCAGTTGATATTCTCTTTAAACCTCAGCATGTGTTCATAAATTTCATTAATTGATTCATTCTTCCATATGTACTCAGCTCTAGGATATGCAGTGAAGTAAACACAAAAAACAAGAGTATGACAGTCTCGACCCTTGAGGATCTTATTATTAGAGATGGAAGTAAAAAAGAAGCATAGCAGTCAAGGCTGTATTAATTCTCCATATAAAAAATGTCTAACATACGAAGTAGGGATTCAGAGAAGGGTCACTAGCAGTTACAACAGCTGAAGACTGTATCATGGAAGTAAATATTATAATTCAAACTGCCAAAGGAATTGCAGTTGATGGTGAAATGCTCTCTAAGATGTGTGGCCTCCTAAGCCCCCGAAGTCTAGGCACTCTGCTCCAGCTGTTGTCTCCCTGAGTCGGAAGACAATGGGAGACAGGGGAATCTTCTAGGAACCCATTCATTGACCTGTAATGGTTTTCTTCCCCTCCTTAATATTACTGTTCATTCATTGATTGACATGTTCATCCATTTATTCATTCAAGAAACCTATATTGTGCCAGACCTGGAATTACAGAGATAAATCCAAAAGTATTTCATAAATTTTCACACTAGGTTGCCACTGAGTTGGAGCTTCATAGAACAGAGACAAGCCAAAATCACTAAAAATTGCTGTCTCCATCTTCAGGCACTTGTGTTAGTTTCCCGTTGATTCTCTGCTGCTTTTAGATTATCTGCCCATGGGGTTCTTTCGCTTTCTCTCTGCTGACCCCAGTGTTCTGCTGTGTTTTTTCACAGTCCGTTCATACCCTTACCTCTGGAGGTGAGGGTGAGACAAGGTTCCTGGTACTTCTAGTCAGCAGGGATGATGGTCAGAGAGAACATTTTATTGGTCATGTGGAAATAATCTAAGCACAAACAAACAAATAAAAGACCTCTGCTTTAGTCTTGATTAAAAATCCCACTAGTTTGCAATGGTGTTTGATATGCCTTGTGAGGAAGAAATTCTATTATGTCAAATTTTCAAAAGTCTGTGCTGCTGTGATAAAGATACTTACATTCCATAACCACAGAGTTCAGTGAAAAGGGGCTGTTAGGAGACCAGACAGTTTGGGGAAAGGTTTTATGTAATTTAAATTTACAGAGGGTTGGCCTCTCCTTGTGTTTACTGACAAGGAACAAGAAGCTTCAGTATCAACTCCCTAGGAATATAACCTTTAACAGCAAAGCATTTGATCAAAAAGAGCTCAGAAAAGTATTATATTGTTCACTTAATCCTCAGAATGTTTGTGTAGGAAGATAATTTGTTTAGTTGAATGATAAATCAACTCACAACCTTTTATTACTTAACTGATTCCTTTCTTTCTCTCTGATGTGGTCTTTTCTTTCAGTCAGAAGAACTTTAGACCCTCCTGGTTTTCCCCCTCCTCTCCCTTGGGCCTACTTTTTTCTTAGCAAACCACAAGAAATAAGGGTCCATAGTAGGCATTGCCCAGGGCTTGGTTTCTTTGCCAGTCCTGTAGTTGGACATTTATATTCTGGAGACAGAGGCTTCCGGGGAGCAGTTGGTATCAGATGATTTATACATTTCTGTGAGTGCTGAGACACAAGATCCAGCTGCTTGTTGGCTTAGCTGTGTCGTAGAGTTGGGCTGGATTACCTTGGTCTTATTCATAGTGCCTGGACAAACAGGCAACCCTCCATACACTATCAGCTCCAGGTCTTGGAACCAAAGTGAAGCCAAAGATCAGAGTCTGTGTCTTCCTTCCCTCTCTCTTCATTTCTGGAAACATCACAAGAAAGAAGAGAAATTCTGCTCAATTTCATGGGATTGTGAGGGTGTTGTCATTTGGAGTCTAATGTGGATCAGTGGGAACCACAGCCCGTGAGCTTCCCACATCTCCCTTGATCCCCCGTCATGTCATGTCTTCTCTGAGCTTAACTGAGTTTAACCCCCAACTTGCAAGCCAGGAACTGGGGAACGGAATTTAATTTTCCTTGTGCATCTACTGCATGCCTTCAACTTCCCCACAACACTGACTCATATAACTTTCACAGCCAACCAAGGTATGTATTACGTTCTCGTTTTATGAACAAAGAGGACCTAGGAGGTTAAGTAACGTTCGCAAAGTTTTAGAGCTAATTGTGCTAGAGATAGAACTTGAATCTAGATATAAAGTTCTGACAATTTCTATGACCATATACAGCGAAAAGGAAGGAGTAGGCCAATTCTCCTTCTTCCTCTACCTACCACTGTCTTTGTGAAAGGGTCAAGCAATGCTGGGAGGGAGGAGATTCCTTAGCTGTGTCCTTTCCCAGTAGCTCCACTCCCCAGGCCTCCACCACATGTCATGAATCTAATCACTCCAGTGGTCAGCTTCAACTTTCAGCAGGTGCTGGGATTTGGCCAGGGCTTGCCCTGGTAGTCATGTGAAGGGAACAGCCCAGTCACTGTCACATCCTTAGCAGCCCGCTGTCACTCCCAGTGTCCTTAGGGCCAGAACTGACCAGCATCCCAGAAATTCCTGAGCTGAATCTTGTTCCCAGGGACTACTGAACCCCTGAGAAGGAGGGTGGGGGAGAGCCAGATACCCCCACCCACCACTGTGCTTTATCCTCTGACAGGCTGGACCCGAGTGAGGAAGATCAGTGGCAGGAGTGACCTCCAGCCAGACTCCTTCTGCCCTTCACTTTCCCACAATGGGAGGGTGGACCCGCTTGCTCTGGGCCAGTTTCTCATGGGCTTCTCTGAAGCAGGTACTTGCCGATGTGGGAATCCCCATACTCTCAGGGGACCCTGAGATGTTGGGGACTTCCACCCCTCAGAAGAGGGAGGTGATAAAGTTGGCTGGGACCTGCAGGCTCGTCAGCCTCAACTACGTAACAAGTGGCAGGGCTTGCCTGCTTGTGAGAGGCTCTGTTGTCTTTGGAACAAGTTGAAGGAATTGACATTAATATTTTTGAAGTAAACATAGGCCCTGGAACTCAAGGCACAGGCCAAGCACCCCTCAGGTAAAGCTGGGGCCAAGGTGAAACAAGCAGATGCAGGAAGTGCAGCAGACGAGTGGCCAGAGGACAGGTGTAAACCCCAGAGAACTGGTCAGGACTGACTGCAGAGAGGGTGGCAGACACCGTCACTTCTGGCACAGGCTCAAAGGGGTTTGCAAAGAAAGAAAAAGGAAGAAGTGTTAAGACAGTCTGACGGGTGATGAGTGTTCTATTAGGGTGGGATTTTTGCATGTGGGAGAGGACTTCTGATTGGTTTTCAAGTAAACTTTTCAATCTTTGATTCGTTTACTATGTATTGGTAATACATGGGGATTTTCCAGGCTGGGTAGGCCCATACGAGTTTTCCAGTTTTCACTGAATTTGAAAATATGGTCGTCTGCTTTGGGTCTGAGTCTCACATAAGCAATTCTCAACCCCAACTCTGCCTTCTAATCTTAGGTCTTGGGCAAGACTGTTAACCTTTCTGGGCCTCAATTTCCTTGTCTATAAAAGAAAAGGGTTAAACTATGTGATCATCTGGAAACCAACTCTAGGTGCTGAGAAGGCAGAGGTCCCTTCCAGGTGGCCCACCCCTTCCTCGTCCCCTGCAGTCCTCAGGCAGCAGGCTGCCCTTCTGCAATCAGTTTACTTCTGGAAGCTGCTGTAGATACTCAGCCTAATTGGATTTTCCGTGTGTAAAGATGTGAGTAGAGTCACAGAGAGGTTTCCTCCAGGCTCTGAAGGCCTCCAGGATCACTCTGGATGACAAATAGAATTTAATCAGTTGATCAGTGTGCCTAAATCCTCTTGTCATGGTGGTGATGTTTGCAGTTCAATTTCATTTTTATAGAATAAGGGATTCAGTGATTTGGTGAGAAAGGGAGGTGTTTCTTTTGTAACCATGATATTGCCATATTATTTAGCCCCGATTTGAGTGTGGTTCTCTGTTGAGCACCATCCCCAGTGCATTAAATGGAAAGAAACTTCTCTCTTGAAGCTTCCAGTCTGAATCAGCAAGGTGGTTCTCATATGAAAGGTAGACAGATATACAGGCTAGTGCAAAAACACCAAAAAGTTAAACCTGCCTTCCCATGAAGTTGCCATATCTTTGACATTGTGAACAAGCACCAGCAGACAAGTGAGCAAGGAATTAACCATGAGAGTAACATTCCTGTCCCAAATTCAGAGCCATTAATGGTTCAGGAATAGGTCTAGGAGTGCCGAGGTCCTTAGCTGGCACCATCAGCCTACTCCTCTCCCTGATGGATGTGAATAGAGGAAGGAAGGAGAGATTCTTTAATAGACAACTACTGAACAGGAATTTTACATTTACTCTTCTTTTCTACATCCCACTTTTGTAGATGAAGAACCTGAGGCTCACCTTGCTTAAGTGACTTGAGCAGCTTCACGCATCTTGTAAGTAGTAGAGACAGAGTCAAAACCAGATCTTCCTGCCCTCTCTATCATATAAACCACTTACACTGAATTACAAAGTGAAACTGATCTATGGTGAATTGTACTAATGTTCTGCTTCTGCCATGGGCACCAGAGGAGATACCTTTCTTTGTTGACACTAATCTCAAAGGCTAAATTAGATCCCCCAAACTCATTTCCATTAATAACATGTCAAAGGCTTGTGTCATGCGTTAATTTATCCAAAGTGATCTTGATTCTATTTACATTTTGGTGCCACCTTTTAATGTCACCATTTTTATAAATTAAATATGTAATATATAAAGCCAGTCTTCACTTACTGATATGTTAATTTTTAACCCAAACTTCTTAGTCTGACATTCCAGCAATACCGGAGCATTGACAGTTGATAATAGCTCTATGTGCTACCTCTCCAAGAAACAAATTTGCATTTTAACCTGCCCCTTCAATGGCTGAACTTCAAAGGGTCACTGATGAATGCCACAGCAGGTTGGTGGGAATATAATTCTTTTTATGGATAATATTTGTGTGTGTATGTGTGTGTGTGTGTTAAATCCTACCACATAAGTCACTAACCTATGGGTAAGGCCAGTCTTGACCTAAAATGAGGAATTCTGTAAAATTTCAAATGCAAATCACATTTTATTTTTGATGTTAGAGAAAACTGCAAATTGGAACAGCAGAGCTGTGCCTCTGGCCATTTCCTGGAACTACAGAGGAGCAACTTGCCCCGGTTTCCAGTGGGTGATGTTCCTCTTCTGCCACAGTCCCTGGCGATGTTGATGTGATTGCCATCAGAGCTCAGAAGCACAGAGCAGAATCATCCCCTGGAGGAGGATTCCCTTCAGTGTAAGAAGTTCTTACAGAATTAATCCTCAAAGACTGTGGGTGGACTCTGCCAGGTTTTTCCCCGGGTGTACCAGAAGAGAGGAAGAGCCCTCAAATACAGGAAAGTGCTCTTTTCAGTGACAGTAGTTCTTTTGGGCCCTGTGGCTAAGTGTGCTCCCACCCCAGCAGTAAGATCACAGCTAATCCTGAGAGGCAAGAGCTCACACCAGGCTACTGAAAGAAAAAGTGTCCTTTGTGGATTGCAAGAGGAACTGGGACACACTGCTGGAAATGAAGTGGCAGGTCATAAACTATCATAAACTCAGGAGGAGAGGTGTTCCTTTTTGAGACACTCATCACAACTAGAGAGAATGCAGCTAAGAAAATGCAGTCTTTAGGGGGACCTGGACTGTTGAAGTATTTGAGCTATTCGGAGGAAATAGAAACTTGGAAGAGATCTTTGTTCCACTATTATTTGGCAGCCCCTTACCCGCAGCTGCCATTACTCCAGATTCTCTCTGATGATCCTGCATCAGGAGAATGAGTTGACTGGGCACCACTGGGAAATGTGGGCAGCTCCAGGCTGAACTAGAGAAGGGGCATGTCAAAGGTCACTTATTTGTGGCTTGACCCTTTGGAGGCCAGATGTAAGAATCAATTTCTCACAGGTCCCATGCTAACGCTTTTCATATTTATTTCCATCTGAGACTCACTTAGGCTAGGCAAATATCCCATGGGTCTGTACCTCTCCAGTGCTTTCTTGCTCATGTAAAATTAGCTCATTGGAATGAATAAAGAGAATGGTATTACTTTGGCTCGAACACGAATGAGCACTTTCACTTTGTCATAGTGTAAATATTAAAGTTGTAAGAGACAGCCCAGGGACCAACTATTTTTTTTTTAAAGATCCAAGTGCTTGCATAGTTTCTAAAATTCTACACCGGGGAACTATATCCTCATTCAGCACTGAGACTCCTTGGTTCCCTAAAACCAAAGTCTCCAGGTGCCTTCAGGGGCCAACCAAGATGGAGCTCCTTATAGACCCATGCAATGTCAGAACTGGAAAACTTAGAAATCTTTCAGTCCACCCATCATTTTATGGGTGGCAAACTGAGATCCAGAGAATGCTCAAATCTCATAATTAGCTATGAAAGGTTATGATTAAAATGCAAATTTGGGGCCTCCAATTTGGTCCTCTTTTCACTCTCCTTCTTGCTGGGGAAAGAACAGTGATTCCTTGATTGGCAGAGCAGAAAATATCTTCAGTTTTTAGGATGACTTTATTCCCCTAAAGAGTATCTTTGTCACATCTCCTCCTTGTCCATTTTTAGAGACTCTACAGTGTTTAGCTACTGGTAGATTTGTTCTAGTGGATCTGGTACAAATCTTATAGAAATATCTACAATTATTCCATGTTATTCTGAAATTATTCATACAGCATTTCTTCTGTTTTATTAGCCATTTTTAAGGGAGAAGGAACCTAAGATTAATTGCTATGGCTACATGTCATGCTCACCAATGAACTCACCTCATTTTAATCCTCATGATCTATTATAGTAGGAATGCTTGTTGTACATAAGTATTCAGGATTACTGAATCCACTTGAATTTTTTGAGGACAGTGGCCAAATACAATTCTGTGGTCAATTTAGGCTGCTCCTACTGTTCCCTGATGTTAGGCATTTTCTTCCACTAGGTCCTCTGGAAGGATGAAAAACAAGGCATTATTATACTTTTGAATAAAAATGGTTTGCCAAACAGATTATGTTTGTAGTTTGTGCTGTTGAACAGAAATAATAAAGAACTCTACTTGAAGTCTGAAACAAATTCAGGAAAAAATTAAAGGCAGTTTTATTTTACATAGTAGGGAGTAGATTTTAGGAACTCCTTGCTCCTGGGGTAGAGCATATGAATGTGTATTCTAGAGAGATTCAGACAAATTCACTTATGTTAGACAAATGACTTTAAGGGAAACTAGGAATGTTTTCAGGGCACATAACCTTGTATTTAAAAGATACTGTTATTAGATCATTTTTTCTCATTATAAAAATATGTTTTCATTGAAGAAGAAATTGTGGTTTACATACAATTATAAAAAGAAGAGGAAGAAGGAAATAATCTATTATCTCACTACCCAGAGACAATAACTACATCATTTTGGCATATTTCCTTTTAGTCTTTGGTCTTAAGTATATTTTCTGACATTGTTGAGGCCGTTTTGTACATTCAATTTTCTGTTAACTTTATTTTCCCCCATGTAATTTAAAACTCTTGAAAATCTAATTTTTAATGGTGGCATAGTATTCTACTGGGTAGATGTTGCTCAATTTGCTTAACTGTTTCTCTAGTGTTGGATAGTTATGTTATTTCAAATTACGTGAAAGTATGAAAAATATTTAATGAACATTTTGCTTATATAAAATCTGCTCAGAAGACCCTTTTAATGATAGATTTCCAATATTTGGGTCAAGAGGATGACTATTTTAAAAGCTGTTGATACCTAATGCCAAATAATCTACTGTTATACTGTATCAATTTGCAATCATAGCAGTAAAAATGTAATTGCTCTTAATATGCCGAATTTCATCAGCATTAGATTGTGATTGTTTAAAAATAGTTGTTAACTTGATATGAATTATAGCTGTCTTCATTGCATTTTAAAATTTTCAGTGTTTTTTTTCAAATATTCATTAGTAATTTATACACAATTTTTGTATCCGAATTTTGCCTATATATCCATCAGGCTAGTGTTGTCCTTATCCTTTTATATACACTTTTAATATATTAAGCATATTAACATTTGACTGTTATACAGCTCACATACCTTTTTAATTTTTTTTTTTTTTACTAATTTGATACTGATTTTTTAATTCAAACATTTTTAGATATTTGGGAATCTTTTAACTTTATGCACTCAAACTTACATATACTATATATCTCTGAAATTTTGTTTACTGCCTTTACACTTAGAAATTGATTTTCTATCCTGCTGCAGAGGAAGAGGACAACATTTAGATATGAAAGGAATAGCTGGTGGAAAGACTTGGTTTGGGGCTGGATTGGAGTTGATTGTATTAGTTGCTTTGATCTCTAGGTGTCTCCTCCCCATTACCATGCTTCAGGAACCACCTTGGTACAACAAAGAGAACCATTTATCTCAGTGTGATAAGGCTCTTACCGGGCTGAGAAGATAGAGAATCTGTAGGCTGATAGTGAGAGACAGTGAATGTTTTTCTAATTAAATTAATGCATGAAGGGAGAAGACACAATGCCTCCCACTTCCGCAAGAAAAAGAATCTAAGTTCCAACTTGACTCTAGCATTATGTGTCTAAGGAAGTCATAATTCCCAGGAGGACAGTGTCAGCACTGTCCAGAGGAGAGAGGTGTTAAAACTGGATGCAGGTAAAATCCAGTTAACAGAGAGGCAATTTTTGTTGGGAGGTTGGGATTCTTCATAGTGGTTTTTTAGATTTAAAGAAAAATGTACAACCCCCTCTCTCGAGCCGTTTACCTTTCTATGTTCTCAGCAAGCAAATTTCTTATCAGTAATTTGGCTTTTAAAGTATCATGATAATAAGGAGGAGAAGGGAGAGACCAGAAGAGCAAATGCATTGGTATTTGAGGTTAAGCCTGAATCTCGTCTCAATTTACATAGCAGAAGCTTACCTCTGATGGGCTGATCCCCTCTGGGTTTACTAAGAACATTCACCTTCTTGAACATACAGACGAGGACCAATTACTCAACCAAGATACTGCCATGAGGAGTTTCCTCTAGCCATCAGGAAATCCTACTACCACCCCAAAGCCATTTGGAAAACAAGTGTTTTTTTTTTTTGTTTGTTTGTTTTTAAGTGAAGGGAAAAAATATTAATGGATTGGGGAAAGACCAAGTAGAATTCACTAATCCTAATGAAACTAATAAATGGAGCAGTCAGGAAAGAAATAGATATTAATGCCACCTTTCAAAACTTTAAAAGGAGAGGCGTAACCAGGAAAACAAAATACAAAATAAAAAATCTGCTCAGATTTTTTACAAAAGAGCTAATGTTGTAAGGTTTTCACCTCAATTCATCCCTTGAGCAAACACATTTCTGTCAATGGTGGAAAGTTATGGAGAGAAGATGCCAATGACCTGTGCACTCAAGTGTCAGGGGGAGAAAAGGCTGGACAGCAGGGATGTGTGTGTGTGTACGTCTGTATGTGGATGTACACACTTCTACATGGGAATTTGTAAAAAAAATTTTGGTTAAGATTGTGGACTCTGAGACAGATATCTGGATTCAAAGTTTGATTGTAACCCTTACGGGCTTGGTGAATTTGGGCAATGTACTCAGTTCCTCTGAGGCTTGGTTTCGTCATCTGTGAAATGGGAAAAATATTATTAGCATCATAAGGTTAATAATAAGTTTACATGATACAATATATGACACATGACAAAGTGCTTAGAAAAATGCCAGTCACAAATCCCCAATAAAGGTGGACTTTGTTATTTGCATAGGTATATGCATGCAAATATACGATGGTGAAGAAGAAAACCTAAAAAACAAAGTTTAATTATGCAAGTAATATGCTAATACATCCTTATTATAAAAATAAAAGCATTGCAATTAAAACCAAACTCTCCACTGACTGTTCTCCCATCCCACAATATAATTCCCTCTTCCACAGGTACTAATAACAGGGAATTCATCAATGTACTTACAGTCCTTTTGCTGTGCAATATTTAGGGTTTATACTGTACAATATTTTTATCAACATAAATAGCATAATACTGTATATATTATTCTGCAACTTGCATTCTCAATCAATAATGCATTTTGGCAATCTTCTCTTTTCATTATATGTAGATTCGTGTCATTATTTTTAATATATGGAACATAGACTTATTATAACCTGTGATATCACTTTTTACTATATGATTATGTTATTTCCAACTTTTTATGGCCCCAAAATTGCTGCTTGTTCATGCTTTCTTTTACAATAAGAGTAATGCCAAGACTGGGACGCAGTAATTGCTAGGTCATAGAATACATTCCTTTCCAATATGAATATTTACTAACATATATTTTTATGTTGTGATGGGAAAGATATCTCACCTATTTTCCTTGCCACCAGGGTAAAGTGGTATATTAATTTCCTTGTATTGTATATTGTACTCGAGATAGATAACTTGTTAATTATCTTCTAATGTTAACATTTATTCTTTTACAAATTTCATTTCATCATAAAATTAATATGTGCTTATTACATTGAAAATTTGGAAAATACAAAAGAGTGGAAGGAAAACAATCCCCGTATTCCTATGAGGTGAGATGTTCGATACCCAAAAAATGGCGTACTTTCCTAGGAAATTTTTTAAAAACTATAATTTGGTAACAACTAATGTTAAAGATCAGGTTACTAGTATGCTGTTTTGAAATTAACAAGGTAATAAGTTACGGCTTAAAGATACCAATATTTTACATTATTTGAATTTCTGTTGGAAGAATTTAGGAATCAAAAAACTCATGTATTTTATATATTAGTTACAAAGTTAGTATTCCACATTTATGAACTTTTTGTCCTTTTTTGAATAGTATTCTTTTTACAGAGACAAAAAGTTATCATTACTTTTAAGATGCTTCTGAGACCTGTATGGAAATTATAATAGTAACAAGAATTATTTAAAAATTGAATTTAAAAGTTATTTGTGATATTTATTATACTTGGAATATATGCATCTCTAGAATTTTCATGGGTCTTCATAATTTTATGGAGTTAAAAATGTGTTTTCAATGGAATGGTAGTCTAAAACATGTAGTTGGGCAGCATAAATTATGTGAAATTTAAGTAATGTGATATAAAAATTAATAGCCCATATATTCTGAGAAGAATGGGTAATTTTGTGGTTCTCATCAAACTTAAATGAGATTTGCGTAATTTCAGTTGGTGAACAAGCTAAAGGAATCGTAGATTGTTTTTACTCCTGCCACATGGTGGAGCTACTTCAGCTTTAATGGAAAGAACCAGCCATTGTTAGTATGGTATGTTCCACCTGTTGCTTTATGAGCATTTCTATAAGAGATCTTGGTTATTTTATGCTATTATGTTTAATAATCACTTAAATAATTTCAAATTGTTTTACTTCTTTTTATATTAGCATTCATTAGGAGTTGGTACTAAAGCTCATGCTGGAAAATGTGCATTCAGATACATAACTTTTCACAGATGTTAGCTATAATTCACTCCCACAGAAAAAGCCAAACAACTCCCTTGATGTGTTTTACCACTAATTTAGAAAAGAGCAGTTGCTAAATATTGTAGATAATGCTAAGAAAATAAAGAGCGGCATCAAAACAGAAATGTGCTACAAAGTTGTAGGTATTTGGGCTCTGTGAACCAGTTCCCCACGGAAACATAAGCCTTAAATTATGCAAAATTATAAGGAGTACATACCCCTCATAAAACACAACTAACTCACGTTGGGGCTGAAAAACTATAAGCAAACACTGTCACAATATTTTGATGCCCTGCTTTGCTAATACTAATAGTTACTTTAATACTAAGTGAAGGCCTAATAATGTCAAGTAATTTGAATATAAAACAGTCATTGGAAAATAGAATCATAACAAGTTAGATGCTGTAAGCATGGGGAACTCAATGAATGATTGGTGCTAAATTCCCCATTCACATGGCTGTACTGTGTAGAGCTCATCTTTTGTATAAATCACTGTACTACAGTTGATTAGCAATAGTAAAGAATGCTTCATTAAAAGTTAAAAATATTTCTTTCAGTATTGTACTATTGGTGCACAGTAAATTGATTGGCCCATCAAGTGAATTAATTAACAATTCAATATGAATTTGTTTCAAACAAAGGAAAACAAGCATGAAAATTATGTACAAAATGAGAAGAATCAAGTTAATAAGCAAAACCCAGCACCACGTATATATCTTTCATCTATTAAACTCAAAACTGGTGACTTAAATGATGAACTGGATAAAGAAAATGTGGTACATATACACCATGAAATACTACTCAGCCATAAAAAAGAAAAAAGTCACATCCTTTGCAGCAACATGGATGGAGCTGGAAGTTCTTATCCTAAGTGAATTAATGCAGGAACAGAAAACCAAAGGCTGCATGTTCTTACTTATAAGTGGGAGTTAAACATTGAGTACACATGGACACAAAGAAGGGAACAATAGACACCAGGGCCCAGTTGAGGGTGGAAGGTAGGAGGAGAGTGAAGATTGAAAAATTACCTATTGGGTACTATGCTTATTACTTGGGTGACGAAATAATCTGTATCTTGTCAAACCCCCATGACATATATTTACCCATTCCACAAACCTGCACCTGTACCACCTAAACCTAATATAAAAGGTGGAAAGAAAAAAACCTGGTGATTTAGTTTTAGCCAAGTATTATCATTACATTAAATTAAAATTATTTATTGAAGTTGTAGTGGTTTTGAAGCTTTGTGAATGTTTAATTTATATTTTTAAATTGTTGGCATAAGAGCAATAAGCATATAGAGTTTATAAATCATATTATGTTTCTACATGTTTAAATAGTATTATGTTAAAACTAATTTAGTTTACCCTAGGGCCTCTGAAAATTACTTGTCTTTTAAGGAGCTGTATCTGACTCAAGTATGCTATTGGTCCTGGGAACTTTGAGTTTCTTTTGCAGACAGCTTTTCTCTTTTGGTCTGCCTGGAAGAGTCCCTGGAAGGGACTGTGGCTGAAGTCCACATCATAGAATTTATGCTGTTATTTTTGATAATCACTTAAAATAATTTCAAATTGTTTACTTTTATATTGGCATTCAGTAAGAGTTGGTGCCAAAAAGCTCATACTGAAAGATGTGCACCAAATACATAAATTTTAAATACTTGTTAGTTATAATTCTGTGTTCAGGAGGCAGATACTTGAGGAGCACTGTGTAGCTATTGCACAGAGGCAGGTAGCTGAGACTTTGAGCGGGGGAATGATGGTGAGCAAAGAGCAAAGGTAAGCCTCTTTACTGAGCTGGGTTACGAATCTTCTACTTCGTTTCTCTCTTTCTTTCATCGGAAAAGGTACTGTCTGAGAGACCAGCACCATTTGTATAAAATAGATCAGAATGAAGTTCTCTACATTTTAGAATTCAGAGGGCTGAGGCCTTGGCTCAGTCTCCTCTTGGTATTCACCCTCATTCAGGGAGACAGTCTAATATAGAAATTGGGCCTTTTGTTCATCATCTCCTATAAATTTCTTTTTATCTCCAAAAGGACTCCTCGTAGATCTAGATTGATATCCTCATATTTGAGAGGAAAGTTCCTGTGTGCCCCTCTGTCCCTCTCCAAGCATCTCCCAAATCCTAGGTCAGTTGCAGCCATAAAGATCACCAGTGAACCCGTGGAGCATCTGTACTTTTCTTTCTGCCCACATTTGCTATCTTCTGAGATTTAGAAGTTGTGCTGGATTATGCTGGTCAACTTGCTTAAGCAGACAACTGCATTTCTCAGAATCCCCTTTCATGTATCGCTCTGTATTAGCATTGGCTAAGAGATGAAATGGGAAAAGAGTTAGAACACAGAAGTGGTAACTATTACTCTTAGGAAGTCACTGTGGTCACATACAGTGATGGACAGAGGGAGAGATGCTTGGTAGGTCCCATATAGTCCTTGCTTTCCTTCACTCTGCATCCAGCGAATCTTTCTGACTCTTGGCTCTGCTGAACAACAGTGACTCGAGACCCATCACCAACTACTTGGCTGTGGACCCACAGAAGTGGTTGCTACAGACAGGTAACCACTCTCCATACAGTTCTTCATGAGCTCCCCTTCACAGTCCCACTTTGGTGGTTGAAAGTGTTTAGCTTCCTAGATTTCCCCCAAGCCCCAGCCTGTCTGGTCCATCTGTGCTACTGCATAAGATAGACAGGTTAATGACCCTTTTTCTGATCTTCTGACTCCTTCTTCCAGACCTTTCCTTCTCTAGCTTCTCTCACATTTGTAAGGTCTGATTCCACAACGAATCCACTATTCCTATATTCTGTATCATTCACAGTGGTTCTGCTTCCCTGACTGACTCTTAACTGACACAACTATTGGTGTTGGAAGTGAATCCAGAGATAGAATTTTAAGGATGGGAATTTGGTGTTGATTCTCTGATTCGATGAAGCATTAGTGACTATACTGCCAATGGTAAATGGGACACAGTAGTCCTTGATATCAAGTGCTTATAGAAGGCAAGGTGTTAGATTACCAGGTAGATGCTGCCATAGACCAATGTAGTGGAAGTAAGGAGTATGAGGACTGGAGTTTGTGGGTTGCTTCAAAGTGTCACAGAGAATATGGAGAAAAAGAAATAAACTCAGAGTGTTGAATGTTCAGTTCAAGATGCAGGCAAGGGACTGAAAAGTCTTTGTGACTACTCTGAAAGAAACTCTTATCTCTCATAGCTGCAAGATCTGATATTTCAAAAAACCAAGCCCAAAGACTGATCCTGCAGCTAGCTAGATTAGAACATCAATTCAATTGAAGGTCTTACAGTTAAAATTAGGGCTTTGATTGGGACAGAGCTGGCAGGCTGTATCAGGGCAGGAACAAAATGATGAGGTACCATGCCTGCCAAAAGGGCTGCAGGATTTTTCTAATTTATATTTACATTCCAAAAGTTTAGACTGTAATTTCTCCTTCTTTCCTCCCCTGAAAATTGAGATGGCAACATGTAGGCAGATTCTTTGGAAGCTGAGAACCTTGAAAGCCCTGTCTCCTTTCCCAGCAGAAGCAGCCTTTCCCTCTGAGGAGTTTAGTCCTCCCTTGATTGAAAAGGCTGTAAGGACTTACTCTGTGGAAAATTGCTGAGACCCCTCAAGACTCACCCCCAACATCTTTCACTGTTTGTATGCCTATAGCTAGACTCAACTCCTGGCAACCCATATCAGGGCAGGAACAAAATGATGAGGTACCCTGCCTGCCAAAAGGACTGCAGGATTTTTTCTAATTTATATTTACATTCCAAAAGTTTAGACTGTAATTTCTCTTTCTTTCCTTCCCTGAAAAGACCTAAAGCCATTTGCCAAGGTCATAGTGCATTTGGGAAGGGTAAATAACCAGACCTTTGGGGGATTTCTGGACATTGGCTCTGAAATGATACCAGTCCTTGGAGACACAATATGCTACTATTGCCTATTTACCAGAGTAGGGGTTTATTGAAGCTGAATGATTAATGGTATTTTGGCTCAGGTCCATCTCATATTGCATCCAGTTAGCTCTGAACTTACCCCATGGTTATTTCCCAAGTTCTAGAATGCTTAACTGAAGGAGGCACACTCAGGAAAGGCAGAATAACTACATTGATTATCTGATCTGAGGAGTGAGGACAAGTAGAAGGCATTAGAACTGCCTTTGTATTCCAAACTAGTAAATCCACAGCAGCACTGCATTCTGTAGAGACTTGTAGAGATTAGTGCCTCTATAAAAGATTTAAAAGATGCAGGGCTGGTGATTTTCACCACACCTCCATTCAACTCAACTATCTGGCCTGTGCAGAAGACAGATGGATCTTGAAGAATGACAAAGGATTATTGTAAACTTAATCAGGTGGTGAGTACAATCACAGCTGCTGTTCCAGATGTGGTTTCATTGCTATAGTAAATCAATATATGTACATCTAATATATGAATACTGATATGGGAAGTCATTTTTTCCTCTATATACATGTTAGTAGAGACTATCAGAAGCATTTTTCTTTCATCTGGAAGGGTGAAACAAGGTACCCTCCTTGTTTCACCTCAGGGTTATATCAACTCTCCAACCCTGGCCTATTCTATTCCACAGGAAATTGATTGCCTCTTCATTTCACAACACACCACATGGATCCTCTACACTGGTGGACCAGGAAATCGCAACTACTTTAGACACCTTGGTAAGACCCATAGAGGCAAGAGGTTGTGAAATAAATCCCAGAAAAATTTAGAAGTTTGCTCCTTCAGGAACTTTCTTGGGGTTTCATGGTCTGGGGAAAGTTGAGATATCTCTTTCAAGGTGAAGTTCAATGCTACATCTGGTCTCTCCTACCATAAAGAAAGAGTCCCAATTTCTGGTGTGCCTCATTGGATTTTGGAGGCAACATATCTTATTTGGGTGTGTTGTTATAGTCTAAACCTATTTGCTGAATGAGTAATCTGAAAGGCTTCCAGTTTTGAATAAGGCCTGGCGAAAGACAAGCCCTTGTGAGAGGGTGGCAAGCTTCCCTGCCACTTTGGTCATATGACACATCTGATTCAGTGGTGCTTAAAGTGCCTATTGAGCTTTTGGCAGGCCTCTTAGGTAAATTCCAGAACAGACTTTTAGAATCTGGGAGCAAAGCCATGCCATACTCTGCAGATAACTTTTTTTTTCTTTTTTCTTTTTTTTTCTTTTTCTTTTTCTTTTTTTTTTTTTTTTTTTTTGAGAAACAGCTCTTGGCTCTTTGCTGGATCCTAGTATTTGACCATGGACCATTAAGTATCATGTGACCAGAAATGCCCCCTATGAAATGAGTATTGCTTAACCCACCACCATGTTCTGTTGGTTATAATCAAGTCACAGAGCCAGTCCAGATCAAGGGGAAGGAATTATGCAAAATTCCGAATACTGAGAGACATAGTTCATTGGAAGACCATCTTTGGAAACCAGCAGCTATCACAGTTTCCTTGGATATTTTCTGAATAGAGAGATTCTTACATTAATAACTGTTCTCTTCACCAATAAATATTTATGGAGAACATACAGTATGTGCAGAACCTGAACATAAGTGGAAGAAACAGGGAAAGCATTGCACCTTCCTCAAAGTTTGTGCATTCTACCATGAAATATTCACACTAACATTGAAGCTAAGAGTAGGCTGGAAATCCCAGAAGTGAAAATTAATATACTGGTACTGATGGTCAATGGGTGTATTATAGCTCTCTGTGGTGAAATAAATAGATTGATAATGGGCTTCTGTATATAGTTGTATCAACAATAAAACGATGGAATGCTTTCTAGCTCAAGATTTTTACAACCCAATGATCCTTAATCTGGTAACTCATTCCTCATAAGACTCATTCCTCATAAGACCTGCTTACCTCAAAGAATTGTTTATGAGGATACGTTAAAATAAGTATCAGAAAGGACCTTGTAAACTATAAACAATGGTACAAATGTAAGAGACAGTTATTGCATTTTCAAAAAGAACTCATAATAGGCGTGATGTAAATATTTGTTGAATAAATGAATGAGAAAATAAAATAAATTCTTGAGACAAATTTAATATATGGTTACCTGAACTATTGTTATTTTTCAAGTTCAGCCTCATTATACTTGCCAATTCTTGGTGTTTGTGTCTTAATCCCTTTTTTTTGTCCCATATTCATGGCTTGGGAAGAAAAATAAGCAGATGAAAGGAAAATTAAAGTCAGAGAGACAGTGTCATATTTAGGTGATAAATAACATCATTTACTTATTTATACATGTATCAGATCTTTATTCATTTGTTGAATAATTCAGACAAAGTCCTGGGCTTTTTGATACTTAGATTCTTTTATAAAAAATGACTTTTATTTTATTTTAGTTCAATAATTTTTTGGGGAACAAGAGGTTTTTGTTACATGGGTCCATTCTTTAGGGTGATTTCTGAGATTTTGGTGCACCCGTTCTCCCCTGAGTCTCCAGAGTCCATTATATCATTTTTATGCCTTTGTATCCTCATAGCTTAAATCCCACTTTTATAGGTGAGAATATACAATATTTGGTTTTCCATTCCTGAGTTAATTCACTTAGAATGATGGTCTCCAGCTTCATCCAGGTTGCTGTGAATGCCATTATTTCATTCTTTTTTATGGCTGAGTAGTATTCCATGGTATATATGTGTATACATTTTCTTTATCCACTCGTTGGTTGATGGGCATTTAGGCTGGTCCCATATTTTTGCAGTTGTGAATTGTGCTGCTATAAACATGCATGCACAAGTGTATTTTTTGTATAATGACCTGTTTTCCTCTGGGTAGATACTGAGGAGCAGGCTTGCTGGATCAAATGGTAGATCTACTTTTAGTTCTTTGAGGAATCTCCACACTGTTTTCCATAGGTTTCCATTCCCACCAACAGTGTAAAATTGTTCTCTTTCACCACATCCATGCCAACATCTTTGATTTTTGGATTTTTAAAAAAATTATAGCCATATTGTAGGAGGAGTAAGGTGGTATCACATTATGGTTTTGATTTGCATTTCCCTGATAATTAGTTATATTGAGCATTTTTTTTCATATGTTTGTTGGCCATTTGTATATCTTCTTTTGAGAATTGTCTATTCATGTCCTTAACCCACTTTTGGTTGGAATTATTTGTTTTTTCTTGCTGATTTGTTTGAGTTCCCTGTAGATTTTGGATGTTAGTCCTTTGTCAGATGCATAGTTTGTAAATATTTTCTCCCACTCTGTGGGTTGTCTGTTTACTCTGCTGATTATTTCTTTGGCTGTGCAGAAGTTTTTAGTTTAATTAGATCCCAGTTGATGCTTATATTCTGGTGGAATATATAAAATATATATTTTATATATAAATATATATAATATATATTTATATATAAATATATATTATATATATTATATATAAATATATATAATATATATTTATATATATATATATAATATATATTTATATATAAATATATATAATATATTTCAAAATATATAAATAATTTCAATATATATAAAATATAAATTTTAATTTATTTTTATATTATACTTTGTTATTGGATACATGTGCAGAACATGCAGGTTTGTTACATAGGTATAGGTGTGCCACGGTGGTTTGCTGCACCCATCAACCCCTTGTCTACATTAGGTATTTCTCCTAATGCTATCCCTCCCCAGCCCCCAACCCCCCGACAGGCCCTGGTGTGTGATATTCCCTCCGTGTGCCAATATATTCTCATTGTTCAACTCTCACTTATGAGTGAGAACATGTGGTGTTTGGTTTTCTGTTCTTGTGTTAGTTTGCTGAGAATGATGGTTTCCAGCTTCATCCATGTCCCTGCAAAGGACATTAACTCATTCCTTTTTATGGCTGCATAGTATTCCATGATGTATATATGGCACATTATCTTTATCCAGTCTATCACTGATGGGCATTTGAGTTGGTTCCAAGTCTTTGCTATTGTGAATAGTGCTGTAATAAACTTACGCGTGCATGTGTCTTTATAGTACAATGATTTATAATCCTTTGGATATCTACCCAATAATGGGATTACTGGGTCAAATGGTATTTCTGGTTCTAGATCCTTGAAGAATTGCCACACCGTCTTCCACAATGGTTGAACTAATTTACACTCCCACCAACAGTGTAAAACTGTTCCTGTTTCTCCACATTCTCTCCAGCATCTGTTGTTTCCTGATTTTTTTTTTTTTTGTGGTTAGCGGAATTATTTTAATCCCATGAGAATACTATAAAATTAAAAATTAACATAAAACAGTCATTCATCATCTCACTGGCCAGAAATAACCCCTGTGGATAAGTGAGAAATTGTTACTTTAGTAGCTGGCATTAGAGATTTTTCAAGGTAGGAAACTATCTTTAATTAGGAAAGTATCTTTTTTTAAATACACACACACACACACACACACACTATATATATATATATATATATATATATATATACTTTAAGTTCTGGGGTACGTGTGCAGAACGTGCAGTTTTGTTACATAGGTATACACGTGCCATGATTGTTTGCTGCACCCATCAACCCGTCACCTACATTAGGTATTTCTCCTAATGCCATCCCTCCCCTAGTCCACTGACCCCCAGACAGGCCCCGGTGTGTGATGTTCCGCTCCCTGTGTCCATGTGTTCTCCTTGTTCAACTCCCACTTATGAGTGAGAACATGTAGTATTTGGTTTTCTGTTCTTGTGATAATTTGCTGAGAATGATGGTTTCCAGCTTCATTCATGTCCCTGCAAAGGACATGAGCTCATCCTTTTTTATAGCTGCGCAGTATTCCATCGTGTATATGTGCAAATTTTCTTTATCCAGTCTATCATGGATGGACATTTGGGTTGGTTCCAAATCTTTGCTATTGTGAATAGTGCCACAATACACATATGTGTTCATGTGTCTTTATAGTAGAATGATTCATAATCCTTTGGGTGTATACCCAGTAATGGGATTGCTGGGTCAAATGGTACTTCTAGTTCTAGATCCTTGAGGAGTTGCCACACTGTCTTCCACAATGGTTGAACTAATTTACACTCCTACCAACAGTGTAAAAGCATTCCTGTTTCTCCACATCCTCTCCAGCATCTGTTGTTTCCTGACTTTTTAATGATCACCATTCTAACTTGTGGGAGATGGTATCTCACTCTGGCTGATTTGCATTTCTCTAATGACCAGTGATGATGAGCTTTTTTTCATGTTTGTTGGCTGCATAAATGTCTTATTTTGAAAAGTGTCTGTTTATATCCTTCGTCCACTTTTTGATGGGGTTGTTTTTTTCTTGTAAATTTGTTTAAGTTCTTTGTAGATTCTGGATATTAGCCCTTTGTCAGATGGATAGATTGCAAAAACTTTCTCCCATTCTGTAGGTTGCCTGTTCACTCTGATGATAGTTTCTTTTGCTGTGCAGAAGCTCTTTAGCTTAGTTAGATCCCATTTGTCAATTTTGGCTTCTGTTGCCCTTGCTTTTGGTGTTTTAGTCATGAAGTCTTTGCCCATGCCTATGTCCTGAATGGTATTGCCTAGGTTTTCTTCTAGGGTTTTATGGTTTTAGGTCTTACATTTAAGTCTTTAATCCATCTTGAGTTAATTTTTGTATAAGTTGTAAGGAAGGGGTCCAGTTTCAGCTTTCTACATATGGCTAGCCAGTTTTCCCAACACCATTTATTAAATAGGGAATCCTTTCCCCATTGCTTGTTCTTGTCAGGTTTGTCAAAGATGTTTGCAGATGTGTGGTGTTATTTCTGAGGCCTCCGTTCTGTTCCATTGGTCTCTATATCTGTTTTTGTACCAGTACCATGCTGTTTTGGTAACTGTGGGCTTGTAGTGTAGTTTGAAGTCAGGTAGTGTGATGCCTCCAGCTTTGTTTCTTTTTTTTTTTTTTTTTTTTTTGCTTAGGATTGTCTTGGCTATATGGGCTCTGTTTTGGTTCTATATGAAATTTAAAGTAGTTTTTTCTAATTCTGTGAAGAAAGTCAATGGTAGCTTGATGGGAATAGCATTGAATCTATAAATTACTTTGGGCAGTATGGTCATTTTTATGATATTGATTCTTCCTATCCATGAGCATGGAATGTTTTTCCATTTGTTTGTGTCCTCTCTTATTTCCTTGAGCAGTGGTTTGTAGTTCTCCTTGAAGAGGTCCTTCACATCCCTTGTAAGTTGTATTCCTAGGTATTTTATTCTCTTTGTAGCAATTGTGAATGGGAGTTCACTCATGATTTGGCTCTCTGTTTGTCTATAATTGGTGTATAGGAATTCTTGTGATTTTTGCACATTGATTTTCTATCCTGAGTCTTTGCTGAAGTTGCTTATCAGCTTAAGGAGATTTTGGGCTGAGACGATGGGGTTTTCTAAATATACAATCATGTCATCTGCAAACAGAGACAATTTGACTTACTCTTTTCCTGTTTGAATACCCTTTATTCTTTCTCTTGCCTGATTGAGAACTTCCAATACTATGTTGAATAGGAGTGGTGAGAGAGGGCATCCTTTTCTTGCCAGGCACTATATTATACAGGATTGAAGGAAAAACCTCTCTGATGAGGTGACTTCTGAGCAGTGACTAATTGGTTTATCAGAGGGAACCATCTGGGGTAAGGCCATTCAAGAACAAAGACCCAGAAGTGAAGCCTGGTTGGTATTCAAGGAACATCTACATTATTCTAGGGTAAGAGTGACCACAATAGAGTGGAAAAGGTAAAGAAAGATAGGAAATATTCAGTAAACTTGAAAGTTTTCTGTCTGTCACATTCCGTGTGACGCTGAGGATACCAAGGTTAATGAGATACAATCTCTGTCCTTAGGGAATAGAGTATCATACAGAAAGCTGGTATTATAATATAATGGGAAAATCACTATGTTGGAGGTATGTACAAAGTTCAAGGGGAGCCAGAGAGAAGAGAGCCTAATTTGCCTGGAAGATCAAGGGAGGTATCAGAGAGGAATGTCTAGGAACCATGAAGAAGAGGTGGTGATGAGGTTGGACACTTCAAGCAGAGGGAAGGACACACGCAACAATGAAAGGAAGAGAAGTGATAACTTGTGATGTTTCCTGAGTTTGGTAGTTTGGTATTTCTAGAGTGTCAATGCTGATGAGAAGTGTTCCAGGAGATGAAGTTGGATTGGTAGCTAAGGGCATATGTAGGCTTGTGCACTGCCAAGCCTGAAGAATTTTGAGAAGTGAAGTAAAGTAACTAAATTTCCTTTTTACAGAGTCATGAGGCAACTGGTTAAATGGTGGCATCATTAACAAAGACAAGAATTACGGAGGTAGAAGAGTCTGGAGCAGGGGAGGTGAAGAGATGATGGGTTTTAGGCATACAGTTTAGGTTGCCCAATGGCCATCTGACCAAAAGACAGTTGGATGTAGAGATCTGAAGCAAAGTCAAAGTTAAAGCCATAGCCATTAGTATATAGGTGTTAGTTGCAATTGTGTTGTGGGCAGAGAAGTAGACTAAGGTTAGAGCCAGAAAAACAGCAACATTTAAAGCAGAAGGGGAGGAGAGTTAATACAAATCACCATAGTATCACTGACCGCATTGTACTCTAATATTCTATTCATGAGCCTAACTTCCAAAATGGACTGTGAACCCCTTGAAGAAAATAATTATAGCTCATCTTTTTTTGTGTTTATTTTCCTAGCAACTGTCCAAATGCCTTGCACATGAGACACTTAATATATATGTATTTAAATGAATAAATAATTAGGACTCTAAGACTTGACATTTCTGCTTAGTACTTCTGTTAGTGGTATATTTCACAGCAGTAGTTCATTGTGTATTTTTACCTTTATTACTTTTAAAATTACACAAGGAACACATATTTATTCAAGAAAAATTAGAAAAAAGAAAAGCTAAAAATTACACTTTACTACTAGGAATAGCTATTGTTAACATTCTCATGTCTATCCTTTTAAACAACTGCTATCAGTAGAAATACAATATGAACCACATATATAATTTAACAATGTTTAGTGACTACATTAAAGGAAATCATAAATAAATATATAAAATTATTTTCACTTAACCCAATATACCTAAAATATTGTCATTTCAACATACAGTCAGCCTGAGCACCATAGTAAGATTCTGTCCCCACAAAAAATGGAGACCCTGATGGCTGACCATGCGACCTCCATGGTCCTTCTGTACTTAGATAGGCAAGACTCACTGGCTTGGTGGTGCCTGAGTGGGGGAAATGTTCTCACTCTCAAAACACTGAGAGGGTTGAGATGCCCTGGTTCATGGACCAGCATGAAAGTGGGGTGCCTCTCTCCACAGGGCTGGTCTGGGAAGGAAGTGGCCTGTCTGCCAGCCATGACCTCTATCTGAGGGAGCCCCACAGCCCAGAACACCTAACAAAGGAAACTTGGGCATGACCCCAGTGATTGGAGGGGGCTCCTCCAAGGCCCAGGAGTGAACCTGGTGAGGGAGTTATCTCTCTGCCTTACCCCACCACAGAGCACTATTGAGAACATGGTGAAATACAAAAGAGCTGCATGGCTGAATAAGAGCCTATCTGTTGGTCATCACTCTTAAACACCATCTACTGCATCACAGTCCAAATTACAACTGCCAAAATATTTTGCCAATGTACAGTGCCTGTGAAACCTAAGACAAGAATTCAGCTACAAATAAAGATCCTGTACAGAGCCTTGGCCCTCTGAAAGCACCCAGAAATGAAGCCAACTGACTATACTCAACTTAAAGAAACACTAGCCCTCTCAGATGAGAAAGAATCAGCATAAGAACTCTGGCAATTCAAAAAGCCAGGATGTCTCCTTACCTCCAAATGAGCACAGTAGCCCCCAGCAATGGTTCTTAACCAGACTGAAATGACTGAAGTGATAGGTATAGAATTTAGAACCTGGATGGTGAGAAGCTCACTGAGATCCAGGAAAAAGTTGAAATGCAATCCAAGAAATCCAAAGAATCCGGTAAAATGATCTAAGAGCTGAAAGACAAAATAGCCATTTTAAGAAAGAACTAAACTGAACTCCTGGAATTGAAAAATTTACTACAAGAGTTTCCACATACAATCAGAAGCATTAACAGCAGAATAGACCAAACTGAGTAGAGAATCTCAGAGTTTGAAGACTTGTTCTTTAAATCAACTCAGTCAGAAAAAAATAAAGAAAAAAGAATGTTAAAAAAAGAACAAAACCTCTGAGAGATATGGGATTGTGTAAAGAGATCAAGTCTACAATTTATTGGCATTCTTGAGAGAGAAAGAGAGAGAGTAAGCAACTTGGAAAACATATTTGAGGACATAATCTATGAAAATTTCCCCAATCTTGTTAGAGAGATTGACATACAAATTCAAGAAACACAGAGAACCCAGCAAAATACTATACAAGATGATCATCCCCAAGGCACATAGTCATCAGATTCACCAAGGTCAATGCAAAAGAAAAAATATTATAGACAACTAGAGAGAAAGGTCAGGTCACTTATAACTGGAATCCCACAACACTATCAGCAGACTTTTCAGCAGAAAGTTTACAAGCCAAAAGAAATTGGAGACCTATTTTCAGCATCCTCAAAGCAAATAAATTCCAACCAAGAATTTCATATCTCACCAAACTAAGCTTCATAAGTGAAGAAGAAGTAAAATCCTTAACACAGAAGGAAACTCTAAGGGAATTTGTTACCACCAGACCAACCTTATGAGAAGTCCTTAAGGGAATGCTAAACATGGAAATGAGAGATTAATACCTGTTATGACAAAAACATACTAAGCACATAGCTCACAGACAATATAAAGGAATTACACAATCAAGTTTATAAAACAACCAATTATCAACCCAATGACAGGATTAAAATCCCACATATCAATACTAATTCAGTATGTAAAATGGTCTAAGTGCCCCACTTAATAGACACAGAGTGACAAGCTAGATAAAAACTCAAGACCCAATTTTCTGATGTCTTCAAGAGACCAAGCTCACGTGTAACTACACTCACATGCTCAAAGTAAAGGGATGGGAAAAAATGTACCACACAAATGGAGAACAGAAAAGAGCAGGAGTCACTATTCTTATATCAGATAAAACAGAGTTTAAACCAAAAACATTCAGGAAAGATAAAGAAGGGTATTACATAATGATAAAAGGTTCAATTAAACAAGAATACTTAGCTATCTTAAATATATATAAGCACTCATCATTGGAGCACCCAAATTCATAAAACAAGTTCTTCTTGATCTATGAAAAGATCAAGGTGTAGACAGCTACACCCTAATAGTGGGGTATTTTAACACCTTACTGACACCACTAGACAGATCATCAAGGCAGAAAACTGATAAAGAAATTCTGGATTTAAACGTGACACTAAACCAATTGGACCTAGTAGACATCTATAGAATGCTCCACCTAACAACCACAGAATAGACATTCTTCTCATCCACACAGGTACATATTCTAAGATCAACCACATGCTTGGTTGCAAAGCGAGTCTCAATAAATTTAAAAAAATCAAAATCATACCGAGCACACTCTTAGATTGCAATGCAATAAAAATAGAAATCAATACCAAGAAGATCTCTTAAAACTACACATAAACATGAAAATCAAACAACTTTTTCCTGAATAACTCTTGGGTGAAAAATGAAATTAAGACAGAAATTTAAAAAATCTTTGAAATTAGTGAAAATAAGAGATACAACTTACCAAAATCTTTGGGATGCGGCTAAAGCAGTGTTAAGAGGAAAGTTTCTAGTGCTAAACGTCTTCATCAAGAAGCTAGAAATATCCCAAATTTACAATCTAACATTGCACCTAGAGGAACTGGAAAAATAAGAACAAACCAACAGTAAAGCTAGCAGAAGAATAGAAATAACTAAAATCTGAGAAGAACATAAGGAAATTGAGACATACAATCTATACAAAAGAACAATGAAACTGAGAGTTGATTTTCTGAAAGAATAAACAAAGATTGATAGACTTCTAGGTAGATTAAGAAATTTGTAAAAGGGTGAAGATCCAAATAAGTGCAATCAGAAATGACAAAGATGACATTACAGCTCATCCCACAGAAATACAAAAGATCTTTAGAGACTATTACAAACACCTCTATGCCCACAAATTAGAAAATTTAGAGGAAATCGATAAATTCCTGGAAACACACAAACTCCCAAGATTGAACCAGGAAGAAAGTGAAAGCCTGAATAGACCAATAACAAGTACCAAAATTGAATTAGTAATAAAAAAAAACCACCACCACCAACAAAAAAAGCCCTTGATTAGATGGATTCACCCCTGAATTCTACCAGATATATAAAGAACTGGTACCAATCCCACTGAAGTTATTCCAAAAAACCAAGGAGGAAGGGCTTCTCCTTAACTCATTCTATGAAGGTAGCATTAATTTGATAACAAAATCTGGCAGAGACATAACAAAAAAAGAAAACTTCGGGCCAATATCCCTGATGAAAATAGACACAAAAATCCTGAACAAAATACTAGCAAACTGCTGGCTGGGTGAGGTGGCTCACACCTGTAATCTCAGCACTTTGGGAGGCTGAGATGGGTGGATCATATGAGGTCAGATGTTCGAGACTAGCCTGGCCAACATGGTGAAACCCTGTCTCTATTAAAAATACAAAAGTTAGCCATGCAGGGTGGTGTGCACCTGTAATCCCAGCTACCCAGGAGGCTGAGGTGGGAGAATTGCTTGAACCCAGGAGGCAGAGGTTGTAGTGAGCTGAGATTGCACCACTGTACTCCATGAGGCAGGAGAATCTCTTGAACCCAGGAGGCTGAGGTTGTAGTGAGCTGAGATTGCAACACTGCACTCCAGCCTGGCCAACAGAGTGAGACTCCATCTAAAAAAAAAATACTGTTAATAGCAAACCGAAGCCAGCGTGACATAAAAAAGTTAATTCGCTATGATCAAGTAGGCTTTATTGATGGGCTGCAAGGTTGGTTCAACATTCAACATATATAAATAATAAATGTGATTCACCACATAAACATAATTAAAAACAAGAACCATATGTCATCTCAGTTGATGCAGAAGAAGCTTTTGATAAAATCCAACATTGCTTCATGATAAAAATCCTCAAAAAACTAAGCGTTGAAGGTACATACTTCAAAATAACAAGAGCCATCTATGACAAACTTATAGCCAGCAATATACTCAATGTTTAAAAGCTGGAACCATTCCCCTTGAGAACTGGAACAAGATAAGGGTGCCTACTCTTGCCACTCCTATTCAACATTCAGTACTGAATGTCTTAGCCAGAGCAATCAGGCTAGAGAAAGAAATAAAAGTCATCTGAATAGGAAAAATAACTTAAACAAATCAGCAAGAAAAACCCAAACAATCCAATTAAGAAATGGGCAAAAGACATGAACAGACACCTCTTAGAAGAAGACATACAAGCAGTCAACAAACATGTGAAAAAATGCTCATCATTGCTAATCATAAGAGAAACACAAATCAAAACCACAATGAGATACCATCTCACACCAGTCAGAATGGCTATTATTAAAAAGTCAAGAAATAACAACTGCTGGTAAGGCTACATAGAAAATGGTATGTTTATACACTGTTGGTGGGAATGCAAGTTAGTTCAGCCACTGTGGAAAGCAGTCTGGAGATCTCTGCTTGGATAATTTGTAACAGAACTACCATTCCACCCAGCAGTCCCATTCCTAGGTACATGCCCCAAGGAAAAGAAACCATTATACCAAAAAGAGACATGTACTCATATGCTTATTGCAGCACTGTTCACAATAGCTAAGACATGGAATCAACCTAGGGGCCCATCAATGGTACACTGGATAGAAAAAAGTGGTACATATACACCATGGAATACTACACATCCATTAAAAAGAACAAAATCAGTAACATGGATGCAGCTGGAGGTTATCATCCTAAGTGAATATATGCAGGAATGGAAAACCAAATACCACATGTTCTCACCTACAAGTGAGAGCTACACACTGAGTACATATGGATAAAAAGATGGGAATAATAGACATTGGGGACTCCTAGAGGGTGGGGTGGGTCATGGGGTAACAATTTACTCATTGGGTACTATGCTCACTACCTGGGTGATGGGATTATCCATACCCCAATCCTCAGCACCATGCAATACATCCATGTAACAAACATGAACATGTACCCTCTGGATCCAAAATAAACATTGAAAGAAAATCCAAAGTGTAAAACATGTGGGGAAAGGATTTTATCAGGTTAAAGTTAACATTTTTCTATGACTGTGTAATGTTAAAGATATATTATATCCAGTTTTCCCCTTGTATAAATAAGAAATACATTAACTATTGTATAGTCATTTTAGTGAAAGTAATTCAGTTTATTCACCCACTTTTCAATATATATATATAACTACTTTAACTTGCCTTTTTTCCATTTACTCATTTTTATTTTGTAAAATGTATCTAGGAATAATATTTTATGTCTATATTCCATAATTGTGAAAGGCCTAGTTGGGAGAGAAGGGGATTGCTGTCGACACATGAATAGTAAATGGTAATAGGTAAAACTTCTATTGTTAAATAGACATAAGCACTTAGTTTCTTAGAAGTTTATCATCACATTTTCTATTACATTAATTGCCTTTTCTGCAAGTGATAAAACTGTTGATCTTTCTTGTGCATTTACAAAGTCAGAGAAACATTTTGCTATCAAATTTTTCTCTTTAAAAATAGCTTGCAATACTGTTATTTTTTAGAGCCTTATCCTTAATTATTTATTAGCCTCTATTTTTTCAAGTAGGTCTCATGTTTTTTGTTCCCCAAACTGTAAATGCCTGGAAAATTACAATTTTTTCAGTCTTTAGGCACCAGCTAACTGAATTACTATTTTATGAATTGAGTAATAATGTTTTTGAGTAAACCTAGAAATAAAAAATAAATAAAAATGGAAAAATTAGGTGTGGCAGTGCACACTTTTAGTTCCATCTACTTGGGAGACTGAGGTGGGAGGATTGCTTGAGCCTGGGAGGTCGAGGCTGTAGTGATCTGTGATCGCACTACTTCACTTCAGCCTGGACAAAAGAATGAGACCCTGTCTCAAAACACAACATTAATGATATTGTTTATATTCTTTTCTTCATATTACATCTTTGAAATCTGTTGTACATTTCACACTTACAGCACTTCTCAATTTGGATTAGCCACAATCCAAGTGTTCAATAGCTATATCTAGGTAATGGCTGTGTATTAGACAGCACAGCTAAATGCTTTTCTATATTTCTATATATCTATATATCTATATCCATGTCTATAGCTATATCTATAATGACACAGCTATACATAAAATTGTAATCCTCCCTTAACAAAAATCAAGTCATATGAAACTTAGTTTTAAAAGAAGAAATTTAATTTTGGAATAGTTTGGATTTGTGGGCAGGTTGTGAAGAGAGTACACAGAGTTCTCATAAATCCCTATCCAGTGTGGCTTCTTATTAACTTCTTACAGCAGCACATGCCATAGTTAATGGACCAATATCGATACATTGTTATTAACTAAAGTTCATACTTTATTAGATTTACTTCAATTTTACCTAATTTTTTTTTTGTTCCAGAATTCTAGCCAGGATACCACATTACATTTAATCCTGTCTTTTTAGACTCCTTTTGGTTGTAACAATTTCTCAGAGTTTCCTTGTTTTTGATGACCTTAACAGTTTAAAGAGCTCCCTTTCAGTATTTTGTAGAATTTCCCTCAATTGGGATTTGTCTGATGATGTCCTCATGATTACACTGAGGTTATACATTTTTGGGAAGAAGACGCCATAGGTAGCATGCCATTTCTCCTCACACCATATCAAGGTTCATACTGTCAACGTGACTTACTACTGTTGACGTCAACCTTGATCACTTGACTGAGGCCATGTTTGTCAGATTTTACCACTGTAAAGTTGCTCTTTCTTACCCCTTTCCATACTGTGCTCTTTGGAAGGACATCACTGTGTATGGCCCACACTTGAGGAGGGAGTTACATTCTATCACTTTATGCTCCAAGTAAATTATTTGGAATTCTTCTGCATGGGAGATTTGTCTATTCTCCCCATTTATTTATTCAATCATTTATTTATATCAGTATTGACACACGATATTTGTTTTACACCTTGGATTATTACTCAGTACTACTTTATTTTATTGCTCCAATTGTTCTGGCTTTAGCCAAACGGAACGTTTCCAATTGGCTCTTACCTCCTTTTTACATACTCCCATCATTGTGAGTTTTTTTCTTTGTTTTTGAGCACTTGCTTACTTTCTGGCACTGTAACTTTCTCCAGACCTATCTTGTATATTCCTTGTCCCAGCCCTAGAATCAGACATTTCTCCAGAGAGCTCTGATTTATTTTCTTGGAAAATGGGATTACAAAGCGAGTTCTGGTACCTAGCCATGCTTGTTGCTACTGGGGTGTTATTGCTTTTCAGCTGGCAGAGCAAGAAAGCATATATATAAATACACACACACACACACACACACACACTCATATATGTGTATATATATACACATATATATACACATATGTGTGTATATATATACACTATATACACATATATACACTATATATATACACTATATATACACACATATATGTGTGTATATATATACACTATATATATACATATACACACACACTATATATATATATACACACACACATACACATATATACATATATATATACTAACCCTGTTATATACCCATAGTACTATATGCGTGCATCTGTACTTATAATTTAGCCAAACATCAGTTTATAATGTCAGCAACTTTCTTTCAACTGACTAATATATTATGATTCACAAACATTTCTTCATGTCAACAAATATCCATAAATAACTTCATTTGACAATAGCATTACATTATGTGGATGTACTAAATTTTATTTTACCAAGTCACTAGTGTTGGACGTTTAAACTGTTTATTTTTAATTTTTATTTTATTTTTATTTTTCTATTTTTATTTTTTGAGATGGATTCCTGCTCTGTCACCCAAGCTGGAGTGCAGTGGCATGATCTCAGCTCACTGCAACCTCTACCTCCAGAGTTCAAGTGATTCTCCAGCCTCAGCCTCCTGAATAGCTGGGATTACAGGCACATGACACCATGCCCAGCTAATTTTTGTATTTTTTAGTAGAGACAGCGTTTCGCCATGTTGTCCAGGCTGGTCTCCAACTCTTGACCTCAGGAGATCTGGCCACCTCGGCCTCCCAGAGTGCTGGGATTACAGGTGTGAGCAACTGTGCCCGGCCTAAACTGTTTATTTATTTATTTATTTATTTGCGTTTTTTGTTTTCCTTCCTTCATTTTTTTTTATACTTTAAGTTCTAGGGTACATGTGCACAATGTGCAGGTTTGTTACATATGAATACATGTGCCATGTTGGTGTGCTGCACCCATTAACTCATCATTTACATTAGGTATATCTCCTAATGCTATCCCTCTCCCCTCCCCCCACCCCACAACAGGCCACAGTGTGTGATGTTCCCCTTCCCCTTCCTGTGTCCAAGTGTTCTCATTGTTCAATTCCCACCTATGAGTGAGAACATGCGGTCTTTGGTTTTTTGTCCCTGCGATAGTTTGCTGAGAATGATGGTTTCCAGCTTCATCCATGTCCCTAAAAAGCACACGAACTCATCGTTTTTTATGGCTGCATAGTATTCCATGGTGTATATGTGCCACATTTTCTTAATCCAGTCTATCATTGATGGACATTTGGGTTGGTTCCAAACCTTTGCTATTGTGAATAGTGCCACAATAAACATACATGTGCATGTGTCTTTATAGCATCATGATTTATAATGCTTTGGGTATATACCCAGTAATGGGATGACTGAGTCAAATGGTATTTCTAGTTCTAGATCCTTGAGGAATCGCCACACTGTCTTCCCCAATGGTTGAATCAGTTTACAGTCCCGCCAACAGTGCACATCCTCTCCAGCACCTGTTTTTTCCTGACTTTTTAATGATCGCCATTCTAATTGGTGTGAGATGGTATCTCATTGTGGTTTTGATTTGCATTTCTCAGATGGCCAGTGATGATGAGCATTCTTTCATGTGTCTATTGGCTGCATAAATGTCTTCTTTTGAGAAATGTCTGTTCATATCCTTTGCCCACTTTTTGATGGGGTTGTTTTTTCTTTTTTCTTGTAAATTTGTTTGAGTTCATTGTAGATTCTGGATATTAGACCTTGTCAGATGAGTAGATTGCAAAAATTTTCTCCCATTCTGTAGGTTGCCTGTTCACTCTGATGGTAGTTTCTTTTGCTGTGCAGAAGCTCTTTAGTTTAATTAGATCCCATTTGTCAATTTTGCCTTTTGTTGCCATTGCTTTTGGCATTTTAGACATGAAGTCCTTGCCCATGCCTATGCCCTGAATGGTATTGCCTAGGTTTTCTTCTAGGGTTTTTATAGTTTTAGATCTAATATTTAAGTCTTTAATCCATCTTGAATTAATTTTTGTATAAGGTGTAAGGAAGGGATCCAGTTTCAGCTTTCTACATATGGCTAGCCAGTTTTCCCAGCACCATTTATTAAATAGGGAATCCTTTCCCCATTTCTTGTTTTTGTCAGGTTTGTCAAAGATCAGATGGTTGTAGATATGTGGTATTATTTCTGAGGGCTCTGTTCTGTTATTGGTCTATATCTCTGTTTTAGTACCAGTACCATGCTGTTTTGGTTACTGTAGCCTTGTAGTATAGTTTCAAGTCAGGTAGCGTGATGCCTCCAGCTTTGTTCTTTTGGCTTAGGATTGTCTTGGCAATGTGGGCTCTTTTTTGGTTCCATATGAACTTTAAAGTAGTTTTTTCCAATTCTGTGAAGAAAGTCATTGGTAGCTTGATGTGAATGGCATTATATCTATAAATTACCTTGGGCAGTATGGCCATTTTCACAATATTGATTCTTCCTATCCATGAGCACGGAATGTTCTTCCATTTGTTTGTGTCCTCTTTTATTTCATTGAGCAGTGGTTTGTAGTTGTCCTTGCAGAGGTCCTTCACATCCCTTGTAAGTTGGATTCCTAGGTATTTTATTCTCTTTGAAGCAATTGTGAATGGGAGTCCACTCATGATTTGGCTCTCTGTTTGTCTGTTATTGGTGTATAAGAATGTTTGTGATTTTTGCACATTGATTTTGTATCCTGAGACTTTGCTGAAGTTGCTTATGAGCTTAAGGAGATTTTGGGCTGAGACAATGGGGTTTTCTAGATATACAATCATGTCGTCTGCAAACAGGGACAATTTGACTTCCTCTTGTTCTAATTGAATACGCTTTATTTCTTTCTCCTGCCTGATTGCCCTGGCCAGAACTTCCAACACTGTGTTGAATAGGAGTGGTGAGAGAGGGCATCCCTGTCTTGTGCCAGTGTTCAAAGGGAATGCTTCCAGTTTTTGCCCATTCAGTATGATACTGGCTGTGGGTTTGTCATAAATAGCTCTTATTATTTTGAGATATGTCCCATCAATACCTAATTTACTGAGAGTTTTTAGCATGAAGCGCTGTTGAATTTTGTCAAGGGCCTTTTCTGCATCTATTGAGACAAAAATCATGTGGTTTTTGTCTTTGGTTCTGTTTATATGCTGGATTACATTTATTGATTTGTGTATGTTGAACCAGCCTTGCATCCCAGGGATGAAGCCCACTTGATCATGGTGGATAAGCTTTTGATGTGCTGCTGGATTCGGTTTGCCAGTATTTTATTGAGGATTTTTGCATCGATGTTCATCAGGGATATTGGTCTAAAATTCTCTTTTTTTGTTGTGTCTCTGTCAGGCTTTGGTATCAGGATGACGCTGGCCTCATAAAATGAGTTAGGGAGGATTCCTTCTTTTTCTATTTATTGGAATAGTTTCAGAAGGAATGGTACCAGTTCCTCCTTGTGCCTCTGGTAGAATTTGGCTGTGAATCCATCTGGTCCTGGACTTTTTTTGGTTGGTAGGCTATTAATTATTGCCTCAATTTCAGAGCCTGTTATTGGTCTATTCAGGGATTCAACTTCTTCCTGGTTTAGTCTTGGGAGGGTGTATGTGTCAAGGAATTTATCAATTTCTTCTAGATTTTCTAGTTTATTTGTGTAGAGGTGTTTATAGTATTCTCTGACGGTAGTTTGTATTTCTGTGGGATTGGTGGTGGTATCCTCTTTATCATTTTTTATTGCATCTATTTGATTCTTCTCTCTTTTTTTCTTTATTAGTCTTGCTAGCAGTCTATCAATTTTGTTGATCTTTTCAAAAAACCAGCTCCTGGATTCATTGATTTTTTGAAGGGTTTTTTGTGTCTCTATCTCCTTCAGTTTTGCTCTGATCTTAGTTATTTCTTGCCTTCTGCTAGCTTTTGAATGTGTTTGCTCTTGCTTCTCTAGTTATTTCAATTGTGATGTTAGGGTGTCAATTTTAGATCTTTCTGCTTTTTCTTGTGGACATTTATTGCTATAAATTTCCCTCTACACACTGCTTTACACTGCTTTAAGTGTGTCCCAAAGATTCTGGCATGTTGTGTCTTTGTTCTCGTTGGTTTCAAAGAACATCTTTATTTCTGCCTTCATTTCGTTATGTACCCAGTAGTCATTCAGGAGCAGGTTGTTCAGTTTCCATGTAGTTGAGCGGTTTTGAGTGAGTTTCTTAATCCTGAGTTCTAGTTTGATTGCACTGTGGTCTAAGAGACAGTTTGCTATAATTTCTGTTCTTTTACATTTGCTGAGGAGTGCTTTACTTCCAACTATGTGGTCAATTTTGGAATAAGTGCAATGTGTTGCTGAGAAGAATGTATATTCTGTTGATTTGGGGTGGAGAGTTCTGTAGATGTCTATTAGGTCCACTTGGTGCAGAGCTGAGTTCAATTCCTGGATATCCTTGTTAACTTTCTGTCTCATTGATCAGTCTAATGTTGACAGTGGGGTGTTAAAGTCTCCCATTATTATTGGGTGGGAATCCAAGTCTCTTTGTAGGTCTCTAAGGACTTGCTTTATGAATCTGGCTGCTCCTGTATTGGGTGCATATATATTTAGGATAGTTAGCTCTTCTTGTTGAATTGATCCCTTTACCATTATGTAATGGCCTTCTTTGTCTCTTTTGATCTTTGTTGGTTTAAAGTCTGTTTTATCAGAGACTAGGATTGCAACCCCTGCCTTTTTTTGTTTTCCATTTGCTTGGTAGATCTTCCTCCATTCCTTTATTTTGAGCCTATGTGTGTCTCTGCACGTGACATGGGTCTCCTGAATACAGTCTGTGTCTTTTAATTTGAGCATTTAGTCCATTTACATTTAAGGTTAATATTGTGTGAATTTGATCCTGTCATTATGTTCTTAGCTGGTTATTTTGCTCATTAGTTGATGCAGTTTCTTCCTAGCATCTATGGTCTTTACGATTTGGCATGTTTTTGTAGTGGCTGGTACTGGTTGTTCCTTTCCATGTTTAGTGCTTCCTTCAGGAGCTCTTGTAGGGCAGGACTAGTGGTGACAAAATCTCTCAGCATTTGCTTGTCTGTAAAGGATTTTATTTCTCCTTCACTTGTGAAGCTTGGTTTGTCTGGATATGAAATTCTGGGTTGAAAATTCCTTTCTTTAAGAATGTTGAATATTGGCCCCCACTCTCTTCTGGCTTGTAGAGTTGCTGCTGAGAGATCTGCTGTTAGTCTGATGGGCTTCCCTTTGTGGGTAACCTGACGTTTCTCTCTGGCTGCCCTTAATATTTTTTCCTTCATTTCAATTTGGTGAATCTGACAATTATGTGTCTTGGAGTTGCTCTTCTTGAGGAGTATCTCTGTGGCATTCTCTGTATTTCCTGAATTTGAATGTTGGCCTGCCTTGCTAGGTTGGGGAAGTTCTCCTGGATAGTATCCTGCAGAGTGTTTTCCAACTTGGTTCCATTCTCCCTGTCACTTTCACGTACACCAATCAGACGTAGATTTTGTCTTTTCACATAGTCCCATATTTCTTGGAGGCTTTGTTCATTTCTTTTTACTCTTTTTTCTCTAAACTTCTCTTCTTGCTTCACTTCATGATCTTCAATCACTGATACCCTTTCTTCCACTTGATCAAATTGGCTACTGAAGCTAGTGCATTTGTCACGTAGTTCTCGTGCTATGGTTTTCAGTTCCATCAGGTCATTTAAGGACTTCTCTACACTGGTTATTCTAGTTAGCCATTCATCTAATCTTTTTTCAAGGTTTTTAGCTTCTTTACAATGGGTTCACACTTCCTCCTTTAGCTCAGAGAAGTTTGATCATCTGAAACCTTCTTCTCTCAACTCGTCAAAGTCATTCTCCATCCAGCTTTGCTCTGTTGCTGGCAAGGAGCTGCATTCCTTTGGAGGGGGAGAGGCCCTCCAATTTTTAGAATTTTCAGCTTTTCTACTCTGTTTTTTCCCCATCTTTGTGGTTTTATCTACCTTTGGTCTTTGATGATGGTGATGTACAGATGGGGTTTTGGTGTGGACGTCCTTTCTGTTTGTTAGTTTTCCTTCTAACGTGAGGATCCTCAGCTGCAGGTCTGTTGGACTTTGCTGGAGGTCCATTCCATACTCTGTTTTCCTGGGTATCTGCAGCGGAGGCTGCAGAACAGTGAATATTGCTGAACAGCAAATGTTGCTGCTGCTTGTTCCTCTGGAAGCTTCATCTCAGAGGGGTACCCGGCCATGTGAGGTGTCAGTCTGCCCCTACTGGTGGATGCCTCCCAGTTAGGCTACTCGGGGGTCAGGGACCCACTTGAGGAGGCAGTCTGTCCATTCTCGGATCTGAAACTCCTTGCTGGGAGAACCACTATCCTCTTCAAAGCTGTCAGACAGGGACATTTAAGTCTGCAGAGGTTTCTGCTGCCTTTTGTTTTGCTATGCCCTGCCCCCCAAGGTGGAGTCTACAGAGGCAGGCAGGCCTCCTTGAGCTGGGGTGGGCTCCACCCAGATCAAGCTTCCTGGCTGCTTTGTTTACCTACTCAAGCCTCAGCAATGGCAGGCACCCCTCCCCCAGCCTCACTGCAGCCTTGCAGTTTGATCTCAGACTGCTGTGCTAGCAATGAGCAAGGCTCCGTGGGCGTGGGACCCTCTGAGCCAGGTGCGGGATGTAATCTCCTGGGGTGCCATTTGCTGAGACCATTGGAGAAGTGCAGTATTAGGGTGGGAGTGACCCAATTTTCCAGGTGCCATCTGTCACATCTTCCCTTGGCTAGGAACGGGAATTCCCTGACCCCTTGCACTTCCTGGGTGAGGCAATGCCTCGCCCTTCTTTGGCTCATGCTCGATAGGCTGCACCCACTGTCCTGCACCCAGTGTCCTACAAGCCCCAGTGAGATGAACCCGATACCTCAGTTGGAAATGCAGAAATCACCTGTCTTCTGCATCGCTCATGCTGGGAGCTGCAGACTGGAGCTGTTCCTATTTGGCCATCTTGGAACCGCCCCCCTAAATTGTTTCTTTTTAAAAAATTTTTGAGACAGCATCTCATTATGTTGCCCAGGCAGGTCTTGCGCTCCTGTCTGCAAGTGGTCCTCCCACCTCGGCCTCCCAAAGTTCTAGGATTACAGGCATGAGCCACCATACCTGACTCATTTATGATTTGTGGTGTTATATACTACATTCTGATAGATATCTTTGTGTGTGGATCTTTATTACAAATTCTTTCCTAAGCATAAATCCCTAGAATTATGCAGAAAAAAGTACTTTATTGGTTTCAGAATTACTTTAATTATGTAGTAATAGACATTTTAATGTGTTTATCAGTCATTTATAATCTTCTTTTGTGAAATGCCTGTTAGCTTCTTCTATCATTTTCTATTTGTGTGCAATTTGTATTTACTGATTTGGAAGTATTTTTATATACCAGTGGCATATAGAAATGCAGTTTTTGCTTTGATATATATTTTAGATAATTTCTACTTTATTTGTCTTTTAATTTTTTACAGCGTTTTAATATTCACATGTTTAAAGATGTATTTAGTCAAATCTGTCAATTTTATCTTTTATAATTTCTGCCTTTGTTGTGATTTTTATAACATAATTCTCCTTTTTCAAAGTTATGTAAAAGGTCATCTATATATTCTTCCAGTGCTTTTTAATTAAAAATGTTATGAGTCTTTTTCCTTTGGAATTTAGTTGTTGAGGTAGGGATCTAATTTAATTGTTTTCCTGATGGTTATCCAGGTGTCTTTCAACAATTTATTGACATGCTGTTCTGGCTTGAGATGCTAACTTTAACATATGTCAAATTCTTGTAACTTATAACTTGAGTCTCTTATAAGTTTATACTTAATGCTTCTATTGCTCTACCTACCTATTCCTGTATTGGTACCTCATTATTTTAATTAGCGTAGCTTTAGAACACATTCTAATATCTGATGTGGCAAGTATTTAAATTTTTTTTGGCTATGTATCTCATTTATTCTTCCTGATGACCTCTAAAACCATTTTTACAAGTTAAAAATAAAAGTTCTTTTTACCATTTTGATTGTCAATATGTTTAAATTTATGGATTTATTTGGCTAAAATTTCAGTCTGTGGGCAGGTAGGACATTTATTTGAAAACCATGGACTATTGAAGTGACATTAGGTTATAAAGAACATTGATGATGACTTTATGAAAGGCTTTCCTGGTCATTAAGCTTTCCCCACCCTCCCCGCTGCTCCAAGTGATGTGGAAGGAGTGAACTAAACCAATTATTCGATGTGCAAAAGCTGGAGGAGTTGTTGCCTCTCTGCACTCCTGCAGTGATTGGAGATATTTTTAAAGCATTTCTTCTGCTGGGATATTTTACCAGTTGTATTTATGTTTAATAATGTCTTCTAGCCCAGCTGTTCTACAACAACAGTGAAAGCATAAAACTAAGCAAAATAACCTCCTGCTCCCAAATATTCTATTGATATTATTAAACACTCATGGTGTACATGATCTGTGCTAAGTAATGAGAATAATTTAAAAGAAACAACAAACAACAAACAAAGAAACAGTTGACTGATGTATTTGTCCTCAGGGGGCTTTCAGGCCAAAGAGATTGCTAGAGCAATCAAGCAAGAGAAAGTATTAAATTGCATCCAAATAGGAAGAGAGAAAGTCAAATTATCCTTCTTTGCAGACGACATGATTCTATATCTAGAAAAACCCATAGACTTGGCCCCAAAGCTCCTTCAACTGATAAACAACTTCAGCAAAATCTCAGGATACAAAATCAACATAAAAAAATCACTGCCATTTCTATACAGCAATAACAGTCAAGCTGAGAGCCAAATCAGGAACCCAATCCCATTCACAATGGCCACAAAAAGAATAAAATACCTAGGAATGCAACTAACCAGGGAGGTGAAAGATCTCTCCAAGCAGAACTGCAAAACACTGCTCAAAGAAACGAGAGATGACACAGACAAATGGAAAAATATCCCGTGCTCAGGGACAGGAAGAATCAATATTGTTAAAATGGCCATACGGCCCAAAGCAATTTATAGATTCAATGCTATTCCTATCAAACTACCAATGACACTCTTCACAGAATTAGAGAAAAACTATTTTAAAACTGATATGGAAAAAAAAAAGAGCCCAAATAGCCAAGGCAATCCTAAGCAAAAAGAACAAAGCTGGAGGCATCATGCTACCTGACTTCAAAGTATACTGCAGGGCTACACTAACAAAAACAGCGTGGTACTGGTACAGAAACAGACACATAGACCAATGAAACAGAATAGAGAGCCCAGAAATAAGGCTACAACTACCTGATCTTCAACAAAGCTGGCAAAAACAAGCAATGGGGAAGACTCTCTATTCAATAAATGGTGCTGGGATAACTGGCTAGCCATATACAGATGATTGAAACTGGACTCCTTCCTTACATCATGTACAAAAAAAATCAACTCAAGCTGGATTAAAGACCCAAAATTATAAAAAAAACCCTGGAAGACAACCTAGGCAATACCACTCTGTACATAGGAATAGGCAAAGATTTTATGGCAAAGACATCAAAAGCAATTGCAACAAAAGCAAAATTTGACAAATGGGATCTAATTAAACTAAAGAACTTCTGCACAGCAAAAGAAACTATCAGCAGACTAAAAAGACAACTTACAGAATGGGAGAAAATATTTGCAAACTATGCATCTGACAAAGGTCTAATATGCAGCATCTATAAGGAACTTAAACAAATTTACAAGAAAAAAATCCATTAAAAAGTGGGCAAAGGACACGAACAGACACTTTTCAAAAGAAGACACACATACAGCCACCAAGCATATGAAAAAAAGCTCAACATTCCTGATTATTAGAGAAATGCAAATAAAAACCACAATGAGCTACCATCTCACACCAGTCAGAATGGCTATTGTTAAAAAGTCAAAAAATAATGTGCTGGTGAGGTTGTGGAGAAAAAGGAACACTTACACTGTTGGTGGGAGTGTAAGTTAGTTCAACCATTAGGAGCAACAGCATGGCTGTTCCTCAAAGACCTAAAAACAGAACTACCATTTGACTTAGCAATCCCATTACTGGGTATATACCCAAAGGAATAATAATCGTTCTATCATAAAGACACATGTATGCATATGTTCATTGCAGCACTATTCACAATAGCAAAGACATGGAATCAACCTAAATGGCCAGGAATGGCAGATTGGATAAAGAAAATGTGATAGATATAAACCATGAAATACTATACAGCCATAAAAAATAATGAGATCATGCCCTTTGCAGGGACATTGATGAAGCTGGAGGTCATTATCCTTAGCAAATTAACACAGAAAGAGAAAACCAAATACAGCATTTTCTCACTTATATGTGGGAGCGAAATGATAACACAGAACACATGGACATAGAGGGGAACAACAGACACTGGAGCCTACTTGAGGGTGGAGGGTGAGAGGAGGGAGAGGATCGTGAAAAATAACTAATGTGTACACCCAGGCTTAATACCTGGGTGATGAAAAAATCTGAACAACAAACCCCATGACACAAGTTTACCTTTATAACAAACCTACACATGTACTCCTGAACTCAAAATAAAAGTTAAAAAAACCTCAAAGACTAAAAGGTGAGAATATTCAATGGCACAAAGGACTCCTTAAGGAGATTAAGAATGTGCCTTTTAGATCCACTCAATCAAACTGTAGCCCCTCAGCCATCCGAGCAGGAGCCAAAAATATATGCTGTCTGGAAAAGATCTGTGGGTGTGTTTTTTTCTGATGGTCAGAACATCATTGAAATCTATGGTAGATGCACAAAGATCTTGAGAAAATTATTTCAGCAGAAACACTACTGGCTTGGACTGAAAGGGATAGAAAGACTACAAAATGAAATGAAAGGAGGCTGTCAGACCCCAACATTTCTACTGGCAGGAAGCAGGCTGATAAAACTACTCAACTGCAAACATTAAAGAAGAAGGATGATAGAGGGTGGTGCTAAGAGGCAAGAGGGTAGAGCCAAGTGTTGTGGGAAGTCAGGGACCCCAGACGGAGGGACCGGCTGAAGCCATGGCAGAAGAACATAAATGGTGACAATTTCAAGGACATTTTTCACTTCCCCAATCAATACTCTTACAATTTCCTATGCCTGTCTTTACTTTAATCTCTTAATCCCATCATCTTCATAAACTGAGGATGTATGTCGCCTCAGGATCCTGTAATGATTGTGTTATCTGCCCAGCTTGTTTGTAGAGCATGTGTGTTTGAAAAATATGAAATCTGGGCACCTAGAAAAGGAACAGGATAACAGTGATTTTCAGGAAACAAGGAAGATAACCATAAAGTCTGACTGCCTGCGGGGCCAGGTGGAACAGAGTCATATTTCTCTTCTTGCAAAAGCAAATAAGAGAAATATCACTGAATTCTTTTTCTCAGCAAGGAACAGCCCTGGGAAAAGAATGCACTCCCAGGGGGAGGCCTCTAAAATGGCTGCTCTGGGAGTGTCTGTCTTATGCAGTTGTAGATAAGGTATGAAATAAGCCCTGGTCTCCTGCAGCGCCCCTAGGCTTGTTAGGATTGGGAAATTCCAGCCTGATGAAATTCTAGTCAGACCTGTTCTCTGCTCTTGAACCCCGTTTCCTGTTAAGATGTTTATCAATGACAATACGTGCACAGTGGGACAGGGAACCTCATCTGTAATTCTAATTTTGCCCTGGCCTTGTGACCTTGTCCTGCCCATTTGCCTTGTGCTATTTTATTGCCCTTGAAGCATGTGATCATATGTGATCTCTGTGACACACACCCTATTCATACACCCCCCCCTCCTTTTGAAATCCATAATAAAAACGTGCTGGTTTTGAGGCTCAGGGGGCATCATGGAACCTGCCAACATGTGATGTCAACCCCGGAGACCCAGCTGTAAAATTTCTTTTTTTTGTTCTCTTTCTCTTTATTTCTCAGACTGGCCGACACTTAGGGAAAATAGAAAAGAACCTACGTTGAAATACTGGGGGCTGGTTTCCCCAATAGCCGAGATTAATCTTAGGCTCTAAAACCTAATCATTGAACTCCCAACATTTGCCCAGCTAGATTTTAGAACTGCTATGGACCAACGACTCTTTGTTATCTTTTTCCCCTCCTCCCTTTGAACCAATATGTCTATAGCTGTTATCCCATGCCTACCAGTTATGCCTGTTTCAAAATTGTATGACGGGTGTACTGGGGGCAGATCACTTGCCTCTTTAGTTTTACAGGTTGACAGAAGGAGAGAAGTTATACCCCAGGAGCTGTACTTCATATATTATGCCCAGGAGCTGTGTTTGAACTTAGCCATGATTTAAAGCATAAAAGTTTGACTTTGAGCTGAAGCTCTGTGAGATAAGATTCTTGAGACCTTTGGGGATGTATGTGAATGTATTTTTGCAAGTGAGGGTAATGTGAGTCATTGGTGGCCAGACGGTGGACTGTGGTAGACAGATATATCCCTGCCTTCTGGTGTCTATGCCTTTCTAAAATCTCCTCTTTTGGGTGTGAGATTGATTATAAGAACCATGGTAATTTTTGGAAGAGTCTACAGAAGGGATTGCTGACCAGGAACGATTTTAAACTACAAGTTAAAATGTTTGTAACTGGGAGTATTTGAGTAGGGGGAAGAATATAAACAATTGTGTTAATCACAAAGATTAAATTTTTTTTACAAGGAGCAAGTGTAGTAGGAGAGAGGAGAGCTCTGGCTTTTAACCTGTTCGTGGGTGAGGGACCCACTTTGAACAACTGATAATAGCAATGAACACATTACCACTTATATGTGTGAAAGTGTATATAAAAACAACCACAAAACCTGGGGGGTGAAAGGTTATAGATCAACTGAAACTATACAGTTCCCATATTAGGAGCACCTGAACTAGAAGCATGAACAATAGGTGGCTTCCATTAGTGATCTTCATGAAAATTAATAAGAGCTGAAATAGGTTTCTGATGAATATGTAAATAGCCAAAAGAATACTTACATAGACATGGAAAATTATGATTGAAGTGAAGGCAAGGAAGGGGGGAGAGTCAATGATAACATTAAGATTTCATTTTGATTTCTGAAAATAATGGTGTCATTAACAGAAATGCTGTATAAACACAGAATAAGAAAATGACTGGGAGAAAATGTGAATAAACCTCTATCACTTCTAGGTATTAGACTTGAAGATATTGAAAATATTCTGTCTTTCTCATTTACTAACTGCAGTTACTTCAGGGTCTCTGAGCTTTTGCTCAGTAGAAATTGGGGTTTGTTTATCTCCCCGTAAATGGCCCTAAGGGAAGGCTTACCTAGGAAGAGAATTGCCCTGTCCCCATCTATTATGGATTGAATTCTGTCCTCCTAAAATTCATATGCTGAAGCCCTAGCCCCCAATGTGACTGTATTTGAAGATATGGCTTTTAAAGTGGTAACTGAGGTTAAATGAGGTCATAAGGGTAAGGTCCTAATCCAGTAGGATTTATGTCCTTATAAGAAGAGGGAGAAATACAAAGGATGCCTGTGCACAGAGAAAAGACCAAGTGAAGAGAGAGAGAGAGAAGATGACCATTCACAAGCCAAGGAGAGAAGCCTCAGGAGAATCCAAGCCTGCTGACACCTCAATCATGGACTTCCTGCCTCCAAAAATGTGAGGAAAGAAACATCTGTGTACTATTCCATAGTATTTTGTTATGGGAAATTAATACAGTACCCACCCAAGGAAGCCCAAACTCAGGCTCCTGCTCAATTTCTCATGTTTTTTTTTTTAGTTTACATATGTTCCTGAGGCCCTCTGAGTATGTATTTGTCTGAGACTGAGATGACAAATGCTGGGTCCTTCCTTTCTGGTATTAGGAGGGACTTTGATGCTCAGAGTCTGGAGGTTTTGTGCCACACATCTACCTGTATTTTAGGAAATATTTATCACCTGTATGGAAGTGAAATCACTTCACTGTCCATGTTTTCTTGATCCCTCTGACCTGATTTCTGGTGACCATGCCTTGATTTTGAACCTAATTTTGTCAGTATAAAGATATGGGGGAAGATAGGCATCATGTGTTTGTTATAATTCAAGACATTCTTTAAGAGGCTTAACTGGCTGGGCATGGTGGCTCACACCTGTAATCCCATAATCCCAGCACTTTGGGAGGCCAAGGTGGGCGGATCACCTGAGGTCAGGAGTTCAAGACCTCAAGACCAGCCTGGCCAACATGGTGAAACCCAGTCTCTACTAATCATACAAAAATTAGCTGGGTATGGTGGCATGCACCTGTAAACCTAGCTACTCGGGAGGCTAAGACAGGAGAACTGCTTGAACCTGGGAGGTGGAGGTTGCAGTGAGGTGAGATCGTGCCACTGCACTCCAGCCTGGGTGACAGAATGAGACTCTGTCTCAAAAAAAAAAAAAAAAAAGAAAAAAATAGGGGGCTTAACTGATAATACAGCATTTTGTACTTCTAGCTTCATGGCATTTTACGATTGAAGAATATTTAGATGTACTGGAAGACCAACAATCTCTAGAGAGGGCCAGTAGCTTCTAAATGAATAAGGCAGTCCCTTTTTCTCTGCTTGCATAATGCGCCACCCATATCTTCTTCTTGACAACTTTTATTATAATTCTGTGTGTTTGTGCTAGGCATGTCGAGAAGGATGTGAGTTCCCTGGGGGCAGGGATTATGCATTATTCAAGTTTATACTATGGCACTGACTATAATGTTTATCACATGGTGGATAAACATGTTTTGAATGAATCATTGAAAGATTCCCTTAGCTCAACATTATCTCCTATATGCAAAAGCGGCTGTAGTCAATAGGAATTCCCATTAAACAGACTCCTATTAGAGATTCCTAGCAGTGCTTCTAAGCTCTCAGAAATGGCTGTGGCAATTTTGCTGAGAAAGTGTTGACGAAAGCAACAGCTGCCAGAAATTGGTGTTTCCCAGAAGTTGCTATTGCCATTAGTGCGACTTATTCATCCTGTGTTTCTTTCTCATTCTGGAATAATCCACCTGTCTCAGATCTGCATAGCACCTCGATCACACTGTAAGATCAACCTTTATTAGGCATTTCATGATAGACCTATTTTGTTTTAAATGTAGTGGGGCCCAGATTTCCAAAGAATTTCCTTGAAGTTTGATAGAATTGCATAAGAAAAAGAGGTTAACTTCATATGATGTGACACTATATTAGTTTCTGTTCCCAGATTGTACTTTCAGCAATCTGCCCTGGAATTTTACTAAAATCTCCCAAGAAAAGTTAGAAAAAATGCCCTGAAATTTTGATATTTATACTCTCAAGCTGAATATAGATTTTGATTTAAAAAGTGATAATACTAGATGGAGATATTTATTCTTATGTTGGAGCTCTAACTCCAGGAAGGTGATAATGAGCTGCTGAGCTGAACAGTCATTTAGAGCCTGGGTGGTCATGAGAGGTTCCATTGCTACCAGACATCTGCTCATAAGTATCCAGAGTGCTGGTCAGTTAGCACAGCTCTCTAAAGTCATTATAAAGAGAGGCTTGGTGTTCGTGAATCTCAACTAACTGTGCTTTATTCAGCGGGGGGTACAATTTCGCTAGGCAGACACAGTGTAAATGCACATCCTCTTATCTCAGGGAGAGTGAAAATGGAGGTGTGGTAGATGTGGACAAGTGAAAATGACCTTCCCTATGGAGTAGTGTCAGCAAGGTGTGTCTGAATCAGGTTTTCTGGGTCATGTAATTGATGTGTATATACCTCTGTTGAGTGGAACCTCATCTCCCCTTGTTTTGTGTTTTCAAGCTCAGAAATATTCATTAGTGTAACAATTCGGACTTCTCTGTGCCCCTCGCTCACTTCTCTCAGAAGAAGGAAAAGCATTTTCTGGCCACCCCACTTAAATTGAACCCGTCAGCCTCTTATTTATTGCTTTCATGATACTCATCCTAATCTGCATATACATTGTTTATGTATCTGTTTATCCTATCTTTCCCGTTGGAATATAATAAAATCTGTTGTCAGGTATGTTTTTTCCTTAGCACTGTATCTTTGGCATCTAACACAGTGCCAAACACCTATCCACACCTATTCACACATGAATGCAATCTAAAGCAACACGATTGCGATAAGGATTTAGAGTTGGCAAGATGAACAAGATTGCCTTCTCGTTCAGGGGTAGTACTAAAAAATGGGATAGAGAGTTGCTGAGGCAAATGGAATGGCCACCAAGAGATAAATGGAACAGTGTGGCAAAGCACAATGTGTTCTCCGAAAAAATAGTTTTAAGAGGACTCCTGGGATGGTTGTGAGTAGGAGAGAGACAGCTTGAAAGAATGGTCTGTTGCACTGGGCCGGATGGTTTAGTGCAGGCAGGCAGGGCCCAGAGGTGCATGTATGTGAGGCCTGGGGGATTGTGGTAAGGCCAGCTGTAGGAACAGCTGTCTGAGCTGCTTGTCCTGGCCCACCCTCCTTACCGAGTGACGTGGGAGGAGGAGGGAATGAAGTCAGAAATGTTCCATCTGAGACACACAGCCAAGGTGCACAGCTGGAGAAGCTGGCTTGGTTCCTGAGTTCCACTGGGAGACAAAGCTTAGACAGTAGGCTATTTTTTTTTTAATGTTTTGCTTTGTTTCGAGAAAATGCTATTTTTATCTGCTGCTCAGTTACCTCAGATACTGGATTCAGGGAGGAGAATGCTTCTGAGAATAAGGCCTGGATACCATTACTTTCTTTTTTCCCTGAGCCCCATTATGGGAATGTTTTTCCTAAAATAACCAGTAGTTTCCTCTCCAGACCGCAGAGGTCCACTCACCATTACTATTTCCCAGCCTTTTCCTCGTGTGTTTTCAGGTCTTTCAAGGATCCTGCAGCCTGGGCCATTTTTGACTGGCTTCTGGGTGTTTTGTTGGTCTTTTGCTGTCAGTCCAAGCTCCATGCCTTCTCTGAGAGCACAAGAATATAGATCCCTGGCTGTATGTGTGAGTTGGTGAGGTTGATAAATTTGGCTTCTTTCTGGAAGTTCGCTAGATAACATCCATTTGTTGAATAATCATTCTAATTACACAGGAGAATAAGATAAATCTTCTCACACTGAGAGACTGTTTGTAATATTTAGGTGTTAATCAACAACAAACAGTGTTCTTTCAGACTAAAATAAAATCACAGCTACTCTCTTCTGCGCAGATATTGTTGGTAGAACTGATGACCCTCTGAGCCTCGCTGGAACCTACAGGGAAGTGAACAGGGGCATCTCCTGATAGACTTCCTAGAGGATAGTCAGGAAGCCGTGGTGTCAGGCATCATTGGTTCAATTTCCCACACTTCCCTGAGTGGCCCTGCAATGAGTTCTCACAGCAACTGCCGGGAGGTGGCCATGCTTCACAGGTTAAGGGCACAGTCCTCCACAGGACTGCCCTCAATGCAAACATCAGCCACAAGTTCCGGGTCCCCAGGCTGCCTTTACTCCTGGCTAGCTGGCTACAAATCTGGGAGTTCCCATGCTCCCTCAGGCTTGATAGTTCCATGAAACAACACACAAAACTCAGGAAAGTGATCATGATCATAGTTTATTAGAGCAAAAGGGTACAAATCAGAACCAACCAAAGGGAGAGAAGCATTGGGTGAAATCTGGGAGGGTTCTAAACATGAAGCTTCTGGTTGTCCTCTCCCAGGGAGACCTGGGTGTGTTACCTCCTCCCAGCCATGTTGTGTGACAGAACTCATGGAGTGTTGCAGAAGATAGGAGCTCAACTGAGCCTTTGGTGTCCAGAGTTTTTCCTGGAGCTTTATCACACGCTGCCCACGTGGCTGACCTTTAACCTCCAGCCCCTCCTGGAGGTTCTAGCTAATGATCTCTGGTTCCTCCAGAGGTCAGAATTCACATGGCATGTTCCAAAGCCCCATCATATATCACGTTATTAGACTGACTGGTGGCCAAAGCCCTCAGGCAAACAAAGATACTCCTATCTGGCAGGACAATCCAGGAGCCTAGGAATCACCACCCAGCAGCTGAGGGTGAAGGCCAGATCTCTGTTTGGGAAAGTTAATTCTTCACAATACAGACCTAAACCACTGGCAGATACGACATTCCTCCATTCCCAAGGCCTCAGAGCCTGAGAGGAGACACAGTCCCAGGTTGGGGCCATCCCTGACTAGGAAAATAGAGACCAGCACAGTCCAGACTGGAGCAAGCAGGCTGGGCTTCCACTCTTGAAAAGTCTCCCTTCTGTCTTGGATACTTGACAGACCATGTACAGAGTTCCTGGAGCTGTTTGGCATTGCTTCCCCAGAATGGGAAATGGATTTGCTGGGAGGACTGGTGAACAGCAGATTTTGCCAAGGCTCTGTCTGTTGATTTTGTTTCCTTGCTTCCTCCTTTATACCTTCAGGCCTGTGACATTCTTAAGACCAATGTTTGGTATTTTCTTAGGGTGAATGAAAACTAGCTATTTAATTCATTGATTCAAAAAGTATTTTTTTTTCAGTGCGTGCCCACTGTCTGCAGATATTGTGCTAAGTGCTGGAGATACTATAATAAATAAGAGAATAATGATCACTAATTGCACAACTGCTTCTGGTTTGGTAGGTCAAGAGCCACATAAGAGGATCTCTCACCAGAGAAAGTTCCCAGAAGAAGTACTATCTCAGTTAAAACCTGATGGATGATTATGAGATTATGAGCAAATAGAGTATGAGTGTGTGTGTGTGTGTGTGTGTGTGTGTGTGTGTGTGTTTGGTAGGGGCTGGTGAGTGGCAGGATGCTCCTTAGAGGAAGTACCAGACAGAGAAAATAAATGTGAGAAGGGTCAGAGGTTATATGTGGGCCCTGGACTAACCGTGTTGATGGATTGCCCAAGCACAGGCTTTGCTGAAAACCTGGAACCCCTGCTCCTTTCCCACAGAGATCTTCCTGAAGGAGACCCTTGAGGTGGGGCCTGGCTCCTCCCTCATAGGCTGACATGGGGCCACTCTCTGTTTCTAGACATGAGCCCCATACCACAATCTTCACATAACTTCCTGCACCCTGGTGCTGAACCTCTACCCACACTGACTTAATTCTTTATTTACATAAACCTTCGCTCTCTGAGGTCATTTAAAGGTTCTCCCAAGACGGCTTTCTGAAAGATAACTACAGACAACAGAAATGTGTCTACTGTGTTAGGGTACTATTATACTTATTGGTATTATAAAAGGTGCACCCATTTTATTTAATAAGTCTCTTGGTTGTAAAGTATTTTCTTGTTGGTTGAATTATTTCCTCATCATCTCATATGTGTTTTATTTCATCAACAGAAGTGTAAGCTCAGTATGACCAGGACCCTTGTTCTACAACCCTATTTCTGTATTTTTTTTTTAAGATGGATAATCATTAAGCATACTTAGATGATACCTTTTCCAGGCCAATACACATTTATCTAATATATTCTTTCTAATGACTGCATAACAATCATGATATTGTACATTAGTTGCTATCTCTGGGTCAGAAATTGAGGTGGGATTCAACCAAATGTTTTCAGCCTTGGTTAGATTCTCATGCATCTGAGGTCAACTGTGACTCAATTTCAGGTCAGCTTTGCTGATCTTCAGTTTTCGCACATGTCCAGGGCCTCAGGCTGATGTGGTTCTGTTTCATATGGTCTCTTTTCTTCCAGAAGGTTAGCCTCGGTTTATTCACGTGGAAAAAAGCCGAGGTCTGAGAGAGCAGGTGACAGAGTGCAAAGGCTCTTGAGGTGAGGGCTCAGAACTTGCACAGCTGTCACTTCGGCCACATTCTATTGATCCACATAAGTTACAAGGCCAACTGAGATTCAAGGGATGGGGAAATAGATGTCACCTGTTCAGAGAGGAGCTGGAAAGTCACGTTGATCTATTGAACTGTTAAACTTTCTTCTTTATTTATAAATGCTCTTATTTTTTAGGACATAACCAGGTCTGTTATAAAAGGACAAGAGCTTAGATTATTCTTAATTGGCTGTTAGTGCAGTGATGTTTATGATCTAGGGTAGGTCAGAAGCTGAGTCCTCAGCACCTCTATTTCCTAGAATAAAATTGTTCTCATGTCATTCTGAGAACAAATTCTGGCAGAACTCTCCCATAACTATTGCTTTCCAAGAAGGCTTTTCTTGCCTTTCATGAAGAGCATTAGGATCAGTTTTCTTATTTTTAATTTTTACACAGGTGAAATCTATACATTAAAAAAAAAACAATGGAGAGGTTTGAAAATGCTAAGATACAGGACCAAGACACTTCCATCTCTTCATGACATTTTATGTGACATAAATTTAATTCAATTAATTTATCAAGAATTTTTCTACAGCAAGACAGTGCTAAATGCTGCTGTTGCTGGTGAAATATGCATCAGATGAAGTTCTTGGGAGAGAAGATTTAGAGCCTAGTATAGTTTATGTGCTGCTGTGTTCTATAAGGACTCTAAGAATCCACATGTATACCAGGCATTACCTATGATTGAGTAAACAACAGCAATAGGAGTAATTATAGCTAATATTTTTTGAGTGCTTTCACTGTGCCAGGCAGTGTGATAAGTTTAAATATATACATGCATGTATTATGTTTAGTTAAAAAAACTGAAAGCAAATTTATTTAAAAGTGTTACTGTTTTCATAGTACTTTGTTAATCAATGGATGTTAAAAATCCATTACTATCTGCAAAATTTTTGGCTTTAAAAATTACGTCCCCATATTCAGAAAAGTTGGAATCCATCCACCAATAGATAGAACACAAGACAAAACACCCCTCACTAAGGTTTATCGCAAGACTGAAAATGAGGAGTGGATCTCAGGATAAGAATCAATAATTCAGCTATTTGAACATCAATCTTATTGTCAGTTTCTGGCCTGTAAGCTGACCCTCTCTCACAGTCTTCAGTTTTTGTGCCCATTTTGAGTTCCCAGGCCAGGTAGGAAGAGTGGGCATCCTTCTGGGGAAGTCTTCATGCACAGAGGCCTCTCTGGAGACTGCTTGCTGGGTGTCTGTGACTCGCTCAGTTCCGGACCTCCACAGAGGGTTTAGGGAGGGGTGGGCAGGAGTTAAGAGCCAAGCCAAAGGTGAGTGTGAGGGAGAAGAGACACATCTGAGCATCTGCTAACCACCATTCCCAGTGAAAACACAGGCCTGCTCGTAGCACTGTGCCTCCCTCATTTCTCCTTTCCTGTTTGATCACCTGCAAGCCCTGGACTGCAGGCCACAGGACATCAGCCAAGGAGTCCCGGTCCTAGGAGCCCTCAGCCACACCCTCTGTGTCTCATCCCTCATGGAGTCAGAGGGTTTGGGAAAAGGGCACATTACATTGCTCTACACAGGTAAAGATGAAAAGGGAGTGATCCTGATTTTTACCTATCATCACGATCATACTCTCAGAGTATTGTTAAGAGTTACTTGCTGAAAACATGGTAAATATGAAATACTTTTGAAAAGTATTCTTGATATAACTATTGAAAATGAAACAAGACATATTTCCCTCCTTTATGGATTTTCAATTTCTCGTGAAGTTGAGAAAACACCGAATAAATCTGAAAGTAAGTTGAATGCTGTCAGACAGGAGATATTGTTGTCATTTAAAATAGACATATTGCATTGTATTTTAAAGTAACTCTGTTAGAGTCATCTTGTTTTCTAAAATTCGTTTTTACGATGAAGAATGCCTTTAGCTATGTTCTTGATTTTAGTAGAATCTGCAGAGTCCTTTTATATTGACGCAGTAAATTACACCTAAATCAGCAATGCGACATTTAGCTGTTTACTAATCGGTGAGTCACAAAGTGGTGAGTCAGAACAGCCTCCCGTGGTAAACACAGTTTGCAGTGACAATGAATAATCACAGTGTGCTCCAACAAACATCTAACCAGTGAGGTTTCTGTAGCAAACATTCCTAGAAAACAGTCCTTTGGAACCATTAGGATAAAATTTTCAATATTATAGGGAAGCTCTTCGCTCCTTTTAGTTAATACGTGAGCAGAAAACTTTGTCACCATAAGCTACAGAATATGGAAGTGGCTTACATTTTATGTTAATGGGCATGTAACTATTCATTAAATGCTTCTTTTATCTACATGTATCCAAAAAATAGCTAGTACTAATTGAACACTGGCTCTGTGCCAGGCACTGTTTTATGTGCATATAAATATTACCTTATATTTTCCTCTATGGCAACCCTATTATTTAATACCCATTATTTAATATCCCATTTTTTAAAAAAGACTGAAGTTATGATTAACTGGAGTAGTTTGTTCAAGGTTACAGAGCTGAAATGTGAAGAATCTGAGCCCAGGGACTCTGGCCCTGGAGCCTGTGCTTTTCACCTCTGTCCTGTACTGTTCTTTTGTTTCACCAAACAAAGGTTTATTGTTAACCCATGATTTTCAGTCTCAAAAGTCCTTGTGTCAATAACTTCCTAAAATGTCTTTCAAAAAGTATATGGTATTTAGTTTTAACCTGACTTTTAATCAGGGATGAATCAAAGATACTTTGGGCTCATAAAAAATTCATTTCCACAAAGAGCCATTGGGAGAAAGTATACATCTGTTCACTGAGCCATTATTTCAAAATTTCAAGAATATGCGCAGGCTGGGCCTTTTCAACACTTCCCTGAAACATAGCTCAGTGTGATGAGATCAACAAGCAACTTACATTTTAGTAGGTGACAATAGGGAATAAAAAAAGACTCAATTTTTCTGTTGAGCAATTCTGACTTGCACTTGGTGACAACTGCTGATTGATGAGCTCCTGCTTGCATGGGCCAGTTCACCAAGAGAATCAACACAGATGTGTACAAGCAATGTAGGGAGTGGGGTGTCCATTCTCTTTTGAAGCAATCCCATTTTGGGGTTAGATTTATAATGTTTGTGTTTTTTTATTTTATTTTATTGGCAACAGTGGCTCCTGTGAGGTTTCTAAGAAAGTGCAGAATGAATGTGAATCCTTGAAAGTCAGTTGTTCAGAAATTCCAAAACATATGCTGGTCAATGGGTTTGATGTCAAAGCAGAAATGATTGATAGAGAGGAGGACATTTCCTAAGGCAGCAGCACGCAGTCTAACTCTTTTGAGTGCCCTTGAGGGAGACCAATTTGCAAGGCTGGTATTTACTATTTCATTTGACTTGGCTGTGGCATTTACATAGTAATGGTTTCAGTTCAACTTGGGAATGTTATTTTAAATCCTATACATGCTGCATATAAAAGTGTCTAAATGAGTTATCTTATGTGCTTACTGTTTCTCAATGTTTGTTTGCATGCCTATTTGAAGCTGCTGTTTGCCAGTCACTGCCTTCATTGTAATATACTGTCATCGAGGTCCCCTAACAGAGAATGTGGTCCTCTGGTACCTCTAGTGACAAACTCCCATATTTGAGGGTTACACCAAGTTCCATACTAATCCAAGCTATTTCTTATAGCAAGTATCCAGGTGAGTGGTTTACAGTTGTGACATTTTGGTCTTGGAAACAGCACACAGCCCTAGTTAGGCCTGAGGGGATATGTAATACACGTGAATGTCATTTGTCATTTATGTAGGGGCAGAGGAATGCTTGAGTTCGCTATCTGGTGAATAGAGATGTAGCGGGTAAATGTTTTGTAATTTACTCAGATGTTCAATCCAGGATAGCTTTATTTTCTATAACAGCCTAATTTCTAACTCTGGTAACCACTTTGCGTGGTGTCAGAAAGCTTGCTTTAAGTAAATACAGGGTTTTCTCAGTAAAATCATGACTTTCTAAGTCAATTCAGGATGTCTTCCATCAGTTCAGATTTCCTCCTCGCCATCCTTGGGGTGGAATGTAGAGGCCTTAACTGGTGGTCTGGCATTGGTTGGGGACACCTGGCCCATACTGGCATCTGTTGGGGTGCAGTGCTTAGGGTCCAGTCTGGGACATTATTGTTTCTAATGTCCTGATGTCTGAGTCCCTGTAGGTCTCTGGCTGTTAATCTATATGCTCTGCATCCTTTTTATTATAATATTGACACCCATCCAGGTCCACTAAGTCTCTCTCTGTTAATTTCTATGCTTTTTGTGTGCATGCAAAAATTCAACTACTCTAATTCCAGTCTGGCAGAATGGGGCTGTCTTGGGCTTTCTGGGCCTATTGGCACTACTGCACAGCTGTCTCTGCCCTGGTGGAAATTTGCAGGATACTGTCACTCAGTCTTTCTGAGAGGAATTAGTTGTCAATCTCCTCTAGTTTCAGATTCCTAACATCCTATTTGGGGGCTAAAAATTGCCTCCTCCCACCCCACTGCTGGGAGGGTATGTGGAGATGGGCAGAGATCTTCACTGATGTCTTACTTTCTTGCTTTTGTCTCCATCACCCCAGAAATTCCCAGAAACTAAGAAATTTGCATTAAATCTAGGGTTGCATAATTGGTTTTTGTATTCAGATATATTCTAAGAGAACTTTTTGAGGCATAGATTTATTTTTAAACTCAAAAGTCGTAACCCAAACTCAAAACCCCTTTTTTCCATTCTATTGTCTCCAGAGGAATTTTCAAATTTATCCTTTCTTCTTTTGTGTTCATTGTGAACTCCCTTTTCCAATATAGGAAGGAGACCAGGACTTCCTGAGCTGCTGGCCTAACATGAGAATGATAACAAAGCAAAAAAGTATTTTCAGAAATAAAATACACATCTCTTTGTTGCTGGAAAGGGGTCCCAATCCAGACCCTAAGAGAGGGTTCTTGGATCTCACGCAAGAAAGAATTCAGGGTGAGTCCATATAGTAAAGTGAAAGAAAGTTTATTAAGAAACTAGAGGAATAAAAGTATGGCTACTCCATAGACAGAGCATCCTTGAGGGCTGCTGATTGCCCATTTTTATGGTTATTTCTTGATTATATGCTAAACAAGGGGTAGATTATTCATGCCTCCCCTTTTTAGATAGGGTAACTTCCTGACATTGCCATGGTATTTGTAAACTGTCGTGGCACTGGTGGGAGTGTAGCAATAAGGATGACCAGAGGTCACTCTTGTCGCCATCTTGGTTTTGGTGGATTTTAGCAGGCTTCTTTACTGCAACCTGTTTTATCAGCAAGGTCTTTATTACCTGTATCTTGTGTCAACCTCCTTTCTCATCCTGTGACCAAGAATGCATTAGCCTCCTGGGAATGCAGCCCAGTAGGCCTCAGCCTCATTTTACCCAGCCCCTATTCAAGATGGAGTTGCTCTGGTTCAAATGCCTCTGACATGTTCATATAAAAATATTACTTTGCTACAAAGATGATTGGGATTGGACGTTAAGATAACCAGTCTACTAACACCTTTCTATAAGATCAGAGAGAAATTTCAAGTGATTGCCTTCTGAGAAGCTGTATGGGGCATTGGTTAAGAGCATGAGCTATGGAGTTGGATGGTTTGGATTCAAATTTTGGGAGTGTGCCATAGGGCGAAGTATTTAACCTCCTTGTGCCTCAGCTTCTACAAACCTGGCTAATAACCAGAGTTCTTATGAGAATTAAATTAGTTAATATATGTAGAACACTCAGAACAGAAACCAGTTAGTAGTAAGAACTAGACAATTACTAATTATTATTATTGTTAGGTGTTGCCAGCCTGTGTGTTAGAAATATTTTAACGTGATGATCTCATATATGTGTATGTTCTAAGCAACATGTGTAATCATTGAAACGTAGGCATTTAATTACCTTGTGACTTGCCTACTTTATTACCAGTAGACTTGCCTACTTTTAACTTTTAAAAAACTTTCTTGATATACTTGATTCACTGTTAAGGCATTATATGAACAAAACTTCTTTTATTCATATAGAGTTGCTCAATACAAAATGTAGCTACCCAGAGTTAGCCAAACTGCAAGGTTAAGGTCATAGACCTCCAGACTAAATCTACATAAGACTTCTGCCCCCAACTGTAAGTCGCTAGGACTCAACTACAAAGGGGAGATAAGTTCATGCAAGACCACTCTCACTACTGGCACCAATGGCAAGGTTGGGTATTTCCTAAATCAGGTTCCATAATTCACTAGAAAGACTCATAGAACTCATTGAAACCTAGTATACTTGTGATTCGTTTATTACAGAGAAAGGATACATTAAAAGCAGCCAAGGGATGAGATGCATAGGGCAGAGTCTGGTAGGGTTCCAAACGTGAAACTTCCACTGTCCTCAGGGATGAGTTACCCTCCCAGCATCAAGGCGTGACAATACCCATGGAATATTGCCAGTCTGGAAAACTCAGCTGAGCTTTGGTGTCCAGAGTTTTTATTGGGGCTTCATTATATCAGATGACTGATAGCCTGTGTGGTTGAACTCACTCTCTAGGTTGTGACACAAACCCTCCACCCTATGTTATATGGTTGGTCTTTCTGGCATGGCCAGCCCCCATCCTGAGACCATTGATTGTGGCCAGCCTCACAATGAGTCATCTTGATAGCAGAAACTATTAAGTGCGGTCCAAGGACCCCACCATCAATTATAAAGACATGCCAACAATTCAGGAAATTCCGAGCCTTCAGAGGTTATCTCCCAGGAACTGGGACAAAGACCAGACCTGACTTTGGGTAAGGCTAAATTTCTTGCTACACGTTAGTAGAAGAATCAGCAAATTCCAGTGTCAGGAATCTAAGTGTTCCCATTGTTCTACAGTGCCTGGTTCACTCTGATCTGTCACCTCAGCCTGGAACCTCAAGTTTGGAGGTGATTGGTCTAATGCTGCTGCTGTGCCCACTGTGTATACAGGCATCCTCTGCAGTTTTCCATGTTGATACCTGCTTTTATGTGAATTCTGTTTTTAAAGTCTTCATTTTTTATCTCCAGTCATATTGGACTACAGCCTCAGTTCCAAAAGCACTGCTTCATATGTTTTCAATCCTCTCCAGTCAGTGTTTGAATTAATGGGATTGTCACTAGGAACATCTACACTTGAGGGACAGCCCAACACAAAGTAAGATACATGTCTGATGGCTCAGATTCATTCACTCATCACTATTTGTCATACTCCTTTGTGCCAGGCACTATTCTGAACACAGAGCATTTAGTGGAACTTAGAGGTTAATAGGAAGGACAGATATTATACAAATAATCACACAGAAATACATAGAAATTACAGGGTTCTTTAAAACAGTAACACGAGGGGAACAAATTTAGGTTGAGGGGCAGAGAAGTGTTCATTGAGGAAGAGACATTTCATCAAGATTTAAAGAAGGATAAATATTAGCCAAGTGACTGGAAACCGTGATTTGATTTGAACTGGTAAGAACAACATGATGTGGGCTCTGAGTTTAGTCTGCACTGCTTCCCCACTCCCATGAAATGAGGAAAATATTTCTTAACTAAACTAGAAATTCAATGGCCCTTTTAATCCAAGGTCCTTACTAGCTCTGAAGGTTAGAAAGAAACCTAGTGAAGTAATGAAGAAACATTCCAAGAGACAATTTTGGAGAGTTTTCGGTATATCTCATGCCTGCGTCTGCAGCAACTGGAGACTCTTTTCTATCTTTTAGGATTTCCAAGCAAAGGAACCAGAAATCACTATAAACATGAAGTCATCCTCATTGGAATGAGCCAAGTGTACTGCAGTGAAAAAGTGAACCAGGTCTGATACTCAGCTTAAAGGATGCTGGAATGAAAGCTGTGGTGGGTCTCAGACTAAACACTGTGAGATATCTGTGTGCTAAGGGACAAGAAAGAAAGGAAATCGCTTTACCTAGTGTAAGCAGATCAGGATTTGGGGAGGCAGAAGGCTCATAGAATCATTGGGCAGACTGGAGAAAAAGATTCTAGGCTCGACTTCCAGGAGTGATGCCCAGAACCACCCATCCATCAGCCTCATAAGAAGGCTGCAGTCCTATCCCTATGCCAGCTGCCTCCAGTGCTGCCAGCAACAGAATATGCAGCCAAATGGGCCCAAACAGGAAGTTACTGCTCCTGGCCCAATCAAGAAGATGCTGTTGCTGCCTAACCCAGACCACATGGCCTCCACTGCCCCTAAACCAAGAAAAGGGATGCCCCTGCCTAACCTGTTCCTCATATGGCTCATCTCCCAATCAAATACTTGGCTGAATACAGATCTGCACCTTAGCTGCAAGGGAGCCTGGAAAATGTAGTTCGCAAGGCAATAGTCACAGCACTTGGAAGGATAAATGTAGAGATGGTGTTTGAATCCTTTCTGGAAGTGATTAATGACAACTGTTCACTAAAAAAGAATGCCTGGAGAGACACGACAGTAATTATAGGGATAACAGAAATATTCTTAAGAATTAGGAGTCCTCAGCCCTAGAAGATGAAAAATGCGATGAAATATGTGAAAGTATTTAAATGGTCACAAGAGAGAGTGAAATGAACTTTATAACAGTAGAAACTGAGGTTTGAAGTTGGTGAAAGTATAAAGACTTTATATCATACTAAGCCACATTCGTACAGGTGTCAGCATAGTTTGAATTTATCATACTTCGACATTATATGTAAATGAGTTCAGGAATGAGAAATAAAAACTAGTTTTTAAGGGCAATTTTATTACTGACAACAGAAAAAAAACCCTAGGTTTACCAAAAACTTTGGTCATGCCATATGGGTGATACTTATTCTTGTCTTTACTTTTTTTTTTGAGACGAAGTCTTGTTCTGTTGCTCAGGCTGGAGTGCAGTGACGTGATCTCCACTCACTGCAACTTCCGCCTCCCATGATCAAGTGATTCTCCTGCCTCAGCCTCTGGAATAGCTGCAATTACAGGCATGTGCCACCACACCCAACTACTTCTTTGTAGTTTTAGTAGAGACAGGGTTTCATCATGTTGGTCAAGCTGGTCTCAAACTTTTGACCTCAGGTAATCTGCCCACCTCTGCCTCCTAAAGGACCAGAATTACAGACGTGAGCCACCGCACCTGGTCTCTTGCCTTTACTCTTTATCTAAGCCAGACAGGCTATTCATATATTGTTTCCTCAATATGTGAAATGATTCTTTGTTTGAAAATGGACCACAGTGATAAGTGACTAGAGCCAGAGAAAATGAAATGTATGAAATATTAATTAAAGAATTAAGAAATATATGGCTAAGCAATAAACTCTTTTCTAAATTCTAGACATACTTGAAGAGGTCCTCTTTCCTTTAATCTTTTTGAATGGTTATTCCCTGCTGCCGCCACCCACCCTCGGGTAGATTCCACATGCGTGCGCAGATGAGCATTCTGCTGAATACTTGAGGGCACCCTCGGCAGATCTCTAGGTCCTCTCTGTGCCCCTCTCTCCTCTCGTGTATTCTGTCTTATGAACTTCAGCTGCCTTAGTCTTCTCTGTCTCAGATCTGTTGCCTCAATTCAGGGAGCCTACCAGGTTCTGCCTCAGTTTCCCCTCTTTGTGCTGTGGCCTAGAAACTCTCTCAAGGCAATAAGCTATTGCAATGTTAGGGCTCGCCTCATTTGTTTCCCATCTCTCAGGATCATGGTCATTTATTGCTTAGTATACCGTGTTTTGGAAATTGTTGATTTATGTCATTTGTCTGCAGCCTTCTCAGTTGCTGTTGTTTCAAGTGGAATGGTAAATCTGGTCCCTGTTATTTCGGCGTGGCTGGAAGCAGAAGTTTAGATAAAATGATTTTTATTGGTTATATCCAATGTGCCCCCAGTTTTTAAATCAACTCCTTTGTGAGACATTGGGGTTTCTTTTCCTTCTCCACTCATTTAAATAAAGCTCTCACCAACATTTAAAAAATGAATCTTTGTACATACTTGATTGTTTTTTTAAGAAAGAAGAAATTTCTAGAAGTGAAATTACAGGGTCAGAGTGCAAGGACTCTTTGATGTATATTGCCATATAATTTTCAGTTTCTATGAGGTAGTTTTCTGTACAGGGAAGTGGACCCTGGGAGCAGCTTTTGCCACCAGTAGGATCCAAGGTAGTAAATCATCTGGTGGTCCTGTGGTCTGTACTTGCCTCTAGGTCTCGGTTTGCCAAGTCAGTGTATATTAATGGGTCCTAATCTATAGAGGTCTTTCTCTACTCGTCTCTTGGACTCAACATTCTTTCACAGGCAGTGATGAAGGAGGTTTTCTGCTTATTTTTCTATGCTTGGCTTGAATCTGGCAGGATCTGCAGTAAATCTAGCAGAAAATTCCTGGCAGATTCAAGTTTTCCCACCAACTTCCTTTGGACATGCAGCTTTATCTGCTCAAATCCATTTTGATTTTAATTCCCAGTTGTGGGACCACCTCCTTCCTGATCTCAAATGCTGTTCCATATTACTGAATAGGTTTAGCATCAAGCTTTAGCATTCTTGCTGTCTTACATTATTGAACTTTAATGGCTCAGCTCTGAGCTAAGAATGGAGCTTTAAAATATGAGCTTGTAGGCCGGGCGCGGTGGCTCACGCCTGTAATCCCAGCACTTTGGGAGGCCGAGGCGGGCAGATCACGAGGTCAGGAGATCGAGACCATCCCGGCTAAAACGGTGAAACCCCGTCTCTACTAAAAATACAAAAAATTAGCCGGGCGTAGTGGCGGGCGCCTGTAGTCCCAACTACTTGGGAGGCTGAGGCAGGAGAATGGCGTGAACCCGGGAGGCGGAGCTTGCAGTGAGCCGAGATCCCGCCACTGCACTCCAGCCTGGGCGACAGAGCGAGACTCCGTCTCAAAAAAAAAAAAAAAAAAAAAAATATGAGTTTGTAAAAATACAAAGCAGTACTATATTATCATATACCTTAAATTAAGTTTTTAAATAATCCACATAATGTGTTAGTTAAAACACCTGCTGATAGTGCCTAGAATTGCAGCTCTGCACTATTAGCCATTGCAAGTACCCAGCCCACCTCAAAGGAAAATAAATAAAAATAAAATAAATCAGAAAATGCAAAGATCAGGCAATTTAATGTCATTGTATTTCAGGGGAAATGAGGGGGACTGAGGGTGAATATTTAATCTGAGGTTGAAGAGAATATTTCATACCGATTAGCACTTCAAAAGAAATGTTCACATTGTAGTTGATTATAGTAGTAATCAAGTATGAAAATTTATATATACAGTAAGATGACATCACTGGGTTGGTCATTCCCTGGAATATTTTCTTCTCAATCTACTAAAGAAGCATTTTCTTCTAAAAATGTTTAATTTTATAATAAAATCACCTAGAAAATTTTCATCACTTAATAGATATGGAGCATGTCTATTTTATATACTTTGTACACCGAATGGTGAGTACTATCACTGGTATTTCTGATTACAAAGATATGGCCAAAGTAGAATGTAAAATTCAAATAAGATTCAAATTCAAATACAAAGTTTGGCCAGTGGTGAAAATAGCATTAGTTTAAGAAAATAGTAGAATAGAACATACATTTTGAGAAATAGACAGCTGAGAAAAATGTTGACCAATGACCAAATGAATAAAAACTTTTCTTGGAGAGAGGATGAACACTGGGGAATAGTTTGGCTCAGTAAGGTGAGAAATGCATGTTTCTGGGGGATGTTGGAAAACAAGCTCTTTGGAGATTCTAAAAACTGGTTTTAGATACAGGAGAATATTTAGATAAGCTGAGTGATGGGAAGGTTGCAAAGCCACAGTAATAAGGACAACCAGGTGTGTGGGTAGTGATTTGGCACTGACTGAATTGTATAGCAGTGCGGATAAGTATGGGAGTGAAAACTATTGTCTTGGAGTATATTAGGATAATATTTCTTGTCCATTTAATTCCATATATATATATATAATTCCTTAATAATATTAATTTTTGTTTGTTTAAAATTTTTCACTTTTTAAAAGGTATTCATTTTCATGATCTAATTCAGATTAGATCGTGATTTTTTTTGATAAAGGTAGAGTGTGTATTATTATCCTAATTTTCCAGGTTATAAACTGAAGCCGAAAGTGGGGATGTGACTTCAGAATTACATTACCCAGTTAGCTGCAAAACCGGGACTAAGACTCCAGTGCTTTTTCTGCTAAATCGTGCAAAGAGGCCTTTTAACACAAGTCCGAAATAACTATTACATTCACTTATTCTTCCAAAAACCACTTCTTGACCTCCTTCTAGATATCAGAATTGGGCTGGTTGCAAAAGAAATATCAGGGATGAAGAAACACAAGCCGATGTCCTCACAGACCTTACATTCTCAGTGAGGCAAAAAAATCAAGTAAGCAAACAAAGAGGCAACACACAAGGGCATAGAAAGAAAGTCAGCAAGACTAAGTCACTTCTGATGAAAAAGAGGAAATGTAATTCCACACAATTTTTTTTTCTTCAGTTTCTACTATTGTTAAATACAGTGCTAATCCCTTTGTGGATACAAAAATGAACAAAACACAGCCCTTGACATCAAGAAACTCTCATTATCAGAGCAGATGACAAAGCAGCGTAGATCATTGAGAACGCTCCTGGCTCCAGGCACTATGCTAAGTACTGGGGACACTGTAATGACCAAGGCATGGTTCCTGCCCTCATGGAGTTTGCAGTCTATCAATTTCACCAGCTACCTGATTCATGGAAATGAGGCTTGAAGTCAGAAACACTGGGCCAGACTGAGTTTCTCTGGAGAGAGTTCTAATGGTTCCCATATCAACTGGGAGCTGGTGCCTGGTAAGTGCTCTCTAAGCATCTACTGAGGTGCTGAAGGCCAGATACAGGAGAGGGGAAACTGACCAAAGCAGTGGTTTCTACTAGTTCATTCATTTGACTACAGGAGGGCACTGACTTCCACCAGAAACAACTTGAATTGCTAGCTTTGGCACCTGAGATTCTTTCTGTGATCATAGTGTCCACACAGTAAACTCTGAGGATGCTGAGAAAATTGAGACCAAGAAGTCTGTCTCTGTGAATAATCTTGTCAACTCTATGAGGAAACTTTTATCCATGTTTATGTTTTCTTGATTTTTACTCGTGCATTTATTCGATGGAAAAATGACTTGGCTTTCAGGAAAGACCAGTGGACTCTCAGATGGGGAGACTTTTTATTTTATTTCATAAGAATAGTTTCTTGTTTTGTTTTGTTTTGTTTTCCCTCTCTGTTAGGGCCAGCATCTCCTGTATCTTCTCTCTGTCTCAGCCTGTAATTCCACTTGGACCCTCCAATCTCAGCACTCTTTCTTTCAGGAAAGTGACACAGGTGTGTCCAGTACTTCTTAAAAACAGGAAGCCAGGAACATGTATCACCGATAGAGAAGCTGTGGTCAGTAGTCCCTGGGACAGCTGCATAGGCCAGTATCTAGGGCTTTTGAAGGGGATGAGGCACTACTGAGAGCAGACGGGCAGGGTTGTGTCTTCTGGCTCCGTGTCCTCTCTATTCACAGGGAGAAAAGGCATGTCTTAGCTTACATTCCCTTAAAAGCTGAGACTGAGATAAAGGTTTGCATGCAGGGCATTTTTGGGAACTGATCTCATGGAGCAGGAGTGAGGGATCAAGAGAGCAAATTTGGGTAGTGGAGAGAGCCAATGCAATGGTGCATAATGGAGCTGGCCACCATGTGCATGACTGGTGCCTGATCCTGGCATGACCTTCTGAAGAGTCTTTTGGAATATGCCGCAGACTTTTCCTCCTGCAGGGCATGGGGGAGGGCAGGAACCATTTATTCATTTGTTTCTCTCATTGTTCAAAAGTGAGCCCAAGAGTGTTTCTTTCTCCTTTCTCTTTCTCCTTCTTCTTCCTCTCCCTTTTTTCTCTCTAGTATTTGTCTTTGGGAAATGAAGATATGAGATCCAAAATGCAAGAATGCCAACTTGGGAGAGTGGTACTAAAATGTCTAGAATCACATTTATGCTTATAGAGCAATCAGTTCACACAGAGAAACAATGGAGGTCAAAGGAAAGGGAATCTTGAGGGGAAAAAAAAGAAATTAAGGTGCTTGAAGCATTTGAGAGAAATTATTAATAAATATTTTTAAGACTGTGTTGAAGAACTTAGAAAAAATAGCACATTGACATAGAATAAATGAAAAAAATGTAATTATTAACTAAGAAAATACGTTGTACCAGAAAGGATATATACTCATAGTTGTCATTTTGGTTGGACAGTGGCAATATTCATGTGGTCATAATCATATATGCACTGACTGTCTATTTAACCCCAGCTTATGATATATATATAACTATGTTGAGAAAGTGAGAGTATTTGCATGCTGCCATAGAAGGAAGTCAATAGATAATGCTTAATAATGATAAATCAAGAGTATATACATATTAATTAGAAATTGCTAGAATGGATTTGAATTGGAAGGTGGGGGTAGAGCATGGTATTTCTGTTTTCTTGATGGGCTAAGGAAGGAACAGACCTTTATAATACTATTGGCTTTTTAGATATGTGCAGGTAGTATTTTGATTTAAAAAGCCTTTGATTTTAAAAAAGAATGTAGCTGTAATTTAATATATGTGATTGATGTTGTTGAGTAATAAGAACAATTATAATCATAAAACTTGTTTTGATATAAGAATTCCACTGGGATTGGGAATAGTAATGTAAAGAATCCTTGGGGGATATACAGAACCGTTGATTTAGATACACTGGGTTTGATATTTTGCTTCATGAATTTCCACAAATGCAAGTTTCCATTAGAGATCTCCACATGAAAACTTAGAACCTGTCCTTTTTTCCAAAGAAGCAGCTGAGCTTCCTCAGAAACATCTCTTACCAGTCTTTCATTTCCACACCACAAACCAAACCATAGAGTCATCCTTCTATTACGTTTTCTACAGCTACTCCCTGTTTTTCTTAACACTATTAAAAAGGCCAAGTGCTGGACATCATTAGGAAAGAATCTAAAAACTAAAATTATTATAAGGTGCTTATTATTTATATTCCACATACTTCTCCAATGATCTGTGGTATTAATCCATAGTGAATATTAGCAAACTCATGGTACATCTAAAACTAATACTAATAATTGATACCCCTTATGTAACACTACGTGCCAGGAAATGTGTCAAGCCCTTTGTGTATATTACCTCATGTAATCCCCACAATTGGGGTTACGTACCATGGCTAACACTGTTTCCTTTTTATAGCTGAGGGAAAACTGAAGCACAGAGAAGTTAAGTAACTTTGTCAAGATCATCCAGTTAATAAGTAGCAGAATCGGGATTTTTATACCCTGTATATTTTACTTTCAAGATAAAAATCACATACTGTCTGGTTAACATAATTGGTGATGATGTTGTAGAGAAGAGAGATGGTCTAGAAGGGGAGAATATTATATTTTAAAAACTTAAACATTTTACATCATCTGACCAAGGATAGAGACAGACAAGTCTGAAAGACAGGAGTAAGAAATGATGCCTCAACTTTAGAGTTTAGGTACGGGCTCCAGGTGCCTGGGGAGCACTGTGTCTGACAGCACAGATGTAGACGGCAGAGTCTCTGGGATGGGAGGCTGTGATGTGCAGGGAGCTGTGCTTTTCCTGTATGTTTATTGTGGCAATTAATCTTCCATGCTTCTTCTTCCCTGAGCTCAGCATAAACAAGGAAACAATGCCTCCTCCTGGATGCTGTTGCAGCCAGTGTAAGGCACTTATTCCTACCGAGTAACTGCAGTTGATTGTGATAAATTCTCCTTCCTGGGCAGTCAGGTTCTGAGGACTCTGCTCCACTTCATTTTTGGCGGCACTTACACCTGTTCTCAAAGACATCATCAGATACAGAATATTACAATTATTGCAATATTTATACACATTTCTTTACACATTTTCAGGAGGGCCTCCAGATTAGCCACTTGGAGTCCCTTCTCTCCCCTCCCCAGAATTTTGAAAAATATCTCATGTCCTGAAACTCCCCAACTTACAGCTTAGCTGAAGCCACAAAATAGCCAACAAAAATTGCCGGATCTTCACCATTATTACTGCAGCAGAAGCTCACACAGGTCTCTGTTGGAGGATTTCGGAATATATCTTGGACAAAGGAGTCCTTTATTTTTAAAACGTCTCTACATTTACTTTAGAAATCAAAGGGGATTTTCAGCCCATCAGAAGCAGCAGAAATGCACACTTAAGAACATTTACAGTTTTACTTGCAAAGTGAACCATCTGTGATCTTTTCAGTATAACACCCACATTGCCACCTAGTGGCATGAGGCGTAGACATTTATTATGCAGGTCAAATACTTGAGCCCAGGAGTTTGAGGATACAGTGAGATATGATCATGTTACTCCACTCTAGCCTGGGCAACAGAGCAAGACCCTGTCTCTAAAACAAACAAACAGCCCCTCTCACCCACAATACAGATAGAGAACCAAACTTAGCATCCTCCTACTAGGAGTCCTAGAAGAAAGGTGAGGGTAGTGTGGGAGAACAGAAGCTTGTTGATTGTTAGACTTCAGCCAGCTATGATAGATCAAGTAGAGTAGCTGCATTTCACATTATATCTTTTGAAAACTCAAGGCCAGATCTGTTCTTTTTTGTAAAGGTGTCCTTATAAATATCTCTGGTTTCTTTATGTGACATCCTTGTTTCTTTCTGCACATGGTATTATTTCAGACTACTTTATTAGTTTTATCTTTCTTATTTTTAGACTTGCTACAGTTTGTTCACGTCTCTTCAAATGTGATTCAAATATTGTTGCCCTGTCAGAGTATTACTGTACTCATCTGGTTTCCACTTGTTTTATTGTTATCTATGATAGTTTCAGTTGTTTTATCACATTGGTGAATTATTTTGAGCATGTAGTCCTTTTCCACTTTTGGGATTCCTTTCTAAAGAGATGACATAGAGGTCATGCTTGTACCAAATAACCTCCTTTTTCTGGCAATAGCTTATTGGATCTGGGAAGATACTACGCTCATTAATTTGAACTAGAGGTACAGAAACCGCAGTTAGACAGTGTAACTAGAGCTTTAAAGCCCTGTGCTATTCAAACCAGACTCATCTCTTAGCAAACAGAGCTGGGTATGTTCAAACTGAAGTTATTGTGGAGTAGAATATGACAGGCTTACAGTGGAATCTGGTTTCCCAGGAGGAGAACAGATCATACATCCAGAGAAAAGTAGATTCGGAAAGCATAGCCAATTGGTGATTTTCTTCTTTCTGTGAGTCCTAGCTGTATTTTGCACAAATTGATTTTATGAGAATTTCTAATATCCTTTCAGAAAATCTTTTCCTTAATTACTATGAGCGCGTTACACAACAAATACTAAAAATTCAGGATCCCTTCTTCCAGACATTACAACTCATTTTTATAAAACTACTGTATAAATATATAGTTATCTCCATTAAATTCTATTTTGACAGTTTCAGTCTATCTTTCCAGTTTGTTCAGATGATTTTCAATCTTTAATTTATGCTGTAAATAAACATATTAGCTGGAGATCATTAGGACATGATCATCATATACCGATCTCAAAATTTGCTATTTGTACATTTAATGGGCATACCTTGTGTGAATTTACATAAGATCAATGTGAACAGGTCAAAGTGAAGGATAAAATCATGAGGTGTAACAATAGGGACATTTTTCTAAATTGTATATTTATACATGGCCGTTCTTTCAGCTGAGAATTCACCAAGTCTAGCATTACGCAGAATGACAAAGTGAATAGAGGATACAGTCTAGATCCAAATGAACTTAGGTTTGAGCCTTAGTCTTACTACTTACTAGATTCTACTGGATTTTTCTATTCAATACTCCAATCCTCAGTCTCCTTATTCATAAAATGGGTGTAACAATACCAAAATTATAGTTTTGTGGTGGGGATTACAGATAACATTGGGAGGTAACAAAGTATAGAATTTAAGAATGCAGGCTTTGGGCTTGTCAAACTGTATTTGTATGCCAGGTCTTCCCTTACTAACTCTGTGTTCTTGGGCAAGTTAGTTAATTCTTCTGTATTAAAGATAGTTTCCTTATCTATAATAAGGATTGCACCTACTTCATGAGGTTGTAGTGAAGATTAAGTGAATTAATGTATGCAAAGCATTTAGAACAACACTTCATGCACATTAAGCCCTTGATAAATAAATGTTAGTTCTTATTACATATGTAGTACAACAGGGCCTGTGATAAACACAACACTCAACAAATGATAATATATATATATTTTTCCCATTGATATAGTGAAAAACAAATTATTAAATATCTTGCAAATATTTGACACGTTTGAAGTCCACGGAAGTCCTTTGAATTTAGGACTTGTTTTAAAAATGTCTTTAGTGAGCTCATTCTGGCTTGGTACTGATCACTGCATTATTTTCTAAGAGCCCACACATTATCTGTTAATAATCTGCTCTAGAATTTTGCTGGGTATCGATCCACTATTTCTGTGTTCCTGAGTTGGGGATTTCCTTCATTCCTGATAGGTTTTCAAAAAATTCTCCCAATGCCTTGCCAACCATGCCTGCAAATTCTTTTTGTATGTTGGGGATTAGTTTAAAAGACCCAGAAGAATTGATCATTTTCAAAGCATCTAAGTTCTCTCTTAGTATCTTTTTATCTGTCATAATTTTTCATTTCTTCATTTCCAGTTTGAAAATTATTCTTTTCTTTTTTTTTTTTTTTTGAGATGGAGTTTTGCTCTTGTTGCCCAGGCTGGAGTACAATGGCATGATCTTGGCTCACTGCAACCTCCGCCTCCCAGGTTCAAGCAATTCTCCTGCCTCAGCCTCCAGAGTAGCTGGGATTACAGGTGCCCACTGCCACCCCCAGCTAATTTGTGTATTTTTAGTAGAGATGGGGTTTTTGCCATGTTGGCCAGGCTGGTCTCGAACTCCTGACCTCGGGTGATATGCCTGCCTCAGCCTCTCAAAGTGCTAGGATTACAGGGATGAGCCACTGCGCCCGGCCCAAAATTATTGTATTTGATGAAGAATAGAGGATGAAACCAGGGGTCGAAGTGCCCTACCTCTTCTTTATTCTCTACCAAAATTATTCTGTTTTCCTCGATATGTAAATTAACCTTCCTCCCCACCCCACCCTCTTCATTTCTCCAAACTGTTCTAAAACGCTTTTTATGTTCCACTTCACATTTTCTTTAAGCCTTAACTGCATTCATTAAAAGGTTTCCACTTTTTAACGATTTCCTTAAAGGCTCATGCCATCTTTGCTATTCTCCTTTGCCTTTGTGTCAGTCAACATTTGTATAATTTTTAGTTAAAAGCTGAGTTAGTATACCTTCCCGTACTGCTATAGGTTTTATCAGATGGCTCCATATTTCACATACTTATTGGAATTGTTTGCAATGGAATAGTAAGAATTTAATTTTTTTAGAGCTTCTTGTCCCATTAAGAATCACATTTAGATTTTTTGGTTGTCTTCTTTTTTATTGAGGTAAAAGTCACACAACATAAAATTCATACTTTTAATCACTTTAGAGTATATAATATGGTAGCTTTTAGTGTATTCACAATGTTGCGCAACCATCACCACTATCTAGTTCAGAATATTTTCCCCAAAAGAAACCCCACACATCTATTAAGTAGTCCCTCCCCACTCCCCACTTCTTTCAGCTTCTGGCAGCCACACTGCTTTCTGACTTTGGATTTGCCTATTCTTGGTATTTCATATAAATGAAATACACAATATGGCCATTTTGTGTCTGGATTTTTCCACTTAGCATAATGTTTTCAAGATTCTTCATGTTGTAGTAGGTGTCAGTACTTTATTCCTTTTTATGGCTGAATAATATTCCATTGTATAGAGATACCACATCTGGTTTGTCCATTTGGATTACTTACACTTTTGACTACCATAAACAATGCTGTTATGAACATTCATGCACAGGTTTTTGTGGGGACATATGCATTGTGGGTAGATACATCGGGCTGGAATTGCTGGGTCATATGCTAATTCTATGTTTCACATTTTGAGGTGCTGCCAAACTGTTTGCCAAAGTGATAGCATCATTTTACATCCCCACCAACAATGTATGAGGGTTCTAATTTCTCACATCCTTGATAAGACTCATTATTGTCCTTTTTAAAAAGTCATAGCCTTTTACTTTTGCGAAGTGATATCTTGTGATTTTGATTTGCATTTGTCTCATGACTAATCATGAGTAACTTTTCATATGCATATTAGACATTCTTGTATCTTTGTTGAAGAAATGTCTATTTAAATATTTTGCTCACTGCTTGAGTTATATTTCTTTTTATTATTGAGTTGTAAAAGTTCCTTATATATTCTAAATACAAGTCCCTTATCATCGGGTACATAGTACATATGATTTGCAAATGTTTTCTCCCATTCTGTGGGTTATCATTTCATTTTCTTGATGGTGTCCTTTGAAGCATAAACAAGTTTAATTTTGTTGAAGTCCAACTTATCAATGTTCTATTTTATTGCTTGTGCTTTTGGTGTCACATCTAAGAAATCAGTGCTTAACCCAAGATCATGAAAATTTACTGCTATGTTTTCTTCTAAGGGTTTTACAATTTTAGTTTTTACATTTAGGTCTATGATCCACTTTGAGTTAATTTTTGTGTGTAGTGTCAGTAGGAGCCTGTGAGAGAAAAGATGATATGTTGATCATAATGGCCTGGGGCTGGGCGTGGCGTGGGGTGTGGTGTGGTGTGACAAAGCAGTGGGCATGCCAAGCCCTGTTAGGATGGTCAGCACTAGGCAGAGAGATTGCTGTGAGAGAGCAGAACTGCTACGGTGGGACTTGCAAGTTCCAGAAATGCTTTGAGTACTAATCTGCCCCTTCCTAACCTACCTTTTTTCCACTTTATCTCCATGCTAAATTTGTGTGATTATTTTTATTTCTACTTCACAAGTGAAAAAAACTAAAGCTCTGAGACATCAATTAACTTGGCCAAATTTGCATAGCTAATAAGTAGTAGAGCCAGGACTGACATCCAAGTCATCATATTCTAATTCCTACACATCATGCAAGAAAGCCTGAAGGACAAGAGAGAACTGACCTAATTGAGAGCAGGGATATCATCTGAGACCCTCTTCCCTGACCCCATTTTCTGTCAAAGAAACCCCTGTGCCCCCTGGAATTAGAGGCAGTTATATCTGATTTTGATTTTCCTTATCTTCTAATAATGTCTTAACAGGACTGTCTGTGAAAGAGAGAACAGGGCTCTACAACCTGGGTTTTCCAGCCTCACTACATACTTCCTCTGAGCCTTTGAGGTTTTTGTATAGCTCCCACTGTGCTTTTAACACAGTGTCTCCCAGAAGACAGTAGTACACGGCTGAGTCTGATACCTGGACTGAATATTTCACAATGGGGGAGTTTTTGTCTTTAATATTTCCGCCTCCGAAGTTTTTGCTGTTTTCCATTGTCTCTCTCTGAAGAAGCTGCAGAGGTTTGCTGGGGTATTCCACATACCAGAAAAGGGTAGGGTACCCCGTGGATGTGTATGTGCAGTTCATAGTCACAGATGCTCCCTCCGAGACGGTTATTTGGCCCGTCTGCTTGACTGAATTGCTGCTGGTTCCTCCTGTAGGGGGAAAAAAGTACTGATTTTATGGGTTTGGCCAGAGTTGTTGTATCTTTTGGAGAAGTATTTATTATTTTGAAATAATACAAAAAATTTTAATAAAATGTACTTACCAAACATTAAGATCAGAATTAGAAAGTCCAGAGAGGAGTTCATTGTTAGTGTCTCTGGCCTAGCAGAGGGCATCACTGTTGAAGTGAGGATTCACAGTTGTACTCAGAATTCATGCATAAATTATGATTTCACTGGTGAATAGCACCCCCAAGTGGCAAGTTAATGAACAGGTTATAAGACGTCATCTGCCTCTCAGTGTTCTGCAGTGTGTCCTCACTACTGTCCTCATTCTTAAGAGTCATGTTGGGTGTGAGGTGGTCTTTTTGTGCAAAGGGGACTCACCACACTCCTAAGTCTGTTATCGCTACAACACTTATTCTAAGGGAGAATAATTTCCACTAGAACTTAGACATCACAACATGTCAGTATTTTAGACAGTTGTTTCAATATTTTCAGTTTTTACAAACAACATTGTGATAAATCTATGCTTACATAAACCCTCTTCATACGTCTAATTATTTCCTTAAAACATGGTCCACTGAACACACATTGTGACCAAATGCCGAATGGTGAGATGTTAAAGTCAATATCTGGGGGAAGCTAAAGCTGAATCTGAATATCAAAAAATAGAATTAACTTCAACAATGCAAGAATAAATATGAAATTCTATCTAAAATGTAATTATTATTATAATTGTGTTAACAAAGACTTAGCATTCACATTTCAAAGTTTAGCTTTACAGTAAAAGAGCAGTAACCTCTCAGGACTGTCTATTGTTTGATTGCTCCTGTTATTACCATCTTTCACATTTGCAATATTCTTCACTGAAAACGGTAGTGAATCAAGATATTTTTGGTTCTCTCTTCTAGAAAAGGGTAGTGCTGAGGGTACACTTATTCCTTTTTTATCTGGACTTGAAGATTTATTTGATAATGATGGTGTAATTCAATTGAAGTCATTTTGCAAAGTCTACTTAACTTTGTTCTTTTTTTTTTTTTTTGACTGCTTTTTTTTTCCTGACTGCTCTTTTTTTTTTTCTCTTTTTTTCTTCCTCAGTCCTGGCATAATTTTATCTGGTTTCTCAGAAATGGAAATATTTCTCTTCAAATATGCAATCTTGCACTTAGACTAGAAGTGGCTTGGCTTACAGTTGAGTATTTGCAGTCTTTATTTCTGGTTACATAGTAAATGGCTCAAGACTCATGGTGCCATAGGAGGTTCTTGGAGTAACAGAAAAAAATTCCATGATATGTGTGTGTGTGTGTGTGTGTGTGTGTCAGTAACCTTCACTATTTTGATAGCTGGAAAAAATGAATCACTTTTTTAAATGTTTCTTTGATGACTAAAGAATTTATATACCTCTTTATAAAGTGGCCATTTGTACTACTTTTTGTGAATTGCTCATTTTCCCCAGGAATATTAATGTTTTATTATTGTTATGGTTTGAATGTGCCCCCCAAAGTTCATATGTTGGAAATTTAATCCCCAATGCAACAGTGTTGAGAGGTGGGACCTTTAAAAGGTCATGAGGGCTCTGTCCTCATGAATAGATTAATGACATTATCATGGGAGTGGGTTAGATATCTTGGGAGTGGGTTCCTGATAAAAGAATGAGTTTGGCACTTTATCCGTTTCTCCCTCTTGCATGCACTCTTTTGCCCTCTGCCTTTGGCCATAGTATGGTGCAGCAAGAAGGCCCTCCCCAGATGCAGGCCCCTGGACCTTGGATTTCCCATCTTCCAAAACTGTAAGAAATAAGTCTCTGTTCTTCATAAATTACACATTCTCAGGTATTCTATTATAGCAGCACAAAATGGACTAAAACAGTTATTGATTTATTTTAATTTTAAGGGTAATTTAAATTACATTTTAAATACAAAGGTATTTCAGAAAATCACATTGTACATATTTTAAATAACTGATGTCAAAGAACTTTCCTTCGTTACATTACTAGGCTTGTAGTTTTGATCAGTGAGCTATAATTAGAGGACAGATATGGGCAATGTTTTGACAAATCTTTCCTTTCCCCATTTCTAAGATGCAGTCTCATGTGCTACTTAACCTGGGATAGCAAATCACGAAGCCTGTCCAACTTCCCACATACACTCCTGCACTCCAGGGCCCTGTCTGGATAGGAAAAAGAAACTGCTCACACCCAGCCCCTCTCATACCCCTTGCAATTTGCACTCAACTCCTCTGTTAGTCTCCCCTACTGTGTCATTAGGAACATAAAAGTACACAATTGTGCCTAGTGCTTGGATAGAGGTTTTCTGCAAGTGGAAAGAGGTTTTAATCTTAACTTAATGGGCCTGAAATCTTCCTTTTCATTTATCATGATGCCTCAGAGACAAGGCATTTTGATATCTCTTTGGGATATTGGACATACCACAAGAGGAAGGTACCTACCCATTCTGTAGGTACAGTTCAACGTCAGGTGTGCCCCTGAAGAAAGGGTCACATAGCCCTGTGTCTAATTCACTGAGTCTCTAGTGGTTCTTCCTGGAAAGCCAAGGTTCTTATTAGAATGAATGGAAACGACATTGAATCTAAGTAACAAAATGAGAAATAAGAGAAATTATAAAAGAGCCAAAATTTTAAACTGTCATTTTGCTCACCAGAGAGTAACAGCCTCACAAGCATTGAAGTGGAGGCACTGATCATGGCTGCTCCAGTGCTGGGGACTGGAGAACCCATGATTTCTCCTGGCTTGCACAGGCTGTCTCTCCCAGGATTGAGGCTTCTAACTCATACCATTGATTGCACTTCCCTTCTTTAGATTTTGGGAAGTTTGTCTTTTAGTACTGGTTCCTCTTTCGGATATGAGACTCCAGGATCACTAGACCTGCTAGGTCCTTAGAGGTATATACAAGTACTTTGCATGACTACATGTAGGAATCTTTTAAATCTTAGATTAACCAAAACACACAAGTGCTTCAGCACTGGAGGAAGAAAGAAAACAAAGCACAACACAGTGGCATCCTATTTTGGGCTAGGGAGTGACCTCTAAACATTACTTACAATCCTTTTTGAATTAGTGGTTAGAAGAGGGAAGCGCTGGCTTGTAAGACACATGCTGCCCTTTCTGTGTCTAGTTAAATCAATAGAAATTAGTAATGATGATGATGATAGCTAATATTTACTGAGTGCTTAGTGATGAAACAGAGGCTTTGCATACATTAATCCACATGATTGTGAAAATAGGTGTTAATATTATTGTTCCCATTTTATAGATGAGGAAATTGATGATCAGAGAGGATAAACAAATTGCTCCAGGTCACACTGCTCAAAAGTGGTGAAGCCAGGATTCAATATCTGATTTGTCTCATTATTCTCTGAGTCCGCAGGACTTGGCTGTCTGTTCACAGCTTATTCAATAGTTATTTACTAGGCTCCAGACACTATAAGGGTCGGTCAAGTTTAATATTTGTTGGATAAATTAATCAGTCAATAAGTGGATTAAGTATTTGATTTCAGAGCCTAGAAATGTAACTAGAACATCCATCTTTCGAAGTGTTACTTCTTTATATCCCTGCTCTTTGCCTTAGAAGAGAAGTCAACAAAGGCTCTCAGTAGAAAGCCCCAGACTGGGTATGCTAAATGATTTTTTTTTTTTTTTCTGAGATGGAGTCTCACTCTGTCACCCAGGCTAGAGTGCAGTGGTGTGATCTTGGCTCACTGCAACCTCCGCCTCCTGGGTTCAAGTGATTCTCCTGCCCTAGCCTCCTGAGTAGCTGGGATTTCAGGCGGGTGCCACCATGCCAGGCTAATTTTTTTTTTTTTAAGTAGAGACGGGGTTTCACCATATTGGTCAGGCTGGTCTTGAACTCCTGACCTCAGGTGATCCACCCACCTCAGCCTCCCAAAGTGCTGGGATTACAGGCGTGAGCCACCACACCAGGCCGGGCTATGCTAAATGATTTTTAATAGTGACTCAGTGGCCGGGTGGGGTGGTGCGTACCTGGAGTCCCAGCTCCCCTGGAGGCTGAGGCAGGAGGATGGCTGGAGCTCAAGAGTTTGACCAACACAGTGAGACCCCCATTTCTAAAAATATTTTAAAAATAAAATGATAATAGTACAATTTCTCTAATAAGAGTAGAACCCTGAAATGTTCAGGAGAGTAAAAAGTTATTCTTTAGACAGCACCATGAGTAAGGGCAATAAATGTTTCCCACTTTGAAGTTGTAAAAAAGCTCACGGTACAACTCAGCCCCTTATTTGGTTTGACTATTAACCTCTTTATGCATATTTTTTCTTGTGCAAATAGATCTCTCCGAGCATCTGGATCTCTGCCACTGCTGTGGTCCTAGGTGAAGAGTTTATATTAAATATGTAGATGTCAAAAGGACAGGGCATCTCACCATCTCAGAGGTAATTTGAGGAGGTGAGGTGCTTCTTTTCTACACCAAACTACTCAGTTAGTTTGCCCTCATTCTGTATGCCACTAGGTTGAATTGTTATCAAATTAATTTAAGGTCTTTCCCATGCTCCTGCCTGTAACATCGATATCTGAATAATGATGGCATTCCAAACTAGTAGTGATCAGGGCCAGCTTCCTGGGTATGAAACCTGTACAGTCTCATAGAACTCATGCTTTAATGCTCTGCTGTTGCAGTCTTCAAATTCTTAGGAAGTTATGCATTTTCATTTTGTACTGGGTCCCGTAAATTATATAGGCAGTCCCACTAAAGGCCTATGTCTCCTGGTAGCTCAGGGACTGAGCATTCTTGTCCATTTGTTGCTTATTCAACCCTGTTCAGATCGGTGAGGCAGCAGATATCTTTATTACACAGGCTTTCAAAGAGGCATATGGATTTTTATTATCCCTCTGCTCTGACTTCCATTACCTTTATCACCACAGCACAATTTTCTAAGGTCCTTAAACTGCCTAAATTTGAGTAGGGAGTCTTACACAACAGAAGAAAGCACAAATATTGCCTTTTGGAAGATGCCTTCACAACAGACCTTCTTGTGTCTGAAATTAAGACTCCTTCCTGTCATTTTCCCCTAAACTCACAGGTCATCTGCAGTCAAGAGATCTACAGAAAGGCTATCAAATATGTCTTTAGCCCCTCTTCCATCAGCAGGAGCAGTAACAACAGCTGCTCTTGAATGAGCTTTTCTGGTGGAAGAAGCCTCTGAGCTCAGAGTAACACCAGATATCTTTGGTTTTAATGTTAATACAACAATTTTCCCCACTTTCATCTTGATGATCTGCAGTCTATTCTCAGCACGGCAGCCAGAGTAAGACTTTTACATGGAAGTCAGATTTTATCACTCCTTTCTCAAAGCCTTCCTATGGCTTCTCATTCCACCTAGTTCTAGAACATGTAGGCATTTCCTAATTTAGGACCGGACTCTCCTCTACTTGGAAAACTTGCTCCAAGTATATGCAAGATTCACTCTCTCATCTTCTTCAATTTTGCTCAAATGTTATCCTTCCAGTGAGGCTACTCTGACACTTTACCTAAAATTACAAGGGAACCACCCTTCTGTGGCCCCCTCCAGAATTCCCTATCCCCTAACTTGCTCTGATTCTTGTCTCCATAGACTTATCTTCTTTTTTTTTTTTTTGAGACGGAGTCTCTCTCTGTCACCCAAGCTGGAGTGTGGTGGCACGATCTTGGCTCACTGCAACCTCCGCCTCCCGGGTTCACACCATTCTCCTGCCTTAGCCTCCCGAGTAGCTGGGACTATAGGCGCCCACCACCGCGCCCGGCTAATTTTATATATATATATATATATTTTTAGTAGAGACGGGGTTTCACCGTGTTAGCCATGATGGTCTCGATCTCCTGACCTTGTGATCCACCCGCCTTGGCCTCCCAAAGTGCTGGGATGACAGGCGTGAACTACCGCGCCCGTCCGACTTATCTTCTCATATATTGTAATGCAAAATATATTAACGCTAAAGAGACTCTCTGAAGTCATAAACCATATAGTAATTTACTTATGGTTAATGCTTACTAGAATGTATTTTCTATAAAATCTGATATCTTCGTGCATTTTTTAAAAGAAGATAGTTCAAGTGTCTAGAAGACAGCCTGGTACCTAGTAGATACCTATAAACACTTGTTCAATAAGTTAATTATTTGATCTGAGAACAAGCACACTTTCTGCATTACAAAGGGACTGAAGACATTGTCCTCCATGGCTGCACACATTCATTCCACATTTATACCAACTACATGCCAGGCTCTGTGCTAGTGAATTTCACATACTGAGAGGTAAGGGTAATGGATTCCCTGCAGGGTGGCCTTCCAGAGAAGGAACTGGTTCTAATAGAGCCCCAGCCTAGCACTTGAGGCAATAAATTTTGTAAGAGAGCTGAGGTGGCAGATCAGGACTGGAGGTTGCAGATTTCCTTGATTTTGCTATAATCACATAATTTGGAGCCCAGCCCCCATGCTACAGTAAGGCCTGGTGCTTCCCCAGTGCAGCCTTAAAGTTCCATGGCTCAAGACTGGGTTCTCTTTCTTAGGGTCTCACATTGGCCATGCTAGGTTGCTGTGTGCTGTTTCAGAATGTAGGGTGAGTGCTGCCTCTGGGGAAACCACACACCTGCTCTTTCTCTTGTCTTTATGAATTTTCTCTAGTAAACACTGTTCTAGAAGATCTGGTGTGTGTGCTGTTTACTTTACATATACACCATCTCATTTTAAATGTCATAAAAACTTTAGAAAGTGGTTATTATTTTTTCCATATTTTTTTGATGAGAAAAGTGAGGCTTAAATACATTATGAAACTTGCCTAAGGGCATAGAGCTCACAGTAGAAGAGTTTGAATACTCAGGAATTCTTTCTGATAACCAAATCTGGTGTTCACACTGTTGTGTTATTAGAATCTCTGAGTCTAAATGGAGTGGACTAACAGTTTCAAATATGATAATTTCCTTCTTTAAAATTCATTTTTTCCCCTGTAAATCTCTTGCCACAAATTTTGAGGATGAATCTTATTGCTCCAGTAAAGGGAGATTGTGAAAGGATCCAGTGAGATCAAAGGGTCAAATTATTGATTTTGTATTCAAAATGGACTTAAAAAGTCTTAGGAGGAAAAAATATCCTGAAATAAGGCATTTTTTTGAGTTGCAAGAGACAGGTACTTGGTAATTTTTCTTTTTGATAATTTATATGTCAAGAGCAGAGCCTGAGGTTTCAGGGCAGTTTTAAAAAATCACAAATCCTATCTAAAACCCTGAGCTAGGAATGCGGACAATGGAAACCACAAGATAGGTTGACTGTCCGCTGCAAAGAGAGCTTTTTGCCTGGTTCCCATCTGGAGCTCTGAGAAGATCTAGCTTTGTGAAATGTTCTACTGCAACATATTGCAGACACAGTAGAGTAGAAAGGACACTATGGTCTTTTAAAATGTTGTCTTCTAAAAATACCTTCTAAAAATATTTGCTTGCTTGAGGGAGCTCATGGAAAGTAGCTGGAAACTGAGAACCATGTCCCTGACACAGGGACCTCATTGAAGAAGGTATATAGTGCATAGACTAAGTGAAGGATGTACTTGAGTCTCCGAGGATCAACAAGTCCAGCAGGAAAGGGGATGGGAGGCCAGGTAGCTGGGAGAGATGGAAGAACATGCATACTGAGTCTTAGATAAATTCCTAGAAGGTGCACCTCATATTTACACTTAGATTTCATAATTCAGTAAAAATAAAAAATGTTAACTTTTTTGATATTAAGAAACAACTTCTAGATAAACCTTGAAGCAGACACACTATTAAAAGAAAAAATAACCAGCTGTGTTAAAAGCAATGAAAAAAGAGACTAGTTCACATCAAAACAGATGAGACAGGGTGGAAGAAATACTCAAAGAATTATTTGTCTTAAATGCCATTTCTGGGACATGAATAGCACAACTGAGAAAAATGTCTCCTTTCCTAATCTCTGTGGTAAGTGGACTTGGCAACTGGTGTATCTGATTAGGATGGATCCAAGTATTTTATGGAACTTCTTGTTAGTAGAAGCTCTGGTCATGGACAGCAAGTGCCGGAAGCTTGGAGTCACCTGAGACATTCCTAAAGGTCCTACTGGGGGAAAACATATTTGGCTTAGCATGCTCTAATGTATTGGAGATTGTCACCTTCGATAGTATTTTCTTACTACACCATCACACCCTTAAAGTCAACTGGTTCAATTTTGAATGTCTGTATTGTTTCTTCGAGAATAAGGTTTAATGATATATTTTCAGTGACAGTAAGTGATTCTAGGAAAAGAAAGCAAAAAATCTATATACTCATAAGTTGGGAAGGAGTCAGGAAAATTGGGAAGGAGAAGTGGAAAGAACTTAGTTTTTTATGTTCTAAAGATCAAATTAATGAAATCCTCAGTTCTATTCATTTGTTTTAGGGTTTGTTTATATTCTTGATCTGAAGAAGATATAAAAGTTCATCTTCAGAATCCAAGAGTTCTCTCTAAGAAGGAAGAGATTTGGGGACTTAAGTCAATATTGTTCCTTCAGTTAATTAGATTGGATTGAACAATATTTTTTTCCCCGTCATGAATAGTTTCCTGGTGAAAATGTTTTCAGCATGGAAATGAGTGTGTGAAGACATGCTGTTAAATGCTCCAGAAAGGATATAGAAAATCTGATGTAACATCCTGTTTTCTGATTATGTAACAACACAACAAATAAGATCATCAATGCAAAATAAAAATTTCCCGACAATCAGTCATTGACAAGGAAACTTGCTTTGGTAACAGATCAAGAAACTTGAAATTTAAGATACGTTGTGAGTATTTATAAATACAAGGTCAAAGTTTTTTCAGCCTACTCTGTCAGAGTGAAACCTCTGCTTGACTCAAAGGATGATGGAACTAGTCGGTTTTTCATGTCAAATTTTATTTTATCTAAATACGGAAGTTATTATAGTCCCTGCTGGAGGCTCTGAGTGGTAGCAGGAGCTTTTGGTCTGTACACTGCTGTGGCTGACTTTTCATAATCTGCCAACAAATTGCTGCAGAAGCTGATTCGCTTGTAAAGACTCTAGGGGCAATTTAGAGAAATAAGTGTTTTTAGTTTTTAAATGTTTTTAAAGGTGCTGTTGCTTAGGAAGGTACAAATGTTGAAATGTTAAGGTCAGCTTTTACATTGTAATGGTAATTTCTGAAATATTGTCACTTAAAAGCCTGACTGAATCAAGTTTATTATTTTCCTAGAAGTCTGGGATGAAAATATGATGCAATTGATATCTGAAGGTACTGATTATCTCATTAGTGGGACAGGAAAACTTATTTTCAATTATTTTTGTATAACATTCAAATTGGGGATTTCTTATAAGACAATTTTCCTGAAAGTGAAATTCATTTTATCTAGTCTGCAATGGGCAAATAAAGTTTAATATAAATTCTACCATGTAGCAAAACAATTACAAAAAAAAATGGAGGGAGGAGAAGAGGAAACTGGCAAATAATACAAGAAAAAATATAATATTCTTCTGGTTGGCAAGGACCCTCAGATAGTTTTCGAGTAAATCCAGCCAAAGGATACATTTCCCAGAGACTCTCCACACATTGAGATAAACAGGTACTTAGATCACACGGATATTATCTGACTACTGTAGTCAGTATTTTAGCAGGAAACACTAGGTAAGGAACCTCACATAGACCATTCTTTTATAAAGCATTTATTCTTTCTTTCATTGGTAAATGCCATATGTTACATTCATATATAAAACAAATAATGATTCCATATTTCATAGGAATTATTTGTGACAGTTGCACTACATGTAAAATTATTCCATAATGGAAGACTAACAAATTCTGACTGTGAGGCAGTAAAGAATGAGACCTCATATTCTCAGGAAATACATGGTTAGGAATCTTCCCTCAGCCTGAATACATTTTCCTTTTAAAAAATATTCCACAGTTAAGAAGATAAAACAGCATCTTTTTTCACCCATCTCAGAATTTTCCTTGCAGAAAGAAATGCACAGACAGTGAACGAAGCCTCACAGTCATAGTTCCTGCAGGAGGAGTGGGCCCACCAGCTGCAGGTTTGGGTACAGACTGGTGGCGTCAGGGGAGCACTGTGTGTCCACGGCACAGAAGTAGGTGGCAGAGAGGTCATGCACGGCAGCTGTGATGTGGAGGGTGCTGAGACGGGCTTTGGTATCAAGTGAGGCCATTAATCGTCCCTCCTGCTTCACTGCTCCATTTGATAGCAACACAAACAGAGATTCCAGACTTTTCCCAGGATCCTGCCTGTACCAATACAGTCTGTCTGAAGTGGTTGAATAATTGCAGTAGATGGTATAGTTTTTTCCCTCCTGCATGCTCAGGAACAGAGGGTTTTGTTCCACTTTCAGCTCTCCACTTAACCCTGTCCAAAGAGAACATTTCAGAAGGAAGCATTCACTGGTTACCCCAATAATCCTGTTCCTCCCGAGGGAACCCAAATGAGTCGCATTGAACCTTGTCTCTACCCCCAAACATTGTATGGACAATTCCTTTCCTCCCATGGCTCCCTTTTCAATGAACCCCCAGCTCACGGTCTAGTTGAAGCCACAGAATCATTGCTAGTAGCTTCTTCATTTTTTTTTTCTGTCCAGTTCACTGAAAACTCAGATTTAGGAGCCTTGAAAGTTGGCCAGGGCTATCCAAATATGGTAGTTTTTCTTTCTCTACAGAAACACGATTTCAAAAGATGTTCCAACCAATTAGAATCACATCCTGCAATTTACTCAGTCCCTCCCTTTCATAAAAAAAAAAGAAAAAGAAAAAAAAGAAATAAAAAGAAAAATTAAAAAAAAACAAAAGAATGGGGGTGGGTTTGGACAGAAGTTATGAATGGAAACAGTGCCCTCTTCAGGATATTTAGAGAAATTCCTGAGAAAGTAATTCGTAGAATTGATGCTTCTTGTAAGCCAGCAAGGTGTTCCTAAAAATTTCCTAGTGAATTAACTCTTTAACGTCTCATTGATGTTACAAGTGACAGAAATGTAACTCAAATGTGCTTAGGCAAGAAGAGAAATGCACTGACTCCAATAACCTTGGCAAGAGCAGAAGTGTATCTGGACTTCAGGCATCCAGGGTGCCAGGGAACTTAATCCTTTAAGACTTTTCCTTTCATTCGTGTCTTAGTTTCATTCCTCAGACCAGATTCCACCACAAAGCAGGAGGCATGATTGTAAACATTTTTTGGTTGGGATTCATCTCACAGTGTAGCCACCAAAGAAATACTGAGGATCCTTTCTGATCCCAGATTTAAAAATATTGAGGTAAGGCTTTGATTGCTTCAGTCTGAGCCAGGTTCCCATCCAGGGGGGCAATTTGTGACTAGAGTGGTGTATACATAACATGATTGGTTCAGCTGGGTCAGGCATCCACCTCTGGGTGGATTCATCAGCCCATTCATAAGTAAGATAGCAGTCTCCATTCATAACACATGGTTAGAATTTATATTTTACCAGGAATGAGTTGCCATTCTAAGTGAACAAAATGGTAGATGCCTACCACAGTTGTGTTCTCTCAACTCTGTGGACCATTGATGGAGGGAGAGTGGGAGGGAAGGAAGGCTTTTATTTCTTTAGGACTCCTCTAACATGAGTAGCTACTCCTGTGAACTGGGTTAGTCTATGACTCACCTTGACCATCTGCCCATGGTGTACCTTTTCTGTACCATGTTGAACACATCACATTTTCTTCAGTTCCTCCAACACTTCTTATACAAAGTTGTGGAAGAAAGGACAAAAGATGATAATAATAACTAACATGTATTGAGCTGTACTGTATGCCAGGCACTATGCTAAGTGAATGCATAATCTCATTTAATTCTCACAAGATCTATATTTTACAGAAGAATAAACAGGCTTACAGAGGTTAAACAATAAGTTTATGATCATGCAGCTGGAAAGTGGGATTCAACCGACCTGTCTACTGAGCTAATGCTCAATCCATGCTTGTCTGTGTGTATGTAACAGATTTCTGTTAGGATTTGGGGGCTGCGGGTTGGGGGCAGTAATTTTTGCCCATTATACTCACTGCAATCAATGTGGAACAGCTTTCTTTTTTTCCCTTCAACTTTTATTTTAGATTCAGGGGGTAAAAAAGTGCAGGTTTGTTATCTGGGTATATTGCATGATGCTGACAATTGGGGCACAAATGATCCCATCACCCAGATAGTGAGTGATATGGTTTGGCTGTGTCCCCACCCAAATATCTTGAATTGTAGCTCCTATAATTCCCATGTGTTGTGGGAGAGACCCAGTAAGAGATAATTGAATCATAGGGGCAGCTTCCCCCATACTGTTCTCCTGGTAGTGAATAAGTCTTATGAGATTTGATGGTTTTATAAGAGGCTTCCACTTTCCCTTGGCTCTCATTTCTCTCTTGCCTGCCACCATTTAAGATGTGTCTTTTGCCTTCTGCCATGATTGTGAAGCCTTCCCAGCCACTTGGAACTGTTAGTCTACTAAACCTCTTTTTCTTTATAAATTACCCAGTCTTGGCATGTTTTTATCAGCAGCATGAAAAGGGACTAATACAGCGACCATAGCGCCTGAAAGTTAGTTTCTCAGCCCTTGCTCCACTCCCTTCCTTCTTCCTCTAGTTGTCCCCAGTTTCTATTGTTGCCATGTTTATGACCATGTTTACCCAATATTTAGCTCCCACTTCTAAGTGAGAACACAGGGTATTTGTTTTTCTGTCCCTGCATTAATTTGCTTAGGATAATGGCCTCCAGCTGCATTCACTCTGCTGCAAAGGACATGGTTTTGTTCTTTTTTATGACTACATAGTATGACATGGTGTACATGTACCACATTTTTAAAATCCAATTCACCATCGCTGGGCACCTAAGTTGATTCCATTTCTTTGCTATTGTAGATAGTGCTGCAATAAACATGGGAGTATATGTGTCTTTTGGGGGTAGAACTATTTGATTTCTTTTGGATATCTACCCCATAATGGGATTGCTGGGTTGAATAGTAGTTGTGTTTTAAGTTCTTTGCGAGATCTCCAAACTACTTTTCACAGTGGCTGAACTAATTTACCTTCCCATCAACAGTGTGTAAGTTTTCCCTTCTTTCCACAGCCTTGAAAGCATCTGTTGTTTTTTGACTTTTTAATAGTAGCCATTCTGACTGGTGTGAGATGATATCTCATCGTGGTTTTGATTTGCAGTTCTCTGTTGATTAGTGATGTGGAGCATTTTTTCATATGTTGGTTGGCCGCTTGCGTGTATTCTTTTGAGAAATGTCTGTTCAGGTCTTTTGCCCATTTTTAAATGGAGTTATTTGTTTTTTGCTTGTTCAATTGTTTAGGTTCCTTACATATTCTGGATAATAGATCTTTGTGGGACAGCTTTCTACATTAATTTCTAGACCTGTTAAATCCTAAACTAAATTCTCTATTGTCTTAAGCAAGGTCCCACTGAAATCTCTTTTCCTGCATGAACTCTGCATAACTGATAAAACCATCCAACATTGCTTTTTGCCTTTAACAACACTTGAGAAAATGAAAGACATTAAGAAATAAAAGACATTACATTCAAATGTACCCAGCAAGTACTCACCAAGTATCAAGTAATGTGATAAATGATGAGGTGGGTGGGGGTATTAAATAATTCCACAGTATCTAGTCTTGGTTTTAATGGAGTTGTAAGATAGTTAGAAAGATTAAAATAATGCACATAGAGTTAAAGTTAACAGTGCAAAGCAGTACACTGCTTTGTACAGTAGCATAGCATTGGGTGCATTTTTTTTGTGTATGCTGTACGTGAGGTCAAAAGAGAGGGAAATTATGAAAGGCTATGGGAATTTAGTACAATCTCTTTGGAGGAGCTAAGGCCTAAAAAACACATAATGTTTAGATAGAGAGAGAGAGAGCACGCACTAAAGGCTATTTCAGGAAATATAGAGAGGTAGGAGTGAGGATGACATGTCTTTGAGAAAGTGTGAAGAATGGTCCAGCTAACAGAGAAAACAGAGTCTGGGTAATAGTGTCTGGGAATGAGGATAAATTGGTGAAATGAGGAGGAGATAATGGAAGTCACTGAAAGCTACTTCAAAGGGCTTATATTCATGAGAAAATAGAAACTGTTGTAAGATTGTGAATAGTGGAGGGATATGATGAAAAGATATCTTAAAAAGAAAGGTGTGGCAGTGGTGCAGAGGGTCAGAGGGTGGTTGGGAGCTGGTAGGATAGGGGAGAAGAGCAAGAAAGAGACTTCAATAATGAAGAGGAAGGAGGACACCCCTTTCAACTTGGTGGGAACAATCTAAGGACTTGAATAAGGTGGTAGTCATGGGAATTCTAAACAAAATATACATTCAATAGCACTTCAAAGGAAAAACTGACAAGCATTGGTACCTGACTATAAACTCAAAAGGTTCAAGCCTGAATAAGGAAATGTTGTGGTGCCATTTACAGAAACTGGGAAATTGGAGAAGCATCTGAGTACAAAAAGTGTTTTGAAATTGAGATGATAACGAGCTATTATGTGAAAATGCCCGGGTAAGAGTTGGAGGAAAGGACAAGATCTCAGCTGAATGGAAGGTGTTTGACACTTAGCAGAAACTCAGTAAAGACATCTATCATTATTATGCATTATCACAGGTACCACATAGTATTATAATCAGTGTGCACATCTGTCTGTTTCTCGCACTAGACTATGAACTCCTTGAAAGCAGGGAATTTCTCATAGTCATTTTTGATTTCCCAGTGTGTAGTGCAATGATTGGCATATAGTAGGAATGCAATATGTTTTTTTCTTTAATGATGAAAACATAGGAGAGTCGAGACATAGTAGTTGGTATATGTGTAGCATTTATTTGCTGCGTATGTGAAGAAGGAAGAAGAGGCAGAATTCAGGATTTTTTTCTTTACAATTTGATGTTGACTTTGGAATTGTAAAATAGTATAAATTTTTAGAAAGTAGAGAAGTTTAAATTAAAAAGTTATATATTTCTAAACACCACCAATTTCATCAAGATCTATGTATACAAGGCATTAACCAGTGATTTGAAAAATTGCTTTTTTTTGTGGGGTTATAGCACCTTTCGCGTTCTTAACATTGCACATTTGTGTTTTCTTTTTTATTATCAGTTTTCCTAGAAATATTGCCTTTATTTGTACATTCTAATTATTGCTTTGCATTTAAATTAATTCCTGCTTTTATCATTAAACTTTCCCCTTCTCTGTTTTGGCTTATTTTGCTCATTTCTTTTTTATTTCTTGAATTGCCAGATTTGGCTCCTTTGTTTTACTTTTTATTAATAGATGGATGCATTTTCTTGTGAATATTGCTTTGAACAAATATATAGTTTTTTTATGTAGTACCATTATTAGGGTTCATTTTTAGTGACGTGTAATTTTAACTCTTAGTTCTTTGACCTGAAAATGTTTTAGAATATTATAAGTGGTTCTCTTTCTACTCATTTATTTGCTATCTTTTAATTATTAGTTTCTAGCTTTATTGCATTAGGTTCAGACAATGTGGCTTATATGATTCCCATTTTTTGAGTCATATTATATGCTCATTTTTTTGTAAATATTCTGTAGCTATATGTTTAATATAAAGTTTTTTCCATCATCCTCTCTCTCTTTCTCTCTCTGAGAAAAAGATATTAAGGTGTCCCATAATGAATATGTTATCAAGTTATTTTTATATTTCCTACAAATTTTGCTTTATATTTTTCTGACACAGTTTGTTTGTTGTTTAGAGAAGGCGACACTAATACTCATTCAATGATTGCTGCTAAGTGTGAAGGATGTTCTGTCAGGAGATGGACAGGGTGCTGTAGGAGGTTTAGCAGGCGGTTACATCCAAGTCAAGACGGCTAGAAAAGGCCTCCCGAAATAAGGAACATTTAAGCCATAGTTGACACCTTTTAGGATTTGAAAGCAGACAGTATCAATCTGGGTTCTGGTAGGAAACTTATGGCATACTGAAATTGTGTAATTTGAGAAACATGACACTAGTTATAAAAATACAAGCAGTGAGCAGGGAACATATAAGAGATAGTGCTACAACCTGGGACTAGCATCACTCCAGGCCTTGAATGGAAAGGAGGGAGTGATTACCAAAACCTGGAGAAAGACAGGCTATTTGGAGAGGCCACCGTAAGGAGCTGATTGTGGGTTAATGTCAGTATGTGGGAAGGGAGGAAGTTGGGGGAATATATAGCCTGACCTTACTTTCCTCATTTTTTCTGTTCTCTGTGGGTACTGCCCTTGGGCAAAAACCTACTGGAAACCAAAAGACAAGATAGCTTATTGGTATAATCCCTATAGGTCAGTCACCTGGGGCACAAAGCAGGGTGTGGAAGGATGGAGAGAGGACCTGGAAGCAAACAGGAGATATTAAGCACAGAGTGCAAGATGGGTGAAGAATAAAGATGAAAGATGAAACCAGAGCAATAAGCTAGAGAAAGAAAGGCTTTGTGAGCCTTAGTAATGATTTGGGATTCCATCCTTTGGGAAACTGGAAGTCACTGATTAGTTTTAAGCAAGAGAGCAAACAGATTGCACTTGTATTTTTAAATAATAACTCTGGCTAGACTGAAGAGAACATGTTGGAGGCACTGATGGCTTCGTTTACTAGGATGGGGACACAGAGAAGGTGGACCTATGGGGTGATGAGATAGGGAGCCCAATAGTGTGTCTGTGCCAAGGAGAGTCTTGGCTAGAGATACAGGTTTGTCAGTCTAGAGCAGTTAAATGGTATTCGAGGCTCAGGAGCCAGTAAGATTGCCTAGAATCTGTGGATAACATAGAAGAGGGCTTAGGAACCCCATAATTCAAGAAATTGGCAGAGAAGCTATAGCCTTCAAAGGCAGGAGAAAGTGGGATTAGCTAGGAAGGAAAGAGGAAAACATGGAGAATTTTGAGAAGTCATGCTCTTGAATTGGCTAGTGAACTCTCTGGTATCTCCTAGATGAGTCATGATAAACTTCTGTAGTAAGGGTATCAGGATAAGATCAATGAGGGCATTTTAAGTAAGAGACAATTTTACACTGACGTTTGATAGAATCTCTTCATCTCCAGCAGTCACTCTGGCCTAGAAAACTGAAACCCCTCAGTGAAGCTGTGGATCAGAGAGAATTTGCTTTATGCAAGATCTCCATGTCCACAGATTATGTTTTTGTAAAGCATCTGTTCAAAGGCAGAATGTGCCAGGTGGCTGTGGAGAAAGATATAAATTAGTCCATGGAATTTGAAACTCTTAACATGAATTGATCATCTACCTTCCTTTGCCTTCATGGCTATGTTCGTACTACTGAAAAATAATTAAGAGTGTTTCAGGACATCTGGTCCATTAGATTTCTTCTGAAAAGAAAATCTTTACATGTTAAGACATCAAATTAAATAAATAATAGCCAGCTATGTTTTTGCCTAATTCAGATGTATATGAAACCAGGATTTTATAGTTTAGGTATCAGGAAGTAGTTTTCTGATTTAGTGCCAGGATGGCCTTAAATGTGCTAAAAAACAAAATACTAATACAAATAGGGAGTGAGCCTGGGTTCACATTTTGTTACTATTCTTAATCATTAACTAAAAAAAGCTAATTCCACAAATGTTTACAGGAAAAAGATACAACTATATAGATAGCAAAATAAAATGCTATTAGGGTTGACACGATAATCTGGGGTTAATTTTTTTTTCCAGGCTATGAACGCAAAACTCTTCCATTTCTGTAGGTTAACCTCCAACCCACAGGAATGTAAACTATGTGAGCCTTTTCTCAGTTATGGATTGCTAGGTAAATATGCTCTGACAACAAAGTTACGATCCCCAAGAATGCCAGATAATTGCTTACTTGAAAATGCTCTTGCAGATAGAGAAAAAAAAAGACTAGCAATCATCATTTTTCTTTTTTCCAGGATTGGGATAACTTTTTTTCACAATATTATTAATAAATGGCCATGACATTTAAACTGTCTTTCCCAAGATAAAGATATATGTTTAAATGACTTTGTGTCATGCAAGAACTCAATCTCCCATAATTTTCTAATTCATCAGGAGCTATTCTTTCAAGCCAGAAATGTCAAATAAGTTTTAGGAAATTTATCAGGTTTACTGAAACTCAAGGCTCTGTCATTAAAATCTCTTGCTGATTTTCCTCAAACCTCACCACTTCATGAAGTCTGGCTGAGAATGAAATCAGTAATGTGGAGAGCAATCTAATGCAGTGATTTTTCAAACTAGGCAACAGTTATGTATTTTAAGGGAATCAATTTCCAGATCTTCAACTTCTGTATGTAACCTTTCCTAAAAGTGATCTGTTCAAGAGCTTGACTGTGGTTCTTGTTTCCCGTCTCAAATTTCATAATTGCTCTTCCCCAACCTTATTCAAGACGGAATCTCCTTTTGCAGCATTGCCCTGCAGTTTAAACACCCCTGGAACATTAAACAAAGGGACAATTTATTGGTGTCAAGGAAGCCTCCTTTAATTAACCGTAAATATGACCCCAGTCACTTTCTTTTTTTTTTTTTTTTTTGAGACAGTGTCTCGCTCTGTCGCCCAGGCCAGAGTGCAGTGGCGCGATCATGGCTCACTGCAAGCTCCGCCTCCCAGGTTCACGCCGTTCTCCTGCCTCAGCTTCCCGAGTAGCTGGGAATACAGGCGCGTGCAACCACGCTCGACTAATTTTTTGTATTTTTAGTAGAGACGGGGTTTCACCGTGTTAGCCAGGATGGTCTCAATCGCCCGACCTCGTGATCCACCCGCCTTGGCCTCCCAAAGTGCTGGGATTACAGGCATGAGCCACTGCGCCGGGCCGACCCCAGTGATTTTCTTAAGAAATGCATTTCCAAAAAATTTTCGCCTGTAAGTTTAAAACTAAAATTGAAATATATTTTTGTTGTTTTAATAAAAGGTACATCAACAATAATTATATTTATAACTCAATCTAGAAAGATAATTTTTAGCAATTAGAGCAGTATGGTCAGAGAAAATTTAAAAGCAATTTCAATTTTTTACGTGATTTTGTTGCAGGCATTTTGGGTGATCAACAAAAGCCTTTAAACAAAAATATACTAAAATTAAGTTCTGCAGGAGAAGTTGAATGGAAATATGATTCCAAGGAAAGAAAAGAGCAATATAAGGTCTTCAATTGTCAATGAAGAGCTTGTTGTGAATTTTAACTGGGTGTTGATGGGTATCAAATCACTTTGGTATTAAGGTTTCACTGGATATGTTTAAAAGCTATTCTGAGTTTTATTTGAAAATGTCAATGTTTATATTACAGTGGAATTTACAACCTTTGTAGCTATTTAAACATTTAAACTAATAATAAAATATTTTAGAAGTCATCTTAAAAATGCATGAAGGTTTTACAGTTTTCCAATGTCTGAATACCACTAAGAGTTGGCCTACAAACATGAGCACACTTTGATGACAATGCAGGAATTACTGTCAATATATGTTTATGTTTAACCCCCTAGTCACTCTTTAAATCTGTGTCTCCTACAGCCTTTGGTGGAAAGTAATCAGTCCTGTTGAAATTCAGATAGCTTCTTCAATGTTTCCTCTTAGACCTGAATTTGAATGAACCAAGATGGAAGAAGGGACCTTTAGATCTGACATCACTCACCTTTCTGAATTTGCAGATGCCACGTGTAAGAAATAATCAAACAGTGCAATTCTGAGCTACTGTAGAGGAGGCCTGTGTGGCAGATACTCTCTGGGTTACCTGCTTCATCCCCTTCATTAGGCAGAAAGTGTTTCCTCCTGTCAAAAAGCGGTTTAAAGTTTGCTGTATTTGAATGGAAATGCTGATTCCTGGTGTCACAGAGAAAACGCAGCTGTAAAAGAGACAAGACAAAGAACTCAAGTTAGAGAGTGCATTAAAGCTCCATGTTGTTGGTTTTGTTAATAACCAAAGCAGTCTACAAATGTTATCCCAGAATGTTACTAAGAAGCAAAATATCCATAGGGATTAACTGATGGAGTCACAATACCTAAAGGTTCTGGTTTGACCAAGTTCTTAGACAAAGACTAAGATGACTATAGGCACAGAAGCAGGAAGTAGACATTCTAGCCTAGACGGTGGGGCAGAAAAATAATTTGGGGTAGAGGAAAGATCAGATTAACTCATGCCTACTTACCTATTAGATTTTTATTTTACGAATACCTCTAGATGTCATTTTTTTCATCTTTTCCTCTTGTTTCTTCATTAGCCTGTATTGGCTCTCTCATATCTAGTAGAATATCTGTTATAGTATGGTATTGTATATATTGTGTGTTTCTGTCTAGGCCAGGGTGATATTCACAACTTTTATTCTCCTGTTTAATAACATATTTAGTGTTTGGTATGAAAAGCAGACACAGACTGGGAGTGGGAGTCAGTGCGAGGACAGAATCCTTGCGGAACCCCCTGCTATCCCATGTAGGGCAAGGGAGGGACTTCTCTGGATCTTGATTACCTCAGATAAATAATGAGAAAATAGGATTAAACAAAACAAAACAAAAAGACTTTTTTTTATTTTAACTTTAATCTCCACAACTCTGTTTCCCCTCTTCCATAGGTTTTATCCACCCAGGAACGTTCCCCAAGGAGAGATTTATAAGAAGAAATTTAAGAAGAGAAGTTGCTTAATCTTAGAGTCAGGATAGTTTCAGAAACCAAGTCTAGGAATTTTACTCAAATTTTTGGGCCCTCCATTCCTATGTCACTCAATCCTAGGATCTGAGCAGCAAAACGATTTCTTCTCTCTTGTCCCCATGGAAGTCTCCAGAGCAGGGCTCCTTATGAGGGAGGGAGAGAGGGGAGGACTCCGGCCTCCTGCTTTGCCTTTAGAGGTTTGTGCTGACTTCCTGCTGAGCTATTACCATCTTTCACCAGAAGTTTCTACTTCTATGTTGAAAGAAAATTTCAACCTGAATTTGGGAGTCCTGGAGTAGTTCAACATGTTTTCCTACTTTCCATGGATTTGTTGGAGAGAAAGTGCTGTGGTACCTAATTTCAGTAGATTATACAGACAAGAGGCAAGAAGTACAGCAGCCACACTGAGAGAGTGAGCCTTTTGTCTGGATTATTGAGGCCACATAGGTATCTTTTGAGAAAGGCAACTTTTGGTTACATTGGATGCAAATAGAATTGCTTTAATTCTTCTATGGATAGAAATTGGGGACTGCGTTTACCTCTAATTGGCAAAAGGAAATTTTAGGCATTTGCAATGTGTGTGTGGTTTGCTAGATGAATAATTGAAAGCATTTACATGAAGCAGGAGTGCAAATGAGAGCAGCCTGGCATTTTCTATTTGTTTTTTCATTGCTTACTGTTACTTAAAAGTGTGACCAAAGGCACACACTAGTGATTGTTGTGTAGAACCCTCCTTTGGGAAAGTGGATGAATCGGAATACATTATTTTCTTTAGCCAGTTGATCTTTCAAGAAGTAAATATTTATTTATTACCAAATTTGAATAGGATGCTTTATTGGATGCTGTATATGAACATGTGTGTGTATGATTGGGAGTGATGATGGTGGTTTAATTTATATGTTTCTATGTGTGTAAATCATAGTTCTGAATATTGACACATATAAACCTGTACACGATTAAGTAGAAATATAAGTCAATGTTTTAAAAAGTCCCCCATATGGCAGAGTCAAGAAGTTGTATGTGAGTTGATTAGCAAAGTAGATCATTATGGGCTATATAGTCTAAGTTGTATTTGCTGAGGATCTAGATGGATAAGCAAGGATTTGATAGAGAAGAAAGGACTGCTGCAATCTTAATGTTTGTCTTCCCCCTTGGAATTCATATGTTGAAACCTAATTGCCAAAGTGATGATATTAGGAGGTGGTGCCATTGGGCGGTGACTATGTCATGAGGGCAAAGCCCTCATGAATGAGATTGGTGCCTTTATAAATGAGGCTCCAGAGAGCTGCCTTGTCCTTCCGCTATGTGAGGACATGATGAGAAAATGTCACCTATGAGCCAGGAAATGGGCCTTTACCAGATACCAAATCCATTGGTGTCTTCACCTGGGGCTTCCCAGCCTCCAGACTCTGAGAATAAATTTCTGTAATTCGTAAGCTACCTAGTCTATGATTGTTATGGCAGCTTTAATGAACTAAGTAAGACAAGGAATGATCATAGCATTGTGAAATACAGCAACTAGAATATATTTTCCTTTTTAAGATTAAGACTAGCATGGGATGTATTACTACTGAGTGGAAATACAGAGCTCTTATACACCCCCTCAACCCTCATCCTCCCCATTTCCCCTATTATTGACATCTTACATTAATGTCATACTTGTGTTACAATTGATAAGCCAATATTAATATATTGTTATTAACTAAAGCCCATAATTTACATTAGACTTTGATCAGTGTACACTCCCCATAGTTTTGTTTTTGTTCAGAATGTTATATAGTTGGAATGATACAGTATATAGTCTTTTCAGATTGGTTTCTTTCACTTAGCAATATACAGTTACAGTTCCTCCACGTCTTTTTGTGGTCATGTCTTTTTTTTTTTTTTTGGTGAGATGGAGATTTACTCTTGTTGCCCAGGCTGGAGTGCAATGGCATGATCTCGGCTCACCACATCCTCGTTCAAGCGATTCTCCTGCCTCAGCCTCCTGAGTAGCTAGGATTACAGGCATGTGCCACCACACCCAGCTAATTTTGTATTTTTGGTAGAGACAGAGTTTCACCGTATTGCCCAGGGTGATCTCGAACTCCTGACTGCAGGTGATCTGCCTGCCTCGGCCTCCTGAAGTGCTGGGATTACAGACATGAGCCACTGCGCCCGGCCTGGTCATGTCTTTTTATCATTGAATAATATTTCATTGTATGGATGTACCATACTTTGTCGATAGATTCACCTGTTGAAGGACATCTTGGTTGATTTCAAGATTTAGCAATTATAAATAAAGGTACTTCAAACATTTTCATGCAGATTTTTATGGGGACAGAAGTTTTCAACTCACTTGAGTTAAAACTAAGGAGCATGATTGCTGAATCATATGGTAAGAGAATGTTTAGTTTTATGAGTAACTGCCAAACTATCTTCCAAAGTGGCATTCCTACCAGCAATGAATAAGGGTTCCTGTTGCTCCATATTCTCACAAAATTTGATGGTTTCAGTGTTTTGGATTTTAGTCATTCTGATAGGCAGGTAGTGATATTTCACTGTTTTAATGTGCAAGTCCCTAGTAATATTTGATGTTAAGCATCTTTTCATGTGCTTCTTTACCATCTATATACTTTGTTTATAGTCTGTTCAGATAGTTCAGATAGTTCAGATCTGAGGTGTCTGTTCAGATATTTGCCCATTTTTTTCATTGGGTTTTAAATGTTCTTATTGTTTTATTTTATTTTATTTATTTATTTTTTGAGACGGAGTCTTGCTCTGTTGCCTAGGCTGGAGTGCAATGGCTCAATCTCGGCTCACTGCAACCTCCACCTCCCAGGTTCAAGTGATTCTCCTGCCTCAGCCTCCCAAGTAGCTGGGATTACAGGCTCCCGCCACCATGCCTGGATAATTTTTCTATTTTTAGTACAGACAGGGTTTCGCCATGTTGGCCAGGCTGGTCTCAAACTCCTGATCTCAGGTGATTTGCCTACCTTGGCCTACCAAAGTGCTAGGATTACAGGCGTGAGCCACCATGCCTGGCTTATTGTTGAGTTTTAAGAGTACTTTGCACATTTTGGATACCACTTAAAAAATACATATGCATTTTGCAAATATTTTCTCCCAGTCTGTGGCTTGTCTTTTCTTCATTTTCTTAATTTCTTTTGATTTTGGAAGTCTTTTATTTTCTTTGAAAATATCTATGGTGATTTTCCAATGAGTGCCCTTGGTGATATAAAATATTTCCTCCCTCTACTTGTAATTGAGATTATATTTTTGAAATGTATTAATATTCTTTTCTCCTTTATATTTTCAGATACATAACCTTATCTATATTCTTCTGAGGAATCTATCTGTCTTGAGTGGGGAGAGATTAGATTATTCTGAGAGGAATGGAAATAGAAAGCATTAATATTCAGCTCTGACATCTAAATTTGGATCTTTGATTACTTAACAAGAGAACTGCCTTAAAAGTAAGGTTTTTTTCAGGTGTAACACTTTTTCTTAATTATTTATTGTATTCTTTACCATATTATATGTAAGACCAGCTGGACTTGATCATAGAGTTTTACATCAGTTTGACAGAAAGGTGCAGGACAGAGAGGGAGGTCAGTTTTTTGGGTCCTAGAGGGTAAAGAAAAATGGAGGCAGAACAAGGAACTTAGGTGTCAGGACTCTGGTCTTTCCCCTGGTCTGCTATGGGCGGACACTGATTGGGTTAGGAAAGGCTAGAAGCATTTAGATAAGTATGGGAACAGCACAAGAGTACTGGGTAGTAGAGCACCTCTCACAGTGTTCTAGGGGCAGGCTGCATGTCTCTGGGGGAAGTCTTACTTAAGTCGTGGGAAGATGGCGCTGGAGAAAAATCAAGGCTTGGCTACATGAGTCAGAGGCTACTTTCTAGAATCCCCATGGTCTGTTTACAGGTGCAGGGAATACAGAAGTCCCCAGGGGTCCAGGAAGTAGATGCAGAGAATTGAGAGAGCTAGTGGCCTGGCAAAGTCCTGGGCTAAGTACAAAGAAGTGCCCATGATGAGGGTCTTTGAGATGGAGTCAAGCGGCTGAAACAATTGGCTTCAGCAGTGGTGTCAACACATAATCCCAAAAGTCCAGGTAGGAAAATCCATATATAACTAGGTACCTACACAGGGAACAGAGTAGATTGGCTGCTCAGCTGCTCAGACCAAAAGATCCAGAAGGCAATGCATGGATTTAAGCCTATTTTTTTTTTTTTTTTTTTTTTGCCTCAGGTGACACTCAACTGTCTCACCTTATCACCTAAATTTCATCACGGAAAGAAAAGGGTAAGGTGGTTGAATTCCAAACATATCACCTAAAGAGACTGAGTCATCTAAGAAAGAATTTACATCAGCCCTAACATGGAATTGAACTTAAATGAACTGAATATTTAAAGTGAAAGGAACTCTTTAAACCTGAATAAAATGAGACATTGTTAATTGCAATTTACAAAATTTAAGTTTCTTGACTATTTGGTAGATGGGATCATTCATAAAGAAGATTAGATATATTAGAGAAATTTTTTTCTTTGTGTGTCTTTTTATATGTATCTACATATTATGTGAGTTTGTTATCCTACCATGTCAATTTCCTTTTTCTCTGCCTCATTCATTCATCCACCCCACTGAATTCACACACTGTTTTAATTATCTTTGAAAAAAGTATAAGGCACAGAAAAATCTACAAAAACAACAGCAAAGAAATACAAAAATCAAGAAGAAAAAAATAAGGGCAGGAACATAAACCTTGAATTAGATTTGGAATTAAAATATATGCAATCAGCCTCTATAGTTGGAGTTAAGCTAACATTGGCTCTGAACTTATTAGCAGTCAATGTAAAGAAGGAAAACAATCAGTCCTGTGATAATTACCTCATCCATATGATAAAAACAAACTACAAGTGTAGGTACAAATTATCCATGTAGGAAATCTTAAGAGAAATTTTTCTTATAGCATCTCATAGAACATGAGGTAATATGTAAACTGTGTCCCCAATAAAGAAGCTATATTATGTCCAATGATGAATTCTGTAGGACTGTTGTTTATGATATACTTCATAGAAAACTTATTGCATTATGACAAAGCACAGTTCCACGAAGGAAAGAAAATGGTAAGGTATTGGCTCAATAGGAATCCTGCATTGAAACAGCCAAGATGAAGATTATTTTATAGCTACAGGCACTTTTCTGGAAGAGAACCTCCTGGGAAATCTAAGGCTAGATCAAACTGCATAGTAGGGAATGGGGAATAAGGGAGTTGCCAGAATATGGCCTTTTTGAGAGGAAATAGGTATACACTCCTCTCTCTCTCTCTCTTTTACTGTCACTCTCATATAAGTCTATAAGACTGTAAGATATCCATATATATATATAAGAGTTTGCTATACATACACACAGACACTATATAAATATATTACCCATGTAGTAAATCTTAAGAGATTTTTTCTTATAGCATCTCATAGAAACAAGAGGTAATATGTAAACTGTGTCCCCAATAAAGAAGCTTTCTTCCTTCCTATATATAGCATGTATGTGTCGTGTGTGTGTGTGTGTGTGTGTGTTTGTGTGTGTGTATCTTTGGTATTGCTTAGGGTATCTTTACATGAGCTTTTTTTTAATCAAATAATATTCTGAATATTTCAATGCTTGTAATGCTCTCTACAACTGGGTGTCACTTTGTCTGCATTATGGTTAATTATTTCTGTATTTTTCTATATTGAGGTACCTGACTCTACGTTTCCTAAATTTTATTCAGAACTGTGTTATAGATAACTTGTGGTTTATTTAATATATATTGAACAGTAAAGCCATGATCATCATAAAACCTTAAACATTCTCATGTATTTATTTATAGCTATCATATTTCTTGCCTTGTGACTACTGAATGCTAATAAAATATAACCCTTTGATAAATGTTTTCTAGGACATTTTATTCTGCATTCTTTAGCTATTTTTGCCAATGTTTCATAACTTCATTTTCCTTCCTTTCCATTTCTGTCACATTTATCTCAGCTTTAATTCCTTATCTTTGAATATCTATGTTGCTTTAAGCAATTTTTCTTTTGCTCTTTCTTTCTCTTTAACTGTTTTCACTAAGTGCTGATCATATACTTATATTTTCTGACCTGTCTTACTTCTTCAATGTGTTCTCAAATATTTGTGGATACCTCAACAATGAGTATATTTTAATCAAAATAATATCTTTACTTTGGCTCTTATTGCCTGCCAGCTTTCTTCCTTCCTGTCTTTATCCCTCCTTGATTTAAAGAGACATCCAAATGAACTATTATTCATAGCATATGAGAATCTATATGAATAAATAGGACTTTCATCTACAGCTAAAATGCTCAAGATTATACCTAAATAGTTGGTAATTTAGAATGATTTTCCTGACTTCATATTTGTTGCTTTCAAACTTTTTCTGGAGTTTTAGATTTAGAGTATAACATTGGGTTTGGCATAGAAAGTTATATCAAGCTGTCTCTTTTTTTATTCTTTAGTTTCAGTCTGCCAAATATACAATTTAACACATCCCTCAGCTAAATTTGCCCTTAAAGAGTCCTTATTTGTCCCTTTATCTGCTGAACACATTGAAATTATCTTGAACAACTGTCTATGCTGAATTTCTGGTCAACAGAGCTTCTATATTTTGGTGAAGCAATTTTATTCATTGCTTTTTGCTTGCTATGTTGAAATGTAAGTTTGGGCGATTTAAAAAATTATTTTATTGGAATTGATATGTGAGCTTATTACTGCTTTCTGATGGCAAAAAGGAGTTTGAAATAAATTAATAGCATTGGGGTCATCTGTTATTTTTACGTATCCTTATTCATTCCTCTTCTAGTAGCATCTTGGCTTTGCCTTGAGGAACCACCTCTGCCTGTTTCCCAAATCTGAAGAAATCAGTCTAAGCAAAGTCAGTCCAGGATATTTTCTGGAAATATCACAAAAGAAGCCTGTTTCTTCTGCTGGAGTTGTTAATTTGGCAGGTATGGTAAGGAGAGAAGTAGCTTTCCAAAGATGTCTCTCTCATCCACTGGGGCAGTTATACTCCAAATGCCATAGACTGGGTGGCTTTAACAACCAACATTTATTTCTGACAATTAAGGCTGGGAAATCTAAGATCAAGATAGCAGCAGACTCAGTGTCTGGTGAGGGCCATTTCCTGGTTCATAGATGGTACCTTCTTGCTGTGCTCTCACACGGTGGAAAGAGCAAGGCAGCTCTCTGGGGCCTCTTTTATAAAAGCACTAATCTCACTCATGAGAACTCCACCCTCATGACCTAATCACCTTTCAGAGGTCCTACCACTTAATACCATGACCTTGGGGATTAGGACTTCAACATACAAATTTTGAGAGGACGCAAACATTCAGTCTATAGGAATGTCCACCACCTATCCTCAGAACCTGTGAATATGTTACTTTATGTGGCAAATGTCCTTGAAAATGTGATTTAGAAAATGGGATTCACCAAGAATCTTAAGATGGGAAGATTATTCTGGAATATGTGGGGGATCTCAATGTAATCTCAAGGATCAAGGCTCAGGAGGGCCATGAGGGTGACAGGAGATGAGACAATGGTGGTAGAGGTCACAGTGCTGCGATTTCTAGTTTTGAAGATGGAAGAGGGCCATGAGCCAAGGCACGCAGCAGCCTCTAGAAGCCAGGGATGCTCAGGATTTCACTCAGTCTCCCCTAGAGCCTATAGAAGGAACACAGCCCTGCCAACACCTTTGTGTTAGTGCAGTGAGACTTATGAGCTCCCAAACTGTAGGATAATAAAGTAATATTGTTCAAGCCACCATGTTTGTGATAATTTGTTACAGCAGCAGGAGGAAACTAACACAGTAGGACACAAGTCTGAGGCTCCTGGCGGCCATCTTTGCCATCATGTGGGCCTGAGCTTTCTTCAGAGTAAAGCCAATATAAACAAGAGCCAAACGATAGAGACACGCTGTGGTGACATTATTTGAGCATTTGGTCAGTCCTTCCTAAAGTAGTTAACCCAGATTTTTCAGTTTTATTAGCCAACAGATTTTTGTTTTGTTTTGTTTTGCTTCGGTTACTTTGATCTGGGCTCTCTCTTACTTGCATACTATTTTATGTACAAGTATCTTTTTAAAATTACAGTTTTACTTATTATAGCTCCAATTTGGAAACAATGTACTTATCATGCTTACTGTATTCATTGATTTACTCGATCAATAACTCAAGTTAGGCCGGGCACAGAGGCTCACGCCTGCAAACCCAGCACTTTAGGAGGCCGAGGTGGGCGGATCACTTGAGGTCAGCAGTCTGAGACCAGCCTGGCCAACATGAGGAAACCCCCACTAAAAATACAAAAATTAGCTGTGCATGGTGGTGCGCACCTGTAATCCCTGCTACTTGGGAGGCTGAGGAAGGAGAATCACCTGAACCTGGCTGTGGGAGGTTGCAGTGAGCTGAGATTGCACCACTGTGCTCCAGCCTGGGTGACAGAGTGAGACTCCATCTGAAAAAAAAAAAAACAAAAAAAAAAAACAAAAAAAACCTCAAGTTATTGGGTAAAATGAGGTGTATTTCAAAAATACAATATCTTGTAGCCATGGGAAACTCATGCTATAGAAAAACTGCTTGTTTATGTGGGAAAGCTTTCACAATATATAATTTTTCACTGAAGCAAAAAAAATTGAAAAGCATCATTCATAGAAACGCCCAACCATATACAAAAAAGTTTTAAAAGTTACAAAGGAAGGATCTTCCTATGATAACTTGGAAATTCAGATAACTTGGAAAGGTTAGAAATTTCTTCTAAACTCTTGTATTCTTTAAAGAGTTATACAAAATGACATTTGAAACATTTATTAATGCCCCTGCCAAAGACTGCATTTTAAACTTAAACGCTATTGAAAAATGCACTGAAGAAGTTTAAAATATTGTATAGTCCCAGGTCAAATAATTATAAACTAATGTTAAAAAGGCAAAAATTTCCTATGTAAACAATAATGGTAATAGTGTTATTTTTACATTTAACTTCTATTAATAAGGATACTTGAAATAAGTCTCATCTTGCAATTACTACTCTAGAAAAAGTGAGGACTACAAGTGCATGTATGGTGCAGCACTGTTTTCATGAATTTCTTTCTTATGTTCTATGTGTCTATTACATTAATAAGACTGAGATGCTATAGCAGTTTGCCACCCTTTGGGAAGGGAAAAAGGCCAGTGGTCAGGGAGTCGTACATTGTGTGATTCTAGGCATTTTGGCCTCTTTGAACCTATATTAATTCTTCATATAAAACTGGGATATCAATAGTAGCTACAGCATGGATTTGTTGGGACTACTAAATGAAATAAAGCATGTCATGCACCTCTCAGAATATGGGGCGCATATATATATATATATATATACTCAATAATTGTTAGCTACTACTAATATTTTTATTATCAGCATGATACTGTTGTTACTATTAATTTTTGACATGCCTTACAGTCCTATGAGTTAGCTCAGAATTCTGAGTTAACACAACTATGGAGGAGATAACAAAATAGAAAATTTATCCATTTTTACTCTATAATGTTTAATGAGGAAAATGCCCATCAATTAATTACCTTCATTCAAAAAACTTAAGAATCATTTCTGTGAATTAAAGATTGTTGGAGGCACAGTTGCTATTGAAATGGGTAAAACTGTGTCCTTGGTAACTAACAGTTTGCATTTTAGTGGGGAGACAGTGAAAAATACCTGTAAACACCATAAGGTGTTGGATTTGCCACGTTAGAAATATGCTTAGGGTTTCAGTTAGGAGATAAAGGAGAAAGTGATCAGTTCTACCAGTGCAAAAGGGTCAGGACAAGGATTCAGAGAAGAGGGGAGGTTTGCGAACCTTTCAAATAATAGGCAAGTGGTTAATTGGGGATGGGCATTCCATGCTGAGGGGACAATGCTGGCAAAGGCATAGATGCAGGAAACAATTTCATTTGCTGAGCGGATGGGCGTGTACAGTTTGGGGGGATGGGAATATGGCAACAAATGAGGCTGAGTTGCTAAGCAGGGTACAGACTAATTAATCCATCAGTAGATGACCCTGACCATTTACCCTGTTAGGCATGGTAAGTGCTGGAGATACAGTGGTGGCCTCCGCTTTGATGGACTTATATTCTAAATAATCACTGGGCCTTTCTGTGGGAAATGAGGCTTTATTGAGGCAGAGGTGTGTGTACATGATCTGATTTTTATTATAGGATGCTCACTGGGACAGCTATGTGAAGCAATGTTTGAAGGGTGTATTTTAGTCTGTTTTCACCCTGCCAATAAAGACATACCTGAGACTGGGAAGAAAAAGAGGTTTAATTGGACTTAGAGTTACACATGGCTGGGGAGGCCTCAGAATCATGGTGGGAGGTGAAAGGCATTTCTTACATGGCGGCGGCAAGAGAAAAATGAGGAAGAAGCAAAAGCAGAAACCCACAATAAACCTATCAGATCTTGTGAGACTTAATTCACTATCATGAGAATAGCATGGGAAAGACCAGCCCCCATGTTTCCATTACCTCCCCCTGGTTCCCTCCCACAACATGTGGGAATTCTGGGAGATACAATTCAAGTTGAGATATGAGTGGGGACACAGCTAAACCATATTAAAAGAGGACACAATCGAAGGTAGAGAGAGTAGATTAATGATTATTTATTAATTCAAATGAGAGGAGCTGCGTGAAAGCACTAGAAGCAAGGATAGAAAGAAGTGAGCTTTGATATGAAACTTGGTAACTAGCCCGAATCTAAGTCTGGGTGACTCATGGGCCTCAGGGGTAAAAGGGAGGACAAAACCTGAATAGCCTGAAGGTGTCTTCCTCGTGTGAGAGAAAGGTTTTCATTTTGATTGGTGCCTACCCCACTTTTTCAGACAAGCAGAAGCCTGGGTGCTAAGCTGGGCTAGGGTGTGGCGTTACTGAAGCTGCTGTGTTTGGGAAATGACTCGGCAATCTGAATTATGATTCTGCAGTTTGGTCTTGGCCTCCCCTTACCCTCTTCCACATCCAGTCACTCTCACCACTCATTCCAAACAGACCCCCAGCCTAAGCTCTGGAGCCTGCTTATTGGACTTAATTATTTCGGCTGTTTGTCATTCCAAACTTCCTCTCGCCACCCACAGTGAGCAGATGGAATAAAATGCTCCACAAGGGGCTTAATAGTGAAGGAGATGTATTGGGGGAATTGTGGGCATAAAAAGAAATGTTGGCATTATTTTTTTCATTTATTTTAATTTTTCCCTTAGCATAAGGGAGAATCCTCTCACGGTCCAGGCATCTCCCAATTCTCAGAAGACATAGGGGTGGAGACTTGGACCATGGCAGCTGCTTGGTCTCCCTGTTGGACCAGGTTTATCAAAATTGTCACCACCTGCTAGGTTGCCTTACCAGAAGCAATTATAGCATTACCAGAAGTTAACTTCCTCTTTTTTTTTTTTTTTTAGCGTTTGCTGGTGAGTACTAGCAGTACATGAAATCCTACTTGACAGTCGTTTGCTTTCTTTCCTTACTTTCTTATGTCAAGACAAATGATGCTTTAAAGAACGTTAAGAAATACAGGATTAAGCCAGGTTAAAGTCAGAAAGAATGACGGATAGAGGGGAAACAGTGAGACTGACATGATGTAGTGTTTTTTTTTGCACCATTTTATAATTAGAATGTAATAAGGTATGCATAAAAATCTGATAGCCCAGGCTGGAAAGTCGAGGGTGAAGAAATTCCCCAAACTGGAAACCCAGCAATAGCAAACTTTTATTGTGTTCCTGAATCTTGAGCAAGGCTGAGGAGAAAAAAATGAAGAAAAAATAAAGGTTTGTGGAGATGGTAAGAAATTCAGTTTTGGATATATTGACTTTGATATGATCATGGGATGTACAGATAGATAGTAATTAAAATAATAAAGCAAAAATATATAATTCTAAAAGAATATAGCTTTAGGTCAAGCTCTAAGATTCTCTGGATAGCAGTGATCCTTAGAATATCTGATCTGACCTATGTAACACACAGGCTTATGCAGGTTTAATGGATTAACATGTGAAGGTACTTTGAAAATCTATAAGGCATGTGTGGATTCATTATTTTATTACTATTTCAAAAATTACAGCTTATAGACATCCCCTCTGTGTTTCCTATAGTCAGATACATTTTTTTTTCTTTAGGGAAGACAATTATTTCCTCTTTATGTTCCTATAACCCTGAACACTTCCCCCTGACCTTTGCACAGATGCTGAGGTCTGAGGTTTCTGTAAGCCTCTCCCTGTTGCTTGTCTCACTGTGCGCTCCTATAAGCACAGAAATACATCGCGGCATCCCCCAGCTGTGAGTCTGAGATCTTGAGACTGAAGGATTTGGCTGCTTTCTGGAAGTTCACAGAGAAACGATTCTCTGTTGCATTCTGTTGCTTATAAGCTTCTTGGCGAATAACGAGAATCATCTGCCTGCTGGGAGGCTGCTTGTACCAGAATAAATAATAATCACTCTCACTGGTGTCATATGTGCAGCTCAGGGTCACGGTCTCTGCCTCCTGCACAGACATCTCTGGTTGAGACTGAGTGACTGTCTGAGCCATGCTAAATTCTGTGGGAAAGAGGAGAGAAAGGACTTCACTGGGATACCATGTGAGAGACAGAAACAGACTCACAAGCCTGTTCCCATTGCCACCCGCCTTTCTTCCTCTTGATCCAAACCTCTGACAAAATCCATCAGCTTTCTTGCCCCTAATAGCTGGGCCCAGTGAAGAGATTAGATTCTTGCACTATTAATCTTTCTTCCCACTTCTCTGTTCTATTGAATACTAGTTAAGGTGAATACATGCGCCTTCCTTACCAAGACAGGTGGAGATCACAAGTGCCCACAGGAAGCCAGGGCATGCCATGCTCACAGGTCCCTGCTGCAGGGTGAGAAGCCTCCTCTTCTGATCTGAACCTTGAGTATCAGCTGCACTGGTGCCGTAGCTGCTTCAGAACAGGAAATGGGATGTCAGGTGGGCTGTTTATGATGTCTCCCTTAGGGAAAGCTCTTCGATACTTTTTGTCTTTTGCTTCAGAGAATAAAACTTGGACCATAATATTTAACGAAAAAAGATGTTGTTGGAACTGTAATTTATTTGGGAATAAACATGAAGAGGAAAGGGAGCTGATACATTGTTTTTTAAAGACATAATTTGGATAGGAGAATGAGATGGGTGGGGAAAAGACAGGCCAAGCTAATGCTGTGACTTCAGTTTTCTCTATAAGCTTTTATTGTCTTTCCTTTCTCTCTCTCTTTCTCTCTCTTTCCTTCCCGTCTTTCCTTCTCTTTCCCTTCCCCTTACTCCTCTTTTTTCCTTTTTTTTTTCTTCCTTCCTTCTTTCCTTTTTTTCTTTCCCTCCTCTGTCTTGAAGCCAATATCAGAAAATTATCTCTGGGTTATGATAATACAGGTATTGGTTATATTATTGTTTGACCAAATTGTATTTTAATACTTTGAGAAATGATGAAAAATAATGACAACAACAATAACATTCAGATAGTCTAGAGAAAATTGAAACCAGACTTTTGATATCTAATTATACTGTAATTTGCTGAAGACTTTCTTTTTTAAAAAAAGAATACCTGATTTTGGCTGTGTCAAGGAGCTCTACAATACTGGTGGCAAGGGCTTTTGTGAGCTTCTGTTAATGACTTTGTGAAAGAAGACTCAGAACAATCAACATAAAATTCATTTGGGAACATTCTGTGTTGCACATCTGACAGCTTTTCATTGGCATCTGATTTTTTCCTCATGCACACATTCTTCTTTGAGGGAGGAAAGGTCAGGAATTAGTCTGCATTTTATAGAAGAGGCAACAGAGCAAAAATGAAAACTCACAATACAGAGAACTACTAGTTTCATTTGCATTAATTTTCTCTCCCTATTTAATTTGTGTCATCCAATCTTAGATAAGGCTTCTGTATAGTTCAGCTTTATGTAAACTTTTCCCCCTGTAAAACAAGAAGGAGAATAAAAGACTAAATTAAAAGCTGACTTGCCGTATAGGGAGTGGTGGTCTTAACTCTCCCTTCCCATTTATTATTTCCACTTGGAAATGGTGCTAACAGTGGGCATTTTGCCACAGCCGTTCTTAACTCCGGAGGACTTCTTAAAGTACAGCATGTTGAGTTTCTTCCATAGGTGGTCTACTTTTCTTGTTTGCGTGGTGTTAAATTTCTGCACTACCTACTATTTTCTGGACAAATTCACAGGAAATTGGCAAATATGCTATTATTTTACAATTTACCCCCTTCTCCTCTCTTTTTTTTTCTTTTGAGACAGGGTCTCACTCTGTCACCCAGGTTGGAGTGCAGTGGCGCAATTATGCAACCTCAACCTCCTGGGCTCAAGTGATGCTCCCACCACAGCTTTCCGAGTAGCTGGGACTACAGGCATGTGCCACCACTCTCTAGTCTGTATAGGAAGCTCCAGACGATTGGGCTGTCTTCTCTCCCAGTCTCAGGCCAGCTGCAGCTATCTATGAGTTCACTAATTAGGGTCTCAAGAGTAAATGTTTTCCGCCTCTTGCCTGGGCTCACTGGGCCTGCAACTGCAATGCTGACTGGGGATTCCAGTGCTGCAATGCTGAATGGATCTTGCCATTTTAGATGAGATTGGGCACATTTGGGGTGGTGTGGCCATAGATAGATCTTGCCACTTTAGATCTTTTTTGTGATCCTCTGGGACCTATGCAATCAGAACTTTAGTATCTTGTATTTATCATTCAATCAGTTCCAACTTCCACAGTTAATCAAATTATTGAACATTGAAGACCAAATAAAGCGATGTATATAAAAGAACTTGCAAGTGGGCAAATACGGGTGGGGTGGGCAGACGGCTGCTTTTTTGTGGAAGCAGAACCCCTTCTGGGCAGTCTGAGAAATTTTACTGTGCTCCCTTGGGATATCAACCCTATCTGGCAACTACCATCATGGGATTTCTTACTGGAGTTAGCTAGTTAGACTATAAAAAGTAAAAACTAGGAGAAAAATATGTGAGTATCACACGCCTACTCTCAGGTTCTCGTGGGAGAATTTTTACAGATGCAAAAACTGAGGCATACCAGCAATTAATGGCACAAGTGGGAGAAGCCGCTCCAATCATTGAGACAGCCCCTCTTAGATGAGTGGGTCTTGACGAAAGAACACTCAGGGTCCCTGGTCCTAATCACCTCAGACAGCTCATGATCAGGGTTCTCATGACTCTGAATTCCTTATCTGATAATACAGTGAACAAAAAGCTTTCTAAAAGTCTTTTAGAAAAGATTTTCTCTGATTTGTTACATTCATTTACAATATTCTTTTGGTCAGAGGAGGTGATGAAGATGGTTTACTAACCCCTGAGTGGAGGTCCCAATGCAGGGTGGAGGGGGTGGTGCATTTAGGTGCTTTCAGGGGCATGTAGGTTCCCTGCAGCACAGACATAGATGGCTAAGTCCCTCGACTGGGTGGTCTTGTGGTTCAGGGAGAGGGAGCTGGTACTAGCACTGAAGGAGGCTGCTTATCTTCCCCTGCACTACAAAACCCTAGTTAACAAGAACAGAAACAAAGACATCAGATTTATTCTAGATCTTTTTCATTCTGTCCCATGGATCTGAAACATTGTTCAAATAATTATAGTAGATGACAAAACATCTTTCCTTCATGGATGGTGTGATAGTTAATTTTAGGCGTCAACTTGACGGAATTAAGGAATACCTAGAGAACTGGTAAAGCATTATTTTTGGGTGTGTTTATGAGGGTGTTTCTAGAGGACATTGGCTTGTGAGTCTTAGTGGAATACATGGGGAAGATCCATCTTCAGTGTGGGCATCCAATCTGCTAGAGGCCTGGATAGAACAGAAACCTAGGAAAAGCAACTTGGTCTTTCTCTTGCCTGGAGCTGGGATACACTCTTTTTCTCTTGCCCTTAGACACAAGAACTCTGGGATCTCTGGCCTATGGACTGTAGGATTTATGCCAGTGGCCCCCTGGGTTCTCAGGCTTTTGGATTTGGACTAGTCACACTACTACCAGCATCCCAGGTTCTCCAGCTTGCAGACAGTCTGTCATGGGACTCCTCAGCCTCCATAATTGCATGAGCCAATTCTTCTAATAAATCCCCTCTCATATATCTATATATTCATCCTATTGGCTCTGTCTCTCTGGAGAACAGAGATTGGTTGTGTCTCTCTGGACAGATGGTCAGAAGAGCATTCCTCTTCCTTCATTTGATAGCAAATTTTCTTAAAAAAGATGAATTAAGGGTAAATTAAATAAAGGGTAAATTAAATGTTTTATTTATTCTTTGAATCCCTTCTGTAAAATATAGAGACTAGTTCTCAGAACCTTCTGAGTCCTCTGTGTCCCTGATGAAATGAATTCACTCAGCTCTCACCCAGGCCAAAGCCACCAGATCACAAATACAGTTCCTAAAAGCTCCTCCATGGTTTGACCTTTTTAATTGGTGGAAAACTTGATTCCAGAATGTGGAAATCTGACCTAGACTCTACGGATAACATAGGATTTGTTCTAGTTATTTTGTATGTATTAGGAATAGCGGATTCTTCAAAATGAGATCGGTTTTTTGTAAGTAACTGCTATCAACAGGAGCAAACAGTGCCCTCTTCAGATCAAAGAGATAATTACAGAGGCAGTTTCTAGGATTTTCTGTATGGAAAGAACTTGGTTTAGTAAGAAATGTATTCTAAAAGTAATCTTTTTACCAGTTTCAGATTTATGTTTCCACTAAATCAAAAGACTTGGATGTTTGAAATGTATCTGTCCTTTCCTTTATCACTGCTTTCTTAAATTCTACCTTCTATCACATCTTACCTCCTCAGAGAAACCTGTTTCTTTTCCTTCATATTCTTTCAGAAATATAGCATGATTATAATTTAAACCTTAAGCATATTTGTGCCTTATCAGCACTTATTATGTGCTTAGTACTGTGCTAAGAGCAGTGAGGAATTGTGAAGGGTACAAGGCAAACTCTATCTACATAGAGAATATAATGTATTTGGGGAGGAAAGATGAGTACCTTGAAACAACAGCAAATGTCTTAGGAAGGTATGTCAGTAAGAGTCGGATTGTTTGGTCCACAGTTGGTACTGTATGACATTTGGAAGAGAAGGAATTAAAGGATTGTTTGATTATTAGAGAAGAAATCTTAGAGGGAAGAGAGATTTCTGGTGGTCATTATAAGATTAATATGGTTTAAGCAGTCTGAAATATACACAAAAGGGAAATTTGGGTGGGTGGAGCAACCAGTAGAGAAATGCTAGAGCCAGCAATGAGCTTTAAGTCCTTATGAGCCAGTAAGGGGAATAAACTGACTAGAAGAGAGACGTATTTTGGGAATAACTAGGAATGAAGTTTAAATAGTAAAGGGTCAGAAGATTTGGGAAGGGGAAATGAGAGACAGTTGAAAGAGCTTAAACTTGGAAAGTAAAGTTTTTGAACACTGAAAAGACGTAATCACATATCTGCAGAGATTGGAGTTTAGTAAATGCGATCTGCCTCATCATCTTTTTTTTACAATTTCTCACTCAAGTACACACTTACCTTTATTAGCTTAGCCCAGTAAGGTTCACCTTGAACTCTCCTCTGTTCTTTCTTTGTTAAATTTTCAAAGAATCTTTGGATTTCCAAAGATTCCCTGTATTAGTTTGATTTCCCCCCAAGACAGAGCCTGAAACTACCTTGGGTGCAGGTAGTTTATTTAGGAAGTGATCTCAGGAAGCAGGAGTGAGAAAATGGGTAAAGCAGGATACCCACTCTCACCACTTTTATTCAAAATAGTGCTAGAAGTCCTAGCCAGAGCAATTGGTAAGAGAAAGAAATAAAAGGCATCCAAACTGGAAAAGAAAAAGTCCAACTATCTGTTTGCTGATGATATGTCTTATACCTGGAAAACCCTCAAGGCTCCTCCAAAAGACTCCCAGATTTGATAAGTGAATTCAGTAAAGTTTCAAGATACAAAATCAATGTATGAAATCAGTAATATTTCTATACATCAGTAACAACCAAGCTACAAACTAAATTTATAATAGCCACAAAATAAATAATCCCATTTATAATAGCCACAAAATAATACCTAGAAATACACTTAAACAAAAAGGTAAACGATCTCTACTAGGAAAACTACAAAACACTGATGAAAGAAATTGTGGATAACCCAAATAAATGAAAAAACCTCTCATGCTTATAAACTGGAAAAAGCAATATTATTAAAATGACCATATTGCCCAAAGCAATATGTAGATTCAATGCAATGCCTATCAAAATACCAATATTACTTTTCACAGAATTAGGAAAAAATGCTAAAATCAATATGAAACAAAAAAACAGCCTGAATGCCAAAGCAATCCTAAGCAAAGAGAAAAATCTTGATGCATCATATCACCTGACTTCAAATGATACTACAAGGCTATAGTATCAATATAGCATGGTACTTGTATGAAAAATAGACACACAGATCAATGGAACAGAATATGGAACCCAGAAATAAAGCCACATACCTACAACTAACTGATCTTTGACAAAGTAGACAAAGACATACACTGGGGAAAGGACACCCTATTCAATAAATAGTGCTGGGAAAATTAGTTAGCCATACACAGAAGAATGAAACTGGATCCATTTCTCTTACTATAAAGTCAAGATGGATTAAAGACTTAAATATAAAACCTGAAACTATAAAAATTCTGTAAGAAAACCTGGGAAAAACTCTTCTGGATCTTGGCTTAGGCAAAGAATTTATGACTGAGATCTTAAAACAAATGCAACGAAACAAAAAATAGACTAATGGGACTTAATTAAACTAAATAGCTTCTGTACCACACAATATATAATCAAGAGAGTAAAGAGACAACCTACAGAATGAGAGAAAACATTTGCAAACCATGCATCCAACAAAGGACTAATATCCAGAATCTACAAGGAACTCACACAACTCAACAAGCAAGAAACAAATAAGCCCATTGAAAAGTGTGCAAAGGACATGAACAGACATTTCTCAAAGAAGACGTACAAATGGTCAGCAAACATGAGAAAATGCTCAACACGACTAATCATCAGATAAATGCAAATTAAAAGCACAATGAGATACCATCTCACATCAGTTAGAATGGCTATTAATAAGAAGTCAGAAAACAACAGATGTTTGGTAACACATATACACTGTTGGTGGGAATGTAAATCAGTACAACCTGTGTGGAAAACAGTATAGGGATTTCTCAAAGAACTAAAAATAGAACTACTCTTCAACCCAGCATCTCACTACTGGGTATCTACCCCCACAAAAAGAAATTATTATATCAAAAATATAACTTCACTGTTATGTTTATCACAGCACTATTCACAATAGAAAAGATATGGAATCAACCTAAGTGTCCATCAATGGATGGATGATTAAATAAAGAAAATGTCACACACACACACCATGGAATACTACTCAGCCATAAAAAGAATAAACTCATGTCTTTTATAGCAACATGGATGGAACTGGAGGCCATTATCTTAAGTGAAGTAACTCAGAAACAGAAATTCAAATACTACATTTCTTACTTATAAATGGGAGCTAAATAATGCATAGACATGGACAAAGATAACAGACATTGAGACTTGAAAAGGTGGGAGTGTGGGAGGAGAATGAGGAATGAAAAGTACCTAATGAGTACAATGTACACTATTCAGGTGATGGTTACACTGAAAACCCATACTTCACCACTACACAATATATCCATGTATCAAAAGTGGCACTTGTACTCCCTTGATCTATAAAAATAAGTTATAAAAGAAGAAAGTGGGTCGAGCAATAACTGACTCAAGTGGGACTCGGTTCTGGTAGGATCTCCCAAGAAGCACACAGGTTGCCGCTCAGAATTGTCTATTTAAGGGACGCAAAGCTAGTGCGTTTATTCCCTGGCTCTTTTTCCCCATTGGTTGGTGTTTGCCAACAGGGGTGGTAGTTTCCCTATAATTTCAGGCTGTGCTTGCCCTTAAACTAAGGGATCTCCTGAGACATTAGAGAAGACTTTGGGATAGAAAGCAACAAAACAAAACAAAACATAACATAACAAAACACAGAGTGTGCTTAACGCTGGATGTTACCAGCATGACGTGAGTGTGATTGTCTACTATAACTCCAGCTAAAATCAGACAGACATTCGGATGGGGCAACAGGGCGCATATATCAGTTACAGTCCTTTCTTTGCACTACTCAGATGCATGCTTGCCCTATATTATTTCCACTGTGTCACTGTGTCTTCAAGGTTGCCTCTGACTGCAATCTCTTCAACGCCCTTAATACAGGAAGGTTGCATGACATGAGCTTCTGTTCTTGAAAACTTCATTGCTGAAGAGTCTCAGTTCTTGGTCACGTTGCCCTTTTCAGGCCTTGCTGCTACAAGAACTGCCGCTTGCTGTTTGTATTGGGCACGGAAACATCAGGAGACACCAATGTGAAATACTTACATTATAGCCACATTCCTCCTCACCCTCCTTGTGTCACAACAACCTGGTGCTCCATGACAGTCAGGGTCAATGACCCCTTCTGGTCTAATAGCTCCTCTCTTTGCCTGCTGGGCTATTGGCACAGAGAGTTCAGAGTGACCTAAAAGTGGCAGCCATAGCTGCAGGTTACTGAATCCCCGAAGGGAGCATCCTTCTTTGGGAACTAGGACCTCTAATCTAGCAGAACCTAGGGTTGTGGGAAAGGGAAACACGAATTCTGAAAATGACTTATAGGGAGTGATAGGAGAAGACTCTATTCTATGTCTATTTCTTGGTTTCTAAACTTTTGCCACGACACCATGAATCAGCCAGTGGTTTAACGAATATTATCATTTTCTGAAGCATAGCATTCCAACCACTGAGGTGTTGCCCACGAGCTGGCCCTTCAGCGGAGCATTTTAAAGCCTTTTCATCATTCTTCTAGGTTCTACTGCAGTGGACCTAGGTCATCTCTTGAGTCTGGTGGGCCCAGCAAGTCCCCTTCGTGGTTATGCCACCGTTGTCACACCTGTTGTGTTCTAAAATGGGTACCTTATTCGGAGGAGATGCAGTTTTGGACCAGATGGACAAATAAAAGGACAAGCAACAATTAACAAATGGAAAAGGTTTAAAATTCCTGGAGGTAAGAATGCCCAGGCAAATTATAAAAATTTTCTGGACAGAGAAAATGCTTAGGAAATCTGACCTGTAATAAGTACCTTAGTGAAGGCACCTTGTAAAACTGGAATGCACTGCACACGTCATTATCTTTATGTAACTTTAAGGATTGAAGCTTGCAGACAGCCATCTCTCTGAGTTTCTTACAGGAGAAGAAATAGGAGAAGCTTTCATTTCCAAGAGAAGTCAATGATTTTCTATACCTATTACCCTACCACTTCCCTCTCACCCTGTGACCTTTGCACAGATGCTGAGGTCTGAGGTTTCTGTAAGCCTCTCCCTGCTGCTCATCTCATTGTGTGCTTCATGAAAGCACAGAAATACATCGCAGTGTCCCCCAGCTGTGAGTCTGAGATCTTGAGACTGAAGGATTTGGCTGCTTTCTGGAAGTTCACAGAGAAACGATTCTCCGTTGCATTCTGTTGCTTATAAGCTTCTTGGCGAATAACGAGAATCATCTGCCTGCTGGGAGGCTGCTTGTACCAGAACAAATAATAATTATTCTCACTGGTGTCATATGTGCAACTCAGGGTCACAGTCTCTGCCTCCTGCACAGACATCTCTGGTTGAGACTGAGTGACTGTCTGGGCCATGCCGGATTCTGTGGAAAATAGGAGAGAAAGGACTTCACTGGGATATCACGTGTGAGTGAGAAACAGACTCACAAGCTGATTCCCATTCCCCATTCCCACACACCTTTCTTTGTGATTCTAGCCTCAGGCAGCATATTTCTGCCTCCAGGTAGCTGGGCTCTAAGAGGCAATGCAGTTGCTGTTCTGTTAATCCCTCCTGCTTCACAGCCCCATTAGATGCCTTTATAAAGAAAGAACCACATCTTCCTTACCAAGACAGGTGGAGACCACGACTGCCCACAGCAAGCTAACTCGTGTCATGCTGACAGCGCTCCCCTGCAGAGTGAAAAGTCTCCTGCTCTGATGGGTTCTCCTCTGTGCTTGGTGAGAATTCTCCTTCAGGGCAGGAAATGCTATGATAGGTGGGTGGGTGACTAGGTTTCAAGGAGGGAAACATTTCTGAATACTTTTTGGTCTCTCAGAAAATAGGCCTCTGGTTATAATTTCAAATGAAAATAAAAAATGTTTCTGGAGTGCTTTTAGTTAGCCTAGAAGAAAAATAAAGAGAAAATGGAGCTGGCAAATTTGTTTTTAATACGACCTAATCTTGGAGAGGAGAGCGTGATCCAGAATGGTGAGCAGAAGCCTCTGACTCCATTCACAACAAATGGCAAACTGTGATTTTATTTTTCTTCTTATTAAAAAAAATTACAAAGCAAATCTTATGAAATAAGGACACTTAATTTTGAGTGATAAGAATATGCCTATTTATATTCAATTTTTTTACATTTTTATAATTTCTCAAAATAAAGAATGAGAAAAAAGATATATGCTTGTGGCTGAAAAGAGCATCGACTAAATTCAGAGATAAGTAAAAGCAGAATATGTAGTGTGTAATTGTGTTCACATTTTACATGGATTAAAAAAATAATCTTGTTGGCCAGGCATGGTGGCTCACACCTGTAATCCCAGCACTTTGGGAGGCCGAGGTGGGCAGATCACTTGAGGTCAGGAGTTCGAGACCATCCCGGGCAACATGGTTAAACTCCATCTCTATTAAAAATACAAAAATTAGCTGGGCATGGTAGTACATGCCTGTAATCCCAGCTACTTAGGAGGCTGAGGTCAGAGAATCGCTTGAACCTGAGAGGCAAAGGTTGCAGTGAGCTGAGTTTGTGCCACCACACTCCAGCCTGGGCGACAAGAGTGAAACTCCATCTCAAAAAACAAACGCAAACAAACAAATAAACAAAACCACCTTGTTTATGCTATATCAAGAAGCTCTGAAATAACTATTGCAGAAGTTCTCATCAGCACTAAATTGCCTCAGCTTAATTTATATTTATATCAAGAATTGCTCTTATCATTTTCATTCCATTTTGAAAAAATATTGTGAAAAAAACTCTTTTTAAATACCTTACTCTGATTCTTTAGAATTTTGCATTTCCAGAGGGAGCATCAGGGATCCTTATGTAATTCCTGAGTTGGGGTCCCCAAACTGGGCATTATGAATGGGGGCCCTGTTATGTACTGGGTGCTGTGTGAGGAGCATGAGTTCTCTGTCACAGAGGTAGGTGGCTGAGTGTCCCCTCTCAGAGAGATGCTTAAGGAGTTTGTAAGCACTGGGGCCCATCCTGAATGAGACTGCTAAAATCCCTTGTGCTGCAAAGCTCAGCTTGGTAGCAATAAGAGAAGGGGCACCAACATTTCTTCTGGATAATCTTCACCCTTGTCTCATGATTTGAATTCCTGTATCTTGGTTTTGGATCCCTAAAAGTCAGCTTCGACACAATAATTTGTGTGTAAATAGTTTATTATAGGTGATTCTAGGAAACTGTAGATCAAAAATAAAATTCTAAGGCCCCCCAGCCCCCCGCAACCATCTGAGTGGACTTCCTTCTTGGCCAGGGCTCTCTTAAAATTCAACTTGAGAGATTGGTTCAGGCCAGAATGGGAAGTGGGGGTCAGACATGCTTCATCATACCTCTCTGGCATTAACATCAACACAGACCTGAAGTCTGATAAGAAGCATTTACAATCCATTCTCTCTGAAACCTGCTACTTGGAAGATTCATCTGCCTGACCAAACTCTGGTCTTTATAACCTCTTATCGCAATACAGACATTTCCTATTAATTCCAGGTCTTTAGATAAACTCAACCAATTGTCAACCAGAAAAATATTAAATCTACTTATAAGCTGGAAGCTCCTCACTCCCACTGACCCCCTTGCCCCTTGCTTTGAGTTGTCCCACCTTCCTGGATCAAACCAATGTATTTTTTAAATGTATTTGATTGAAGTCCCATGCCTCCCTAAAATGTATAAGCCAAGCTGCACTGCGACCACCTTGGGCACATGTTCTCGGAACCTCCTGAGGGCTGTGTCATGGGCCATGGTCACTCATATTTGGCTCAGAATCAACCTCTTTAACTATTTTACAGAGTTTAACTCTTTTTTGTTTGCAAGACATGGGTAAGAGGTAAATCAGGGAAGGAAGGAAGCCAATACAGAATGTGCCATCAAGGCAGTTACCACGATGGGCAATTGCAGCTTTCTGCAGCTGGATAATGTTAGGGGTAGAAGGCTCTGAGTTACTGGTGGTGAATCCATATGGGTCTGCAGCAACCTCAAGTCTTGTCTCTTTAGCAGAAAGAATTTGACTGAGGGAAATAAGGCAGAATGAAAGACCAAGGCAAGTTTCAGAACAGGAGTGGAATTTTATTAAAAAGCTTTAGAGCAGGAGAGAAAGGAAAGTACACTTGGAAGAGACCCAAGCGGACAACTGGAAGGACAAGTGCAGCCTTTAACCTTAATCCTAAGATTTTATACACTGACCTACCTCCAGCATCTTGTGCCCCTTTCCCATGATTCTTCCCTTAGGATGGGCTGCCCGCATGTGCAGTGCCCTCCTTCCTGCTTGGGACGTGGGCATGAGCAGTGTGTTTAGGAAGTTGTACTCATGCACATCTGAGGCTTTCTTCCTTTTTCTGGTGGAGTGCCCACAGAAGGTCATACTCTGCTGTTTTGTCTCTTAATGTACATGCTGGGTTCACTCACCAATTCCTGAGATTTTATTGGAAGCTGATTACCAATCTTAAGTGTCTTTATCTGTTGGGGAAGTTGCCAGTGATAATTTGCTGCCAATTATCATTTTTAGAGAGGTAATGTGATAACTGCCGAACAATCGCCTGATGACTCCTGGTGGGTGGAGGGGAGAGCTCTCTTGTGCCCCATTCATGCCTGTCTAACTACCTGTCACAATAACTCTAAGAGACAGCATAGCATACTCTTTGGAGCTATGCCAAATGAGTCATGAAGAAACTGGAGTAATCATGCCTAAACTCCCTGTCTATCACTGATTAAGAACTGCTTTTGGGGCATTAACTCTTTTGCATTTCTGGCTTGTCCTCCACAGCCTCCACATTCATGGCCAGAAAGTCAAAGTCATCTTCAGGGTTGCTGGGATTTTCAGCGAGTGGTGTCCAGCATGTTGGCGTGACTGCCTAGGAGATATAGGTAGGGAACCAACAGTATCTATACAGTTCACTCCTTGCCTTGCTCAGATCCACTTGTGCTGTGTGTTAAATTCATATAGATCACTAGTTTTTGTTGTTGATGTTGTTTTGACAACAAGAGGGTTACTGGGACAAGTTACGTTTGTTATAGTTAGTTGCATGACTGCAACTCATATTTATTATCTCCTCCATCTACCTTCTATACTACTTATTCTTGATTCTCCCCACCTTCGGCTAGCATTTTTTTCTACTGCTCTAGATTTCTTTTCCAGGGAGGTAACCTAGACCTTCATCACCGAGGGGTATAAGCCCCTGGTTAGTCTGCTCTTGTCAGGCTGTAGTTGCTACAGTTGCCTATTTACGATAATCACTGACATGAAAGTGCTAAAAGTCATCACAGTGAATTCCCTGAGTTGTAGACATATATCCCCAGTTCCGCTATGGGGTTTAGCTTCATGATAATCAGGATCAACTTGTCCATGACAGTAGTAACTCCTTTCTTGGCCTCCAGGACTGGCATGAAGATCCCCAAATTATGAGGTAGTATATATTATCTTGGGTTTGGTAAAAACCTATTTCCCTCGTAGAAGCAGCATCCTCCCTTTTCCCCCTCAAAGGGAAACAGAATCCCTAGTCCAGCAGAACCTATAGTTATAAGAACAGGAAGCACAAAAGTGGGTTACTGAAAGTGGTGGTTGATGGGGTGATAGTCCTACTTCCATCCCTTGCTACCCAGGTCCATGTATTTTATGTAACAGGGACACAACACTATCTCAAAGAATAGCTTTTCAGCCCCTCAGGGTGCTGTCCCTAAGCTGGTGCTTTAGCTGGGCCCTTAAGTGGTCATTCCAAAGTTCTATCAGGCTAGTGGTTCATGGCTAATGCTGTATGATGAAGCTATATGCTATATGACATGACTACTGTCACACGCCCTTGATATAAAGTGGGTCTGTTGATGCAAGGGATGTGAAATCCTTTGATGATCAGAATGATCAATGAGACACTCTGAGCCATCAGTTCATGCAACTATGTGTGGCACTTTGGAGGAGACCACAGATTCACACCCAGAATATGTATTAAGAAGAAAAAAAATTCCTAATACCTCCAGGTTGGAAGTGGTCCAATGTAATCAACTTGCCAACTAGTGTGTGGCTGGTTCCTTTGAAGGATGATTCCACATCGAAGGCTCAGTGTTGTATTTACTGCTGACAGGGTGGACATTTGGTAGTGAGACAGCCAGGTGGGAGGGGGTCCCTAGAGAAATTCCAAGCAGCCTGTGCACTGGGGTGGAGCCGCAGAAGTTGGCATCCTTTGCAGTGGGGAGGAGCCAGGCTCCTCCTCTTCCTGTGTGGAACCTGGGATTCGAACTGCGGGGTGGGAAGTGCTCTAGCAGGGACTCTGGCCTTGTAAGAGTCCCTGTTTCCCCCTTTTCTTCCTCTTCACCCAATAAAACCGTGTCTTACTCACCATTCAAATTGTTTGCGAGCCTGAATTTTCGTGCCCATGGGAAAAGAACCCTGTCTTTGAACTAAGGAAAAGTCCTGTGACAGCAGCAGAAGTAGCTGAATCTGTCTTGGTGGGAGAAAACCCATGCTTCTGGGCTTATAAAGAAACTCAATCTGTCACCTCAGCTAATCTATTCATGGGTCTATTGTTCAAGAAATTGACAAGCACAGACATTCTCTGGCTGGCTGACATGCTTTGGACCGACCGTCTTGTCCACATGGTTGTTGAATGCTTCCTCTGTAATGGGCGTTTTCTTGTGAGTATTGATATAAGACACAATGATCAAAACAGTTTTTGCCAAAATTCACTGTTCCTTCAGTTCAGAGTCATTGCTAAATGTGACTCACCCTCCTCCCACCCTACCTGCTCAGAGCTCTGACCCTAGAAAAGAGCAGGATGCTGGACTCACTGTTTATGACCTCTCCTCACATCATTGACTTCCTTTCTAGCTAGCTGGTTGGCATTTTATCCCTTTTAAGGAGAAGACAGCTTTTCTACCATGTTGTGTTCTCTTTTCCTTTAAATGCTTTGTACAATTTTCCCTCAGATTTTGGTACTTGATCTTCTAAGCCAATCTTTTTGGCATGTCAAAATATTTTTCCTTTCACTACTGAATTTGATGGTCATGGCTTTCAAGATTTTGTATTTTCTATATCTTTGTAAAAGTCTACAAAGAAGCTCAAAGACAAGAATTTTACCCTGTTCTTTCTTTGTTCTTTAGTGCTCTCTCCTTTTTGATATTTAGCCTCTAGTTTTTGGGCTAGTTTTCACAAAGGAAGGGCCTCACACTGAGAAACAAAGTACTTTAGATGGTATTTGAAAACACTATCCTTCCTCACATGGTCTTCAAATGAAATGTTTGATATTATGTTATAAAACAGTCCCTCATATTTCCCTTTGTATGCAGCAGAGTTATAGTCAGTGCCCCAGGGCCCTTATAAAAGGAGGTGTGCCCAGGCCCCTCAGCAAGCTTTAGGTACCGGGTGCAGGTGACTGTGGGCACTGTGTGCTTGCTGCGCAGAAGAATGTGGTTGAGTCATGGAGCTGGGAATCCTGTATGTGCAGGGAAATGTGCTGGTCTCCTTTTTTAAGCCTGGCTGTGAATCTTCCACTGATCTTCTCTCTCACAGTTGATAGCATTTGTATCAGGGAAATGAGGCCTTCCTCAGGATCCTGCCTGAACCACTGAAGAAATCTGAAGGGCTGTCTCTGTAACTGCAGTTCAGTGTGACGCTGTCACCTTCCTTGACTTTCAGGGAAGGAGCATTCTGTTCCACTGGCAGTTGTCCATTTGACCCTGCTTAGGAGGAATGAAACATTTTCATATATATAGTGTGTTTGTTCATCAGTTTCATTATTTGTTTTACATTCCTGAGACTAGACCCAAGATTGTCCCCGGGATCTTTCTAAATTTCAATGCCCTGGCCGCCCCTACTTGATTCCTCCCCTCCTCATGACTCGCCTGACTCACAGGTCAGCTGCACACAGAGGAGCAGCAGCAGAGTGCTCAGTGGAGTTTCCATTCTTTCCTTTTCCTGGAGCCTCTGTGGATTCAGTTTGGAGACCTAGATTTGGCCGTGTTCACTGGGCCTAGTTCACTGTTCTAGAGTCTTCTGGTTCTGTTGGTTGGGTAGCCTTTGGGGAATCTTCATTGTTTTTACGGATAATCAAAACCTCACTGTTACATCACACACATCATTGAATGCCCTCCTCCTGCTGTTCCCTTCCCCTTGTTCTAGTTTCTGGCAGTGCCTCTGTCAAAGGAAGCACTGCCCCCAGGTGGTCTGAACTCAAAAAAATTGTTTTTTCATTTCCCCCTTAATATAAAGTAACTCGTTATGTTGAAATGAAAGGTAGACGGAACATACAGAGAGGTGAGGAGCAAACAAAAAAGAAAGAAAGCAAACAGTGTTAAAAGGAAAGTTTCTCCAGTTATGACTGTCTGAAAATCCTTTACACCTGAAACTCCCTCACTCCCCTCACCTTTAAAGAATTATGCAGGCTTTTTGCCTCTATGGCACTGTAGTACATTCTGAGGGGGGTAGGAATAGGTTGAGAGAAGATCTGATTATTTCCCTTAATTGATTATTTTTCTACCAGAGCTGTATTATATGTCTCAATCTCAGCAGCTTTAAATAAGTTAAAAGAGTTAGACCTTTTCCAAATTCTCGTTAAAAAGACAAAGGAGGAAAATGTAGTATCCTTTCTTTTAGGATGTTTTCAGGTGTGAGAAAGCAGTCTAGTAACTGGCTAACTCTGAGCATGCTAGTGCTTTTGCAAATATCCAAGTGCTTTATATTTAGCTCTGGGCACCTGTGCACACTGGTAATTTCTCATGTTTTACATATTAGTTTTCTGAAACTCTGTTTTATGGTTTCCTGTACTTGCAGCAATGACTAGGGACTCAAGATGAGGAGAGGATAGGGAAGAAAGCTCTCATCTGTTCTTTGCATCCAGGTCTCATCCTGTGGAGCATAGGTGCCTACCTATTACCCTCCCACATTTTCTCAGCTATATTTCTTGGGTAAAGCCCTGGCCCTAGCAAATCTATCCTCATTCTTTTCTTCCTTCATTTCTTTCTGTGGTCATGACATAAGTGTCTGAGCCTCTACACTGAGTCTATGAAGAATAAGAGGATCTTTGATGTTAATTGTGGATATTACTCTTCCATTCTTTTTTGTGTATGAAATTATGTAAAACAAGGAGAATTTTTTTTTTTTTCGTTTTTTGTAGCTTAGACTAGAGTTAGCTTTCTCCTGGACATGCAGGGTTTGGGTAAGACTGGACTCTACCTTCTCCTGTTTTCACATTTCTGCTTGAGAAAAAAACAATAGACACATGAGGTGGTCACTGGAGAATCTGGCTATTTGTAAACTGGTACACTTCCCTAGAAACCTTATGATCTTTCTTTTTCCCAATCAGAGCATCCCCACATCACATTAAGTCTGAAACCACAGAAATGCTAGCAAAACTTTAGTTCTCTTTGTAAAATTTTTTTTCTATTTATGAGGATACTTACCAGGAATGTCCTCAAAGAAGGGATTTTTTTTCCTAGAAAGAATAGAGGAGCTGTTTTAGATGCTTGGAGGAAGTAGCATTTACATGAGAGTTCTCCTTGGAATTTTTCTTCTCTCTTATCTCAGGTATGTGATTTCAACATTCTAGGTAGGTACTAGCAGGTATATGTCTAGCTATAGATGATTAACGATTTTACTGAGCAATGATGGACAGGGGTTGTGGCAGGTAAACAATAAATGTTGAGTGTCACTACCTCAACAAATTCACTTAACCCTGTGGAGACATTTAATAAAATGTACAAAATAGAATATGCTAATTATCCAGTTGGAGAGAGAAGAAAAACACACCTAAAAAGTCAACTAGCTCTAGGGGCCAGTGTATGATTGACATCAGCAGTTACTACTCTAGAAGCGAGGTATAGGAGCTAAGCAATTGTAGGTAAGAGTTAGTAGCTTAATAACTGATACAAGAGCCAAGAAAAAAAATCATATGATTATCTTTATTGATGGAGAAAAGGAATTTGACAAAATACAACACAGATTCATGTTAAAACATTGAAAAATAAAAACTAATAACTAATTCTTTAACATATCACATAAAACTTGCATACACCGTAATCCCAAACCAGCACCAACTTATGGGAAAGTGCTAGAGGCTTTCCTATTAAAGTAGGTGAAGGAAAAAGATGTTCATTACCACTACTGCTATCTAAGATTGTGTTGAAGCTACTTGCTAATGCAGTCAGCCCAGAGAAACAATAAGAAGCATAAGAATTGGAAAGGAAGAGATAAAACATCATCTGCATGTAAGTAGATAAAATGACTGTACATCAGAAAACCTAAAAGAGGACAAAGACCACTAGCAAAGGATTGGCTACAATTAAACATTTAAAAAATTCCTGTCATTCTTATGCCAAAACAAAAAAAAACAGAAGAAAATGTAGAAGAAAAGAGTATATTTTCTATTGCACAGAAGTGAAAAGAAAGAGAAAGAAAATTCTTAAGTGAAAATTAAGGGTAGGCAGACAGGTTAGTTAAATGGAATAGCAAATCTGTAATATGGCCTAATTGTATATGGAAATTCATGTACGATAATAACAGCGACTCAAATCAGTGGTGGGAAATGACTTTCCAGTAAGTCACTGTTCTAACAGGAATAACTTGTATGCCTCCTAGATATGAGTCTGCTGGTGACAAATGTGATTGTGATCCTGTCCCATTTAGGCCTATAGTCATTAAACTGGGGTCACGTACCTTGAGGCAAATGAGGACTTTCTTAAAACCAGCCTGCTCTAGAACATGCTTCAGGGTCCAAATGTTAAGCTGCTGCTTCTTTCCCATTTCTCTTTCCAACATCACCCTTACCTCCTACCCCTTAAAGAAAAAGTATATATCTCAACCATCCGGAATGGTGCATTGGTCCAGGGTGCTAAAAAAAAAATTCCCAAGCTGCCAAATAAAGAGACAATTTATTAGCTTCTGGAATCTGCGGGAGAGCCCTTAAAAGCTAAGCAAGAAATATTGCAAAACAGGAATATATTTCAACTGGCGACAGCCTCAATGCAAGGTTCCTTACCATATTCATCTACCTACTTTAGAATTAGAATTATGAAATGACTGGGTTGTCATTGGAACCCATCATGTAACATTCTTATTTGAATTAAAAAATGAAGTCAGGCTTTTTTTTCTGACAGAAAACACATCTTATGTGGCCAGTTTGTTGACAATGTGGGGTATGGGGGAAAGAGAAGAATTAAAGAAGATTCCAGTATTTTTGGCTATAGCGAGTGGGTGAATTATATCACTGTTTTCTTGAGATGGGGAAGAGTGAGGGATGAGCGTAAGGGAGGGAATAAGGTATGTTGTGGATATCTTAGATTTTAGATGCCAGACAGACATCTGGCAAAGATGTTATATAGATTATAGTATATATGAGCCTGGCTTTCAACAGAGAGGGGTTGGATGGAGGTATAAACCTGGGAGTCATCAATGTATGGATGGTAATTAAAGCCATATTCCTGGATGAAATCACTTAGAGAGTGCATGTAGACGGCATATATGTTTGAGGACTGAGTCCTGAGACAACACAGTATCTAGAGGTCAGCAAGAGGAAGGTGAGCTAGAAAAGGAGTGGCTTGTGAGGTTGAAAGCAAACCAGGAAAGTGTGGAATCCCCAAACTCAAGCAAAGATAATGTTTCAAGGAGAGAATAACCAAATTGTCAAATTATTCTGAGAAATTCAGTAAGATAAAACATGGTAATGGATCATTGGATTTGAGGCTATGAAACCCATTGTGACCTTAACAAAGTGATTCTGATACAAGGATAGGGATAAAAATCTGCCTGGACTGGGTTTTGAGTAAGAAAGGGGTTAGGGAGTAGAGATAAGGAATTTAGAAAGCTTTTAAAAGGTGTTATGCTATTAAGACAGACAAGGAACCAACAGGCTATAAAGCTGTTTTGCCCATTGAACCACTAATTCCAGTTCGAGGATGCTGTCTTAATGAAACGATAAAAAGTTAAATTAAAATGTATATTTAGGGGTGGATCCAAGATGGCCAAATAGGAACAGCTCCAGTCTACAGATCCCAGCATGAGCGACGCGGAAGATGGGTGATTTCTGCATTTCCAGCTGAGGTACTGGGTTCATCTCACTGGGGCTTGTTGGACAGTGGGTGCAGGACAGTAGGTGCAGCGCACTGAGCATGAGGTGAAGCAGGGCGAGGCATCGCCTCATCCGGGAAGTGCAAGAGGTCAGCAAATTCCCTTTCCTAGCCAAGCAAAGCTGTGTCAGATGGCACCTGGAAAATCGGGACACTTCCACCCTAATACTGCACTTTTCCAATGGTCTTAGCAAAGGGCATACCAGGAGGTTATATCCTGTGCCTGGCTTGGAGGGACCCACACCCACGGAGCCTCGCTCATTGCCAGCACAGCAGTCTGAGATGGAACTGCAAGGCGGCAGCGAGGCTGGGGGAAGGGCACCCACCATTGCTGAGGCTTGAGTAGGTAAACAAAGTAGCCGGGAAGCTCGAACTGGGTGGAGCCCACCGAAGGTCAAGGAGGCCTGCCTGCCTCTGTAGACTCCACCTTGGGAGGCAGGGCCTAGCTGAACAAAAGGCAGCAGAAACCTCTGCAGACTTAAATGTCCCTGTCTGACAGCTTTGAAGAGAATAGTGGTTCTCCCAGCACAGAGTTTGAGATCTGAGAATGGACAGACTGCCTCCTCAAGTGGGTCCCTGACCCCAAGTAGCCTAACTGGGAGGCAAACCCCAGTAGGGGCAGACTGACACCTCACACGGCCAGGTATCCCTCTGAGATGAAACTTCCAGAGGAATGATCAGGCAGCAACATTTGCTGTTCAGCAATATTCACTGTTCTGCAGCCTCTGCTGCTGATACCCAGGCAAACAGGGTCTGGAGTGGACAAGACACATAACTGTCAGATTCACCAAAGTTGAAATGAAGGAAAAAATGTTAAGGGCAGCCAGAGAAAAAGGTCGGGTTACCCACAGAGGGAAGCCCATCAGACTAACAGTGGATCTCTCGGCAGAAACTCTACAAGCCAGAAGAGAGTGGGGGCCAATATTCAACATTCTTAAAGAAAAGAATTTTCAACCCAGAATTTCATATTCAGCCAAACTAAGCTTCATAAGTGAAGGAGAAATAAAATCCTTTACAGACAAGCAAATGCTGAAAGATTTTGTCACCACCAGGCCTGCCCTAAAAGAGCTCCTGAAGGAAGCACTAAACAGGGAAAGGAACAACCAGCACCAGCCGTGGCAAAAACATGCCAAATTGTAAAGACCATTGATGCTAGGAAGAAACTGCATCAACTAACGAGCAAAATAACCAGCTAACATCATAATGACAGGATCAAATTCACACATAACAATATTAACCTTAAATGTAAATGGGCTAAATGCTCCAATTAAAAGACATAGACTGCCAAATTGGACAAAGAGACAAGACCCATCAGTATGCTGTATTCAGGAAACCCATGTCACGTGCAGAGACACACATAGGCTCAAAATAAAGGGATGGAGGAAGATCTACCAAGTAAATGGAAAACAAAAAAAGGCAGGGGTTGCAATCCTAGTCTCCGATAAAACAGACTTTAAACCAACAAAGATCAAAAGAGACAAAGATGGCCATTACATAATGGTAAAGGGATCAATTCTCCTATCCTAAATATATATGCACCCAATACAGGAGCACCCAGATTCATAAAGCAAGTCCTTAGAGACCTACAAAGAGACTTAGACTCCCACACAATAATAATGGGAGACTTTAACACCCCACTGTCAACAATAGACAGATCAATGAGACAGAAAGTTAACAATGATATCCAGGAACTGAATTCAGCTCTGCACCAAGCAGACCTAATTGATATCTACAGAACTCTCCACCCCAAATCAACAGAATATACATTCTTCTCAGCAACACATTGCACTTATTCCAAAATTGACCACATAGTTGGAAGTAAAGCACTCCTCAGCAAATGTAAAAGAACAGAAATTATAACAAACTTTCTCTTAGGCCACAGAGCAATCAAACTAGAACTCAGGATTAAGAAACTCATTCCAAACTGCTCAGCTACATGGAAACTGAACAACCTGCTCCTGAATGACTACTGGGTACATAATGAAATGAAGGCAGAAATAAAGATGTTCTTTGAAACCAACGAGAACAAAGACACAACATACCAGAATCTCTGGGACACATTTAAAGCAGTGTGTAGAGGGAAATTTATAGCACTAAATGCCCACAAGAGAAAGCAGGAAAGATTTAAAATTGACACCCTGACATCACAATTAAAAGAACTAGAGAAGCAAGGGAAAACACATTCAAAAGCTAGCAGAAGGCAAGAAGTAACTAAGATCAGAGCAGAACTGAAGGAGATAGAGACACAAAAAACCCTTCAAAAAATGAACGAATCCAGGAGCTGGTTTTTTGAAAAGATCAACAAAATGGATAGACCACTAGCAAGACTAATAAAGAAGAAAAGAGAGAAGAATCAAATAGACGCAATAAAAAATGATAAAGGGGATCTCACCACCGATCCCACAGAAATACAAACTACCATCAGAGAATATTATAAACACCTCTACGCAAATAAACTAGAAAATCTAGAAGAAATGGTTAAATTCCTCGACACATACACCCTCCCAAGACTAAACCAGGAAGAAGTTGAATCCCTGAATAGACCAATAACAGGCTCCGAAATTGAGGCAATAATTAATAGCTTACCAACCGAAAAAAGTCCAGGACGAGATGATTCACAGCCGAATTCTACCAGAGGTACAAGGAGGAACTTGTACCATTCCTTCTGAAGCTATTCCAATAAATAGAAAAAGAGGGAATCCTCACTAACTCATTTTATGAGGCCAGCATCATCCTGATACCAAAGCCTGGCAGAGACACAACAAAAAAAAGAGAATCTTAGTCCAATATCCCTGATGAACATCAATGCAAAAATCCTCAATAAAATACTGGCAAACCGAATCCAGCAGCACATCCGAAAGCTTATGCACCATGATCAAGTGGGCTTCATCCCTGGGATGCAAGGCTGGTTCAATATACGCAAATCATTAAACATAATCCAACATATAAACAGAACCAAAGACAAAAACCAATGACTACCTCAATAGATGCCGAAAAGGCCTTTGACAAAATTCAACAACCCTTCATGCTAAAAACTCTCAATAAATTAGGTATCAATGGGACATATCTCAAAATAATAAGAGCTATCTATGACAAACCCACAGCCAATATCATACTGAATGGGCAAAAACTGGAAGCATTCCCTTTGAAAACTGGCACAAGACAGGGATGCCCTCTCTCACCATTCCTATTCAACATAGTGTTGGAAGTTCTGGCCAGGACAATCAGGCAGGAGAAAGAAATAAAGGGTATTCAATTAGGAAAAGGGAAAGTCAAATTGTCCCTGTTTGCAGATGACATGATTGTATATCTAGAAAACCCCATTGTCTCAGCCCAAAATCTCCTTAAGCTCATAAGCAACTTCAGCAAAGTCTCAGGATACAAAATCAATGTGCAAAAATCACAAGCATTCCTATACACCAATAACAGACAAACAGAGAACCAAATCATGAGTGAACTCCCATTCACAATTGCTTCAAAGAGAATAAAATACCTAGGAATCCAACTTATAAGGGATGTGAAGGACCTCTGCAAGGAGAACTACAAACCACTGCTCAAGGAAATAAAAGAGGATACAAACAAATGGAAGAACATTCCATGCTCATGGATAGGAATAATCAATATCATGAAAATGGCCATACTGCCCAAGGTAATTTATAGATTTAATGCCATCTCCATCAAGCTACCAATGACTTTCTTCACAGAATTGGAAAACTCTACTTTAAAGTTCATATGGAACCAAAAAAGAGCCCACATTGCCAAGTCAATCCTAAACCAAAAGAACAAAGCTGGAGGCATCATTCTACCTGTATTCAAACTATACTACAAGGCTACAGTAACCAAAACAGCATGGTACTGGTACCAAAACAGAGATATAGACCAATTGAACAGAACAGAGCCCTCAGAAATAATACCACACATCTACAACCATCTGATCTTTGACAAACCTGACAAAAACAAGCAATGGGGAAATGATTCCCTATTTAATAAATGGTGCTGGGAAAACTGGCTAGCCATATGTAGAAAGCTGAAACTGGATCCCTTCCTTACACCTTATACAAAAATTAATTCAAGATGGATTAAAGACTTAAATGTTAGACCTAAAATCATAAAAACCCTAGAAGAAAACCTAGGCAATACTATTCAGGACATAGGCATGAGCAAGGACTTCATGTCTAAAACACCAAAAGCAATGACAACAAAAGCCAAAATTGACAAATGGGATCTAATTAAACTCAAGAGCTTCTGCACAGCAAAAGAAACTACCATCAGAGTGAACAGGCAACCTACAGAATTGGAGAAAATTTTTGCAATCTACTCATCTGACAAAGGGCTAATATCCAGAATCTACAAAGAACTCAAACAAATTTACAAGAAAAAAACAAAGAACCCCATCAAAAAGTGGGCGAAGGATATGAACAGACACTTCTCAAAAGAAGACATTCATGCAGCCAACAGACACATGAAAATTAAATGCTAATCATCACTGGCCATCAGAGAAATGCAAATGAAAACCACAATGAGATGCCATCTCACACCAGTTAGAATGGCGATCATTAAAAAGTCAGGAAACAATAGATGCTGGAGAGGATGTGGAGAAATAGGAACACTTTTACACTGTTGGTGGGACTGTAAACTAGTTCAACCATTGTGGAAGACAGTGTGGCAACTCCTCAGGGATCTAGAACTAGCAACACCATTTGACCCAGCCATCCTATTACTGGGTAGGTACCCAAAGGATTATAAATCATGCTGCTATAAAGACACATGCACACGTATGTTTATTGTGGCACTATTCACAATAGCAAAGACTTGGAACCAACCCAAATGTCCGTCAATGATAGACTGGATTAAGAAAATGTGGCACATATACACCATGGAATACTATGCAGCCATAAAAAATGATGAGTTCATGTCCTTTGTAGCATGGATGAAGCTGGAAACCATCATTCTCAGCAAACTATCACAAGGACAAAAAACCCAAAGACCGCATGTTCTCACTCATAGGTGGGAATTGAACAATGAGAACACTTGGACACAGGAAGGGGAAGTTCACACACCACGGCCTGTTGTGGGGTGGGGGGAGGGGGGAGGGATAGCATTAGGAGATATACCTAATGTAAATGATGAGTTAATGGGTGCATCACAACAACATGGCACATGTACACATATGTAACAAACCTGCACGTGTGCACATGTACCCTAGAACTTAAAGTATAATAAAAATATATATATAAATAAAATAAAATGTATATTTAAAGATGTTTACCACAATGCTATTTAAAATAATAAAAATTGGAAATAAATAATAAAAATATCCCCAATCAGGAAAATTATAAAGTATTGTATATCTACGGTGTGAAATAGTAGCCAATTCAAACTATAAATCCAAGGCATTTTTAATTCTAAAAATGAGAATAAAATTTCATAAAATTATTCTTACAATATGATTTCCTCATGTGCAAAAATGTAAACAAGGAAAATAAGTAAAAATAGTAACAAAAGTGGAAATTAAAAAGTAAAAATAGAAAAAGTAAGAGTTCTTATGTTTATAATGTAGAGTTATGAATTTTTAGTAGTTTTCAAAATTTTTCCCATTTGAAATTCATAAAACACACATAGGGTTATTATGGCTCTTATTTCCCATAATGAGAGTAGACCAATGATTATTTGTCTTTACATAACTCTAGTTATTTTGAGTAGAAAATGCTTCTGTGGACCATAAATTCAGCTCATAAAATAACAGAGAACCAAAAGTATCCCTCTCCCTTTTGGCTATGAGAATTATGAATCCATTGGCTGTAAATGACAGAATCTCAATTCATGCTGGCTTGATCCCCAAAAAGAATATTTTGACTTTTGCAGCTCCAGGCAGAGCTGAATTTGTAGGCTCTGATGATGCTCTCGGAAATCTGCTTTTCTTTATCTCAGCATTGTCTTTCTCCATGTCTTACTAAGATGTGAATGATGCCCTGTAAAGTTGTGCATTGAATAATATGTGGCAGCTGCACTGGGCAGAAAAAAAAAAAAAAAGAAGAAAAATGGCACATGTCCACTGACATGAAACTGTCTGCAAAGCAGTTATACTCATTTAGTGCTTACATCTTTGTGCTTAGCCTCTTTTCCACAATGGTTTTTAGTTTTGAGAAGCTGTGAACCTGTGCTAATAACTGTTTCAAATTTCCATTATATGACAGATTAAAGCAAATCTTGGATGTACCCTTGAGGACAAATCTTTTCTGTCCATGGATCCATTCCTTCTTCTCCTTTCTTTCTCGTAAATTGTTCTTTGTCTCTTTCACCCATTCAAGACCCCAAATAAATACCCAACATTCTGCGCCAAGAAAATCCTTCCTTGGCAGAAACCATGGTGAGCGAGATTATTCCAAGTCCACTGGCTGCTTTTCTAGGATGATTCATCTTGGATAGATATTCAATGCAAATAAAAGCTGCAAACTTTGACTAGAAGTTTCCACGTCTGTCACTTCATCTTTCACTGAATAATATTACCAAAAGCTGTTTTTCAACAAAATAGATTTCTCTTCCTTGTTGTTCTCCATTTCTAATTTTAAAGAGTACTTTTCTCTTTCTGAATAATGTGGAAACAACAACAAAAGACAGAATAACTGTTTTAATTTTACTATAGTGTTGATGTCTATTTTTAATGTGCTTGTTGATTCTCAAAACCTGCATCAATTAATAGAAAAATAGAGCTACAAGATCTCTAAAACTGTAGCATATTGCTGCCTGAGGAACCATTCTGTTTTATGTACTCCAAACCATCCTTTCCTAAGAGTAAACCAAATTAGACACCAAACATGTTTGTGATGATAAAAGAAAGACACAGGGGGGTAAATTAGAAATTAGCCCTAATGTCTAAGAACTGTCTGCCTGGTTTATCCTTATGGTAACTCAGTACCCGGAAGAGCAGGGAAGACTATGGGAACATATCTAAACCAGGCCTGGGTAGGTCCCAGGGTAAGTAAAATCTCGCATCAATTCAGGAGTTATTTTCAATGAAAATCATGCAAAGGTTTTTGCAGACAGACAAGGAAGAGAACGAAGTGTAAAGCAAAGCAAGATGTAGCTCTGTTTTATTTATTTGGTCTGTATTATTTGATTTGAAAGTTTGTCCTTTATGAGGTTCCTGAGTGCAGAGAAACTATTAGTGTTCCCATCCTCACCCCTAAGAAAATTCACGCTGGAAAGTGATCGGGGAATCGCGACACTTTCGGAAAAGTGTTTAGATTTTTCGTTTCCTGCAATAAGGGCTATTAGTTGATGATAGAACTACTCAGGGAAAAGGAAATTTATCTGTCCATTGAATCAATTATTATGGAAATATAGTTTTTCAGTACATTTAGAAATGTGCTTGTAAAGTAAATCTTTGATGTTATTTAACAGTTTAAATTTAGGTTAATATTAGCTCTTTCTGAAAAACAATTTCAAGATATTCCTTAATGTTGTTTATGGTAAGGATGGATAATCTCATACCATTTTCTCTTTGTCTGGAAAGAAACCCAGTTCTGGGCTGTGTGCAGTCCTCTTACACTAACAATTGTCTCAAGCCAAGATTCCCTCTTATCTCACAGCATTTTCCAATAAAAATTGGTTCTTTCAGTCATATTTGGAAACTTCTAATTTCCTAAACCTTTCTCTCTGTTATTTCTTGATCATTGCCCTTGATAAGATTATCCTGCCTGGCATGTATTCTCTTACCATCTCTCTCATTTTAAATCCTACACATGCTTCAAATACAAATCCAAAATCCAATTTCCATTAAGCTGGAAGTAGCTTTTTTTATTCACGATGCATTTTACAAGCTGTTTGGTTGTTCTGTTCTTCGATGCTATTTTCCCCCATACAAAACTTACATGTTTTAGTTTTGCACAAAATCATATCATTTTGTAATTCTGCAACATCACTGGAAATGGGCATTCTACTTTTCTTTGAATATTTCCTGTAGAAAGGAATATTTTATGCCTTAAAGCTGTCTGTTTCTTTTTGGGAAAACTCTGATTGCTAGTTCTTTTTTATAGCGAGCTGAAATTTGTTTTCAGTAAATTTTAACCATTGGCCATAAATTTGCCTTTACACATCGGTATACATATAACCTGCCATTTATTTATTTGATCATTGTTTGGTTAGTGGTTATTGGATAAAAAAATTGGTATCTCTATAAAGCTTACATCTAGTGACAGATATTATCATGTGTATTAGATAATAAGCTCTTTGTGTACAGCATAATGCCTAATACATATGTGTATATATATATATTTTTGAGACAGGGTCTCACTCTGTTGCCCAGGCTGAGTGCATTGGCATGATCATGACTCACTGCAGCCTCGACCTCCTGGGCTCAAGTGATCCTCCCACCTCAGCCTCCTAAAGTGATGGGATTGCAGGTGTGAGCCACCACGACCAGGCCCTAATATATTTTTATGTTGTCAAAGTAGATAGAGAGGAGGAAATAGAAAAGCCTCAGATAATAATTATGAAAAATATTATTTCATGCTGATTAGAAAAGGAAGCGAGTAAGTGGTTCCTCTTGTGGGGTTGTGTACAGACTGAAGTGGGGGCATCTCCATGGTTACAGGGCAGGAGTTGGTGGCTGAGTCTGTGATCTGCAGAGAGCTAAGCCGTGTTCTTAATGATTGGGGCTCTTACTCCTGCTTTCCATTTTACCTCTGAAATAATGAAAACTACAAGGACATGGTCTTTCACAGCACTGCGTCTGAAACATAAAAGCCAACAGTCTTGTGTAACTGCAGTTAAAAATAGAAGCCTCTCTTCCCTGGACACGTGTGGACTGGGACACTGCTCTACTTTCTGCTGCCTTTCTTCCCTGAGAGAAACAAGTACAGAGGGCCAGGCATCAGCTCTCCACTTTTTAAATGATTCATTTTCTTTTCCCAACTTTCCTGGAAACCCCAGAAGAATCAACTTGCACGTATTCTTTCTTCAGTCTTTCGGGAATGCCCATTGCATTTGGCTTTTCCCCTGTTCAGAAACATTTCTTTCTTTCTTTCTTTCTTTTTTTTTTTTTGAGACGGAGTCTCGCTCTGTCACCCAGGCTGGAGTGCAGTGGCACGATCTCGGCTCACTGCAACCTCCGCCTCTCCAGGTTTAAGCAATTCTCTGTCTCAGCCTCTGGAGTATCTGGGATTACAGGCACGTGCCACCTTGCCCGGCTAATTTTTTGTATTTTTAGTAGAGTTGGGGTTTCACCATCTTGGCCAGGCTGGTCTTGAACTCCTGACCTTGTGATCCACCTGCCTCGGCCTCCCAAAGTGCTGGGATTACAGGTGTAAGCCACTGCACCTGGCTAGAAACATTTCAATGTATGCCTTCAATGAAGCCACAGGACCACTAAGGAAGATCTTTGGCATTATTTATTATCGCTCCTATCCTGAGACATTTATATATTCACTAAAGGTGAAAAGCATAGAGTTATTTGCATTCAGAGCGACCAGCCAATCACAGCCACCTCTTATTCCTTTTTCTACTCCTTCCTTCCCTGCAACCCAAACAACATACAGACATACATTCAAATATACACACCTTTGCAGTCATACAGGGAAAAGCAAACTATCTGTAATCAACGCGGAGAAAGAAAAACACTAATTGCTGGTGGGATTACACATCAGAGTTGCTGAGAGGATGTCAAACACTTTTATTCTTAGTGAGTACTCTTGTGACAAGGGTCAGGGCCTTTGATCATGTCATCACCTGCGGAGCCCCTAACTCTGCACAACCAAGTCTTAACTGGATGAAGGGAAACAAAGTTGAGAAAGGTACAGCCACAGCATGTGTAACTTTAGGGATTATTTGACTGAGATGAAATTTGCCTGATTGCCTTCTTTCAAAATTTGTGGAAAATATTAAATTTGAATGACATTTAAATGGTATGGTAGAAAATAGTATTCGAAGCTGGGCATGGTGGCTCACACCTGAAATCCCAGCACTTTGGGAGGCCGAGGTGGGTGATCACTTGAGCACTTTGGGAGGCCGAGGTGGGTGATCACAGGAGTTCAAGACCAGCCTGGACAACAGGGTGAAACCCTGTCTCTACTAAAAATACAAAAATTAGCCAGGCCTGGTGGCAGATGCCTATAATCCCAGCTACTCAGGAGATTGAGGCAGGAGAATCGCTTGAACCCAAGAGGCAGAGGTTGCAGTGAGTCAAGATTGCATCACTGCAATCCAGCCTGGGCAACAGAGTGACTCTGCCTCAAAAAAAAGAAAATAGTATTTGAGAAAATATAAGTAAATGCAGTGTTTGATGAACTACTATTATTACTAATCTTTTATTTTTATTTGTATAAGTCACTATGAGTCTCAGAGGAAGAAGACCTTTTAAAGTTGCCTGGATGTTTGAATTGCTCAGAATCCAAATATTTGTCAGAGACTCAACAAACTTACCAGCACTGCCTTCTAGTTTGGTTTCACACATTATACTGACCTCATTAGTCCAAAAGCCAATTAAAAAACAAAAGTCAATAATATACTAAGTGCCATTTTTCAGAGGTCTCCTTTGCCAAAGCCTGAGGAAGGGGTGGGGAGAAAGCATATTCAGTCTGCAGAACAGCACAGACTCTGGGATAGAGGATTTGGAGACCCCACTTCCATCAGCAGCAACCTATCCAATAGGAATTAATTACAGAAGCTTCCCCATGGTGCTGTCATACAGAAACATGTGGTAAGTCATGAACGGACCTAAGGTGCCTGACACACAAGGATCATTCAGGAAATGTCAGCTACTATTGCCTGAAAATGTGAACTCGGATGTCTTCTCCCCTCTCTTCAGTCTTTTGGTCATGAGATTATTGAAGCTACTGGACACTTTCCCCAGCAAAGTGTGAGGAAGCTCACTCTGAGTGCACTGACCTGCAGAGCCCGTGGGACACTGAAGGTATTTCCTCTGAGGTCACTGACCCCCAGACTGCATCCAGTGGTCTCACAGGCTCTTTGATGCTGTGGTGGTCAGCAACACTCAGTCCAGACACAAGTGGAGACCGAGAGAAAACGTGGGAAGCAGGTGAGCTAAGTGTCCCTGAGCAAACGGTGCATTTCCTCCGGATGATATAGAGGAGAAAATTTTGATCGAAGTGTCCAAAGAGGCTTGGGCATAATGAGTGTTTGGAATGGTTGGGGAAGGAAACTAAAGAAGAAAAGGTGTGGGAGTGGATGAGGGAAAAGAGAGAAGAGCAAAGGTGACAGGCAAAAATTCCTCCTATTTTAATTTTATTATTTTAAATATGTTCTGACAACTTGGAAAAAGTTCTGAAAAGTCTGACTAGGTAAATATAAGTAAGAATAAAAGTGGATAAAGGTGAGGTTTATGAAGTTTTTAAAAATTAATTCACAGAATTATGTGTAAATTTTCATTTGTTTGTTTTGCCAGGTGAAGGCTAAATGACCCCCAAAGTGAAACGTATTAAAAATGTACATAAATGACAAATAAGCACATGAAAAGATACCCTCCATGCAAATGTCACTAGGGAATTGCAAATTACAACAATGAGCGACCTCTCCACACCAGATAGAATGGCAAAAATCCAAAACACGGACGATACCAAATGCCAGTGAGGGTGTGGAGCAACAGGAATTCTCCTTCCTTGCTGGTGGGAATGCAAAATGGTACAGCCATTTTGGAAGAAAACTGGCAGTTTCTCACAAAGCTAAACATATTCTTTGCATATGATCCAGAAATTATGCTCTTTCTTATTTAAGCAAATGAGTTCAAAATGTGCATGAATTTATAGCAGCTTCCTTCATAATTGCCCAAACTTGGAAGTGGCCAAGATGTCCTTCAATAGGTAAATAAACTGTGGTACATCCAGACAACAGAATATTATTTAGCACTCAAAAGACATGAGGTATCAAGCCATGAAACACATGGAAAAATCTGAAATGCCTATTGCTAAGTGAAAGACGCCAATCTAAAAAGGCTATATACTGTTATGACTCTAAGTATATGACATTTTGGAATAGTCAACACCATGGAAACAGTAACAAGATCAGTGGTTGTCAGGAGCTGGGGGGAGGGAGGAGTGAACGGGCAGAGCACAGAGGATTTTGGGGCAGTGAAACAACCTGTATGAGACTGTAATGGCGGCTACACGTCATTATATATTTGTCCAGACCCATGTAACGTACAACACCACTAGAGAACCCTAATGTAATCTATGGACTGTGGGTAATAATAATACGTCAATGTAGCTTCATCAGTGGAACAAATGTTATCACTCTGGTGGAAGATGTCCATAGCATGGGAGCCTGTGGATATGTGAGGCCTGGAAGTATATGGGAAACTCTCTACTTTCTGCTTAATTTTTCCGTGAACCTAAAATTGCTTTAAAAAATTAAGTCTATTTAAAAAACAAAACGAAAGTCAACAGGTAACACCTATAATTCATGTTGCAGCCAGGCACGTTGGCTCATGCCTGTAATCCCAACACTCTGGGCAGCCAAGGCGGGTGGATCAGTTGGGGCTAGGAGTTCGAGACAAACCTGGCCATCGAGGAGAAACCCCGTCTCTACTAAAAGTACAAAAATTAGCTGGATGTGGTGGCACATGCCTATAATCCCAGCTACTCGGGAGGCTGAGACAGGAGAATCGCTTGAACCCCGGAGGCAGAGATTGCAGTGAGCCCAGATCATGCCATTGCACTCCAGCCAGGGTGACAGTGTGAGACTCCATCTAAAAAAATAAGTAAATAAAATAAAAGAATAAAATGTATGTTGCAAGAAGTAGTTAAAACATATTATTTAGAAATATGGAGCTCACTGCTAGAAGATCCAGACTTAAAAGTGTAAATATTTATGGACAAGGATTGAAAGTTGGAGAGAAATAAGAAACCAGATTTGTAATACAGACTTTTCTGTACTATTCAGGAATTTAAAAAATAAACATGTACATGTGCCACTTTGGTCATAGTACTGCTAAAAATCAACAAGTAACAAAAATTGTTGGCTATTAAGCAAATATTAAAAATTAGTAATTTTTCCTTATATGGAATAAATTTCTCTAAATGAAGAAAAATTTCAGTAATAATGCAACACAGATGATACAATATTTAGCAATTGATTTAATAAGAAAAGCAGAAATCTGGCCAGGTGCAGTGGCTCACACCTGTAATCCCTGCACTTTGGAAGGTCAAGGCAGGAGAATTGCTTGAGGCCAGGAGTTCAAGACCAGCCTGGGCAACACAGTGAGACGCCATCTCTAAAAAACAAAATTAGTCAGGCATGGTGGATGCCTATAATCCCAGCTACTTTAGAGGCTGAAGTGGGAGGATCATTTGAGCCTGGGAGGTCTGTGCTGCAGTGAGCCATGATTGTACCACTGCACTCCAGCCTAGGCTGCAGAGCAAGATCCTGTCTCAAAAAAAAAGAAAGTGGAAGGTATGTAAGAAACAAACAAACATGCAAAATTTACTTTTAAAATAAGACCTAAATAGATGGATTTTTCTTTTGTGGAAAAATATAATGTCCTAAAATGTTAAACTTTCCAAAGTAGTTACAGTCAGAATGCCATTTGTTTGAACAAGATGAAATGCATAAGAGAGAACAAATATCTAGGAACTTTCAACTGCATTCTTGAAAAGGAATATTAAGATCAGTTTTTTTATGACATAAAAACTTACTCTAAACTACTCTAAACAAAACAATATGATATAAGTGAAGGATTAAGCCAATAAGCGGAACATTTAATAGAAAATACCCAAAGAGATCCAGATATTACTGTGCTGACTAGAGCATTTCAAGTCATGAGATAAATGTGAGTGTGAAATTGTTTTCATTTTTTTTTCACTTATCAATCATCTCTTTTCCACTGGGAAACAGGTTATCCTTTCTCTTTTAGTTACTAAAGCAGTTTTGTTCCAACTATGTGTGTATTCATTTTGAACTTAATTAGTATTTTAGAGTCAAAGCTCTACCCTCCACCCACACCCAGCAGGAAGACTCTGGGAGCTCCACTGACAGGTAGATGTGCTATTCTTTCAGACTTCACCCCATGTCAACCCTCAGCTGTTGGGCAGAGTGGTGGGAGAAATAAAGGACTCTCTTTTCAGCCTCTCCTGGGCTGAGGGGCCTTGTCTTCTTGGTTGCTCAGATGCTGTTTCCTTATGTGAATTTCTCAGGGTTCTGATGGAGAGGTTCCTTCTCCTTCCTGTTGGTTCTTATCTCTTCCTGGCCATGGATTCCCTCTTGGTGGCAGAAATCCAAATGTGTGCTTTCTCACAACGGTGTGCTAGTGTTTTCTTCAGGGGGCTACAGGGCCCTTCATCTGCGTGATTTCCTGGAGTGGTGATCGTTCTCAAGCTCAACCTCCTCCTCCTCCTCCAGTTCACACATGGGTCAATCCACAGCCTCCTGTGCTAGAGCCTTCCCCTAAGTGACAGCTGTTTGGAGGCAGGGTAGGTTCAGGTTCAAGTTGGTTCAGACCTATACAGATTCATTAAAACCACTAGTACATGAAAAATTGCCTCAATAAAAGGTGGGAATGCAGGCTACCACACTTTCTTTTTCTCTACTTTCTCCCACATTTTATGTCTTTGCCACAAGAACCAGAGACGCTCTGCCAGTTCAGAAGCTGATTATCTTCCAGACATGTGATGATAGCTATTCCTCAACTTAGTGGAGTGGGTGGAAGCTGGACTAGGCACCTCCGGTCATATAGGAAAGGAGTTGAGTAGGATAAGTTAAACATCTTCCTCTCTCTGCACAAGACTTGCATTTCCCCAAGATGTCACCCCTTTATACTTTTAGTCCATCCTTTAATCTCTCTTTGGTTAACATCAGTCAAACTCATTGGCCTTTCTCACCCCAGTGGAATGGCTAATAATTTCTCCTTTCAAACTGGCACTGGAGAATTCAGTGATTATTTTCACCAGCACCCAGTTCCACTGTGATTCTTACATTATTCTGTAATGTTTGGATACTGGTAAAGTTCTTAATATGGATGTATATAATTTGATTATGTTTAAGAAACATAAAATATGACAAAGACATTTCAATAGTGGAAAATAGATTTCATATATAAAAACAGTTTCCAGATGGTTGAAAGATTTTATTGTAAAAAGCAAAATGATAAAACTGTTGTCTAAGAATCTGGGAATATTTATATAAACCTGTACTATTTTTAAGTATGGTAGAAATGCAGAAGATATAAAGAAGACAGGCATATTTAACTATATACAGTTTAGAGTATATTTAGAGGCAAAGGATACCATGCTACGTGCTATAAACAAAATCAGAAGACAAACAATAGACTGGAGAAATAAAAAAAATTTTTGACATCTCTAGCATGCATTTTTAAGTGAGAAATATATAACCTAAAAGAAAAATGGACAAAGATGTAAAAGGCGATTCAGAGGAAAAATTCCAATTGGTCACACATTTATTAACAGATTTGTGGCCGGGAGTGGTGGCTCACGCCTGTAATCCCAGCACTTTGGGAGGCCAAGGCGGGCGGATCACGAGGTCAGGAGATCAAGACCATCCTGGCTAACAAGGTGAAACCCCGTCTCTATTAAAACTACAAAAAATTAGCTGAGCGTGGTGACGGGCACCTGTAGTCCCAGCTACTTGGGAGGCTGAGGCAGGAGAATGGTGGGAACCCAGGAGGCAGAGGTTGCAGTGAGCCGAGATCATGCCACTGCGCTCCAGCCTGGGCAACAGAGCGAGACTCCGGCTCAGAAAACCAAACCAAAACAAAACAAAAAAAACCCCAAGCAGATTTGTTCCACTAGGAGGGATTTTTGCCTATATTTATATAAGCAGAAAGAATAGTGGGAAAGGACACTTATCAGGTTATTAATATTATTTACTTCAGTAGGGAGCAGATGAGTGAGAATTAACTTTTTCTTTATAAAACTTTTTATTACTTCATCTATTACAATAAGCAGTATTATTTTATATTTTGAAATATATCAAATAAAAAGTTAAAGAAAAAAGAAAAATAATTAGATTAAAATAAAGTACTGTTTTGTTACCTGCTAAAATTTGAAGGAGAAAGTCAATTTAAGGACTGTGGATTGAAAGCACTGCTCAATGAATGCAGTTTGAGAGGGTTTTTCTTGCAACAGTTACCTGTTTCCTGTCCATACTTCATGAATGCTGTCCACAGGCTCACATTTTTTCAGTTTAGGGCCCGTGGATCTCTCCCAGTCCCTGTGGCAGATGAGTCTGGGGTACAAGCTCTGAGTATTTTGTTTTTTGTTTTTTTTAACTACAACTTTTATTGTTCCTCTTACTGTAGATGTCTTGAGTGCACAGAAACTGTTTCCTGAGTCTTTTGGTCTCATAACTGAAATGGTGAGAATGACAGTGTTGGCAGCTATTTGCAGGTTCACAGAACATTTTTTATTCCTTGCGTTCCTGGATGCTCCTAAACTCTGAGAAATCAGGTGAAATATTTCCTCACTGGAATGCTGCCCAAAACAAGAAAGAAAATAAGTTGAGCTATTTGCAAAGTACTTGCATTTCACAAGCTCCCCTTCTTGTGTAAAGATCCCATGTTGGGACTGAATAACCCTTTCAGTACTGCTGAATCCTGCAGAGGAAACAACAATGTCAACAGCAAAAGAGAACTGGGCAGATCTGATCTGTGACTCACAATGAGCTGATACTGAAGAGCCTTGTTTAGAAACCCCCATGTCCTGTCCGGGCGCGGTGGCTCATGCCTGTAATCCCAGCACTTTGGGAGGCTGAGGTTGGCGGATCATGAGGTCAGGAGATCGAGACCATCCTGGCTAACACAGTGAAACCCCATCTCTACTAAAAAATACAAAAAATTAGCCGGGCATGGTGGTGGGCGCCTGTAGTCCCAGCTACTCAGGAGGCTAAGCCAGGAGAATGGCGTGAACCCAGGAGGTGGAGCTTGCAGTTAGCTGAGATCACGCCACTGCACTGCAGCCTGGGCGACAGTGTGAGACTCCGTCTCAAAAAAAAAAAAAGAAAAAAAAAAGAAACCCCCATGTCTTAAGAAAATTGTCCTGACAGCAATAAAAAGCACAGCCTGGTTTCTATCACTTCTTTTTTGTCCCCGGCCCAAAGCATCTTTCAGATGTGCCCCAGGTGTCTTTCCTCCCTCAGTCCATCCCTGCCTACTGGGGAAGATGGAGGCCACAGTTGGCCGCAGCAGGTGGGGCAGTACATGTTGACAGGCCTTCTCATCTCCCTGAATAAAACATGTCTTGTCCTGCCAAAACCTAGGGCTCAGCTCTGCATGCACAGCCAGCCTCAGGCAGAGCACTGGAGTTGTGCGATGCTGCAGCCACAGAGCTGGAAACAGGGCTTCTGATATAGTGTGCAGACCTCTATCATGTCCTGACTCTTTATAGTTATCTCACATGTATGCCTGTTTTATTCCTTAGTAGAGAACAAACATCAGGTTTTGTTACCAGGGGTTCCTTGCTCCCAGAGCTCCTAAGATGGTGGCAAGCCACTTCCAAAATGGCGGTGGGCCACTTCCAAGATGGTGGTAAGCCTCGTGTTCTCTGACCTGGGGTTCTTGGCCTCACGGATTCCAAGGAATGGAATCTTGGGCCATGTGGTGAGTGTTATAGCTCTATTAGAAGCCATGGGTCATGGAAGAGAACTGTGGAACCCAGTGACTACTGTTCAGCTCGATTAGGATGAACCCAGGCACTTAGCCATGCAGGAACAATGGCAAGCCTTTAGCCCGATCGGGAGTAGCAACGGGTGCCTCACTGGATCAGGAGCACAGCAGACACCCTGCCGGATCTGGAGGGATGGAAGTCAGCGGCAGGTCTGCGACGGCAGCAAACAGCAGTGGTGGATGGTGAGCGAAAGCTCAGCTCCAGCCGTAACAAACATGGACCAGAAGAGTGCAGTTGCAAGATTTAATAGAGTGAAATAGAGTAAAAACAGAGCTCCCATACAAAGGGAGGGGACCCAAAGAGGGTAGCCGTTGCCAGCTCGAATACCTGGGTTTATATCCTGATCATTGTCCCTCCCATTGTGTTCTCAGGTGATAGATGATTGGCTGTTTCTTTACCTCCTGTTTTAGCCTAATTAGCATTTTAGTGAGCTCTCTTTCCTACCTGATTGGTCAGGTGTGAGCTAAGTTGCAAGTCCCGTGTTTAAAGGTGGAAGCAGTCACCTTCCCAGCTAGGCTTAGGGATTGTTAGTCAGTCTAGGAAATCCAGCTAGTCCTGTCTCTCAGTCCCGCCTCTCAACAGGAAAACCCAAGTGCTGTTGGGGAGGTTGGCTGATGACCACTCTAACTGCTTTCTGCTGAATTGGGGCGTAGTAGGGGTTGTGCAGTTGAGATTTCCTCAGGAGGGGGTGCCTTCGATGTCATTAACATTGGAGCGTGGGCTAGCAGGCTGGTCCAGGGGTCTGTGGTGGATCTTAGTCATGGACTGCATCTGTGGCTCCATTTGAAGAACTATTTGTAATTTTACAGCTTTGATTCTGGAAGAGACAAATTTAAGAAGGAGGTTAAAGATACAGGGATTGAAATGTATGGCCTGCAGTGCAGGGGATTATTTCTTTGGCAGACTTTACAGGCCCTGACTATCTGCTTGATAGTTTTGAAAAGGCCTGGTCCAGTAAATAATAATTTGGCCATCTCATGGGTGCTATCAATGCCTAAGTGGAAGGTTTGATGAAGGGTTTTAAGTAATTTCTATTGGTTAGCTGCAGGCAAAAGTATTTTTCCTTTATTGGTGGCTAGCCATCTGGAGGGGAGGGAAGTATGTCCTCATGAAGTTCCCTATTCTATTTCTCCTGCTGAGTACTGGGGCTTGGCTTCCCGGAGGGGATTACCCCATACTAGGGGTCCTCCTATAAGCATTTCTAATGGAGGGTCCAGCCTTGTGGCTCTTTTGACTTCAATATCAACTTGGTGGCTCCCTTGTATTTCCCTTTCCTTTCCTTTCTGATGACCCCGGCAGTGTAAAACTGCCACCTCTTTAGGTTTCTGTACAGCCAATAATAATTTCCTAATGGCTTCCTGATGTTTGATAGGTGTTCCCTCGGAAGTTAGGAATTCCCTTTCTCTCCATATTGCTGCATGGGCATGGAGGACTAGGTAAGCACACTTAGAGTCTGTATATATATTTACCCTTTTTCCTTCTCCTGATTCTAGTACCCGAGTGAGGGCTATTAGTTCTGCCAGCTGAGCACTAGTTCCTGGAGTGAGGGGATTACTTTCAAGTATTCCATTATCACTGACCACTGCATACCCCACTTTTTGAAGTCCTTTTTCTACAAAGGAACTTCCATCAGTATACAAGTTGAGGTGGGGATCAGTCAAGGGAACCTCTAAAAAGTCCCCTCGAGCGGCATAGGTTTGAGCAATTACTTGTTGGCAGTTATGTTCTATCTTTTCTTCATTGTCTGGAAGAAATGTGACTGGGTTAAGAGTTACACAAGTGCGCAGTTGCAGCACTGGCCCTTCAAGTAATAGAGCCTGATATTTAAGTAAACGGTTGTCTGACAGCCACAAGTCTCCTTTAGCAGTGAGTATGGCATTCACATCATGAGATGTCCACACAGTAAGATCTCTTCCCTGTATCATTTTAACCACTTCAGACACTAAGACTGCTACTGCCACCACTACCTGTAAACAATGAAGCCAATCCTTTGCTACTACATCAATTTCTTTACTCAGGTATGCCACGGGTTGCAAGCTAGTCCCTCAGACTTGTGTGATGGCTCCTAGAGCTATTCCTGTTTTTTCTGTGACATATAAAGAAAAGTCTTGCCCCTTGGCAAGCTTAACACTGGGGCTTGGGTTAGGGCCCTCTTTAGGGCCTGGAAAGCTGCTTCTGCTTCAGGTGTCCATCTTACTAAATGGGTATTGGCTTTCTGAGTTTCTTTAATTAGTGTATATAATGATCTGCCTATTTTGCTGTACCTGGGAATCCACATTCGGTAGAAACCTGTTATGCCAAGGAACCCTCTTAGTTGCTTTAGGGTTTTGGGAAGAGGATAAGCCAGTATAGGCTGGATGTGTTCCTCACTGAGGGCCCTCAAGCCTTTGGATAATTTTAGCCCTAAGTATTTAACCTGCTGTGAGCAGAGCTGAGCCTTTGGTTTGGAAACCTTGTAGCCACAGGTGGTGAGGAAATTTAAGAGCACTTGGGTGGCTTGATGGCACAAGGTTTCTGAACAGGTGGCTAAAAGTAAATCATCCACATACCAAAGGACAAGAGTGTCCAGGTATGAGAATTGGCTCAAATCTTGGGCTAATGCCTGGCCAAATAGATGGGGGCTATCCCTGAACCCTTGGCGTAAAACAGTCCAGGTGAGTTGAGACGTTGAGTTTGAAGGATCTTCAAAGGCAAACAGGAATTGGGAATCAGGATGTACAGGGATGCAGAAGAAGGCATCCTTAAGGTCCAGGACTATATACCACTCTGCTTCCTCTGGTATTTGGGAAAGCAGAGTATAAGGGTTAGGTTCAGCTGGGTATAGAGGAACAACAGTCTCATTGATAATCCTGAGATTTTGCACTAACCTCCACTGTCCGTTGGGTTTCTGTACTCCTACAGTTGGAGTACTGCAGGGGCTACTGCATGGTTTTACTAGGCCTTGGGCTTTTAGGTCCTTAACAGTTTTTTGGAGTCCTTGTTGGGCCTTGGGTCTAAGGGGGTACTGCCTTTGGTAGGGAAAGGAGGCGGAATCCTTTAGTTTAACTTGAACAGGATGGGCATTCTTTGCTCGTCTATATTGTCCTTCTGTTGCTTAGACTTCAGGATTAATTCCTTTCTCAAGCAGGGGACAACAAATGGGTGTTCCTTCTGCTATGTTCAGGTGTATAATGGCCCATGCTTTTGCTAGAATGTCTCTCCCTAACAAGGGAGTGGGGCTTTCACGCATAATTAGAAAAGCATGTGAAAAGAGTAAAGTTCCCCAGTCACAACTCAGTGGCTGGGAGAAGTATCTAGTGACTGGCTGTCCTAGGACCCCTCGGATAGTGACAGATCTGAAGGACAGTTGTCCAGGACAGGAGAGTAAGACTGAGAAGGCCACACCAGTGTCCAAGAGACAGTGAACCTCCTGGCCCTCAATGGTCAAGCATACCCAGGGCTCTGTGAGGGTGATGGCATGGGCTGGCGCTTGCCCTGGGCATCCTCAGTCCTGCTGCTGGATTATCTGGTTAGTGGCTTCTGACTCAGAGGACCTTCATCTCCTGGGGCAGTTGGCCTTCCAGTGATTCCCTTGACATAAGGGGCATGGACAAGGGGGCAGCTTGTTTCTACTTGGACAATCTTTTTTAAAGTGTCCTTGTAGACCACACTAGAAGCAAGCCCTGTTAGGCATTCAATTTGCTCAGCTTTTCCCTTTTCTGGAGCCTCCAAAGTCCATTTGCCTGAGGGCCACGACTAAAGCAGTCACCTTTTTTTTTTTTTTATCCCATTTGTCCCATTCCCCTGCTCTTCCTGATCTCTATTATAAAAAACTGAGGTTGCCAAGTTCAGTAGGGTTTCTAAGTTTTGCTCTGGGCCTAAGGCATACTTTTGAAGTTTTTTCTTAATGTCTGCAGCTGACTGAGTGATAAACTTATCCTTTAAGATTAGTTGGCCTTTAATAGAGTCAGGTGACAGGGAGGTATGCTTCCTCAATCCTTCCCTTAGTCTCTCCAGAAAGGCAGTAGGATTTTCTTCCTTTCCCTGTGTTATAGGGGACATCATTGAATAATTCATGGGCTTCTTCCTAGTTTTCCTTAGTCCTTCTAGCACGCAAGTTAGCAAATGTCTGTGGCACCAATCTCCAAGTTCTGATTCTGTGTCCTAATGAGGGTCTACACTGGGAACTGCCTGCTGGCCTGTGGGGAATCATTCTCTTTCATCTGTTGTCATCCTATCATTGACCTGACTGAGATACCAGAGTTCGCCAAACTCTCAGGCTGCTGTTATGGCAGCACTTTTTTCATTTGGGGTTAGTGTCTGATTTAGCAGTAACATTATATCTCTCCATGTCAGATCAAAGGATTGTCCTAACCCTAGTAAAACATCAATATAGCCATCAGGGTTATCTGAGAATTTACCTAGGTCTATTTTAATTTGCTTTAAATCTGAGAGAGAAAAAGGTACATGCACGCTGGCTGGGCCAAATTCTCCTCCCACTGCTTGGAGCGAGTATAATCGTGTAATATTGGCACTCTTTGGTTCATTGTTTACCCCTTTGTCTATCTCCTTTTGGACCATTTGGGTTGAAGGGGGGTCCTTATTAGTTGGAGAAGGAGTTGGGGTCTTGCTGGGGTAGGGAGGTAGACTCTGAGGGCTTCCTGTAGGGCATAAATCACACTTTTTACATAATTGGGAGTTATCTCTTAATGAAAAGAAAGTTTGTACATATGGCACTTCACTCCATTTGCCTTCTTTTCTACAAAAGAGGTCTAGCTGTAAGATGGTGTTATAATTTATACTTCCCTCAGGAGGCCAGGTTTCTGCCCCTTGAAGAAGATATCGTGGCCAGGTGGTACTGCAGAAGAATATAAGTCATTTCTTTCTTAGTGTCTGATGGTCAGATTGGTCCCATTTCTCCAGAATACATCTTAGGGGCATTTCTGCCTTGGGGGGAACATTTCCCATCTGAAAAAAGAACATAGGGATGCCAGTACCCCTAGTCATTTTCCGATGAGCATTAGTCCTAGAGTGTCCTCTATAGTCCTAATGCTTATTCCTTTCCAGGGTGCGTAACCACCCATGGACCTCTGCTTATCGGATTAGTTATGCTTACCAGTGTAGCAGTCCTGCACCTGTTTTCCCACCTTTCTTGACCACAAAGAAAGTGGTCCTGGCTGCTGGATTCTAGCGGTCCTTTACCAGCATGCCCAACATTGCCTTTGCTCTCAGGGGTGAGTCCTAGATCTGGGCTAGTTTCCTGAGTATTTCATAACAACCCAGCTGCCCCATCAAGATGCATTCCCATAAACAACAGTTCTTATGCAAATTCATTTCAGAGAGGGTGTAGGTAACCTTTTGAGTCAGGATTGAGATAGTCTTTTGATTCTGTAATTACTTTAAGGCTTGGCTGAGTGCAAACAGCTCGCACATTTGAGGAGACCAACTATTGGGCAATTTTTCTAACTCTGCTTCCGCAAGAGTCTCCTTATCAATTACTGAATACCCATTGTGGTTTTTTCCTCAGTCACTTGGGAGGAACCATCTATCATCCTGTCCTGAAGGGAGTTCTTCCTAGGTCTGGTCGGACCTTTGTATGGTAATTAAGATTTAAATCCCCTGTTAGGAAATCTGCTAGGTTAAGGGAATTATCAGAGGTTGGAGTTACATTACCCTTTTCTAACAGAATAGCCCCATACTTTAAGATTTTTGAGTTAGTAAGCTACCTTTTTGCTTTTTTGACTTAGAATAATTCTGAACTGGTGAGGTGTGCTCACAATGAGGTTTCCTCTAAAAGTTACTTTTCTGCTTTTAGCAAAGCAGTTGCCGGTACTGACTGAATGCATTTGGCCCATCCGTGGGTTACTGGGTTAAGGATTTTTGATAGGAAAGCTACAGGTTGTCAGTGGCCTCAGTGCTTTCGGGCTAAGCCCTTATTTACACTGACAACAAAGTGTAAATAAAAAAGTATTGGAGTGTTATAGGGTCATGGACAAGACCTTCAATTATCAATTACAGGTTTTAAATTTACCCTGGCTTTTAAAGGAACAGGGCACACTTTTCTTTTTCTATTTCTATCTTTTTCTCTTTGACTCCCTCTTTGTCTCTCTCTCCATCTTTGTCTCTCTCTCTCTCCATCTCTCTCTCTCTCTGTCTTCTCTCTGTCTCTCTCTCTTAGCCATTACAAACTTGGGGCCCTGACAAGGGTGGTGGGGAATGTGTCCCACATAACAGCCCATGTTGAGAGCCGTATACCTAAATTGGGAGGGACACCAGGGATAAGACTCCCTGGGTTATAGCCTAAGTGCCTAAGGACACAGTGTAGAGCTTCCTTAGATCCCTTTGGAGATACAACTTGCTAGAGGAAATGAAAGTCTGAACCATTAGTACCTAGGAGGCAGGGATCAGAGGAAGTAGATTCAGAGGTAAGGAGAATTTTGGGGCTACACTTTCAAGAAAGTTGTGGTCGGGACCCAGGAGGTATGGGCGACTGTTGACTAGAGACTTCTGGCTGCGCCATGGTCTCAACCGGCTACTGCTGGGAGTTCTGGATGAGAGCTTTCTGCCTCTAGTCAGTCCTCCACTTCCCCAAGAAAGTTGAAAGTGGGAGCTGGCTCCAGGCAGACCAACGTCCCCAACCCAGAAGGGTTGGGGGTTGTTAGAAAGCTCTTCCCCAGATAGCCTCACACCTGAATCTTAAGTCCGGTGGCCACGCTAACCATTTTTAACTGGCAGACAGGTGCCCAGTATTTTCCTCCAATTCTAAGGAAGGATAGGACAGAATAGTGAGTGAAAGTGGTCCAATATTACCACTACTTTGGAGGTCCCTTCATGGTCACCAAAATGTTACCGGGGGTCCTTGCTTCTAGAGCTCCCAAGATTGTGGTGGGCCACTTCCAAAGTGGCGGCAGGCCACTTCCAAGATGGTGGCAAGCCTCGTGTTCTCTGACCTGGGGTTCTTGGTCTCACAGATTCCAAGGAATGGAATCTTGGGCCATGCGGTGAGTGTTATAGCTCTATTAGAAGCCATGGGTCATGGAAGAGAACTGTGGAACCCAGTGACTACTCTTCAGCTCGATTAGGATGAACCCAGACACTTAGCTGTGCAGGAACAATGGCAAGCCTTTAGCCCAATTGGGAGTGGCAATGGGCGCCTTGCTGGATCAGGAGCACAGCAGACACCCTGCCAGATCTGGAGGGATGGAAGTCAGCAGCAGGTCTGCGATGGTGGCAAACAGCAGTGGTGGATGGTGAGCGAAAGCTCAGCTCAAGCCATAACAAGCATGGACCAGAAGAGTGCAGTTGCAAGATTTAATAGAGTGAAATAGAGTGAAAACAGAGCACCCATACAAAGGGAGGGGACCCAAAGAGGGTAGCCATTGCCAGCTCAAATGCCTAGGTTTATATCCCAATCAGTTTGATTCCCCACTGTTGAGTAATTAAAATAGAGATATGCTTCTTTGGTTGGAGACAAAGAAATGAGGGAAAAAATGAACAACATTGACCATTGTGTTGCATTGAAAAATTTCCAAAATATGGGAGAGAGGGGTTTTTGTTATTTTTATTTTTATTATTAGTATTTATTGCCTAATAGCCATAAGAACAGAGCCAAGTGAGAGGTAATTTTCAAGAGAAATCCTACATACAAATTTGCTTGGGATATTAGGTTTCTGTGAAGAAAACCTTTCTCTTGCCACTAAACATGTTGGAAATGAGAAAGACAGAAGAACTTTCTAAAGTCAGAAGATTTGATTTGTCTTTCATTCTGCCACTTACTAATTATGTGACCTTGGCAAATTAATCTTTCTGAACCTTAGTTGTCTACTTTGTGGAGAAATAATATTATTACTATCAGTATTATTAAATATAGCATATTGATAGAATGATTTACTTTACATGAATTAAAAGGAAATGAGATGATCTCTATCAACCTGGCTAGTCTTCAAGTCTATTTTGTTGAGTAAAATGAAAGGAAATTGTGGAGAAAAACATATCATATGTAACATTTAGTTAAAAAATGCCATAAAATCATAGTTTATATTTCCCATGAGTATGTACATTTATATGTGCGTATTAATAAAGATAAAGAATTTAAAATGTAAATTATAAACGTGTCAATTGAGAAAAATGGTGAGACAAGTCTCAATCATTTTAGGTTTGTTTGCCAAAGTTAAGGATGTGTGCCCAGGAGACAGGTCTATGACTTTCTCCGAAGATGATTTTGAGGGCTCCAGATTTAAAGGGGAAAGGGTGGGATATTGAGAAGTATACAATTTTTAGGTAAGAGAAGGGTAGGGAAAAATAGTTATTCATGCCTTTGTCTGGCTTAGTGAATCTGCTTTTTTTTTTTTGTATAAGATGACATAGATAAATGGGGCAGAGGAAAAATGCAGGGAATTTGCATTTTTACACAAGATAACATAGGCAAAATGGGGCAGGGGAACAATCAGATGTGTATTTATGTCTGGTGGACAGGGGTTGACTGCACCTGTAAAGATAATAAGCTATCAGTTTACATTGCCAAGGCGAAATTTTTTTTTGTTTTTTGTTTTTTTTGAGATAGAGTCTCACTCTGTTGCCCAGGCTGGAGTGCAGTGGCACGATCTTGGCTCACTGCAAGCTCCGCCTCCCAGGTTCACACCATTCTCCTGCCTCAGCCCCCGAGTAGCTGGGACTACAGGCGCCCGCCACATGCCTGGCTAATTTTTTGTATTTCCAGTAGAGATGGGGTTTCACCACGTTAGCCAGGATGGTCTCAGTCTCCTGACCTCGTGATCCACCCACCTCGGCCTCCCAAAGTGCTGGGATTACAGGCATGAGCCACCGCACCCGGCCTTCCAAGGTGAAATTTTAACAGAGACACTATAGGGTAAAGATCTTGCAGCTCACTAGGAATTTCCTTGTGGGCAAAATATGGTGGAGTCATGTAGCTTTTCATCTTGTAGCCATCTTATGTAGGAACTGAAAGGGCAAGGCAGGTTTGCATGGCCCAGTTCGCAGCTTAACTTTTCCCTTTGGCTCAATGAGTTTGGGGTCCCAAGATTTAATTTCCTTTCACAAACCCAGAGCAACATTTAGCTCTGGGAAAAGAGAACAGATGAAAACATGAGCAGAGAGGACTTAAGCTTTATCTTTAATGTTCCAACTTAAAAAAAATGACAAGGTATATAGCCTTACCTAATCTTCCTTCTTGGAAAACCAGAGATGGTTTTCCCATGTGATGTCAATGAAGAATTCTTAATTTTTGGTACAATCAGCTCAATCTTCTAGCTACTGAGTCTACTGCAGAGAAAATAGAAAAGAACTGAAAATAGTTTTTTCCTTATTTGCCCATATCAAAGATAGGTTTGAGACACAAATAATATTTCAGCAGAGTTTCTGTCAGCAGGTCTTGGGGAATAATGAAGAAGAGGACTTAGTTAAGGGAAGGGAACCAGAAAATTGATGCCCCAGAGTTGAAGAAAGGAGAAACAGCTGAGGCACAGAGCTGGGGTTGAGATCCTTGTTTGTTTGTTTTTCCACTAGCTACAACATTTGGAGTCAAGAGAATTTTTAAAATGTTATTTATTGTAGGCACAAGTTCACAGTTATTCCATGAAAAAAATAAAAATTAAAATATTGCAAGTACATACACTAAATAATTTCATACTTTCAGTTTTGCATCAAAACTTCCAGTTTTTATCTATGTGCTTCATTCATTCGATATTAGTGTGAGCATATGGTTATTATAGGAACTCTATGTTTTCTCTAACTGTATGTCAAGAGCATTACTATGTTTTTAGTATTATTAACTCATTAAATAGTTGTAAAGTATTCAGTCAAGTTGCCATCCAAATTCCTCTAACTGGTTGAGAAATTTTTACTATTTTCTTGCCTAGAGGGTTTTTTCTACTTAAAATCAATCTTTAATATAAATTCTGAGAAATGGATCAAAGGTGTTCATTCAGTTTCAAACAGTTCAAAGGCATGAACTGTTTAATGAATCTCAAAATCCCTTTCCAAGTAATTCACTGTGTAAAAGATTGTACCAATATATTGTGTTGCTACCAGCAGGGTGTGAAAATAACTTTGCACAAACTGAAAATGAAAAAGATTACATATTTTATTTTATGCATTAGTGAATGTTTCCCATAGTTCATTGTTTTTAAAAGTTAGTTTTAAACAGATCTTTGAAAATTATTCTCTAATAAAAGTATTTTTCACTTTTTTATAAAAGAAATTATTGTGATATTATTTGCATATTTGTCCCAACCCACATCTTATGTTGAATTATAATCCCCAATGGTGGAGGTGGGGCCTGGGGGGAAATATGTGGATCATGAGGGCAGATCCCTCATGACTTGGTGCTGTCTTTGCAATAGTGAGTGAGTTCTCACAAGATCTAGTCATTTAAAAGTGTGTGGCTCCTCCCCCTCACTCTCTCTGTCTTGTGTCTGTTCTGGCCATGTGACATGCCTGCTCCCCTTTTGCCTTCTGTCATGATTGAAAGCTTCCTTAGGCCTCCCCAGATGCCAGCACCATGCTTCCTGTAAAGCCTGAAGAGCCATAAGCCAATTAAACCTTTTTTTTAAATAAATTACCAAGTTTCAGGTATTTCTTTATAGTGGTGCATGAAAGGCCTAATAAAGCAAATTGGTACTGAGAAGTGGGGCATTACTATAAAGATACCTGAAAATGTGGAAGCAGCTTTGGAACCAGGTAACAGGCAGAGGTCTGAGAAATTTGGAGGGCTCAGAAGACAGGAAGATGAGCGAAAATTTGGAACCTCTTAGAGACTGGTTAAATGATTGTGACCAAAATGCTGATAGTGATATGGGCAATGAAGGCCAGGCTGATGAAATTTCAGATGGAAATGAGGAACTTATTGGCAATTGGAGCGAATGTCACCCATGCTATTCCTTAGCAACAAACTTGGCTGCATTGTGCCCCTGCCCTAGGGATTTGTGGAAGTTTGAACTTCAGAGTGATAATTTAGTATATCTGGTGGAAGCAATTTCTAAGCAGTGAAGCATTCAAGAGGTGACCTGGCTGCTTCTAATAACCTATGCTCAGATGCAGTAGCAAAGAAATGGCTTAAAGCTAGAACTTGTATTTTAAAAAGCAGAGTGTAAAAGTTTGGAAAATTTGTAGCCTAGCCATGTGGGAGAGAAAGAAAAAGATTTTTCAGGAAAGGAATTCAAGCAAGCCTCAAAGCAACTGCTTGCCAGAGATATTTGCATAACTAAAAGACAGCCAGATAGCCAAGACAATGGGGAAAAGGCTTCAAAGGCATTTCAGAGATGTTTGCAGCAGCCCCTCCCATCACAGGCCTTGAGGCCTAGGAGGAGAGAATGGTTTCAGGGGCCAGGTCCAGGACTCTGCTGCCCTGCACAGCCTCAAGACACTGCTCCCCACATCCTGGCCACTCTGGCTATGACCCAAAGGGGCCCAGGTACATCTCAGGCTGCCACTTTGGAGGGTGCAAGCCATAACTCTGGGCAGCTTCCATGTGGTGTTAAGCCTGCAGGCACACACAATGTAAGAGTGAAAGAGGCTTGGCAGCCTCCACCTAGATTCAAAGGATGTATGAGAAAGCCTGGGTGCCAAGGCAGAAGACTGCTGCATGGGGAGAGCCCCCACAAATAACCTCTACTAGGGCAGTGTGGAGGGGAAATAGGAGTTGGAGGCCCCACACAGAATCCTCACTGAAGCACTGCCTAGTAGAGCTGTGGGAAAGGGGTCACCATCTTCCAGATCCCAGAATAGTACATCCACTGGCAGCTTGCACCCTGTGTCTGGAAAAGCCAGACACTCAACAACCTATGAGAGAAGCTGTGGGGGTGGCACCCTGCAAAGCCACAGAGGTGGAGTTGCCCAACGCCTTGGGAGCCCACCTCTTGAACCAGTGTGTCCTGGATGTGAGACATGGAGTCTAAGGAGATTATCTTGGAGCTTTAAGATTTAATGGCTGCCTTGCTGGGTTTTGAACTTGTATGAGACCTGTGGCCCCTTCTTTTGGCCAATTTCTCCCTTTCGAAATGGGAATGTTGACCCAATGTGTATACTCACATTATATCTTGGGAGTAAATAACTTGTTTTTGACTTTACAGACTCATTGGTGGAAAAGCTTGACTTGTCTCAGATGAGACTTGGGACTTTTGAGTTAATTCTGGAATTTGTTAAAACTTTGGAGGACTATTGGGAAGGTATGATTGTGTTTTGCAATGTGAGAAGGAGATGAGACTTAGGAGGGATCAAGAGTGGAATGATATAGTTTGGATATTTGTCCCCATCCAAATCATGTTGAATTGTATTCCTCAGTGCTAGAGGTGGGGCCTGGGGGGAGGTGTTTGTATCATGGAGGTGGGATCCCTTATGGCTTGGTGCTGTCTTTGCTTTAGTGAGTGAGTTCTCACAAGATCTGGTTTAAATAAAGTGTGTTGCATCTTCCCCCTCACTCTCTCTCATTTGCTCCTGCTCTGGCCATGTGACATGCCTGCTCCCCCTTTGCCTTCCACCATGATTATAAGCTTCCTGGGGCCTTCTGAGAAGCCAACCAGATGCCAGCACCATGCTTCCTGTAAAACCTGCAGAACCATGAGCCAATTAAACCTCTTTTCTTTATAAATTACACAGTCTCAGGTATTTCTTTATAACAGTGCAAGAATGGCCTTATACATATTTTTTAAGGTGTCATTTGCTGTCTGATTTCCAAGCCCTCCTAGTGACTGGGGCAGTTACTCAGCAGCCAGTGTGGTGCAGGCTTCACTGTGAACTGCTAGACCTTGAGGTTTCCGGCCTGCAAGCAGTAAGGTGCTAGTGCTGCTGCAGACTATTGAATAAGGCTCTAAATTAAATCTTCCTTCCTCTTTTACCTTTCATCTATCACCAGTCCAAACAAAGATGCTAGGCTTTGCTCACATCCAGATTAAATGATAGGATTCTGTTAGGAGTGTAGTTTGAACCAGTGCAGGAAGTGGCAGGTGCCCTCTTCCTCTACCAGGTGGGCTGAGGACCCACTGCCTCACTTGGCCTCTCTTCTCCATCTAGGGAGGTCAGATCTGACACCAGAACATGGCTGTAGTCTTCCCAAGAATTTCTCTCTTCTCTCCCACCACCCACCTAATGCTAAATGTCTTTCTCTTCTCTTTAGTCTTGTGAGGAACTCTCTCCTGTTCTTGTTCAGATCACGATAAATGCCCAACTGCCCTGGTCTATGAACTCAGGAGCTAGTGTCTCGGGGTCCTTTTGTCCTCTGATTGTTGGATTTGCTGAGCATACACTTTTAAAATCCTGGCACAATGACCATTGATCCCTGGGCAAAGAAGCCTTCTCTATCTAGGTCTTGCATGTATGTTTTTAGGGTTATTATTATTATTATTGTTATTGTTGTTATTATTTTACCAGTAGGAGTATATAGAAGATTCTCAGATAGTGAAAGAAGGGTCCTTTGAGGTCAAAGTAGTTAGACAGAGAGGGAGAGCAAGAAAAGATATTTGCCATTTGCTGAGCATGTAGGACATGCTAGGCACTTAATCCAAGTGTTAAAACCATGTCTCATAAAAGCTTACAAATTAGAATTGCTATCTAATTTCAGGAAATGGAAACTCTAAAAGCTCAAGCTATTTGCCTACAAATTACTATATATAGCTATTATTAAAGCAGAATTCTCCTGATCCAGTGTCTTCCACTTACAATGACGCCTTTGCAAAAAAAAAAAAAAAAAAAAATCAGTGTGGTTATAACAAATGCTCTCCTTCCTCCTGTGCGCTGGTGTTTTTGTATGACACCCCTAGAAAGTGTTCTTTTTGTGCATCTCAGCACACAGTAATATAAGGCAGTGTCTGCAGGAACCAGATTTCTAATGTACACATTTATTGCATTTGCTGTACTCTTTGAATAAACTTTCCTATGGCAAAACTGGCATCTCCTTTTCCAGAATATCCCCACCCTCTGTAGAGAATGTATTCTGATGCCTGGCTCGGATACTGTCAAAACCAGCAGAGATCAAGATAGCTCCCCGATGATGTACCATAGTTACAAAGTAGGTTCACAGTCTTCCCTTCTGTTCCAGATACTTCTGTCTCCTGGGGCTTGATCCAGTCTGCTCTCCCAGACCCTGTAATGTAAAACACTCAACAGTCATAGGTCAAACCAGCCACCTTCTCCAGAAGGGCCACTCTGGGTACAGGATAGGGCTGTTACCTTGGAGAGCCAGTGTTAGAAGTGAAGTGAAGATAAAGTTGCTATTCATTGTTTCTTCTGGATTCCTGATTTATGACCTTATGTTTTTCAGTGACTGCTTCAAACTGGTAGCATTTCATAATCAAGTCACTGAGATGAGTTTTCTGGAAGCTTTTTATCACAACTCACAGGTCAAAAGTGGGAGGATCTTAACCATGTAGATTTTTTTAAGGAACAGAAACACCTATTTTTGCAGTGACTTTGAGAAACACTCTTTGTTTGAAATAAGTTGAATTCCCCACATCTCTACAGACTTATTTTTTCATGTTCATTGATACAGGTGAAATGGAAAGCAAAATGCTAAATAGTTAATAGTGGTAATGTCTGTAGGTTGAGGTTATAAATTTTTTTTAATTTGTTTTTTCTTTTATAACAAATGGATATTTAGTCTTAGCATTAAAATACATGTTATTTTGGTGACAGGTTGATCTTTTGAGATGTAAATTGTTTGGTTCTCATTAGGATAGGAAACAATAAAGAGTGAAAAAAGAAACTTCCCCCTTCCAACTGCACATTCCCATCAAAGACAGCTAAATCTCTGGCTTCTAAATCATAAACTCTTCACACCGCAGAGCCAGACACACTGGGCATCTTGCATAGGGTTTCCCGCTCTATTTTTCAGTCTTAAATAAATGACTGTCAGAGTTTCCTCTTATATCCACTGTGTGATTTCTGGGTTTTGATGCAGATAGAAAGGAGAAAGGAAAATGGACAGAAGACTGTGCAGGCTAAAAATGGCAGGATACATTCTATTAATTTTTATACTGTTTCTTCCCCTCCTCTTTGAATGTTTACCTGCCCTTTTCTCAGGCTATCTCCCCATTTCCCAGACAGTGAAACCTAAACCATGCCCAATTTGCAATGAATTGTCTAATGAACTCACAAGCACGGGTGGCCTTTACTGCCTGTCCTCTCCTACACAGAGATGGGATATTAAAGCATTCTACCCATAGGACAGTCATTCAAATAAATTCTCAGGAGAAATAGGTCTTCTTGTAATTTTAAAACATTCCCAATTGAAGAGAGCACTAGTCTACAGTGATTTGAAGAGCTAGCAATCAAAAATCTTGTTTTAATGCTGTATCATTTGGCTATGTATAGTCATGTCTATTCCTCATTGTAATTAAGCTACTGTGAGTGTCAGATAATTATCATATAATGCAGTTCAGCCTACTTGGATTTTGGTATTTTAAAATGTATATTTTTCTTTCTGAAATAATAATAGTATTGAGTTCATAGTAGATAATCTGAAAAATAAAGAATATTATAAAGGAGTAAAACAATGAACAGTATTAAGTTCAGTATTCAAAGATAACTAATACTGTTGCAAACTTTTGGAGTTATTTTATTCACATATTATTGCAAATGTTATTTTATTTACATGTTGAACACATTATTTTCGTATTTTGTGTACATTTTTTACACATAATTGTGGTCACACTGTGGGTAAATTTTCTCCTCAGTGATGTTTAACATCAGGGCATGTAATAGACAAAGTATAGTTTGGAGTCATAGACCTGATTTCAGATTCTGTTATAGTTATTTGTCTGGGGTAGGAGGTGGGGAAGGGGGCTTAATCTTTCTGAGTCTGCATTTCCTAATATGTTAACAGAAAGTAATATTGATGATTTATCAAAGTGATTTTGAGAATTCAATGAGATGATATTTGCAAAATACAAGGTACATAATACTTGCTTTCAATAAATGGTAGCTTCCATTGCAAGCTCTTTGTAAATACCATACATATGATTACATAATTCATTGAAAGAGTGTATCACAACATAAGTAGGCTAAGTTTATGTTAGCTTCACATAACTTACTTCAACTAACTCCTTTCTTTTCGTAGGCTGCTTAAGGTTCTAAGTACACAAATTAATGTGTAATATCTTGAAAAATTCTATCACCACTTTAATGAAGTACCTAGCATAGGCAACAATCCTAAAATGAAGATAGTAAGTAAGAATAATGCAACTGAGAATGAAAACCTTTTGTTTTAATCAGGTAATGATACCTGCTTGTTCCTACCCTTTGTTCTTTGCTAGTAGGTCCAGAAAAAAATGTTATAGGCAGAACTTTACCTATAAATGTGCCTGTCCTGGGAAAGAAGCTAAAACATCCATAGCTGTTAGGTAGATTCCCTAATGTGTAGTGCACATATCAGTTGCCTGTACAATCCTGATAAAAGGGCTTGCTTTCTACCACAGAGCATAATGGTGTGGCAATGGAGTTAGTATCCTGAGTGACCCTCTAGAAATATTAGCTATGCTGAATCCCATAGAAAACTCACAGAGAAAGTAGTGAATGCAGCGATATGACTCTGAGTTAGGATTCAGTAAACTGCAAAAGTAATTGTCAACATAGGCACAAGGATTTTGACCAATAACTGCTTTTCCGTATAGTTTATTTTTGAGGGCTTGCTCAATGTAGCAAGTTCCCCATCTTACAGTTGCAGAGCCTCAGCTGTAGAATTTGAGTACAGGCTGCAGGTGACTAGGGAGCACTGTGCCTCCACAGCACAGAGGTAGATGGCCGAGTCTCCGGTCTGGGTGGCTGTGATGTTCAGGATGCTGAAAAGTTCTTTCTTATCTAATATGCTACTTAGTCTTCCTGACTTCTTTTCAATTCCACTTGAAGTTAGCATAAATAGAAATGTGGGAGCTTTCTTTTCCTGCTTGTACCATAGTAGGCTTCGAAAGTTAGTCACTTCATAACTGCAATTGAGAGTTACGGTGTCTCCCTCGTGGACAACCAGAGATAGAGGGCTTTGTACCACCTTGTCTTCACTGCTCACCCCTGTGTAGAAAAATGTGATAATTATTCACCGTTGGAACCACAGGGCTCCCAGACAATAAGTCAGAACGAAGTCTACTTTACCCTTTTAGTGTTCTGAGGATCAATCCTCAGGTTTCCTGGTTGCCCCTGACCCTTTGTAGTAACCCTACTTACAGCTCAGTAGAAGCCAAAAGATAGCTAGTAAAGCCTGTGGACACTTCATCATCCTTCAGTTATCAAGTGTGTTTTCCTGGGCAAAACGTGATTCACTACCTTTAAGCGTTTCCTTTTCTTTTTGAACCATCACACTCTACCCCTAGCGTCTGCCTGTGTGCGCGTGCGTGCACACACACATGCACACACACGGACACAGACACACACTCAGAAAAAGGGAAATAGCAATTTGGCAATTCAGCCAACCATTAAAAAAAGTGTCATTTGGTTCTATTTAAATTCAAATCCCTCCCACTCAATCACCCATGGAAGTCATTCAAAATAGAACACCGCCATCTTGTGAGCTGGTGCAGAATAGCTGAAAACTAGTGTCCACATGTTTTATGAAAGATGGTAGATACTTCTAAAATTGTCTTACCATTGAAGGACAGGCTACCCAAAGCTGTCCATAATCTTAGGAGTCAGTAATTCTATTATTTCTTGTCCATGATTCTTAAGGGAATGGTCATGCCTGCTCCATACCCACTCGTTCATCTCCTTGCTAAGTGAAACCTGGCATAGCCAGGCCATGACCCTGCATATGATGGTAAGTCTCTGAGAAATAGCAGAGTCCCCAAATGAGAATAACCTCAGTTCCTCAAAGATCATGTAAGGCAGAGTCATCTGCTGACCTGGAATATCTGCTCCAGATTTTCACAAGAAAGACAAACTTTGTTCATTAAGCCTCTGAACGTTTGGCATATATTTGTTAGAATAGTTTGGCCTTCGCTAGTATACTTGGAGTATAGCTTTGGTTGCATTCCATTCCATAAATGTTATTACATAGTTTTCTTGTCATCGTCTAGGAATGTCTATTTTTAGTAAAATACATATAATCTATGTAGGTAGTGTTCAAGTCTAGGAAGACTAGTACTTTCTTGCTTGATCTTTATGATCACTAAGAAAAAGAATTACTAATTAGAAAGTTCAAATCTCAAGGTGAAGACAAACATATTTGCATTCCAGAAAAGCTGAATTGCCCAGTTGAGAGGAAGTGATGGATCGCTTGGTTTCCAAGACTACTTTTTTTGTGACAATGATAAAGTGGCCTAATTCTCTAGATCTTAAGCAAGAAACAAAACCCAGAAACATGAAGTAAGAGACTGATGATGTGACAACACCACAATAAAGTAAATAATGCCATGTTCTATTACTGCTTATGAATATAGTTTGTACTGTCCCCATGAAGGTCAGATAATTTAACCCACTGTTTTTTGTTTATAAGCTTCCTTCTGCATTTCTGGGTGGCACAGAGGCACAGATATGAGAATTAATTAGCATCTTGCCCCTTAATTGATGTAACTTTTTTTTTTTTTTGAGACAGAGTCTTGCTCTGTCACCAGGCTGGAGTGCAGTGGTGTGATCTCGGCTCACTGCAACCTCTGCCTCCTGGATTCAAGTGATTCTCCTGCCTCAGTCTCCCAAGTAGCTGGGACTATAGGTGCGCATCATCACGCCCAGCTAATTTTTTTTTTATATTTTTAGTAGAGACGGGGTTTCACCATGTTGGCCAGGATGGTCTTGAACTCCTGACCTTGTGATCTGCCCGCCTCGGCCTCCCAAAGTGCTGGGATTACAGGCATGAGCCACTGTGCCCGGCCTCTCATGTAAACATTTTTAATTGACTGTCTTCTTTGTGCCAGGAACAGAGGAGCATACAGAACTGAATAAGGCAATCTTTACCTTCAATACTAGCCCACACTTTAAAAAGCCTTCTATAGAATTATTATTTGACCCAGCAATCTCATTGTTGGGTATATACCTAAAGGAATATAAATTTTTCTACCATAAAGACATATGCACACCTATGTTCATCACAGCACTATTCACACTAACGAAGACATGGAGTCAACCTAAATGCCCAACAATGGTAGACTGGATAAAGAAAATGTGATACATATACACCATGGAATGCTACACAGCCATAAGAAAGAATGAGATCACATCCTTTGCAGCAACATGGATGGAGCTGAAGGCCATTATTCTAAACAAATTAACACGGGAAAGAAAACCAAATATCACATGTTCTCACTTCTATGCGGGAGCTAAACATTGAGTACACATGGACACGAAGAAGGGAACAACAGACACCCAGGCTTTCTTGAGGATGAAGGGTGGGAGGAAGGTGAGTATTGAAAAACATGTCAGGTACTATGCTTATTACCTGGGTGATGAAATAATCCATACACCAAACCCCCGTGGCATGCAGGTTACCTACATAACAAACTTGCATATGTATTCCTGAACCTAAAATAAAAGTTTAAAAATAAAATAAAATAGAAAGCCTGCTATAAAATAAATCATAGCTTCAACATCGAGAAAGTTGGGATGGTAGATTTGCCTACATACAGCTGAATGGGAATGGGGAAGGGAGAAGGAAACATGGTTACTCATGGTTAGCTAATACCCATTTTTTAAGTTCCTGAGAAAAGAATTGTGCTAGAGATCCTATAAATAGCTGTAAAAGTATTACCTCAATTAAAACATCCCTAGGATTTTGAGGGTTATGTCATATGCACATGTGGGACCCACGGAAATATTGTGCTGGGTCTTCAGGGGACTGCTTCTCAGGGAGATGGAAGTGAATTCCGTATCGATGTTTAAGAACATGATGATCTCTGTGAGGCGTTAAAGCGACTAGCTTTAAGAACTGCCTGGAACTGCGCATATCAGTATCAGGGGCAGTGGACCATCATTCCTCTGAAACATCAGCTGATGCCTCTTGAGAGATATTGATTTCCCACAGGACAGTTGCAAGGAAGAAAACCTACAGTATATTTTTTGGAGCAAAAACAATACTACATTTGAAGAGCTCTGTAGAGCTCTTAACAGACTTCAGCTTCCTTTGGCACATGCTGTTAGGGTAATAACAGTAATAAGAATATCAAGATGTATCATCAGAGTCTCTTCTGGGGAATGAGGACCTAGTATGATGTGGCAGATGTTTTTGGATAGTTAAACCAACACTTTTATCTGCAATTGACATCTTTCATGCTCATGTCTTTTTTAGAGGCTAGACAAATTAAATGCTCCCTTTCTCTACCTCCCTTGCAATTAGTACTGGCCATATGATGTGGTTCTGGCCAATGAAATAAATCACATGTTCGACCTCTTAAGTAGATATTTAGGACTATTATTGCTGGGTCAAATGGTAACTCTGTGTTTAGTCATTTGAGAAATTGCCAAACTATTTTCTAATGTGTCTGTACTATTTTACATTCCTACCAGTGGTGGATGAGGATTCCAATTTCCCCACGTCCTTACCAACACTTAGAATTTTACATTTCTCTTTCTTATTCTTCCTTTTTGAAAAATTATGAACATCCTAGTGGGTGTGATGTGGCAGCTCATTGTGGTTTAATTTGCATTTTCCCAATGAATAATAATGTTGAGCATCTTTTTTTTCATGCTTTTTGGCCATTTGTGTGTCTTCTTTGGAGCAATGATGGTTTAAATCATTTGACCGTTTTAAAATTGGCATTTGTCTTAGTGTTAAATTGTAAGAGTTTAAAATATATATTCTTGATATTAGATCCTTATCAGATAAACATGACTTGCAAATATATTCTTCTATTATGTGGGTTATCTTTTCATTTTCCTTTGTGGAATATTTTGCGAATTTTGATGCACAAAGATTTAAATTCTGATAATGCCCAATTTATCTATTTTTCCTTCAGTTGCTTTTTTTGATGTTGTATATAAGAGATTGTTGCATAGTCCAAGGTGGCCAAGATTTACAACTATGTTTTCATCTAAGTGTTTGTACTTCTAGATCTTACATTTAGGTCTTTAATCCATTTGAGTTAACTTTTGTACATATGTGAAGTAGAGATCCAACTGTGGCTATCCAGTGGTCCCAGCACCACTTGTCGAAAAGACTATTCTTTTCCCATTGAATGATCTTGTTGGAATAAATTGGCTATAGATTTATGGATTTATTTCTGGACTCTCATTTTTACTTTATTGATATCATCCATTTTAAAAGAGATACTTATTAAAATCTTCTACTGTAACTGTGTGTTGATCAATTCTCCTCATATCGTGGCAGAAATAACTAAGAAAATCTATTACATACACTAAAAATGAATTGAGAGGGGCAAGTTCATCAAGCAAAGAGCACAATCTTTGGAGGACAAATCCTTGGATAAAGGAGAGTTTGTGGTGACAGAATGGCAGTGGCAAAGGTGGCATGCATAATCACATTTCATGCCAAGAGGACTAAGAGCTGAAGGCAGCATAGAGACTAGAGTTCCAGCTGCAAGTTTGAGTACAGGCTGCAGGTGTTTGGGGAGCACTGTGCTGCCCAGCACAGAAGTAGATGCCTACATCACTAGGTATGGATGCTGAGATATTCAGGAAGCTGTCCTTTCTGGTTATACCAAACTGAGCAGTCAGTCTTCCATTTGAGGTCAATTCACCAGCCTTATATAAGGCTATCAAGAGGACAGGACCTTCCCCAGGGTCCTGCTTGTACCATAGTCAGGTGTTAAATATGCTTGAAGAAGTGCAGTTCATGGAGACATCTTCTCCTTCCTGGGTAAACATAGATTGAGGACTCTGATTCAGCTGTTGACCACTGACCCCTGTTTAGAAAGAGAAAAGAAGGTGGTTAAGGTTATCTTTAGATCACCTTTTTCAGAGCTGTGTTGGACACTATATCACCAAACTTCCCAGCCTTGCATCTGTGTCTTTCCTTTCCTCCCTCCTTCTCTAGCTTTTTTCCTTCTGTTTTCCTCTTTTCATAGTCTCTGATAAAGCCTCACCTCCTGCCCTCACAGAATTTCCTTCCCTTTAGAATTCGCTATGGAAGAGTCAGAAACTCTCAAGACTCACATGTCAGCTGCATCCACAAGATTATTAATAAATGTTCAAGGAGCATCCTTATCAGCAAAGAATTATTTCCTGAATGGGTTTTTTTTTTTTTTTTTTTTTTGCTTCAAGAAACTCTCTTGGGCTTAGAGTGACACTAAAAACACTACCACGAAATTTAAATCTCTGTTCCAGATATCAGCCAATCGGATCTCTTACCAGATGTTTTCCCAGGGTTTTGAGCTAACCTTGAAGGTTAGCTATGAATAGAGACACTGCCCCCATATGGTGAAATGCTAAATTTTTGTCCTTTCATGCCACTTTTTCAGTTTCTTCTATTTCTCCGTTTCACTTGATGAACACACTTAATGAGTATTCACTATATATTAGAGAAATATGGAGACATGAACAAGACAGATGGAAACTCTGCCCCTGGGCACCTTATAATTGCTCTGAAATATCAGTGAAGGCTAGACTGATAATTAAGTATGGTGAATTGGAAACATACTTCTCTATTCCTTTCTGAGTACCTGGTGAAATGAGAGTAAAAATGTTTTTAAAAGTTATGAACCCCAAAGGACACATAGAACAGGCAAAGGATAACAGCATGTGAGATGTTTTGGAAAATGCAGGTGAATGAACAAGTGGTAACTGACTTAAATGAACTGAAGAAAGGCAAATTCTAAGGTCCCACAGAAGCAAATGCCAACAAAAATTCAGGTGCACCAGAAGTCTTAGTGAGTAGGATACCTGGTACCTCAGAAAATCAGAGAGAGGGTAGGGGTAGGAGACTTTATAGAGAAAATGCAAAGTAAAATTGAATAAATTGCAGTTATACTCTCAGATTTCCCATTTGACCTGGAATAGTCAGGTGTCCACTCCTTTCCAACCACTTTTGTGGAAAAAAGACTATTTTTCTGAAGATATTGAATAAATAACATGAAATTCTGGGCTATCAGGCTTAGTTGAGAGTGAAGTGAAGAAGTATTTAAAAACAGGAACTGGAGCCATTTTTCTTTGCTTGAATCTCAGATTTGTATCCTACTAAGTATGAATGAGCATCCCAGGATCATTAGACATTAAAAGAATCCCTTGACATAAAAGGCAGAGACTTAAATAAAAGAGAAAAAGCCCCTGATAGAGGCAATGTTACCTTTGCTTATCAACACAGTGGTAGGAACATTCTGGCTATTCTTTAAGAAGCAAATAAAACTTTGAATAGTAGCAAACCTCACTTTTACAGAAGGGAATTTTGAAGAAGTTTGGTTTTTAAGATCAAAATTGATTCTGCAACTTGGAGTTTCAAATGCCTAGGATCTGGACTGAGTGTCTAAGCTATGCCTCATAGCCTCAATCCTGATTTAGGTAAATAGCTTCTGCCATCTACTGGCATTTGTGTTTTGTATCTCATTGTGCTCTTTAGACGTAGGAGAGCAGGAAAATCTATTTCTGCCTCCCTGGGCATTTTTCTCCTTTTAATTTCATTGCTAATTTTTTCTTAGTTGTTTAGGTTTGCCCATGACTTACTTCTGTATGTATATTTACCTTTCTTACCTTCTCTATTCCTGTTATGTGGTGGCATGTTACCTAAAATGAATTGCTGCTTTCCACCAAATAAAAATACAATCTTATGTTGCTTTTTTTCTTTTTAATCACTGCCAGATTTTATTGAAAAACATATTTTTGGAAAATAAAGAAACAATAAACAGAAAGCAAAACACCTTAATTCAGATGAAAAATGCATTCCTTCTATATTCTCTTAATGGAATGTGGGAGGCACAGAGATGACAGGGAGCTGCAGGGGCTCACTGATTCCTCAAGGGTGTGTTTTCCCATTACCATTAGATCTGTCGCCTCCTTGAGATCATCATGGTTGCTGTTGCAGTCTCGGCAATGGTTTATATTGTTCCAGTTCTTCATGAGCCCTGCTGTCTCAGCCTTGAAAGTGTACCTATTGAGAATACTGGCAATACATTTCTCTCTCCTCAAGAAGAATAAGCCAAGTAGTAGTGTATGAATGTATGAAGGGTGACATTAAGCTCTGGGATGAACATGACATACATTTAAATAATCGATTTAAAGTATTTTTTGTATGTTGAAACAAATGAGAATATATTACATAATAGAAAGTAACAAATGAATTTTAAATATAGTACATGAGATTCCAAACAGATTTCATACACATACAGGGGACTATATCTCCCAGGCCTTCCAGAATATAGCCTCGCTTTCCTTGGCTGTTAGCAGTGATTTGTAGGGAAATTAAAACACACACACACACACACACACACACACACACACACACACATTGCGGTTACTAGGAAAACATATATGCCTTTTGTTTGCAAACTACACTAACCTAAGAAATATAGTTGCTGTGTATTCTAACATAATTATTCAAATGATTTTTTAATTGAAATTGCCATGCAAGAAGATCAATGGTAGGAAATTATAAGCTTGTTCAGAAAGAAAATCCTACTTCAAAAAGAAGGATTATTTCTATTTACAGTTCAAAGAGAAGGGAGATACCTGCCAGGAACTCCAATAAAACAAACAAGAGGTAAATATAGGAGGGCACTACTTTTGAGTACAGAAAAACTGACATAGCTCCAGGCTTCGTACAGTGTCCCTGGGGAGACATGTGGGGACCAAAGTAGGTCTAGCTCAGTAAGGTGGGTCAGTAGCAGAATAACCTAATGTATTAGTCTACTTGGGCTGCCATAACAATATACCACTCACTGAGTGGCTTAACGAAGAGAAATTTGTTATCTCACAGTTCTGGAGGCTGGAAGTTTAAAATCGAGATATCACATGGCCTTTCCTTGGGGTATGTATGTGTGTGTGTGTGAGAGAAAGAGAGAGTGCGCTTTGGAGGATACACAAATATTCATTCCACAACACCTACTCTGTAACACCTAAGACATTCAATTTATAACATAATTGTCTGATACGCATTTTGACAGAGGTGTATGCAAAGTAAGACATGCCTCCAGGCTCCAGGTGACTGGCCAGGACATGAGAAAATTTGTTCAAGTGACACCTACTGACAGGAAGTGAGTGGAGATGTGGCCTCACCGCATGTCAGGAAGCTGTGGCCTCTATATTTCTGTAGTGGCTGTGGCCTCCAGTGGGCTTCCCTAGAATTCAAGTTCTCAAAAGCATTCCTTGATGGGATTTTTCTTCTGACAAGTTCAGAGATAATGATTTTCCTCTTCACTTACTGTGGTTCTCCTTGTTCCCACAGATTGGGGAACTGGAGCCTCCTGCTTTTAGAAAGTGTTCTTGAGCTAAGTTGGGTGTTGTTTCATTTGTGTCTAGAAGGCTGACATTGGGGTCTACATCTTGATTACATTGTGTCTGTTGGTGTCTCTGGCCAATGGTTCAAACTGGAACAGGTTTTATTATACAGTCACGCACCATATAATGGTATTTCCATCAACAATTTATGACAGTGCTCCCATAATATTATAATGGAGCTGAAAAATTGCTATCACCTAGTGACATTATAGCCATTGTAAAATCGTAGCACAAATGCATTACTCACATGTTTGTGGTGTTGTTGGTGTAAACAAACCTACTGCACTGCTAATCATATAAAAGTATAGTACATACAATTATGTGCAGTTCATAGTACTTGATGATAGTAATAAACGGTAATACCTGTTTGTGTGTTTACCATACTATACTTTTAATAGTTATTTTAGAGTATATTCCTTCTACTTATAAAGAACTGAACTGTAAAACAGCCTCAGGTAGGTCCTTCAGGAGGTATTCCAGAAAAAGACATTGCTATCATAGAAGATGACAGCTGATGCATGTTATTGCCCCTGAAGACCTTCCAGTGGGACAAGATGTGCAGGTGGAAGACATCAATACTGATGATCCTGACTCTGTGTAGGCCTAGGCTAATATGTGTGTTTGTGTCTTAGTTTTTAGTACAGAAGTTTAAATAATAGAAAAAAAAATTAAAAAAGAATAAGGATATAAAAAAGGATATAAATAAGGATATAAAAAAGAAAATTGTTTTGTATAGCTATACAATGTGTTTGTGTTTCAAGCTATTATGAAAGAGACAAAAAGTTAAAAAAATTAAAAGTTTATAAAGTAAAAAAAGCTACAGTAAGGTAAGGTTAACTTATTCTTGAGAAAATGAAATTATTGTTAAACAAATTTACTGTAGCCTAAGTATATAGTGTTTATAAAGTCTACAGCAGTGTATAATATTGTCCTAGGCTTTTACATTCACTGACCTCTTACTCACTTGCTGAATTACACAGAGCACCTTCCAGTCCTGCAAGCCCCATTCATTGTAAGTGCCCTAGACAAGCATATAATTTTGATATTTATTATTACTGTTACTACGATGCAGGTCATTTGTGTGCAGGTTTGTTATATGGATATATTGCATAATGGTGAGGTCTGGGCTTCTAGTGTACCCATCACCCGAATGGTGAACATTGTACTGAATAGGTAATTTTTCAACCCTCCCATCATTCCCCCTTTTGGAATCTCCACTGTCTATTATTTCCCTCTATATGCCCATGAGTGCCCATTGTTTAGCTCCCAGTTATAAGTGAGACCATGCAGTACGTTATTTTCTGTTTCTGAGTGATTCCACTTAGGATAATGGCCTCAAGCTAAATCCATGTTGCTGCAAAAGATATGGTTTTATTCTTTTTTATGGCTGTGTAGTAGTCCACGGTGTATATATACCACATTTTCTTTATACAATAATACATTGATGGACACTTAGGTTGATTTCATGACTTTACTATTGTAAATAGTGCTGTGATAAATACACAAGAGCAGGTGTCTTTCTGACATAACAATTTTGTTTCCTTTGGGTAGTAGTGCTGTTGCTGGGTTGAATGGTAGCTCTATTTGTAGTCCTTTGGGTAGCAGTGGTGTTGCTGGGTCGAATAGTAGTACTATTTGTAATCCCTTGAGAAATCTCCATATTGTTTTCCATAGATGTACTAATTTACATTCCCACCAAGAGTGTATAAGCATTCTTTTTTTTCCTATATTCTTGCCAACATCTGTTTGTGTTTTGACTTTTTAATAATAGCCATTTTTACTGATGTGAGAAGGTATCTCATTGTGGTTTTGATGTACATTTCTCTGATGATTAGTGATGTTGAGCATTTTCTCACATGTTTGCTGGTTGCTTGTATGTCTTCTTATGAGAAATATCTGTTCATGTCCCTTGCCCATTTTTTAATGGGGTTGTTTTTTTCTTGTTGAGTTGTCTGAGTTTTTTTATAGATTCAGGATATTAGTCCTTTGTTGGTTGATAGTTTGAAAACATTTTCTCTCATCCTGTAGGTTGTCTATTTACGCTGTTGATTATTTCTTTTGCCGTATAGAAGCTATTTAGTTTAATTAAGTACTGCTTGTCTATTTTTGCTTCTGTTGCATTTGCTTTTGAGATCTTGTCATAAATTTTTTTGCCTAGTTCAATGTCTAGAAGAGTTTTTCCTAGTTTTTCTTCCAGGATTTTTGTAGTTTCAGGTCTTCCATGTAAGTCTTTATTTTATCTGGACTTAATTTTTGAATATGGTGAGAGATATGCATTCAGTTTTATTCTTCTGTATATGGCTATCCAGTTTTTCCAGCACCATTTATTGAATTGGATGTCCTTTCCTCATTGTGTATTTTTGTTGACTTTGTCAAAGATCAGTTGGTTGTAGGTATATGGTTTTATTTCTGGGTTCTCTATTTTGTTCCATTGGTCTACGTTCAAAATATGCAAATCAATAAATGTGATTCACCATGTAAACAGAATTAAAAACAAAGACCATGTGATCATCTCAATAGATGCAGAAAAAGCATTCAATAAAACCCAACATCCTTTTATGATAGAAACCCTCAACAAACTAGGCATCAAAGGAACATACCTCAAAATAATAAAAAAAAACTATGACAAATAAGGGTCATCCATGACAACATACCCAATGAGGAAAATTTGAAAGCATTCCCTCTAAGAACAGGAACAAGACAAGGATGTCCACTCTCACCACTTCTATTCAACATAGTGCCAGAAGTCCTAGGCAGAGCAATCAAGCAAGAGAAAGAAGTAAAAGGCATCCAAATTAAAAAAGAGAAACTAAAATTATCTCTATTCACTGATGACATGATCTTATATCTAGAAAACCCTAAACAGTCTTCTGAAAGATGCCTAGACTTGATAAATGACTTCAGTAAACTTTCAGGATACAAAATCAACATACAAAAATTAGTAGCATTTCTATACACCAATAACAACCAAGCTAAGAAAAAAATCAAGAACTCAATTCCATTTATGATATCCACACATACAAATAATAAAATACTTAGAAAATACATTTAACCAAAGAGATGAAAGATGTCTACAAGGAGAACTACAAAGAACTGATGAAAGGAATCATAGATGATACAACAAATAAAAAAATGTTTCATGCTCACTGATTGGAACAATCAATATAATTAAAATTACTACCCAAAGCAATATACAGATACAATGTAATTCCTATCAAATTACCAGCATCATTTTTACAGAATTTGAAAAAAACAATTCTAAAATTAATATGGGACAAAAAAAGCACAAATAGCCAAAGCAATCATAAGCAAAAAGAACAAAGCCATCACATTACCTGACTCCAAACTATACTACAAGGCTATAGTAACCCAAACAGCATGTCACTGATACAAAAATAGACACAGATTATCTTAAAATCTTCTATACTGTGTTTTTACTGTATATGCAGTTAATAGAGTAATATGCTGTGTCTATTATCAGATAGATGTCATTTACATAACAATTATTGTAATAAATGTAAACAATATATAACATTTAAAGAACCATATACATTAACATTTAATACAGTAAAAAGCAATAGGATGGAAGATACTATATTCTTCATTTTTCTATGAGAAACTGAGGTTCAAAGGCTATGTAACAGGGGTCATGGGGCAAATAAGTGACAGTCTTTTGGTTACTTTCTTTTTTTTTTTTTTTTGAGACAGAGTTTTGCTCTTGTTGCCCAGGCAGGAGTGAAATGGTGCAATCTCGGCTCACTACAACCTCCACCTCCTGGGTTCAAGTGATTCTCCTTCCTCAGCCTCCCAAGTAGCTGGGATTACAGGCATGCACCACCACACCCAGCTAATTTTGTATTTTTAGTAGAGATGGCATTTCTCCGTGTTGGTCAAGCTGGTCTTGAACTCCAGACCTCATTCTATTATCAGATAGATGTCATTTACATAACAATTATTGTAATAAATCTGAATAATACATAACATTTAAAGAACCATATACATTTACATTTAATACAGTAAAAAGCAATAGGATGGGAGAGACTATTTTCTTCATTTTTCTATGACAAACTGAGGTTCAAAGGCTATGTAACAGGGGTCATGGGGCAAGTAAGTGACAGTCTTTTGGTTACTTTCTTTCTTTTTTTTTTTTTTGAGACAGAGTTTTGCTCTTGTTGCCCAGGCTGGAGTGAAATGGTATGATCTTGGCTCAGCACAACCTCCACCTCCTGGGTTCAAGTAATTCTCCTGCCTCAGCCTCCTAAGTAGCTGGGATTACAGGCATGTGCCACCACACCCAGCTAATTTTGTATTTTTAGGAGAGATGGCATTTCTCCATGTTGTTCAGGCTGGTCTTGAACTCCAGACCTCAGGTGATCTGCCTGCCTCAGCCTCCAAAAGTGCTGGGATTATAGGCATGAGCCACTGTGCCTGGCCAGTTACGTTATATCATCATACATGCAGAAAATATAACCACAGCATAATGGACCACTACCTGTTAACTGGAAAAGCCAGGAGTCATTCATGTTAGGAAGATCATAACATGATTCAAATGATCCTACCTTACCATGACCTTTAGTGCTCTTTGTGGGGACGAAGGGAAAGAAACTGAAAATAATTTAAAGAAATGTCTAAATGCAGACCGTTCAACAGGCAGGGAAAGGAAAAGAATTCTATCACAAAAACTACCACATCTCTGCCACTTCTTAATTGCATGACTTTGAACAAGTTACTTAACTTCTCTGAAAATCAGTTTACTCATCAATAAAAGCAAGATAATAATACCTACCTCAAAAAAATATTCTGAGGATCATAAAAGGTCCTGGGAGTACCTAGTACTCTTTGTCATTTACATAATGTTTGTTATATATATTAGTTAATATGTGGCAGGTAATGTGTATTGTTTATCTCATATATCTCCAACTTCATTTTTACAGAATTTGAAAAAACAATTCTAAAATTAACATGGGACCAAAAAAGAGCTTGAATAGCCAAAGCTATCCTTAGCAATCCTAAGCAATCCTAAGTCCCGTAGCATATGGGACTCTTTACCACTCTAGGAAATAGATGGTATTCATTTTTCAGATGAATCTAAGTTCAGAAAGATTCAGTCACATGCCCAAGGTTATCTGGTTTGGAAGTAGGAGGACTAGTATTTGAGTGATATCTAAGATTACAAACCTTTACTTTTTTGACTGTGCTGCCTCTGAAACAGTTAAATTTTCATATGTTTTCTTAGACAAACTAGTTCCCCTGCCTATTCTTTCATGTAGAAGTTTTACTGATATAGTCATGCCTTGCTCAACTACAGGCGTTCTGAGAAATCCATCATTAGGCAATTTTGCCATTGTGCAAACATTATAAGAGCGTACTGGTCTAGATGGTATAGCCTGCTACACGATAGGCTATGGGCTACAAACCTGCACAGGATGTTATTGTACTGAATACTCTAGGTAATTGTAACAATGGTGAGTCTTTGTGTATCTAAACATAGACAAGGTGTAGTTAAATAGAATATTGTTCTATGTATTTTCAAGCAATAGAATCTTTAATTTTTTCCTCTGAATTATGTTATCTTTCTAAAATAATTGGAATAAAAACATATGTTTTAAAAACTGCTGACAAAGAGATCGAGACCATCCTGGCCAATATGGTGAAACCCTGTCTCTACTAAAAATACAAAAATTAGCTGGGTGTGGTGGCACATGCCTGTAATCTCAGCTACTCAGGAGGCTGATGCAGGAGAATGGCTTGAACCCAGGAGGCAGAGATTGCAGTGAGCTGAGATGGCACCACTGCACTCCAGCCTGGCGACAGAGCGAGACTCCTTCTCAAAAAAAAAAAAAAAAAAAAAAAATTGCTAACAGTATGTTGCCTGTGTTCCTGCTGATGGGAACTGACCAAACACTGGCAGCCTACACTATGGCTGAGAAGTGTGGGAAAGAGTATTTTACAATAAAAACATCTTTTCTATCCTACTGCCACCGTAACTGAGAATGTATCTTTGAGGAGACTTTCTTGGAATCTCCTCTTTTTCAAATACAAACAGTCCAGGGAGACCTAACCTAGAACATTACATTGAGAGTAAGTTAGGCTATAAACCACTTTATTTTAGAGATTGAGTGGAGAGAGATATATATCTACTCAATAGTGTAGGAGAAGGTTCTGAAGAGCAATTCAGTGACTAGAAATATCAGGCTTTGGGCAGGCTAACAGTATTAAAACATCATAGAATACTACTAGGGGCTGGGTAAAAAGCAGGAGCAGTAGAATAGGTGGGAGGCAATGGTGAAGGAATGGCAAGAGACTAAAGGCAGATTTTTCATATGTCCATATTCTGCTACAACTGGCCCTGGGTTCAGAACTTTTATCAAAGGCCATAAGATAAAACAAGTTTTTTAAAAATTCTGCAGGATGAGTTCTGCCACAAAAACTGTTGAATATGATTTGCTTCTCTTTGAAGCTATTTGGGAGGTGAGAGCCAACTGGATGTGGCTACAGCTTGCCGGCAGCAAGAACAGATGAGTCCTTTGTTTGCCCCCTACATACCCACTCTACACATAGGGGGTATCACAAACTGCTGGAGGAAACCGAATAGAATTATCCAGCACAGTAAGGAGGTGCTAATATTTGTAAACCTGTTTCTCAGGACATGATAAAACACATGACAGCCCTTGAGGCTTTCTCTAAGTCCTACAACTCACTGAGGATAGATCATTTTCCCCATTCTCATTCCTGCCATTGCCCTTTTAAGAACATCCAAAGCTTGGCCTAAGGTTTTAGTAACAAATCTCTTTACGTTTGCATTAGAGTCTTCTGTTTCACATATGGTGTTTCAATTAATAAAATACAGTGAGACTAGCTGAGAATACCTCATCTTTATTTTGAAATTTAGAAACCATCCCAAAGAGGTTCTGTTCTTTGAGCACAACCACACAGGTGGCAGGTGCAGTATAATCCAGGCCCTCATCCTTTCCATCTACTTGTGGAGTTTCCTTTAGAGAAAATATACCGTTAAATTCTGCAGATTTTCTTTAAATGCTTTTATTTCTTATTTTAAGAATTGCTCTGCTTTATACAAAATTTGATGTTAGTTATTTTCTCTCTGAACATTGAAAAATAATTCAAATCTCAGTTGGTTTCCATTGTTATTTTTGAGAAGTCAGCTGTCAGTTTACTTCTTTGAAAACAGTCTTTTTCACCCTCCCCTTTGATTTTTAAGATTTTCTTCTTGATTTAAGATTTTCTGCTGTTTTACTCTGAACACACACACACACACATGCACGCATGCATGCACACACACTACACTTCTTTTTATATAAATTGCCCAGGAATGTTTTTGTCTTCTTGAATTGTGAATTGATGTCTTTCATCCATTTTTTAAAAACTGTTCATCCATTATCTCTTCATATATTGTTTCTGCCTCATTCACCTCTCTCCTCTTTCTGGAACTCCATTTAATCATATTTTATACTTTCTCATTCTGTTTATTCTCTGTAGCTCTTCTTTCTACTATCGTAACTCTCAACTTTTTATCTTGGCAAGTTGTCAAGGCTGCAGCATAAGACTAGACTAGACAAGACAAGACTATGTCCCAGAGGAAGTGAAGACAAGGAAGTGAAGTAAGGAATTTAAGGCTAACATTTGTTTTATGAATTTGATCAACACAGTTGAGAAGAGGGCATAAGAATAAATCATTATTTGACTTAAATCTAGCAGGCTCATATCTGGCACACTAAAGTCCTACTAAGATAGTGCCAGGAGTAACAAAAGGCTCTAGAAATTGGAGACAAGTTTTCTGATGAAAATATTATGTTGTGATATTTACTTAAAATATGAAAGGCTGTGGCTATGGATGGCCCTATTTAATAGATCTACTTATAAGACAGCATTTATATGGGGTTAAAGTTAGCACAGAATGTAGCAAATTTTTCTGCTTATTTTAATCCATCCCCTTTTTTTCTGACTGTGGTATCTATAAGAATGCCACAAACACATATTGCAAGGAATTCTCACTATGGGGGTGAATAGATAAGCCTGATAGATTTAGCCACTTACTGAAGGTTTAGAAAATATCAGTTCCTTATTCCATTGGTTTTTGCAGTGGAAAACTTTTGGGTGATTCCCAAAGCACACAAAAAAATTATCTTCCTGCTAGGAGGAAATTTTTACCACAATAATAATTATAATACCTATGTCCTGTAAGAAAACTAAGTTCACAATCTCCCTTACTGTCCAGATATTGCTGATTAGAATTTAGTGGCTTTCTATGACATGCTAGGCCCTACAAACAAACAAAAATCAGACTAATTCTTTCACCTGATTTATAATGGAATTGCCAAGAGCTGTTAGAAAAGGAACTAAACCTTGCACTCAAGGCAGGAGGAAAAGAAACTCGGTTCCTGCCTTCTTTCTTCTAATCACTCACTCTTCCTCTTGCTCAACCCCAGCATTCCTATCAGGGGCTATCCCTAAGGAGGTAGACAGAGCTGGTCGCTGCTCATTGCACACTAGGAAAAGTCATGCTGGCATCTTCTCCCATAGGGAAATTTCTGCTGCCCAGAATCAAAACCAATGTCTGGAGCTCAGCCTTGTTCAGTTTGCTGGACATTCTGAGGCAGAATCACTGGAGAAGGTGAATTATTTTCTCAGAATAGGAAATTGGCTTTTGATGGGGGAGAAAAAAAGAGGAGAAGGGTAAGTTGCATGTCATATAACCTATTTGCTTAGGCTGACCTAAGACGCTGATGTGAATTTAACAGTTTCTTTCTCCTGATAACATTGATTTACCAGCCTTGTGGGACATGGCAGGTTAATCTCTAAACATCCTTATGACTACTTATCTTCATACTTTCAACCCTTAATATTCCCAGCATTCTACTGGAGACAATATCTTTATATTATTTTCCAATTAGAAAAATTTGATTTTAGGTTAAAATGCAAATATGTACACTCTTTAGTTTGAGATTTGTATATGTATATGCATATTTACACACATAGGTAAGTGTCACTTTACTCGGAACATTTCATGAAAATCAGAAACTTATGTTCTTATTTCCTGCTTGCTTTTCCTCTTATCACGTTGCCAAACATTTTCTTTCATGGGCTTCTCTCTTTTCTCTCTTTCCTGTTTATTTTAGCAAACTTTTCTCCCAGTGGGTGGTATAGGTAACATTTCTTTAAAACAGAAAATAATCTAATTCGACTTGATTTTTAAAAATCTTCCCTGACTTTGGCCAACATAAATGATCATTCCCATTTTACATGCAATTTCTTTTGAAACCAGGTCACTAGGCAGTTTCTGATGACAGGAGACCATTATATTCCTCCTTTCTTTTCTAAATTTAAAGAATAGAACATCTCCTAGTTAGGTTGAAGCCATATCATGTTGATCAACTTCCCTACTTTTATGTGAGAATTTTGACTTACTTGAAATTGTCATTGTTTGATTAATAGTAAAAATACTATCTCAAATATTGAGGGCTTGCAATACACCAGATACTTAATGTATGTAATCTATAACCTTACTTCATCCTAACAAGAACATATGAATAAAATAATATGATTGTATCATCTTTACAGAGGGAAAATAAAGACTTGTAAAGTTAAAGTTGTTGGTCAACATCACATAGCTTTTAAGAAACATGTGAATTATTTCTCTCTAACCTATGATCTTATCAGTTATTCAGTATCAGTTTAATACTTGTAAACACCCACTGTAGGCCAGCACTATTCTGATGTGGAGTGGAGGATGAAGGTAACATCTTCTCCACTTCATACTGAGACAACTGGGAAACAATTCTTTAAGCTGATAATTTGGAGTGGCCAGAAGAATACTGAGACTAGAATATGAATGAAAGCACAATGAGAAGAGAAGTGGAGGCCAGTCTAAGACTGCATTAGATATTTATTAATATATTCCCCTCTCTCTAGCTCACTCTATCTAATCTACCTATTATCTATCTATCTACCTATCATCTATCTAATAATCTAGCTTCCTATAATCTATCTATCACCTATTTATCTGTCTAAACATTTGTCTTTTTCTATATCTATACTACAAACTTAGAAAAAACTATTGCCCATGACTCCTCAGTATGGATATTCTAACACTCTTGGTACAATGTTAATCTGTGACAAAGAATCTGACAAACAATGCACAATTTCTTTTTATTAACAAGGTGGGTAAATAGCAAAGGGAAAGAAGTTCCTTGGCACAACAGGGACATAATATTCGTGCATAGTTCTTGCATAAATCACTGAAATTCATGCTATTCTCATTCGAATTTGATGTTCCATCTACTAAAAAGTAACATAACTACCAGACAATAAAGTCAAATTAAATTTGGGATTAGTGATATAGCTCCCCCTTGTATCATTCCTACTCTCCTCCCCATTTTTCCAATAAGACAATTGCAACGTTCTGAGACTTCATGTCTTGGCAAAGGTCCCAGCCACATCTCAGGAGCCCCATGTCAGAAGAGCATATGTGGCCCAGCTGCAGGTTTGGAGACAGCTGATAGAGGCCTGAAGATCGCTGTGTGTCTGCTCCACAGAGGTAGATGCCTGCATGGCTGGGCTGGGAGGCTGTGATATGCAGGGAACTTTGCTGCTTTTTCTCATCCAACTTGGCAGTTATCTTTTCATGACTTTTCTCTTCCCCACCTTTCTGTAGCATCATCAAGAAGATAAGACCTTCACCATACTTTTGCTTATACCAGTATAAGCCATATAACGTCTTTGATGACGTGCAGTTTATGGTGAGATTCTTTCCCTCTTGGACGATCAAGGACTGAGGACTCTGCTCCAGTTCTTGGCTACTGACCCCTGTTCAAAAAGACAATGTAAAGAAAATACAGAAGACCCTCATAAGATTTTCATGGTCATGGTAGGGATGATGTTTTTCTCCCCCTCCCCACTTCCCCTAGGCAGCAGAATTGTCACATTAAAACAAAGTATTGTCATTTTTTTTCCCAACACATATCTGGCTCTCAAACGGGCCTTCCCAGAACAGAAGATGACTCGACTCTTGCCCTCAGGATGCTGTCACCATCTCGCAATTCTCCCAGACTAACCACATACTCACAGGCTGCTTGGAACCCCAATATCCCTAGGAGTACTTGCAGAACAGTCTCCATCCCTTAGCTATTTAGAAAACACAGTTAAATCAGATTTTACTGAATGAGCTTCCCCAGCAGAAGTTACTTTGCTCATTGGTGCAGGAGATTGCACCAATCAGAAGCCATACCTGGATTCCTGTTTGTTCAGCACTGTACAATCTTACTCAAATACTTTTTTAACACTGCCACTCTTTGGCCAGACTGAGAAATGCTGAATAATGGACAGGTTTTCTGGAGTTAATTTATATATGACATAGATCTATTTATTGCATTAAAATATGCCACTTATGAGATAAAGAAAATATAATCTCATAACATATGTTACCCTTGCATGCTTGAGAAAGTTTACCCTCCATAATTAAGAGAAAGTAAAAAATTCTGTTCTCTATAGTACAGAGTGATTATTTTTCAATATTTATCTCTGTCTACTTTTGTTTTGAGCCTTCTTAAAAACTACTTTTCTGAGGTACACTTTGCATATAACAAATTACATATGTTTACAAGGTCCAATATGATAATTTTTGACATGGTCATACAAATGTGAAATCATCATCACAATCAAGATAAAGAACATATGCACCACTCCCCAAAGTTTCCTTGTGTCTCTATTCCTTGTGTTCCTTGTTAATCCTTTCTGTATACCTTTCCAATATATCATCCCAATGCCTATTCAACCCCAGGCAATCTCTAGTCTGCCTTCTCTTACTATAGATTTTCTAGAGTTTTATGTAAACAGAATCATACCGTATCTGCTTTCTGTCGTCCGGTTTCTTTCAGCATATTTATTTTGAGATTGTGTTTGTTAGCTTGGGCTGCCATAACAAAATACCATAGACTGTGTGACTAAAACAATGGAAATTTATTTCTCATGGTTCTGAAGGCTGGGAAGTCTAAGATCGAGGGGCTGGAAGATCTCATGTCTGGTGAGGGCCTGCTTCCTGGTTCATAGATGGCAGTCTTCTTGTGGTGTCCTCACATGACAGAAAGAACAAGAAAGTTCTCTAGGGTTTCACTGAATGGAACTAATCCCATTCAAGATGGCTACACTTTTATGACCTAATCACTTCCTCAAAGACCTACTTCCTAATACCATCACACTGGGGGTTAGGATTTCAACACATGAATTTGCAGGGGAGATCACAAATATTCAGTTCATAACAAATTGTTGTGGTATTTTTGTTGAAAATCAACTATGTACATGCTGGCCTATTATTGGATCCTTTATTGTGTTCCAATGTTCTACTTGTCTATCTTTATATCAATATCATAGTCTCTTGATTATTGTAACTATAAAAGTATTCATATCAGTAGTGTAAGTTCCTCAATTTGTGTTTTTTAAAAAGAATTTTTTTGTTGTAGTCCCTTGGCATTTTCATATAAATCTTAGACCCACTTGTCAATTTCTATGAAAATTTCTGTTGGGATTTTGATTTGAATGACATTGAATCTGTAGGTCAATTTGGAGAGAATTTTAATGAGTCTTCTAATCTGCAAACACAATAACTCTTTCCATTTATTTAGATCTTAAATGTATCTCAGAATTTTTTTATATCTTTTAGTGTACAGGCCTTAGACAACTTCTGTCAAGTGTATTCATACACACACACACACACACACGCCAGAATTGAAATTTATTTATTTATTTATTTGAGACAGAGTCTCACTCTGTTGCCCAGGCTGGAATGCAGTGGTGTAATCTTGGCTTACTGCAACCTCTGCCCCCCAGGTTCCAGTGATTCTCGTGCCTCAGCCTCCTGAGTAGCTGGGATTACAGGTGTGTGCCACCACACCTGGCTAATTTTTCATTTTTAGTCGAGACAGGGTTTTGCCATGTTGGCCATGCTAGTCTTGAATTCCTGGCCTCAAGCTATCTGCCTGCCTCAGCCTCCCAAAGTGCCAAGATTACAGGCATGAGCCCCTGTGCCTGGCCCAGAATTGAAATTCATATACATATAAATTGCATTCTTGAGACGAACCCCACTTCATTATTATGTATTATCCTTTTTATATATTGTTAGATTCAGTCTGCTAAAATTTTGTTAAAAGTTTTTTATGCATATGTATGCATAAATATATAAATGCATAAATATACATATGCATATCTATATAAATTTCAATTCTGCTTGTTTAGTGTTACTGTATGGAAGCAGCATTATTTTGTATATTGAGCTTGTATCTTGCAATTTTATCTAACTCATTTATTGGTTACAGTAGTTTTTTTGTCTATAGGATTTGCTACACAGACAATTCTATTGTTTGCAAAATGAGTTACGTTTTAAAAAGTTAAATATGGTTTCCTTTACCATAAAGTCAAGTTAGCGATCTTTCAGGGTTTTGTGTTTCAGGTCTAAAGATAGATTATTTTGGATGTGCTACCTCCCTCTAGGAACAAGGCTTAGCAAAGAGCTTGCTACCACAATTCCCTAAGAAAGACAGAATTATTTTCAGTCACTTCGGAGCTTTTATAATTATTTCTGTGTTGTTTTCTCAATTATTATATTCCTTTTGTTTTCCGTGGTATCTTGTTCTTCCCATGTTTGAAGGCAGTTCCCAAAGCCCATGTCATTCATTGTACAGCATAGGATTTGGCACAGATTAAAGATTTAATTTGTTGGGTGAATATATTAATTACTATTTACTCATAACATTATTAGGAGAAGTTATGTGGAACGACTCTTGAAATTATTCCAAAAAAGCTTCCAATTTTTTGAAAACAAATTGAACAGAAGTATCCAAAGTAAAGGCAAATGCCAGATTAGATCTGTGGGAAAAATTCAAATAGCACACCAACCCTCATTCTCCATCCTCCAAAAAAGAAAAACTCACAAATCTGTAATAGGTAAAGCCTGGTTTCCTTTTTCTTTTTGTCTCATTGCATTGGTTAGATTCTCTAGGATAATGTTGAATAGAAACGGTGAGAGTAGACATTTTTGCCATGTTCCTGATCTTGGGTTAGACTGTTAAAGCCATTTTGGAATGCAACTTTTCAATATCTATAAAAATATAAAATAGGCATATCTTTTGATCCAGTAATTCCACTTCGGAATCTATAAGGAATATGTACACACACACACATACACACACACATACACATATGTCATATATATTTATATATGTAGAGATGATATAGGTGAGGTAAGTAAAATTATTATACAACCATACTGTGAACATTTGTAGATATTGAAAAGAATAAGGCCAGTTTATACACACATGCATACACATGTATCTCGGTATGAACACACCTCAAAAAACTATTTTTAAATAAAAATAAAAGCAAGTTGCAGACAAATACACATGGTATGTTCCAACTTATGTAATAAAATTGGGTAGATATTTATGTGAGTATCCACATAAATGAAAAGGAGTATGATCATCAGGGCACTCTCCAAACTGTCAAAATGGGTTATTGTAGGAATTGAAGAGAAAATGGGATGGAGATGGAGACAGTCAGTTTGGGCCTCTAAGGTTTTACTTCGCATACTTAATAGTTTGAATCTTTTACAATGAAAAAAGATTTGTGTATTTTTGTTTAATAATAGAGATATTTCAACATAGATTTAAAAAATGAAATCAATATTCACATATCCACCACTTTCTTGCTCCCTTCCAGAAATCATCTATATCCCAAGAGTATGTGCTATGGATGAGTAACAAATAAAATTTCAAATTTTTCGTAAGGGCAAATGAATCAATTTCTGAAATTCATTTCAATTATTGAGAGGTTGGAAGGACTAATGTGATATAATATTCAAAGCCCAGGCACTTGCCTGGGGCTAGATGAAGAAATGCTTTGGGACTACCAGATGATGGTTCTCATCTTTTATAGTGAGGTCTACATGGAAAGCAAGAGTTGATTAAAAGAAAGCGTCCGGGAAAATTCTTATTTCCTTTCTTCCTGACTGCAGAATTCCAATTGTGATTCTTCATCTCTTCGCCAAGCTTCTCAGTCCTTTCTTCAGGACTTCTTAGCTATTCTTTCTCAGTTTCTTCATTCCTTTAATCCTCTCATCCTCTCATTGATTTCCTTACCACCTCCTCTTTACTTCTTTTCCCTTTTCTTCTTTAAATTTTCTTCTTCCTCTATTAAACTTCTGCTCCTTCTTGTGCAGTGGCCTCGTTAGATGCCTTCCCTTTCATCACCAGGGAGATATTGCACAGCTGCAGCCCCATCTGTCCCACTGTGGTCTCTCAGGATGCAGTAGTACACAGCAGCATCTCTCAAGGTAGCACGGTGCAGGATCAAGGTACTGGACTTTCTGTCTTCAGCGATTGCCAGAGAGGCCATTCTGTTGTTCACATTGCTTGTAAGACCATGAATCACGTACTCTGGACCCTGGGAGGGAAGCTGTCGATACCAATGTATGTAATCAGTTCCACTGATTGTGGAGTGGTTACAAGGCAAGTGAACAGGCTCTTCTTCGTTACTCTCCATTGAATTTGGCTGTGTGGTCTTAGCATCACCCATAATACCTATGGGGTTGAAAAACAGCAGATTAGCTCTGGATCATCAGCTCTTGGTGCATCTGAAGGTCAGGTTCACCACTGCTCCAGAACTGTCCTCCCTGCCCTACTCCATATTTGAGTGTTTTTATGTGTGTTGCACAGGACAAGATAAATATTACTGGTATTTATTTGTTCCTGAGCTATGCAGAGCCACAAGGCCAAAAATAAATTTCCCATCTTCCATGACCCTTGAGCTCAATGAACCTAAAACTCCTTACAGCTTGAGAGCTGTGAGACCTGGAGAATCTTCTCTGAGTAGTGGATATGACCAACCCCTCACACTGACGCTCAGACACCCTCAAGAAACACATAGAAACAAATTTTTTCCCGCAATTGGTAAATCATGGTAGAAAACATGGAGACAGCAGATAACTCTCTTTTGTCATTAGCCACAAAACTATGCTTTCTTAGGCCCAGAACACTTACCCAAAGATAGGAGTACAGTAATGCTTGTCACCAACTTCATTGTTCAAGTGCACATTGAGGTTCCAGGCCCCAGAACTCAGACTCTGTGTCTGATCCTAGGTCAGAGGAGGTCCCAAGCAACAAAGCAGCAGCCACAGCACATCCCACATCAGGCAGGTTTCAATTTGAGTGCTCCCCAGAAATCGTCAGCTAAAGATAGAGCAGCTTCCTGGTTAGGTCTAGCCCACCCCCAGGTTTAAACATACATTTTAAAAGAAGATAAAATACGATTATTATTTGTTAATTAAAAAAATAAAACTTTAAAAAGAGGGGAAGAATATTTTCTTTAAATCTAGCTTTAATTCAGAAAGTTTCCATTAAGATCATTTTCAAGGCTGAAACTCAAGTAGGCTACATCTAAAGAAGTAAATGGGATTACCCATCCCTTATTATGGTAAGGACAAAACCCACCATTAATTGGTAGTTTGACAACCCATTGAGCTGGTAAGAACAGCCCTTTATTCCAAGAAGTCTATGTGAGCCCTGTGCTGTAAGGGAAAGAAGGGAATTTCTATCCACATCTTCAGGGCGAGTAAGTCTTAGAAGAAGCAGTAGCATATAATTTAATTTCAACAGTTAGAAACTTCTTTTTGGTAAAAAAAATTACCATAAGCAAAATTGAAAATCAAATGACACAATGAAAGAAGGTATTTGCAACATATATAACAAAAGTAATTTCATAATTGTATAATATTGCTGTGCTAAGTGTGAAAGGAAAGAACAAATTTAGAACTCAGGTTAGAAGCCAAGTTTCCTGGTACTCAGGTCTCCCACACTGGCTCCTGGAATAATGTCCTAAGTGTCTTCTAGATAGACATTGCCTGTGCCTCTGGTTTTGAGACAGGAGCCAATGGCTTGAATGACCCCTATTTCTATGCCACTTGAACTCCTCTTTAACATATGCTTTCTCATCTTCATGATGCCTAGGAGTGGCATACATTGAAGGAGAAAGGAAGAAATGGGAAGAGGTTTGGAGAGGGAAATCAAATGATGCCATTTGATAAGAGAGGTAGAAGTAACTATGAAGGGGTTTTTCTAGTTATTTTCAAAAGTGGTTATTAAAGAAATGGGAAGGAATAAAATTAAAATTACTCATTATCTCTGCTACAATAACTAAGCTTGTCAGTCCATTATAGCAACAAATATTTCACCATTTAAAATTGAGCTATGTATTAATCACTTCTCTGTTTTTCCCATTCAGGGTCACTTCTGCTCTGCATTTGGGAAGGGGCTTACCCATGTCTTTGAAACTGTGCACACACTCAAAAAGAGATAATAAAGCACAAGGTGGCAAAAAGAATGAACATAAATTCCTTATACAACTCAATGACAACCTCGCTCACCCTGGAAGGAGCTTGGATTTGCAGCTGTAACAGCTCCCTCTTGTGACTGTATATGTGAACTCCTTTACATAGAACTAGGAACCAAGTCAGTTAGCAATCTTTCAGGGTTTGTGTTTCAGGTCTAAAGATAGATTATTTTGGATGTGCTACCTCCCTCTAGTGACAAGGCTCAGCAAAGAGCTTCCTACCATAATTCTCTAAGAAAGATCAAATTATTTTCAGTCACTTTGGGGTTTTAGAATTATTTCCTAAAATTCATAAGGAAACAAAAAAGAGCCCACATTGCCAAAGCAAGACTAACCAAAAAAGAACAAATCTGGAAGCATCACATTACCCAACTTCAGGCTATGCTCTAATGCCATAGTCACCAAAACAGCATGGTACTAGTATAAAAATAGGCACCTAGACCAATGGAACAGAATAGAGAAGCCAGAAATGAAGCCAAATTCTTACAGCCAACTGATCTTTGACAAACCAAACAAAAACATAATGTGGGGAAGGGACACCCTATTCAATAAATGGTTGTGGGATAATTGGCTAGCCACATGTAGAAGAATTAAACTGGATCCTCATCTCTCACCTTATGCAAAAATCAACTCAAGATGAATCAAGGACTTAAATCTAAGACCTAAAACCATAAAAATTCTAGAAGATACCATCAGAAAAACCCTTCTAGACACTGGCTTAGGCAAAGACTTCATGACCAAGAACCCAAACGCAAATGTAACAAGAACAAAGATATATAGATGGGACCTAATTAAACTAAAAAGCTTCTGCACAGCAAAAGAAACAATCAGCAGAGTTGACAGACAACCCACAGAGTGGGAGAAAATCTTCACAATCTATACATCTGACAAAGGACTAATATCGAGAATCTAACTCAATGACTCAAATCAGCAAGAAAAAACAAACAATCCCATCAAAAAGTGAGCTAAGGACATGACTAGACAATTCTCAGAAAAGATATACCAATGGCCCACAAGCATCTGGAAATGCTCAACCTCATTATTTATCAGGGAAATGCAAATCAAAACCACAATGTGATACCACCTCACTCCTGCAATAATGGTCATAATAAAAAAATTTAAAAAAATACCCATTGGTTTGGATGCAGTGAAAAGGGAACACTTTTACACTGTTGATGGGAATGTAATCTAGTACAACCACTATGAAAAACAGTGTGGAGATTCCTTAAAGAACTAAAAGTAGATCTACTGTTTGATCCAGCAATCCCACTACTAGGTATTTACCCAGAGGAAAAGAAGTCATTGTACAAAAAAGATACTTGCACATGCATGTTTATAGCAGCACAACTTGCAATTGCAAAAATATGGAACCAGCCCAAATGCCCATCAATCAATGACAGAATAAAGAAAATGTGGTATATATATACCATGGAATACAACCCAGCCATAAAAAAGAACAAAATAATGGCATTTGCAGCAACGTAGATGGAAATGGAGATTATTATTCTAAGTGAAGTGTATTCATCTGTTTTCACGGTGCTGATAAAGACACACCCGAGACTGGGCAATTTACAAAGAAAGAGGTTTAATTGGACTTATAGTTCCATATGGCTGGGAAAGCCTCTCAATCATGGCGTAAGGCAAGAAAGAGCAAGTCATGTCTTACATGGATAGTGGCAAGCAAAAAATGAGAGAGAGCTTGTGCAGGGGAATGCCTCTTTTTAAAACCATCAGATCTTGTGAGACTTATTCACTATCATGAGAACAGCATGGGAAAGACTTGCCCGCATTATTCAATTACCTCCCACTGGGTCCCTCCCACAACACATAGGAATTCAAGATGAGATTTGGGTGGGGACACAGCCAAACCATATACTTCCACCCCGACCCTTCCCAAATATCACTTCCTTGCATTTCAAAACTAATCATACCTTCCCAACAGTCCCCCAAAGTCTTAACTTATTTCAGCATTAACTCAAAAGTCCACAGTCTAAAGTCTCATCCGAGACAAGGCAAGTCCCTTCCACCTATGAGCCTGTAAAATCAAAAGCAGGTTTGTTACTTCCTAGATACAGTGAGGGTACAGACATTGGGTAAATACAGCCATTCCAAATGGGAGAAATTGGCCAAAACAAAGGGGCTATAGACCCCATGCGAGTCCAAAATCCAGCGGTGCAGTCAAATCATAAAGCTCCAAAATGATCTCGCTTGACTCCATGTCTCACATCCAAGTCACACTGATGTAAGAGGTGGGCTCCCATGGTCTTAGGCAGCTCCACCCCTGTGGCTTTGCAGGGTACAGCCTCCCTACTGGCTGCTTTCATAGGCTGGCATTGAGTATCTGTAGCTTTTCTAAGTGTGTGGTGTAAACTGTCAGTGGATGTACCATTCTGGGGTCTGGAGGATGTTGGCCCTCTTCTAACTGCTCCACTAGGCAGTGCTCCAGTAGAAGCTCTGTGTGGGGGTCCAATCCCACATTTCCCTTCAACACTGCCCTAGCAGAAGTTCTCCACGAGAGCCCTGCCCCTGCAGCAAACTTCTGCCTGGACATCCAGGCGTTTCCATACATCTTCTGAAATCTAGGTGGAGGTTCCCAAACCTCAATTCTTGACTTCTGTGCACTTGCAGGCTCACCACCAAGTGGAAGCTGCCAAGGCTTGAGGCTTGCACCCTCTGAAGCCATGGCCTGAGCTCTATGTTGGCCCCTTTCAGCCATGGCTGGAGCAGCCAGAATGCAGAGCACCAAGTTCCTAAGCTGCACACAGCATGAGGACCCTGGGCCCAGCCCATGAAACCACGTTTTCCTCTGAGGCCTTCAGGCCTGTGATGGGAGGGGCTGCTGTGAAGACCTCTGGCATAACCTGGAGACGTTTTCCCCATTTGTCTTGAGGATTAACATTTGGATCTTCATTATGGCTTGAATTTCTCCTCAGAAAATGGGATTTCCTTTTCTATTGCATTGTCAGGCTGCAAATTTTCCAAACTTTTATGCTCTGCTTCCCTTATAAAACTGAATGCTTTTAACAGCACCCAGGTCACCTCTTGAATGCTTTGGTGCTTAGGAATTTCTTCTGCCAGATACTGTAAATCATCTCTCTCAAGTTCAATGTTCCACAAATCTCCAGGGCAGGGGCAAAATGCCAACAGTCTCTTTGCTAAAACATGACAAAGTCACCTTTGCTCTAGTTCCAAGCAAGTTCCTTATCTCCACCTGAGACCACCTTATCCTGGAAGATGATATTGTTTACATCACTATCAGCATGTTTGTCAAAGCCATTTAACAAGTCTCTAGGAAGCTCCAAACTTTCCCACATTTTCCTGTCTTCTTCTGAGCCCTCCAAACTGTTCCAGCCTGCACCTGTTACCCAGTTCCAAGGTCACTTCCACATTTTCAAGCATCTTTTCTTCAATGCTCCACTCTGCTGGTACCAATATGCTATGTTAGCCCATTTTCATGCTGCTGATAAAGACATACCAGAGACTGGGCAATTTACAAAAGAAAGAGGTTTAATTGGACTTACAGTTTCACCTGGCTGGGGAAGTCTCACAATCATGGCAGAAGGCAAGGAAGAGCAAGTCACATCTTGCATGGATGGTGGCAGGCAAAAAATGAGACAGCTTGTGCAGGGGAACACCTTTTAAAACCATCAGATCTTATGAGACTTATTTACTATCATGAGAACAGCATGGGAAAGCCCTGCCCGCATCATTCAATTACCTCCCACCAGGTCTCTCCCACAAGACATGGAAATTCAAAATGAGAATTTGATGGGGACACAGCCAAACCATATCATGAAGTAGCTCAGGAATGGAAAACCAAGCATCGTACATTCTCACTCATATGTGGGAGCTAAACTCTAAGACACAAAGGCATGAGAATGGTACATTGGACTTTGAGGACTCGGGGGAAGGTGTGGGAGTGGTGAAGGATAAAAGACAACACATTGGGTACAGTGAACACTGCTTGGGTGATGGGTGCACCAAAATCTCAGAAATCACCACTAAAGAACTTATTCATGTAACCAAACAGCACCTGTTCCCCAAAAACCTATTTAAAATTTTTTTAATAAAATAAAATAAAGGAAGCCCCCCCCAAAATTATTTATGTGATGTTTTCTCAATTAATGTATTCCTTTTGTTTTCTGTGGTATCTGGTTCTTCACATGTTTGAAGGCAGTTCCCAAAGCTCATGTTACTCATTGTATAGCATAGGATTTGGCACAGATTGAGAACTTAATTTGTTGGGTGAATATATTAATTTTTATTTACTCATAACATTATTGGGAGAAATTATATGGAATGACTCTTGCAATTGTTCCCCCAAAAAGCTTCTAATTTTTTTGAAAACAAATTGAACAAAACTATCTAAAAGTAAAAGTGAAAATGCCAGATTAGATCTGTGAGCAAAATTCAAATAGCACACCAAACCTTATTCTCCATCCTCCAAAAAAGAAAAATTCACAAATCTATAATACATAAAGACTGGTTATTAGAATATGACCATATATGACACAATAGCCATATAGTGACACTTAATTTGACAGCTGTTCACTGTGTCATGTTATATATGTGTCAGATTAAAAATGACACTAATAATTCAGTACTGGTATAAATATATAGGTTTAAAAAATTGGGATTGTGAAAAGAAATATGAAATGTAGATGTCTCTATGTTATCTAGTTATATTATACAAAAGTCAAACATATAGTGTTCATTACTGCAATATTCAAATGGTATGGAGAATCCAGACTGAGTCTAGAAAAGAACAATAAATATTGTGGTACCTTTTGCTTTGCTTTTTTATTTTTATGTAACAGCTTCATTAAGATACAATTTACATACCATGTAATTCACCCATTTAAAGTGTACAACTCAATGTTTTTCAGTATATTCACAGAGTTGTGCAGCCATCACCACAATCAATTTTAGAACATTTTCCTCATCCCAAAAAGGAACCTGTATCCATAAAAACAGCCTTTTTAGGCTGAATAATATTCTATTATATGTGTGTGTGTATACATATATATCACATCTTATTTATTTTTGTTTGCTGACATTTAGTAGATTCAGTAGATTTTCTTGAATAAATGCTTCTCCATTTTTGGTATGCCCTTAGGACGATTTCCCAGACTTTGGCTTTTTAAAAAATAATTTTCATCAGTTATGATTCAAATTGAGAAATTAGTGTTAAACAATTTTCCTAAGTATTGGTATCAATTTACACTCTTACTTGTTTGAGTAGATTCAAATTCTCTTCATTACTTAGCTCTGTCTTTCTTTTTTAATTTTAGACATTTTGGTTGGCATGTAGCAATATTTATTATTTCTTTTAAAAAAATCAACATTATTGAGGTATGAATTACATGCAGTAAAATGAACCCATTTTAAGTGCTTTGAAATATGGTGAGTTTTGAAATATTTATAGAACATGTAACTGTTGTATAAATCAAGACACAGAACAATTATTTCACCCTAAATTGTTCCTCTGTGTTCTCTACCTGTCAATCAGTGGTTGTCTGGGTTCCCCAACTGCAGAATCCAGACAACCACTGATCTGTTTTCTCTCAATATGGATTAAATTTGCTGTTCCTCGAGTTTCAAATTAATGGATACAAACAGTATAAACTCTTTTCATCTGACATTTTTCTCCATGTAATGTTTTTAAAATGCATCCATGTTATTGTATATATAAATTGCTCATTCCTATTTATTTTTTTCCAGTTATGACCTATAATGAATAAAGCACCTCTGAATATTTATCCAAAAGAAATAAACAATATTATGTGAATATTTTCTATTCACAAATACATTCTGCATAAATACTTCTGTGAATATATATTTTTTATTTCTTCTGGTTAACAATCTATGGGTGCAAATTATTAGATCATACAGTATATGCATGCTTAACTTTATAAAAATTGCTAAACCATTTTTCAAAGTGGTGGCACAATTTTACATTCCTAGCGCCAACATAATAAATATATAAGAGCTTCAGTTGTTCCATATCCTTGCCAATGCTTGATATTGTCTGGCATAATCTTTCTCAAATGGATGCAACCATTCCCTCAGTTCAGATGTTTTAGGCCTCTCAATTGGGATTGATTAAGGGCCTATTAATCTCCATTATAGCTACTAAAACTATATTTTTTTCCTCAAAAAATCTAGATAATATAAAGTAGAGCCTCAGGAAGCTGATTCTGTCTTTCCTTCCTAGGTATTCTATGATTAATTAGCTTTCTCCAAAAATCTCTGAATGTTAAAAGACTCTGATTAATACTCTTTCTCTATCTGTTAAACTCTATCTTTGTCTCTATCTGTTAAACTCCACTACCTATCGCAACAGGATCCAGTCACACCCACTGAAATCCAGGAAAGCAAATTACATGGCAATGTGCCCACCCCGTCCCCATTGCCTTCACTGTATAGAGGTTGGATGGCCTCCAAGAAATATTTTAAGAATTCTGGTGACCCACTCAATGATGAATTTCCTGATTCCTTGGTGAAAGAAGGGTCCTCTGGGATTCCCAGGGAGTATGGTTAGCAGGCATCTGATTAAATTGCATCAGATAATTCCATTACCACATTCCCATTTACCTGAATCCTCAGACTTCTTTCTCTATGAGATTTTTGAGAAATATCTGCATTTTAATTTTATTATCTTTAGGCCAGTGGAGTTTTACTATCCCTATGTCCAGAGGGCAGAGAGGAATATCAAAACCTGAATGGAGATGGGTGTGTGGAGAGAGCCAAGTTGAAAGGAGCTGTGATCTTTGAACAAATGATGTTTGCCACTAGAAGAGATTCCTCAGGAGGAGAACCAAGGAACAAACACCCTGACCTTACTCTGCTACCTTTTTCAGATTTTGGCAAAGGGCACCTCACTGGCAAAAATCCACTAGAACCCAGAGGGCACGGGAGCCTTGTTGATGCGGTTCATTCAGGTCAGCCTCGTGAGACAAACAGCAAGGAAGAGAAAGGTGGAGAGTGGATATGAGAGGAAAAAGGAACACACACAGCTGACGAGATCTGTAACTGAGTGTGTTCCTGTTCCTCCATACCATATTTTAAATTTCATAGGCTTATTGTCAGGGACAGGAAGTCCTCCTATTGCTCTTCTTCTCTCGGAGTGCTTTGAGTATTACTGACTTTTAAAAACTATATATTTTAGAATCTACTTGTATATACACACACTCTTGATACTGATGGGGATTTCATTGAATGTATTTACCAAATATGCGAGAATTGATGCCTTTGCATTGTAAATCTTCTAATTCATGAACATGATGAATTCTCCCATTTCTTTAGATCTTTAATTTCGTTTTTTAATGTTTTATAGCCTTTTGTCTTGAGGCCTTGCAAATATCTTTTAAAATTTATTTTTAAGTATTTTGTATTTTTATGCTATTTTAAGGATATATACATGTTACATTTTTTAATTTTTAATTTTTGTGGGTAGATTGTAGGTGTATATATTTATGAGGCACATGAGATGTCTTGATACAGGCATGCAATGCATAATTACATCATAGAGGCCAGGCATGTGGCTCACGCCTGTAATCCTAGCACTTTGGGAGGCTGAGGCGGGAGGATCACTTGAGGTCAGAGTTCAAGACCAGTCTAGCCAACATGACGAAACCCTGTCTCTACTAAAAATGCAAAAATTACCCGGGCATGGTGGCACTTGCCTGTAATCTCAGCTACTCAGGAGACAGGCACCAGAATCACTTGAATCTGGGAGGCGGAGGTTGCAGTGAGCCAAGGTCGCACCACTGCACTCCAGCCTGGGTGACGCAGTGAGACTTTCTTAAAAAAAAAAAAGTTTACATCATGGAGAACGAGGTATCCATCCCCTCAAGCATTTATCTTTTGTGTTACAAATAATCTAACTGTACTCTTTTAGTGATTTTAAAATGTACAATTAAATTATTATTAACTATAGACACGCTGTTGTGCTATCAAATGATAGGTCCTATTAGTTCTTTGCAGTTTTTTTGTACCCATTAGTCATCCCCACCTATTTTTTTATTTTTATTTTTTGAGACGAGTCTCGATCTGTCGCCCAGGCTGGAGTGCAGTGGCATAATCTCGGCTCACTGTGGCCTCCGCCTCCCAGCTTCAAGAGATTCTCCTGCTTCAGCCTCCTGAGTGGCTAGAATTACAGTCATGGGCCATCATGCCTGGCTAATTTTTGTAATTTTAGTAGAGATGGGATTTCACCATGTTGGCCAGGCTGGTCTTGAATTCCTGACCTCACGTGATCCACCCACCTCGGCCTCCCAAAGTGCTGGGATTACAGGCGTAACCCTCCACCCCCAGTTCACCCCACCTATTTTAAGGACACTTTTTAAAGGTTCATTTAAAATTTCTGATTGCTTTCATATAAAATGTAATTTTTAATACTACATAGCTAAACTCAGTAATGTAATATATATTTGCAAATGATTTGGAATTGTATATATCACAGTCATGCCATCTGTGGCTAATATTTATAGTCTTGTTTCTAATTATTAAAACTTTTATTTCTTTATTTTTCTTAAATATTGGTTAGGACCTTCAGTATACTTTTTTAATAGGGATAGCGTTTTTTTGGCTTTCTTGAAATAAAGCATTCAACATTTTTCATTAAGTTTTATGTCTGCTTTGTTGTAATACATATAATTTAGCAGAATGAGGACTTTTTTTTCTATTCCTAATTTGCCATAAATTTATCTCTTTATTATGAATGAATATTTACTTTGTATTAAAAACTTTTGTGTAACTGTTGAGATTATTAAATCATGTTTTTATTAATGAGAATTATTACTTTAATTCATTTAAGATGTTATATAAAGATTATATAAAACCCAACTTGGTTGTGATATGTTATTCTTTTTTATAACTGCTAATTCTTTTTACTAATAGTTTGTTTAGAATTTTTGAATTTATGTTCATTTAGTGAGATTATCCCATAATAATTTTTTAAAAAATATTTCTTTATTCAGGTTTAGTATCAAAATCATGCTGGCCTTGTAAAATAAATTGGGAAAACATTTTCTCATTTTTTCTCTGTATTTAGATAAGTTGAGTAACTAGGTTATCCTGCTACAATAATCAACTCCAAAATCTCAGTGTGTTACAAAAACTGTTAATTATTTTCTGCACATACCTAGTTCATTTTGGATTATTATGAAGACCCCTACCCTGCTTTGATGAGATTCTGACTGCACTCTATGCAGGGAGTTATTTTGCCCATTGTTTTTTACATTCTCTGGCTCAGTCCTCTGGAATATTCTTTTTCTCTTATCTCCTTTGACCACATATTAAGGAATATGCCTGCCTTGGTGGATAAATTGGTTTCTCAGCCCACCTTCTGCTGGGCTTATGAAGCACCCAAGAATTATTTTCTATCTCTAACAATCATAGTTTGTTTTAGTCAAAGCTTCTTTTGGTCATCCATTTCTTTCAAAACATTAATTGCCTTCTTATCTATCTGAATACAATAAAAACCATGTATTTATATATTAAAATACATAAAAGTAAATTTATGTATTTATGAAATTTGTTTATATATAAAATATATAAATAAATAAAATGATAATATTTATAAAAACTGCTAAAATCAACATGAGATTGGAAGATAAAATGGTTTATAGTGCTACTTCAAATCTGGAAATTCAACAGTTTAAGATGAGAATCAGCAAACTGCTTCTGAATTTCATGAAATACATAGGTTCATTTAATCTTATTGTTCAGCAACGATTTTAAAAAGCACTTTGTATGATGGTTAATAGTGAGTGTCAACTTGATTGGATTGAAGGATGCAAAGTATTGTTCCTGGGTGTGTCTGTGAGGGTGTTGCCAAAGGAAATTAATAGTTGAGTCTGCACTGGGAGAGGCTGACCCACCCTTAATCTGGGTGGGCACCATCTAATCAGTTGCCAACTCAACTAGGATAAAAGCAGGCAGAGGAATGTGGAAGGACTTGACGGGTTAAGTCTTCCATCCTTCATCTTTCTCCCATGCCAGATGCTTCTTGCCCTCAAACATCAGGCTCCAAGTTCTTCAGCTTTTGGACTCTTGGGCTTACAGCAGTGGTTTGCCAGGAGCTCTCGGACCTTTGACCGCAAATGGAAGGCTGCACTGTCGGCTTCCCTACTTTTGAGGTTTTGGGACTCCGACTATCTTCGTTGCTCCTCAGCTTGCAGACGGCCTAATGTGAGACTTCACCTTTCGATTGTGTGAGTCAATACTCCTTAATAAACTCCCCTTCATACATACAACTCTCCTATTAGTTCTGTCTCTCTAGAGAACCCTGACTAATACACTTTGTGATTTACTTTAACCCAAGATAGAAACGTAATAGTTGGAAATCGCAAGAAAGAATGCTGCTTTATATATAAACTCAATAAGGAAACTTTTTTTTTACAGAGGAATGTTTACATTATAAGGTCTCAACTGTGCCACTAATGTGCCTTCTTCCTGTCTGTGCTTCATGTATTTTCCCTAAGCTCCTGAGCAGGTGGCTTCCTTTATGGAGTGCTAAGGTTTTTGTTTATCTTCCACTGTCATTTCTACTTCTGTGGGATTCCTGAGAGCACAGAAGTACTTGGCTGAGTCAGTTTTAAGGAATTGATGGTGAGGTTGATGAACTTTTTCTTTTTTTCAAAGTTCACAGGCTTTGCATTTGACTTAGAATAACCCTGATGAATAAGGAAAACCATCTCTTCACTGGGAGGTTGCTTGTTGCTTGTACCAGTATAAAGTGTACGAATTCTATCTGGTTTCAAACATGCAGTCCAAGGTCACAGCTACTCCTTTCTGCCTAGTTACTGTGGTCTGAACTTGGGTTACTTTCTGAGCCATGCTGGATCCTATGGGAAAAAGGAGAAAACAGAGTTGGTTCCCTTAAATGTCTCAGATGGGTCATGAGGACTAGATTAATTTATGGCAAAAGGACAAAGAAAATAATTAAATAGTGTTTCATTTCCCCACTTCCCTTACCTCTTACTTAATACTCCACCAGTTCCAATTTGTGCAGCCCAGCTCTCGAGGAAGCTGCAGTCCCATGTTTGGGGCCGCCCATAGGTACTGAAGCCAAAGGGGACCACGAATGCCCACAGCAGGCCAGGGCAGAGCATGGTAGAATTTCTTCTTATGGTTGAAATTTGCTTCCTCACTCAAGCCTGGAAACAAAATGCTTCTCTGAGTGCCTGAGTGCAAAGTCCCTGGAGAAGTTCAGTGTTTCTGCCCCCAAACAGGAAATAAAGTGTGCAAGTAGTATGTTACATTGCTCTATTCAGAGACTGAAAAATCTACCCTACCCCAAATCTCTGTTTTGTCTTGGTGTTTTCTGTGGCAATACATTTGAAAAATTAACCTTATATCTAGCAAGGTACAGGAATAAAGTTTAATAATCATTTTGTTATTGAATTTTTGCTTAATACCATATGGTCAGAGACTATGACTATTCTGAATGATTTAAGTTCTTTGAAATTGATTAAGGCTTACTTTATGTTTCAGAATATAGTCAATTTTGCTAAATATTCCTTGTGTAATCTGTTCTTTTGAGGTAAAGTATTCAATCTATGTATGTGAGGTAAAGGATATTAGTTGTGTTGGTCATAATTTCAATACTTTTCTACTGAGAGATGTGTGTTAATGCCTGACATGATGGTTGTATAATTATTTATTGATCTTTTAATCAATAAATTCTACCAATTTAATTCTACTGGTCAACTCTACTGATTTATGTTTGATATATTTTGAAGCTACGCCATTAGGTATATATAAAAATAGAATTTGTTCTGGGTAGATCGTACTCAATCATTTTGATGTGTTGCTCTGTGTCTCTAGTAATAATTCCTGGTTTAATGTCAATTTTATCTGATATTAGTATAGCTACCCAGCTTTCTTTTGGTTGGGGACTCCAAATGTCTTATTATTCACATGCAAAAGAATGAACTTTCATCCCTACTTCTCACCATATTCAAAAATTAACTTGAAGTGGAGCAATAACCTCAATGTACAAACTGAAACTATGAAACTCTTAGAAAACATAGATATAACTATCTGTGACCTTGGATTAGGCAATGTTTTTAAAAATATGACATATAAAGCACCAGCAACTAAAGAAAAAATAGATAAATTAGACTTCATTAAAATTTAGAACACTTCTGCTTCAAAAAACACTATTAAGAAAGCAAAAAAAAAAAACATAATCTATAGAATGGGAGCATCTATTTGCCAATCATATGTCTCATAAAAGTCTAGTATCCAGAACATATAAAGAATTCTTACAACTCAACAATAAGAAGACAACCCAATTAAAAACAGCCCAAATACTTGAGCAGACATTTTCTAAAGCAGGTACACAAATGGCCATTAAGCACATGAAGATAGGCTTAGCCTTATTAGTCATTAGGGAATTGCAAGTGAAAACCACAGAGGGATACTACTTTATGCCTACTAAGATGGGTCTAATTAAAAAGACGGACAATAACAAATGAGAATGTGGAAAAATTGGAATCCTCCCTTACTGCTGACAGTAATGTAAAGTAGTGAAGCCACATTGAAAAATAGTTTGGCAGTTCCTCAGAAAGTTAAACATAAAATTACCATATGACCCACAATTCCATTTTTATGCATAATACCCCAAATACTAAAAACGTATGTCCACACAAAAACTTGGTCACAAATGTTCAGCCTTGAAATTATTATGGTAAGTGAAAAAGCCAGTAAAATATGTGAATATGTGAATCATACAATACGTGACATGATAGGTCACATATTGTACAATTCCATATGTATGAAATATCTAGGATAGGCCATAGAGACAGAAAGCAGATTAAGGCGTTGTTAGGGGCAGATGTGCTGAGGAGGGGATGAGAGTGACTTATAATAGGTATGATTTTTTTTTTTTTTGGCGAGTGATGATAAAGTTTAGGAATTAGTTGTGATGGTTGCACAGATTTGTGATGATATTAAAAATAACTGAATGGTATACTTCAAAAGCATGGATTTTATGCTATGTGAATTATATCTCAATTTATCAAAATAGAATAAACAGAACTATTCTATGGTTTTATGTAAATAAGAACAATTCTTACTTTAGTGGAAGTGTTGTCTGGGGGGGAAACATGAGAGAGTTTTCAGGATTATGGGAAATGTTCTATATTTTAGTTTCAGTGATGGTTGTATGGCATATACATTTGTCAGAACTCATTGAACTGTACTCTTGAGATCTGTGTACCTTACTAAACTATGCTACAATACAAACAAAACTAATAATTTGAACACAATCTGTGTCCATCAACAAGAGATTGACTAAATAAAATGTGGTATAGTCACACAATGGCAAAATTTGAAACTTTAAAGAGAAGGAGATAGCCAGTTGATGGTTGTTAAAGCTGAATGAAAGATACAAAGGAGTTCATTATACAATTCTTCCTAGTTTGTGTGTGTTTGAAAATTTAGATTAAAAATAATAAGGTAGCTGTCTTCATGTACTGACAATGATGGTTTCCCATGATATAGTTTAAGTAAGAAAGCATGGTAACAGAACAGTGTGGATGGTATGCTACATTAATATATATGTTATATATATACCCACAAGCATATATACATACATCATTTTTATATATACATATATATATATACACATCATATATATGTATATATGTATAATGTTCAAAGAAAATTTCAGTGTAACAGTGGTTATACTAGGCTGTTGGGGATAGTGGGGATAGAGGTAAAGAGAAAAGTTACTTTTCACTATATATCTTTTTGTATAATTTTTATTTTATACCATGTATACTTATTACTTATTCAAAAATCCGAGAATAATTTATATGAAAAATACTTTCTCTTTTTTTTTTTTGAGATGGAATCTTGCACTGTCACCCAGTCTGGAGTGCAGAGGCAGGATCTCGGCTCACTGCAACCTCTGCCTTCCAGAGTCAAGCGATTCTCCTGCCTCAGCCTCCTGAGTAGCTGAGATTACAGGTCCACACCACTACGCCCAGCTAATTTTTATATTTTCAGTAGAGATGGGGTTGCACCATGTTGGGAAGTTTGGTCTCGAACTCCTGACCTCAAGTGATCTACCCGCCTCGGCCTCCCAAAGTGGTAGGATTAAAGGCATGAGCCACAGTGCCCAGCCTCACTACTCTTAACTCTACAGATTTTGTTTATGTTTTTTGCCTCATGAGGGAGTTGGTAGGTTTTTTTCTCTATTTTGAACAGTTTGACTAAAATAACTATTATCTTCCTTTCTTGAAGGAACATTGGAAAAAAGAGAAAGATCACACTGTTGCTACTGTACATACAGACCTATGAGGTATGAAGGAATTGGTGAATTTGGGCAAAATCCTAAAACTCCTAGGTGGTGTCATTGATCCCTGGATATACACTGTCATCAAAATGTTTCCCCAGTTAATTTCTGGTGAGCAGACATCCATTGGAGGAGAGAAGCAGAATACAATTAAATTTTGTCATGTCTTTCTGTTCATCCTGCTCAATCCTCAACACCAAGAACAATGTCTGGCACAGAGTAGGCAGTTGGTAAATATTTTCTGAATGTAGAACAGTTGCAAGACAAAAATCTTTGCAGGAATTCTTCTGGTGGCTATTTGAATTGTAACTTTTATGACTGAATACCCGTACTATGAAGGTGGATGTCCAGAGGAGAATGGACATAAATGTTATATGATAAATATACTTGATATGTTAAGTTGCTATGAATTAGGGCATATGCAGACACACCTGGAATGAAAATACTTATAATAAATAATGAGTGTGTGATGATTTTAAAATATGATGATTTAAAAATTTTAAAATTTTTTCAAAAATGAATCTTCTTTTTTTTTCTGAAGGCCAGCAGATTGCCACCCAGAAGAGTTTTAGGTGTCCTTGTTTTATTATGGAAGTGTAGGATCTCAATGAAACAACCTCAGATATTCCAATGAGGTTATCTTTATTATTTACATATCTATTTAAAACAACACTACTTCTCCTCTCGAATACATTGGAGTTAGTACAAAGTATACCAGCTCATTTTGAGTTACTTTAAACGTAATGATTTTGTAATCACAATTATTAGATTTCTGCATTCATTTCAATTTAGAAACAAGCACATTATGGTAAACCATTCTAACCCAAAACCCGTTCAAAGACAAAGAATGTGACTGGACTCCCAGTTGCAGGTTTGAGTACAGGTTGCAGGTGCCTGAAGAGTTCTGTGTTCTCACTGCACAGAAGTACAGGAATGAGTCTCCTGGTTGGGTGGCTGTAATATGCAGGGAGACATGTTTAGCATTTTTATTCAACAGTACAGTGAGCCTTCTGTCCTGTTTTCTATCCACATTTGAATGAATCTCCATTAAGATATTAGGGCCTTCCCCGTTTTCTTCTTGTACCAACAGAAATAATTCAAAGCTCCATCTGTATAACTGTCATTAATAACGGCCATTTCTCTCTCCTAGACATTTAGATTTGAATAACTCTGTATCACATCCTTTTCTTGGCCAGTCATCACCGTTGAAACAAGGAAAATGGGTTACTGGGTCATTTTCCGAATGTACGTTTTCTTTGCAGAGTATCAGCAGAAAACCAGGGGAGAACTAAAATGAATCCCCCTCCTTCCCCAGACTTGTGATGGACCCCTCCAGAAGCCCTGCACTTACGCTTCAGCTGAATTTGAATAAAGCTCCCAGGGACTTTTCCATTCTTCTTGCCATTAGAATCATCAATGATCTATACTATCTGGGAAGGAGAACATATTCTATTCTCAGTGTATTCTTGCTCTTTCTTAACCTGGCTATAAGCCAATAGGAGACAAGCTATGCTCTGCCCAACAGAGTTGAACATTCCATTTCTCTGCATGTGAAAATGAAGTGCTGCCATCCTGTGTACAGACCTCTAATTGCCAAGGCCACGTGTATAACACACATTCTGTCTTTAGAAGGAGAGCTGGCATGTCTGCCTATCCCTTAGAACATCTTACTTCACAAGTAGGAAATTAGTAGAAAGTCATATTTCTGGTTTATATTTCTGGTGATTAAGTTACAGATCTTGCATTTAAAGTTTCTGATCTGTAGTAGTTCTTTATAGGGTTTAAGGTAGATATAAGGGGAAAAAAAGCCTGACAGTACAAAGTAAGAACAGAAAACTACTAGACTCAAATGAAAACATAGAGAATGTTATCCATTGATGCCTTCTGCACTTTTTTTTTTTAAATAAAGAAGAAGCAGATATTCATGCCATGTAGTAACAGTCTTCTTTGGTGTCCTAGTAAGATAAAGTCTCTATTCTAAGACAAGCAGTGTTGGAGCTAAGCTTCAGACCCACTGAGAAACTTCTTATCATCAATGTGTCCTTCTGAGTCTTAAGTTAAAACATACTGAATGGGAAGCTTTGAGGAAGTGACTGACAGCACAAATATGAGGGAACTGGTGCTTAAATAATAACCCCAAATGATGATCTGTTACCACAAAATGGTCACTCCAGACTCACTCTCAAGAAAGTCTGGGAAAGACAAATATTTTATTAGAGATGCGGGTTTCTATTTTAATGTTTATCTTTAAAGAAGCAACAGTGCAGAGTCTTCAGAGAGACCATTAGAGTTACTCATTTGGATTTTAGAGACTCTTCCTGGTTCGAGTCTAGACTGACTGTATCTCTCATTTTATTAGTCATTTTGGATCTGGCAGGAAAGATAAACTCATAGTCAAAGAAAATAAATAATGTACAGCCTTTGATTTCACTTTTATCACTGAACTCTAGCAGCTAGGCACCAATCAATGAGACAGAGGCAGAGCTCATGGCTTAGAAGAGTTTGGCTATGTTGGCCAACCTTGCATTATTCTGTTTCTGGTCAACCATGTCTTACAGATGGTGGTGTTTTGTTTTGTTTTTTTTTTTAATGGAGTTTTGGTCTGTTGCCCAGGGTGGATGGAGTGAAGTAGCATGATCTTGGCTCACCGCAACCTCCACTTCCCGGGTTCAATCGATTCTCCTGCCTCAGCCTGCCAAGTAGCTGGGATTACAGGCATGCACCACTGCACCTGGCTAATTTTTTTATTTTCTTTTTAGTAGAGATGGGGTTTCGCCATATTGGCCAGGCTGGTTTCGAACTCCTGACCTCAAGTGATCCACCCACCTCAGCCTCCTAAAGGGCTGGGATTACAGGTGAGCCACCATGCCCAGCCCAGATGGTGTTCCTAAGAAACATTATAAAGATTGTTTCTTCCAGCTGCGCGCAGTGGCTCACGCCTGTAATCCCAGCACTTTGGGAGGCCAAGGTGGGCAGATCACAAGGTCAGGAGTTTGAGACCAGCCTGGCCAACATAGTGAAACCCCATCTCTGCTAAAAAATACAAAAAATAAGCCAGGAGTGGTGGCGGGTGCCTGTAATCCCAGCTACTTGGGAGGCTGAGGCAGGAGAATCGCTTGAACCCGGGAGGTGGAGGTTGCAGTGAGCCAAGATTGTGCCATTGCACTCCAGCCCAGGCAATAATGTAAAACTGTCCAAAAAAAAATTTGTTGCTTCTTTGTTCTACCATTAGTTGCAAATCTTCTTTTGGAAATTTAGGACTGCCTGTGTTGAATTTTCTATTTTAGGCTCTCAATAAGTTTAACTGGATGAAAAGGAAATGAGAATGGAATAGAAGGGCTAAAGTAGTCTCATATATTCAAAATGCTTAAATAAAAGAAGCACAAAAGCAGGCACACAATGAAGTTCAATTGGAAGGCTTTCCTCTACTGAGTAATTGGACGAATTGGCATGCAGACTTAATATTAGAATTCCTCATCCAGTTCCATGATATTATCAATAGATTTATTTTAAAAAATTGGGGCATAATTGATGGCTATTGCAAAGAAAAGGTAGAGCATCTTAGGATGTAAATTAGGTAAATTTGTGCAGAACTGACCAACATTCTAGTAACACCAGGAACACCTGGCTCAGAAAGGCGTTGGAAAAATTATTATTTCATGAAGTATTCAGAGCAGTGTGCCTAGTTTTGTCCCAAAGAGATTTTAATAACTACTTTCTGAAGTAGGAGTGCTATATATTTTTTATTTTTTTGAGACTGAGTCTCACTCCGTCACCCAGACTGGAGTGTAGTGGTGTGATCTCAGCTCACTGCAACCTCCGCCTCTCAGGCTCAAGTAGAAGTGCTATTTAAAACAGGTTTCATCCACATTGAGGAATTATCTGCTAACTGGCAGAAAGATCCCACTGATATCTGATATATGTGCAAGACATTTAAAAAGACTTTAATCTGAGCTTTATTATCCTGTAGAGAGGATTGATGTACATGGTCCTGAAGTACCATGGAGCTGGTATACTAAATGTCATCGGTTTAAGAACCAAGGAGAGAAAAAATTGGGAGACAAGGAAATCCATCACACATCACAATTATGTGCCTGACTTTTTCCCAAAGAGATTTTTAGTAACTAGTTTCTGAAGTAGAAGTACTATTTAAAACAGGTTTCATCTGCATTGGGGAATTATCTGCTGGCTGGCAGAAAGATCCCATTGATATCTAATATATGTGCAAGACATTAAAAGGGACTTTAATCTGAGCTTCCATTCAAAAGAATGGAATACAACCTTAGATGTTTTATTTTTGTACCAAATATACAATGGACTCTGTTGGAAGAGTAGAGAGATCTTTTTTACTGACAGTTTCAATATGCGTTCTGAACAGTATAAATTTAAAAGGTATCTTGATATAGCAAGGCTTCAATGGATAGACCAATAGAATCCATCACACATCAAAATTTTTGTTTCCTTGTCTCATTTTTTCCCTCTCTATTGGTTCTTAAGCTCATGATATTTGGTATACTAGCTCCATTGTACTTCAAGACATTAGCACTCCATTCTACAGGATAATAAAGCTCAGATCAAAGTCCCTTTTTAATATATTGGATATCAATGGGATCTTGCACATATATTGGATATCAATGGGGTCTTTGTTTGCTTGAGCTATTAACAACTTTGCAAGACACGGTGAGCTCTGCTGCCATGAAAAAGGTAGAGGGTAGGTGAAAATTGTCAGTGCTTCAATTTCAGTTTGTTTTCTCTGTATCAGTAAAGCTACAGCCAGGACTTGTGTATACGTGTACATGAAAACACACAACTTAGTATTTAAAAAGCTAATTTTCCTTTGATAGTCCAATCATTGTAGTCTATCTGAGGAATGAATGCATTTTTTTCATTAGTAAAACATATTCACACCTACTTCTTGTGAAATCATAACACCAGCATTATTATGGCAAAGATATTTGCACCTTCTTTCTTGGCTTGTGTTTTCCAATATAAAAAGCCCCAGATTAATGTCATTGTCTCTGCCTGAACCATTTACTGACTAGAATCAAGCCCATGCATCTCCCTCTAATTGCCAAGTTTCTCCTTTAATGTCAAAGAATGAGGATGTTCATGCCTTCACAATCAGATGGCTATAAATCATACTTTTGAGGAAATCAGTTCCTGAGATGCCTGAAATTTATTATTGAAATCAACCACTTTTAAGTGTTAACGAGTTTCAGGGATTTTAGCAGCATATTCTTTGTCATATCCTTTCCAATATACTTTCATAGTGTAAGAGCTCACCTATATCAATATGCCAAATACTAAAGCAGATGTCTCATTTAAACTTCTTTTATTCAACATATCAGAAGACAGGGTAAATATAAAGTTGCCCTCCAAAGAGCTATATGCCATTTCCCAAGATGGCCTAATTTAGTTTATTTTCCAAGTTAGGCATCTGGATATTTTTCCTGCCAGAGTGCAGTGGTCTTCCGTGATTGAAAAGCCTAAGCAGATGCAGGAAGTTTGGGGTGTCTAGATTTCAGCAATGTACATTGCAAGTAAAAAATGTTATGCACTCGAGTCCCAGTCCATAGTCTCTTGGAGTCTGTGCAATAATATTTATTTTTTTTCCCTGTTATAAACTCAATGTTGTAAAGGAGCAATGAAAGGATATGACGTATTTCAAGAGCTGTTATTAGTGGCTTATTGGTGCCTACCACATGCCAACCACTGTGCTTTTAATTTGATATCAATTCTTTCATTTAATCCTCAAAGACTCGAAGAAGTTCAAGAACACAAAGAGGTAGCATATGAACCTAGATAGATCTGATAAACAAATCAAAGTATTGATTATATTATTCTGCTAATGTATCAGAACCTACAACAAATCTTAGATAAACAAAAGACTAATGAGAAACATCCCTTTTTATCAGCTTCCTCATAGTTATACCTAGTGAATAAAAGTATATGAATGAACATCTTTTAAGGTAAAACTCCACGGAGATAAAGAATTGAGAGAAGATAATATAATGCAAGTCACAATGGTGGTTCAGTCAGCCTAATATGGCTCTGATAGTGGTATCCAACCATGTTGTCTCCAGGAATAGAAAGTAGGAAGTAGAAGGATCTGAAAATAGAAGGTCTAGAATACTATCCTTAAATACATAAGTTTTCCTAAAACCATCTTACTGCTTTGTGAGCCACTTAAAAGCTGGCTTCTTGAATTACTATTGATTTATGAATCTCTATTTTTTAGAGTACTCTACCTCAGCTTTTAGCTGTCCCTGAATTCCTTCAGCACAAAGAGGATCTCTCTTTCTGTTCCTCACCCCTCACTCCTCTAGCAATAGTTTGCCGTTGCTTGTTATTTAGTGCTTACGAGGCTCGCTGTGTGGGTAGGTGGACTTCTCTGTTGTCTTGGTCCAGCTTCAATCTTAGACTGGCCCCATGTGCTTGGATCTTGGATTTAGGGTTTTCTCAGCATTCATACCTTTCCTCCCTGTGGCAGCCAAACACTGCCGTGTTTCTCTGTGGGTGTGGTGTGAGAGAGTTTTCTGCTTCTTTCTTACAGGTAGCAAAATTAGAATGGTATTGTTACAGGGTCTTCAGCTCAGAATGGTTTCCTGTCTCTACCCAAAGGTAGAGATTTTTTTCCCTTGACTCTTTTCTTTGCTGTTGTGGATCTTAACCTGTGCTCTAGGGGGTGACAGAATGCGCTGTCAGGTCTTTAGCCCCATCCCCAACAGCTTAAAGCTTTTCCTCCTGCAAGAGGCTGATTTAGGCAAGAATGCTGGGATTTGTGCTTTCCTGCAGTGACTGCCAATTATGTCTTGTAAGCCTACACTTTTGCTGGGGCTCTCTCTGTGTCTCACCCTGCCCCTAATTACTTCTTCCAACATCTGTGAAATGGCCCTACCAGTGAATATAAACTCCTTCTATGTCTGCAACTCCCAGCAGTTCTATATTCTGATGATAGCTCTCACTCAATCTTTTACCCAGTTTCTTTTTCTTGCTTGTATGGCAGATAACATTTCTTTTTCTATGCTCTGCTGCAGTTGTGCCAGTCCATAAGCTGCCTGTCTCCCTTGGAGGAGTGTTTTCCTCATTGGAGTCCAGCCTACTTATTTGCCCTGTAATCTCAGGTCTCTGATGGGTTAAAGCAAAGTTACAATTTTTCTATTTATCCAGCTTTACTTATTGAGGCAGAAGCAACACTCTTTTCTAGCAGGAATGGGAACTCTAGCCATCTTCCATTGCATCTAAAATTGAAATATTGGTATCAGAAACGCAAGACCTTTGTCAGTATTCTCTCTGAACCATAAGAAGCATTGCAAATCATATTATCACTGTACATCACAGATCATAATTGAAATACCTCTCTCCTATTCAGTCTGAGAAGGAGGGCATTGTTTTCCCTTCTGCTGCACCATTTTCCCTTCCATTTTCTTTTAAAAGAAGACTAAGGTCTTTTCTCAAAAAATGTTGAGAGAATTTTATATTTAATTGTTAAAAGTCTCACAGAGACTAGAGTCTTTATTGGGCCGCTTGATGGAAGAATTGGCAAGTGTCTGAGTTATTTATTCTGTGGCTTCAGTTAGGTTGTGAGTCATGGTAGTAAATTTGGACTCAATAAGGAGAAATCCCAAGAAACATAGCAAGGCTGAGGAATTAGATAATTACAATTTACTTTGGTTCGGATGGGTTTTCTCTGGGCTCTTCATAGATTTTGAAGATGCGATTATGGATATTATGAATATCTACAGAGCAGTCTCCACATTTTTATCTACCTTGGGCTTAATAAAAAAAATATGGAGAGAAACAATTTTTAATCCATACAAGAGAACTTGGATATTTCTCTTGAAACAATTAGAAGCAACTGAAGAGCTTTGCGTAGGACATATTTTCATTTCCTGAATGAACAAGTGATTGACTGAACCAATGAGAGTAAGAATCCAAGTATGGCAATCTTATTTTGAATTCAGATAGATAAAATTTTAGAGGAGGAATGTCCAGTTTGCTCTGAAATAGGTAACAACCAAGAAAGGGCAGATACTTTGTGTATTCCAGTTTTGGTGTTGGCAAGTTGTCAAAACCTTAGCTGAGAGCACAGAATTAAGAGAAGAGGAAGGTTAAGGCTTAGGCACTGTGTCAGGCCTGCAGCCACATGTGATAGGGTTCACTTAGCATCCTTAGCAGAGGATTCATAGGAGGGATTTTTAGGAGAATCTGTAGGGAAGAAAAATGACTCATCAGAGTCAGAAGACTAGTCTTATGTGCTTGACCGAAACAATTGGGTTTGGGGACTGAATAAAGAAATACGGGATTTAGAAACTGCAGTCTCATTTCTGGAGTTTCCATGAATTAGTTAGGTGGCTACAAGATTAACTACAGATCCTAGCATCTGTAGCAGTGTCTCCCCACATATCTCCTTTCTCTGTTGTGGTTAACCAAATCTTGTGATAGGCATGTGACTGCAGGGAGGACCCAACTAGCAGACCCAGCTGCAAGGAACATGAGAATCAGAAAGCATGGTAAGCCAAGCTGGAGTTGGCAGGATTAGAGTGAAATGTAGCCAAGGAGATAGAAAAATGCATCTGGTCCAGAATAGGCTGCTGTTCTACATGGTCCAAAAGTACTCCAGTCTATAGTCTCACCAAGATTGCATCTCTCTGGCCAGTGTTTAGGGATCCTGCCATAAAAATCTTTATTTTGTATGCGTGTTTTTTTTCCCTAGTGTCTTCCATACTATTTTCCTCAAGAGATTTGGTTGAGCAGATATAAAGTCCTGTACAATCAATTAAGCTTTAAAATTCCATGTTTCACATGTTGCTTTTTTAAACGGCATACTCCATGGGAAGAAATAGAGATGTGATGTCATCCGAGCAGTATGGCTTTTACATGTGGTCCTGTGTGGTTTCTAAGGCAGTTGTGAGGGTGTGCTTCCTGGAATGAACTCAATGACTTCCTTTCTGGGTCTTATCTTATGCACCCTAACCACCAGCTGCTAACAAATGCCTGGGTAAGGTTTGTGAGTTTTTCCTGAGAATGTGGGAATAGGCAATTGCCTCAGGTTGAGTTCCGATCTTTTTGTAAGGCTCTTCTAACATGTTCTTCACAGTGGGCTCTTTGAGACAACAAAAATATGTTGCAGGTCTTCTGGCTGTGATGATGATATGATAAGCTGAATAGTTTTAGTTGCTTTCTGGAAGCTCACAGAATATTGACCCTGTGTCGCATTGGTTTCTGCATCTGTTTGCTGATAAATGAGGAAAATAATCTTCCCATTGGGAGACCTTTTGTACCAATACAATATGTAATATACAATATTAGTTTTGTATGCACAGTCCAGTTTCACGGTCTCACCCTCCTGCGTAGATATTGCTGGTTGGGATTGAATGACCCTCTGTGACATGCTGGATCCCGTAAATGAGAAGAAATAACAAGATTGGTCCCCTGAGCTGACCTGTAAGAGAGCTTCCAAGAACTTTTGGGGCAGGGGTTAAACCTTCAGTAAAGGCAGGAGTCAGAATCTGGTTCCTTTCCTCTTCCTTCTTATTACACCTGAGTGTTTGTCACATATGACCAGTTGTTCATCCCCTCTTCCCTCCCCACTGTCTTCTCCCAGTCCTAGACTGTCCTCAGCCTATCAGCTACTGTCCTTACCAAGGAAGGCAGAGGCCATGAGTGCCCGTAATATGCTGCCAACAGTCATGTTGGCACCTCTATTTCTAGGAAAAAAAACTGCCTGCTCAGAGCCTGAGACCTACTTTATTCAGTTTTGTATAAAGCTCCACCTAGAATTATTGGAGGTGAGCAATGCATCTGTCTCAGAATAGGAAAGAAAGTGGTACAGTGGGGAAGGCAGGGGCAGGGACAAGTTGTTAAATCATATCCTGCTCATACTTGCACAGACTAAATTGAGCCACTAGATGTGTTTAAGACAGCTCTTTCCCTAGCAAAGTTTGCTTAGTTATTCTCCAGACATTTTGGGGCCACAAAATTTTATTCCCAGATTTAGACTGAGATTAAAAAGATACCTATATATTTTTTTGAGTGAAGAAAATATATTTTACTTTAAAATACAGATGTGGTTTTGTATCCTTGGATGTAGATAGACATACATATATTGTTACACACAAAATTTCAGGGTGATACTAGAAACTATGATGTTTTCCCTGCCTCCTTTCCATCTTAATTGATGATTTCAAACAATTCTTTTGCAGTCTACTCTGTTTTCTGATTATCTTAGACTTCTGCTTATCCTCCCAATGTGTGATTTTGGTAACTTTGTTAAGACAAAAGAAAACTTCCATTCTATTCAATTTTATTTCTCTTGGCTCAGTTATAATAGAAGATCACTTCCATTGATAAAATATTATTTCCCATCATCGTAGTCCATTTTATGTTACTATAAAGGAATACTGAGACTGGGTAATTTATAAAGAAAATAAATTTATTTGGCTCATGATTTTGTAGAGTATACAAGAAGAATGGCACCAGCATCTGCTTCTGGTGAGGGCCTCCGGCTCCTTCCACTCATGGTGGAAGGCAAAGGGGAGCTGTTGTTTGCAGAGATCACAAAGTGAGAGAGGAAGCAATAGAGAGGGGGACATACGAGGCTCTTTTCAACAACCAGTTCTCTTGGGAACTAACAGAGTGAGAACTTATTCATTCTCTCCACTCCAGAGCATTAATCTATTCAGAGGGATCTGCCTCCATGACCCAAGCACCTCCCATTCAACCCTAATTCTGACACTGGGGATCACATTTCAACATGAGATTTGAAGGGGACAAACATTCAAACTATAGCACTTGGGATTCCAGGCTACTGGACAGTTTCTGAGATAATAATACAATTATCTTTTTTCTCTACTTTTACCCCTAGCCCCTCAAGTTGCCCAGATTAAAAAAATATTCTGGAGCTGCCATACCATGTTGATTACCACCCATAATTTGATTTAGAGAACCTAGGCTCACTTAAAATGACCACCTTTGGTTAATAATAAAAATACTAGATAAAATTCACTGAACATTTATCATGCTCTAGGAACATTATGTACATATTATTACTTAATCCTCCCCTTGTGAGACAGTTGAATCTTGTGAGAAATTATTACAGAGAGGAGACAGAGGCTCAGACACATGCTCAAGATCACGTATACAGTAAATGAAGAACCTGGGATGTAATCGTCCTCTAATTTAAGAGAATGAATTTTAATTCCTGCATACTACCTCTTGTTACCTTCCTTTTCCTACTTCTTGTTATCTTATCTCTTTCTTTTATTTTTTGCCCAAAATTAAAACAGAGGAATTACTTCTATTGAGTTAAAAGAAGTGTTACAGATTATCATGAGATCTAGAATCTAAATCCTTTTATTAATCTTTTTTAGATTAATTTTATTGAATATAAATTACATGAAATAATATATCACATTTTAAGCATAACAGTCAAGCTGTTTTTGAAAAATGTATATGTAGCAGGATGAGCCACAGACAAAACCTCTCAGACACCAAGTTGTAGAAGGAAGGGCTTTATTCAGCTGGGAGCATCGGCACACTACTGCCTTAAAATCCAAGCTCCCCAAGTGCACAATTTCTGTCCCTTTTAAGGGCTCACAACACTAAAGATTTCACATGAAAGGGTTGTGATTGATTTGAGCAAGCAGGAGGTATGTGACAGGGGCTGCATGCACCAGTGGTCAGAGAGAAACAGAACAGGGCAGGGAGTTTCACAGTGTTCTTCTATACAATGTCTGGAATCTATGAATAACATCAGTTTCTAAGTTATGAGTTGATTTTTAACTACTGGGTTTAGGCCAGGCAGGCCCAGACCTGGTTTCGGGCCTGGCGTCAGGCTGCCTGTCTTTGGTTTTACTTCCTTGTTGTTTTTTCTTAAAACAGGTACTGAGTATAAAACAATATAAAACAGTACGAGAGGGTCTCTCTCTTCCCTCATTTACATCTGTGTAACCACTATCCTAATCAACATATAGAATATTTTATCACCTTTTAAGTTCCTATGTGACTTACTGTTGTCAATGTCCTTCTTCCATTCCCAATACCTGGAAACTACTGATCTGATTTTTGTCACCATCGATCAGATTTGCTTTTTTCTAAAATTTCGTATGTATACAATTATATGGTAGGTATTCTTTTGTGTCTAGCTTATTTCTTTCAGAATAATGCTTTAAAATTTATCCATATTGGTGAAAGAATCAGTACTTTATTTCTTTTGGTTGCTAAGTACTATTCAGTTTTATGACTTGTGATATTATGAAGTATATATTCAATCTTTGACCCCTTTTCCTGACATACGACTCCTAAAATACTTAGAAACTCTGAAGCGATGTCTTATCTTTGTTAATGATTGACTGAACGGATGGCTGGCAGCCCCTGGGTAACTTCAGGATGGGGGATGGGAGAGACAAAGGCATGATTAGAGAGTTGGGACTTTCAGCTCCATCCCCAATATCTGGGAAGGGGAGAGAGTCTGAAGGTTGACTACCAATGGCCAATGATTTAATCAATTATGCCTGTTTAATGAATCTTCCATAAAAACCTAAAAGGACTAGGTTCAGAGAGCTTCCAGATAGCTGAACACATGGAGGTTCCTTGAGAGCGGTGTGCCCCAAGACAGTGAGGACGCTCTGCACCCCTTTCCCCCATACCTTGCCCTTTGCATCTCTTCATCCTTATGCTTTGTAATATATGTATGCCTTTATAATAAACTAGTAAATGTAAGTAAGTGTTTCTCTGAGTTCTATGAGATGTTCTAGCAAATTAATTATTAATTGAACTCAAATGGGGGGTCATGGGAATCTCAATCTGGAAAGAAAAATAAAATCTGAAAACCACAAAGTTATTATGCCAAGGGGAAAATTAAGGTTGGAAACGGAGTCACACAAAACACTGCCTTCCTTCTGTTCCCAAACAGGTAACTCTAATTTCACATGCTTACTCTATCGTATGTAAAATGTAGATTTACTGAGGATGAGATGAATGCTTAATTGATTTTTTCCTCTACTCTCTTTTTTTCACACACAAAATGTGGATTCATTGAGTGTTAATCAAAGCCTTATAAGAATGTAACCACTTGTCTCATTGCCTACTGTCCCTCCTTTTTTCCCCTTTCCCTCCTGCTTGCTCTTACACCTTAAATAGTTAAGTTTCCAAAACCCTCTTTGGAAAAACACAGGTCAAGGATCCTACTGTGACTTATGTTTCTATTTCCCAGGCATATCCTCGACTGGCAAAATAAACCTCTAATCAATAGAGATCTGCCTCAGTCACTTTTTGGCTTACATGTTGGTGACCACGAAGGGACTCTGAGTGGAGTCTGGCTCTTGGCCTCCAGCAGGTCTCCTATTGGGGCCCTGGTACCGGCTGGAGCTCTTTATTACTCTTACAGATTGGATGATTTGCTATGTAAGTTCTGGGAACTTCTCCCTCCAGAGATCCCTGATCTCCCCCAAATTTTCAATTGGGATCTGAGGTTTATTCTGCTGTAAAACTCCTTTTCTGGTAGTTTCTGCTTCCATGATGGCAGACAGCAGTCTTCAGCTTGGGTCCATCTCCAGGTAAGGAGCTGGTTTCATATTGGGATTTGGTAGCTGAAGGGCAAGGTTTATTGTCAGTTGGCTATAACTTACCCTTATGCTGAGAGATCGCAATTATATGTGAATTCTGTGATCACTTTTTCTGGTTTTTCTTTTCAGTTTTGGTCCACCTTCTGTTAGACTTTACCAACTCCTGGCCCCCTCTAATGTTGAATGAAACTCTGCAGCTGGAGAAAGTCAATTTTCACTTCTAAAAACCCTGGCTGGGTAAGAAAGGTCAACAATTTGACTACCTGAGAAGTTTCATTTACACAACAAGACCCTTTTCCCATCCTTTCTTTCGGTGCAATTAATTTAAAGATTTTAGGGATCTCTTATTCTAAACAATTAACAAAGAGATCACATTTAAAAAGGACATATAATAGTGTCATGGCCAGCCTTAAAAATTCTCTTGACTAAATTAAGAGTGAAAAATCTGACCTAAACCAGTTCTGGTAGGTAAAATTCCTGCAGAGGCTTGGGTTTGCTTTCTGGTCAAGGAAAAACAAAGGCCACTCCACCTGTGGCCCAATAGTTAAAATTCTGCACTTTCACATCCACAGGGTGAGTCTGATTACTGGTCAGGGATCCAGCCCCTCTCGGTTTAATATTTGTGTGACTTTTTTGTTGGGTATCAATTTATTATTGATCTTTATGATTGATCTTTCCCACTTCCATAGCTTTTTGTTTCCTGTCTTTTTTCATCTGTTGGGGGCACATGAGGCTTTGGGGCCTTTGTGTGCATATGGTCAGCTGAGAAGGTAAGACTCTAAACACATGGCCTGACAGAAATATGGGTTATACCCCATTTATTGGTAATGAAACTTTCCTTCGCTGAGCGATCTTTGGGGTGATTCTGGATCTTGTTAAAAAATGCTTGCCAACTCTTTGGAGACAGCTTGTGTACCCACGGTTATATAATAACCTTGATTAAGGCACCTGGGGGTATATCTTTTGGTAAAGAAGTTCAAAAGTCAGAAATATCAACTGTTTGTCTCAGCTAAAATCTGATAATAAGAGATTTGACAGGATTTATTTAAAGGGCTCCATAGTCAAAAGTTGACTTAATTAAAACTGATATTTAGGCTATGTATGTATTTACTTACTGCTTTAAGGCCTCTGTTCTCTCTCTCTCTGTAAACATTTCTCAGGCAACTGAATTTCTTCTTAAACCGCTGCTAGGAATGTGCACTCCCTCTGTCTCTCTCTTTCTATCGCCCTTTCCTTCCTCTTGCCACCCTCAGTGCCACATAAGAAGACAAAAACAAACAAACAAACAACAACAACAACAAATTCTAACAGCCTGGGATTCCTTAAGAAAAAACAGAAAATGTGCCACAGACCCATTTATGGGAGAAACTGCTATTTTTTTCCTCAGGGAATCCCAAGAGTTGAAAATGGACAGTGTCTTCTCAGATCTAAAACTCTTCTCTCCTTTGCATTGCACTACCAGAAATTTTTGCTTCTGGAGTTACTAGAAATTTCTTTTTATTGTGAAAAGCTTGCCTTTGGTGTGTACAATGGCTAAGGAATGGGCTGATCGCAGAGTGGGCTGATTGGCAATGGGTTGCCCACCAGCCTCAGGGGAAATGTATTTGCAGTGAAATGTACAGTGAAAACATGGCGTGTCCTAATCCCCATGGTGTTTACCTCTTTTGGGGGACCCAAGATTTAGTGTGAGTTATGCTTTGAATTCAATGGTCCAGATAAAAAAGAGACTAAATTAAAAGCACCTATCTAAATGAAATTGGTCACCTTATAAAAGCCCGTGATAAATTTATATAATTTTGTGTTACTTGGCATCCATGTTTTCAATCTTCCTCTAACACAACCAAATTTAAAGAGCTTAAATTCCCTGTCTCTGTCTGTATTTTGAGATGCAAATCCTTTATCTTGTTTCACCTGAGAGTTATCACTTCAGAAATGCAAATTTAGGGTCGCCTAACAGTTGCCTAGAGCAATAAAATAGGTAATTGAAACTGTGAATAAAAACAACTACTTAAATTTGGTAAATAAAAAATCATATAGTTCTACAAGATCTGCTTCTGTCTGTGTGTCTGTGTGTCTAGTGTCTATATATTTATATGTGTTATGTGTATGTGATGTTTCACAACCAAAATATGTGAAAGAGTTCTAATTAATTGACTTAAAAAGTAAACACTTAAATATTTTATGAGAAAAATAGAAACCTTAACTCAAACACCTTTAAGTTCATGTGACTTTAGTAATCTTTAACAAATAAAGACAATTTAAAAATTATTGGTGAAATAAAATAAAATAGAAACCTCTTCCAAATTTAATTTAGACATTTTGTCTGTCTATTGGCCTGTTGTTCAGATATTATCTCTGCTAGATGTTTTAAGATCATAAAATGTGTTTTTATGACAATTTTTGACACTTAACTTGTCTATAAACTATGTTTTTGGATTTGGGCCTTTAGGAGATTGTGAAGCCTAGCTCCAGGGATTGTCCTTTGTCTTGGACTCTGTATCTGGTGCTTAATTAGAATTACTTACTTCCTCAGTTTTTCACTAAGAATAAGAGTTACTAAGAAGTAACATTACAGTTTATGTATATAATTATACTAGCTATGGCCGGGCGCAGTGGCTCACACCTGTAATCCCATTACTTTGGGAGGCTGAGGCGGCCCGATCACCTTAGGTCAGGAGTTCAAGACCAGCCTGGCCAACATGGTGAAACCCCATCTCTACTAAAAATACAAAAAATTAGCCAAGTTTGGTAGTGTGTGCCTGTAATCCCAGCTGCTTGGGAGGCTGAGGCACGAGAATTGCTTGAACCCAGGAGGCGGGGGTTGCAGTGAGCTGAGATTGCATCACTGCATTCCAGCCTGGGCGACAAGAACGAAACTCCATCTCAAAAACAAAACAAGACAAAACAAAACAACAAACTACTAGCTATAAGAGAAACAGTTATATATGCAAAGTGTATAAAGTTGTTTTGTGTTTTTGATAAAAAGCTTCTAAGAAGGCATGGGAATCTGGTTTCTGTTAAAGAGAAAGTAATTTTTCCCAGCATGGAGATCTTTTTAAATTAATTTTTTAAAATTAAGTTTTTAAAAAGTTAATTTTAAAGTTTTCTGAGTAAAAAAAATGATGGATAAAACTCAATGAATATAGAAAGTTGAAAAATTAAATTTTTGTTCTAGGGTAGACTGATAGGACAAGACTAAAGATTTAAGCAAGTTGTAGAATGTTTGTGGAAGACTGATCTTGTGGAAGGAATTCTGTGTGTGATTATTTTGTTTGTTTTTTCTTTCTTTTTCTTTTTCTTTTTTTCTTTTTTTTTTTTTTTTGAGACAGGGTCTCACTCTGTCACCCAGGCTGGAGTGCAGTGGCGTGATCTCGGCTCACTGCAAACTCCACCACCCAGGTTCAAGTGAGTCTCATGCCTCAATCTCTCAAGTAGCTGGGATTACAGGTGTGTGTCACCACACCTGGCTAATTTTTATATTTTTAGTAGAGTTAGGCTTTCGCCATGTTGGCCAAGCTGGTCTTGAACTCCTGGCCTCAAGTGATCCACCCGCCTCAGCCTTCCAAAGTGCTGGGATTATAGACGTGAGCCACCACACCTGGCCATTCTCAATTCTTATCAACATATGACTCAATTAAAACTTGTTGAGTGTTTCCTACATGCAGTGTTGTGCTGGGTTGATGTGAAAGGAACAATTGAGGAAGGATCTTGACCATTGGGCAAACTGGTAAGATAACTCAGGGTCCCTTGGGCAAAGCTGGAAATCAATCAGAATAAACCTCAATGAGAAGAGAAGGCAAGGCAAATATAAAATTGAAGTACTTCTAAATGCCATTTCCCCAAAACAGATATTTAAAACCTTGGAAAAAATAATGCTAGTGACCTTTCCAGATAGGTAACAAGATTAACAATCTAAATACCTACCGTGTACAATCCTCACGTCCAAGAAAGAACCAGACAATTTTTTTTTTTTTTTTTTTTGCTGTCCTATTGTCAAGCTGTGGGTACCTAGGAGAAGAAAGAGAGGTTACTTTTCACTTTCAGATAGGAATGCAGAGATCCAAAAGGAGTTTATATGTATAGCTTCAGTCAAATAGGAATTCACTCCAGTTTTTGAAACTGAAATCTATGTAATTTTCTCTGAATCTAAGTTATCTATCATATAATACCAACAAAGCAATTAAATAATTATCAAGAAAACAATGCCAAATTAGATATGGTCTTAAGGCCATGGCTTGCTTTTTGTGTTATATGTTGAAGCAAATGAATTTCCTTCAGGTTTCTCTTTTATCATGGATGAACCTTCTGGTAAGTTCCCCATACTCCTGTGGTGGGCATCTATGCTAGGGGAGCATCTGCGGCTCAGCTTTAGGTTTGAGTACAGGTCTTGGAGGCCTGGGTATCACTGTGTCTCTGTGCCGCAGAAGTAGGTTCCTGAGTAACTGAGCTGGGAGGCCGTAAGGTACAGGGAGCTTTGCTGCTTTTTTTCATTAAATGAAGCAGATATTTTGTCATGACCCTTCTGTTCTCCACCCTTCAGTAATATCATCAGGAAGACGGGTGCTTCACCATGCTTCTGCCTGTACCAGTGTACAGAATATAAAGCCTTGGAGGAACTGCAGTTGATGACAGCATCTTCCCCTTCTCGGAGGATCACGGCTTGAGGACTCTGCACTGGTTGTTGGCTTCTCACCCCTGATCAGAAAGACAATCGAATGAGATGCTCAATCTCGTGAAGGGAAGGGTGATTTTCTCTCTTCCTTCCTTATTTAAAACATTAAGCATCACCACATAATTACGGTACATTTTCCTCACTTCTTAGGTCTGGTTCTTAAAAGGGCCCTTCCCAAGACAGAAAGCTATTGTCATTAAGATGCTGTCATATCACAACCTCTCCCAGACTGAATCGTGTACTCACAGGTCAACTGCCACAACAAGGTGCCTGAAAGCACTTTCAGGAGAGTCTCCATCCTTGGCCTGCCAGAATATCCAGTCAGCTTCTGAATGGGCTTCCTTAACAGGAGTTGCTTTGAACTCAGAATGAGGCCTGTTGCAATTGCTTCCAGGATATTGCAACTTTGGGGGCAACCAATCAGAGACACATCACAACAGTTTAACTGCAGAGAACTAAATGCATCTACCTAGAATACTTTTTAAACAGCTCTCCCCTGTGGCCAGACTGAGGAATGTTGATTAAACTGTGGATTTTGGCTTTTCTTGAGTAAGTTTTCATACAGGATAGGTTTTTTTCTTGCTATAAGAAGGGCCTATCAATATACTGTGTTACAGAAAGAATTACTCCAGAATTAAGAGAAAAAAGAAGTATCAAGGGAAAATGTATTATATGTATTTTACTACATATATATATTTTATATACATGCCCACACATGGATATAATATATAAGTATGTGAACTCATAGTAATCTTTCAAACAGTGACATTTCATTATATTATTTACTTGTGCAGATTTCTTTCACTGCTCATCATTGTCTTCAAGATAATGTAATGTACAAACATCTTATAATGGCTTTTAATTATTTTCACAAAGTGGTTTCTGCTTATTGCTTTAGTTTTATATTTACTGACATACATTTTGAGTTGTATGCTCTGGCCATCCTGAATTAGTTTAATGTCATTCTCTTAACCTAAATATTGACTTCATGTCTTTGTACATTCTATTTATCTTTTTCTGTAATACCCTGTCTCTGACTCCATTTTTGGCTAACTGTTTTACAGATCTTAACCTAGATACTACTTCCCGTAGGCAGCTTTCCCTTACATTTAAGTTTCCAAATTAAATGCCACTGTTAGGTGGTTATATTCTACGCTTCTCCTATGATAGCTTTTATTATACTATATTGTAATACACTCTGCAATATTACATGCTCCCTGAAGGCAGAAACAATGCCTTATTCTTCTCATTTGCATCTATTGTTTTCAAGTCTAAGACACATATTAGGTATCAAATGAATAACCTTATTAAGTGAAATCTCAAGTAAATAGAAAACATATTTGGTAACCTCACAAATATTATGGTTACTCATTTATAAAACTGAGAATTAAGGTACAACTGCTTTGCAGTGGTGGTTTGAACATTTTATGACATACATAATTTTAATTATAGCATAATTCTGGCTTTTAGTCCTCAGGTTCATTGTGTTCTGTGTCACCTTGTACATGCTGTTTCTATCTTTAAGATCACTTTTACTACCTTCTCTGTCTTTCAACTTGATTGACTCCTACTAAATCTTTAGGTCTCAGCATAGGCAAGACATACTACAGGCTGCCCCTGACTCACCTCTAAGGCTAAGATGGGGGTGGGACTTTCCATATGCCTTCATACCTCCCTTTGCTTTCCCAAGGTTGGCCTCATTTCACTTTACTCTGTCTGATTAGCTGCCTACATAACTAACTAGACTACAATTTAGTCAAAGAAGATATGTATTTTTCCATAGCTCTTTTTTTCCCAGCATGTAACATTTATGCAGAACTCAGCAGGCAACCAGTTAACAATTGCTAATTGATAAAATGAATAAAACTTGAGACCGATGTTAGCTGGAAATCATTGCCCTTGCATTACAGATGAAGGTCCTGATATAAAATGTTAAGAAGTTGATTCACTTGCTCAAGAAGACACAACACACTTATGGCTAGAACAATGCTAGAAAGTATGTTTTCCCAATGCTGTTTCCCAAATATATTAGATAAGAAAAGAACGTAAATAGATAACTGTGGGAATGAATGAAATGTGAAAGTTGAAGCAGTCTGAAGAGCTTGAACAAAAAGACAGGGATGAGATTGAATGTAGTATTCCTTTTTCTGGTATGATTCTACGTTGCTTTAGAAGGATAAAGACAGCATTAATATATTCCCTCCCCATTATGCAAGACATGAAATGGGGTAAATGTAACAGCAGTTAGAGTGAAAAATGTCCATTGTAACAGAACTTTATAATGGGTTTCAGTAATTTATAAATCATGTTAAATATATCTGAAAAGAAGAAAAGCTGATTTATTGTCTTAAGGTATTTGAAATAGTTTTGTTAAGAGCAGGGATATATAGTAACTGGACTGATTATTCAGCTGAATTTCCACATTTTTTGAAACTGAAATGAAATGATTCATCGTAGCTACATTTCTCTACACCCTGCTAGAAGACAGCAACAACTCTCGCGTGTCTGCCCTTTTGCTGGGATCTGTGGCTACAGCTTTGAATTTGGGAACAGGCTCTGGATGCCTGTGAGCAAAGAGTATGCACAGCAGACTCTCTGCTCAGAGTAGCTGAGGCTCTAGAGTAGGAGCCCGAGATGTGCATGGAATACCCTAAGTATGAAGAGTGATGCTTAATATTCCTTCCTGCTTTTCATTCTCATTTACGTGCATTACGAAAAGGATCTTGGAATTTTTCCTGCCTATACCAATGTAAGCCATAAAAAGAACAGAAAAAATACTGCATGTGATATTGGTGCTCCTGGATATGGAGGGATAATAAATCTAATTCACACTGAGTTAGCTTTACATCCATGTTCAGGAATATAGAATTAAATATGAGAGAATTGATCAACCTACAGATTTTACCTTATAGTTAAACCAACCCCACAAGGATCCCTAGATGAACAAAGCTAAGCCAACCTATATATCACCCCTATTCTGATAAAAAATGTCTTCAGCATTCCTGAAATCACTGTTCCTGAAGTCACTGTTCAGATTATGCCATAAGTAATGGGATTTACAGAGGCTTCCGCATGCTTCTTGGGAAGTATCCTGAATTTCTGTATCTTCTCTCTGTAAAGATCTTCAGCTTCAGAAAATCAGCCTGTGAGGAACAAGCTCTAATCATTTATCTACAAATACAATATACATATAAAACCATAATTTCAGCTTTTAATTCTCTATGAGTGATAATCTCACTCTTCTATAGGTCAATGATGAAGACATGTATGATAAGAATTTTAAAGATTGCTAGCTGTTCAAAAGCATGACTTGTTAATAGCTTCTGTAGGAAGGGCCCATACTTGGTGGTTTGGGGCATGAGTGACCATGAACTCTCTTTTCTCACAAAGTTAGTGATACTGAACAAATCCCTGAACTCCCACAGCCTGTTTTCTCTACTAAAATATGGATTATTCTAATAGTTGTCTTAAATAATTATTAGAAGAATTAATGTAATACATGCAAAACAGGTGGAATAATAGAAGTTCAACATAATCTAGACATTATTACCATTACACAACAGTGTGCTCTAAGTGATAAAATTCTTTCTCATGGAGCTACAAGTAACAATTCTGATACCACTATACATGTTTAATGGAATTGGACTATGATGTAAATGAATAGTGGGTGGTAATGACAAAAATTCTTTGCTTGACCAAACTTTAGTCAGGCTTTTGAAGTTTCTCCTAAGCTCATCTGTACATTTTCTTGTAAAATGTAGTTTTAACAAGAATCCTTCTAAGTCAGTTTAGCAAGAACCACACCCTCCCCTGCTGCCCTCGTCATCCTCCGCTTGATATCTGATTACACTCCATATCCAACTGGGCTCCTCATCCTCTATCATCCCCCAGGGGATTGATGTCTGATCACCCTGACCTGTCTTCTGCAAGGATCCTGTTTGGCTGGTCTAGCCAGACTATCCCTTGGTTCTAATGTTTCCTCTTAGTAATTTCCTATCCACTGACCCCTAATCTGCCCCTTGGCTAGAAATCTCCACTTGTCTATGCTGTATTCGGAGTTGAATCCAATTCTTCTCCCTCACTGCAAAATCCTGTTGCAGTGGTCTCTGTACCTATCATGATGGTCCTAAATAAATTCTGCCTCACCGTGTTTTAACAAGTATTACTGAATAACTTTTTGTTAACAGTGAGAGCCAGGCTGTGCACCCCTGTAGTGGGAATTTATGGATAAGTAAGGGGAGGAGGCTAGTGTGATCCACGTGGTAATGATTTAGCATTGGAGACATTGCTAAGAACGAATGTTTAACTTAATATAGATACAGATGGTTATGCTACATATAGAAATATTTATAGATATGCAGATATACATAAGTTAGTATTCACACATGCAATTCTTTGCTCAGAAATGCCTGTACACTGAGAAAAACTAAAAGAAAAGACATCTCAGGAAATGTTCATCACTGGAAGAACCTGCAGTAGGACCTTGGTTTTCCCATTCCAAACACACATCCTTGCCCCCTAGTATACAAGGGAGACAGGGCACCCGCATTCCAGAAGCTAGCAGAAACAAAGCATCACTAGAGATTTATGCTTTAGCTAAATCAGCAACCTCTTTCTGAAAGTAGAAAAGGAGAGTGGTTAGACTCTTAAACACTCTAAAACTCAGGGAACTTTCTTAACTTATTTGTAAGGTTTTGTCATGTATCAGTCTTTCTTTAGGCTCAACTTGCCTCACCTACTTCAAAGCATAATCTCTCATATTGGCATGTGTAAATGGAAGCGAGTCTATGTGTCTCCCAGTCTGAGTCCCCAAAGCAGGTTTGAGTACGGGCTGCAGGTGCCTGGAGAGCACTGTGCGCTTGCTGCACAGAAGTACACTGCAGAGTCTCCAGGCTGGGAGGGCACAATGTGCAGAGAGAGGTGCTTGGCACTTTTGTTTAAGAAAACAGTGAATCTTCCATCTTCATTTTTATCCTTAATGGAACTTATAGATATCAGGAATGTAGGACCTTCAGCAGGGTATTTTTTGTACCATAGGAAATAATCAAACATGCTGTTAGTATAGTCACAGTTCAGAATAGAAATTCTTCCTTCCTGGACGCTCAGGGATGGTGAATTTTGCTTAACTTGCTGGTCATCATTCTTCTGTTGACTGTTTACCCCTGTTTGGAAAGAGAATAACAGATTTTCAGTTTTATTTTTAATGTCCCCACAGGAAACCATCAAGATCCGGAAAACAAAACAAAACTTCTCCAATTATCTCCCAGCCTTGTAGTGTTCCTTGTAGCTTTTCTTACTATATTCAAACCTCCCATGCACAACTCACAGTCTGGCTGAAGCCACAGAATCAGCACTGATGCCCCCAGGAGCATGGCCATCCCTCCTGTGAAGATGCAGATTGTCTTATCTCCTGCCTAGAAAGCTGCAAATCTGACTTCAACCTCCTGTGCTTTATTCATGTCCTTCCACAGACCCTTCATTTTACATATGAACAACCTGTGTGGAGCTCTAAGCTTATTTATCTTTATGAAAGGAAGCACTGCCCCCTTTAGTTCAAATGTAGAAAGTTTCTGTAAATGTGTTTCTGTATTTCCTAAAGATGATTTTATAATGCCTTCTCCATAAAAAGTTAAAAAACAAGAGATTGAAAGAGAAGGAAAAGTTTTTAGAGAACACACACACACACAGCAATAGTAGAAAATGATAGCTGAAAATTAGAGAATTACATAAGGTCAAATGACTGACACCTTGTCAACTGGCATACTAAGGCAGACATCTTGTTTAAAAACATTAATAAGGATTGATACTTATTGGGGACGCATATGGGTATGATGTTTTATTTAATACAATGATATGAATTTAGAACACAAAGAAGTTTCGTAGCTTACTCTTTAGTGCAATTGAATTCTAATATGGTCTTCAAATATGCCCATATTTTCTATATGATAAATAGCACAACATAATTAAATTAAATTTAAATTCTGGGTACCTCTCTCAAAAACACAAATCAGCACAACAAAATTTATCTTCTGTATTAGATCACCTTCTGAACTGAAATTATCTCTATTGGAACTTGAATGAGATCATTTAGTGTGTTCTGTATTTTCAAAAGAGAAAAACGGTGACATAATCCTGTAAAGTCTATAGACAATATATTCATGAAATTTACCAGAAGATGCCAAAAAGGCAACATAGCTGCTTATCTTCACTCTTGGTCCACAGGTAATGTATTTCCCCATGGTTTACTATGATGGAGGAAGGAAGAAGAATCAATTGTACTTTTAATGCTGAATTAGTAGGGCAACTAGTGATTTCAGCTGAGATTAAATTCCAAAATGTTTTTTGAAATTATTTTTAGCAAGGACTGATAACACATAATAAAATAATATTTGATGCATATTTTATTATGGTAATAAACATTTTGAATTTTCACTTGAAGAATAATGAAACAAATACTCAGAAAAGTTAAAATGCCTCTATTAAAAGTGTTTTAAGTCCATTAATACATTAAGTCTGGCTGGGCATCATGGCTCACACCTGTAATCCCAGCAGTTTGGGAGGCCAAGGCGGCTGGATCACCTTAGGTCAGGAGTTTGAGACCAGCCTGGCCAACGTGGCGAAACGCTGTCTCTACTAAAAATATGAAATTAGCCGGGCGTGATGGCACCTGCCTGTAATCCCAGCTGCTTGGGAAGCTGAGGCAGGAGAATCGCTTGAACCCAGGAGATGGAGGTTGCAGTAAGCCGAGATCACGCCATTGGACTCCAGCCTGGGCAACAAGAGCGAAACTCCATCTCAAAAAAAATATATATGTCTATGTAATATATATACATATAGTATATATATATATAATATATATAGTATATACATATAGTATATATATATAATATATATAGTATATACATATAGTATATATATAATATATATAGTATATACATATAGTATATATATAATATATATAGTATATACATATAGTATATATATAATATATATAGTATATACATATAGCATATATAATATATAGTATATACATATAGTATATATATACATATGTATAGTATGTACTATACACATATAGTATATATATACATATGTATGTATATATATAGTCTATTAAAAATAATTGATTCAGGAGAAACTGATAAATTGTCTGTGTTGCATATTATATACTTTAAACCTATATAATTCAGACTTTCTAGTGAAGAAATTTTCATTGATTTATTTGTGTATTTATATATCAATCAATATTAATTTAGTTTTTATGCAATATTTAGCAATGTGCCTGGCTTAGAGTCTCAAATATGGTTATGGGACAATCTTCATTCATAAATACCTGGTAATTTGAAGAGAAAGAAAAATGTGTAACTATATACTTACAACATAGCACGAGACATGAGTGTTTTTATGAGGAAAGCATAACGGTGATCCATTAGTTCTGCTGAGGAGGTTAGCAGTGTGGAGTCAGGGAAGACCCTACAAAGGTAGAGCCCTTCAGCTGGGGCCTTAAGAGATAAAGGAAGATTAACAAGTTGGCTTTGTAGGAAAAGGGCATTCCGGACAAAGGTATCTGCAATTTTAAAAGTACACAGACAAATTATAGCCAAGAGTGCTCAGCAAATGAACTCCGTTCATTATAGTTGAATTTCAGTATCTGTCTGTAGGAAATTTATGACTTGATGTTAGGAAGGGTGGTCACACGCAAAACATGAGGATCCATGCATGAATCATGTATAAGAAGGCTGATTTTGCAAGTCCATGGGGCCTAGTGGTCTGTAATAGTCTCTCTCTCGCTCGTGCTCTCATACACATGCACACAGACTCACCATTTAGACAACAAAAGTACAAAATACACAATGCACAGATGCATCACAAGCCCCATGTTGAATCATTGGATATGAGTGACTCTATGCCTTGCTACAGAAAACTGTTTTATTTGGGAGGGGTGTTAGTGCGAGATTTTTCAGCAAGCTTTGAGGCTGATTGTGGGTTATTGGTGGCTCACAATTTTATATTTGTGGTGAATTCACCTTGTTGCTTGTGTGTGTGTGTGTGTGTGTGTGAGAGAGAGAGAGAGAGAGAGTGAGAGAGAGAGAAAGAGAGAGAAAGAGAGAGTATTACAGCCCACTAGGTCCCCTAGACCTGAGGAGATTCTGCTCCTCCTGGGGTATGCATGCTGGAACCAAGAGAAGTTCTCACACTGAAGACTGTGTCATTAAAGTGATTCTAAATCATATCATAGAACAATTAGAATGAAATAGAACTTTTATCTACCGAGAGTGGTGAACATTAAAAGAACTGATGATGGCTCCGCCACACAAGAGCAAGAGGTTCTATTCTGGAGATGTAAAAAATTCACAGTGTTTTGAGCTTGTGGGAGAGCAGAAGATGAGCCTATCAATTTACAAATTTTATAACGTGCTCAAAGCATGTTATAAAAGTCACGTTGACACTTCTATTCCTAGGGAAGTAACCACTCTAAAGAGCCTGAACCTTGGCCTTATTCAGTTTTTATGACAAGTCCCTTGCAGAATCAGTGGAGATGGGTGACACAGCTGTCTCTGCACAGGAAATTAGTTGGGGGAGGGGGTGGGGACACTTGTCATAGCATATCCATATTCATATTTGCATACACCAAACTGAGTCACCAGATATGTTTAGAGAAGTCTGTCTTCCCTAATAAAGACTACTCAGTTATACTACCAGGAATTTCTGAAACATGGGAGTAGAGCTATTCCTTTGATATCTTTACTTTAACAACACAGAATTAGATTGACATATGTTAAATTATTCATAAAGTTATAAGTAATTTCTTTCTGATGAGAATTTTTTAATTAAAAATAATTCCTACATCTTCACATAGTGATAAATCTGATTCTTTGTATATATATATAGATAGATTTTTTTTATTATTATACTTTAAGTTCAGTAAATTTGATTCTTTACACCCAGTGTTTCATGGAAATGCAGGAGCCCACAGGCTGTATCCCTTTCTTCCCTCTCTTCTTTCCCTTGCAACTCACCTTGCTACATGTGTTCTTTTAAGGTCTACTCTTTTTCTGGTAAGACTAGATTTCTGATTGTTCTTTCTCCCAATAGGTATCTGGATACACATTTTTAAAAGACGGACAACTTTCCATTGAACTAATTTATATTTGTCTAGTGCATCAATCAGGGTATCGTCAAGTGCAGGAAAGTCACCATGAGTTGTATGGGATAGGGGCTTAATTATGGGAATTTGGCTTTACGTGATTGTGAAAGGAGACAGGAAAGTGAAGGTCTAAGGGCTGTGGGAGGGCCAGAGAAGGAAACTCTAACCAGTTAATCTGAGAAACCAAGCATTTGCAGCTGCTGAAGTGTGATTTGAAGGGGAAGTTCAAGGAGAAGTCTAAGGAAGCTCTTGCCTTTGTGTGGTTACCATCTCCATTCATCTATCGCCAGGCATCTGAAGGTGACTGGTCAGCAGGAAGGCATGCTAGGCATGGAGTGGAACAGAGTTAGAACATGCTGGCACCTGCTGGGCATATCCGTGTCTATTTGTCAGATATGACAAATGACTGCTTCAGAGAGCAGTGGCTACTGTTTCACTTTTGCCTTCCATAGCTCACACACATTACTCTTTGGCCAATTTTATCCTGCTACTATACAAAAAAGGAAACTCTGGGAAACTTGGTTCCCTGCTTAATCCAGTACAAACCACCATTTTGTACCTCCTTATAAACTTTGCGTTAGGTCATACCTCATTTGATGGTATTTAATTTCCATATAAGACAATAGTAAAATAATTATTCTACCTAATAGGATGCAATTTCTTCCATAAAATTGTAAGGATGCTAACCTTTTCCCCAAAAGAAAATGCAAGGTCCCTTGTGTCACTTTATACATCTTTAAATGAAGTTTATTCTTTTTCTAGTTGAGTCATACTTCTCCTTTGATAACCTGTGAATTTTATAGTGAGCCATAAAGCTAACAAATAAAAACACATACTATTGCAGACAGTAGAAGAATAAAAGAAATAAAAAGAATGGGTTGTTAACCCTCCCCGCCCCACACACACACATCAAAGTAAGGAAGATGTACCCATAACTACTTCAGATCTTGTTTCTGTCACTGGTCAAGAGGTTGTAGCTAGTATGCACAATTTCATTCTTCTGCCATCATTCATTATTGTTTTTTGCCCTCAGCAATCATATTTCTTTGTCTGGTGGGATGATAACCTCAAGATCTATGTCTTAGCAGTCCTGCCTATATTGAGTTGCTGTAGTTTTCCATTAAATTTTATCATCATTCATGGTGGGATTAAGAGTTTCCACAGACATACTCTTCTTTACCCCCACTGTATTGTAGCAAACCATTTCTCCATGAAAGGCAGCATCAATCATCTCAGCCAGTAGAATAACACCTCTTCTTTGCTTTTGGTTGACTGGAATGAGGAGTCCATGCCATTCTCTTGCCTATACTATAATGTCAAATTAGTTTTGGCCAGCCCAGCTGCTCAGGTGTCTACCTATGTGGATCAAATGCAGTGATCTTCAGGCCTCCATAAGCTGTCCCCAAATTTGCAACTGGGCCACATATGTTTCCCGGCTCCTGAAGAGGGCTGGGCATTTGCTAGACTCACTCATCCATGATTTCAGAAAAACTTGAGGGAAATGAAATTGACCCTTTGAAAAACAAAAGCAAAGCTGATTTTAAGGATTTTTCTCTTTTTCCTTGATTTTCAGCAGTTTTACTCTGATGTGTAGAAGTATGCATTTCTCTTGTTCTGTGTGTGTTTATGTGTGTGTGTGTGCATGTGCTTTACATTTACCCTGTTTAGAGTTTGCTGAGTACCTTGAATCAGTGGAGACTTTTATCAAATTGGAAATTTCAGCTTTATTTAATAGTCAAAATGGATCACATTTATGTATCATATTTATCATATCTTATACAACTTATTTAGAAATACTTTCCACACTTAAAAGGGATTAGGGTCTCTGAAGAACTAACATTTTCTTATCATCAATCAGTTGCATGATTATTTTTATTTGTTCTTAGTGCAGTTATCTTTATCTGCTCTGTTAGGATGTAGATATGCTTAGTAATTTTGTTCCCCATATCCTTCACCTTACCATATTATGATTTACAGACGATTCATTTCAAGGTTCTTATTTAGTCTCCCATAAAATAAGAGTTACTTATGAACATTATTTAATAACTTGCAAATTATACATTATGTCTTAAAATTGCTATAATCTGCCTTGCTTCCTGCCTATATATGTATGCTGTTCCTCAAATTGGAGAACCTTCCCCCACTTGCTTTTGTTCTTCAGTCTGATTAACTCCTATTAAATTGCCAGATTTTGAACTGAGGCACCACATACTCCAGAAAGCTTCCTTTAACAGACATCTGTTTGTTTTTATAATACCCTTTACTGTGCCAGTTAAGTCCTTCTCTATTTTATAGGAACTGATAATAAAAATGTGTTCCCCACTAGAAATATATTCAACAAGGAAAGAACTCTTTATTTATTCAAAGTTCCCTACAGAACCTAATAGGTATTTGATAATTATTTGTTGAATAATTAATGTATCAAACTTGTGAGTAGTGGTGGGTGGGAAATATCATCTTCACATTATAAATGAGGATTCTGAGATGAGGGACAAATAAAATGACTCACTTGCTGAAGATGACATAGCATACTCATGACTGGAAATAAGCTTTTTTCTAATAACCTTCACAAAACATAACAAAGAGGAAAATGATATAGATACTATTGAATATGAGCAAAATGAACAATTAAAAATACTTTAAGAAGTTGGAGACCGGGTGTGGTGGCTCACGCCTGTAATGCCAGCACTTTGGGAGGCCGAGGTGGGCAGATCACCTGAGGTTGGGAGTTCGAGACAAGCCTGACCAACATGGAGAAACCCTGTCTCTACTAAAAATACAAGAAATTAGCTGGGCATGATGGCGCATACCTGTAATCTCAGCTACTCGGGAGACTGAGGCAGGACAATCGCTTGAACCTGGGAGGTGGAGGTTGTGGTGAGCCGAGATTGAGCCATTGCACTCCAGCCTGGGTGACAAGAGTGAAACTCCGACTCAAAAAAAAAAAAGAAGTTGGAAAAAAAAATAATGAAGGATTAGAGAGCTTAGCATGTCTTTTTTGACACATTTTGGTTTGACTTTCTCAAGATTTTCCTTTATACATAGATAATGTAAGATAAGAATAAGTAGCATTCGGGGTGCAAATACCCTTTTTGACAGAAAGCCTTATCATTGAGTTTGAGGGATCCTTTATCTAGAATTTCTGACTCATTGATTCCCTGATTTAGGGATTAGGATGTTAGGAATTGTTCTGTTTAGCACAGAGATAGTTACTAGAGTAAGTATTCATCAGAATCTTTTTTGGAAATGAAATCACTTTGATTTATCAAGTGTATGCTTCTCAAAACCATGTTACAGCAAAACACATGGACATCTCTAACTTATTGTTGAGTCTTAGAATTGCAGGTACTTGTCTGATTTCAGGCTTCAGGTGCCTGGGAAGCACTGTGTCTCCACAGCATAGAGGTAAGTGGCTGAGTCTCTGGTCAAGTATGCAGAAAGCTCTGACCATCCTTCATGGTAGTAGAGGCCATCTATTTTCCCTCTTCCTTTTCATCTTCACTTAAGTCTGTTAGAAAAAATATCATGGAAAATTTCCTAGGATTCTGTCTGTACTAAAGTAAGCCATAAAAAAGATGTGGAAAAGGAAGTACAGGTGAGACTGGTGCTTTCTTGCTCTTGGATATGGAGGATTGAGGACTCTGCTCATTCTTATCCAGAGAGATATGATAATATATGAAAGAGTTGATCAATCAATAGATTTTGCCTAGTAATACCATTCCCACAGATATCTGCAGGGGAACCATTTATGCACCTGCACCATAGTGTCAAGTTACAACTCATTTAGAAATACTTTCCACATGAATCAGGACATGCAAGGAGATGTAGGCAGTGGGAATGCAATGCTAATCACATCGGGACCTACTGCCACTCTCGGGGATGGGTTAGGCCTTCAGCTATGGTTTCATGTATAGGCTGCAGGTGTCTGAAGAGCACAGTGTCCCCACAGCACAGAAGTAAATAGCTGAGTCCTCAGGCTGGGAATCTGATGTATAGGTGGCCATAAAGTTCCTCAGCTTTGACTGCGGATTTTAGTCTTCTTTTTTGCTGTATTCCTGAATTAATGTTAAATAAGGACATGAGGGGTCCTCCAGGCTTTTGATGAAACCACTGCACACGGATCATGTAAATAGAACAACTGCACACCAGGAATGAATTTCTTCCCTCTTGGAGGATCAGGACGTGAGGACTCTGCTCCACTTTCATTTGCGCTTTTACCCCCGTTCAGAAAGAGAAAAGTAGATGCAGATGAGAGTCATCACAAAATCACTGTAGCTGTTTCCAAGTGTAGAAAATTTCTCTGTAGTTTTCTTCCTTATGATAGAGGACACAGCTTAATTGAGAGTTGCGTTCTTTCTCTTTCTCCATCTCTCCCGTTCCTCCATTGCTCCTTTCCAAATTCAGTTGTGATACTCCTCCAGGTTTCCTCTGGGCTGTCCTTAACTCACAGCAAATCTGTATCCACAGGAAGCCCAGCAAGATTCCTATTAATGCCTTCATGATTCTTTACTTTTTTTGCTACAGGGGCACACCTTGATATCTATTCTCTTTAAATATTGGTAAGTATCATATCTTGAATTTGGAACTAATTTTGTTCCCATGGCTGAGAAATTTCATGAGACAGATTCAGCGGCAGCAGCTCCCGGGAGTTGCCCCTCAGCTTCCTAGTGGAAAACTCCACCTACCTGTGGTTTAGTTCACCTTCTGCACACTGTGGTGCGTATGCGTGAGTCCTTGTGTGTGTTTGTGTGTGGGTGGGGGGTAATGGAGGGGTCATCTTTTTAGGGTTTAAGAATCATTTTGGGGAAGAACAGGAACACAGTAGCTTAGAGAAAGAATAGAGAAACAGTCTATATGTCTTTGAGGAGTCAGAGATAAAAGATATTGACCAAGGTGAAATCTGGAACGTGATCAGACTGAAAAATTTTTTGCATTGTGAATGAATTGTATAAAAAGTTATATATATTTATATATAAAATACATATGTTTATATATATATATTACAATTCCCGTTTTTACATTGAAATTATCTTATTTAATTTATTAAAGCCAAATGAAATAATAGCAACTTAGGACGTATGACCACCATAGGAATAAAAATGTGTTATAATAGTAGAAAAATGTTAACATCCTCATTTTGTGTATATGAATATATAAGTAATAAAAATATATATACACATATATAATAAATATATATACACATATATAATAAATATATATACACATATATAATAAATATATATACACATATATAATAAATATATACATATATAATAAATATATATACATATATATACTAAATATATATATACACATATATATACCTTCTAAAAGTTTTTCCTGCTCTATCAATTCAACATTCAATATGTAGACATATAGACCATTGGTTTTCAACCAGGGGCTATTTGCCTCCAGGGACATTTGACAGTGTCTGGAGACATTTGTGTTTGCCACAGGTGAGAATCTTACTGGCATCTAGTAGGCAGAGATGAGGGATGCTGTTAAACACCCTACAGTGCCCAGAAAAGCCCCTTCCCCCAAAAGAATTACCCGGCCCAAAATGCTAGTAATGTTGCTGTTGACAAACTCACAGAGACAATGCTTTTCAATTCAGACAGTCCTCCATAATTTTCTTCTTAACCTTTCTCTATCCTTTTCTTCCCAGCTACACCTTACATTTTCTCAATTTGCTTCTTTTTAAAAATTTTTCTTGGCTTTGAGTTTCTTCAATTTTTAATTTTTGTGAGTACTTAAGTATGTGCATATATTTATGGAGTACATGAGATGTTTTGTTACAGGAAAGCTATGTGAAATAAGCACATATGGAGAATGGGGTGTTCATCCCCTCAAGCATTTATCCTTTGAGTTACAAACAATCCACTTATATTCTTTATTTTAAAATGTACGATTATTATTGACTATAGTCACCCTGTTGTGCTATCAAATAGTAGGTCTTATTCGTCCTATTTTTTGTACCTGTTAAACAGTCCCACCTGTTCCCCAGCCTCCCACTACCCTTCCCAGTTTATGGTAATCATCCTTCTACCCTCTATGTCCATAGGCATGGTTTAGATAAGAACAGTGATCAGAGATTAGAAATAATTTCTGGACAAACAGATCTAGTCTCATATTGGCCCCTGATACTAAAAAATATTAATTCATGAACTATAAATAAATGTTAAACAAATTGTCTTCTTTAAATCTTAAGCTTCATCTTGGCTCTTGGAGATAAAGGAGAATTGGTGATAAGAAAGCAGGATTATGTATGTTATTAAGAATTTTATGGTCCATATACTCTTTTGCTACTGATCCCCCACCCTCAGCCTAAATTATTAGCCTTCTTCCTGTTTCAGAGATTTTTATTCTCCATTCATCCATCAATCCTCCTGACAGCCTAAGGAGACTTTTCTCAGGTTAGAGTACCCCCTAGAGCTAACACCACTTCCTCTGCAGCAATGCAGATGCCCCACCCAGGGGTGGTGCCTGAGTCTGGTCTTAAACATCAGCAGTGTGTTTTTAGGAAGGCATACAGTGATTCAGGAGTGTGGAGAGTGTGCAATTTCTCTCAGAAATTACTGCTCTGAATGGAGGTTGTAGGTCAGAGGATTCTTCAACTTATAGCCCCTGGAGAATGATGGCTATGGGAGCAAGTCTATGACTGTCTATCACCATGAGAGTGAGTTCCTTGGAAGCAGGGACTGTGTCCTTTCCATATTGACAAAGCAGGAGCATCGCTGTCTTGGACAAGCCCTCATTTTAACATTCACCTTAATCAAAAACTTCCTAAGTCCAAAGGCCATCAGCCTAATGGCTATGGTCAGCATGACCATAAACCACAAATAACATCTCCAACCAGAAACATTCCAAACTCCTCCCCAACCAGAGGCATGCTAGCTCTGAGATAACCCTGCTCTGACTGGGAAGGTGCCAGCCCCAAGATAATCCCCCTCCTGCCAAAAAGACATCAGCCTCAAGATAACCTCCCCTCCTCCCAGAGAGATTCCAAACCCCGCCATAAACTTCTCCTCCACACATAAACATTCCAAGATTGTGATAAACCCCCTCACCCTAAAACCAATATATACTCTTAGTCTGCAAGAGAAAGTGCTCCTGACCAAAAAATAAAAATAAAAATAAAATAAATAAATAAATAAATAAATAAATCAGCCAGAAGCCCCTCTCATGTTTTATCTAAAGTAAACCTGTCTTTAACTGCCAAGCTGTGTTTTGTGTTTCTTTCCTCTTTCTTTAACTCTTACACATATTCCTGGCTCAAAACATATATCAGGACACAAATGAGGTTTTGAGTGTACCTTGTGGAAGCCGTGGTTCCCACTTTCAATTTTTTAATTTGTAAGTCCATTATGCTAGGCAGTTACCAAAACATTGCTAATCTTCACAATAATACTGTAAATTAAGTATTTATTCTTACTTCTGCAGTACTTATCAGGAAATTGATGCTCATGAAGTTAATATAATATTCCCAAATTTACACAGCCAATAAGGGACAGAGCCTTTAGAAACCCTTGCTCTTTTCATAGTGTCATGGTGCTTTTCAGGAAGAGACATGTAAGCCCAGTGATTAGGGAAAGACCCTGGGCCATTTTGTTGAGGAAGTAAAACAGAATCTCCTATCAACCCATAACACCTTCCCACAAAGGTAGAAGAGAAAGAAAACAGTTTTGGCCAGGTGTAGTGGCTCACGTCTGTAATCCCAGGACTTTGGGGGGCCAAGGCAGACAGATAGGTTGAGCTCAGGAGTTAGAGACCAGCCTGGGCAACATGGTGAAGCCCCATCTATATAAAAATACAAAAAAATTAGCTGAGCATGATGGCATGCACCTGTGGTCCCAGCTACTTGGGAAGCTGAAACAGGAGGATTGCTTGAGCCTGGGAGGCACAGGTTGTAATGAGCCCTGATTATGCCACTGCATTCCAGTCTGGGTGACAGAGTGAGACTCTGTCTCAAAAAAAAAAAAAAAAAAACAGTTTTATTGAATAAGCATTAAACCAGAATGTGATGCATCTCACAGGCAATCCACTAAAGATACTACAAGGAAATAAAGAAATCTTATCCTTTTATATAGCCGAGCAGATGCAACTGATTGTTTACAGTTTCTCAAGATAAACAATAACTAGTCCGCAAGAAAGAGGACTTGACAGCATCATTTTTCAAACATAGTTCATCCTCAATTTACCTGGTAATTGAGGTAGCCACCTGTTTCGTAATTGCCTTCATGCAAAGGAAACATTTCTCATATCTTTATGACAGGAGGTTGGTTTGCAACTGGGAGCAAAGTACCAGCTGAAGTTAGGCACCTATTCTCCACTAAAACTAGATTAGGGCACTACCTCCCTTCGTGATTACATTTTGAAAAAAATGCTCTCAGGTTCTTGAGAAAGACAGTCCTGGATTGTAAAACTGGCAAGGGATTTATTTAGCTTTTAAAAAGATTTACCTACATTTCAAAGGGATAGAAAACTCACAATTACAAGTTTTCTAAAGTAGGTGCTCTAACGAAAGGGAGGGGAGAGTGTCTTTCTCTTTTTGCATCAGAGATAATTAAAATTGTTTTCTTATTTTTATTTGTATTTGCCTTTAAAATTTTCAGAATGAAGGAGTTTAATGTGATAAAGTTTTTAGAGGAGGCTTTTAAAATGGATTACTGGGTAGAGTAAGGTTAAGAAAATAAGAAAAATAACCTTTGGAATATAAAGTTAAGACAAATGTAAGACTATAGTTATTATTTGCATGGAAATTGTCTGTGGTTAAAAGACTTTAGGATGAAATCTGGATTCCATAATCTTCCATGAGTATAAGAAATTGCTATGGAAATTTAATAACGAGTCCTCTCTAAATGAAAGGTGAAGTTTTTTTCCTTTATAAAAAATATAGGAATATTAATACTTTATGAAACAGATATGATCAACATAAATGGAGTCCCCATGTTTGTATAAACAAAGTAATTTGTTTATATATCTTTTCCTGCCTTTACACATGGAAACAAGAAATCATAAAGCCATTTTATGTCAATCTTACTATAGTTAGAATTATGTTTAGCTGCAGCAACAGAAAACTCAACCAAATAATGGTTTATTAAAAATTTTCATGCAAAATTAAATCTGGGGGCTGGATTTGACTTGGCATCTAAAAGACTACCAGGCATGGGATAAGGAAAGGGGATTAGTTATGTGTTTTCCTTTACGGTAAAGTTATCTCTTCCATGTTTTAAAAAGAGAAAAGGAGGGATAGAGAGATGTGTACTTGTATCAGGAGAGAAAAAAACATTATGGGAAGGCCCTATCCAACTTCTGGTCCTATCTCACTGGTCAGAACTGTTCTATATGTATATGGCAATCTCTTGCTGCAAGAGAGGGTAAAATGTAGTGTTGAGCTTTTTTAAAGCTGGACATATTGTTGCCCAAATCAAAATTGAGGGTATTGTTAATAAGGAGGCAGAAAAGAATTGTGATTAGGTTGGCAGCTTGCAGTGTCTGCCTTCCTGACTCCTCTGGTGAGGACTCAGAGTATTAGGCAGAGAATAACTCATTCCCCCTTAAGTAGTCAGTGAAAATTCCACAGTAGGGGTGACATTTACATACGGCCATCAATAACAATATTATTTTAAGGACATTTGTTGAGTATACATGTTATGCCTGGAACTTGAGACAATTTTATGTATTTTATCTCATTTAATTCATAGCAACTCAGCAAGATAGGTGTTCTTACTAACATTAATTTATAAGGAAATGTAGGTGAGGATAAATAATTGCCCAGGGACACAGAGCTAGAAAATTGCAAAAACGAGATTTTAATTTAAGTTATTTTGATTTCAAAACTCAGAAACTCATGTGCATTTTGCTATATCATCTTGCCTTACAGAACAAATACAACTGCTTCAAGTATGAAAATGGGCCAGTGGAGGGCTTGCTATGTGGAGGAAACTGCCAACTTCTTTCTTCTTCAGGCTTGAAAACTTGAAGTTATTGACATTTGCCATTCAAAGACTCTTCCCCAAGCCAGTCCTGTGAACATACAGGCCATTGTAGTTAATGTTTGGTCACTTTCAGAACCACCAACTAGGATGTTGCTTTGAAACCACAGTTGGATGCTACTGAGGTGTACTATCGGTATCTTTCTTCCAAAAAGGTAGTAACTTTCTTCTAATTTTTACAATACTTCTGCATTTTACTGCAGTGTAAGAGTCTGGAAAGATAGCAGCTTCATCATCTCTGGAGTACTACAAGAAAGCTGGGAAACCATCCATTTCTGCCCCATTGTACTGAACATTCCTGGGTGTGGTCTTCTGGAAAACGGAATGACCAATCTGAACCATGAAGTATTCTGAAATTCTCCATGTTGATCCTTTGGATTCAATTAGCATGAGAGCTGAAGGCGTTCCCATTTAAATTAACAGAAAATCCTAAAGAGATGGAAAATCCCTGATGCCAACTATGAAAGGAAGAATTAATGAAAGAAGGAAGAAAGAGAGAATGAGGGGGTGAGAAAGGTGGAAGGAGGGAGAAAAACTCATTTCAGGTTGGGAAAGAATCCCTAGCTCCCTTCCCTGGTGCCTTCTGCTTTGTTTCTACACAGGGGTGGAACACTCAGAAACAGTCTGTCTGATAGCTTCCATTTGTCCCTCTATATCGACTCTCTTTGCTACTGCCTACCCCGGGGAGTTGCAGGCCCATATCGTTAATGATCCTAATAGCAGGCTGCATTTCCAGATATTTGTGTTATAGCAGAGGGGTCTTGTCCTCCAGTGTGTGTGGAAAATGTTTTCTGGAAAGGCAGCAGAAATGGTTCCATGAGGGGCTGAGGTTGTTCTCTCTATTCATGCCATAAGCTGTGCGAGGCGGAGCTGGAGGCATGTGGCAGCCTCGTGACTGGGGCTGGCAGCAGGGTTTGGGTGCAGGCAGCAGGTGCCTCAAGAGCACTGTGCTCCTGCACAGAGGTAGAGGCCTGTATCACCAGTCTGGGCTGCAGTGATGTGGAGAGAACTGTCCTTTCTTGCATCACCAAACTGAAAGGTTAGTCTCTTCAGCTTCTTCACTTCTCCACCCGTAACTACTGTCACCAGGAGGACAGGACCTTCCCCAGGCTCCTGTCTGTACCATTGTAAGCTGGAAAAAACACTTGAGGAGTTGCAGTACACAGTGAGATTTTCTCCCTCTTGGATGCTTAGAAACTGAGGGCTCTGCTCCAGCAGCTGGGTGCTCACCCCTGTTTAGAAACAGAGCAGAAGGAACCAGGGAAGGGAATTAGGGATTGTTTCCCAACCTGAAATGATTTTTCCTCCCTCCTTACTCCTTTCTCCTCCCTCCCTTGCTTTCCCCCTTTCTTCCTTCTTTTATAATTCCTCCTTTCATACTTTGCCATAAAACAACTTGCCATCAGGGATTTTCTGTTAATTTAATTGGGAACCTTTTCAACTCACATGCCAACTGAATCCAAAGAATGGACACGGAGAATTTCAGGACCATCTTGTCTTTCTATCACATGGTGGACATGGCCCCTGACTTTAGCTGCTCCTGAAAGAGCCCGTCCTGGAACAGACTTCTCTGGGCTAGAAGAGTGCTTGCTGCCACCCACTTTGAGTTCCATAGAAAGCCAGGAGCCTCAGTGTGGCAGCCAATGGAATCATTCACTCTCCACCCGCCCCTTCCTCCAACCCAAAATGTATGTTGCCTTTTGAAATACTACCCTCCTGTGGAGAGATAGAAAAGTGATTTATTTCCAATAATGCTCTGTTTCTCCCAATTGCATTTGGTAGGCATAAATATCAAGATTAAAGTAGAAATGTAACTGGGGACCTCACCCACTTTCTTTTTCTTCCTTCCCTTCCCTCCCCTCTCATCCCTTCATTTCTTCCCCTCTGGACACTCCTTGCCAGTAATGCATGCTTGTCTAATTATTCTCTTGCTTAAGAAATCCCAGAGTCAAACCTAGAAACAAACCACGCAGTCCCCATTGAGGCATCATCAAGCTTAGGGGGACTTGTGAACAATTTGTCCACCACCACCAGGCCGAAGTCAAGATAACAACTTCCAGACCCCCAGAGGCGCAATTACCCAATACAGCCTCGAGAACAAGACACACAAACCCTGCACCCTGCAGAATTCCTGCATGTCTCCCATCCTATGTTTCATTTTTAAAATCTCATGGTGAATTTAAAAATGTAAAATGGTACTTTAGAATGCTAGTTTGCCATCTTCTCAGTTTGCTGGCTCTCATATTAAACCTGCTTTTCCCATCTACCCTCGGCTCTCTGTTTGGCTTTCAAGTGGAGAGCAGCTGGACTGGGGTCCGGTTACAGAAAGAGTATTGTGACCTTATTAAAAAAAATGGAAAATATATCCTTTTAAACATTGATCATTTAAAAGCCAGAATAAAAGAATAATAGAAAATAATGAAAGTACCATCTTATCATTTCTGATATCCTCAACAAGCGTGCTGAGCCATGTAGTATCTGAGTAACTGTAACTGTAGTAGGGGGCATATGTGGTGTGAAATGATGCTACATTTACAGGGCCATAGAGCATGAGTGTCATAAACCTATTTTTACTAAATTAAAGATGAACAATTCTGTTGTAGATTATTTAATTTAGAATACTTTTTTGATATTCTACTGCATTACTCTGTTATTAGATCCCTGGTTCATGCTTATCAAAGCCCTCATCACACTATCTGGTAATTGCACTTGTTGGGCTCATCTACAAGTTCCTTGTGGAAAAGGTTGTGCTTTTTTTTTCACTCTTGTAACCCCAGCAGTTACTAGACAGAAAGATGTGAACACATAATCATGAATTGATATGTAAACTGTTTGTGCATTGGTATAGTGATTTAAGGATATAGATGTTGTGGTGTGAGTATAGTATGTATTCAAATATCACAAAATCTTGTGTACCGAGAGGATTGTTTCAGCCATTGCATACAGTCATTAGTAAAGATAGTCAGATTGGCCATATGACTATTTGTTAATATCTTAAATGGGAAAATACAATGCATATGCATTTTCTTTTTAAAAATTTTACCTGTAAGTGGGTATGTGGGAATCCAGATTCCTTGAGGGGCTTAAAATAGAGGGGGTCAGCCTGTGGGGCTCATGGGAACAAGAAAAGAGCTGCTCAAGGATTACAAGCTATTGACTGCTTCTTTGAGGAATCCCATAACCCGAGCCCTTTAGATATAATATGCTTTTATCTGAAAAGTAGAATAACGATTTAGCTTCAAGATGGAAATGAGAAGAAAATTTCCTTGACACTGGGATTAACTATCGTTGTCATTATACTGATTGGGAATATGGAATGATCTTTTTTAGTGCTTGAATCTCCTTGCAGTTTCAGTCAGAAGAAAAATTCTGCCACAGAATTTTTCTGTTCTGGATTTCATCCTTATAAAAAGGATGGAATTCAGAACAGTGTGGCTGGAGTCATATCTTCCTCCTGGGGTTCTATTCTAAGTAAGAACTACTGGGTATAAGAAAAGGAAATATAGTCATGAATTGGCCTGAAGGATATAATGAAGTAGAGGCACCTCTTGGAAAAATCTTTTTTTTAAAGGTATCATGTTTACTGGGCCTTTATGATTGCGTAGAGTTTTGCCAAGTTTATGAAGAAATAACATATAAAAGAAGGAGGTGTTAGAGTGAGGTCATCTGATGGGCTGAAGTTCAGAGATCATGGAGGTAATGATAGGAATGAGGATAAAAAGTTACGGGGAGTAGTGGTGTAGATGGCCAAATAAACCTTGAGTTTTACTTTTGGGTAATGAAGAGCTGTGGAAGGTCCTGAAATAGGTTAGTAATCTAGTTACACATGTGTTTTAGCAGGACAACTCCAGAGGTGGTAACAGATTGGAGAGGCATGAACTAAGTGGTAGAGGATATACTTAAGAAGCTATTCCAATTAGCCAGGTGAGAAATAATGAGAACCTGGATCAGGATAGTAACAAGTGGATTGAAAAGGAGTGACTGAACGATAACAATTTGCTTGTCCCTTCTCTTTTTCTTGTTTCTTTTTGTGTTGAAGGACTTGTCTTCAGTAAACTAGTTGTTCACATCAACAACGTTCTTTGTAAGATCTTGTTCCCCTTTATCAGAGCAAATGACTCTGTCCTGGTGACAAAGGCTCTGTGGTCTCTTAAATAATTGGAATCTAGAAATGAAGATCTAGAATATCCAGCAACCGGAAACTTTTTTTTTTTCCTGATTCACAGCTATTTAGAGTGATCTAGGATCTTGCTTTAAAGCCACTGTACCCCAGATATTAATTTTATTTCCACAAGGCATCACTGCAATTGCAAATGAGCCAGGTTTGGTTGCACTCTTCCATCTTTTGGCTTTTGAGGACTGTCCTAATGCCACTTTATTTACATTTATGCAAGTCTCCAAATTAACAGTTCATCAGAAGCCACACCGCAAAGTCTCAAAGAAGACTCCCAAGAGCTTTCCTAGTAGCTCTAGCACCCAAGTTTAATGAAGATTTGGTTTGGGATGATGAATATCCAGATGAAAGAGATTTTGCTCTTTCACTGCCATATTCTGCTCCGTCAAATATATGAAAATATAGCTCATTTTCTCATGAACTCTGTTATTCATAATATATGACACAATTAAGTCACACTATTTAGCTATTCATATTCTAAGGTGAAGTGGAATCCCTATCATCTTTGGTCAGTTATTGAAGAAATGTTTTGCTTGTTTCATGTTCATTTGGGATAGAAGTATATTCTATCCCAAATGTGCCCATTATAAAAAAAGTTTATCAATATATTAAAAAGAAAATATTCTACCCCAAATATGCCCATTATAAAAAAAGTTTGTTATCAATATATAAAAAAGAAAATAAAAACACTCACACTCAAACTGTACCATTATTCCTCTTGGTATATAATTAGAAAAAATGTGGCTCCGTAGGAGTATAGGCGAAAAAGTACAAAGTTCATTTCTGATTAAAATATTCTAAGCAAGCCTTTCTCCAGAATCTAATTTTCCAACACATTCTTCATTTAATAAACACAGTTTCAGGCCATGTACTAGATTTGGGGGATATAAATGAGACAAGATAAGGTCTCTGCCTTCCAGGTCCTTAGTGTCCAAAAGAGCTGCTGTCAAAAACAATTTTCAAAACTAATGTGTCAAAAAAGACCTGTAGCAGCATTACAGGCAAACATTGGACATGTAATAACTGCTAACAATGGGGCCACAGGGAAAGACTTTATCCAAGGTTTAGAGGGGCATCCCAACAAAGATTTGGAAACTATCCAACCTGCCTTTACACATGAAGTAGAGCTCAGTGACAAGCGAGAGAAATAGAATAGCCCTTTGGAGGTTGCACCAGAGAGGAAAGGGCCAGGGTCAACTGTTGACCTCCCCAGGAGATTTTCCACATTTCTCAGAGCTTAAAATAGAACCTCTAGCCACACTATCAAGTCCTCCAGAATCATTCCACGGTGAGAGCCTGTGGTCCACATGGACAATTCTCCTTCCACTCTGAGTCCACCCTGGGTAGCCTCCAGTGTGATAAGGGTGGTGAGGGGAAACTGAGTTCAAGGCACCAGTTCTGTGTAAGCCTCCCCTTAGTGCCACCAATGTCCTCAAGGGAGCTCAGGATCACCAGGACAAATAGAATACTGAATATAAAAATGTTTGGATACAAGAGAAAACTTTCAGAAATATTTTTAACACTTAACACTTTTCGTAGAGAAGTGATGAATTCTGCCTAAATGACTTGATACTGGATTCAGACATACTTATATTAATACTCCATCATTGCCATTTACTGGCTAGGTCACATCAAACAATTTACTTAACCCACGCCTGTAATAGTTTTCTAATAAGTTGAATGGGGCTTATATTACTTATGCCACAAGGATGTGTTGAGGCTTCATTGAGATTATGTATATAAACCAGACTGTGTTTCAACCAATCTATTTAGAGGATTCCCTGAAGCTCAGCTTTACTACTTCAATTCTTTCTCAACAGGCCCTAATGAAAGGCCCAGCCCAGATGAATCATCACCTAGAAAAATCCAAGAATACATCAGCCTCATCAGCCACACTCATCCTGAGTGAAAAATGCCCAGAATATATGACTATATTGTTCTGTGACAAGCGTTATGTGAAGAAGTGTAACAACTACATAAAACTCAATAATTAGTCACCTTGTCCCTTTTTAAACAACTAGTACACAAGTAGCCAATTAAATACCAATCAAAAACACATAGGTATTTAGTAGTCAAAAACACATAGATATTTTTGATATGGCAAGCTTGACAAACAATATGTACAATTAACAATGTTGTTGACTTTTCTAAACACTTCATATAAATCAACACATTTATTCTTCACAACATCACTGGAGGAAGTTAACATTATTCTCATTTTTCAAATGAAGAAACTGAGACACAGAGAAGTTCATTAATCTTCCCATAGTCATATAGTTAGTAAGCGGGCAGAGCCAGTCTTCTAATCTAGGCAGTGTGGCTAAAGAGTGGACCCACTTAGGTCCTGTGGAATACTGCCTCTCAGATAGTGGAAACCTTGCTCAGCAGAATAGCGGCTTCAATATGACCTTGGAGCTTATTAGAAATGCAGAATTTCAGACCCTACTGAATCATAATCTGTACTTTAACAAGATCTCCAGGGGATCCACGTCAAAGTTTGAGATGTAGAAGTGGCACACAAAGAGCCTCAGATCATTATGTTACTTATTAAGAATTAACATCTAACCTAAGTGGACATGTATACTTACCTATCTTAATTACTTGAATTTTATGAATATAACATATATTTCCCTTGTCAGCATCTGTGGATATTCATATCCTTGACCCACTTCCTCAACTCAACTATTGAGATATTTTTACTTCCTTCATTGAAGTCTGTAATGTAGATGCTGGGGATATCTTGTGTTTTTATCCCTTTAACCACCGTAGGGAAATCTGTTCTACCCAATTTTATCCAAAACTGAGATTATTACATCTTTTCCTTCCAAGGAAAAGACCTCCTATTTTAGTCAGTTTCTGTAAGCCAATTAGTAGCTTTACATAATCCTAAAATTCTTTCTTTTTTTCTTTTTTTTTTGAGATGGGCTCTTGCTTTGTTGCCCAGGCTGGAGTGCAGTGACACAATCTCAGCTCACTACAACCTCCGCCTCCCAGGTTCAAGCGATTCTCCTGCCTCAGCCTCCTGAGTAGCTGGGATTACAGGTGCCCACTGCCATGCCTGGCTAATTTTTGTATTTTTTAGTAGAGACAGGGTTTTGCCATGTTGGCCAGGCCGGTCTCGAACTCCTGACCTCAGGTGATCCACCTGCCTCAGCCTCCCAAAGTGTTGGGATTATAGATGTGAGCCACCGCGCCTGGCCCATAATCCTAAAATACTTAAAATGACTATAGTGTAAACGGTTAGAGCTTAATTTTGAGAAGAAAGGTTTAATTTCTTTGGATGTTAACAGGTGCTATAAATTAATTAACTGGTCTGTGTTCCTGATTAATTTATCAAAGCAACTCTAAGTCAGTTTTATATGAATAACTACCTCTTTAGTGATTTAAACCTCTAACCAGATTGCAATTTAATATACAATCCATTTCAGAAATAGTCCACATTTTACTTCACCCATACAATGAGGCTCATCTCATCATATATATAATTCTTTCCTAGTTCTATATTATTTGATGCAAAGAAATCTTCATTTTGGAAGATAATTCAGAATAATCCTGTAAGAGGTAGAGTAGGTAAAATTGTCTCCATATGATAGAGGAAGAAGCCTATCTAAGATCACAGAGTGGGTATGGATAGATGAGAGAAGTCAGTTTCCTCTTGCCTGATCCTCTCAAGGAAACAAAGAGTCAGGAAAGAAAAATTGTGAGGTGGCACAAAAACCAAAATGTGCACATTGTTGAAATGGAAGAAACTGGAAAAAAGTAACCATAAATTAAAGAGACCTGCACTGCATTCACTAGTAGGAGATTATTGAGATTTAAGCACAAGTGTGTGTGTAAGTGGGGACTGCTTATATTGTAGGTCCCATTCATGTAGGAGCAAAAAATAAGATAATATAACCAATATTTAGGGGATAGAAACAGAAAAGCAACTACTATAGGCCAATGCATACACTTGAATAATCTCGAGTATCATATAATGCCAAGACATAAGAGAGAATAACTGAGTTACTGACATGGCTGAGGCAGAGGAAGAGAAGTTGATAATGGTTCATATGATTTATAAATAATATTTATTAAATGTTATATGTTTGTATTTCCAGATCATTTTTTCAGAATATTAAAAATATTTGATTCACTGAGTTTGCCTTTCCCTATACACCTGTTGAGAATAAGTTTGCTGCCTTGACACTGGGAGCCATAAGCCCAGCAGCACCACTGGGGACAGGCTGCAGGTGCCAAAAGAACATAGCACACAGAGGTAGGTGGCTGAGCCTCAGGCTGGAAGACTGAAGGGTGGAGGAAGCTCTGCCTCCTTATTAGTAAGGAGAGCTCTTACCTCTTCCTTTTCACTCCAGTTTAGATTCATTATGAACAGGATATTGGCAATCCTTCTCAGAATTTTGCTAATACCTGTTAAAGCATGAAAAGAAGCTTTGATCTTCTTTCCCCCTTTAGCGTGCAGAGATCACGAAGTCTGCTCCCTGTTGATGGGCAGAACTGCATAAGATTGTAAATTCAGGATTACTACCGAATTTACAACCTTTTTATGCCTTTCTCATAGGGAATTCTGAGTAATCCACAATGAGCGTGACTGTTTGCCCTATCCCTTAGCCTGTTGGGAAAAGTCTTTGACAGCCTCTGTGCTCACATCCAATGTGAAGCCATGAGAGCTGAACTGAGGGATCCCCAGGTCTTCTTCATCTGTCCCAGCCCAATATCCAAACTTAAGAACTGTTGAGATCTAATGCTTCAAAGAGACAGACCTGTGTATGTGATTATAAAGACAACCAAGACAAGTTCTATTCTTTGCCTAGTAATCGTTCTCACAAGCCAATTTAACTATAAATGGTATCACTATGGTCTGTGAGTGGAATCACAAACATAGCCTTCTTATCCAATATGTTATGAACTATTCATGTTAGGTGTGTATTCTAAGTGGAAGATTTCTGTTTTTCAGGTTTATGGAGTCCCCAAAATCTTTTGCAAGCCTGGGAACTCTTTCTAATTATCAAACAGCCATCCCACTCTTGGGTCTTACTAATTCTCAGAGAGTTGTCAAGAAACAACGACCTGTTCCCTGCTGCCCAGGACGCACAGACCCCTTTATTCTCTCCTGGAAAAGCCATTCTCTCTTCTATTTATACCAAAAAACCTCCTTCCACCTCTCCCACTTCCATAAACCCTATTATTCCTGAAAGAAATTAGATTTTTCAAAACAAGCCAGAAGACTCTACAGGCAAACACAGCTTTCTGTATTCCCAGGCATCATCACTTACATGTTGAAGCACAGAGACACCACCTGCTTGAAAACAGGTGAAGGAAGAAGAAACACACGGAGGACTAAAACATAAATTAAGATAACAAAGTGATAGAAAACTATATAATGTATATATAAATGTATCTATACACCTGTATAATACCTATTACATAGGTTCTCTCTTTTTTGAATAATTACTTCAATAAAAGAAGAGTTAATCTAATTTTTTCATGATTCAATTTTTAAAAAATTGTCCAATTCTATTTTTTCTTTTTTCTCATAATTTAGTTATGCTTATACATTTATCTGTACCATTTTCATGATTTCCTTAGATTTATTTCTTTCTTCTAATTACTTGAATTTCGTGCTTACTTACTTGATCTTTTTTATTTATTACTAATGAAAATGATATTAAATGATATATTTTAATATCATTATCATCATTATTATTGTAACCTGGTCCCTAGACCAAGGAAGCATATGACAGATGGGCTTTCTTATCAAAAAGAAAGAGTAAGCATTCTGTTCTTGCTAGTGTGTTTTATGTATGTTTCCTTCAACTGGCTTCCAAGGCTGCCATCCTTTTCATTTTTGTCATAGGGCTATCACACGGTAGCAGCCTCATTTGTCACTCTCATCCCTCTCAGAGCATAGTCATATACAACAGCATCTCTCTGGTCCACCCTGGGAGGTTCAGGTTGCTGGACCTTCTGTTCGGAAGAATTGACAAATTGTTTCTGTCATTTGTCACAAGAATCTTGTACCTGAAATCAGAAAATCTAGTCTTTGGAAGGGATGCTATGAGCCCCAGACTATGTTTTTGTTTGTTGCTGAGCTGGCTGTAAGATCCTGAGTGACTGCTATGACGGACTGGAGTCTGAATGCTGTTTCCAGGACTAAAGGAGAGCCATGGCATAGAGGTACTGCAGAACCTCAGTGAACATTCATCCCCAGGAGAGGAGCACAACGGGGGCCTGCCTTCCCATTCCCACTAGAATGGAAGCCATACTGGGATACTGGGATTTGTTTTCAATGAGGTCTGTGATCCCAGAGGACACATGCCCTAAAGTCTGGCACTGACTAGAGAAAAGGTAAGAAGAGAAAGATTCAGCCCTTTAGGTAATTCTTCATTCAACACACAGGTGCTTCAGAGATATACCTACTGAAGAAAGGACATTTGGAAGAAACTCAGGAAGTTCTGATGGTACTCACAGGCCTCCAACGCCCGTACATACACTCTTTCCTTAGGATCTCATGTGTTCTCTGTTGTACCTGCAGTCACAGAGCCCTAGCACAGAAATAAGGACATTTATGGGCATTCGATCTCTGTTATCTTTTCTTGCCTTGTATTTTCTGGCTCAGCTGTACATCCCATTCTGCCTTTTGCTTCTATCGCCGAGTTTTTCTACATAGTTCTTTCTAGCCTGACCCTATCAATCTGTCTGTGGTAATATGTGGACACATCAATCCTTTTTTAATTCCCACATTAAGATCTGCCAGGAAAGAGCCTGCTGCTATAGAAGGTGACAGTGGGAGAGAGAAGAGTCATGAGAAGCTGTAAGACACCGAGGTCTTAATGAAAGGAAGCTCACACAGTATAGGAGTAAACTGCCAGTCTCCCGCTTCATTTATATAAAGGCCCATCTACTGAATAATGGAAAAATCAAGCTAACTATCTTGATCTTCCCTCTTACTAACTGGATTAAATCATAGTCTTGAGAATAAAGAGAATACTTTCCACACAGTTTGTATAACAATAGAAAGAAAAATATTGTGACTCCAGTTAATAATCAGGGCTGTGTCAGGACAGAAGAGAAAGGATTTTCCATTTCATTAATACAAGGAGAAACAGCTGAAAACAACATTACATTTATAACCTTGTAGAGAGATGCGGACCAGATCTAGGGCAACAAATCAATTGAAGGTTACAGAATGTTGTTGTAGGTTCTCTTTTATCAAGTCCTGCAGCCCTAGTACAAATGGCCATCAAGGAGTATGCCTATCTGTGTGATTGAATATCTGAAGAGATAATACATGTTTGGTGGTTTCAAAGTGCTTCCCCTGGTTTCTCTCTTTTCCTCTACTTTTCTCTAGCTGCTCATCTTTTACTTCCAATATATGTATTCAAGAGAATAGATCAGTGATATCATAAGTTGAAGATATTTGGCTTAAATTTTATAGCTAGGATTTCAAAACTCAGTGTTCTTTCTCTAATGCACTAGGTTTCTGATTATGAGCAAAATTAGTTATGTTTTCTGGGCCTCCATTTCTTTACCTATAATAATTTATTAAATGTTTACATTGTGCTAGAATATGAGCTAAGCCCTTGAAAGATATTTTATTATTCGATAATTGGAACAACTGCCGACAGGATGATCATGATGATCTCCTGTAAGCAGATGATAAAATTGAAATTTAAGATGTTTGTTAACGTTTCTACTATAATTCAAATAATGACAGAGTTGAGAGTTCTACACACCCTATCCAATCCATAAACTTTTTCTTTTAAATTACTTATTATATTTCTTTTCCTAACAGAAGTTATTTCTACTTTCATGTTAGTATACTTAAATTATATAATATATGCAAAACTTTACATAATGCATGCTGCATAGTAAATACACAAACCAAAGAAGCACCAACACAAAAAGTTGAAGAGAGTACACAAGGCAGGAAAGTAAGAAATAATCCGAACTGGTTGTAGCAAATATTTTCTATGAGATTGAGCGCATTGGATTGATTTTTCTTTTTTCTTTTTAGCTTCTATACTAAAATTGATTTTTCAAAGTTAATAGACTATTTTAGAGCAGTTTTATGTTTACAGAAAAATTGAGCAGAAAGTACACAAAATTATCATATACGCCCTCTATACCTGCCCACAGGAAAAAAGTCAGATTTTTATACTGTCAAAGATCAAATAGGACACAGAAAAGCTGATTGTTCCCTCTATCATGTACCATAATGCTTCTGACACTTAAATGAGATGTCAGTGTGTTGTTACATTGTTATATTGAGAGGCATTCAGCGAAAAATAAAGCAAAAGGTGGGCACGTTGAAATGGAGAAGGGTTACACACTCCTCACATCCAGTTCATTCTGCACTTATGGACTTATTATATGTTAGTCCCAGCTAGTCCAGAACCTAGCCTGAGTCTTTCTTTATTCTATCAGCTTTCCCATTTGTTCTTAGGCTTGACCCACTGCATAACTTGAATATTCTTGTGCTTATCCCTTGAAAAGCTAAGGAAAAACATAGTGGCATAGTTCCATTTAATAATTAGTGATATCTCACCTTGTGTGAAAATACGCAGATGTATTGTAAGGTACCCTATAATGTCCTATATAATTTATAATGTATATAACGGAATTCATTTCGTGGCGAACAATCTTCATAACTGATATATTTTTTTAAAAGATGAAGGACTAAACTTATCTTGTACCCTTTCTGATATCATTACTATAATAGGAAGGCTCATAACCTCCTCCAGAACTGTGACATGTGATATAAATAGAATTAATCTCATTTTAATCTTTGAGCATAGGAGAGCAATATAAAATATGAGACATATCATTTTCCAGTTGGGTACCTGGTGCAGTAACAGCAGAAAATACTCTTCTTTGCCTGAACTCAAAAACAGAGTTTCTTGGATTGCTAGGATTATTTTTTTCTGTGCAGGACATCATCACTGGGGACACACAGAAGGAAGAAATAAAATTATTGATTTGAGCCTTTTTTCTTTTTCTAATGTAAATGTTTACTGTTATAAATTTTCTTCTAAGCATGGCTTTATGTTCTTTCTGTTGTTTACTGGAGTGTTCCATAAATGTCAATATAATAGTGTTGAGCAGGTCTGCTGCATCTTTGCTGATTCTCTAACTATAACACTTGTTCTATTATTTACTGAACACAAAGGGTTTAAGTCTCCAAGTGTAATAGCGGTTTTGTCTATTTTTCTTTTAGTTCTAACCATTTTAGCTTCAAATATTTTGAAGCTTTGTTGGTAGGTACAAGCACTTTAAACATTTTTTTAGTGAAGCAACCCTTTTATAATTATGTAATATTTCACTTTATTTCTTTAATATTTCTTTTTCTGAAGTCCCATTTGTCTGATGTTAATATAGCCCTTCCAGATTTCTTTTGATTAGTGTTTTCATGGATCTCTTTTTCCATTCTTTTACTTTTAATCTTTGTCATTGTATTTAAAGTCAGTTCATATGTAGATGGGTCTTCTTTAAGAAAAAAATCCATACTGATAATCTCTGTCTTTAAATATCTGTGTTTAGACCATTTACATTTAATGTAACTATTAATATGGTTGTATTTAAGTCTATTACTTCAGTATTCATTTTCCACTTCTGCCCTTTGTTTTGGTCTCTTATTATTCTGTTATAATGTATCTATTTGATTTTTGACTATTTCTTTTTGTATTATGTTTTTAGTGGTTTCTATTAGGATTGCCTACTACTACTATGCTTACTACTTAATCTTTCACAGTCTGTTTATATTTATTTATACTGCTTCATGAACAATATAGAAATTGTATATAGGTTACTTTACCCTCATTTCTTCATGTTATAGTTCTCAGATGCCTTCCATCTTTAGACTTTGAAAACCCCAACGGGGAATTTTATAACATTTTATTTCAACAGTCTATGCATTTTAAATAAATTAAGAAGAGAAATTATTGTGTATAATGCTTAAATTAACATGGGAATACAGATATCTATTTGAGATCCTGATTTCAATTATCTTGGATATATACCCAGAGGTAGGGTTTGGGGATTATATGGTAGTTCTATTTAAAATTTTTTGAGGAACTCCATAATGTTTTCTATAGCAGCTACACCATTTTACATTCCCAAGAACACTGTACACTGTACAAGGATTTCAGTTTTGCCACAGCCTCACCTATACTTAACTTTTTAAAAAATAATGGTCATCTTAACATTTGTGAGGTGATATCTCATTGTGGTTTTGATTTGCATTTCCCTGATGATTAGTGATACTGAATACCTTTTCATATACTTGTTCACTATTTGTCTGTCTTCTTGGGAGAAATGTCTATTTGAGTCTTTTGCCCATTTTAAACTTGTTTTTTTTTGTTACTGAGTTTTATGGTTCCTTGCATATTTTGTATATTAGCCACTTATCAATATATGGTTTGCAAATATTTCTCCCTTTCCATAAATTGCTCCATTGCTGCACAGAAGCTTTTTAGTTTGATGTAATATCATGGGTCTTTTTTTGCTTTTGTTGTCTGTGCTTTTGGTGTCATGCCCAATAAATCACTGTCATGTCCAATATTATGAAGCTTTTTCTCTACGTGTTCATCTAGTAGTTTCACACTTTCAGGTATCATGTTTAAGTCTTTAATTAATTTTGAGTAAGTTTTTGCGTATGGTGTTCAATTTTATTCTTCTGCATGTGGTATTACAATATGCAAGATATGGAAAAGAAAGATTAGTGACAAATAAATAAATAAATTGTGGTATATTCATACAATTAAACATTACTCGGCCTTGAAAAAGAAGAATATCCTGCCATTTGTGACAACACGATTGAACTTGGAGGAGATTATGCTAGGTGAAATAACCCAGTCACAGATGAACAAATAATGCATGATTACACTTATTTGAGGTATCTAAAATAGTCAAATTCATAGAAGCAGAGAATAAAATAATGGTTTCCAGGGACTGGGGGGAGGGAGAAATTGGGAGTTGTTGTTCAATGGTTTTAAAGTTTTAGTTATGTAAAAATAAGTTCTAAAGATCTGCTATACAACATAGTGTCCATAGTTAACAATACAGGCTTGAGCACTTGAAAATTTATTGAGGGTAAATCTCATGTTAATTTTTCTTACAACAATAGCAGCAGCAATAACAACAAAAACAAAGAGTCACAAGGAAACTTTTAGAGGTGACAAACATGTCTATTGCCTTGATTGTGATGATGGTTTCACGGTTGTATGCATATGTCCAAACTCATCAAATTGCATATATTAAATATGTATAGTTTTTGTATATAACTTATACCTCAGTAAAGCTGACTGTAAAAGAGAAATGGAAACTAGTTTCTTGTATCTTATCATCTATTTACTATTTCTGTTGTTCTTCCTTCGTATTTGAAGTTGCAAATTTTCCTCTGGTATCCTTTCCCTTCAGCCTGAATAACTTCCTTTAGGACTTCGTTTATAGCAGGTCTGCTCACAACGAATTCTCTCAGTTTTCCTTTCGAGAATGTCTTTACTATAATTTCTTTGTGATATTTTTACTGGTATAGAATTCAGGGTTGCCAAAGTTATTTTTCTGTTGGTGTTTTAAAAATGTAACGAGAGATACATCATGCATTCCTCTAGGTCACTGTAAGTACTTTGATGTTACTCTAAGAGAAATGGGAAGCTATTGCAAGGATTGGAGTAGATGAGTGACCTATCTATATTTGAAAGATCTCATTGGCTGCTGTATTAAGAATGTTCTGTAGGAGGACAAGCAGGGAAACCATTTGGAAGGCTACTACGGTAATTCATTGAGATGAGGGTGGCTTGACCAAAGAGATAGCAGTGGTCAAACTATGGGTCGATCTTTTAGTTAGGGCCAACTGAATTTCTTGATGGATTCAATGTGAATAGTGAAAGAAAAAATAAGAGTCAAAAATAACTCTGAGGCTATGGGCAGATTCTGAAAGAATGAGATGCTGTCGATTGAAAAACAAAAGGTAATAGAAGCAGCATGTTGGCAGTGAGAAGGAGAGGATCAGGAGTCCAGTACTGGTCACACTAATTTAAAATCTTGCACATGTACCCTAAAACTTAAAGTATAATAAAAAAAAACTTGACCCTCTTCAGTGTGGTATTTCCAAGCAGAAGGAGAACAGTCATAGAAGTCTGTCTCTTCCACATCTTGTCTGATGTGACCCAGTAGTAAAAGAAGGAACGTGATGAAGTCTCTGTTTCTTCTCTGGAGTCAAGCACTCCTCATGGCTCTGTTCTTCCACCTTTCTCACTTTCATCAAATGAGAGACCTTGCTACAAATAGGTCAGGCTGTGCCCTTGAGTTCCTGAAAACCTCAGTGTCTCAGGAAGTTTGTGTTCAGCTCCTCCTGCAGTCCCAGGCACAGTCCTCCTGTCACCCACAGCACAGAAGTACTCAGCAGCATCACTCACATGGGTTGATGGTTTCCTCAGGTAGAAGGAGGTTTCGCTCTTCTTAAATTCAGCCTCAAAACCTCTGATGCCTTTAACCTGGGTGGCCTTTGTTAGGTCTTTGAGGAGAAGCTGGAGGCTTTGGCTAGAGTATTGGACATACCAGAAGAGAGAAGGAACTCCACTATAGGAATAGTTGCACTTCAGTTCCAGAGGGGCTTCTTCAGAGACAGTGATGTGGCCATCAAGCTGGGTCACCGACTGGGTTCTGGTTCCTCCTGCAACATCAACACTCTGTTAGTGAGACCAGAACAGATCTACCTGTAATGAGACAGAGTCTCTATTTAGATTCCGATTGGAACAATGTTCCTTGTATGGAGACGGGAGCAGGGAAACAATATTATTATACTTACTCAGTGTGAAGAACATTCCAAGCAGCAGAATGACCACTAAGAGCATGGCTAGGCAGTGAGGAAGCTGAGAGCTCTATTCTAGAAGATCTCCTGAGTGGGAAGGAATGTGCCAGAGGATGGTGAGTCCCTATAATGAGGAAAATCTGGGATTCAAGAGTTCCCTGCTTAGGTAAGGCCTAGAGACCACTAGTAAGAGCTGCTCTCTTGACAACAACCACTCTGGTGTTGATCCTACTCAGAATATGCACCTCAGTGAGCTGTGAGATAAAGCCGCTCAGGAAGGACAGAACTCTTCTTAGCAGAGACATTTCCGGTCTGTGAGACATTGCCCCCTGGAGGTCAAATGTGGAAACACACTGAGTCTTTTGGGTTTGGGCTCCATTTCCTTGGTTTGAATTTCTTAGCAGAATAATCTGATGACAGTGTTTTCAGGGGTCTGCTTATGAGGAAGCTATTTTAATCTTATAAAGTAAATAATATTATTTAATCCTATGAAGTAAATACTATTATCATCGTCATTTTATAAACGGGGAAACTAAAGCATGGAAGAAAAGATTCAATTTGTCCAAGTCATAGTAAGTGATAGTGAGGTAGGTGATCCCCAAAACCAGCCCAGCAGGTTTCCTGGCTTCACACAGGAAAGAATTCATGAGTGAGCTGACAGAGCAAAGTGAAGGCAAGTGTATTGGAGCTACAGAGTACAGGAAAGTGGTTGCTCCATAGACAGAGTAATAGCAGCAGCAGTTACAGCCCTTGTGGATTGTTGGCTAGCTATATATATGGCTATTTTTTGATTATATTCTAAATAATAAATAAATTCATGAATTACCTGGAAAAGGAACCCTAAACTGAGGGTTCCTCCCCTTTTAAGCCATATAAGGTAACTTCTGGGGATTGTCATGGCATTTGTAAACTGTCATGGTGGTGGTGGGAGTTTCACTTAGCATGCAAATGTATTATAATTAGTGTATAATGAGCAGTGGGGCCAATCAGAGGTCACTTTCATCTCCATCTTGGTTTTAGCTGGTTTTGGCCACTCTCTTTGCTGCATTCTGTTTTGATCAGCTCCTGTTTTGTTCAGCAGGGTCTTGTGACCAGTGCTCAGAAAACAAGTCTGGCTGATCTGCTATCTCAACAGAATTGGAGTTTGTCTCATCAATATGATTTAATAATCCACATTATTGACCACTGATAACTATTGCACATTTTACACTATAGCCCTTTACAGTAGATCTTATCTATACTGAACAGACGGGAAATCAAGTCCTTATGAAGTTAAGTCATTTGTCCAAGGACATGCAAGGATTAGAATCCAATTCTTTTCCACTGCAAGCTCAGTTCCTTGCCCACTATGTTATCTGTGACGTAGTACTACCCTATAAGACTAGATGCAATTTTACCAAGACAAATGCTTAGAGCAAAATTTAGAAGAGAATAGGGACTTAAAAAAATCCTCAAGGAACCCAAACACTGATGGGATAGATAGTGGAAAAAGTACTAAAGAAACCTTGAAGCTGGGCGTGGTGGCTCACGCCTGTAATTCCAGCCCTTTGGGAGGCTGAGGTGGGAAGATCATCTGAGGCCAGGAAGTCAAGACCAGCCTGGTCAACATGGTGAAATCCCATCTCTACTAAAAATACAAATAATTAGCTGGGCATGGTGGCTTGTGCCTGTAGTCCCAGTTACTTGGGAGGCTGGGACATGAGAATCGCTTGAACCTGGGAGGCGGAGGTTGTAGTGAGCCAATATCGTGCCACTGCACTCCAGCCTGGGTGACAGAGTGAGACTCCATCTCAGAAAAAAAAAAAAGAAAAAGAAAAGGAAACCTCAAAGGGTATCCAGAGAGGTAAGTGGCAAATCAGAAATGGCTGGATTTCTAAAAGAGAAGGAAAAAGGAATTCTAAAAAGAAATGAATGGCTAACAGAGTGAGTGGTAAATAAATGTCTATAAGATGATAACTTTTCAATGTCTATTGATTTTTTATTGATGCGTAATAATTGTACATATTTATGAAATGCATGTGACATTTTGATACATACATACAACATGTAATTATCAAATCATGGTAATTGAGTTAACCATTGCTTCAAACATTTATTATTTCCTTGTGTTGACAACATTCCAAATCTAGCTATTTTGAAATATACAATAAATTATTGATAACTATAGTCACCATACTGTGCTACTGAACTACTGATTTTTTTAACAACACAAAAATCATGATTTTGGTCTTTTCAGCAAAAGGTCAACTGCTATGGGAAGAGGCATTGTGATGAGACAAGGAAGAAAAAATTTGAATATAGAAATCTCCTTCTAGAGGTTGCTGGATCCTCTAAAGAGGAGAAAAGAGTCATGGTGTTAACTGGATGAGGATGTTGAAGAGGTAATGGTAGGGTTTATACAAATTAGGGTATATTTACATGCTTTTGGAAAGAATGTATAAACAATGGATCAAAGTTTTGAGGAGACAGATGGGATTGGAATGTGGATTATGGGTAGAAGGACAAAGTTTTGGTAGGAGGAAAAACAGTTATTTTCAATTTTATTGAAATGAAGGAGAAAAGGATTACAGTAGTTTAGATTTAAGTGATACTTTGGAGTGTGAAGGTAGAAAGTGAAACACCTATTACCTTCTAATGGGATTTTTTTTCTTGTTATACACAGAGATTAAATGTCTCCCAAGAGAGTGAATGGAGGAGGATCTGGGTTAGGAAGTCTGAGGTATGTGAGAAGTTTTAGAAAATGGCAGTGAGATGTGATTACAGAGAAGAATACTTTCCTGGAAACATTGTGGGCCTAGTTAATTTTGAAGGTAACAACATTTATTTATTTATTTATTTATTTATTTATTTATTTATTTGAGACAGAGTCACACTCTGTTGTCTAGGCTGGAGTGCAGTGGCATGATCTCAGCTCACTGCAACCTCTGTCTTCCAGGTTCAAGCAATTCTCCTGCCTCAGCCTCCCGAATAGCTGGGATTACAGATGTGTGCCACCATGCCCGGCTAATTTTTTTGTATTTTTAGTAGAGACAGGGTTTTGCTGTGTTGGCCTGGCTGGTCTCAAATTCCTGGCCTCAAGTGATCCACCCACCTTGGCCTCCCAAAGTGCTGGGATTACAAGCATGAGCCCCTGCTCCCGGCTGGTAACAGTATGTTTTAATGACACCAATCTGCGCATCGGTGTACTCTGATCAGACAAGATATGCATTACAATAAGGAAGATACAGATTCATGATTGGGAATTAATTAGATCACTGCTATGATGCAGAATTGGGATGAGAATAATATAGTCAATGACTAAAGATTGAAAGCAACAGGTAATAGAGTATAAGCATTATAGGTAAGAAAATAAAAGATAAGAAGCTTCTGAGAAATAAGGTGAAAATAAAGGGGAACAAAGCTGGAGGCATCATATGCCCCACCTTCAAACTATACTACAAGGCTACAGTAACCAAAACAGCATGGCACTGGTACAAAAATATACACATAGACCAATGGAACAGAATAGGGAACTCAGGAATAAGGCTGCCCATCTACAACTATCTGATCTTTGACAAAGCTGACAAAAACAAGCAATGGGGAAAGGATTCCCTATTCAACAAATGGTGTTGGGATAACTGACTAGACAAATCAGAAGATTGAAATGGGACCCCTTCCTTACACTGTCTACAAAAACTAAGTCAAGATGGATTAAAGACTTAAATGTAAAACCCAAAAGTATAAAAACCTTAGAAGACAACTTAGCAATACCATTCTGGACATAGAAATGGGCAAAAATTTCATGACGAAGACACTAAATGCAATTGCAACAAAAGCAAAAATTGACAAATGGGATCTAATTAAACTAAACAGCTTCTAAACAGCAAAAGAAACTATCTACAGAGTGAACAGACAACCTACAGAATGGAAGAAAATGTTTGCGAACTATGCATCAGACAAAAGTCTAATATTCAGCATCTATAAGGAACTTAAACAAATTTACAAGAAGAAAAAACCCCAACAAAAAGTGAGCAAAGGACACGAACAGACACTTTTCAAAAGAAGTTATTATTGTTGGCTGCATGTATGTCTTACATGTATGTCTTATACATGCAGTCAACAATAATACGAAAAAAAGCTCAACTTCACTGATCGTTAGAGAAATGCAAAATAAAACCACAAAGAGATTCCATCTCACACCAGTCAGAATGGCTATGAGTAAAAAGTCAAAAAACAACAGATGCTAGCAATGTTGCAGAGAAAAAGGAACACTTATATACTGTTGGTGGGAATGTAAATTAGTTCAACCACTGTGGAAGACAGTATGCCAATTCCTTGAAGATTGAAAAACAGAAATACCATTTGACCCAGCAATACCATTTCTGGGTATATACTCAAAGGAATATAAGTCATTCTATCATAAAGACACATGGATGTGTATGTTCAGTGCAGCACTGTGCACAATAGCAAAGACATGGAATCGACCTAAATGCCCATCAAAGACTGGATAAAGAAAATGTGGTAATATATACACCATGGAATCCTACACAGCCATAAAAAGAAATGAGATTATGTCCTTTACAGGAACATGGGTGGAACTGGAGGCCATTATTCTCAGCAAACTAACACAGGAACAGAAAACCAAATACTGCACATTCTCTTTTATAAGTGGGAATGAAGTGATGAGAACTCATGGACACAAAGAGGGAAAAACACACACTGGGGCCTACTTGAGGGTGGAGGGTGGGAGCAGGAATAGGATCAGGAAAAATAACAAATAAGTACTAGGTTTAATGCCTGGATGACAAAATAATCTGTATAAGAAACCCCCATGACACAGAATTACCTATATAACAAACCTACACAAGTTTACCTGTATAACAAACCTATTTTAAGTTCAATACCCCTGAACTTAAAACAAAAGTTAAATAAAAAAAAAAAAAAGAAAAGAAAGGTGTCAAGGGACTAAATAACCAAATATAGTCAAAGAACAAGTACAGTGAGAGTAACTGAGGGTGAGAATCTCAGGGTGGGAGGTTTTAGACTGCAGGTAAGATTTCAGAGGTGGAGCAGAACATTATCATAAGACCTGTCTAGATGGTGGCTATGGGAGTTAATGGCTAAAGGGGATTCAAATTAATGGTCTTTAAAGTTGATGAGTTCGGGCTTCTCACTGAATGGCTCATGTATCCTCATAGCGAATCTAACTCATGTCCCTAGTATTTTATTGCATCCTTAGTATTTGCCAGTAAAAATTTTCAATTATAAATAAATATATTTGTTCAGTAAATATTTTCTAAGTACTTACTATTTGCCAGGCACTGTCCTAGATACAGAGGATGCTTCAGTGAATAAAAACCAAAAATACAGGCCTCAAACATTTGTGTGTTCAAATACAGGAGAGTAGAGGATGGTGTTAAACAAAAGGTAAATGAGATTAAAGACTGTGTGAAAGAGAAAAGGAGTGTGAATAAAGTGACTGTAAGGACGTTGAAAGTGATATGTCAATCTTTGGAAACTGCTACCAGCACATCTCAGTGCACTTTCTAAGATTTGTGTGTAGATATCTGTTCCCTTATCTTTCACTCATGGAATCAAAGCAATTTCCAAGTATGATCATCATAGTAATTTACATTTATCTACCCATTCTATGGACCAGAAAAATTCCTCAATCTGTGTGAAGTTTCCTAGAATAATTGGAAGCCACTCAGATCCAGGATCAAACTCCTCTTTCCTACTTCCTTTGCTTTATGTTCTAATTTCTTCAATATCCATTCTGCCTGGGAAACATATGGCTAATAAAGAGCTGAGGATGCGTTAGAGTTCTTCCACAATCAAAACACCCATTTTGGCTGCTATTTGAATGTTTGGGGTACTAACATTACCTTTCTATAAGATTAAGGACCATTGACTTTCTCAACTCATAACTCGCAATTTCTACCCTAACATTCCGGACCTTTTGCTCTAACATGTGTCTTAGATGGCTACTATAATCCATTCCACTGATGCTTTATTTGATTCATTATTTTGGGGTTTTCTTCTTATGATTGCTTCCAGTAAGATGAGGTTAAACAATGTGTGTTCAGATTTTAGTGTTAGACAATCTCAGGTTTAAAAATAAATTTAAACTTGATGCTCACTTATTAATACTGTGAATATTAGCAGGTTTTTAAATCTCTTTGAGACTCAGTTTTCTAATCTGTAACATACATCTCAAAATAATTCTCAACCAAATGGTAATAAATATTAAAATATGTGATATACTTAGGGATTTCCTGTAAAGATATTGACCTTCAAGGCCTAAAGGAAAGGAATACTTGATAGGTTAAAATATGTAAAAATTTAAAATTATATTAGAAATAAGCAATAAAAAGGTAATGTTAGAATAAAATATTCATACAAATAATGTATTATTTAAGGCATGAAACTAATTCTTACGAATAAAAAGAGAAAAGAGGACAACTAAATAGAAAAATATTCAAAAGGTAGGAATAAGCATATTGCCAAATGAAAAAGTGCCAATACATGTAGAAAAAAGTTGCTCAAAAACACTATGAATCAGGAAAATGACTAAAGATAATATATCTTTGGATTATTAAAAACTGGGCTGGGTGCGGTGGCTCACACCTATAATCCCAGCACTCTGAGAGGCCAAGGCTGGCAGATCTCTTGAGCTCAGGAGTTTGAGACCAGACTGGGCAACATGGCAAGATCCTGTCTCTACAAAAAGTAGCCAGGAGTGATGGTGTGTACCTGTAGTCCCAGCTAGTCAGGAGGCTGAGGTGGGAGGATTGCTTGAGTTTTGGAGGTGAAGGTTGCAGTGAACCGAGATCCGGCCACTGCACTCCAGCCTGGGTGACAAGAGTGAGACCCAGACTCAAAATAAATAAATAGAATAATTAAGTAAAATAAAAATAAAAGCCGTTAGTAATTCTCAATTCAATTTTTATAAAAATGTAAAATGAGTTCTTTCACCTACTGTTGGTTGGAAGCTATTTAACACATTATATGTATTATATTTATTAATTATATAATAGTTATAATGGATACATTATGTGTATAATAATACATATATATGTATTATATGGAGTGTAGTTACATCCTTTGGAGGGCAAATTGCCACTTTCTCCAAAAATTTTAAATGCAACTTCCCTTTGACATAGTAATTTCAGTTTCAGAAATCTCATTAAAATAAACACTTCCACATACACACAAACTAAGGTGAATCTGTAAAGATGTAGAACACAATGTTCTTTATGACAGTGAGGCAATAGGAACAAATATGCATCAAGAGAAAAGCAATTATATGATGGAATGTCTCAAAGTACTAAATAAGCACCAAAAAGAATAAAGTGAACTTCTCTATTGATATAGAAAGATCTCTAGGACAATTTATTAAATGAAAAATAAATGGCAAGTTAAAAAATCTAATAAATCCAATTTACATGACAAAACTGTGTGTATGTATGTAAGTTTGTGTGTGATTGCATAAAGTTATATGCAAACATAGATAACTGAAATTAAACTGGCTATCATGGTATACCTTAAACTGTCAAAGCTAGTGTTCTTTGAAAAGAGTGTTGTGAGATAGGGAAGAATGAGGAAATGCAGCTAGGTCTTTCACTTTTGCTTTATCTGAGTCTTTTATGGTAAGATGGATTTGTGTGCTGCTTAGGAAATAAAACGTGATGAAGACTATTTAAAGATTCAAGACTTCAAGAAAAATAAAAACAAATTAATATTCATTTGATTTTTGTTTCTTTCCAAAAAGAAAAACCTTCATCACAAATATGCATGCTCTAGTAACTGATGTTACTGCACTAGTAAGAAAGAACATTTCAGATTTTTCTTGCAGAAACATCAACTTGTTTCTGGTAATTGGAACAACTATAACAGCATGCATTTCAAAGCTTGGACTTGCCCCTGGATCCAGACGAAAAAAGCCTTTGGGACAAGCAGAATTATTTTGATTTTCCTTATCCATTCATTTTTACTAACAAACTGAAATGATTTTTTTTTGACATGAAGAAGAGTCTTGAAAATTCTTAACCCTCTTCATTTTATTGCTATGTTCAAATTATGATTCACAGCCTCTTTATCATTTTTCTCAGCCGCATCAACAATAAAGTTCTTATTCTTATCTTTTTACCCTTCATCGTATCTCCCTTATTTACTTTACCTATTTTCCTCCTTCTCTCCTTCCCTTCCTTTTCCTCTTTTCTTGTTACTTTTTGACTCCTATCGACATTTTGCTCTAGGTGAATGCTACCCTCCTCCTCACTTGCCACCAGGGAGATATTGCACAGGTGCAGCCCCATCTGTCCCAGTGTGCGACTCTGACGATGCAATAGTACACAGCAGTGTCTCTCAGCGTAGCGTGGGGCAGGATCAAGGTGCTGGACTTTCTGTCTTCTGTGATGATCAGAGAGGCCATTTCATTGGTTTCATTGTTTTTTAGACCATGAATGATATACTGTGGCCCCTGGGAGTGAATCTGTCGATACCAATACACATACTCATTTCCACTGATGGTAGAGTGATTACAAGGCAGGTTTGCAGCTCTTCCTTCAGCGCAATCCATGGAGGTGGGCTGGGTGGTCTTAGCATCAATTATAGTTCCTAAGGGGTCAAGAAAATCAGATTAGCTCCTGACTCTCAAACCAATGCAATTCTATGGATCAAGGATACAACACTCCCTTAACACTCCAAAACTTTTATGTCCTGCAAGAACACAAAAAATATCATTGCTGTTAATTATAAAGACCAAAGATACATGCCAATAATCAGAGACCCTCTAGGCTGTATTCCATGGGAGCTTGATTTAGTAAACCCATAGATTTCTTAAAACTGAATACTGCCAAGGGCTCTTCTGGGATTATGGTTATGATCTAGCCTGGTATGTAGATGTATGTACTTCCTAGACAAATGCACAGAACAGTTCTCAGTCATATCTAGTATGCTGGATAAAGCACAGGGAGCATAGAGGGCAAACCACCCTTCGGGGTCCCTTGTCCTCAGAAGCCCTCCCTAGGTAGACACAGAGCACTTACCAAAGGTCAGAAACACAGTTACTCTTGCCACCAGCCTCATACTTCAAGGACAAATGAGGATTGTGGACCCAGAGTTCAGTTTTTGTGTCTGATTCTAGGTTTAAAGAATTTCCAGAGAACAGAAGCAACAGCTACTAGTAAAGACTTGCAAGGAGTGCAGCTCTCATTGTGTTGTTGTCAGGATCTTGTCAGCCAATGATAGAGCAGTTGCTTTTCTATGTCTTCCTCCCCAGGTTTAGTCATGTTCCTGAGAAGACGGTGAGGATATCAACCAGACATCCTCAACTCAGGGGGTGTCTACTGAAATCATTTATGAGGTTTAAAGTCTAAGAGGCTGGCACAGAATGAGGAAAACTGATCATAAGGATGTATCTATCCAGACCTTTTCTTCCATCATTTCTTCCTCAATGTACCAAATAAAGTTTCCTCTGCTCCATGGAGCTTGTGGAAAGTGTCATTAAATCCCAGAAGCCTATAGTGAGCTCTGTGTTGTAAGGAGTTGGAAATTCCCATCTACATTCTAGAAAACGGAAGTGAAGTTCAAAAGTAGGAAGTGATGTGCTCAGGGGGAAAATAAAAATTGATAACATTGACACTGAAAGCTAAGTCTCCCCAAACTCGGGTTTTCTATAGAGGTCCCTGGAATCATGTGTTGACTGTTGTCTAAGTAGCCATTTCTCAATATATCTGTTCTTGATATAGTGACTAATGACATAAATGGTGCTGGCTCTCATCCTCCTTAAACTCATGGCCTTCATGTTCATTTCCTAATTTCTATGCCCGTGCTTATGCCTACTGTGTGCACCAAGGACACTGAGGCGGAAAGAAAAGAGACCAGGAAAAGCAAAGAAGTTTGGGGTGACGGTGGTAAGAATAGGTAAAGGAAAGGAAGAAAAAGGTGTAAGGAATAGGGGAGGTAAGAGATGATTAGGGAAGTGAAACTTGGAGAAAGCAGTGTTAAGGGAGGTGCTCTGAAAAGACTTAGTCCATCAGTGTAAGGGCCCCAGAACTTTTGAAGCCATAACACACTTAATAAGAGATCATAAAGTACAATTTGTCTAAAGAGGATAAAAGTGTATCATTTTTTTTCCTGTTTTCTGTGGAACTTTAGTGGAAAACATAAGCTTAGCGTCCCTTCTGCAAGAAAGAAACCTGAGTTTTAAGGTGAAGCAGCCCCCTCTTGTGACTGACTGACTGAATGAACTGTGTAGCTATAATCAGGCAAAAAGTCAGCCAGCAATCTTCTGACTCTTTTATCAGGTTTGAAGGTAGGTATCTTAGTTTTAATACCTCTGTACTCATCTTTGTTTTATCAGTCCTCTAACACTCCAAGAAAGGTTTTAACTATTTTTTAAATTACTTTGTTATTTCAATAATATTCCCATTATAATTCTCAATTGCTGACTTGGAGTTAATTTTTCTTTTGTTTCTAATATTCCCATAATTAAAGGCTAGTTCAAAAGCCCATACTATTCAATGTTTATAAGAGATATTGGCGGCCGGGCATGGTGGCTCACGCCTGTAATCCCAGCACTTTGGGAGGCCGAGGCGGGCGGATCATGAGGTCAGGAGATTGAGACCATCCTGGCTAACACGGTGAAACCCTGTCTCTACTAAAAATACAAAAAATTAGCCGGGCATGGTGGCAAGTGCCTGTTGTCCCAGCTACTTGGGAGGCTGAGGCAGGAGAATTGCTTGAACCCGGGAGGCGGAGGTTGCAGTGAGCTGAGATTGTGCCATTGCACTCCAGCCTGGGCGACAGAGCAAGACTCTGTCTCAAAAAAAAAAAAAAAAAAGAGATATTGGCACAGAATAAGCACTCAATAATTACTTGTTTCATGAATGCGTAGATGAGTCATAACTGACAAATTTACTGAGAGAACTTATGCTGAGCAAATCTTTAAATTATTGTCTGTGCACTCTTTCAGTTTTCTGGAATAGAATTTGAACAAAAGACTACAATGGGGTAAACACAGGGTCAGATTTGTAGGCAAAAATTCAATGATAGACAATAAATTTCCCCAACACGGGTGTGAAAAATCAAGCTACAAAGATATAGAGTAAAAGTCATAGTAATAATATTCCATTCATTTAAAAAATATTCACTAAGAGCCTACTCTGTACCAGATCACAAAGATGTAAGTTAACAGGACAGTACTGCCGAAAATATAAGAAGAAACAAGCAATTACTGAAAGTAGGGAGGACTATATCATGTTGTTACATTAACAAAGGCAGAAGAAAAGTAATTAATGCAATTTCCTTTTTTGCTTTTGGTTTGTTCGCCTTTATTTTTTGGAAGACAATTGAGGCCACTAACAGGTGATTTTTTAATGGTATTGAAAAACCATTAAGTATTTTGCATAGCTCTAAAGAATAAAAAATGTATTTGTCCAATCTACTGAGTATTCGCAGAGTATCTTACATTTTAGAAGATTACATGATCTCTAAGATCATAATGGGTAAGGTTTTCTCCTCCTTTGCTTGATGAAAAACCAAAATAATGAGTTCAACTTATTTTAACTTCTTTATGATTTACCACCATAAAATATATACAAATCTATTATTAAAAGTTTAAATTTATCAAAACTTACACACACAAGAGAATTTGATACAAGGCCAATACCCTCACATGATGAATACTCTCAACAATCTAGAAATGTAGAAAAGAGTCCTTAATCTGATAAAAGGTATCTATAAAAATATCCAAGGCTAACATTGTAATTAATGGTAAAATACTAAACATTTTTTCTCTGAGGTTAGGAACAAGATACATTATCACACTTCCATTTATTATCGCATTGGAATAACTGGCATCAAGTCAGGAAAGAAAATAAAATGCATACATTTGGGAAAGGAATAAGTAAAATTCTTCTTCTGCATAGATAACATAATTTGAATATAAAAAAATTTAAAAGGATCTGTAAAGAAACTACTAGAACTAATGGATGAATTGCACAGTCATTGAATAAAAAATTCCATTGTATTTCTAGATTCTAGCTAAAAACAATTGGAAAATAAAATAAAAATGCCATTTACAATGAAATAAATGAATGAATTTAATTAAGGATATGAAAGTTCATTAAAATGAAAATTATAAAACATTAATAAAAGGAATTAGAGAGGACCTAAATAAATGAAGAGCTATATTTATAAATCTAAGGAATCCATATTTAAATTATCAATTTTCTCAACCTGATCATAAACTCAGCAAATTTGAATCAAATTACTAGAAATTTGTTGTGGTAGAAGTTTGAGAATCTGTTTTGCAATTTCTATGGAAATTTAAATCCTATAGCAAGCTAGACAATCTTGAAGAAAAAGGTGGGGGATAGTTGGAGGAATTGCATTTCCAGATTTCAAGACTTATGTGAAACTTCAATAATTAAGAGAAAATGGTCTATTGGTATGAGAATTGTTAAAAAGATGATTTAACAGAATCATGCCCAGAAATAGATGAACACATATGTAATCACTTGATTTTCTCCAAAGGTGCCAATGCAGTTCAGTGGGGAAGAAATGGTCTTTTCAATATAGATGCCAAAGTAATTGTTTAATCATATATAAACACACACACACAGACACACACAGACACACACACACACAGACACAGACACACACACACACACACATTCCAGATGGGTCAGACATCTAAATGTGAAGGGTGAAGCTATAAAGTTTTAAAAGAAGACACAGGAGAACAACTGTATTATATTAGAAGTGGACAGCAATATCTTTAAAAGTGCACAAAAAACCCTAACCATAAAGAAAGAAAAATAAATTACAGTGGAGACTACAGTTGACCCTTGAACAAGTTTGACCTGTATGGGTCCACCTATATGCGAACTTTTTTTCAATAAATATATTGGAAAAATTTTTGGAGATTTGCAAAAAGTTGAAAAAAACTTGCAAACACACAACGTAGTCTAAAAATATCAATAAAATTAAGAAAAAGATATGTCATGAATGTGTAAAATGCATGTAAATACTAGTCTATTTTATCACTTACTACCATAAAACATACACAAATTTATTATAAAAATTTTAAATGTATCAAAACTTAAGCACATAAACACAGAGTGTATGTGGCGGCACTTGGAGTCCAGAGAAATGCAAACAAACTTAAAGATGCAGTATTAAATCACAACTGCATAAAATTAACTATAGTACATACTATACTACTGTAATAATTTTGTAGCCACCTTCTGTTGCTGTTGCAGTGAGCTCAAGTTTGTGAATACCTACTTAAAATGCAATGCTAATTCTCTCCACATGAGCAGTTCATCTCTCTAGCCATTTGCGCATTGCAGTAAAAAGTCATCTCTCACCGATCTCCCATACTTTTTGCTGTGTTTAGTGCAATAGTGTAAACCTTGAATAACACCATGGAATCCATACAAAATTCCACTAGTGATGCTGGAAGTGCGCCCAAGAAGCAGAGAAAAGTCATGACCTTACAAGAAAAAACTTTATTGCTTGATATTAAGCTGCAGCTGCAATTGGAGTTGCCTGCAATTTCAGACAGATGATTCATCTTGTGAACAGACTACATAAACTTACAGAACTGCTATATACAGTATGGTACTGTAAACATATTTTTTTCTTTCTTATGATTCTCTTAAAATCATTTACTTTTCTCTAGTTTACTTTATTGTAAGAATGTGGTATATAGTACATATAACATATAAAATATGTGTTAATTGATTTTTTATGTTATCAGTAAGGCTTCTAGTCAACAGTAGGTTATCAGTAGTTAAGTTTTGGGGGAGCCAAAAGTTGTATACAAATTTTTGAATGCTTGGGGGTTGGTGCCCCAAACCCTCATGTTTTTCAAGACTCATCTGTACATAGGGACCCAGAAGTCCAACCCCCACCTGGCAGTTTGACGATCCTCCCTGCCCTCTGATGTCAATGAGGCTGAATGGGGACCCTGGATTCTATCTCTACCAGGTAGTAAGGCGGTGTTCCCCTTCCCCTGCTGGAGTGGCATCAGAGAAAAGGAGGAAAAACAAAAATTTTAAATAAGATCCAGAGTTTCAAACACAATACTCAAATGTTCAGATTTCAATAAAAAAAATCACTCAATATACTCAGAACCAAGAAGATCTCAAACAGAATTTTAAAGAGACGATCAATAGATGCCAACCCTGAGATGAAAGCGATGGTAAAATTACCTGACAAAGATATTAAAGCAGCCATGATGAAAATGTTTCGAAGGGCAACTACAGACATGCTGGAAACAAATAAAGAAACAGAAAGCTTCAGGTGGAAATAGAAATCTCAGCAAAGAAGTAAGATACATAAAAAAGAACCAAGATATAAAATGGAAATTTTAGAACTTAAAAATGTAGCTGAAATAGAAAGTCCACCAGATGGGCTCAATAGCAAAATGGAGTGGACAGAGAAAATTATTAGTGAACTGGAAGGTAGAACAGAAGAAATTACTCAATCTGAATAACAAAGGGAAAATAGAATGATTAAAAAAATGAACCAAGCCTCAGGGAATTGCAGGACTATAACAAAATATCTAACATTCCTTTCATCAGAGCACTAAAAAGGAAAAGGGGCAGGGCTGAAAAAGTATCAAAGAAGTAAAAGCCAAAAACTTCTCGAGTTTGGCAAGACACAAAATACAGCGGTATGCTGAGTTTAAAAAGTCAATCCCCAAAGGTCATTTATATAACATATATGGAATTACAAAATTATACAAATGAAGGACAGATTAATAGTTCCTAGGGATGAAGGAGGGGATGGGAGCAGAGAGGAAATGAATATGGCTACAAAAGGACAATAGAAAGCATCCTCGCGGTGATAGAAATGTTCTGTGCCTTGACTGAGTCAACGTCAATATCCTGGTTGTGATATTGTACTATAGTTTTACACCACTGGAGTAAACTGAGTAAAGGATACATATGATCTGTCTTAATTTTTTAAAATATATGTGAATTTATAATAATCTCAAAATTAAAAAGTTTAAAAATACATGTCAACAATATTAAGTACTAGCAAGGTTATGGAGAATTGAAACTCCTTTCCATAATGATATAACCTCAAAAATGCCTTGGAAGTTTCTAATAAGGTTAAAGATACGCCTGTCCTATGACCCAGAGATTCTACTACAACAATAAAAGTTATATAAGAAGGTTCAACAATTTCACATGTCCACAAAAAGACTTACATAAGAACATTTATAGCAGTTGTATTCATCATAGCCCCAAACTGGAAACAACACAAATTTCTATTACCAGAGAAGTAGATAAACAAGATGACATATTCATACAATGGAACAGTATTCAACATAAGAAACATATAAAATGTAATGCATGATTTCATTAATATGAAATTCAAGAGAAAGCAAAACTAATCTAAGGCAATAGAAATCAAAATAGTGGTTATCTCTAGAGGTGGGTATTGATTGAAAAGAGGAATGAAATAATTTCTGGGTTGGTGGAAATATTCTGCATCTTGATTGGTGGAGGATTATTACACAGGTAAGTGCATAACTAAAACGTTCACAAACATTTGATGAATGTTCATGCACTTTACTATATGCATATTATACCTCAATACAAAAACCAAAGAGATACGCTGACAGAACTAAATATGGTGACAACACAAATTCTGTTATCTTTCCTAATATTAAGACCACCTAGGTTTCCCAGACATTTCTTATCTACTTTGCTGAAAGTCTTTCAGGCTTTTGAATCAATTTGAATAAAGTAACCACAGGCTTGTCCTTTGCTGTTGGGCATCAGAAAGCACTCAAGTCTCCTAATAATTTTATTTATGTATCAACCTATATGTATGAATGTTTAAAAAAATATGAGTTCAACTCCACTGGGTCTGCATAGATTTCTCCCTTCATTATTTATTACTTTTCCCAACAGTGAGAAATCTGGCTCTCATGATCTATGATCTATTATATATTTTACTTATACACATTTGTTCAATCCAAATGCTCACATAAATTACTTTAAGAATTGCTAGCCTATACCCCTTGAGAAACAAATTTATTAACTACAGAATGGTATTTGTGTGCCATTCTTTTGCCTTTAGTCTTACAATATCTATTCAAAATACTGTTTTCAAAAATTATTTAGGTTAGTTATTTTCTTCCACATTAAAGACAGTGTCACTGTGTTTACATTATTCACTATAATATTGTTGGAAGCATTTGTTACACTTTCTATTTCTTTTGGGGTTCCACTCACATTCTAATTATTAAAAAATTTATACACAGTAAGATTTACTTTTTGCGGTATACAGGTCTATGGTACAGTTCTCACCAACCCTTTGATCTGTTTCCTATCTTTATAGTTTTGCTTCTACCCATATGTATTAATAATATAAATAAACTCACACAATATGTAGTCCTTTAGACTTAGTTTCTTTTATTTACCAAGACACGTTGAAGATTCATCCATGTTGTTGCATGAGTCAATATTTCATTTCTTTTTGTTGCTGAGTAGTACTCAATCATATGGATGAACCACAATGTGTTTAACCATTCTCCAGGTGAAGGACATCTGATCGTTCCCAGGTTTTAGTAATTATGAATTAAGCTTCTGTAAACATTCACATGGAAATTTTTATGCGAACATAACTTTTATTTCTCTTGGCTAAATACGTAGGAGAGGGATTGATGAATCATATTGTAAGTGAAGTTTAACTTTGTAAGAACTGCCAACCTGTTTTACAAAGTGCTGATCATTTCTCTTTCCTATCAGCAATGTATGAGAGTTCCAGCTGATGTGTAGCCTAACCAGTACTGATATTCTCATATATTTGAACTTTATCCATTCTTATAAGTGAGTAGATGTAAGTTACTTAATATCTTGAGGTTTCAATTTCTTTCTTTATAAGTTTGAAATTATAATACCTGCTTCATAAAACAATATTATCCTTACCTGTTTTTAATCTTATCTCCTGTGAGTGAGCAAGAAAAACAGAGATGTGGACTAATGCGCCCCATTGCTGTAAAGGATAGAGAATCACTCTAATCACTCTAGACAGCATGGAGATACAGATTGGATGTGACAAAAAAAAAGAAAGAAAAAAAAGAAAGGAAGGAAGGAAGGAAGGAAAGAAAGAGAGATAAAAAGGAAGAAAGACATGATTAATGCCTTCTGAAGGAGGTCTTTTATTTTATTTTTATTTTTATTTTTATTTTATTTCATTTTATATTTTGAGATGGAGTCTCACTCTGTCACCCAGGCTGGAGTGCAGTGGTGCGATCTATGCTCACTGAAACCTTGAAGGAGGTCTTTTAAGCAGACTCTACTGATGTGTTTTTGTACAGTAGTTAGGTGTAGTCTTTGAGAAAACCTTCAAAAAAAAAATCCTATGAAGAAAGATTTTGGAGGAAGTAGCCAAACACTTCAATTTGACACTAGAGTCAAATTGAAACTGTCAGTCCACCCCTTGTTTCTGTACATGGGGTCTCCCAGACAGAAAATATTGGAGAATCAAAGGATGACAGCCCCTCATGTGTGCTTAATAAAAGATACACTGGGAAGAAAAGAGAAACAATCAGTGAGGGAAACCAAGAAATATCAGACCATACTCTCCTTAAATTTGGTAAAGAATCAAAACGAGATCCTAATTATACTGGTAAGGTGGTGTTTGTGGTTTTTGTTTTTTGTTTTTTGTTTTTTTACTTCTGATGTGAATCATCTCTGGCAGCTGTTTTGATGGATGAATTCACTCCCCTACTGGCTGTAAAGGTCACTTTTTGATCTTTCCAGAATTATTTATGAGGCCTTTTATAATTCATGTCTGTTTTCTAGTGCTTGTGATTTTGTTAATTAGTATTATTTTGTACTTTGGCATGATTGTAGCAGAAAAACACAGAAAACGTATGAAAGAAAAAAAGAGAAAGGAAGGAAAACTTTGTGGGAGAAAGACCCACCTTCCCCTCCCCTCCCCCGAAAAAAAGGTCAGTTTGAGAGGATCCGTGTGCAAAAGGGCCAAGGCTATGACAGAAGAGGAGAAAATAATTTTTACAATAATTTTAACATAACTGTTTTTGGCACAACTCTGAAATAGCCTTGGAAATGTTATAATGGATGAAAACAACTACTAAATAATTACGGTGCTCTTAGAAATTAACCTAAACATGCGTGTGCTCCCATCCATATTTTTCTATATACATATGTTATTTTGTTTTATAAGTGGCATAGTACTATTTTGTATTTGACTTTGTTCATTTGATAAATTAACTTAATTCCTATGTTACAAAATTTTCATCACAATAATTTTATGGCTACAAAACTTTTTATTAAAAAGGTGCAAAAACTTTATTTGACCATTTAGCTGACCAATCTCAGTTGATTTTAATGTTTAAACTCTCCAATACAGTTGTATTTTTATCCTCTCTTTCCCAAGATAAAAATCTTTGTAAGTACTGAGAAATAAAGTAATTGGTCAAGTCAGTGAACACACTTTGAAATCTATGGCTGACTTTTCCCCGTAGTTAGACCAATGAACATGGCTAACGGAACTTGAATCATCAGCTTCATCTGGGCTTGGCGAATATAATTGCAGTTGGAAGAGTGAAAAAGAGACCATGCCTAAATCTCTTCATGGGTCACCTTCCAGTTTCGTCTAAACTCCTCATTTTAAAAAGAGCTCTTTTCACTCAGTTCTCTGGAAAGGTGGTTACCGCCTGCATAATCTTTATGCTATGTTGGACTGCGTTGCATTGAAGCAGATGAGTTCTACAGAGGTGACTCTTCAGGGAGTTGGTCGTAAACTTCTTTTAAGTTTTGTGTACATAATGAAAAATGTTTAATTTTCAAATCTTCCGCAATACAATTGAGCTAAAACCTTAAAGAAACTGCTTGGAAACCTCTGCTACCACCCAAACAGGGGTCCCAAACCCCTGGCGGCAGGGAATCTGTACCATTCTGTGGCCTGTTAGGAACCTGGCCGCAGAGCAGGAAGTGAGCGGCAGGTGAGCATTACTGCCAGAGCTCCGCCTCCTGTGAGATCAGCAGTGGCATTAGATTCTCATAGGAGCCCGAACCCTATTGCGAACCGCGCATGCGAGGGATCTAGGCTGCTCGCTCCTTAAGATAATCTAACTAATTCCTGATAATCTGAGGTAAACAGTTTCATCCCGAAACCATCACCCCACCCTCTCCGTGGAAAAATTGTCTTCAACAAAACCGGTCCCTGATGCCAAAAATGTTGGGGACCACTGCACTGAAAGATGACTTTTTATATAAATATCTGTATCACAATTCGTTAAAATCCACCGATTCTTCCTAAGACAATTAGAATTCTTTGAGACACCTGTGTAGAAGAAAACCGGTAGTTAAGTTTTAGGAACTAAAACTGCTAAACTCTTCCAGGTCTTAACAGAGTGAATTTCTACATGCATTCCTACTGCCATGGGGAGGAGTTGCTCGAGATCCTCACAGACATTGTGACTTTGGCTTTCTCTGGCGCCTGCTCTTTGGGGAGAGTAGGATGATCTGCTCCTGAAGACCCAGGGCAAGATTTGGAGACAGGCAGCAGGTGCTTGGGGAGCACTGTGCCCTGCACAGAAGTAGGTTCCTACATCTGTAGTCTGGGTGGCTGTGATGTGCAGGGAGCTGTTCTTTTTTGCTTCTCCAAACTGAAATGTCAGTCTTTTCTGCTTCTTCACTTCTCCACTCTTCACTAACTGTATCAAAAAAACGGGATGTCCACCAGGCCTTTGCTTATACCACTGTATATTGCTTAAAGTAGTTGAGGAATTGCAGTACGTGGTGAAGTCCTCTCCTTCTTGTACATGCTGGTACTGAGGAATTTGCATTACCTGTTGTCCATTCACCTCTGTTTAGAAAGACAATGGGAAGCATCACATAAAATCAGATTAGATATTTAGCTCCTGAGCTACGCAGGTCTCTCTCACTCCTCTTTTCTTTTTTCCCCTTTCTGTCCACGTCTCCCTTCCCATCTCCCTCAACCTTTATCCATTCTGTCTCTTTCTCTCTGTTTCTCTCCCTTTGTCTTAACTCTTGTTTCTCAAACAGAAAGTCCATTCCCTGCCTGCAGATACTTCTCTATCCTGTTGGATTTATTCTCTGGAAGCAGTCAGGGACGTCTCAAACTCACGTGACAATTGCATCCATAAGACCAACATTGATGTGATGAGTAGCATCTCCCTCTCCCTCTTCATCCAACTTCTCCTAAATGGGTTGCCTGGTACAAGCTTCTTCCAGATCAATAGAAATAGTTGCGGTCTATTTTGGAAAGTAGATGTGTGCATTTTGGAAAGAAAGGGAAAGAGGTGACTGCAAGTTGAGAAAACCAATCACACTATTTTGCCCACCCTCTCAGAGGAGAGTCTATGTTTGCCGATGCTGCCCCCCTGTGGTGGACTCAAACATTGCTGATTTGACAACAGATTATTTTATTAATAAAGCTGCTTTCTAATTTAGGTGGTATGTATGTGTGTCAAGGATTGGAAGAAAAGAGTTTACTGATGGTGACATTGTTCAAGGAGGAATAATTTGCCTCTTAAAAATGGAGTCTGTGATTTAAAACTAGGGCATCCGAAGAAAAGAGAAAGTTCCATTTTGTCGCTTCCATTGTCACTAAGCATCATGTTGTGCCATGTAGCACATGCTTATAAGTGCCTTAATGGGACATATTAGGTCACAGACTTTTTAATAAATGTGGGAGACACTTGTGATTTATTGTTAGACAACGCATTACCTCAAAACAGACGATAAGAAATACAAATTTCTCTTTCGTCACCCTGATTTCCCTGGTAAATTATCCAATTTAGAGATCATGTCTGCCATCCCACTATGTTACTTTTACACATGCCAGCGTGATGAGGGAAGACATTAATATAATTAGAAAAA